>NC_000001.11:102053835-104553835 GCF_000001405.40 Homo sapiens
GCTCCTCTTTGGAACATCAACCCAGTGGCCTGAGATCTGCTCCTATCCCTCAAGACCCACAGGGGGGCTGCTGCTTGCACTGTATGTAGAGACTCAGACTGCAAACCCACCTGACCCAGCCCCAACCTGGCTTTGCCATACCACCCACCCTAGCAGCTTAATATAAACAACATCATCTCTTGGGAGCTATATGGTTCTACCCATTGCCTGAGAAACTAGAGTATCCCCACTGGGCAACATAAGGCAAGCAAAAATCCCACTGCTACTACCACAGCTGATGCTCTTTTATACGCACCACCTCCTGGCTGGAGGCCAACCAAGAGTTCATTACAGCATTTATTGGTAGAATCACATTATGCCCAGGAAGAAGATGGCTGTGTGATTTCAGCCATCGCCACTGCCTGCACCACTCTGTCTAACTAGGAGGTCCTGAGTGCGTCCACATGACCAGTTCATTACTACTATAACCAGTGTTCACACTAAGGCTATCAATAACTAAGGAATCTCACAGAGTCTATGTCACTCCCCTGCCACCCCCATTAGAGATGGTGCTGCTGCCCACTGCTGGGAGACTTGGGGACAGGTCACATCACTGGACACCTTGCAGACATTCCCCAACATCAGCCTGGAGTGTGGCAACTTCACTGGGTGGCTAGACCCAGAAAAGCACCAACACTCACAGTTGTCTAGCTCCCAGGTATCCCCACTCCTAGGGGACTGGGAAGGGCATCACATCAAGGGAACACCATGTGGGACAAACGAATCTGGATGGCAGGTCTTAAGCACCAGATCTTTCCACTGGTGGGAAGTTTCTTTTAGCAGAGGCACATTTGCAGTGCAAGACTCAGAAGGAAAGTCTTCAGCTCTAACCCAACAGTCAGATAGTCCCAATGTGCATGAAGTGTCTTGGAGAAGGGAATGTCTTTTCCCTCTTGTCCACAACTGCAGGCACAGTTAGGGCTTCTACCATGGGAACTTGGTGTGGGTACAACTATAATCTTTCTGGAACATGTCAACGTGACTACATCCCCGCAGGAGGAGCACCCTCCATTTTCAGGCTTCCATGAGAGACAGAGTCACAATTCTTCTCTACTTGGAACATCAATACTTCTACAGATGAAAAGAGGTGCCTGTCTGATCTGAATAGCTAAAATACTGGGACAACAGTGTGTCTGAGAGATGGATAACTTTCCTGCTGACCTGGGAAGGGAACTGAGGTGGGTGCAATCCTTTCCCCTGGTAAGACCTCAGTGTGACTCACTGAGAGCTCCTCCAGTCACCTGTCATGGCTAAGACCTCTGCTCACCATTGGGTATTACATTTACTCACATGCTGTAACCACACCTGTTCATACCCAGGGACACTTCTTCTACTGGCCTGAAGTTTGAACCATCAAACCAGTAAATAAAATACTGGGGAAAAATCATTTAAAACGTGAACACCATAGGGGAATGTGATAAGCCTTAAAAGACCTCTACTATTCCAACCCCATAGGAGACAGTGAACTTGTTCACACCCCAAGCATATTGGTACCACAAGCAGCATATAAGAAAGCCACATACAAAAACTATTTCTAACCAAGGAACTCTTACAGAGCCTTCACCCCTGAAAGCATTAAATACCAAATTAGGATGTAGTTGACTTTAAGCATTAAAGTCACATCCTTAAGGGGAAAAAAGAAATTAAAGAACAAACAAACAAACAAACAAAACACAGTCTAGTCAAGTATAAATTCAAGAGTAATTAGAAGAAATAATCTAACTAAATGAAAAGGAACCAGAAAACTAACTCTGGTAATAGGACATAACAGGGTTCTATAACACCCCTGAAAGATAACACTAGCACTCCAGCAATGAATACAAACCAAGATGAAATCTTTGAAATACCAGATAAGGAATACAGAAGGGCTATTATTAAGTTACCCAAGGAGATATCAGAGAAAGGTGAAAACCATAACGAAGAAATTTAAAAAGCAGTTCAGCATATAAATAAAAAATTTTCTAGAAAGTTAGATATCATCAAGAAAAAAATCAGAACTTCTGGAAATAAAAGACACACTTAGGAAATTACAAATTGCAGTGGAAAGTGTTAACAATAGACTAGAAGAAGTAGAAAAAAAAGAATTTCAGAGCTCGAGGCAAAGCTTTTGAATTAACCCAATCAGATAAAAAAAATCAAAAGAAATGAATAAAGTCTTCAAGAAACATGGGATTATGTAAAATGGCCAAACCTAAGGACAATTGGTGTTTCTGAGGGAGAAGAGAAAACAATGAGTCTGGAAAACTTACTTGAGGTGATAAGTTGAGGAAAATTTTCCTGGCCTGGCTAGAGATCTAGATATCCAAATCTAAGAAGCTCAAAAAACTCCTGGGAAATTCATTGCAAATAGATCTTCACCAAAGAATATAGTCATCAGGTTATATAAAGTAAACATGAAGGAAATAATTCTAAGAGCATTAAGACAAAAGCATCAGCTAACCTGCCAAAGAAATCCTATCAGACTAACAGCTGACTTCTCAGTAGGCACTTTATAGGCAGAAGAGATTGAGGTCTTATCTTCAACCTCCTTAAACAAAACAATGGTCAGCCAAGGATTTTGTATCCCATAAAACTAGATTTCATAAATGAAGGAGAAATAAAATCATGTTTAGACAAACAAAAGCTGCGGGAATTTGTCACTACCAAACCAGTACTACAAGAAATGCTAAAAGGAGTTCTAAACCTTGAAACAAAAGCTAGATATACATCAGAATAGAACCTTTTGAAAGCTTAAAACATACAAGGCCCATGAAACAACAACACAATGAAAAAAATCTAGGTGACAATTAACATGATGAAAAGAATAATCCCTGTCACATCTCAATATTAAAGTTGAATGTAAATGTTCTAAATGTTCCACTTATAAGATACAAAATGGCAGAATAGATAAAATCATCACAATCCAAATATCTGCTGTCTTCATTAAAATGGAAACGAAAAGAGAATAGGAGTAGCTATTCTTGTATCAGACAAAACATACTTTAAAGGAACAACAATAAAAGACAAAGATGGTCACTATATAATGATAAAAGGATCAGTCCAACATGAAGATATTACAAATCTAAATGTATATACACCTAACAGTAGAGCTCCCAGATTCATAAAACAATTACTACTAGACCTAAGAAATGAGAGAGGCAGCAACACGATAATAGTGGGAGACTTCAATATGCCACTGACTGCATTAGAAAGATCTTCAAGTCAGGCAGTCAACAGAGAAACAATAGAGTTAAATGACAAACTAGAACAAATGGAATTAATACATTTTTACAGAACATTCTACTCAAGAACTGCAGAATATATATTCTTCTCATCAGCACATGGAACATTCTCCAAGATAGACTATATTATAGACCACAAAATATCTCAAAAAATTTTTAAAAATCAAAATTATATCAAGTATCTTTTCAGACCACAGCAGAATAAAACTAGAAATCAACTCCAAAAGGACCCCCCAAAACTATACAAAATACATAGAAATTAAATAATCTGCTCCTAAATGGTATCTGGGCTAACAATAAAATCAAGATGGAAATTTAAAAATTCTTTGAATTGAATGATAATAACACAAATTATTGAAAGTTCTGAGACAGAGCAAAAGCACTATTAAGAGGAAAGTTTATTGCACTAAAATGACTGTATCAAAAAGTCTGGGCTGTGCACAGTTACTCACATCTGTAATCCCAGCACTTTGGGATGCTGATGTGGGCAGATTGCCCTGAACTCAGGAGTCTGAGACCAGCCTGGGCAACATGACAAAACCCCATCTGTACCAAAAAATAAAAATAAAAAATAAAAAATAAATTATTTGGGCATGGTAGCATGTGCCTGTAGTCCCAGCTACTTGGGTGGCTGAGGTGGCAGAATCTCTTGAACGTGAGAGGTGGAGGTTGCAGTGAACCGAGATTGCACCACTGTATTCTAGTCTGACAACAGAGTGAGAATCTGTCTCAGTAATAAATACATAGATAAAAATAAATTACTCTTTGTTTAAAACTAATGTCTGAGAGAGAATACAATTGACAACCTAATGTCACACCTCAAGGAAGCAGAGCTATCAGAACAAACTAAACCCAAAGCTAGAAGAAGAAGAGCAATAACAAAGATCACTAATGCAGGGAGGGGCCAAGATGGCTGATAGACACAGCTGTGATCTATGGCACTCACAGAGAGGAATAAAAAGGGCAAGTGAATACAGCACCTCCAACTGAAATATGCAAGTTCTCGCATTGAGACTGATTAGGGAAACAACTTGAACCACAGGGAATGAAGAAAAGCAAGGTGGAACGATGACCCACCTGAGAGTGACACACAACAAAGGGAACCTCACTCCCAGCCAAGAAAAGCAGTGAGTAATTGTGGGACCCAAGGAAACCATGCTTCTTTCATAGGTCTTTGGAACTTGCAGATCAGGGGATCCTTCTGTGAACCCGTGTCACCAGGGCCTTAGGTCCAACACACAGAGCTCTGTGGAGTCTTGGCAGAGCAGGTGCTCAGGCATGCACAGACCCAGGAGGTTTACATACTTCAGCCACGGGATTCCCAGCAAATGCATCTGCAACTCAGAAAAGGTGAGAGGTCCACATATTCCCCTAGGAAGGGGGCAGAATACAAAGAGTCAGCAAGCATTGTTCTGTGGGCCCCACTTACACAGCACCTCACAATTTAAGACCCACTGGCTTGGAATTCCAACCAGCCACTGGCCACAGGATGGAGTCTGTCTGAGACAGCACAGAGCCCTTGGGGTAAGGGGCATGTGCCATCTCTGCTGTTTAGTCAACTCAGCCATTCCAGCCTGTGAGCTTTGGAGCATCCAAAGGGTCCAGATGAGTAAGGGTCCCTACAGCACCACAGGACAGTGGCTTTGCCAAATTATGGCCAGACTGCTTCTTTAAGCCAGCCGTCAATCCATTTCTCCTCACTGGGCAGGACCTCCAAGGCAGGTCATCCAGCCATGCCCACCTGCAGAGCTCTGATCTTTGCCTGGGACAGAATGCCTGGGGGAGGAGGGAGCTGCCACCTGGGCTGGTTGGACAACTCTGCTTTTCCAGCCTATGGCCTTTGGAGAGTCCAAGCTGACAGGGGCACAGATGGTTCTCCACCACAACACAGCTGTTTTGTCAAGGCATAGCCAGACTGCTTCTTAAAGCTGGGCCCTGATCCACTCCTCCTCGCAGGGTACATCCTCCCAACTGGGTCTTCCCAGCTGGGGCTTCCAGCCACCCCCACTCATGTTCTATGAAGCTGAAAAAGCTCTAATTTCTCCCTAGGATGTAATGCCTGAGGGGCAGGGTAAGCTGCCACGTTGGCCTTTTTGGGCTTCTCAGCCAGTCCAGCCTATGGGTCTTGGAGAACCCAAACTAATTGGGGACTGAGAGGATCCTCAACACAACATAGCTGCTCTACCAAAAAGCAGCCAGACTGCTTCTTTAAGTGAGTCCCTAAGCCTGTTTCTCCTGACTGGGTGAGACTTCCCAACCTGGGTCTCCAGCCACCTTCTACAGGCACATTCAGGCCAGCAATAGTCAGCTCCCTCCAGAACCAAGCTTCCAGAGGAAGGGGTAAGCTACCACCTTTGTTGTTTTGCAGACTTCATTGGTGATACCTCCAGATATGGGCAAAACTGAGGCAACTAGGGTCTGTAGTGGACCCCTAGCAAACTGCAGCAGTCCTATGGAAGAGAGGCCAGGCTGTTAAAAGAAAAACAAACAGAAAACAACAACAACAAAACCCACAAAAATCCCATCCAAAGGTCAGCAACTTAAAGACTGAAGGTAGATAAGCCCACAAAGATGAGAAAGAATCACCAAAAAAAAGATAAAAACTCTAAAAACCAGAGTGCCCCTTTTCCTCCAAATGACCATAACACATCTACAGCAAGGGCTCAGAAGTGAGCTGGGGTAGAGATGGCTGAAATGACAGAAGTAGGCTTCAGAATGTGGGCAATAATGAAATTCACTGAGCTAAAGGAGCGTGTTGCAACCCAATGCAAAGAAGCTAAGAATCATGATAAAACAATATAGAAGCTGACAGCAAAAATAGCCAGTTTAGAGAAGAATGTAACTGACCTGTTAGAGTTGAAAAACACACTACAAGAACTTCACAATGAAATCACCAGTATTAATAGCAGAAAGGACCAAGTAGAGAAAAGAATCTCGGAGCTTGAAGACTATCTTTCTGAAATAAGACAGGCAGACAAGAATAGAGAAAAATATGAAAATGAAAGAACAAAACCTCTGAGAAATATAAGATTATATAAGGAGACTGAATGTCTGATGGATTGGAGTACCTGAAAGAGATGGGAAGAATGGAACCAAGTTGGAAAATATACTTCAGGATATCATCCAGGAGAACTTACCCAACCTAGCAAATTAGGCCAACATTCAAATTCAGGAAATGCAGAGAATCCCATAAGATACTCCATGAAAGGATCATTCCCAAGACACATCAGCATCAGATTCTCCAAGGTTGAAATGAAAAAAAAAAAAAAAGTTAAAAGCAGCCAGAGAGAAAGGCCAGGTCACCTAAAAAGAGAAGCCCTTAAGATTAACAGTGGATCTCTCAGTGGAAACCCTACAAGCCAAAAGAGACTGGGGGCCAATATTCAACAATGTTAAAGGAAAGAATGTCCAAGCCAGAATTTCATTTCTGGCCAAACTAAACTTCATAAGTGAAGGAGAAATATCCTTTTCATACAAGCAAATGCTGAGGAAATTTGCTACCACCAGACCTGTGTTGCAAGAGCTCCTGAAGGAAGCACTAAATATGAAAAGGAATAACCATTATCAGCCACTCCAAAAACACACTAAAGTACTCAGATCAATGATGCTATAAAGAAACTGCATAACTAGTATGCAAAATAACCAGATGGGATCATGATGACAGGATCAAACCCACACATAATAATGCAATCCTAAATGTAAACAGGCTAAATTTCCCAATTAAAAGACACACAGTGGCAAGCTGGATAAAGAAACAAGACCCATTGGTATGATGTCTTCAAGAAACCCATCTTACATGCAAAGACATACATAGGCTCAAAATAAAGGGATGGAGGAAAATTTACCAAGCAAATAGAAGACAGAAAGAAGCAGAAAGGCAGGGTTGCCATCATAATTTCTGACAAAACAGACTTTAAACCAACAAGGATCAAAAAAGACAAAGAAGGGCACTACATAATAGTAAAGGGTTCAATTCAGCAAGAAGAACTAACTATCCTAAATATATATGCACCCAATAGAGGAGCACCCAGATTCATAAAGCAAGTTCATAAAGACCTACAAAGAGAATTAGCCTCCCATACAATAATAGTGGGAGATTTTAACACCCGATTGATAATGTTATATGTATCATAAAGACAGATAATTAACAAAGATATTAAGGACCTAAACTCAGCTTTGGATCAAGTTGACCTAATAGATACCTACAGAACTCTCCACCCAAAAACAACTAAATATACATTCTTCTAATTGCCATACAGCACTCACTCTAAAATTGATCACATAGTCGAAAGTAAAACACTCCTCAGCAAATGCAAAAGAACTGAAATCATAAAAGTCTCAGACCACAGCAAAATTAAATTAGAACTCAAGATTAAGAAACTAACTGAAAACCACACAACAACGTGAAAATTGAACAACCTGCTCCTGACTGACTCTTGGGTAAATAATGAAACTAAGGCAGAAATTAAGAAGTTCATTGAAACTAATGAGAACACAGATACAATGTCCCAGAATAACTGGGATGCAGCTAAAGCAGTGTTAAGAGAAAAATTTATAGCACTAAATACCCACAATAAACAATAGAATAATTTCAAGTTAAGAACCTAACATCTCAACTAAAAGAACTAAAGAACCAAGAGCAAACAAACCCTAAAGCTAGCAGAAAACAAGAAATATCCAAGATCAGAGCAAACAGAAAAAGACTAAAACACCAAAAAAAACTTCAAAAAAATCAACAAATCCAGAAGGTGGCTTTTGGAAAAAAATAATAAAATAGATAGACCGCTGGCTAGACTAATAAATAAGAAATGGGAGAAGATTCAAATAAACACATTCAGAAATGATAAGGGGACTATTTCCACTGACCCCATAGAAATGCAAGCAACCATCAGAGAATACTAAAAATCCTCTATGCACAAAAACTACAAAATCTGAAAGAAATGGATACATTCCTGAGCACATACACCCTCCTGAGACTGAACCAGAAAGAAATTGAATCCCAAAATAGACCAGGAACAAGTTCAAAAATTGAGGCAGTAATAAACAGCCTACCAAGAAAAAAAAAATACCCAGGACAAGAAGAGACTCCTTTCTAATTCATTTTATGAGGTCAGTATCATCCTGATACCAAAACTTGGCAGAGATACTACAAAAACAGAAAACTTCAGACTAGTATCCTTGATTAACATCGATGCAAAAATCCTCAATAAAATACTGGCAAACCAAATCCAGCAGACATAAAAAAAACTTATCCACCATGATCAAATTGGATTCATTACTAAGATGCAAGTCTGCTTCAACATATGCAAATCAATAAACTTAATTCATCACATAAACAGAACAAAAGACAAAAAAACACATGATTATCTTAACAGATGCAGAAAAGGCCTTTGATAAAATTCAACATCCCTTCATGTTAAAAACTCTCAATAAACTAGGTATTGAAGGAACATACCTCAAAATAATAAGAGCCCTCTATGTGAAACCCACAGCCAATATCATACTGAAAGGGCAAAAGCTGGATGCATTCACCTTGAAAACCGGCATAAGACAAGAATGCCCTCTTTCATTACTCCTATTCAACACAGTATTGGAAGTTCTGGCCAGAGCAATCAGGCAAGAGAAATAAATAAAGCATATTTAAATAAAAAGAGAGGAGGTCAAACTGCATTTTTATTCAAAAACAACAGGCAAGCTGAGAGCCAAATCATGAATGAATTCCCGTTCACAATTGCTACAAAAAGAATTAAATACCAGGGAATATAGCTAACAATAGAATGAAGAACGTCTTCAAGGAGAACTACAAACCACTGCTCACAGAGATCAGAGATGACACAAACAAATGGAAAAACATTCCATGCTCATAGATAAGAATAATCAGTATTGTGAAAATGGCCTTACTGCCCAAGGTAATTTATAGATTCAATGCTACTCCCATTAAACTACCATTCACATTCTTCACAGAATTAGAAAAATCTATTTTAAAATTCATATGGAACCAGAAAAGAGCCCAAATAGCCAAGATGATCCTAAGGAAAAAGAACAAATTTGGATGCATCATGTTACCTGACTTCAAACCATACTACAAGGCTACAGTAACCAAAACAGCATGGTACTGGTACAAGAACAGACACATAGACCAATGGAACAGCATAAAGAACCCAGAAATAAGATGGCACACTTATAACGATCTAATCTTCAACAAACCTGACAAATACAAGCAATGGGAAAAGCAATTCCTTTTTAATAAATGGTGCTAGGAGAACTGGCTAGCCATATGCAGAAAACTGAAACTGGATCCTTTCCTTACACCATATTAAAATAAATGAACTGAAATGAATTAAAGACTTAAATGTAAAAGCCAAAAATATGAAAACTCTAGAAGAAAATCTAGGTAACACCATTCAGGACACAGGCATAGGCAAAGATTTTATGATGGAAGCATCAAAAGCAATTGCAACAAAAGCAAAAATTGACAAATGGGATCTAATTAAACTGAAGAGCTTCTGTACAGCAAAATAAATTATCAGAGCAAACAGACACCTACAAAAGAAAGAGAAAACTTTTGCAATCTATCCATTTAACAAAGGTCTAATATTCCAGAACCTACAAATTTACAAGAAACAAAACAAACAACCCCTTGAAAAGAGGGCAAGTGACATGAATAGAGATTTCTTAAAAGAAGACATTTATGTGCCCCAAAACATATGAAAAAAAATCTCAGCATCATTGATAATTAGAGAAATGTGAATCAAAACCACAATGAGAGACCCTCTCACACCAGTCAGAATGGCCATTACTAAAAAGTCAAAAAACAACAGATGCTGGCAAGGTTGTGGAGAAAAGTGATCACTTATGTTCTATTGGTGAGAGTATAAATTAGTTCAACCATTGTGGAAGACAGTGCGGTGATTCCTCAAAGACCTAGAGGCAGAAATATCATTTGACCCAGCAATCCCATTACTGGGTATATACTCAAACGAATATGAATCATTCTATTATAAAGATGCATGCACATATATGTTCCTTGCATCATGATTCACAATGGCAAAGACACAGAATCAACCTAAATGCCCACCAATCATAGGCTGGATAAAGAAAATGTGGTACATACACACCACGAAATACTATGCAGCCATAAAGTGGAATGAGATTATGTGTTTTGCAGGGACATGGATGGAGCTGGAAGCCATTACCCTCAACAAGCTAAAGCAGGAACAGAAAACCAAATACCGCATGTTCTCACTTATAAGTGGGAGCTGAATGATGAAAACACGTGGACACACTGTGGTGGAACAATACACACTGGGGCCTGATGAAGAGTGGGTGGCGGGAGGAGGGAGAGCATCAGGAAGAATAGCTAATGGATGCTGGGCTTAATACCTAGGTGATGAGATGATCTGTGCAGCAAACCACTATAGCACACATTTACCCAGGTGACAAACCTGCACATCCTGCACATGTACCTCTGAACTTAAAATAAAAGTTGGAAATCATAAAAAAAGGAAAAGACAGGAAATAACAAAGATCAGAGCAGAAATAAGTGAAATTCAGAAAAAAATACAAAAGATCAATGAAACAAAAAAGTTCGTTCTGTGAAAAAATGAACAAAATAGATAAACCATTAGCTAGATTAACCAAGAAGACAGAAGATCCAAAAATCTAAATTAGAAACAAAACTGGAGACATTACAACTAACACCACAGAAATACAAAAGATAATTCAAGACTACTACGAACAACTTTATGTGCACAAACTAGAAAACCCAGAAAAAAAAAGGGTAAATTTCTAGAAACATACAACCTTCCTAGATTAAATAAGGCAGAAATAGAAACCAATATCATCCTGAACCAAGAATGGATTATCCTGATACCAAAACAGTATCATCCTGATATCAAAACCAAGAACAAAAAATACCAAGGACACAATACAAAAAGAAAACTACATGGTACTGTTACCAAAACAGAGATATAGACCAATGGAGCAGAACAGAGGTCTCAGAAATAACACCACACATCTACAACCATCTGATCTTTGAAAAACCTGACAAAAACAAGAAATGGGGAAAGGATTCCGTATTTAATAAATGGTGCTGGGAAAACTGGCTAGCCATATGTAGAAAGCTGAAACTGGATCCCTTCCTTACACCTTATACAAAAATTAATTCAAGGTGGATTAAAGACTTAAATGTTAGACCTGAAACCATAAAAACCCTAGAAGAAAACCTAGGCAATACCATGGAGGACATAGGCATGGGCAAGGACTTCATGATGAAAACACCAAAAGCAATGGCAACAAAAGCCAAAATTGACAAATGGGATCTAATTAAACTAAAGAGCTACTGCACAGCAAAAGAAACTACCATCAGAGTGAACAGGCAACCTACAGAATGGGAGAAAATTGTTGCAATCTACTCATCTGACAAAGGGCTAATACCCAGGATCTACAATGAACTCAAACAAATTTATAAGAAAAAAACAAACAACCCCATCCACAAGTGGGTGAAGGACATGAACAGACACTTCTCAAGAGAAGATATTTATGCAGCCAAAAGACACATGAAAAAATGCTCATCATCACTGGCCATCAGAGAAATGCAAATCAAAACCGTAATGAGATACCATCACACACCAGTTAGAACGGCGATCCTTAAAACGTCAGGAAACAACAGGTGCTGGAGAGGATGTGGAGAAATAGGAACACTTTCACACTGTTGGTGGGACTGTAAACTAGTTCAACCATTGTGGAAGTCAGTGTAGCGATTCCTCAGGGATCTAGAACTAGAAATACCATTTGACCCAGCCATCCCATTACTGGGTATATACCCAAAGGATTATAAAACATGCTGCTATAATGACACATGCACACGTATGTTTATTGTGGCACTATTCACAATAACAAAGACTTGGAACCAACCCAAATGTCCGAGAATGATAGACTGGATTAAGAAAATGTGGCACCTATACACCATGGAATACTATGCAGCCATAAGAAATGATGAGTTCATGTCCCATGTAGGGACATGGATGAAGCTGGAAACCATCATTCTCAGCAAACTATCACAAGGACAAAAAACCAAACACCGCATGTTCTCACTCGTAGGTGGGAATCGAACAATGAGAACACATGGACACAGGAAGGGGAACATCACATACCGGGGCCTGTTGTGGGGTGAGGGGAGTGGGGAGGGATAGCATTAGGAGATATACCTAATGTTAAATGATGAGTTGATGGGTGTAGCACACCAACATGGCACATGTATACATATGTAACAAACCTGCACATTGTGCACATGTACCCTAAAACTTAAAGTATAAAAAAGAAAAAAGAAAACTACAGATCAATTTCCATGATGAACATAGACGCAAAAAAATCCTCAACAATATGTTAGCTAACTAAATCCAACAGCACATCAAAAAAGTTATCATAGTCCAATGGGTTTCATCCCAGGGATGCAGGGATGGTTTAACATATGCAAATCGATAAACGTGACACATTATATAAACAGAATTAAAAACAAAGTCCATATGATGATCTCAATAGATGCAGTAAAAGCATTTGACAAAATCTAGCATTGCTTTATTATAACAACTCTCAACAAACTAGTCATAGAAATGACCTACTTCAAAACAATAAAAGCCCTATATGACAGACCCACAGCCAACATTTTACTGAATGGGGAAAAGTTGAAAGCATTATCTCTGAGAACAGGACCAAGACAAAGACGTCATTTACA
This sequence comes from Homo sapiens, assembly GCF_000001405.40. Classification (NCBI taxonomy): domain Eukaryota; kingdom Metazoa; phylum Chordata; class Mammalia; order Primates; family Hominidae; genus Homo; species Homo sapiens. Next base: position 102,066,832 of record NC_000001.11, read on the forward strand.
TCACTCCTATTCAACACAGTTCTGGAAGTCCCAGCCAGAGAAATTAGGCAAGAGAAAAAAATAAAAGGCATCCAAATTGGAAAAGAAGGAGTCAAGCTATTGCTCTTTGCAAATGATATGACTGTATACTGAGAAAATCCTGAAGACTCCTCCAAAAAATTCCTAGATTTCACAAATTCAGTCAAATCTCAGATTAAAAATCAATGTACACAAATCAGTAGCACTGCTATACACTAATAATGACCAAGCTGAGAAACAAATCAAGAACTCAATACCTTTTGCAAAGCTGCAAACAACAACAAGAACAACAACAAAAAATCAAACAAACAAACAAAAAAAAACCTAAGAATATTTTTAACCAAGGAGGTGAAAGATATCTACAAGGAGAACTACAGAACGCTGCTAAAATTATAAATGACACAAACAAATGGAAACACATTCCATGCTCATGGGTTGGAAGACTCAATATTGTGAAAATGACCATACTAACCAAAGCAATCTACAGATTCAATGTCATTTCCATCCAAATAGCAACAGGATTTTTCATAGGATAACGAAAAACCAATCCTAAAGTTCATATGGAACCAAAAAAAGGAGCCTAAATAACCAAAGCAATCCTAAGCAAAAATAACAAATCTGGAGGCATCACATTATCAGACTTCAGATTATACTACAAGGCTATCATTAGCAAAACAGCATAGTACTAGTATAAAAGTAGGCATATAGACCAAAGGAACATCATAGAGAACTCATAAATAAAGCTAAATATGTGCGGCCAACTGATCTACAACAAAGCACACAAAAACATAAATTGGGAAATGGACACCCTATTTAATAAGTAGTGCTTGGAAAACTGGCAAACCACATGCAAAAGAATAAAACTGGATCCCTATCTCTCACTGTATACAAAAATCAACTCAAGATGGATAAAAGACTTAAATATAAGACCTGAAACTATAAAATTTCTAGAAGACAACAAAAATTGGAAAATCTTTTTTAGATATTGGCCTAGACAAAGAATTTATGACTAAAACCCCAAAAAGCAAACACAACAAAAACAAAAATAAATAAATGAGACCTAATTAAACTCGAAAGCTTCTGCACAGCAAAAGAAATAATAATCAAACAGACATCACACAGAATGTGAGAAAATATTTGCAAACTGTGCTTCTGACAAAGGACTAGTATCCAGAATTCATAGAGAACTCAAAGAAATCAGCAAGAAAAAAAAAACAAATAATTTCATCAAAAAGTGAGCAAAACACCTGAACAGACATTTTCCAAAAGAAGATATACAAATTGCCAATAAACATGAAAAAAATGCTCAATATCACTAATTATCATGGAACTGCAAATTAAAACCACAATGAGATACTACCTTCCTGCACAAACAGCCATTACTAAAAAGTCAAAGAAAACAATAGATGATGGCATGGATGTGGGGAAAGGGGAACACTTACACATTGCTGGTGGAAATGTAAATTAGTACCACCTCAATGGAAAAATGTATGGAGATTCTTTAAAGAGCTAAAGGTAGATCTTTCATTTGATCCAGCAATTTCACTACTGGGTATCTACTCAAAGGAAAATAAGTCATTATATGAAAAAGACACGTGTACACGCATGTTTATAACAGCATGATTGCAAATTGTAAAGATGTGGAACCAACTGAAGTGCCTATCAACTAATGAGTGGATAAAGAAAATGTTGTATATATACACCATGGAAAACTACTCAGCTATTAAAAAGGACAAAGTAATATCTTTTTCAGTTACTTGGATGGAGCTGGAGGCCATTAATCCAAGTGAAGTAACACAGGAGAGGAAGATCAAAAACCGTATGTTCTCATTTATAAGTGGGAGCTAATCTATGAGTATGCAAAAACATACAGAGTGATAAATGGACTTTAGAGATTCAGAAGGGGGAGGGTCATGGGGAGAGAGGAATGAAACATTACACATTAGGTAAAACGTACACTACTCAGGTGCACTAAAATCTCAGAATTCACCAGTATATAATTAATATATGTAACAAAAACTACTTGTACCCCAACAGCTGTTGAAATAAAAAATTTAAAAAAAGAAACTGAGACAAGACATAAGCAAAATTATTGCAGGCAGCAGGAAAGAGAACATGTTATAAAGGGACAAAGGATAGAAGAGATATGGTGGTAAGTAGAGAGTCACTATATTTCAGCCATTTAAAAAAATTCTTCATGGGGCTATTAAATAAGAAATATAGAAGTGTCATGGAATGTCAACTGTTTTTTGCCTTCATATAAAAAATAGTTGAAAATTTTTTCTTCCCAAGTTTTTATCCACACTCCAACTGAGAAATGTCATACTTAGAAAATATATTTCAGCTATATGCAATTTAATACTTCCAGGTATTCTTGCATCAACATCATCCCTAGGGGAAATACAGGCACTAACCACAATTCCTTTTTTTTCTAATGCACTTGGGAATTATTTCCTATCGTCATGGCTGTGAGGTGGACCTTTATTATCTTGTCCCCATGTATTCCTTAAGAAAACTTTCATTGCCATTCAATATTGAAGCAACAGGTTAAGTTGAGGTCTCGCTATGTTGTCCAGAATGGTCTCAAACTCCTGGTCTCAAGCAATCATCTCATCTCGCCTTGGCTTCCCAAAGTGCTGGAATTACAGGCATGAGCCACTGTGCCCAGCCATGAAACACCAGTTTTGAAATATCGGTATTAGTCAGTTTGTTCTCTCTCTTTTTACTCACTCCTCCACTTAAGAGTAATTATTAGATTATTAAATTAAAGAGAATCTGAGCTTTTTTGCTGCAAGTTCTTACTTTAGGCAGGGTGTAAAAGAGCAGTTCTCTTATGTAGTCTTTCATTCTTTTTTTCCTTCAAATCAACCTATTGGTCTTCTTTCCTTCAATTGTCATACTCAATGATTCAGCCTACATTCCTACAAGGAACGACTAGAGTAATTGAACTGCCCATGTAATGTCTGTATGTGTAAGAAAATCACTCCAAAATGGTAGTAGAAGATTAGTCAAGGTACCTGATTCCATCTGAAAGTTATCATTCTTCTTAAGCTCCAAGTTAAATCTATATACAATTCACTACTGCATTTGCTTTCAAAGAATTGCCTGGCCCCATGGCATATGCATCTAGTTCCAGCTATTCAGGAGGCAGAGACCAGAGGACCCCTTTAACCCAGGAGTTTTAGGCCAGCCTGGGAAACACAGAAAGATCTTGTGTCTAAGAGAAAAAAAAATGTGGAGGACACTGTTCGTCATGTAATTCAACGAGAATTTCCAATTTTCTCTATCAAGTTCTTCTTGAGAATGGATTAAAATTTCACAGTGAGAAAGTAAATGTTTCTCATGACCAAATGGTATGCTGCTGTTTCCATTGTATAAACAAAACATCATAACAAATTGTTTCTTTTTTCATTCCCCCAAAACAATAAATCCAAATTTGAAACTCACCACAGAAACTAAGTTGATATGTATTTTAATAGTTTAGTGTCCTCCTTTTCCATGATTCTGTTTTAATATTTCTATTTTGTCATTTCATTGTTCATACTTTTGTTGTAAGCCACCTCAATTCCTTTATGGAAAGGCACAGTGGACATAAATGTGATTATAATTCAAGTTATACCAAGTGAGAGCCCAGTTGATGCCAGTCATTGTCCTGGCCATTGGGGAATTGAAATGTAGAAAGTGGCTAGGTGTGGTGGCTCACACCTGCAATCCCAGCACTTTGGGAGGCCAAGGTGGGCAGATCATAAGGTCAGGAGATCAAAACCATCCTGGCTAATATGGTGAAACCCCTTCTCTACTAAAAATACAAAAAATTAGCCAGGCCTGGTGGCACGCACCTGTAATCCCAGCTACTTGGGAGGCTGAGGTAGGGGAATCCCTTGAACCTGGGAGGTGGAGGTTGCAGTGACCCGAGGTGGTGCCACTGCACTCCAGCCTGGTGACAGAGCAAGACTCTGTCTCAAAAAAAAAAAAAAAGTAGAAAGTGTTGACTCTGATTTTATGCAACTTTTAGTTCAATGGATAAGGTAGGCATGGAAAATTAATAATCATAAGGCATTATACTAGGATTATGTACAAAGTTTTATGAGGTGGAACCAAATCTAATTTATTTTCTGGGAAAGTTTTTCTAGGAATAAGGACATTTTATCTGAGTAGTATGAGATAAACAGAAGCTGCATAGGTACAAAAATTTGAGAAATGTATTTCTAAAGAAAGGTATGTATAGAAGAAATAGATTTTAAGTATGTGGAGATTTGAGGGCAATGAATATAATTTTGAGTCTCTATGTTGTAGGATAGGGTAGGATGGGATTGCAAAATACAGCCCACAGACAAAATATGGTCAGTGATCTGTTTTTATAGGGTTATGAGCTAACAATTGTTTTAAGGTTGCACAACAAACAACGAAACAAGAATATGAGCAATCATATATGGCCCACAATGTGTAAAATATTTAATATTTATTTAACATTTACAGATAAAATTTCTGAGCCCCTGATGTAGGATGCAGTTTGGTAGGGGTATAAGAGTGGTAGAAAGACCAGAAAAAAAATTTAAAGCCTCATAAAATGTGCCAAAATGTTTGTACTTTAGCCTAAGATAGTAGTATGTCATATGTAGTGGCTTTGTAATGTCTCAAATTGGCTAGACTAAAATATATAACCCTCAAGTTTTTTCTGCATATGTTTTCATTTAGGGTAGGCTATAATTGAGAATTTCATGCAAGATTTAGATGGGGAAGTGAACAATGAGGCATTTTCTAGCACACACATGTTGTCATCAACCTGCTGGCTTACTTTATCAGTCTGGGGCAGCAGCCAGTTTTTAACTGTTCAGTCTTTCCCTGAAGGATGCCAGCTTCTGTGAGGACATCCATATGAACAAAGTCAGGAGAAGTGAGACCTGACACAGAGTTAACATCCATGTGTTTTCCAGCTCATGCTTATAGGTGCCAAATTGTTCTCACTCTCTCCCACTTTACATCCATCACCATTGTGAGCTTACCTGTCCTGCAGACTTCAAGCTCTAGCATCAGATGCAAAGATTGCAGTCCTCTTACAGGGACTGCTTAACCAGCCCCCACAGTGGTGTGGGAGTGTGTGTGTGTGCATGTGTGTGTGTCCAGTAGTTCTACTTATTCGATTAAACCATGACTGATAAATCATACGAGGATCTCTAAGGAGAATCAAAACCATATTTTAGGACATATGTTTTTCCTGTGTTGCAGAATACATAGTAGATGTAGGAAATATTAGAGATTAGAACAGCAGTTAGCAGAGAATTAAAATAATCCTAGTGAAAATGATGAAAATCTAAATGAAGAGAGTGGCTAAAGTAAGCGAAACGAGGGGGCTACTAGGGAGGAAACTTTATTAGTTTAAATGGGAAGGAGTTGGTGTTTTGTGGGACAAATAAACCATTTACATCTATATATCAAAAAAGAATTTCAATATGTCAGACTTTTTGTTTCTGGACTTACATTAAATGTCAAAACTAAGGAATAAATACTATGGCCCAGTGTTACAGTTTGAATGTGTCCCCTTCAAAATTCAGATGTAGCCAATATAACAGTGTGAGGAAGTGGAAACTTCAAGAAGTAATTAGGCCATGAGGGCTCATCTTTCATAAATGAGATTAAGGACCTTATCAAAGAGCCTTCACAGCATTCAGCAGCTTGCCCTTCTGTCTTCTGCCATGTGAAGACACAGCATTTCTCCCCTCTGGAGGACGCAACATCCAGGTGGCGTCTTGGAAGCAGAGAGCATCCCTCACCAGACAATGGAACCTGCCAGTTCTTTAATTTTGGACTTCTCAGGCCCCAGAACCATGAAAAATAAATTACTATTTTTTATAAATTGCCCAGTCTCAGGTCTTTTTGTTATAGTAGCACAAAATGGACTTAGATATCCAATAAATAATAAATGTATACATAATAACTATATACAAAATGTATAAATAATAAATGTATAAATAATAAATGTATACAAAATGTGCCCTTCTGATGATGAAAATTATGAACATTGAATCATGTTTTTCTTAATAAAATTTTCAAATTCTTGAAATAGTGAAATTACCAGTTCTCATAACCATGGTCAGACACGTTTCATGTAACCTACAATGATGAGTTCAGGCTCTTAAGAAGGAGCTCGCTTTCCATGTGTGTTCTATAAATCAGAAGCTATTAAATGGTGTAAAGAGTTGAACAAAATGACAGATGTTATCAAGCGGAGTCAATAAATACATAAATAATAGCAGATATGCAGGATAAATAAATCTGGAGATCTAATATACAAAATCAGGGCTAAAGTTAGTAAAAGTGAATTGTATTAAAAATTTTTGTTAAATAAGTAGACTTTAGCTGCTCTCATCATGAAAATAGTAAAAAGTAACTGTGTTTCTTCATTGCTTGAACAGATAAAAAAGAAAAGTAACTGTGGGATGATAGATATGTTAATCTGCTTTACTGTTATAACCACTTCACTATCTATATGTATTATATAACATGATGTTGTAAACTTCAAATATACACAATAACATTCATTTTATTTTATTTTTTTTAATTTTTTTATTATTATTATACTTTAAGTTTTAGGGTACATGTGCACAATGTGCAGGTTAGTTACATATGTATACATGTGCCATGCTGGTGCACTGCACCCACTAACTCGTCATCTAGCATTAGGTATATCTCCCAATGCTATCCCTCCCCGCTCCCCCCACCCCACAACAGTCCCCAGAGTGTGATGTTCCCCTTCCTGTGTCCATGTGTTCTCATTGTTCAATTCCCACCTATGAGTGAGAATATGCGGTGTTTGGTTTTTTGTTCTTGCGATAGTTTACTGAGAATGATGATTTCCAATTTCATCCATGTCCCTACAAAGGACATGAACTCATCATTTTTTATGGCTGCATAGTATTCCATGGTGTATATGTGCCACATTTTCTTAATCCAGTCTATCATTGTTGGACATTTGGGTTGGTTCCAAGTCTTTGCTATTGTGAATAATGCCGCAATAAACATATGTGTGCATGTGTCTTTATAGCAGCATGATTTATAGTCCTTTGGGTATATACCCAGTAATGGGATGGCTGGGTCAAATGGTATTTCTAGTTCTAGATCCCTGAGGAATCGCCACATTGACCTCCACAGTGGTTGAACTAGTTTACAGTGCCACCAACAGTGTAAAAGTGTTCCTATTTCTCCACATCCTCTCCAGCACCTGTTGTTTCCTGACTTCTTAATGATTGCCATTCTAACTGATGTGAGATGGTATCTCATTGTGGTTTTGATTTGCATTTCTCTGATGGCTATTTTATTTTTTAAAAAAGAGTTGAATATTTGAAAATAGCCATTGGAGAAAGACGGCTTCAGCCTTTGCTTCTCCAGTTAAAACTATGAGCACAAACACACAAACACAAACATACACACAACGATGTTATAAAACTTAGCAATTAATGCAACTGCACATTCGTCAATCAATACTTTGCAGAAATTACAAAAGAGACAGATTGACTTCTTTTTTTTAAGAAATCAAGTTTTAGTTACCATGATAATTGCTAAACTTTTAACACTATGTATAACACCATTTTTAGCTGAACTATTATATAACACTTCACTGCAGTGCACCAGAATAACTAATAACTTAATGAAGACAATGAATCATAAAGTAAAAGCTATATTATATGGACTCTCTTAAAAATCCTTTACTTGGTTTTCCTTTTAGGAAGGAAATGTGCAGTGGATTTTACCATGATTTCTCCTCCGTGCCTCAGATGAGTCATTAATGAAGGATTTTTGCATTGCCAAGATTTTATTTTACATTTCACTTAATTACTTAATTCACTTTTAGTCACCGGATACCAAGTCATTAGCTTTGTAGATTGGTTCATGTTCTTTTCATAGCTGGAAGTAGAATCTCTGCAGAAATACTTCATCATTTCTTCTACATCTCTTTAATGGCACATGACAATTTATTTCTAGAATTTTAATTTGATGTTAAACCATATTCTATTTTTATATTTACATTCTTGTCCTAGTACCCACTCAACCTGTGAAATTCTTGAAGTGATAGGATCATAAGCCCAAAGCAAAGGAATTTGCCATCCTCCATCTCTACAGATTCTCAGTGTGGAACTAGACAGTTTTTCCTGTAATTCTTCATCCTTAAGGATGTCAATGCAAGGTTAGAGTTCCCTTGGAAATCAGTGGGAGCCCTGTGTTTAGATGAACTTAATGAGAAAAGGCAGACTGTACAGCCTCCAGGGATCTATTTTTCAAACTATGGGATTGCTTTCTTCTTACCCTCTTGCCAAACTAATAAATTAAGTGTTGATACTCCCAGAGTAGTTCTCCTTTCCTTCAAGATCACTGCTCATTAAAATGCTATCTTTCATTAAAGGATAATGTCTATTGGTTAAATTATGAAGCATGAGATATTCCCTTCTTCCATTCGTGGGTCAATGTGACTACCAGCATTACAGACCTGACAACTACAGAGCATCTTCAGGGTTTCAGTAGCTATTGAGCTGAGCATCGGTTTAGACAATTTGGATCATAAAGATGTTGATTTAATTCACAATTCTTAGAGTTTCACACTTTAATTTTTATAACTTCAAAATAATTGTGAGGCATTCCCATCCCCACATCTGAGATTATTAAATCCATACTTTGCAATTGTATACCTTCCTAAATTCCGCAGTGAAGCAAGAAGGATGTAAGAGGCTCTATTTCAAGCTATGACATTCAGAATAGCCATTTTTGTCAAATTTTCAGACTTGACCTTATTATTTTTTTAAGTGTAATGTTAGAGAGAAAAGCATCTGGCTTTTTTCAAATGCCAGCTCTCTTCCTTGTGAATTTATCTTGGATATTTCATTTCGCCCCTTTTGAACCTCAGTTTCATCATCTAGAAAGTGGTGATAATAACAACAATTGTGCAGGGAATACATTAAAAAATAATAAATAATATGTGTCTTTTTTCCATTTCAATTCTTTGAATTATTTAAGTCCATAATATTAGACCTCACATAAAATCAGTAAATGATCCTAGGTTTACCTTCTAAATATATCTATTATTTGACCACCTCTTAGTACCTCTAACACTACCATTTTGGTCTAAAACTTTATATTCTTCCACTAGATTACTATGATAGCCTCAAATATATTTATCAGCTTTAGCTATTTCCCCACACGTAGTATGTTCTGCAGATAGCAGACAAACATAAGTCAGGATACATCATGTCTCCCCTCAATGTCTTCCAAAGACTATCTGTGTTACTTAGAGCAAAATACCTTAAAATGTCCTTCAAAGCCATATGTAACTTCGCCACATTTTATCTCTCCAGCTCTCTCTAATCATCCTATTTAAATTGACTCACCAGTCCCTGATCTTTCCATCCTCTTTTCTTGCTATGTATTTTTCCATATACATGTCATAATTTACCATATTGTACATTTTGTTTATTGTTTATCTTTCCCCTGTAACAACCACCTCTTGTGTGTGTGCTGTTTCAGATTTGCTCAACCTCCCCTGTCTTACATTAGTCACTGCTGGATTGTTAGTTCTGCATGGGCTCCAAACAGCTTCATGTAGGGACCACTCGGAAGTTTCTTATCTCAGGCCTTACCTCCTTAACGTCTAGTTTCCTTTTCCTTGCATTTGCTGGCACAGGCACAAGGCTCTTGGTTCTCACACATATACAGTTGGGAAACGGGAATTTAACACTCTGTGGGATGACCAGTAGAGAACGGGAACCAATAGGGAGATATTCTCTCCTTTCATCATTATGATATACTAGTCTAAGAAACCTTTTCAATATTCTGTGAGGGCCAGGTGTGGTGGCTCATACCTGTAATCCCAGCACTTTGGGAGGCTGAGCCAGGTGGATCACGAGGTCAGGAGATCAAGACCAGCCTGGCCAACATGGTGAAACCCCGTTTCTACTAAAAATACAAAAATTAGCTGGGCGCGGTAGCACTTGCCTGTCATCCAACCTATTTGGGAGGCTGAGGCAGGAGCATTGTTTGAACCTGGGAGGCGGAGGTTGCAGTGAGCTGAGACTGCACCATTGTAGTCCAGCCTGCATGACAGAGTGAGACTCTGTCTCAAAAAAAAAAAAAAAAAAGAAGATTCTGTGAGATTGAGTAACTAGTTGCCCATAGCATGGCCTATTCACTGTGACCTTCTTGTATTGCCTCTCTCTCTGTTTTGCCTTTTCCCCCCATCCCTCACTTCTGCTTCCTGGATTTTCTTCACCTGTAAATTACTTATATTTAACCTTCTATTTTAGGTTTTGCTCTGTTGTAAAGCCCATGTTAAGACAATAGTATCCATAGTTGCTTAGAAAGCTGAAAATTTGGAAGTTGATTATGATCGGTCATATGGCAATAAGAAACTGTTGGTGTTAAGTGGGGAGATGAAAAACCCTGAGATGCATACCCGTTTTACAATTCCTATAATTCTTCCTTGTGCTGGACTGGAATGAAGTATACGCAGAAACCACATTGTGCTATATTGTAGCTGAGACATTTGAGAACTGTGGAGGCAACAAATATTAACATTACAAAGGTTATGGAGAGGCTGGCATTGAGATCCTTGAGAAATAAAAATTACAGGTTAAATTATATAGCCATCAATTGGAGAGTGATGAGTCTCTATGACAATATAAGGAGAACTTCATCTCCTATTGTCTCAAAACAGTGCTGAATGTCAGACCAGAATCTAAGTGTAAGGAAGGCAGAATTGCAAAGAAGATGAATCTATAGCTTGAAAAGGTGTGTTTTTTTTTTCTTTTTCCCTTTCTTTTTGTTTAAGGCCTTGATAGCAAGAGTCTGAGAATGAGATGGGGACATTTTGATGAATGATTCTGTGGAACTTGGACCACTAATTCCCTCAAATTTTTATGTGTTATAAAAAATTTATTTTCCTACTTTTTGACAGAGGACAGATATCTCCCCATTCTTTAAGATTCTGCAAATACCTCAACCAGAAGATGGACTTTCAAATATAATGTTTGAACATCACCTGCACCGATTTTTATAATTTTAATCACCCGAATCATGTTTTAACACAATGGTGTGGAAATATAATCTGTGTTTCAGGATTAAAATGATTACACATCAAATGGATCATAAGGCTTAGCTATCAGGTATCAGAAGGGGAGGAATCCAGAGGAGGCAGTGATTTGTAAAGTGTTAGACCAAAAAGATAGGGTAGAAGATTAACCTCTATCTGAAGTAATTTTCTTAGCTAATGACAGTCACCCATATCTCAAAAAATTCAACGTTCTGGTGAGGACATCCGGAGATGGTGTTAACATGTTGATGGAATAGCTATTTCAAGCTAGAATATGATTGTCTTTGAGTAAACAAAGCAAAGATGTTGGAAATTTTGTAGCACTGAATAAGAGTAAGAAAACATGGAAAAGTAAAAAATTAAATGAGATTTATTATATCACCAGAGTATATTACCTAAGAGGGCCCAGACAATACTACCTCCTTTAAGGCAGAAAATAAAAAATAAATGAGATATGTCACAGCATCTTGAGAAGCTCAGTAATGGCTGCCTTCTATAAGTTGGGAGATGCTATCATGCTACTGAACTCTCTAACATATATGAGATAAATAAAATTAGGGAAAGGCAGAAACTAAATGGCAGCATTTAACTCAGAGGTAAGGTGACCTAATCACTGTAAAAAGTAGCAAGATTGGTATAAAAATCAGGCTAACTTGTCCGACAGGTTTCTGAAATGATAAAAGAATCATGGTCATCTTAATGGATAGATAGAATGCTGCTCAATTTTTATATTAAATATTGACATCTTACATTTAAAACTTTAATCCATCTTGGGCTAATTTTTTATGTAATGAAAGGTAGTGGTCCAGTTTCATTCTTCTGCATAAGATTAGCCAGTTTTCCCAGCACGATTTATTGGATGGGGTGTCCTTTCCCCATTGTTTATTTTTGTTGACTTTGTTGAAGATCAACTGGTTGTAGGTAAATGGCTTCATTTCAGCGGTCTCTATTCTCTTCCAGTGGTTTCTATGTCTATTTTTGTACTACCATGCTGTTTTGGCTACTGTAGCCTTGTAGTACACTTTGAAGTTGGGTAATGGGATGTCCCTGGCTTCGTTGTTTTTGTTTAGGATCACCTTAGCTATTCAGGCTTTTTGTTTGTTTGTTTGTTTGTTCTACATGTATTTTAGAAAAATTTTTTCTAATTCTGTGAAAAATGACATTGATAATTTGGTAAGAATGGTGTTAAATCTGTAGATTACTTTAAGCAGTATAGCTATTTTAATTTTATTGATTCTTCCAATCTGTGATCATGGAATGCTTTTCAACATGTTTGTGTCGTCTATAATTTCTTTCAGCAGTGTTTAGTAGTTCTCCCCATGGTGATCTTACACCTCCTTGGTTAGGTGAATTTCTAGGTATTTAAAATATTTTGTGGCTATTATGAATGGGATTGCATTTTTTTATTTTGCTCTCAACTTGAATGTTACTGGTTTATAGAAATGCTACTGATTTTTCTACATTGATTTTGTATCCTGAGACTCCTGAAGTCATTTATCAAGTCTAGGAGTCTTTCTGTGGAATCTTTAGGGTTTTCTACATTTTCCAGGTATGGATTCATATTGTCAGTGAAGAGAGATAATTTGACTTTCTCTTCTCCTACTTGGATCCCTTTGAAGTCTTTCTCTTTCCTGATTGCTATGGGTAGGACTGCCAGTACCATGTTGAATAGTGAGAGTGGTCATCCCCCAAAGCAAATGCAACACAATCAAATATAGACAAATGGGACTTAATTAAACTAAAGAGCTTCTGCACAGCAAAATAAACTCTCAAAAGAGTAAACAAACAGTTTACAGAATGTGGAAAATGTTTGCAAACTATACATCTAGCAAAGAACTAATACAGAATCTACAAACAATTCAACAGGGAAAAAAAACACATTAAAAAGTGGGCAAATGACAGATACTTCTCAAAAGAAGACATACAAGTGACCAACAAACATGAAAAAAATGCTCAACATCACGAATCATCAGAAAGATATAAATCAAAATCACTATAAGATACCATCTCACACTAGTCAGAATGGTTTTTATTAAAATGTCAAAAGCAACAGATATTGGCAAGAATGCAGAGAAAAGGGAAGGCTTACAGAGTATTAGTGAGAATGCAAATTAGTTCAGCCACTCTGGAAATCAGTTTGGAGATATCTCAAAGAACTAAAATTAGAACAGTCATTTGACCCAGCAATCCCATTAGTGGGTATATAGTCAAAGGAAAATAAATTGTTTTACAAAAAAGACTCATGCACATGTATGTTCATTACAGCACTGTGCACAATTATAAAGATGTGGAATCAACCTAGGTGCCCATCAATGGTGAATGAATAAAGTGTGGTATATATACATCTGAAATACTATGCAACCATAAAAAAATAAAATTATATTATTTGCAGCAACATGATGCAGCTGAATGCTGTTATCCTAAGCAAATCAATACAGAAACAGAAAAACAAATATTGCATATTCTCACTTATATGTGGGAGCTATATCTTGGGTACACACAAATATAATGATGGGAACAATAGACAACGGGGACTCAAACGGAGGTTGGGGAGCAAGAGCTGTAAAACTTCTAATTAGGTACTATGTTCGCTGTCTGGGTGACAGGATCAATAGAAGCCCAAACTTCAACATCACACAATATACCCTTGTAACAAATTTGTACATATACCCGCTGAATCTAAAATAAAAATAAAAATTAAAAAAAAATATGGAGAGTTGGCAAGCAAAAATGTGACATCTGCCATTGAAATGAGAAATCACAGTTGTTTCCTTGGATTTTAAATATGATTAATTTCACAAGCCTAGAGCCAGATGATTGAAGAAGAATGACTCAGAAATAATGCTGTATGTGTGACAAATGTTTCTTCAATCCTTTCCCCCAAAGGAAGTTGCGCATTGGACAATGAGAAATTCTGAAACTTTATTAGAACTGTTGGATATAAGGTCTGAGTTTATCTTAATACCAGGGTGCACAAAAATGCCATCAAAATCTTCTCACTGAAGTAGGAATTCATGGAAGAAAGGTGATAATAAATGTATTTCTGGTCTTAGTCCACCTCATAGTGAATACTGTGGGTGTATAGAACAACTGTATGGTGCCTTTTACAGTTCCCAAACGTATAATTGGGATAAATATGCTTAGCAGTTGGCAGAACTTTTGCATAGGTTTTCTGACCTATTCTAATAAGAAAAATTAAATGGGAAGGTTCAAGTGAAAGTCATTCCAACAAGTCAAGATTATAAAATGGAAGCCATACCACATTATACCTTCCTCAAAGACTTAAAGAAGTTATGGAAAGCGGTCATGATGTTTTCATTTCTACCTGTTTGTCCCTGGTAAAAATAGATGAATTGTGTTGGACTACTGAAAATTTAATTAGATATTCACTTGCATGCTCAGTTCAGTATTTTGACTACAGCAGATCAACACAGTTTCTGGTACTTGTTTTTTGTTTGTTTTTTTGTTTTTTGAGATGGAGTCTCACTCTTGTCACCCAGACTGGAGCTCAATGGCATGATCTCAGCTCACTGCAAACTCTGCCTCCCTGGTTCAAGTGATTCTCCTATCTCAGCTTCCTGAGTTAGCTGGGATTACAGGTTCCCACCATCACACCTGACTAATTTTTGTATTTTTAGTAGAAATGGGTTTTCACCATGTTGGCCAGGCTCAACTTCTGGCTAGGTCCAAACTCCTGACCTCAGGTGGCCCGCCCACCTCAGCCTCCCAATGTGCTGGGATTACAGGCGTAAGCCACCACGCCTGGCTGTCTGGTGCTTGTTTTGCCAATATTTACTTTGTCAAAGCATTTTTACTAATCTCTATCACCAAAGAGAATCAAAAGCTATTCACATTCACTTTGAAAAGATAGTGTATGTTTATTCTCTTGCCTCGGGGTTCTCTGAACAGTACAGTCCACAGGACATTGATCATCTTGCCATTCCACAGATCAAAATGCTGGTGCCACATCTTGCTAATTGGACCTGATGGAAAAAAAATGCCATGTAGCCTGCAAGCCTTAGGAAGACACAGGTACAACAGCATGGGCTCTCCTGTCTGCCACATTTGTGAACTTTATAGAAATCCAATGGTATGGAACATCCCCTAGGATTTTCTGGAATAAAAAAGAATATCGTTGCACCTTGTGAAAAAAAGGTGTAGTACTTAGTGGACATCTTTGGATTTTGGAGACAACATACAACTTATATGCTATTAATCTTCAACCTATTATTAGTGACTCTAAAATCTGTTCATTTTAAATGGATCCAGATAAAGGGAGGACACTGCAGGAGATCCAAGGTACAGTGACAGGCAATATGGCACAGCTAGGGATAATTTTAGTGAATAAAAATATAAGAGTTGTAGCATAGACCTTGAGGATTCTATAGGAAACTACAACTTCTGTGTTAGTATCATTAGAAAAATAAGTTTCTGATATGCTACTGAGTACTATAAAGATTGAATACCTAGCCACCATGTTCGACAAGGTTTAGTATATATATACACACACACACATACACACACACACACACACACACACGTATATATTGAATCGTATCTTGTATTTTATCTCTTACAAATGAAGGCTAATGAAAGGGAAGAATGTTATGGCAGCAGCCTACTATTTTAAAGCAGGAACTACAACTGAAATGCTAACAAACCCACTCCATAAAATAGGAATCCCTTCCTCAGGCCATAATGGACATCTATTTAAGTTTCTGAATACTGAGATTTGCTATATTTAGTTCCACTCTTTCATCAGATCAGGCAGGTATAACAACAATCTATTCTGCACTTGAAATGGTGCATTTCAAGAGTCAATTCAAAAACATCCAGAAGCACCAAGATAATTAAATGATCAGGTAGCCTAGATTCCTACTGAAGCCCTTTTTCAGACCAGATTTAGGGATTCATGGGATCTTGTCTGTGACCAACTGACAGAGAGCTCAGTCTGGTTTCCAAGTGAGAAGGCATAATATATTGATATGTGTCACAGACTGTCTCTTGGGAAGCCCTAAAATACTATGGAAATTCTCCCATTTGGTTTGGGAGATCATATTGAGAGCTTTGGGCATCATATTTTGTCATTCACTTTGTATGAAGACAAAAAAGCGGCCTAAAATATGAACTGATATGCACAGACTACTGGGCAGAGGCAAATGACTTTTCAGATTAGTCAGAGATCTGGAAGGAGTTAGGTTCGAAGATTAGAGAAAAGAAATTCTAGGAAGGAACACAAGCACATACCTATAGGGCTAGGAGCAAATTGCTTATATCTTTGCGTATTAAGTTAATGTCCACAAAAGAGAATCATCTACTACAAAGAAGACCCTTAACAACCAGGTCGAGAGGGTGACCTGTCCTAGGAGTGACAATTAACTTCTTTCCTTTGTCATCACAGTGTTGGTGTGTGTGGCCATGACAGCAGGGTTGTGCAACCGTCTCTCCAAGGCTGATCTATGGCCACACTGAATGTGCACACTGCATTTCTTGAGAGCATTGCTGAGCTCTCATGGCATCAATCCTTAAGGAGACTAGCCTGCCATTGAATGGCAGGTTGATTGCATCAGATGCCTTTTACTCTAGACAGTACAGATTATAACCCTAAAAAACACAATCCAGAACTCCATAATCCTGAATGTTGAAATACCAAAATATGAAAATCCCTGAAGTTTAAAATCCCTAATTTCTAAAATCCTGAAAATCACAATCCTGAGAAAATGAAAGCCTGAATGTCAAAATCCTGAAAGACAAATTCTGAAGAAGGGATTAATGTGTCTTTGGTTATACACAGGACAGTTGTATTAATAGACAGGACTATTACCTTATTATTGTCTTTATTTGCATTTGGCACAAAATTTAGATGAGTGGATTGGCCACAAGATACAGAAATAATGAAAACTTCAATTCAAAAATGCTTCATTTGCCTGCACTGCCATACATTTTACCTGATGAAATTCTAGAAGTATTTAATGAATGAAAGCTGCATTTGCTTGAAGAAGCCAACAAAATTATTACTGGTTTAAAAATAATTGTGTGTACAGCAAGATAAGAAGACACAATGTTGTTTTTTGATCACCAGTATTGTTTCTGCCAAATATGTGGTCTGCATATGAGTGCATGCAGAATGGATTTCAGCATAATTAAAACAACATAGAAACATGAGACAGAAAGTGGAAAAAATAAGGAAAGTGCATGTTAGTGTAAAACAAATCATAGAAGAATTTCAAAAAAACAAGTGCTACATAGAAAATGAATGTGAACATATTCTTTGAGGAGAACCATGCCCTAGGACAAAACAGTGCTATTCATTAAGATGCTGACTTCAATATATAGTCAATGGCTGGGCACGGTGACTCATGCCTGTAATCCCAGCATTTTGGGAGGCCGAGGCAGGCAGGTCACCTGAAGTCAGGAGTTCAAGACCATCCTGGCCAACATGGTGAAACCCCGTCTCTCCCGAAAATACAAAAGTTAGCCAGATGTATGGGTGGCTGCCTGTAATCCCAGCTACTTGGGAGGCTGAGGCAGAAGAATCTCTTGAACCCAGGAAGTAGAGTTTGCAGTGAGCCAAGATTGCACCATTGTGCTCCAGCCTGGGCAACAAGAGCAAGACTCCATCTCTAAAAAAACAAAAACAAAAACAAAACAGAATATAGTTAATGACTGCGAAAATTGGCCATCTTTTAGACACTCTGTGTAATTGCTCCAAATCTATCCCTGTAATATACTTTTTCATATATCAAATTTTCTATTTAGTTTTTCTGATGGGAGGATTGGTTTTTTGTGTGTTCTTTTCCAATGATTTTAAACTTTCAGCAGTACTTTTTACAATTTGCTATGCTATGTGTTTCATCTTTATATCATTTCCAATACTGAAGGTATACATTGTGTAAAGAGTTTGGGAGATTTCTAATGCATTTTACACATTCTCCAAAGTTGACTTCATGGAAGTGCATTATCACAACATTGACTTTGTGTGTAAGCAATGTACACCTATGTAAAAATGTTGAAACTTCCTGACTAAATGAAGAGATGTTCTTCCTGTATATCTGCATTTATGAAAGATAACATTACATATGCAGTGGTGACTCATCACAGTTTTTTATTGATCTCCTCAAAAAATTTTGGTTATACATCACAATATCTCAGATGACAACCATTACAGAGCTGAGTTCATGCAATTACTAACCATAGTGATATGTATTTATATATTTTACTTTTTGACCTTTTTAAAATGAATATGATACATCTGGTTATAACTATTATACCTAAGCAACTGTCATATAACTGAGTGTTTATGCTTGCAAAAACATAAGAAAAAAGGAACTCAGAGGTATCTGAGCTATTTGAGGTATGCAAAATGTATCAGGCCCAAAGAAACATGAGTATAGGACTTTAGTTACACTCCTGCACACACGCCTTGGGGCAAATGTTAAAGGTATTCTTGTTCCTGACTAACATCCTCACCTACTATCTTCATGTTCCAGGAATTTGTAATACAAAATACAATTGATAGCCAATAAATAGCTTATTCTATTTAAATGTAAATTCTTGGTGAACAACTTAGAACTGCCTCTTCTTTTTCCTAAAAACCCACTTATAATGTATATTCAGGGCAATTTGAATCTATGATCCCAGGTGGCCATCCTCAACTTTTGTACTTGAATAAACTCTCTTTAAACTACTCTCTGACCTTTTTGATTATTTTAGGTTGACATTTTGGTAATCAAGTAGGTATCTTAAAGCAAGCCTCCAGAGATCTCCCATTTTTGTGTACATTGAGGGCCTCAGTACCAGCATTGTTAAAAACAAGTGCTCAGTGCCACAAAGAAGAACCAGCACTGAAACAAAGGATTTCTCAGCAAGACAATTTAATTCTGCAGAAGGGTGCTGCCTGCATCAGCCATGATTGCAAGAGTACCCCGAACAAAGGAGAGTAAGGGTTTTTATTCCTAACACAGTCCCTGCGTCTATGTCATTCCCCAT
This sequence comes from Homo sapiens, assembly GCF_000001405.40. Classification (NCBI taxonomy): domain Eukaryota; kingdom Metazoa; phylum Chordata; class Mammalia; order Primates; family Hominidae; genus Homo; species Homo sapiens. Next base: position 102,085,916 of record NC_000001.11, read on the forward strand.
TTGGTGGAGTCAGACCACAAAACCTGAACTAGTCTTGATTGGCTAAACACTTAAACCTTCTAGATAAGGTAGGTGTGTGATGGGGGAGATGGAGCAAAGGGAAGAGGACAGCCTATAGAGAATGAGAAGGCTAACTTTTTCCAAATAAGGAAAGGAATGTAGACTGAAGCTGAGACATGTCTGAGCATATTAGCACACAGCAAGAGTGGGAGGGCTGTATGCAGGCTAGAAACAAGAGAGTGCAAGAAGGTTGAGCCTATGAACAAAGAACAAGGACATTACACAATTAAACCCTTTGAAGAGGAATTCATCATCTCTGGCAATTCCCTCCTTTGTTTTATTGATAACTATTTCTCTTCAAATTTTTCTAACATGATTTGGCTTTGCTGTTCTTCTTGATCACCTAGAAGCAAGATTTTATTTGAATATAGAGGAGGAGAGGTAGGGGAAGTTTTTGTGAGAACTGTTTCTATAAGCCTTTGTACTAGGCCTGGGGCACAGGGTATGATACCACATCCTACAAGAATAAGCACACCTATTATAATGGCAAGAGAAGTAAGGATTGAGGACATAAGTTCTTTCCATCTGCCAAACCATTTTTCCATTAAATAAGTGAAAGGATCGTTCATTCCTGAATTCTTAGCTAGTTCATTGGATAAAGCAGTTAAGACCTTGTAATGCTTTTGTTATGGTTCCACTGGGAGACGTATTATTAGTTATAAAAGTACAGCATTGAGTTCCAATCATGACACAGCCTCCACGCTTTTCTGCTAGTATCATGTCTAATGCTATTCTATTTTCCCAAGCCATTTGGCTGGTGGGTCCTAACTGTTTAGCTATCCCTTTAATAGCATATTTAATATAGTTAACAAATCATTACTGATTATAATAGATGTAATTTATCGAATTTACATTTATATTTAGAGTTAACCACAGGAATAGTATGGACTCAAACCCTGCAATTATTTGATTTTGGGCCTTAAATTCATCTGGCACTCCCCTCGGGACTCCAATGGCATCTATATAAACATGAGGATCAAAGGACCCATGAGGGACACCTCTTGTTTTATGACTATTTGTTTTTATCCTTTTTGGTTGATGAAGTGCCAGAGTGAAAGGGATAGACAATTGGATGAGAGTGCAAGTGCCTCTCCAGTTACTTGGCAGAGTGTCCAGTAATGGTCTGCCACAATACTACTATACATCCGCTTGGGGATGGATCAGGACAGACTGATTGGTTAGCTCTCAGAATGACTTAAGCTCATTGCATCCCTTTAGGTCTCCAAGAAAAGCTAAGTTTTCCCCTTGTCTTGAGAGACACGAGATAAAATTGGCATCAGAAGATGGAAGCTGGATGGCTCTCGGGGGCTGACCCACAGGGTGCCAGACTTTGGAGAATAGCAGAGAGAGAGCTTGGGATAATTCATTACTCCAGGCTGTGGGGTGTTGGAAGAGAACTACCAAAAAATTAGTGCCTGGCCTGCTGGAGGACCATCTGAGTGGAAAGGGGACAATTTGGGCCTCTGTCCTGTCATGCACACAAAGTAACAATCGCTTTTGTTTAGAGTACAGATGGAATATTTAATCCATTCCAGCCAGGCATCTTCATCTTTGTACCCCATCTCAAGAGCTATAGTTTGCCTTAAATCCTTTACCTCTACAACTGCTACCTTAGTTGGGTCGTTCTGGAGATGGGAGGAGATTGCTGAGCCTGATATGTTTGGGAGGAACGTTGGGTCCCATACATTCTCTGGACTCTGGATCTGGATTTCTTTATTTTTTTTTAGCTGATGGTTTAGCTAACCTCAGATAGAAGATTTCTATGGGGTCCCATCCTGTAACATCTGCTCCTAACCCATACCATTCGAATATGGAGGGTTCTTGGGTCATTCTTTGGGGATTATCTATAATTAGCAATAAGGGTTTACACTGTAATGACTTACAATTTGGTGGGGTGGGACCACAAATAAGTTAGAGCTTCTGTTTTAGTCCTCGAAACTTGTTACAAGAAGGGGGCCTGATTGTCCACCCTCCATATTGGGTGGTCCACCAAACATCTGTCCAGTCACCGCAGGGACTTTTTAAGGCTCCATACTTATACTTGGTTGACTCACTCTGGTATGGACATATACACTTACCCACATTTGATAGCTGCCTTTGAGCTCATTCATCTTCACATGAGATAACTGAACAAATGTCAGACTGGAGGGTTAAGGGATGATTAGTTTGTATCACATTGATGAACAAGTGATTATTAAGCCCTTTTTAGAGTTAATTTGGTGGGGGTAGGCCCTGGGGTGACGGCTCATTTTTCTCTGGCTGTAGAAGTCACTGCTTTCACTCACATGTGGTGTGTCCCTTCCTTTTCAGCTGTGCGGACAGCGGTTTCTGTAGTCAGGAGCACTAGATGGGGTCCTTCCCTAGCCAGTTCGAGTTTTCCCTCTTTCCCGTTTTGATGTGATCCCCAGGCTGGTGCTGATGTGCTGGGAACTCCAAGGGTGGCGTCTGGGGTGCTAAAAGGCCTTTAGTTCTGAGCAAAGAGGAAGTGGAAGACAGACCAAGTATATAGCTTTTGAGGAATTGATCTTTAGTTTCTAACATAAGAATACCAGCAGTGGAGTGTAAATAAGGTAACCCATATAGCATTTCATAAGAAGATAAGCGAATATCTTTTTGAGGGGCAGTTCAGATTCTTAACAAGGCAATGGGGAAGCATTTAGTCCATGGCAACCGAGTCTCTAGGACTAATTTGGTTAGGTGGTTCCTCAGAGGCCGGTTCATTCTTTCTACTCTTCTTGATGAAGGTGGGTGCCAGGGGGTATGGTATTCCTATTTTATTTCTAATGCTTGGCCTAGCTTTTTTAATAACATGTACAGTGAAATGAGTCCCATTATCTGAATCAACATTTTCTATTAATCCAAACCTGGATATAATACTTTCAATTAATGCCTTAACTACATTATTAGCAGTCACTTTTGTAAAGGGAATAGCTTCTACCCAGTGAGTGAGATGATTCACTATTACTAAATGGGTATTTCAGGTGACCAGTTGGAGGCATTTCTGTGTAATCAACTTGAACACTTTGGAACGGTCTTAGTCCTGGATTTCTTCACTCAAGGGGTGATTTTCTTAAGGTCTGCTTATTAGGTTTTTTTTTTTTTTTTTTTACATATTAGCTATCTGTAACTTGTTAGGCTAGGGTATAAATTTCTGTACACCCATAATCTCTAAGGACTGTGTCACACATAGCTTGGGGCCCCCAGTGGGTCCCTTGATGCAGCTGAGAAAAGACTTCCCTCATGAGGGGTTTGGATAACATTTCTCTTTGATCTGATAATACCCATTTTCCTTCTGGGTTTTCTTTAGCTCCTAATTTTATAAATTTTTCCTTTTCAGTGGGAGAGAAAATGGAGACTGCAGTAGGGGGAGGAAGACAAGGGGTTAAGTGAAAAACAAGCACCTTAGAGGAAATAGCAGCCTGTTTGGCTACCCAATCTGAAAGGTTATTTCCCTGACTTTCAAATGAAAAGCCTTTTTGGTGTCCTGGGACATGGACAATAGCTATCTCTTCTGGTAACTAGAGATTATTTAATACTTGGGTGATTAACTCTTTGTGGACAAAATCTCGGCCTTTGCTGTTAATAAGACCTCGTTCAGTTCAAATTTTCCTGAAAGTATGAGCTACCCTAAAGGCATACTTAGAATCAGTATAAATGGTCCCTTCCTGGTTTTGCAAGTATTTTATAGCCTGGCTCAATGCAAACAGTTCACAAGTTTGAGCAGACCAATTATTAGGCAATCTTTCTATTTCTGCTAAAACTTCTCCATCTGTTATTTAATATCTATTATGTCTTTTTCCCTCAATTACCTGGGAGCAGCAATCTATAAATAAATGCCACTCCTTTTGAAAGGGGTCTCTCCTAAATCTGGTCTGATTTTGTTTGGTAGTCAATTAAATCTCAACATGTGTGATCTCTTTTAGGTTTGGATTCCTTGTTAAGAAACCTGCTCGGTTGAGTGAGTTATCAGTGGTTAGTGTTAAATCATCTCTTTCTAATAGAATAGCTATGTATTTTAAGATCCTTGAGTCAGTGAGCCACCTCCCTGACTTTTGGTTTAAGATAGTTCTAACTTGATGAGGCATGCTTACCATTAACTTTCCCCCAAAAGTTAACTTCCTGCTTTCTTTAGTCAATAACATGGTTGCCACAATGGGTTGAATGCATTTGGGCCATCCACATGTCACTGGGTCTAAAATCTTTGATAGAAAGGCTACAGGCTGCCTGCAGCCTCCATGTTCCTGGGTAAGCACTCCCAAAGCCACCCCATTATTCATGTTAACAAGAGTGGAATGGTTTTTCTAGGGAGGGTAAGGCTAGAACAGGGGCAGATATAAGCATATGTTTTAATTCTTCAAGTTGATGAATTTCTTCAGAAGTCCACAGAAGATAGTCAGGTTTCCACTAGGTAAGTTTTTGGTATAAAAGTTTAGTTTTTAGAGCATATGAGTCAATCTGTAAGTGGCAATATCCAACTAATCCTAAAAATTTTCTGAGCTCCTGATTAGTTTGAGGCAAAGGTAAGGACACGATTCCTTCTACTCATTTGGATACTATCCTTCATTTACCTTTACTTATTAAGTGCCCTAAATATTCAACATCAGGCTCTACAAACTGGAGTTTTTATTCTGAAACTTGTAATCCTTCACTTTGTAAATGGTTAAGAAGGTATGTAGAGAAAGCAGCTACTTTCTCTACATCTTCACCAGATATGAGAAGAGCATCCACATACTGGAGCAGACATATGTGTTTTGGGGTATGAAGTTGTTCTAGAACCTGCTCTAAAATTTGGCCAAAAAGGTTAGGGGAATCTGTGAACCCTTGGGGCGAAAGTGTCCATTGGTACTGTTGCTTCCATCCAAAATGAGGATCTTCTCATTTGAAGGCAAATATGTCCCGACTGTCCTCGGCCAAGGGACATGCCCCAAAGGCACCTTTTTAGTCTATTACTGTAAACCATTGATGGTCATAGGGGATTTTGCTGAGGATGGTGTAAGGGTTAGGGACAATGGGATGAATAATCTGGACTATTTGGCTGACAGATCTGAGGTCTTCTACTAGTCAGTATGACCCGTCTGATTTCTTTACAGGCGGTATTGGGGTTTTATAAGGGGACATGCAGGGTTCAAGGAGCCCATCTTGAATAAGACTTTCAATTATGGGCTTCAAGCCTATTCTGCCTTCTAGGAGAATGGGATATTGTTTTCTTCTTACTACTTCCCCAGGGGTTTTTAGCTTTATGTGTATCAGAGGGACTTAAAGTCGTCGATTTCCTTCTCTTGAGCAGACATCAGGATGGATGTATTTTTCATCCACAGTGGTAAGTAGGTTTAGTGAGATGAGGAATCCATCTGGGCCAACATGTAAACCTATGCCTAGTTCTAGCATTGAGTCCCTTCCTAATAGGTTAATTCCTGACTCAGGGATTAATAGAAGCTTGATATGATTTGACCAGTTTTTATACCACCCTTCTGTTTCTTCTAAGATTTTTGCTTCAAATTCTTCTCCCTTTACCCCTGAGACAGAAAGTAATTCTGAGGAGCAGCTGATATCAGATGGAAGGAAACAAACAGAGGAGTGGGCTGCTCCTGAATCTACTAAAAAGGTTATGAGTTCATATTTGGTTCCCACCTCTAAGTTTATCAAGGGTTCTTGGTGGGACTTGAGATAAAAGAGACAGAGCCCCTGACCCCCCACTATTCTTCCTTGAAAGTCATGAGTGGAAGGACTTCTTTTTCTCTTTCCCATTCAGGACATTCCCTCTTAAAGTGACCTGTTCTTCCACACTTAAAACATCTATCCTGTCTTTCCTCTGTTTGAGGATTCTTGGGCTTTGCTCCCCCATGTTCTTTATAGGGTCTTGTAAACGAGGTCCCGGATCCTTTAATAGGGGCCTTCGATTCTCTAAATGGAAGTTTGGGTCCTTTATAGTTTTTGGCCCCCTGGGGGCTTTGTTTAGATATGTATTGATTTGGAGCCCCCTCTTGACAGGTGGATAGCATGATTTTTGCTTTCTGTTTTTGCTTTTCTTCATCTCTTCTCACATACACCTTTGGAGCTTCTCTGAGAAGTTCACTTCGAGGATAGTCTTTCCAATCCTCTATCTTTTGTAATTTCTTGGAAGTGTCCAGCAAACTGTTAGTAACAAATGAAGCTTTAACATTCCTTGTTCTAGGGGATCTTCTAAATCCAGGCCTGCATATTTTCTCATTTGCCCCTTTAACCTGTTTAAGAGTTCTGCAGGCCCTTCATCCTTCCCCTGTTGTGTGTTAAATGCCCAGGACAGATTCTGAGTCTGGGGTACTGATTCTCAAATTCCTTTTATTATCATCTCCCTAAGGTCTTGCATGTTTTCCCAGTGAGCTATGTCGTTATTGTCCCACTGAGGATCTTGGGCAGGGAATTTTTGGTCCACTGTAGGAACGTTTTGATCGGTGGGGGGTGGGGGGGCGGTGTTCACATTCCCAAACTACCATAGCAGCCCTGTGAATCATGCCCCTTTCTTCCCCTGAAAAGAGGATGCCCAGGATGGACATTAACTTGGCCCAAGTATATAAGTAGTGTCTTAGAAATTAATTGACCTGATCTGCCACTGCATGAGGGTCATCTAACAGTGGCTTGAGTTCTTTTTTAAAGCTTCAAACTTTTGAACTGGTTAGAGGAGTATTTATGAAGCTGATAGCACCCCCTCCCTGGGGCACCTCTTTTAAGGGGAAGAGAATCAGAGCTGATTCCCCAGGGGTAGAGAGGAAAGGGAAGTTTTGAATATTCTTTTTACATTGCTCTCTACCTCACTTTGGAGTCCTTTTAGGGCTGTTTGCAGGCTAGAAAAAAGAGAAGGTTGAGCCTCTGAACAAAGAACAAGGGCATTACACAGTTAAACCCTTTGAAGAGGAATTCATCATCTCAGGCAAGCATGAACAAACCTTTGATCACCCAACCTTGATGAGCTGGAAGGGGTATCTGTTGAGTCTCCTCTTGGATTTCAAATCTCCCTGATTTTTTGGTTTGAGATCCATACTATATTCAAATGACCTGACTTCATGCTCAAGGGGGATTAAAGTTCTACTTTAAACCTTTAAGGTAGGAATTTTGTTTGTTATTCTCTAGAGAATTGGCTTACTGCAGAACTGTGATTTTTACTTTTCTTTGAGGTTAACGTTTTGTTGTTTTCACTTGTTGGAGTTCTCAAGCTTTTCTCTTGTTCAAAATTTGGTCAAAGAGAAAAGAGTTTCTCTTTGATAAGAGAAAGCAAAATTTTTGTAGCTTAAGGAACAAAATATATATTTAGCTTAAATATATAGCTAAATTATAAATATATATTTGCTTAGGCTATACATAGCTCATATATATAGCTGAATTATATATATATAGCTGAATTATATACATATATAATATATACAATATATATTATATATTTATATATGATATATACAATATATATTACATATTATATATACAATATATAATATATAATATATAATATTATATATTATATATTGTATATAATATATATTATATAACATTATATAATATATAATATTATATATTATATATTGTATATAATATATATTATATAACATTATATAATATATACTATTATATATTATAATATATAATATATAATAATATATAATAGTATATATTATATATATTGTATATATTATATATAAATATATAATATATAATATATATTATATAATATATATTATATAATATATATTATTATATATTATATATTTATATATAATATATATTATATATATTATATTTTATATATAAATATATAATATATAATAATATATAATTTAATATATATAATATATACAATATATAATATATAATATATTAATATATATAATATATACAATATATAATATATAATATATAATATATAATATAAATTATTATATATAATATATATTATATATAGCTGAATTATATATATATACATAGCTTATATATATATAGCTGAATTTTATATATATATATATATATTTTTTTTTTACAACTGCCCAGAATCTGAATCTTGGTTCAGTTGACAAATCTAAAACTATTCTTTTTGAGATGCCAAAATAATATATGGCTATTTATGAGGCCCACTAGGATTTTGGCCATTCAGGAAAGAAAATCTAAATTATGGGCAATTGTGCCTCTAAAACCAAATTTTCTTGCTTAAGAAAAAAATCAACCATTATAAACACCAGCTGGATTTATGTTAAAAACTTACAAAATCTCTAAATGCAAATATTTAGGAAACTGGTTATGTACAACTCATAACCTCAGATTACAATGGCTAAAATGTGGTTCCTTTGAAATACCTACGTTAATTTATCTGTGTCCACAATTAGAAAAATCTTGTTTTAGAACAAGACAAATTGAATGGGAGGCTTACTTCCAGTATCACCTAGAAGCTTCTAAAAGAATTCTGAAAGAAAAACATTGCCTTCATTAAAGAAATAAACAAAAGGATATTTGGAGCTATTTATAAATTTAAAAAGACTTTGAAAGCTTTCTGCCTTTGAAGCCCACATTGCAAAATTATTAAATATAACTGAGAAAATTATTACAGTGAAAGAGATCTGATCTAACCAACTCCATCTCTCTTCTAACCTTCAACTTGTCCTTCCTTGTTCATTCCTGAGTATAGGTCAAACTAATTGGGGAAGGATCCTTTGAAACAAAGATTATAATAGCTCTTTCCAAAAACAAACCTCCTTCCTGCTTGAGAACTAGACTGCCTTTGCAGGGCTAACAAATTAGCCACAAGTTTAGAAATTATGGATTAGCGGTCATGCAGCTGAAGGCCACAAGATTTTCTGACCCACCCAAATTGCTCCCGGGGATAACATCACTATTGTAAAACCTAAGATCAGTGCTTGAAATATTTTGCAGACCCTGTACTTGATAGATTAGCTAGCACCAACCAGATTAATAAACTGGCTCACCTAGTCTTGTGCCCCACCCCCGTGCCCCCCGACCCCCGGCCAGGAATTGCCTTAGTTCAGGAGGATGGCTTCCAGTCCCTATGATTTCAGTTCCAACCCAACCAATCATGACTCTTGACTTACTGGCTCCTACCCATCTAATTATCTTTACAAGCTTTGATCCCCAAATTCTCAGGGAGACTGATTTTAGTAATAATAGAACTCTGGTCTCTCATAAAGCCAGCTGTGTGTGAATCAAACCCTTCTTCTATTGCAATTCTTCTGTCTTGATAAATCAGCTCTGTCTAGGCAGTGGGCAAGGAGAACCTACTGGATGGTTACAAATTTGGGTGCTCATCTGGGATGACCCTTGTGGCCAGCTGCCTGTGGTTCAGTAGCCCTCTTCTGGTGATGGATCCAGAAGACAGGCCAAGTGGCCGCCTAGTTCTCTTGGAGTAGGGGCTGTCTCTGGCATCTTCTCTACCAGTGGGCTACTGTGGTGCCAATGTGCATGGATTCAATTTCAATGAAAAAATACTCTTGGGGAGAGTCCCATAACTATAGCCCCATCACCAGGTGTCTGTCTGTAGCCCCGTCATGGGATGTCTCTCTGTCGCCCCGTGACTGGATGTCTGTTCTAATTGGATGGAGAATAGAGGACTTATTTGAAGGAACACTCTTAGTTTGTGATTTGTCTGGAATCTCTGTCTGGAAAGTATTCTTCTTGTCTTTTTCACTGTGTGTGTTTGTGTATGTAGAGGAAATCTCTGAAGAAATCGTGGATGGAAATCCTGGCCAGTTACATTCACTGAACCTTGAAACAATTGTTACAAGAAACTCAACACGCCTGACTCAGGGTTACTGTTCATTCTTCTGGAAGCTGCAGAGAAAGGGAACCTGGAAACCTGGTATGCCATCAAAAAGCATAAACATTTCTTACCAGCCAGGTCTCTGGCCTCTGTGTGTGTGTGTGTGTGTGTGTGTGTGTGTGTGTGTGTGTGTGTGTGTGTGTCATGGTAAACATCACAGTTTGCCTCCTCTGCAAAGGTTTGGTTAATAGAAGAAGGGATTTGTGAGACTGGTCTTAGGTTGTAGAAAATCTTGTGTGCTTTGTTCTATAAATTTGTCTTTCTGTATTGTTCTGTAATAGAGAGATTGGTATCACAGGATAGAATATGGGCTTAGGATCCCTATACACACCTTTTCAAGACAGCCCAGAAGTCTGGGCAGTTATAAAGTTTGATGAGGTTCTCTGAAACCAATACCAGAATAAGTTTCTCTCTTGTCTTGTTTTATGTCCTTGAGAGCTTAATCTTGTGATAATGTAGGGAATATTTTCTTTTAATCTCTGCCATCCAGAGGACAGGAATTTTGGAGGTCATGTCATAGGTAGTCCTAAAAATTATCTTGAGCTGTTAAAAGTATTTGCAAGCTCAAAAATGACTGCCTTAGACTCCTGGGGAGAGCAGCAGTAAACAACCCCGTGTTTTAGCTCAGTAGCTAAAGCTCTGCACCTTCACAATAGTGGCTTGGGTTCAATTCCCAGCTTATGAAACAAATACTTTTTGGTTTATTATTTGTGTAACTTTTGCCAATTATTGATTCTTTTTACCCCATGGACAGCTTCTGATTTGTCTTGAATTTTCTTTCTCTGAACTACCTATGGGGAGATTTTAAATCTTGTAAAAAAAAAAAAAAAGAAAGAAAAAGAAAAAAGAAAAATGAGTATGTGTGTGTGAGAGAAACTGCTTACCATCTCTTTGAGAAAACTTATACATCCATGGTTAAGTTATTATTTTGTGCAAATAATCAGGCCAAGCATAGTAATACTAAAACTTATTTTGCAAGTAAATTCATCCCACTATGATTTGTCTTTAATAAAAATGGGGACTGGAGAGAGAAAAATTATGTTGCAAAAAAATTATAGTACACCTGTTTTTAGTTGTTCTTCTGTTTTTATTATTTTCTGCAATTTTGACTAAATCCTAAATTCTTTGTGGGCATTTGTGTCCCCAAACTAATGCTTTCAAATTTTTACTTTTAAAACTGGGAATTTTTAAATCCTTATCCTAGGCCTCATTATTTTACTTATAGTATGCTGTTTGTGTAAATTCTGTACTAAAACTATAGATGAGAATACTAACGTGTTTGTCATGAAAGTCTTACAATCCCAGCCCAACTCGCATGAGTATAATCAGAGAGCTAGCTGCAAAGAATTTCTGCTCTTCTCACCTTGGGATCAACTTCTATTTCCACTCTGCCCCCTTTCAGCAGGAAGAAACCAGAATGATCATCAGCCTTTTCCCATCTTCATAGTCCACACCTTAAGAATGAGGTGTTATAAAACCCAAAGAGAGGGATTGAAACTGCCATTGAAAAATTATAACTGAGAAAATTATTACAGTGAAAGACATCTGACCTAACCAACTCCATCTTGTTTCTAACCTCCAAGAAGTCCTTGTTCATCCTGTGCATAGGCTGAATTAAATTTGGGAGGAACAGAGTTTATAGTTTAACTTTGAAATAAAAATAATAACGGCCCTTTCCAAAAACATATCCCCCTCCTGCTTGGAAACTAGACTGCCTTTGTAGGACTTACAATTCAGCCACAATATTAAAAATTATGGCTTAGCAGTCATGTAGCTGGAGGCTACAAATTGCTCATGGGAAGAACATCACTGTTGTAAAACCTAAGAAATATTTTGCAGACTCTACACCTTATGAATTAGCTGGCACCACCCATGAGGGTAAACTGGCTCATCTGGTTTTGTGGCTGCCACCCAGGCTCAAATCACTAAGGTTTCATTGTCAACCCAACCAGTCAGCACTCTGGACTCACTGGCTCCTACCCACCAAATTATCTTTACAAACCTCAATCCCTAAACTATCAGGGAGACTTATTTGAGTAATAATAAAACCCTGTCTCCCATATAGCCAGCTGTGCATGAATTAAACTCCTTCTTTACCTCAATTTCCCTGTCTTGATAAATTAGCTCTGTGTAGGCAGTGGGCAAGGAGAACCCATTGGGCAGATACACTTTTTGCCTGCAACTGTCCCCTTTTCTACTTGTTCCTTGGCTTCCACACATCTCTTAGGCAGAGATTTTTGAAATTTCACAATACACATATTTCCTTCTCTCAAAAGGAGGAAAATATATTTAAATTTGGAAGAGAGGGAACACATGGAACAACTACAGAATTAAACTGCTGAGATTATAAATATATAGTTTCAACAATTATTAAACAAACACTAATATAAATAACAATGATTTATTGACCTAATATCAGACAATACGCTTTAAATTCGCCCTGCAGTTCCTTGGAGATACACATCTTGTTTTTGAAATGTGAACATCCAGGAAATTAGCTAAGTAGCATTCCAGCTGAGATCAGATCTGAAACAAGTTAAAATCCTTTAAATGCTCAAACTGCCTACTTGAGATACCCTGCAGAATTTACAAAAAAGTCCTCCACACGGTGGTCTAGTTGCTAAGATTCTGTGCTTTCATGGCTATATCCAGGTTCAATTCATGCTTTGAAATACAGTCTCATTTGTTTTAAATTATTTACTCGACCATTTGGAGTAAATATTTGTTATTGATCCCTTTCCCTTCCAGAAACAGTTTTTGATTTCCTATTTTTTTTCACCTGTGGGGCATACAGGGCTTTTGGGCTTCATGTATAGGCACTCAGATAGGAAGCTGAGATCCTAGAAAACATCGCCAGATGAAAACGTGAGTTGTACTCCATTTACGACTAGCAAAATTATTTTTAGCCTGCTTTTGTGGTGGTTCTGCATCTTGTGAGGACTGTGTTACACCACTTTGGAGATGCCTCATGCATCCCTGGTTAAGTCATAACCTTGGCTAAGGCTTATTGATTTTGGTGAGTCACTTCAAAAGGTACATTTTGTTTAAAAAAAAAAAAAGGTGGAAGGCAGGAATATAAGCTGTTTTTCCAGCAAAAATCTGACAATAAAATATTTGAAATGATTTTTTTAAGAACTCCATGGTCAAAGGTCAGCTTAATTAAAAGCTGATATTCAAGCTGCTTCTTCCTCTTTTCTGTCTACAGTAACACATGAAGAAATTTAGAGATTTCTAAAGACTCAGACCACTTAACACACAAAAATGTACCACTCACCCTCTTTTTGAGGTCTTCTGTTTTCCTGTGGAATCTAAAGAGCCATGGACAGGTTCTTCTCAGGTCTAATACTCTGTTCCCTTTTGCATTATGTTACTTGATCTCTTTGGCTTTTGGGGTGCCAGGGATTAGTCTGAGAGAAAACCACCTATATGTGTTCGATGACTGGTGTGTAACTGGCAAAGGCTGTGAAACCACCTTTGCAAAATTATAACTGAGGAAATTGTGACAGTGAAATATATCAGACCTACCCAAGTCTATCTTGCTTCTAACCTCTAAACTGTCCTTGTCCATTCCTGGGCATAGGCTGAACTAGCCTTGGGACGGAATTTAGCTTACAGTTTAAATAATAGCCCTTCCCAAAAGCTAAACTGTTCTCCTAAAATGAATGAAAGGCCACCAGCCACCAAGTTAGGATGAGAGGGGCTGGAATTCTAAATCTTACCAGCCATTATTCTGGAGGTTATAAGAATTGCAACTTTCCCAATCACTTTTGAAGATAACAATACTATTGTGGACCTAAGATTGGCCTTTTGAGATGTCTTTTCAAGTTTTTGCATTTCTGAAAACTGGATGACCCCACCTGGACCTGCCAACCGGTTCTGTTGGCCCCACCCTAGAAATGACCAAGCGTAAGAGGAGAGCTTCAACTGCCTATGATTTCATCACGAGCCAACCAATCAGCACTCCTGACTCATTGGCCCCCTACCCACCAAATTATCCCTAAAAAGTCTGATCCTCGAATTGACCGATTTGAGTAATAATAAAATTCCAGTCTCCCACACAGTCAGCTCTGTGTGAGTTACTCTTTCTCCGTTGCAGTTCCCCTGTCTTAATAAATTAGTTCTGTCTAGGAAGTGGGCAAGGTGAACCTACGGAGAGTTACAGCTGCAGTTTTAGAGTTGACTGACAGAGATTGCAATGAATGGTTGTTACTTCAAGGGGCTACTCATTTCTTTGCACATTTAGATATAAAGGCAGGTTTGAATACTTGAAGGCCGTGAGATTGTTACCACCAAGGATAAGACTCCTCTTGGCAACAGGTTAATTACAGAGTAGGCTGATTCTCATGGGCGGCCAACCAGCCTTGGAGAAATATCTTCGTAGTGAGGTATACTGTGAAAGCTTGTGTGGCCCAGTCTCATGGTGTTTCCCTATTTGGGGGGACCTGGGATTCATTGTAAAAGTGAGATCCTTGATTTTTAAAGATCTAGTTGTACTGTCTTTCAGTTGTGCCTGGTTTTCTTATATTTAAACACTAGGCTCTGGAAACCGCAAAAACGTTCTTTGCCTTATTCATAATGGCTCTACCCTGAAGTCAGTAATCTAATCAATAAACAAGCTAAGTGGAAAAAACCACCTATTAAGCTAGATTGGTCTCCAATAATATGACATTCTGGCATTTACAAGGCTATCTTGTAAAAGAAACTTACATCTATAAAGAAAATCTCCATTTTTAAGGATATCTTCCTGCAACCAAGCATCTAGAAACTTTTACAATAGAGAAGACATTAGCTTAAAGTTTACATGAAAATCCTTACCTTCTCTTCCTGAAAATCATGGCGTTTTTGTTTTTTTAGAGATAGAATGTCACTTTCCCTTAGGTTGGAGTGCAGTATTGCAGTCATAGGTCACTGCAGCCTTGTCTTGGGCTCAGGGGATTCTCCCACCTGAGCCTCCCAAACAACTAAAACACAGGTGTGTGCCACCACAGTTAGCTAATTTAAAAAGGTTTTTTAACAGATGGGGTCTTACTATGTTGTTTAGGTTGGTCTCAAACTCCAGGGCTCAAGAAAGCTTCCAGCATAGCTCAGGTTACAAGAGTGAGCCACCAATCCCAGCTGGCAACCTTGTGTTAACTGAGCTTTACTTACCCCCCTTTTTTTTTGTCTCAGTAAATAATGAAATTTAGATCCAAATTCTATGCCTTTGAGATGTAAATTTTATCCTAAGAGTCATCCCTTTAGAAGTGCAAATTTAGAGTTGTCTAGCTAACAATTTTCTTAAAATTATATTTATTTTTTGTAGAGACTAGGTCTTGTTATATTGCTCAGGCTGGTCTCAAACTCCTGGGCATAAGTGATCCTCCCACCTCAGTCTGCTAAAGTGCTTGGATTATGGGCATGAGCCACTGCACCTAGCTGGCTAAGAATTGTTTAGAATTTGGTAAAGAGAGAAAGAGCAACTATTTGAAGATTGGCAAATGAAGAACCTTATAAATCCACAAAAATCTCCTTCTGTCTATGCATCTGTATGTTTAGATATGTAACGTATATGTGATATTTCATTGCCAGAATATATCAAAGCATTTTAATTAATTGGCTTACATTAAAAGGAAGCACTTAAATACTTTATCAGAAGAGTAGAAAGTAACTCAAATGCCTTTGAGCTAGTGACTTAGATAAATCTTTGGTAAATAAGACTAGTGGATATTGTCAGTTTAATGAAGATAGCTGTGTCCTCAGAGTAGCAAAATACTCATGTATTTAACTTTAGGGTTCTTGTTTAGGTGGCTCCTTTCTAACATTTACATGCTGCAAAAACAGCCCAGAAATAATTAAAGATAATGGCTAGCTTTATTCAATGTCTCATAAAATTGTAATGAGTAGTTTATATGGTTGTTAAAAATAAGTAAATCAGGCACAAATACATGTAAACAAACTCTTCATAGTTTCAGAAATCTTTTTGGTAATTTGAAACCTTAAAGTGAAATTACATAATGGATACTTATTGAATGTCGAGGTCATTTATAAATAAAACTATTAAAACAAACTATAATAACTATAATACATAACTTTATAATATAAAACATTAAACATACTTTAAAGTTTATATACATCTTTTTTTATGTGGTATTGTTGGGGTACAGAAAATTATTTCCCAAAATATGGTGCTTAAGCATGCAGAGTGCTTTAGAAAATTAAAAGGCCTCAGAAATAAGCCTCAGACTCAAGGTCCCCTTAACCTTGACTTATTCATCTCTGCCCCAAGTACAGGGGATAATTCCTTATAGAATTTTCTAATTTAACCAGGAAAGCTTCTTTCTAAAAGCTACATGATTTCCTCTCCCTGAAATGTCATGATCTATTTAGGAAAGAATACTGAGGAACGCAAGCACACCTGGATGTACTTTTACATAAGATAATGCCTGTCTCCTGTACTCATTTAAATCTTAGAGACGGAATGGGCATGGTGGCTCAAAACTGTTATCTCAGCATTTTGGGAGGCCCAGGTGGAAGGATTGGTTGAGGCCCTGAAGTTCACAACCAGCAAGGACAACAAAGCAAAACTCAATCTCTACCAAAAGAATTAAAAATTAGCCATGCATGGTGTTGTGTGCCTATAGTTCCAGCTACTCAGGAAGCTGAGCGGGGATAGATTGCTTGAGCCTAGGCGTTCGAGGCTGCAATGAGCTATGATTGTGTTATTGTACTCCAGCCTGGGTGAGAGAGTGAGATCCTGTGAGACAAATGGTTGCAATCTTTTGAGTTTCAGATTAGCCTTTCCAAAGGAGGCAATCAGATATGAATGTATCTCATTGAATAGAGGGATGACTTGACTTCTCCCTTTAGCTTAGTGGAGAATGACCCCCTTGTTAGCACTCAGTAGGTTTTATGGCACCTCTACTTGCCAGAGTTTATGTAAAATTGAAGTAATATGGTCTTTGTGCACATTTACATAAAAAAAGCCCTAAGGTCCACATGCAAACTATAGAGTTCCTAAGTTCTCTTTTTCTCTATTTTCCTTTCTATGTGGTTTAAATCTGCTGTTATTTTTCTATTAATGTAAAACTCACTGTTTGGATCCAACAAGTTTTTTTTTGTTTGCAAGCTGGTGAATTTGTATTTATCTCATGGCCAAAGTTGTGACATAAAAGCTATAAGATCTTTGTGTGTGTGTTTATGTGTGTGTATATATATAGATATTTTAAAGGCCTTTATAATTTCTATAATTTATATTTAATTTGGCAATTAAATCCCTTTTAATTTTGCTCTAGCACACTAGACTTTTTCTCTTCATACTTTATGAGGTAAATTTTGCTATTTGATTTTCACCTGAGTTGTTTCTTTTAATAGCAAAATTAAGGCTATTTAGTTGACAACTGCCTAGGGTTATCAAGAATTGATACAGGTTACCTATTGAAACAGGTTATCCAGAAATTGAAAGTTGTAGATGGGAAAAAAAGTTTTTTGTGAATTTATAAGATGTACTTCTATCAGCATACCTAATACATCTACATATTTATGTGTTGTATACACAGTGTTGCATTACTGAAAATATATAGAAGAGCTCTCATTAATTGGCTTAAGAAAATGAAAGTGCTTAAATCAAATATTTTATCAGAAAAAGAGACTAGTCAAATGCTTTTTCAAGTTCATGTAACTTAAGTAAAATCTTTAATAAATAAGCTAGCTTTAAAATTATTGGTAAAGTATAATAATATTAGAAATGTCTTAAGAATTGCCAGCATACATTTTTATTTGCATTTATAAATCAAGCAATTTTATACTTATCTATGCCAAATACTATAAGGTGTCAAAAGTTGGCATAGGGGTTACAAAACTGTAAACCCAGCACCAAACAGTGATCTTTGCTTGTGTAATTTTTAATAAATAAGACATTGATATTGACGTAATGAAAAAAGCTACATCTTGAATTATTTAGTAAAATTACTATAACTTCTAATCTTGTGGCTTTAGGTAGTACAGTCCATAGGCAATAAGGAGGTTTGTTTGGGAAAGGCTGTTATCGTCTTTGTTTCAAAGATAAAATATAAACTAAGTTCCTTCCAAAGTCCAGGAATGAACAAGAACAGCTTGGAGGTTAGAAGCAAGAAGGATTTAGTTAGGTCATGTCTTTTTCACTGTCTCTGAATTTTGCAATGGCAAGTTTTATAACTTTCAATGATGACTATCACAGTTTCCATAAATAATCTAGGTAAACAAGTAAAGTGAAGTAATTCAGTAAATGTAACGCGATAGATAAATACTTGTAGACAAACTTGTCATAATTTAAAATATAAAACTATATTAAATTCAATCATAGATATGTTATTATTTGGGTATTTTCAAATAAAATATTATAGGAAAACATTATTTCTAAAAAAAGTCTTTTTAAAAAGGTGAACAATTTTTGTCTAATTTAAAGCTTATTTCTGGGTCATTTTACCTTGTTTTATACAGGTCTCTGATAACTTTAGAGATCATACCATTGGCCTAAGACTTCCAGAACTCTATTATAAAACTGAAGTGTTCATGAAGATTGCCAACCCGACATCAAACAGTACAAGAATTGATTACCTGAGACTGAGCTGATAGAGGACTAAAGTGATTTCATAATTTTTTTGTTTGGAACATTGTTGATTCTTATTATTTCCAGAGTCAAACAAGTTTTTCGTTTTGAGTTACTTATAGCTTACAGTAATTGAGTAAAGTATACTTTTGTGAGCAAAATTGAAATATTTACCTTTCTCTCTACCTGAGTTATGCAGAATTTGAAAACTATTTATAAGTATTCTTAATTTATGGGAATATAGTTATTTGCAAAAGTTCATTAAAAAATCTGTTTTCATTTGTAAATAGAACTAAATTAGATACGCTGGTTATTTTACCAATGCTTTGGCTGAAGTGGCATATTTTCAGATATAACAAGACTGCTTTAAGTAGTTGAGTTTGACTTTTAGAGCCAATAAAATACTCCTTGAAAAGACTGGCCTGGTGCCTTTTCTACAAAGTTCCCTTACAACATTCCTGACCTTGTTGTAGTAAAGAATGTCACTTTTTGAGAGGACCAACTATTTCAAGGTATTTTAAGTCCTCAAGAGAAAAGGAATTTACCCAATTTGTACAGCTATTACAGCCATATTCTGATGACGAATTCTTGGTTTTGTTTCCTAGTCTCAAGCAGCTTTAAAAGTCTTATCTAAGATTACTTGTAAAAAATTTTTAGCAAAGTAGGGGCTGGGTTAGGTGGCTTATGAGTGTAATCCCAGCAGTTTGGGAGGCAGAAGCAGGTGGATCACTTGTGGTCAGGAGTTTGAGACCAGCCTGGCCAACATCGTGAAACCCCACCTATACCAAAAAATACACACACACACACACACACACACACACACACACACAAAATTAGCTGAGTGTGGTGGCATGCCTATAGTCCCAACTACACAGGGGGCTGAGGTGGCAGAATTGCTTGAACCCAGGAGGCACAGGTTGAAGTGAGCTGAGATTGTGGCACTGCACTCCAGCCTGGGTGACAGAGTAAGACATCGTCTAAAAAAGAAAAAAAAATCAGCAAAGCCAACATAAAAGGGCCTATGTGGCCATTCACTATTCTTGTTGCACTTTATGCAAATAATCAGGCAAAGCATAATAATAAATGTTATTTTGCAAATAAATTTGCCCTACTAACATCTTTCTTTGGGAAACTGGAGAGAGAAAAATTATATTTCAGAAGAAAAATGTAGTACACCAATTATTAGATTCTAACTTTGTCTATCGTTTGAGTTTTTATAATTTTCCTACAATTTGGACTAAATCTTGAATTATTTCTTGGCTACAAGTCTCTGAAGAATGACTTGGTTTTAATTTTTTTGTGTGTGTGATGGTTTTAGGTGATTCTTAGTGGAATAGTGTGTGAGTGTGTTTTGTTTGTTTAGAATGCAAATTGTTTTTGTTGTAATCCTTATGTGCATTATATTTCTACTATGTATCTCTTGTTGTTTTACTTCTTTAGAAAAAAAAAACTATACTCACGGGATCCTGAAGACTAAAGATGATTTGACAAATGACAGCAGTTATTCATCAGTGACTTTACTTATATCTTATTTTTTTTGCCACCCTGTGATGCTATCGCAATTTGGTTTTTGTTGCTCTTACAATTCCTTACTGAAACATATTCTCCCCAGATTACCCATGTGGAATAGGACCATCTGAGAATGAGTTTTTCTAGTGATGTGGGACTAAGCTCCTGAACATAAAAGGAGCCAAAATTGTTTGAGTTCATCTACAATGCTTTCTTTGAAAAACCCTGATGAAAAGTGGGGAGAGGATAAAAGAAAAATCTCTCGGAGCTGTCTGAGGTATTTGAGGTATGCAAAATTTATCAGGTCCAGAGAGACATGAGTATGGGATTTTAATTATATTCCCGTATCCATGCCTGGAGGCAATTGTTTAGAAACATTTTTATTCCTGAATTGCTGCCTCACCCGTTATCTTCATGTTCCTGGAATTTGTAATACAAAGAACATTGTATAGCCAATCAATAGCTTATGTAAATAAATGTAAACTCTTGGTAAACAACTTAGAAACATTCTCTCTTTTTTTCCTCAAAAACCTACTTATCAGGGCTGCTAATTGGAGTGTGTATTCAGGGCAACTTGAATCTATGCTCCCAGGAGGCCATACTTAACCATTTTGCTTGAATAAACTCTCTTTAAACTAGATTCTGAAGTTTTGATTATTTTAGGTTAACAAATATGTATATTACTATTGTCTATCCTACTGTGTGAAGTGGCCTATGAAGTTTTCTCTTGTGTTTTTATGTATTTTATGTTTTTCTCTTGTGTATTTATGTATTTTATGTATTCCCTTTTACTGATAAGAACAGATACTATACTTGATCTTAGCCAAAAGGCTGAGAAGTGATTACATCTCCCTGTAAAAATGTAAATGAAGGTCTTTTAAAACAATTTTTTAAAATAATTTTTTCCATAACTATGTTTTTCAAATTTTGATATTTTGGGGTTGTAATTTTCAGATTTTTAGACTTTAGAAATTTTGATCTTTCAAAATTTCAACATTCAGGGTTATGACATCTTCTGTGATTATGGCCCAAACCCCACCCTAGAAGGGACAGGGATTATACATTTGACATCTACTTTGTATTTGGGTTTACCTTTCTTTACCATAGTACCACTTTTGTCTCTAGCATGTTTGACTCTGCTAGAGTGAACTTCCTGGTTCCTGAGGATGTGGAAAATGCCTCTACTGGGGAAATCACTCTTTGTTATATGGAAAATTAACACTATCACCTGTTCACTTTGGTTTTTTTCATTCTGGTAGACTACCAGTCAAAGAAAGAAATTACTATACTATCAGGGATAATTGACTCTAATTAAAATGAAGAACTAGGATTGTTGTTAAATAATGGAGGAGGAATATGCTGGAATCCAAGATACTCTCTTCAGAGTCTCTTGAGGCTTTTAGGACTAGTGATAAATTTGAATACACATTACAGCAACCATAGGCTGACAATGGTAAAGCCAAGAAGAGCTGATACTGTTTGGAAATTTGGGTCTTGTTACAACTCAGAGCAGCCAAACTGATGACTGAGGGTGAGTGAAAGTTAGAAGGATGTTGAAAATTATATCTAATAAATATTAAATATGACCTAAAGATCAGTGGCTGCAGTGTCGATTGTGGTTTACTTTCTTGCCACAAGACTTTGCAGATAATTTGTTACAGGACCACCAGTTTCATCTGCCCACTGCACAATAACAGACCAATATATTGAATAGCAGGGGTTGCAACAGAAAAAGAGTTTAATAGTCACTGAGCAGCCAAACAAAGAGATGGGAGGAGCCCTACAATCCATCCTCCTCAGGGGTTCTGACCTAGGGTTTTTAAGGTGATTGTTGTAGGCAAGGGGATAAAGAGTTGGGGGTCATAGATCAGTCAGGGTGAGGGGGAAGGGATCATTAGGATGTGAAAACTGCATTCTTCAGTTGCGTTAGTGCCTCAGTGAGGGCCCTCAAACTAGCTGGCATTGGTAGTTTCACGGGAATGAAAGATCTAAAAAATATTTCAAATGGAAAACTTGAGGTTTCTCAACATTAAAGATGTTATCTATAGAAACGATTAAGGGAAATTAGTACCTTGGGACCTTGTCTGTGTGACTTACAGGCAGTAAGAAACTAAGAAAGTAAACTAAAGAGTAAGTTGGTTAATGGTTAATGCTAAGCTGTAACTCTCTTCTAAGTCGATGTTTTTGTCAGAAACTTCTGACAACTGATTTTATTAAATTTGTGAGGATGTATTAATTTTTGTGAATCATGATCTTTACAGTGACTCAGTGTTGGATTTAAGGGAAGAAACATTTGGAAAAGTGTAGTACAAGGGGTTACCTGTATCAGATAATGCTTGTACATGACATCTTTATTTATTTTTTATTATATTTTAACTTCTGGGATACATGTACAGAACATGCAGGTTTGTTACATAGGTATACACATGCCATAGTGGTTTGCTGCACCCATCAACCCATCATCTACATTAGGTATTTCTCCTAATGCTATCCCTCCCCTAGCCCCCCACTCTCTGACAGGCCCCAGTGTATGATGTTCCCCTTCCTGTGTCCATGTGTTCTCATTGATCAACTCCCACTTATGAGTGAGAACATGCGGTGTTTGGTTTTCTGTTCCTGTGTTAGTTTGCTGAGAATGATGGCTTCCAGCTTCATCCATGTCCCTGCAAAGGACATGAACTCATCCTTTTTAATGGCTGCATACTATTCCATGGTGTATAAGTGCCACATTTTTTTATCCAGTCTATCACTGATGGGACTTTGGGTTGGTTCCAACTCTTTGCTATTGTGAACAGTGCTGCAATAAACATACGTGTGCAGGTGTCTTTATAGTAGAATGATTTATAATCCTTTGGGTATATGCCCAGTAATGGGATTGCTGGGTCAAATGGTATTTCTGGTTCTAGATCCTTGAGGAATTGCCACACTGTCTTCCACAATGGTTGAACTAATTTACACTCCCACCAACAGTGTAAAAGCTTTCCTATTTCTCCACATGCTTGCCAGCATCTGTTGTTTCCTGACTTTTTAATGATCGCCATTCTAACTGGTGTGAGATGATATCTCATCGTGGTTTTGATTTGCATTTCTCTAATGACCAGTGATGATGAGCTTATTTTCATATGTTTATTGGCTGCATAAATGTCTTCTTTTGAGAAGTGTCTGTTCATATCCTTTGCCCACTTTTTGATAGGGTTGTTTGTTTTTTTCTTGTGCATGGCATCTTATGTGATTGTTCTCGTTTGTTTTTTACTCTAGTCATGGTTGTTGTGAATCAGCTCTGGATGTGCTTTAAGAGTATCTCACATGAGTCCTTTGTTGTGCTTTCTATTTTTCTGTTCTTTACTGTTGTCCTACTCAAGGATAACACAGTAGTGGTTGCCAAAGTGGGGATGCTACAAGAAACTTCTTGGCATAAACATTCTGGTGGTGCAGCACAGTTTATCCTTGTGGGGTGACTCACAGCTCCCCATGGTTGAAGAGGCCTCACAATCATGGCTGAAGGTGAATGAAAAGCAAAATCACATCTTCCATGGAAGCAGGTGAGAGAGCTTGTTCATGGGAACTACCCTTTAGTAAACCATCAGATCTCATGAGACTTATTTACTATCATGAAAACAGCATGGGAAAGACCCATCCCATGATTCAATTACCTACCACCAGCTCCCTCCCATGAGACGTGGGGATTATTACAATTCAAGGTGAGATTTGTGTGGGGACACAGCTAAACCATGTCATTCTGCTCATGGGCACTCTCAAATCTCATGTCCTCACATTTCAAAACTAATCATGCCTTCCCAATAGTCTCTCAAAACCTTAACTCATTTCAGCATTAACTCAAAAGTCCACAGTCCAAAGTCCCATCTGAGACAAGGCAAGTTCTTTCCACCTATGAGCCTGTAAAATCAAAAGCACGTTAGTTACTTTCTAGATACAATGGGGGTACAGGCATTGGGTAAATACACTCATTTCAACTGGGAGAAATTGTCCAAAACAAACAGGCTACAGGCCCCATGCAATTCTAAATCCAATAAGAGAGTCATTAAACCTTAAAAGTTCCAAAATGATCTCCCTTGACTCCATGTCTCACATCCAGGTAATGCTGATGCAAGAGGTGGCCTCTCATGGCCTTGGGCAGCTCTGCCCCTGTGGCTTTGTGGAGTACAGCTTCCCTCTCAGCTACTTTCATGTACTGGCTTTGTGTGTCTACAGCTTTTTCAGATGCACGGTGCAAGCTGTCAGTGAACCTACTATTCTGGGGTCTGGAGGACAATGGCCCTCTTCTCATGGCTCCACTAGGTAGTGCCCCAGTGGGGACTCTGTGTGGGGATCCATCCCCACATTTCCCTTCTGCACTGCCCTAGCAGAGGTTCTTCATGAGGGTCCCACCCTGCAACTAACTTCTGCCTGGACATATAGGCATTTCCACATATCCCCTAAAATCTAGGAGGAGGTTCCCAAACCTCAATCCTTGAGTTCTGTGCACCCACAGGCTCAACACCATGTGGAAGCTGCCAAGGTTTGGGGCTTGCATCCTTTGGAGCCACAACCGGAGCTGTACCTTATCCCCTTTTCACCATATCTGAAGTAGCTGGGATGCAGTGACTCAAGTCCCTAGGCTGTACACAGTACTGGGGGCCTGGGTCAGGCCCACAAAATCATTTTTTCATCCTAGGCCCCCAGGTCTGTGGTGGGAGGGGGTGCTGTGAAGATTTCTAACATGCCCAGGAGACATTTTCCCCATTGTCTTGGTGATTAACATTGTGCTCCTCATTACTTATGCAAATTTATGCAGCGGGCTTGAATTTTTTTCCCAGAAAATCAGTTTTTCTTTTCTATTGTATTGTCAGGCTGCAAATTTTCCAAACTTTTATGCTGTACTTCCTCTTGAACACTTTGCCGCTTAGAAATTTCTTTTATCAGAAACTGTAAATCATTTATCTCAAGGTCAAAGTTCCACACATCTCTAGGGCAGAGGCAAAATGCCACCAGTCTTTTCGTATAAGAAGAGTAAACTCTACTCCATTTCCCAACATGTTCCTTATCTCCATCTGAGACCACCTTAGCCTGGATTTCATTGTCTATATTACTAGCAGCATTTTGGTCAAAGCCATTCAACAAGTCTCTAGGACATTCCAAACTTTCCCACATTTTGCTATCTTCTGAGTCCTCCAAACTGTTTCAGCCTCTGCCTGTAACCCAGTTCCAAAGTCACTTCCACATTTTTGGTTATCTTTACAGCAGCATCCCAGTACCCAGTATCAATTTACTGTATTAGTCTATTCTCTTGCTGCTAATAAAGACATGCTTGAGACTGGGTAATTTATAAAGGAAAGAAGTTTAATTGACTCACAGTTCCACATGGCTGGGGAGGCCTTGCAATCATGGCTGAAGGTAAATGAGGAGCAAAGTAACGTCTTACGCGATGGCAGGCAAGACAGCATGTGCAGGGGAACTCCCTTTTATGAAAGTATCAGATCTCGTGAGAGTTACTCACTATCATGAAAAAAACCTTTCCCCATGATTTAATTACCTCCCACTGGGTCCCTTGCATGACACATGGGGATTATTATAATTCAAGGTGAGATTTGGGTGGGGACATAGCCAAATCATATCACATTGCTAAAAGAATACCTGAGACTGCATAATTTATAAAGAAAAAAGGTTTGTCTCACAGTTTTGCAGGCTGTATAGGCATGGCTGCAGAGACCTCAAGAATCTTACAATCATGGCAGAAGGCAAAGGTGAAGCAGGCACATCTTACGTGGGCAGAGAAGAAATAAGAGAGAGAGTGAGGAGGTGTTACACACTTTTAAACCACCAGATCTAATGAAAACTCATGTACTATCATGAGAACAGTAAGGGGAAAATCTGTCCCTATGATCAATCACCTCCCACCAAGCCTCTGCTTTAACCAATGAGATTACAATTAGACATGATATTTGGGTGGAGATGCAACTCCAAACCGTATCAACTCATATACTTTATCTGATTCTCATAACAACTAAGAGACTCTTTGAAATAAGCCAAATGTCTTTTTTTAAACTTATTATAGAATGATCATATTTTGTACATGCTTCTAAGTTGATATAATGTTTTCCAAATGTATTCTCTTATTTGATCTTACAATAATCCTAGGGGATTTAATTGAAGAAATATAAGCTCAGAGAAAACTGACTTGAATGGTGTCAGCTGGGAAAAGAATAACAGCTGTGTAGTGTGTTTTTTCTTTAATTTTCAAAGCTTGTACATGTTTACTTTTTTAAACAGTCTTTCTTTGTCCTGATTGTAGTCAATTATTCATTTACAAAATTAAATGTATTTATTATATTTATATGTTCTTCCCAACATTATCAGCTAGGTAGAATGAGCTGGGCCAATAGGACAGAGATATTTATATGCATATGACAAATTTAGCATAATATACTTTAGTTCAGTAACATAGACAAAGTGTTTATCTTCAGGATTATACTACTTTTTATTCTTGTAAAACATGTATTCTTTTTCATTGTCTTATTATGAAACATAAAAATACATAAAAATGAACAGAATTTGAAGTGAATATCTTGATTCTATAATTAACATTTTACTATGTTTATTTATTGCATATCTATTGCATCTCTCCATTTTGCTACAATCTGACTCCATCTTCCTTGAGCAGTTATAATTGTGTTTAAAATTCTGTCTTTGTCATTCCAAAATTTAGTTCATTTTGTTGCTCTTTATTGCATTGATTCTTTATTTCTTTTAAGAATGGGTAATGTTTTCTTGTTTCTTTTTGTGACATGCAACTTTGAATTATTTTTTGGGTGTTGTGAATTTCATGTTGTTGAGAATTTGGATTATGTTAGGTTCTACCAAAGTATAATTGTGTAAACAGCATTTGTCTTTGATAAAATAAATTGCAATTTCTGGCTCCCCTTCTGTGGTTTCAGAATGAACTTTCGTTCAACTTATTAGATTTAGTTGTCTGCTTGGAGTCTGCCCTGCGCATGTGTAGTTCAATGGTCAATCAGATATTTGGCTGTTATCCTAATTTGAATTTCCATCTTCTGGCTTGCTCTTTTCAAAGATTTGTATCTTCTTCATTTTCTAGTGCCTGTGATGCCTTGAACACTGTCCTTTAATTCTGCCAGGTAGCATGACCTTGTGTTTTCCATCAGAGTTTTAGCCAGCCAACTTACGTGGTGCATACTGGAAGGCCTAAAATTTGACTAAATGTGATAAAATAAGAAAACTCTCAAGTTCTATTCTCTTTATCTGAGTCTCAACTTCTCTCTAGTCCTGCCTTTATTAATTTAGTCTCTAGTGGCTTCAGGTACCTCGGAGGATTTTGTTTTCCCTAAGTGTTTTGTCAAGAGTTTATTGTTATTATTTGCTGTATTATTGTTTTGTTAGGAGTTCATGGCAGTGCTGGAAGCAGAACTCTCATGGTCATCTTTTAACTCATTACATTTGTGTAATTGAAATCTTTCTTTGATTTATGTGATTTGTAATACTGGATCTTAAAGATCTATTTAAAGCATGTAGCTTATTATACATAAAAATTTTTAAATGTTTGCAGTTTCACTTAAACTGGGTCTCCTCTAATAAATAAATTTAGCCTAAATTTATGATAACCCAAAGATACAATCAAGAACCATTCCCATATTTTATCTGAAGTCTATGAGAAATGCCAATTACAACATTCATAGAAGTGCAGAGGTACAACAAAGCTTACGTATCACTTGCTAGAGGTGATATGTACAATTGGACTGAATGTTTGAGTATTTGTTTATGGCTGCAGCAAAAATATCAGAAAAAAGCATTCTTGGCTTTAACCTGGTGGCTATTTACCTATTTTACACTCTTTCCTGGTGAAATAAAAGATAACTAGCTTTCCAACATCATCGCATCTTTAAGTACGGTGGTCATTCAAAACATTAAAGTCAATTAGGTCAAAAAGATCATTTATTGATTTGACATCTCATTCAGATAACCTCACTTATTTCCATGATAGATATTAATAGTGTGGTTCTTATTTTGATTATAGCCGACTCTCCTACATTCAAAATACAGCTAAACTATAGACCAAAAAGAATTAATTACGTAGTCTCCATTGGCTAACATTTATGCTAATATTTTCTAGCCAGAATAAGAAAGCTACTTTGGCATGATTCTTTAAAGTTAACCAACTTACTCACTAAATCATATAGAAAAAGAATTTTTTAATCATTTAAATGTAAGTTTATTTACCATATTTTATGTACTTTATTTCATAATAGAAGTCCAATATTTTAACACAATATAGTAGAGGAGATATTAAAAAAAATGAAAAATATCTCTGCTGGCCTATCAGGTGAAAGCATTTACAGAAATTCTGCCTATGAATAACAAAAAGCTTTGCAACAGAACATTTAAGTAATGTGTCTTTATGACTATTTGAAAACTAGTTCGCAGACATGTTTTCTGATGATTATGAATCTTGGGCACAGGTTTATTTCAGCATATTCCAAATGGCAACAGCTATACTGCAAAAAACAATTTTTGTCCTGTCACCAGTTTACTAATCAAATGTCAGTCTCTTCTCAAGATCTCATGTCTTATCAACAAAGGCCTAAATGAATTACTGTTGCAAATGCCCATCATAGTAAGCATCTGCTTGTCTCAGTCCTATGTCTGACGAGCTTAATCTGAAGCATGCCATTTCTGATAGAAATCCAGGTGACATGAAGCTTCTGAAAAAAAATGTACTTACACATAAGACCAAAAATTTATATATTCACATTTTAATAAAAACATACTTGTAGTTGGTTATTCAGATCTCATGATAACGGAATGTTGCCTTATATGGTCATATCCTTTAGGGAAAAAATAGGGATTATGTACAAAAATTCTCTTTCTTAAAAATATGGTTCTCTCCCTAACCTTGGAAATAGAAGTAAACACCTTTAAACTTGGTTCATGCCTTGCATATAGGAATATTATGGCCAGAAGTGAGATTTTATATATGAATGACTTTTAACTCTTTTTCCCACTTACATAGATTTAAAGGTTCAATTTCAATGACAATTGACCATTTTACTATATGCAATAAAACATATATCTAAATTTTTAAAAACACCTTGAATTCTTAGAATGCATTTTTAAACAATGAATTTTTGCATAGACAGATTTTTTGTCTATATCAAGACAATTTCTAGATGAAGCAAGTGAAATAATGATTTTGGAAGATGCTTATATTTGTATCAAACACAAACTTAGATATTTTCTTGAGTTACTTAAAGTGTAAAAATATTCTCCTTGAATATATAGAAAACTTGTAGGCAAGATAAAAATAACACTAAGTATAGAAAATATGTTTTATTTTTTCAATATGATGATTAAAGTGTTACAAAATAGTACCTTGGTCTGTCCTTACTCCTTTCTTATGTAAATTAATTAACCATTTGGAAGTGGGTGCACCTTTTTCTCTCAACTTCTCTGTTGTTACCATGTGAGAAAATACAGAAAATAAATTTCTATTTTGGTAAAAGAAACAGTCATGGAACTCAGAAGCTAGGTCATGCTGTGTTGATGTCAAGCAATGTCAGATGTCTGAATTAATATATATTCTATTTGGAAGCAATGTGGGTATAACAGTATATAATAATAGATCTCTCTACTTTTATATTTCATAGTTGATGTGGAATTTGCTGCAAACCATATTAATTCTGTAGAGAAGGCATTGTGCTCTTAAATCACATAAAATTTTTATTGCCTGTCTTACCTAATATTTCTTTTGCTCTCAAAACACTATTGGCTTTAAAAAAAAAAGAGAGAAAAAGAAAAAAATCTTCTGCACATTTCTGCCACTGTTGAAATTAAACATGGTTTCAACTAAGGGCTATAATCTTCTTTATTCCAGAATAATGCCTTAGGTAACTATAATTGAAAGAAGTGAAATATGCAAAGAAAAATCATTAAAAGGAAGCATCTTTCAGAACTGTAATTAAATAGATTGGCTGTGAGGAATAAATTAAGGGCAAAGAAAATTAAAATCAGTATAGTATAGAGGAGACACAACAGAATGCAAACCATGCAATCAAAAAGATAAATACCCTTGACCCTTTTGTTATATGAATACGCATGTATTTTTTTTCTAGTGATTTGCCCTTGGAGCATTTCTGTACCTTGGTCACATTCTACACAAAATGAGATTGAAATAGATTGAAGTTTTTAAAGAACATACTTAGGCCAGTCTCCTCATTGTAGAATGGCCTCAGAGGTGGCAACACAGGAGCTGAGTTATTGTAAGTGGTTCCTCTAGAGATTGGTTTATTTTTGCTGTGACAAGCTTTATTCTGTATTCAGCACCCTTATCAAGTGGCTAACCTATACTAAGGATGACCATAGAAGCAAAAAACAGTGTCTTAAAGACATTTCTATACCAGCATACTTTTAAAAAACCTCATTCAGTGGTTTTGTGTATAAAAGTATATCATTTTAAATTTAGTCTTTCCAGGCTAGTATTTTATCTTTTTCAATAAATCCAACATAATCTTAATGGGAATATTTGTTGATATTTTCTTCATATTGTCAAACTTAAAAGTGGTAACTGTAAAGTTTCTAATCTCACTTAATAGATGTTTGGACTATAATAGATGCTAGGACTATAATAGATGCTAGGACTATAATAGATGCTAGGACTATATAAGCCCTACTCACTTTTTGTGTAATGCAACAAATCCTGAAGATAGTATTAACTATGTTTATGTATTTTTTGTAGAGACAGGATCTCACATGTTGCCCAGGCTGTTCTCAAACTTTTAGAGTCAAGTTAAACTCTTGCCTTGGCCTCCCAAAGTGCCGGAATTACAGGCATGAGACACTGCACTCAGCCAACTGTTTATTGTAATAAGTCCCTTTATTTAGATAGATCAACAACCATATGACAAGTGTTTGTCTTGTCTTCTAACTAAATTGTTATAAAGGAGCTCTATTTGACTTTCTTACACTATTATAAAGCAACATTGCTGGGCCATTGAATTTTGGAATTGATTTACAAGTTTGTGCTGTCCTTTCCTTTCTATATCATAAATTTATATATAACTCCATGTAACAGAGGTATGTCATAACTGTCTCTGGCATAATTGTAAGTGATATTCTATTTACATTACTTATGTAGAAATGTCATAGACTGGTTCTTAAATCAAATTACATAAAATGCACAAAAATTAGCAATTATGGAACCAATTTCAGCTTCATTATATGGATAGATACGGATTTAAGTAATGGAAAAGCATATTTGGGGAAAGAAGCTCCTCTATTTCCAATAGTATCAAGCCTGTAAATTGTATTTATCAGAGAATATTTATGTACAAAATTCCATAACTCATTATTTCTTATTATCCAGCCAATGCCATTTAGTCTATTGATCAAGGGCACTAATGGCCCTTTAAATGTCCTCTTAAAGGTGTTGATTCTGAACACCTGATATTACAAAGATGATTTTATGTATATCTATGTGCAAAATATTTCTTATTGTGTCAAGTTATGTAAATTTTAGTTCAAAGGAAGAAGACATACCTATCTTTAAAGATGTGTAGAATACACCAAAGTTGTAGATCATGCTGTCATACTACAATAGATCAAATCTTAGCTATATATTAAATTTACACATCTACATTAAGCTGGCTCATTTATTGCAGACAAATAGTCAACATGAATCTGGTTATTTGGCATGTTCATCTACTGCCTCAGAATGACAGAGACTGTTCGAGTGAAATCACTAGTGTTGGCTATAAAACGCTCGATTAATTTATGTCCAAATGATCATTAACAGTCAATACACAACTATGCTACTTATATTAAATATATGTAACTTCAAAAGTTCTAAAACTATTTTGATATTTATTGCTTATCCCTATACTAAAGTACTTTAGTTTTAAAATACTGTGGAGAAATACCTCGAGAGTTCTTACTGCTCTCTTAAAAACATTCAATGAAATACGCCTATGACACACATAATAATACCTGTTCTAAAAGGAAGAGCTCAGTAATACTGTGTTTCAGTTACATTAAAAAGCCCTTTCTCATTAATTCAATTTTCTTTTGTAAAAATGTTCCCACTACTGCTGGAGTAATCAGCCTTTCAGATTTATGAGCGATTTTTATGTGAGTGTTGGCCTAAAAGATAAAACACCTTGATCAATTGCCAGGTAACTCTTCCAGTCTTCCTTCAACACCATGTTAATCCAGCACATTAAATTATTTTTAATTAGGTAATCATATAACCATGAATCTCTTTTTTAGGAAATAAAGAAAAAATTTATAATGTCTTCTAAAAGAACAGAAACGGGAAATTATACATGTAGGAGATACTGCAGAAACTGTTCCCATCACTTTAGAACAGCAACAACAACAACAAAAAGAATTCTGAACTAATCTCTTAGTTTAGCAGTATAGCCTCCGATTCCAGTTTTCTTGGGTTTTCATTGAAGCTTTATGACGTCAGCATTCCTTCCCCCAGGGAGTAGGGTGGGACCCTCTTAAGATCCACTATCAGAAAGGCTGGGGAAGATTGGAACAAGTGAAAGGAGGGTAGGGGAAGGTCAGAGAGATTCTGTTTACTGAGGCCTGTCTCTGAGGTTTAACATACCCAACAGTGTAACAAAAGACTACAACAAGGGCTAGTGGAGTTATAAGCCAGGGGGCTTATATACATTTATATATTTGTAAATATTTATATATACAAAAACAATGTATTTATCTAATATATATTATATATTAGATTATATTATGTAAATTATATATTAGATATATTATTATATATTATATATAAATATGCTTGTTTTTATTTTCTGTGGTATATAAACAACAGAACGTAAGAAGAGCAAGTGACTAAGAGAAAAGCAGAAAAGTAAAGGCATCTTTTTTTCAGTCAAATAGAAAAAATTCTGAATCAAGTTACTGAAGTATTCACTAGAGCCTCATGAAACATCATTTTCCAAACCCAGACTAAATTCATAAGGCTCAACTGATAAACAAAGACTTTTTTAAGAATTAAGAATTAGGTAAATGTTTAATTAAAACAACTTCAATTAAAAATGCTACATGTTTTTATATTTCTCATCTTTTATCCCTGAAAGAAGGTTGTTCTAACTCTTTCAAGAAACATTAGCAAATTTATAAAATAACAAATCTTAAGGAAAGAAATTTTTAGAATCCATAAGAGTACAGGCAAGCAATTCATTGTGCT
Organism: Homo sapiens; assembly: GCF_000001405.40. Classification (NCBI taxonomy): domain Eukaryota; kingdom Metazoa; phylum Chordata; class Mammalia; order Primates; family Hominidae; genus Homo; species Homo sapiens. The sequence goes on from NC_000001.11 coordinate 102,119,066, forward strand.
TAAGAGTATTTGAACTTAAACTAAATCTTAGTATCTACATGGTGGATTATCTTTTTGACTATAAAATGATAATGATGTACATTAATAATTTAATAGCAAAAAAGTTTAAAAATACATTATATGACATGTTGAATTTATAACTTTAAAAATTATTATAGTTGAATTTACTTGATTTCTAATATGTTATCAAATTTGCTTGACTTCAAATATAGTCAAATAAATGAAAGCCTGCTGTATTTTAAGGGGAAACATCTAGAAAACATGATCTGAAACTATGCGTCCAAAAAGCTCACAACTAAAATAATGTTTACAGTAATGAAGGATGCAAAAGTGTTTGTAAGACAGCTTTTCTTTAAAATGAAAAAAAAAAAACATAATTTTTTAAAGCTGGCACTATTATTCCAAAGAGGTGGTTCTGAAAAAACCATTCCTAACACTGCTTTCAACCAAACCAAAAGTGACAGAAACCCTAATTATTGGAGCTTTGCCTGATTATTTCAACAAAATTCATTTTCCACAAAGCAAAACCATTAAAATGCAAAGTACTTTTTCTTTTAGTTAAGTTAGGGTTATATCTGGAAAGAAATATAGTCACTACAATTGTTGTTCTATTTGTAACCTTGAATGGACCAGTGATTTGAAAATAACCTTATTGTTTTCCATCATCAAAAAGAAAAAAGATAGATTATTTTTTAAAAGCAAAAAATATTGAGGTTGTATTTTTCTCGATGAAAGAAAATGCCTTTTAGGAACAAATTATTTTTTTCTCCGGTATTTCTCTAATAAAAGCCTATGTATTATTCTAAGTTCAGATCAAATGCTATTTCTTAGAGACTTCTCTGATTTCTTCTGCCCAAGATTAGAAGGAAGAAATACATTATAGATATGTATATAATGAAATACTGTTTAGCAGGTAAAAATTAATGAGCTGGGGCTATGTGAATGAACATGAGGAAGTTATAAAATCACAATTTAAATTAAATAAAACAGTTTATAAGGCAATATAAATGACATTTATATAAATAATATATATTTAGATATGAATATATTTCTATTTAACCTAATATTTAAAATACGGCTATTGTTTAAAACCTTGAACACATATAGTAAAAGTATAAAATCTGGATGATACTTTTAAACTTCAAAAACAGGATATTGGTTATCTCTGGAGAGAAAGAAATAGAGCTGTAACTGTGGAGTTGAGGCAGGAATTGAGGAATTTCTACTAACCATGCAATTATTTTTACAAACCATTAAACATGATTGGAAGTTAATATGGCATGAAGTTAAGATTTGACAGTTGATTAGTAGATACGTGGACATTTGTAATATTATCCTATATACAATAATTTAACCTGGGAGTATTTCTTTTTTTTTTTTTTTAAGTGTAACATAGTGAATAGGTGTATGCTTCAGGGATATAAAAACGCATCTTGAAAACTAACGGTAAAACAATAATCAACAGATGCAAATAATCCACCAAGGTCAATGTATATGAAGACTTCAAGATGGCTTGCCAAACGTATCCGGTACTCACCTCCCCCATAAAGAAGAACCAAAAGAAATCACACTTCCAATAGAGCACATAAGAGAGAATGCTGAAATTCAGTAGAGAAATCACAGGTAATGCCTTAGGCAAGGGGAGAGCGAAGCAAGGCAGCCTGGTCAGCCAGGATTTACTGGGAGCCTGGGGAGGCTCTATGATATTGGGAAAGGGTAAGTGAGTAACCCCCAGCAGTTCATGTTTCTATCTTGTATTTCTTGTGTGTCTTCTAGCTACAGGAGAGCCCCTCAACCTACATGGGCCCTGAGACTAACGTAGAGAGCTGCCTGGAGACTGTGTGTTGGCAACCCATGTAGCCTCCAGTCCTAAACAGCTATAGCGAGGCACCATTTTGAGAGCCTCACCCTGAGGCTGCATCCTGTTCTGAAGCCCAGCAGACCCTGAATCTCCACAACCCTGTAGTTTCATTGACATGCCCTGCCTGCAGCCACGGCCAAAGCATAAGCCATTGGCAGCAACCCTGCTGCCCCTGGCAACAGGGCCACTGTGCATTTACAAGTGCTCCGAGGAAAGGCTTCCCCACTTGAAGCTGTCACCTGGGACTGAAATGTGTACTCCCCAGCTGCCGGTTTATAACTGTTGCCACTGAAAGCAACCCTGCTCTTCTCTGCAGCAGGGTCACAGCACAGAAGCTTGTACCACACAACCAGTCATGTTGCCAGGAGCACCTGGAGGTCCAGGAATTGGCCCATCTGAAACTGCTAACATTGGTGGCAGTGTACGCTAACTCTGGGGCCCAGGGATAGGCACGCTCAGCCTGCCACTGCCACCTCTGGGCTCTGAGGACTGACCCATCTGATGTCCCTGTCCAGCAAAATTACCACAGCCTCCACTAAAAATTATGCCCTAAACCCCTGAGGATATCACAGACACTATTCATGCTGTTTATAGCCAAATAAATCAAATGAAGATTACTACTGCATGTACCCAGAATCAAAGCCAAATTATGCTGCCCAACCAATACCACAGATGCATCTTCAGGAAAGTCCCCTCCTACAAAAGCAAATTCAAAAAAATGGAAAGACATGACTGTTACACCAGATGTGCAGACATCAGTGTAAAAATACAAAAAAAAAAAAAAAAAAAAAGAGAGAAAGCAAGGAAATGTGACGTCTCCAAAGAATCACAATAATTCTCTAGCAACAGATTCTAAAGAAAAACAAATTATGAAATCCCTGGAAAAGAATGAAACATAATGATATTAAAGAAGTTCAGTGGCATACAAGAAAACTCAGAAAAACAATACAAAGAAAGCAGAAAAAAAAGTCAGGATGTGCATGAGAACTTTACCAGTGATCGGTATCATAAAAATGAAACCAACAGAAATTTTGGAGCTTAAGTAACCATTGAATAAAATACAAGATACATTCAAAAGCTTCAAAAATGGACTAGATGAAGAAGAAATAATTTTAGAACCTGAAGGCAGGTCTTTTGAAATAATCTAGTCAGACTGAAACAAAACAAAACAAAACAAAAAAAGAAATAACAAAGTCTATGTGACATATGGGACACTATAAAGCAACCAAATATCCAAATATTTGGTGTCCCAGAAGGTGAAGAGAATATGAAAACAATAGAAAGCCTATTAAATGAAATAATAGTTGAAAATCTCCCAAGTTTAGCAAGAGGCAGAAGATTGCTTGAGCCCAGGAGGTCAAGGATGCAGTGAGCTATGATCATACAATTGTATTCCATAGCCTAGGTGAGAGAGGGAGATTCTGTCTCAAAAAATAAAAAGAAAAAAACAAAAGAATCAAGCTATGTCCATTAATGGATGAATGGGTAAAGAAAATGTGAGGCCGGGCACAGTGGCTCACACCTGTAATCACAGCACTTTGGGAGGCTGCGGCAGGTGGATCACTTGACCTCAGGAGTTGGAAACCAGCCTGTGCAACGTGATGAAACCACACTTCTACCAAAAGATACCAAAATTAGCTGAGTATGGTGGCATGCACCTGCATTCCCAACTACTCAGAAGGCTGAGGTGGGAGAATCGCTTGAACCCAGGAGGCGGAGTTTGCAGTGAGCCGAGATCGCGCCACTGCACTCCAGCCTGGGCGACAGAGCGAGACTCCATCTCCAAAGGAAAAAAAAAAAAAAAAAAGAAAGAAAATAAAATGTGGTATATATACACAATGGAATACCATTCAGCCACAAAAAAGAATGAAATTCTGTCATTTGCAGCAATAAAGATGAGCTGAAGGTCGTTATGTTAAGTGAAATAAGCCAGGCACAGAAAGACAAATATTGCATGTTTTCACTCATACGCAGGAGCTAATAAGGTTGATCATATGGAAGTAGATAGTAGAATGATAGTTACCAGAGGCTGGGAGGAGTAGGTGGGTGGCTGTGGCGGTGAAGAGAGGATGGTTAATTAGTATAAACATACAGTCAGAAGGAATAAATTCTAATATTTGAATTGTAATATTCTAATACAAGTGTAACATGACTATAGTTAACAAAAACCTATTGTATATTTCAAAACAGAAGAGAGGACTTGAAATGTTCCCTACATACAAAAAAAGATAGCTACTTGAGGTGATGGATACCTTAGATTTGATCATTACACATTCTATGCGTGTAACAAAATATCACATGTAACCTATAAATATGTACAAATATTGTGTTAAAAATACATAATATGTGTATTAAGGAGAAGATAATGTTTAACAATTAATATAATAAGAGGTATACCACAAAGATTAACACAATAAAAATATGTAAGTCAGGAATCAATATTATTCTTAAAAAAAGATAATTAGTAAAAAAAATCTTTGAAAATAGAATAAATGAATATCTTTTTTACTATTATTTAACTTTATAATCAAAATTTTTTGTTTGTTTATTTTATGAGACAGGGTCTCACTCTGTCTCCCATGGCGGAGTGCAGTGGTGCAATCTCAGCCCACTCCAACCTCTGCCTCCCAGGTTCAAGCAATCCTCCCCCACCCTCATCCTCCTGGGTAGCTGGGACTACACGTGTGCACTACCACACCCAGCTAATTTTTGTATTTTTTGTAGAGATGGGGTTTTGCCATGTTGCCCAGTCTGTCTGGTCTTGGACTCCTGAGTTCAAGTGATCCACCCGCCTCAGCCTCCCATAGTGCTGCAATTACAGGTGTGAGCCATTGCACCCAGCCTCAAAGTTTTAATTAACATAATTTTTTGAAACATTTGTAACATTATATTTTCTTTTTCAATTTTTATGTCTTTTTCTTAAAATACATTATCATGCAAATAGTTGCATGTGCATGGGTGCACAGATGTATGTATTATGAGCCAAAAACCAAGTCTCAGTAATTTTAAAAGAAATCAAGTGAAACAATTTATGCTCTCTGATCACAATTGAATTAAATTATAAATTATAAATCAACACTAAGAATAAATGGAGAAATGTTCTCTATTCATGTGTGTGCAGACTCAATAATGTTAAGGTACCAATATCTTCAACTTGATATCTGGATTCCAAGTAATCACGATTATAAGTCACAATGCAGGGTTTTTTTTAAGAAATTAATATAATTTGTATATAAGTATAATGAAATGAGAAGAGCCACAATAACAAATAATAAAAAGATGAAAAAAGATGAACAAAGTTGAAGGACTTACAAGCTCAAGACTTCTTATAAAGCCATATTAAAAAAGACAGTGTGGTATTGGTGTAGACAGACAAATGGTCAAGGAAGAAGAGAACCCACACATGTATAGACAACTAACTAGCAACGAATTTGCAAATGCAATTCAGCAGAGAAATGAGTCTCTTTAACAAATTGTGCTGGAAAAGTTGGATATATGCAATAATGTGAATTTTGATCTATGTTTTGTATCATATAAAAATAATTAAAAATGGATCCTAGACATAACGTAAAACCAAAAACTATAAAACATCTAGAAGTAAACCTTAGTGACCTTGGGTTAGGTAAAGATTTTTTATGTATCACAACAAAGTCACAGTCTACAAAAGAACAGATTGATACTATGAACTTCATCAAAATGAAAATTTCTGTCTTTTAATAGATATTGTTAAAAGAGTTGACAATTAAGTCATGGATTGCGAGAATGTCATCTATGTGATATCATCTATGTGATAAAGGATTTGTTCCTAGAATATATAAGTAACTCTCGGAACTCAATAACATGAAAATAACCCAAGAAAAAACCTGGCAAAATACTGTTATACCAAGGAAGATATATGGAGAGTACATAACCATGTGAACAGAAGCTTAATATCATTCATCATTAGGAAAATGCAAGTCAAAACCAAAATGAGAGATTATGATATCTATTAGAATGGCACAAATTAAAAAGCTGACCATACCAAGTATTCGCAAAGATATGGAAAAAAACTGGAATTGTCTTTTTCTTTTTTGACATAGAGTCTCGCTCTATCACTCAGGCTGAAGTGCAGAGGTGTGACTGTATCTCCCTGCAGCTTCAACTTTCCAGGCTCACAGGATCCTCCTGCCTCAGCTTCCTGAGTAGCTGGGACTATAAGCACATGCCACCATGCCTGGCTACTTTAAAAAATAAAATGTAGGCCGCGTGCAATGGCGCATGCCTGTAATCTCAGCACTTTGGGAGGCTGTGAGTGGATCACCTGAGGTCAGGAGTTCGAGACCAGCCTGACTAATATGATGAAACCCTGTCTCTACTAAATACAAAAAATAAAATTAGCTGGGCGTGGTGGCACATGCCTGTAATCCTAGCTACTCAAGAGGCTGAGGCAGGAGAATTGCTTGAACCTGGGAGGTGGAGGTGCAGTGAGCTGAGATGGTGCCATCGCACTCCAGCCTGGGCAACAAGAGCGAAACTCCGTCTAAAAAAAAAAAAAAAAATTAGTAGAGACAAGGTCTCTCTATGTTGCCTAGAATGATGGAATTTTCATACCTTACTATTGAAAATATAAACTGCTATAACTACTTTGAAAAATAGTTTAGAAGTTTCTTTAAATATTCAATATAAACCTAGCATGATTAATCTGTTTCATTTCTAGCTAATGTCCTTGCAAAGACTTGTACATGAATGTTCATGGCAGCTTTATTTGTATTAGTCATGACTTAGGGTTATCAGACTAAAAAAGTGCATATAGTTAAATATGAATTTCAGATGAACCACAGAAAATTTTCATTGTAAGAATGTTCTGTGCAACATTTGGGAAATAAATATACTAATGGTTTTTTTTTTTTTTTTTTTTTTGACAGAGTTTTGCTCTTGCTGCTTAGACTGGAGTGCAATGGCATGATCTCAGCTCACCGCAACCTCTGCCTCCTGGATTCAAATGATTCTCCCGCCTCAGCCTCCCGAGTAGCTGGAATTGCAGGCATGTACCACCATGCCTGGCTAATTTTGTATTTTTAGTAGAGACAGGGTTTCTCCATGTTGGTCAAGCTGGTCTTCAACTCCCGACCTTAGGTGATCCACCTGCCTCAGCCTCCCAAAGTGCTGGGATTACAGGCGTGAGCCACTGCACCCGGCAATACTAATGGTTTATCCAAGTATCTGCTTATCTGAAATTCAAATATCACTGAGCTTAGCATTTTCAACAATGTAGATGATCATAGAAGACATTATGCTAATTGAAAGAAGCCAGTCACAGAAGGACAAATACTGCATGATTCTACTTACCTGACTTATCTTAAATAGTCGAAATCGTTGAAGCAGAGAATAGACTGGTGGTTGCCAGGGGCTGAAGGGAAGGAGGAAATGTGGAATTGTTGCACAACTGGTATAAAGTTTCAGTTATACAATGTGACTAAGTTTTCAAGCTCTGCTATACAACATTGTACTTATAGTTAACAATATGGTATTATGTACCTTAAAATATAAAGAGAATAGATCTATTGTTGAGTATTCTTACCACAAACAAACCAAAAACTTACAGAAGAACACAAGAACATTTTTGTAGGTGATAAATAGGTTGAGTAGCTTGATTGTGGTGATATAGTGAGTATATGGTATATGCATATGTCCAAACTCTTCAAAATGCATATATTAAATATGTACAATTTTCATATATTAACTATATACTAAAAGCTTATATATATAAATATAGCTTAAGAAAAATATTGCATTTCTAAGTTTTGTTAGAAAAATTTCAATTACTCATAGAGGTACTAGTTTCACTCTTAATTATGTGCAGTGTATTTTATTATCCATAGGATACTATTGGAGGCTCACCAACTCTAAATTGTTCATGCATAGTTCCTATCACTACCATTTTCAAATACCAAGTAGAAAAGACCTACATGAGTGATGTATTAAACAAAGAAATAAACAATCCACAAACATTTCTTGAGTATCTATTATAGAAACAGCATCCAAGGAAATAATTGGATAAAGAATAGGAAAGGTTTTTGTTTGTCGGTTTGTTTTTATCTTCCGGATACATAATAAATTACTTGTCAGTTTTCTGTCAAGAAATCTATTAAGCCAAAAGGTTGTAAGAATGCACTGAGTTGGTTGTGAGGGTGGTAGCAAATAATCTTACAAGAAAAATTTTAAGACAAAATAGAAAGAATGAATGGCAAATTTACAAATTTAGAGATTGCTTAAGATTTGTTCCAATAATGAATAAATAAAAGTAAATTAAAATGAAAGTTTAAAAACAAAACAAATTTAACTGGTTACACTGTTTTATTTTTTTCTCCTAATTCTGGCAACCCTATGCCCATTAATAGGAAAATTTGATATTTTTGTGCATTGTATCACTACAAACGAATAAAAAGAATAAACTATTGATATATTCAATAACACAAATAAATCTCAAAATAATTATTGAGTGAAAAAAGCCAGAGAAAAATCAATGGTAGTATAATTCTATTTACATAAAATTCTATGAAATGAAAAGTAATGGACAGTGACAGAAAGCAGATTAGTGGTTGCCAAGGAATGGGAGAAGGGGCATAGTGCAGGTGCAGATAGTTATTACAAGGAGAAAAAAAATTGGGGGGTTATTGGTATGTTCATTATCTCAATTGTGGTGCTGATTTTCACAGGTGTATACCTATGTTTAAACTCATCAAATTATACATTTTAAATGAATGCACATTATTTTATGGCAATAGTCTCTTAAAGTTAGTTTTAAGTAAATAAAAATTCAAAAAGAAGAAAATAAAAATAAAATTTAAAATTCAATAACATTCTTACTTGTTAAAGGTAGGTAAAGAAAGTTAAAAACTAAATGTATATAAATAAAGAGGTGTGGTTTTTATATAAAAATACACATATTCTCATATAAAATAAATAATTTAAATGAACACATTACTTGTTCATGAAAGGGAAAAGGCATTTTGTAGTTTAATGTAAATTTCAGCAGCCCGGCATAGTGGCTCACGCCTGTAATCCTAGCACTTTGGGAGGCCAAGGCAGGAGGATACCTTGAGCGCAGGAGTTCGAGATTGGCCTGAGTAACATAGGGAGATCCTATCTCTGTTAAAAAGTATATAAATAAATAAATAAATTTTAGCAGAATAATTATGATTTTTTAAAAGTTTAAATTATTCTCAAATCTGTTTATAATACCAAGTGTCTAGAATTCTAAAATATTTGTTCAAAGAAGAAAAATATGAAGTATACAGTTAGAGAAAACAAGATGTTAAATATTTTGCAAGAAACTAAGTAATAATTTTATGTTTTCATTTAACACAAATACATTAGACATATATTATTTGACAGTTATTCTTGGAGTCACTGCTACAAAAATAAAAAATATGTCAAAGTTACTTTCTTGGGCTCATATTCTATAGGTGGTAATAGTAAAAAGTAAATTCAAGAAAACAATATAATTCCTGACAATGTACATTACTATGGCAACAAAAAGGCCAGAAGTAACAGAAGAAAACGGAAGTGAAGTGTATTATTCTTCATAGGATGTCTGGGTAAGGTCTTTTCGAAGAGGCAATGCGTGATTTCAAATTTGAATGGAGGAAAGGAGAAAACCACTCACTCTCTGAAGAACATAATTTCAGTCCTGGGTAAAAAGTTTGGCAAACTTGAAGACAACCATGAAGACTACTGAGTTTGAAGCCCAATCAGTGAGAAAAAGAAAAAAAAAAATCGTGAGAAAGGAGCTCAGAGAGGTAGTCAGAAACTAGATTACAAGATATCCTACAGGCAATGATTGGACTTTGAATTTTATTTATTCTAAGAGTAATAGGGAAGGATGTAATCTGACTTATATTTTCAAAAGATCTGTTTGATTATAAAGCATTTTTGAAATATAAAGCATTAGAGAGACAAGAGTTAGAAAGAAATTACACCAATCAAGCATGAGATTACGGTAGGCTGGAATGAAATAGTGATAACAAATTAATGAGAAGTAGTCCACTTTTCAAATGTGCACAGAAATAACAGGAGTAATTGATTACATTGGGAATCATGAAAGAAAAACGAGTCAATGATAATTCCAAGTATTTTGCTTAAGCACTTTATATTAAAGTTAGGATGATTTACTAAAATTCATGACACACTGAAGTATGACCAGGTTCCTGTAGAATAACTAATATTTTGGTTTTGCACGTCATAAGTATGTGATGCCTAATTGACTCTTAAATGAAGTTTTCATGTAAACTGTCAGACTTGTACAGAAGTCTGGAATTGATGGGGAGGGTCTTCGCAGGATATAAGTCTGGAATCATTATCTCTTAGTTGGTAATTAAAGTCATGAGATGAACCAAGTCACCTAGCAAATGACTGTAGAGGTAGATGAGAAAAATTCAAAGTAGGGAGCAGTAAGATAGTAATAAATGCAGTAAATATCTCAGAAATCAAACGAAAAAATGTTTCCAACAATAGGCAGTGATTATGATTAATTTATTCAAATGCTGCTGAGAGCAAGAATAACTGAATATTCTATTTGGTGGTGTAGGGGTTATTGGTGACATTGAGTGGAGCAGAATAGTATCGACAAAGTCTTGATTGAAGTGGATTTTAAGAGAGAGAGAGAGAATTCATTTCTAAACAACTCTTTCAAGGTCTACAGAGGAATTCTACTTGAGGGTGCTGCCTTGCACCTCTAATCCTAGCTCCTGTCGCCTCTGGAAAACTCTGAATTTTTTTCTTTTTTGGAGAACAATCCTCATAATTTTCAACTAGAAGAAGTCAGTTGGTCTCCTTTGATTTTTTCTTCGTAGGTATCTCTGTGGATTTCCAGGAAAAAAATTTTGCTATCTCCAACACTAGTCTTCCATCTAGATGCTATCTCCAAAGGTTCTTTCACTTTTTATAGATATTATTTGCAGCTTTGTCAGTTTTGGGAAGAAAGCTTCCCCTAGTAGCTCTTTAGTATCATTCTAGGGATCCAAAGGACCTCAAAAGCCCAGCTTATTTGAATATTTTATATTTCTTAACTTCCTTAAACTATATATTATCGTTCTTACAGTTACTTATATATTACGGTTTTTGACTTTCTTACACTAAAAACCTCATGACCTCTTGAGCTCTTTGTATTTGTTGGAACTGAGCTTGTGTTATTTCTGGAACTGTCATCTTTGAAGCCATTTTCTTTCATGGGTATTTTAAGCTGAAGTTTTCTCTACATTTATTCCTTAATCAATCCCATCCATTTTGCTTTCTTTGTTCCTGGAATTTATCAAAATGAACTTAATGAAACCATCCTTCCTTATTATTCTGTGTTATTATTAATTTAATTCTACTTTTATGGTATTTTCTGATATTTTGAGGAATTTTGCTATAGAGGAGAAATACCAAAATTTCCCTTTAAAAATAAGCATTGAATTTATAAAATTTTGACTTAGGAAAACATATATAACACCATTCTTTTAAGTTATAAAAAATTATACCTGAAGCTTTAATCCCAACCAAAAGAAATATAAGTCAAATCGATGAATTCACTTAAGCTGAACAAATATGCTTACTGATGCTAAACCATATATTTTATTTAGATTGTTATTTAGAAGTCAATGGGTTCTGAATATAATTATTTAATTGAATATATGAACCAGTATTATAGGACACAATTCTGATTATATAAATTATAATTACAATTGATAATGAACTAAAGGAAACTTTTGCCAGCACTCTAATCAGGTCAATGTTAAGGCACATGTGCAAAAGGTATGCCACAAACTATTAGAAGAGTGTTTAATTGTCTAGAATTATTTAAAATATTTTAAAATAACATATTTATGTCAACATACAACACAAACATATCATAATATATTTAATATAATTTTTATATACTTTTTCTAAATATGTAAAAGGATTTGAAAAATACTATTCTTAAGTAAAAATTAAATAGAAAATTATGGCTTAGGGTAAAGGTTGTAATAATACAAAATGATAACCGTGCTTCATATGAAGCATTATGTTATGTTCTTCTATTTTAACAATAATTGAGACATATTATACTACTATTTTAATTTTTATAGAGGAGAGAGATGACACATAGGAAGTTAAAGTTACTTGTTCGTGAAATCATAACAGTCTCTCAGACCACAACATAATCAAATTAGGGCTTAAGATTAAGAAACTCATTCAAAACCACACAACTGCACAGAAACTGAACAACCTGCTCCTTAATGATTCCTTGGTAAATAATGAAATTAAGGCAGAAATCAAGAAATTTTTTGAAACTAAGGAGAACAAAGAGATAGCATACCCAGAATTTCTGGGACACAGCTAAAGCAGTATTAAGAGGGAAATTTATCCGCTAAGTGCCCACATCAAAAAGCTAGAAAGATTTCAAATCGGAATGGTGTGGTGGCTCACTCCTGTAATCCCAGCACTTTGGGAGGCTGAGATGGGTGTATCGCTTGAGGTCAGGAGTTTGAGAACAGCCTGGCCAACATGGTGAAATGCTGTCTCTAGTAAAAATACAAAAATTAGCCAGGCATGGTGGAGGGTGTCTGTAATAACAGCTACTCAGGAGGCTGAGGCAGGAGAAGTCTTGAACCCGGGAGGCAGGGTTTGCAGTGAGCCAAGATCACACCACTGCACTCCAGCCTAGGTGACAGAGTGAGACTCCATCTCAAACAAACAAACAAACAAACAAAACCCTCCCCCCATCAAAAAAAAGAAAAAAGCTCTGAAATCAACATCCTAAGATTGCAACTAAAAGAAATAGAGAACCATGAGCAAAGAAACCACAAAGCTAGCAGAAGACAAGAAACAACCCAGATCAGAGCAGAGCTGAATAAGATAGAGACACAAAAAAACCTTCAAAAAAATCAATGAATCCAGGAGCTGTTTCTTTGAAAAAATTAAAATATATTACTAGCTAGATTAACAAAGAAAAAAGAGAAGAATTGAATAGATACAATAAAAAATGATAAAGGGGATATCACCACTGACCCCACAGAAATGCAAACAATCATCAGAGAGTAATATAAATGTCTCTATGCAAATAAACTAGAAAATCTAAAAAAAATTGATAAATTTCTGGACATATACACCCTCCCAAGCCTGAACCAGGAAGAAGTTGAATCCATGAATAGACCAATAGTGAGTTCTGAAATTGAGGGAGTAATAAATAGCCTACCAACTAAAAAAGTCCAGGACCAGGTAGATTTACAGCTGAATTCTTTCAGAGGTACAAGGAAGAGCTGGTACCATTTCTTCTGAAACTATTCCAAACAATTGAAAAGGAGGACTTCCTCCCTAATTCATTTTGTGAGGCCAGCATCACCTTAATACCAAAACCTGGCAACAACAAAAAAAAGAAAACTTCAGGCCAACATTTCTGATGAACACTGATGCAAAATTCCTCAGTAAAATACTGGCAAACCAAAGCCAGCAGCACATCAAAAAGCTTATCCACCATGATAAGGTCAGCTTCATCCCTGGGATGCAAGGCTGGCTCAACATATATAAATCAATAAATGTAATCCATCACATAAACAGAACTAAAGACAAAAACCACATGATTATCTCAATAGACACAGAAAAGTCCTTCAATAAAATTCAACATCCTTCATGTTAAAACCTCTCAGTAAACTAGATATTGAAGGAACATACCACAAAATAATAAAAGCCATTTATTACAAGTTTACAGCCAGTATCATACTGGATGGGCAAAAGCTGGAAGCATTCCCCTTGAAAACGAGCACAAGACAAGGATGCCCTCTCTCACTACTCCTATTCAACACAGCATTGGAAGTTCCGGCCAGGGCAATCAGGCAAGAGAAAGAAATAAAGGGTATTCAAGCAGGAAAAAAGGAAGTCAAATTGTCTCTGTTTGCAGATGACATGATCTTTTATCTAGAAAACCCCATCGTCTCAGCCCAAAAGCTTTTTAAGCTGATAAGCAACTTCAGCTTAATCTCAGCATACAAAATCAAAGTACCCAAAATACAAGCATTCCTATACAGAAACAACAGACAAGCAGAGAGACAAATCATGAATGAACTGTTATTCACAATTGCTACAAAGAGAATAAAATACCTAGGAATGCAGTTAAGCAGGGAAGTGAAGGACCTCTTCAAGGAGAACAACAGACCACTGCTCAAGGAAATCAGAGAGGATAAAAACAAATGGAAAAACATTCCATGCTCATGGACAGAAAGAATCAATATCATGACAATGGCCATACTGCCCAAATTAATTTATAGATTCAGTGCTATTCCCATTAAACCTACCATCAACATTCTTCACATAATTAGAAAAAACTACTTTAAAATTCATATGAAACCAGAAAAGGGCCCACATAGCAAAGCCAATCATAAGCAAAAGGAAGAAAGCTGGAGGTATCATGCTACCTGACATCAAACTATCCTACAAGGCTACAGTAACCAAAACAGCATGGTACTGGTACAAAAACAGACACAAAGACCAATGGATCCCATTTGTCAATTTTGGCTTTGGTTGCCATTGCTTTTGGTGTTTTAGACATGAAGTCCTTGCCCATGCCTATGTCCTGAATGGTAATGCCTAGGTTTTCTTCTAGGGTTTTTATGGTTTTAGGTCTAACGTTTAGGTCTTTAATCCATCTTGAATTGATTTTTGTATAAGATGTAAGGAAGGGATCCAGTTTCAGCTTTCTACATATGGCTAGCCAGTTTTCCCAGCACCATTTATTAAATAGGGAATCCTTTCCCCATTGCTTATTTTTCTCAGGTTTGTCAAAGATCAGATAGTTGTAGATATGCGGCATTATTTCTGAGGGCTCTGTACTGTTCCATTAATCTATATCTCTGTTTTGGTACAAGTACCATGCTGTTTTGGTTACTGTAGCCTTGTAGTATAGTTTGAAGTCAGGTAGTGTGATGCCTCCAGCTTTGTTCTTTTGGCTTAGGATTTACTTGGCGATGCGGGCTCTTTTTTGGTTCCATATGAACTTTCCAAAGCCAAAATTGACAAATGGGATCTAATTAAACTAAAGAGCTTCTGCCCAGCAAAAGAAACTACCATCAGAGTGAACAGGCAACCCACAAAATGCGAGAAAATTTTCGCAACCTACTCATCTGACAAAGGGCTAATATCCAGAATCTACAAAGAACTCAAACAAATTTACAAGAAAATAACAAACAACCCCATCAAAAAGTGGGTGAAGGATATGAACAGACACTTCTCAAAAGAAGACATTTGTGCAGCCAAAAAACACATGAAAAAATGCTCACCATCACTGGCCATCAGAGAAATGCAAATCACAACCACAATGAGATACCACCTCACACCAGTTAGAATGGCAATCATTAAAAAGTCAGGAAACAACAGGTGCTGGAGAGGATGTGGGGAAATTGGAACACTTTTACACTGTTGGTGGGATTGTAAACTAGTTCAACCATTGTGGAAGTCAGTGTGGCGATTCCTCAGCGATCTAGAACTAGAAATACCATTTGACCCAGCCATCCCATTACTGGGTATATACCCAAAGGACTATAAATCATGCTGCTATAAAGACACATGCACACGTATGTTTATTGTGGCATTATTCACAATAGCAAAGACTTGGAACCAACCCAAATGTCCAACAATGATAGACTGGATTAAGAAAATGTGGCACATGTACACCATGGAATACTATGCAGCCATAAAAAATGATGAGTTAATGTCCTTTGTAGGGACATGGATGAAATTGGAAATCATCATTCTCAGTAAACTATCGCAAGAACAAAAAAACAAACACCACATATTCTCACTCATAGGTGGGAATTGAACAATGAGAACACATGGACACAGGAAGGGGAACATCACACTCTGGGGACGGTTGTGGGGTGGGGGGAGGGGGGAGGGATAGCATTGGGAGATATACCTAATGCTAGATGACGAGTTAGTGGGTGCAGTGCAGCAGCATGGCACATGTATACATATGTAACTAACCTACACATTGTGCACATGTACCCTAAAACTTAAAGTATAAAAAAAAAAAAAGACCATTGGAACCGAAAAGAGAACTCAGAAATAAGACCTCATATCTACAACCACCTGACAAAGACAAGCAATGAAGAAAGGATTTCCTATTTAACAAATGGAGCTGGGAGAACTGGCTAGCCATATGCAGGAACTTGAAACTGGACCCCTTCCTTATATTATATACAAAAATTAACTCAAGATGGAATAAAGACTTAAATATAAAACCTAAAACTATAAAAACCCTAGATGAAAATCTAGGCAATACCCTTCAGGACATAGGGATGGACAAAGATTTCATGATGAAAATTTCAAAAGCCAATTGCAACAAAAGCCAAAATTGACAAATGGGATCTAAGTAAACTAAACAGCATCTGCACAGCAAAAGAAACTATCATCAGAGTGAACAGACAAGCTATAGAATGGGAGAAACTTTTTGCAATCTATCCATCTGACAAAGGTCTAATATCCAGAATTTACAAGGAACTTAAACAAATTTACAAGATAAAAACAAACAACCCCGTTAAAAGTGGGCAAAGGACATGAAATGAACAAACACTTCTCAAAAGAAGACATTTATGCAGCCAAAAAACCTGAAAAAAAGCTCAACACCACTGATCATTAGAGAAATGCACATCAAGACCACAATAAGATACCATCTCATGCTGGTTAGAATGGCAATTATTCAAAAGTCAAGAAACAACAGATGCTGGTGAGGCTGCCTAGAAACAGGAACACTTTTACACCATCGGTGGGAATGTAAATTAGTTCAACCATTGTGGAAGACAGTGTGGTGATCCCTCAAAGACCTGGAGGCAGAAATACTATGTGACCCAGCAATCCCATTACTGAGTTCTTACACAAATAAATATAAATCCTTCCATTATAAAGATACATGCACACGTATGTTCCTTGCATCACTATTCACAATGGCAAAGACATGGAATCAACCTAAATCCCTATTAATGAAAGGCCAGATGAAGAAAATGTGGTACATATACATCATGGAATACTATGCAGCCATAAAAAGGAATAAGATCATGTCCCGTACAGGGACATAGATGGAGCAGGAAGCCCTTATCCTCGGCAAACTAACAGAGGAACAGAAAACCAAACATTGCATGTTCTCACCTATAAGTGGGAGCTAATCAATGAGAACACATAGACACAAGGATGGGAACAACACACACTAGGACCTGTCAAGAGTGGTAGGGAGAGAGAGCATTAGGATAACAGCTAATGCATGCTGGGTTGAAGGTGATGTGTTGATAGGTGCAGTAAATCACCATGGTACACATTTACCTATGTAACAAACCTGCACATGTGCTCAGGAACTTAAATAAAATAAAATAAAATAAAATAAAAGGTACTTGTTCAAAGTTAACACAGCTATTGGTAGCAGAAATAGTATCTGAAGCATGGAAATCTGGCTTTAGAGTCCACATTTTTGTATCAGAGAATGTAGAAATATTTAATTATATTTTTTATTTTATCTTTCTAATCAATAATATTTATCTTTAAATAGAATAAAATAGAATATTTATTGCTAAATTAAGTGATAAATAGTAGAGGAAAGCATAGTCACTTATGATTTGTTCATATGTCTAGATCCAGATGAATCAGATACTGAAAGAGCTTTTCATTGTCACTATACAACCACCAGTTATTTATCTTTGGGAAACCATAAAAAATGAGATAACTGTTGTGAGGCTGAAGATGAGTCAATACACATTCCTCCCCCTTTAGGGAAGAAAGAAGAAAATCAAAACCTCTAAACTATGGCATGAGATAAATATATCCAGGCTTGCTATTAAAACTTTTAACACTGAAGAAAGAATGCACCATTCATGAGGTGTCACTTTGTGTGTGTGTGTGTGTGTGTATGTGTGTTTTGGTCATAGCAGGAAATGATTACCTGAATTGAGAGTTGTTCAATATACTTGTATTTGACTGTAAAACATAACCAAAATATGTGATGTGTGGGTAAGGGAAGTTTGTAATGAATCTTCCCTTTTCAGCATTTTAATAAATATCTTTGAGAAAAAAAAAGTATCATGTTTTCTTAATTTGCATTTGGTAAAGTTTGCTTGTTTTTTTGAACCCAAGAATCAATAATTTTAGAGAAGTGTGTGTGAAGGGGGTAGAAGTGGAGTGTCTAAATCTCTCCCAATTTATGATACAATCAGTGCTTATGTCTCTCCTCATCAATAGTATGGGAGAGAAGGCATGGCCGCAAGTGCCTGCTTAAGAATATATGCTACTGGGGAACACCAGTGTATGCAGTGAGAGGAAATGTAGTCAGGCAAGAAAACCTTATTATCCAGGGAGTGGAGTCCAGATGCAGGAGGACATGTCAGAGAAACAAAAAGTGATGGCTTCCAGGTAGTCAAGTAGAAATCACATTGCAGTAGTAGAGAATTTATTAATGGATGGTGATATTAATAGAATTGGCAATAAAATGAAAATAAAGTTGGCAGGTGTTCCTTATCCAACAAGTCTGGAAGCAGGTAGCGAGATCCAGCCCCTGAATTGATTTCTCACACATAGCCTGGTTTCTTCATGTCTCTAGTCACAGAGATTCAATCTGCTGTATTCTCCTTTCTGGGGTAGAAATAAATTTATTTATGTTAAGTGCTTAGAACAATGTATATAAGATGGCCAATACCTTGATTTTAGCTTGATGTGATTTATGTTGAACTTCTGAATTACAGGACTATAATACTAGTAATTTGTTTCAGAAACAATAGAAATCTACTACTGCTATATTCCCTATTATTACTATGGAAAATAAAAATTAGAAAAATTGCAAACATTGGAAGTCTTAAAGATTTTAAAAATTTTACATAATTGTCTCTTTATTACTGTCTCAGAATAATCCTGGAGTAAAGTAAACATGGGATTTGGAGTGAGATCAGGGTTCGAGTTCTGATTGCAGCACTTATACAGTTAGTGGCTCACAGCAAGTTACCATCTCTCTAAGCCTCATTTTCTCTGTCTTTCAAATGGTAATATTTACCTGTACTGAAGAAAATATTTTTTAAAAAGTACTTCATTCACATTTACTAACATCCAATAGGCACACAATAAATTATAGCCACGGTTATCTTTATTTGTTGTATTTATTGCCCCTCAAAGTTCTAGAACAGACCCCTGTCTTTATTTTTATGCTACATATTGTCTTTATTTTTACACTACACATTACACTACCACTGACAGCTAGCACACTCCAAAGTATTTGAGGAAACTTTGGCTGGTATATTCTTAAAACCTTTTCTTTTTTCTTTGCTGACATGAGCTAACATGGGTATCTTCTTGCTATCAATTGTTTATTATTCTCTCTCACTATCAATTGTTTATTCCTCTTTCTCTCTTTGGAAAAGTCCTCGCGTCTGGCTGATATTTTTCTTTCTAACAGACTGACCTAGGAGGAGAGCCGTCTGTGACATGGTGTGCCAAATATGTTTTCTCAGACTAAAAATTGATTTTTAACCCAAAATGACTCCAGATTTGTTTTATGTCTTAAATTATCTTTTTATTACATATAGGGAATTTTCAAAACCATTTTCTTATATGCTACATTTCTATTTACTTTAGATTCTCTATTAAAATGGAAAAAGTGGTATAATAAATTTCCTGAAGCTTCAATAATAAATTTCTCAAAGTTGGGTAGCTCTTGTAAATATACGGCTAAATAATACCATCATCGAACTAGTCATTACCTGATTTGTCATCCTCCTATAGGAACACTTAAAGCTTAAAGTTTAAAATCTTTTAAATTTTTTAATCAGGTAAAATTGGTTCCTTTCTTGTAGATATTCTGGATATAATTAAGATGAAATACTTAAACAATGCAGGATATTATCTTTTTGTGTTTCATTTCAGCCTGATTTGCTTTTGTTCATTTTTAACATTTCAAATAAATTATTCACATTTTTTGTACAGGCAAAGTTTTCTCATTTAATTACAGTGCTTAGTTCCAATATTTCACTTTAATAATTATGTATATCTGCTCAGAAAATTTAGATGCCTCCCTCATTTCAGTTCTTAGTTAATATAGAGATGGTGAGCAGGTAACAGAAAAAAGAATTATTAAGGCAACCAGAAGAAAATTGGAATCAACCCAAAAATTAAAGGCCGTTTTCTACTACTACATATTTCAAGACTTACAAGAATCCATGCATACAAACACACTTACATATGTTTGTGCATATACTGATGCATATACATATATATATATATATATATATATATATATATATATACACACACACACATATACATTCAAGCTGATGTTCTCTATTATTGTTAACCGTCGTAGCGGATCTAATTGCAAAAAGGTTTTGCCACAAATTTAACCCCCAAATTATTGCTTTTATTAATCAGATTTTCCTAAAATCTTTCACTGCCTCCAGCACAAAGTGGCAGACAATTTAACAATTAGAAATAGATTTATATCCTGAAGGAAGCACTACATATGGAAAGGAAAAACCGGTACCAGCCATTGCAAAAACAAACTAAAATGTAAAGATCATCAACACTATGAAGAAACTGCGTCAACTAATGGGCAAAATAACCAGCTAGCATCATAATGACAGGATCAAATTTATACATTATAATATTAATCTTAAATGTAAATGAGCTAAATGCCCCAATTAAAAGGCACAGACTGCAAATTGGACAAATAGTCAAGACCCATCAGTGTACTGTATTCAGGAGACCCATCTCACGTGCAAGGACACACATAGACTCAATATAAACAGATGAATGATCTACCAAGTAAATGGAAAGAAGGAAAAAAAGAAGAAAAAAAAGCAGGGGTTGCAATCCTAGTCTCTGATAAAACAGACTTTAAACCAACAAAGATCAAAAAGACAAAGAAGGGCATTAAATAATGGTAAAGGGATCAATGCAACAATAAGAGCTAACTGTCCTAAATATATATGCACCCAATACAGGAGCACCCAGATTCATAAAGCAAGTTCTTAGAGACCTACGAAGAAACTTTGATTCCCACACAATAATAGTGGGAGACTTTAACACAAAGAGGAGCTGGTACCATTCCTTCTGAAACTATTCCAAACAACAGAAAGAGAGAGACTCCTCCCTAACTCATTTTATGAGGCCAGCATCATCCTGATGCCAACACCTGGCAGAGACACACAAAAAAAGAAAACTTCAGGCAAATATCCCTGATGAACCTCAATGTGAAAATCCTCAATAAAATACTGGCAAACCCAATCCAGCAGCACATTAAAGAGCTTATCCACCACGATCAAGTCAGCTTCATCCCTAGGATGCAAGGCTGGTTCAACATACACAAATCAATAAATGTAATCCATCACATAAACAGAACCAATGACAAAAAACACATGATTATCTCAACAGATGAGGAAAAGGCCTTTGATAAAATTCAATACCCCTTCATGCTAAAAACACTCAATAAACTAGGTATTGATGGAACATCTCTCAAAATAATAAGAGCTATTCATGACAAACCCACAGACAATATGATACTAAATGGACAAAAGCTGGAAGCATTCCCTTTGAAAACCAGCACAAGACAAGGATGCCCTCTCTTGCCACTCCTATTCAACATAGTGTTAGAAGTTCTGGCCATGGCAATCAGGCAAGAGAAAGAAATAAAAGATATTCAAATAGTAAGAGAGGAAGTCAAATTATCTCTGTTTGCAGATTACATGATTGTATATTTACATAACCCCATTGTCTCAGCCCAAAAACTCCTTAAGCTGATGAGCAACTTCAGCAAAGTCTCAGTATACACAATCAACATGCAAACATCACAAGCATTCATATACACCAGTAGTACACAAACAGAGAGCCAAATAATGAGCAAACTCCCATTCATGATTGTTACAAAGAGAATAAAATACCTAGGGATACAGCTTACAAGGGATGTGAAGAGGTCCTTCACATCCGTTCAAGGAGAACTACAAACCACTGCTTGAGGAAATAAGAGAGGAGAGAAACAAACAGAAAAAACATTTCATACTCATGGATAGGAAGAATCAGTATTGTGAAAATGGCCATACTGCCCAAAGTAATTTATAGATTCAATGCTATTCCCATCAAGCTGTCATTGACTTTCTTCACAGAATTAGAAAAAATTACTTTATATTTCATATGGAATTTAAAAAGAGCATGAATAGCCAAGACAATCCTAAGCAAAAAGAATAAAGATGGAGGCATCATGCTACCTGACTTCAAACTATACTATGAGGCTACAGTAACCAAAACAGCATGGCACTGGTACCAAAACAGATATATGGACCAATGGAATAGAACAGAGGCCTCAGAAATAACACCACACATCTACAACCATCTGATCTTTGATGAGCCTGACAAAAACAAGCAATGGGGAAAGGAATTCCTATTTAATAAATGGTGGTGGGAAAACTGGCTAGCCATATGCAGAAAACTGAAACTGGACCTATTCCTTAAACTTTATACAAAAATTAACTCAAGATGGACTAAAGACTTAAGTGTAAGACCTAAAATCATAAAAACCCTAGAAGAAAACCTAGGCAATACCATTCAGGACACAGGCATGGGCAAAGACTTCATGACTAAAACACCAAAAACAATGGCAACAAAAGCCAAAATTGACAAAAGGATCTAATTAAACTAAAGAGCTTCTGCCCAGCAAAAGAAACTATCACCACAGTGATCAGGCAACCTACAGAATGGGAGAAAATTTTTGCAATCTATCCATCTGACAAAGGGCTAATATCCAGAAGCTACAAGGAACTTAAACAAATTTACAAGCAAAAAGCCAACAACCCCATAAAAAAGTGGGCAAAGGATATGAACAGAAAATGTTCAAAAGAAGTCATTTATGTGGCCAACAAACATATGATAAAAGCTCATCATCCTTGGTCATTAGAGAAATGCAAATTAAAACCACAGTGAGTTACCATCTCATGCAGGTTAGAATGGCGATAATTAAAAAGTCAGGAAACAACAGATGCTGGAAAGGGTGTGGAGAAATAGGAATGCTTTTACACTGTTCGTGGGAGTGTAAATTATTTCAACCATTGTGGAAGACAGTGTGGCGATTCCTCAATGATCTAGAACTAGAAATACCATTTGATCCAGCAATCCTATTACTGGGTATATACCCAAAGGATTATAAATCATTCTACTATAAAGACACATGCACACGTATGTGTATTGTGGCACTATTCACAATAGCAAACATTTGGAACCAACACAAATGCCCATCAGTGTTAGATTGGATAAAAAATATATATATGGCACATATACACCATGGAATACTATGCAGCCATAAAAAAGAATAAGTTCACTTCCTTTGCAAGGACATGGATGAAGGTGGAAACCATCCTTCTCAGCAAACTAACACAGAAACAGAAAACCAAACACCACATGTTCTCACTCGTAAGTGGGAGTTGAACAATGAGAACATACGGGCTCAGGGAGGGAAACAACACACAGCAGGGCCTGTCGGGGTGTGGCAGGTAAGGGGAGGGATAGCATTAGGAGAAATACATAATGTAGATAATGGGCTGATGGGTGCAGCAAACCAACATGGCACATGCATACCTATGTAACAAACCTGCACATTCTGCACATCATCCCAGAACTTAACATGTAATAAAAAAAGAAAATATGATAAAAGAAAAGAAAAAAAAGGAATGGATTTATAAAGCAACACAGGAGTAATGATGAGCTTTTCATCAGACATCTAAACTACCAATTGCAAATTTATTTAAATAATGTTGCATACTTAAAGATGCAACATTATTTCCATAAAAAGTCTATAAGGTTGCTTAGATATCAAGTAGAAGGTTGAAACTTCACCTGATATTTATCCATAAAGGTGTGTCATACATTTTGGCAACATCCATTATGCATGCAGCACTGAGGAAAACATTGGGAAAATCTTATTTACAGCATATAGAATTTGTAAGAGTGCTTCATAGTGAATGTAGAGGAGAGTGGTAGAGTTCAGTTGTAAAGTAACAACAACCAGACAAAATTTCAGTAATGAACAAAACAAAAATCAGGCAAAATCTCATAGAACTGGAATGCATTAGACTTGTGTTTCAGTGAAGCATTCTGGCTCCAATAACATGTTTAATCACTGAATTACATTTTAACTCATGTCTATATTACTTCTAGGAATTGAAGGTCTGTCCTAACACCAACAGATATGTAGGTGGTGTCCTAGGATAAAAGGCCAGTGCTTTGAAGCCACATTAACCTTGTTTTAAATAACAGCTAATTCTTTGTTAAGGGAAATACATAATTGATAGCAAGAAGATACCATTTAACTTTGGTGAGATGTTGCATTAGTTACGTATCCTCCCTGGGATAGCATCTTTACTTGAAAATAAGCACAGTAATGGCCATATTATTGTTGCATATTTATGAAAAATAACAGAGTCTCGTATGCAATGTGCATAATATATTTCAGGTCCTTCGTTTTGCTACCTGCTATTTATGGACAGATTTTCAGACATATATATGTGCCTTGAATTCTCAGTATTTCCTCCTCACATTTTTGTCACTGCGCTCTGTCCAGCTACTGCGGTATTTCAATACAGAATTTAAGCATAGCAGCCTGATTTCATCTATTTTTCTTCATTTTGCTATTCTACTTCTTGCTTCCAAGGGGTCTCCAAGTATATTTCCAAGTCCCCTAACAAGAAATAGGTCTGCAAAGTCTCTTCAAATGAAAATAATACATTTTAAAATGGAAAAAGAGATTTTTCAGGCCTGCGGTCCTTTGAATCTTCGGAAAATTATTGAACAATAAAAACTATAAAAGCTCTTGCTGTGATACTGACACGTATAAAAAAGTTGAACAGTTGTATTTTTACTGTTTTCTGGATTAAAAATGCTGTTCAGCTATCTAATTCTAAGCTATTGCACAGATTAGACTTAATTACCTCCTCTGAAAACAGTTATTGACTCTAATCAAGCAGGTCAGAAACCATATTTCAAGCAAGTAATCAACATCAGCTGAAGAAGTATAAAGAGAATCTTGATTTGTGAATTTTTTTTTGAGATTTCCTTCCAGGAACATTAGATCTACATCATATACTGTAAGTTCAGCTAGTGAAAGCATTTGACCTAGGGAGGACAGAATAATGTGTAAAAAGAGAAAACAACTCTAAACAATCATGGATGTGGGACGTGGAAAATACACAATTCAGGGATCTCAAATAATTAAAGTATGCTGTTTAATCTGTTCATTTAAAAATTATAAAAATGTGAGTTTGAAAACATAACATAATTATTATTTCAGAATAAATTTCTGTCATTGCTTCTAGCTCTCACGGACCATTTTAGCATTGTCATGTTGTCAGGATTTTTTTTAAATACTAATAACTATTTGTCATATGCACAAGACCCTGTGAGATACTCTGTTTATTTTAAGAAACATACTACACAGTGTTTTCAAGGAAATAGAAAGTTAAACAATGCAAGGCCAAAAGATAAGAAATATAATAATTTCAATGAAGGCTTTATTAAAGAGATAATGCTCAAATAAATTTGGAAGATAGGCAAGTTTGTATATGGCGCAGGAAGGGCATTCCTGTTGGGGTTTTGGGATGAATAAAAGTAGAAAAGTATATTCCTCTTTCAAGAATTCAGTATTCTTTCCTTAAGTGGAAGATTTTAATGTTGCAGTAATTTTTTTTTAACGTTTATTTTAGATTCAGAAGGTACATGTTCAGGTTTGTTATCTGAGCATATCGAGTGATGCTGAGGTTTGAGGAACAAATAATCCACTCATCCAGGTAGTGAACATAGTACCTAAAGGTAGCTTTTCAACCCTTGCCCTGCTCTTCCCTCTCCACCCTAGTAGTCCCCAGCATCTATTATTCTCATGTTTATGTCCACGAATCCCAATGTTTAGCTCCCTCTTATAAGTGAGAACATGTGGTATTTGGTTTTCTGTTCCTGCTCTTATTTGCTTAGGATAATGGCCTCCAGCTGCATCCATGTTGTTGCAAAGGATGTAATTTCATGTTTAATGGCTGCATAGCATTCCGTGGTGCATAAGTACCACATCTTTTTTACCCAGCCCACCATTGATGGGAACCTAGGTTGATTCTATGTCTTTGCTATGGTGAATAGTGCTGTGATGAACATATGAGTGCATGTGTCTTTTTGTGTATTTTTTGGGATATGTACCTAGTAACGGTATTGCTGGGTCAAATGGTAGTTCTGTTTGTTATTTGAAAAATTTCCGAATTGCTTTGTGCAGTGGCTGAACTAATTTACATTCTCACCAACAGTTTATAATGACTGGTGTGAGATGGTATTTCATTGTGTTTTTGATTTGCATTTCTCTGATTAGTCATTTGAGGCATTTTTGTTTAATGTTTATTGGTCACTTATGTGTCTTCTTTTGAGAAGTGTCTGTCTTTTACCCATTTTTTTTTAATGGGATTGTTTTCTGCTTTTTGAAATAAGTTACTTATAAGTTCTAGATATTAAAGTATTTTCAAATGCATTGTTTTCAAATATTTTCTCCCATTCTTTAGGTCATCTGTTTACTCTGTTTATAGTTTCTTTTGCTGTGCAGAAGCTCTTTAGTTTAATTAGGTCCCTCTTGTCAATTTTTGTTTTGTGATTGCTTTTGAGGACTTGGTCATACATTTTTTCCCAAGGCTGTTGTCCAGAATGGTGTTTCTGAGATTTTCTTCTAGGATTCTTATAGTTTTAGGTCTTTCATTTAAATCTTCAATCCATCTTGAGTTAATGTTTGTATATGGTGATAGGTAGTGGCCTAGTTTCATTCTTCTGCATACAGCTAGCCAGCTATCCTAGCATTGTTTATTGAATAGGGAGCCCCTTTCCATTGCTCGCTTTTGTCAACTTTGTTGAATATCAGATAGCTGTAGGTGTGCAGCTTTATTTCTAGGTTCTCCATTCTGTTCCACTGGTCTATGTGTCCTTTTTTTTTTTTTGTACCAGTACCATGCTATTCTGCTTCCTGTAGCCCTGTAGTATAGTCTGAAGTTGGACAATGTGATGCCTCCAGCTTTGTTCTTTTTGCTTAGGATTTCTTTGGCTATCTGGGCTCTTTTTTAGTTCCATATACAATTAATAATTTTTTTCTAGTTCTGTGAAAAATGATATTGATAGTTTGATAGGAATAGCATTGAATCTGTAGATTGCTTTGGGCAGTATGGCCATTTTGACAATATTTATTATTCAAATGCATAAGCATAGGATGTTTTCCATTTCTTTGTGTCATCTATGATTTTTTAGCAGTGTTTTGTACTTATAGAGATTTTATCTGTCTGGTTAGATGTATTTCTTGTTTTTGTTTTTGTGACTATTGTAAATGGGTTTGCATTCTTGCTTTGGGTTTGAGCTTGAATATTATTGGTTTTAGAAATGCTAATGTCTGTACATTGATTTTATATCCTGAAATTTTACTGATGTCTTTTGTCAGTTCCCGGAGCCTTTTGGCAGAGTCTGTAGGGTCGTCTAGGTATAGAATCATACTGTCTATAAAGAAAGACAGTTTGAATTCTTTTTTTTCCTATTTTGATGACTTTTATTTCTTTCTTTTGCTCTGGCTAGCACTTAGAGTACTATGTTGAATAGAAGTGGTGAGAGTGAGCACCTTTGTCTTCCTCCCGTTTTCAAGGGGAATGGTTCCAGGTTTTGCCCATTCAGTATGATGTTGACTGTGGGTAAGTGACAGGTTTTGAGAATCACAGCTAGTAGTTTCACTTTAAGACATGGAATTATTAGGCAATATATCCAAGGTCATAGGTCTAAAATGATTTATTTTTAAAAGTATTATCTCTCTTCCCCAGTAGAATTAAGTTCCACAGATGAAGGTGTGGGTCTAGTTGATGTGTTTTAAAAATAAATTTGTTGGAAGTACAATAGATTTTCTTTTTCCTTTTCTTTTTCTTTTTTTGATAGGATAATAATTTGAGGCTAGGAGAAAATGTAATAATAGCAATAAGCAAGGTCTGAATTTCAGTGGTAATTACAACTCTTAAAGCAATCTGTTTACTCAGCTACTGATAAAACTGATTTTGCTAAAAATTATGCCCAGACCGAATATATCGTAAGTTGAATGCACTACACTGTTAAAATTAGCCCTTTCTTTTCATCATTTTTATTTGACATGAAGTAAGTTTTTACTTATTTTTGGATAATCAAAATGTATTTATTTTAAGAAGTTTCACATTTTTAAAACTGCACTGGCTTAAGTATTGATACAATAAATGTAATACTTGAATTAACTCTTTAGACTTCTGTGATATCCCAGATTTGGCAGCTAGAAAACATCTGTAGGGGAGAGGGAAATATTTCTCTCTACTCTCTGAAGGTTCAGTAATCGAGGCTGTGAAATAAACTGACAGTAGAAACATTACAGGAGAAAAGACATAAATTTATTATGGGCATACACATCAGCATCTCACAAAATATGAGACTTGAAGAAGAGCCAGATGATTGAGGTGTATATATCTCTGAGCTACAGAGAAACAGGGGCTTGTGACTTCTGTGGGGGAGGTGGCAACAGGTCATGGGAAGGTAAGGGGAGGAAATGTATGGCAAACAAATGCTGTCTTGTTATGCAAATAAAAAGCCTCTCAGGTACTAAAAGTTGTCTCAGAGTAGTCCATCAGAAGAACATGTAATAGCCTGTGACAAAGTCTATCTGAGCTAAGTGTTGCCCTTCAGTAATCTCTCCTATGATAACATCTTCTCTAGTTCATGAGATTTTCATGGCAATTGTTTCCTTTACAGATCTAGCTTTCTTTTATAAAAGGACAGCTTGTCAGAGCCACTCTTGTATCTGCAGTTTCTCAGAATAATCAGCTTAAAATATGACTAAAAGGTATATTCTGGGGTGGTATATTCTTGTTTACTGTAGTTATATTTTGGGGTGGTGTATTCTGAGCCCAAACACATAATATGTAATATTTTTATCTAGATGCCATATCGAAGTCAAGTTGATATGGTTTGGCTGTGTCCCTACCCAAACTCGTCTTAAATTGTAGTTCCCATAATCCCCACATGTCATGGGAGGGACCCAGTGGGAGGTAATTGAATCTTGGTGGCAGTTACCCCCATACTGTTCTTGTGATAGTGAGTGAGTTCTCACGAGATCCAGTGGTTTTGTAAGAAGATTTTCCCTCTTTGCTAGACACTTCTCCTTGCTGCCTCTGTGAAGAACGATGTGTTTTCTTCCCCTTCTGCCGTGATTGTAAGTCTCCTGAGGCCTCCCTAGTCATGCTGAACTGTGAGTCAATTAAACCTCTTTTCTTTATAAATTACCCAGTATCGGGTGTGTCTTTATTAGCAGCATAAAATAGACTAATACACAAGTTTAGACGAAATTGCCTTAATATTTTTAAATATATTAAAAATGTTCTTGAATAAATTAAAATCTTCTATTCACTGTCACTTCCACCCCACATATTGTAATTCAATGTTTAAGGGCTTGAGTCCTCACAGTGCAAATTACTAGCTATGTGATATCAAATCTATTATTTAGCCTCTCTATGCTTCATTTTCTTTTTCTTTTTTCTTTTCTGTCTTTTTTTATTTTTGCAAAATGGGGATAAAAATTATATTTCCATCACTGGAAACATTGAAAGAATAAAGAGAGACAATGTAAGTCATATAGACTATTCAACATAATGTTATTGCTGATAGTAGACCTTAAGAAAATTGAGATTTTTTAATGATTTCTCACAGACACTGGGTAATATTTAGAGAAAATATGTAAACATTCTGTATTTTAAATTAATAAATAAATACATTAAAAAATAAAAATCTAACACAAAATAATAATGATCATACGTAACTCCTTAGCAACTGTAGGATTTGGGAATGCCACTGAGACTCTTACAAACCTTTAAAACATGGGAACGTTGGAAATAATGTAATCTGATGTCTCCATTTTAACACTTGGAAGACAAGAGTCTGAGAAAAGTTACTTGGTTTGTTCAAGCCAGGTAATGTGAATGTATGATGTTCCTTTTTGTAACATCCACTGTTTAAAAATACTGAAATATTGTGATAAGGGAGGCCAGATCAAATATTTAAAGATAAACACACCTGAGATAAATACACCTGGCTGAATAATTGAAGGTTACCAGACTTACAATATATTGCATGTAAACACATGTATTCTATCAAAAAAGTTTGGCCAAAATGTGATATTAAAATAAATATTGTTTAAAGTATTTGAAATATTTCAACCAAAAAATTTGTCAAAATGTGATATTGAAAAAAATATTTGAAGTATAATATAGTTACTATGATATGGGTCATAACTTCAAACAATATACTAAATCTTGGCCCTAAATTTAAATTATAAAAATTAAATTATAATATTAAATATTATAAGATACATGTAACTTGGAATTTCCAGGACATATCAATGTCCATATAACTTTTTTTCTATTTAGTAAAGGTAATATTTATATGTTGAATTAAGCAGCACTTGAAAATTCTAAATCATCTTATCAATAAATTCACAGGAAAGTAAGAGTGCTTTGTCAGGAGATAAAATTTACAAAGGAAAATCTGTTCATATGTCGTTGATTTTGACTTTTGATCCAGTATTTAAAATTTTTACATTTGATTAGAAAGCTCAGAAAGATTGTGTCTCACCTCAAATATATTAAAACATTAGATAGGAAATAAAGACATTCAGATAAACACTCTTTTTTTTTGTTGGTTTGTTTTTCAGGATTTAAGTTAAAATTTAATGTAGGTATCTTGCTTAAATTTGTTATGGGTTGTATACCAATTGCATACAACATTTCTCAACTAGAATATTGATTAGAGTGAATGTTAAGGTATAATTGGGGGTATTTGTGTTAAAAATTCATATTTAGAAACCTGAGATCTGTGGGAAGATTTTTAGTATTTTAATCAATGTTTATCATTTGAGGTAAATGTTGGCAATAATTACAATAAAATTACAAGAGCAGATTCTTATACATAAAAGTAAACCTCTTTCTCCTAAACTTATCGCTTCATTTTTCTCAACAACATAAAAATACCTAAATGTTTTCTAAAAAACATGATTCAGTTCATACACTGGGATATAATTGTGTTTCTGAATTTAGACCTGTCAACAGGGATGATCAGGAAGGTACAAAACTTTTGGCTTTAGATTAGTTCTGTGTATGTGTTTGGTGGCTCTGTCACATAGGGCAGGTCACTGGTGGATATTATAGGTATACTATAAGCTTATTATGCTTATTAATATAAGGTGACTTATACAGAGTCAGGTATACTTTTACCAGTGACTTACACAGAGCTCCTTTTAGTGATAAAAATAAGTTTTGTTTGAGAAGTGATAAAAGATTAATTTTTGTCTATAAAAATTAATATGACCTGCAAAAATGTACAATATACAGAAAATTGTTTTTTACTTTTTCATTAGCATGTTGAATGCTCTTGTAATTGTAGATAGCAATTATAGCATTGCAATGCCAATGCTACTATGTTAAAAATAATATTCCTAGTTTAGCATAGAGACATAAAACTTTTGACACAGAAAGAATAAAGTGGGGCTAGCTATATAATTTATGCCCCAAATCAGTACAATTTTGACAGTGAAAAGGTAGCTAAAAATAACAATACCAGAAAAACAGGAGTTAAATGAGACTGTGACAGAAAAAATGTGTATCAGTTTTTTTTTCATAGACATTTAAGAGTTCAAAGGAATTTATGTGGTTTGTCATATTTAACGTAATGTACTAGTAATAGGGCTAGAAATAAAACCTTGGTTTTCTGACCCACATTGAGTTTCTGGAAACCCATAGTAGCCACATAAAAGTGGTAAGAACTCAAACATGTAATATCAAATAATTTTCAAAATATTTTTATCTAATTAAAAATTACATTATTATCAAAGTAAAGCCATTTCCCTACTAACATCATAAAGGAAAGTAAAGGCGGTGATTGTTTTGTATGGTTCGGATATGCACAAACACAGTTGCCATGTTTTAGTTTAATAACACCAGTCCTCCAACATCAAGGTTCAAATTTCTCAACATCAAGGTTCACAATATAATAAGTAAGTAAATGCATAAAGTACAAACTTCTCTGCTAGCTCTTTAGTCCATGAATTATAACAGATACAAATTGTGATCAGTAGCTAACCACTTTATTCTAGGTCTGCCAGTGATTGTTCATTGCCATTTCTTATTTAGTTCAGGCACAGAGCAATACATGCAATTGTGTTGCCTCCTTGTCTCTTAAAGATAAATCCACTTGACATCAAACAAATAATCAAAATAGAAAATTCACCAGTAAAGAAGAAAGTGTTAGTAAAGAAACAAGATGATGCTGGAAGTAAAATTTGAATAGAATGTGAATATGCTGTCAAAGAAGAGATAAATGGCTCTGGAAATGTTGATTGTTACCATTCAAAAGTCTCTAGATATACAACCAAAGGAACTTAATGAAGTTGAAATTATCAACATAAGTGAGGAAAGTAGTCATGACAAAATGATGAAGATATCCCAGAGGAAAAGATGCCAGCAAAAAATTTTGACATTAATGGAACACTTGGAGATATTTCATGGCATTGAAATTGCATGCAATGGATAAAACGTTAGAAAGTAATCCAAACTTAGAAAAGAAAATTATAACTTGCCAAATCATAAGACAGGCAAACATCTACCCGTCCTCTTTTTCTTTAGAGACGGGGTCTTGCTCTATTACCCAGGCTGGAGAAAACACTTTTTAAAACTACTCTTGCTAAGTTTTTACAAAGTAAACACTTTAGTTCTCAATGTTTCTAATGCTTTAAATTACAGTTAAATTTTATAAATATTTCTGAAGTAAATATGAGTTTAGTTTTTTTATTTGCCTATGTATTTATAACTGGTAGTAAAGTTTTTAATGTTTTGAGAAAAAGGTTTAAGGGTCATGGAACAATCACAATTTTTTTCATTGATTATTGAGAATTTTTTCCATGTCTTTAGCTTGCATGGTTAATTTAAGGTCTTGCAATACTGGGCAAAGTGAAGCTCCCCTGTAATATAGAACATATTTAACCAGATTGGGCTTTTTTTTTTTAAAGTATGGTTTGCTTCTATCACATTGATCATTTTTGTACTTTTAAGTTTTGATTTAATTTTAAATTTACAGAAAACATGCAATAGTAAAAGTAACTGCTAAAAACTTTCCACTCGTATTTGGCCATTGTTTACATTTTTCTCCATTCACTTTATAATCATTTCTCTCTCTCTGTTTCCCTCTATCTGCCTTCCTCCATATTCCTACACTCCCCCTTCCTTTATGTTTCTTGACTTTGCTATTTCTGAACCTTATTAGCTAGTTTGTTGAGAAGAATGTCACTTGATTTGGGTTGATCTGATATTTCTTCATGCTTATATTCAGGTTATGTGGATTACTGATAGGCATAACATGGAATTGAGACTGGGCTTTTTACTGACTCTTAGAGTTTTATCCCATTAATGGTGATATTAACTTCAATTCTTGGTTGGAGTTATATCTGTCAGATTTTTCTTTGTAAAATTACTTTTTTGGCCTAACATATAAATTTGGAGAGGGATATTTTATAAATTTTAAATACCCGATTTCTCGTCAAATGATAACCCACTAGTTTTAGCATCCATTAATGATGCAATTTTCTGTCTTTTAAGTACAGATAAAACTAAGGGATAAAGGTAGTTAGAATGTAAATTGGTGCCATATTTCTGTGGGGTATTTGGCAAAAAATATCAGAAGTTTAAACACTTAAATATCTAGTAATTCCTTCTGTGGAAATTTTTTTCCAAAAAAAATAATCACTGATTTCTTCATCTTAGCTATATTTAAGACAGTGGCATTTTTGAAATAAATTAAATAACCTACAACAGATATATTACATTAAAATAATAGAATATTAAGCAATTACTTTAAATTATGTTTTGAGGTATATTTAATGGTCAAGAAAATTATTTAGCATATAATGTTAAGTAAAATAAATCGAATTATAAAACAGCATTGAATTATCATATTTTTGCATAAGTTAAGGGTTTTTTAGAGTAAAATAGAAGTTTATTTTATGAAAATAATAGTGATTATTACCTCTAGATTAGTAGCATTTAGGTACTATTTTGCTTTGTCTAATATTAATTTTTTGATATTATCTAAGTAAAAAAATTAATATTTTTGTGGCATTTTATATTTGAAGCAAATAAAACATTATAAGCATCTTCAGTAATATTCACATTAACATTTTGCAATATAATTTGAGTTCATGTGATCTGAGCAATCAGTTATTTGCAATGTTTAACTCACTCCTTTGGGATCAGGGGAAATGCTAGCTATTGATTCATAGTGACCAGTTGAAAACGAAGATAAAATAAATTGATCGAAGTGTATTTGCTTATAAATTCATGCATTTGGAAATAAAGCTACAAAAGAAGCATTAATTCAATTTCCTTTCAACTTTTTTTTCAGGAAAAAAGTCTTATTGTCCCCAGATTCTAATTAACACAGATGCTCTTCAGCTTATGATGTGGCTATAGTCTGATAAACACATTGTAAGTTGAAAATATTGCAGGTTGAAAATGCATTTAATACACCTAATCTACTGAACGTCATAGCTTAGCACATCTTACCGTAAACATGATCAGAATACTTACTTTATACATAGCCTTTAGTTGGGCAAAAATCATCTAACACAAAGTGTATTTTATAGTAAAGTGTTGAATAGCTCATGTAATTTATTGAATACTGTACTGAAAGTGAAAAACAATTTTTGTATGGGTACGTGAAGTGTGGTTTCTACTGAATGCGTATTCCTTTCACACCATTTTAAAGCTGAAAAATCAGTAAGTCAAACAATTAAGTCAGGAACTGTATATGTTTTTAGAATTTATCATTAATTATTATTCTTCAAATGGTTTTTTTATTCATCTTTAGTGGAGGCATTTTACATAAAAAACTATTAAAATATTTTTCAGTTGAATGAATTATCATTGTATTATTGTAAAATATCAAATTTATATATTGTATAAGGCCCTTCATAGCATGTGCCCTGCTTTTTCATTAAATTCTCATTTGCATTGCCATTGTTTGTACTTCTTTTACTGAATGTCTTTTCTTTTTATTCTTGGTATTCTTTACTACATGTTCGCTGAACTTGCTGTTTTTTAAAAAACACTGTCACGACCTTACATATACTCATAACTCCTACTACTTCTAATTTCTATTCAAGAGCATCCTCCCCAGGAAATGTTCAGTTGACTGCCTTGGGTTGACTTCATTGTTTCATATCTTCATAGTCTACTATTGTATATGTACACCTTTATACAGAAATGTCCATATTGCATTGTTTGCATGCCTATCTCTAACTATATCTGTAGCCCTGTCCCAAAACAAATACAGTTTGCTTTCTTTTTATTTCCTGCAAATTGTGTAGAGATTTGTATACTATGAATTAAATTCTTGAAATATTAATTGGCAAAATTGTAATGAAAATTATTTACAAAGCTTACTCTTTGACATCACCAAAATTGACTTATCAATTAAAATTAAATATTGTTGTTTTTAAAATTGAAAATTTTTAAATTCAAAATTTAAAATTAAATATGTCTTAATTTCATGAATCATTGCTAATATAATAGATTCACTACTGACAGGTTGCAGGAAGTTTTAAATTTATTTTGTTATACTGATTCTATGCTAGGTTTATATGAAACTATTAAATTACCACTCTTTCCTCAGCCAGAATCTATCAATTTTAAACAAAAATGTACCAAGCACTATTACTCACAATGTGCTTTGGAAAATGATAGAGGTGATATGGTAAAAGAACTTTACCCTAACTTTCAGAACATAACAAATCTCTCAGTATTATCTGCCCCCAAAGCGATGCATAACTACTAATAGGTAGAAAGAAAGGATAATGAGAACTAACCTAGAAAACTTTTAACCTTATATCCATGTACTGTTACTCATATCATCTCTTTGAAAGACGGGATAATAAAAATATTTATCTTGTTCCTGGAGCACAGCCAGAAACCATAATAGGCTTTCACAATGCAAGATAATCCCAGGTCTCAAAAAAGTACAGTAAATGAGTTTTCAGTAATTTAATCAGAGTTTAAAGAAGGCTTTAAATGTCAAGCCTACAGAAAACAGGAAAAATATTAGGGATATTATGCACCTTTAAACTTAGTATCTTTTGTTGTCAAACTAATTTATATTTTAAAGATATATATTCAAAAATATGTAAATAATAATCACTAAACTAAGTGTATACATTGAAGTAACTGA
Source organism: Homo sapiens (assembly GCF_000001405.40). Classification (NCBI taxonomy): domain Eukaryota; kingdom Metazoa; phylum Chordata; class Mammalia; order Primates; family Hominidae; genus Homo; species Homo sapiens. The sequence goes on from NC_000001.11 coordinate 102,155,214, forward strand.
AATTAAAAACCTGGGCTGGGTGCAGTGGCTCACTCTTGTATTCCCAGCGTTTTGGGATGCTGAGGCAGGCGGATCACTTGAGGTCAGGAGTTCAAGACCAGCCTAGCCAACATGGTGAAACCCTGTCTCTACTAAAGATAAAAAATTAGCTGGGCGCTGTGGCGTATCTCTACTGAAAATACAAAAATTAGCCACGCATAGTGGCGTATGCCTGTAATCCCAGCTACTTGGGAGGCTGAGGCACAAAAATTGCTTGAACCCAAGAGGCAGAGGTTGCAGTGAGCTGAGATGGTGCAGTCTCAAAAAACAAAACAAAACATAAAACAACAACATGAAGTTTAGGTCTAGAATGAAAAACCATGTTTCACTTGTCCTACTCTCAGAAAGCTCTGTGTTCTTCAAGTTAGAAAATTTAATTTGCTCTAGGATCTGAGCAGATAGACAAATAAGCTGTATCCTGAATATTCTCCAGTGAATAGTGGCATAGTTTTTCTTGTAAATATTTTTGAAAACTTTCCATTTAAAAAATACACACCTGGGAGTCCTCTGCTTTTGAAGATGATATTATAAAATATTTATCATTATTATTATTGTTACTATTTTCTGCTAAAGGGTGGAGGTGGTTGGAAATACTAATTTAGGACAGGACATCCTGGTGTTCCAACCAGCTTACTTCCTGCAGTAGTCAGTCACTTACTGTAGGTAGCACAGCTCTTTGAAGCCTATTATCTGACCTCACAGGCCATATTTCTCTATGACTTAAAATAGGAAGTGCTTTATAAAATGACTTCACACTGGTTGACCTCCTTCTGCCAAGCCACTGCTACCTCCCAGAATACTTCCATTGAGCTAGTAGGGGCCAACCATAGAAGTGGTTCTGAAGTATCTGAAAGCCTCTTGATTCCATTGTTCAGTGGTTTTGATTTTTTTAAGTAGCAAAGCTCTTTCCACAAAAAAAAAAAAAAAGAATAAAATATCAAATATATAAAAGTGTTAAAAGTGGAGCAGGTCTATTTGAAAAAAAAATAAGTGGGATTTCTACCTTCCCTCCTAGCACCTCCACTATGGCCATTTCTCAGGCAATTTCTCAGCATCGCTTTGTCTCCGTCAAGAACTGTTTGAAAACTATTGAAAAACTTTGGAAAGAATGAAACAGGTACCAGCCAATGGAAGGCAAAATGGCTACAGGTGGACCTGTTTTCTTTACTAATACTAAAAAAAAGTTTGCATTTATGTAGGCTTGCATTTTCCTGGACTATGAAGGAATCTGAATTGGCAACTCTTAACTAAAGCTTTATTGTTTTCTTACAACCACAGGTCAATGTCTCAACTCTCTTTTTTCTTGTAATCTTGTTCTATCCTAGCTAAAGCATTTACCTAGTTACAGTATCATTATCCATGGTAGATTAGTTTCAAATGTACTTTAATTTTAAAGTGATTGTCTTTCTAATTCCAGGTTTACACCTATAAACTGGTGACCAGAAAATATTGTGAACATCTTTGATCCTGAATTCTCTCATGCATAAAATAGGAATTCTAAAAATTTAGTGACTTAAAGTATGTAAAATTTAATCAAGCTTAGAACCTGGCCCACACTTGTTCTCAGTAATATTAATCTTGTCCTATCCTTTCTAGATAGAAAACTGCCTTGTATGATACATTGTCGAATCACTTGTACAAAGAAAGTCATGTATAATCTTAAAAAAAGTATTCTTTTATTTTTGTAGAAGGATATAATAACAGGAACTCAAGTCTCATTTATCTTATAAAAAGAAGTATGCCTAAATTATTTGTCTCATTTCTTACTGAAAAAAAAAACCATGTTAAATTAACCTCTTTTTATACACACAGATCCAATAATTAATTCATGTGTAATCTTTAGAATTAGAAGTCCAGGGTCATTTGCAGATTTTTTTGTGTGTGTGCCATTGTTTCTTACAGTAAAGTGATAAGAATAATTTGTGATTATAAAATAAAAATGATGTATTCTACTTCCAGCCATGACCAGCCCTGACTGGCACCCACACTAGACACCATTAAAAATATTCATAAATCTGGATAAAATAAATGATTCAACTCTTTTTAGGCATTGAACGGGAACTAACACAGGACTATGAATCTTAAATGAAGGAAAATATATAAGTAAAGCAAAAGCTAAAACAATTGATTAAAAGAAGACTTGCACAATAAGAAAAACCTCAGGCTGGGCATGGTGGCTCACGCCTGTAATCCCAGCACTTTGGGAGGCCGAGGCAGGTGGATCATATGAGGTCGGGAGTTCAAGACCAGCCTGACCAACATGGAGAAACCCTGTCTTTACTAAAAATACGAAATTAGCCAGCTGTGGTGGCACATGCCTGTAATCCCAGCTACTCCAGAGGCTGAGGCAGGGGAATTACTTGAACCCAGTAAGCTGAGATCGCGCCATTGCACTGCAGCCTGGGAAACAAGAGCGAAACTCCATCTCAAAAGACAATCAGAAAAACCCTCTTTTTTTTTTTTTTTTTTTGAGACGGAGTGTCGCTCTGTCGCCCAGGCTGGAGTGCAGTGGCGCGATCTCGGCTCACTGCAAGCTCTGCCTCCCGGGTTCATACCATCCACCTGCCTCAGCTCACCTCCCGAGTAGCTGGGACTACGGGTGCCCGCCACCACGCCCGGCTAATTTTTGTATTTTTAGTAGAGATGGGGTTTCACTGTGTTAGCCAGGATGGTCTCGATCTCCAGACCTCATGATCTGCCCGCGTTGGCCTCCCAAAGTGCTGGGATTACAGGCTTGAGCCATCGCGCCCGGCCCTCTTTTTTAAAATAAAGTAGAATACTACTAGAAGAAAACTCTTTCTACAGAAGTGGTTGATATGCAGATAAATGTAACAAACATCCTTTTTTCTCTCCTTAAATTTTATTTGAAGGAAGCGATTATTTAAAAGCAAATAAAAGTTGTAATACTATAATAGGATTTATTAGGTAGATAGTTGTAAAATATACAGAAACTAACACAGAGGCCAGAAGGCAAGTGGAAGTTACCTGGAAAATTGTTAAATTTTATGTGATGTGATCACATATTATAATTCCTAAAGTACCCACTAAAAATCTAATAATAAAAATATATATAGTGAAAAGGCTAGTAGAGGAATTAAAATAGAATACATGACTATTTAATTAAAGAAAGATGAAATGAGAAATATAGCATAAGAACAACAATAATAAGACAAATAGAAGTTGACTGGCACAGTGACAGACCTAAATCCAACCACATAAACAATTATATTAAATATATATAGGCAAAATACTCCACATGAAAAGCAGAGATTTTTAGACTGGAAAAAAAACCCAGATGTATACTTTCTGTGACAAATAAACTTTATATACACTTATAGATGTTACCAAACAAAAAATAAAGAGAAAAAAAAGATTCATTATGATTCATCAAAATTAAAAATATCTTGGTGGATCGTACCTGTAATCCCAGCTACTCAGGAAGCTGAGGCAGGAGGATAGCTTGAGGCAGGAGTTCAAGAACTGCCTGGGAAACAGCAAAACTGGTCTCTGCAAAAAAAAAAAAAAAAAAAAATTAGCCAGGCATAGTGGCACATGCCTGTAGTCCCAGGTGCTCAGGAGACTGAAGCAGGAGAATCACTTCCCTCCAGGAGCTGGAGCCTACAGTAAACTATGATCATGCCACTACACTCCAACCTGAGGGACAGAATTGAAAAAAATATATCGGGAAATTCTTCTCATCAAAAGACGTCCTAAAGAAAATTAGAAGTCAAGTCACATACTGATAAAAAATATTTTTAGTACCTATTCTGACAAAGAATTTATATACTGAAATAATAATATAAATATATCAATAATGAAATATCAATAAAAAGACAATTTAATTAAAACATAGGGTAAAGAATAGAAGACATATCTCACAACAGAAAATATGAGGAAATATAATAAGATAAATACTAACCTCTAGTGGGAAACCACTATACATTCATGAGAGTGACTAAACTTTAATATATTAACAATACCAAATGTTGGTGATAATAGAGAACAACTGGAACTCTTTCACCCTATGTGGAAATGTAAAATTGTACATCCACTTTGAAAAAGTGTTTAGAAGTTTCTTATAAATTTAAAACTGAATCTACCCAGGAATTGTAGTCTTACTTATTTACACAAAAGAAATGAAAACATATACATAAAAAGACATATAGAATGTTTGTGGTAACTCATAACTAAAAATTGGAAACAACCAGTTATAAACAGATGCATAAACAAATGGTGATATATTCCTATAGTGGAATACTTCTTAGACATTAAATATTGGACTCCTGGTATGCCACATAATAGGTAACTCTTAAAAACATTATGCTGAGCAAAGTAATCCAGATAAAAATGAGTGCATACTCTATTACTCTATATGAAGTCCCAGAACAGACAAAACTAACCCCTGGTAGTGAAAATTAGAACAGAGCTTGCCTTTCAGGGGTTGGAAATTAATTTTAATGTGATATGGGGAAACTTTCTTGGATGATGGAACTGTTCTATGTCTGATTGAGGTGCTGATTACATTAGTGTGTTCATTTCTCAAATCTCATCAAATTGTATAGTTAAAATTATATATTTTACTGTGTAAATATTTTTCTTCAGTTAAAAACACAATAAAATTCAAGCAAGCTCACACATTATTTATCAAATCAATAAATACCGTCTGGAATTTTTTTGAGGTTCTCTATATAAATATCTTTATTGATATTCTAATCACACTAAATAAACTACTTTAATAAAGCACTTTTTCTAGCATTCTGACATACTTTAATCTTATTAAAGCTTGTCAAATTTCACCTATTGATTAAGCTAAAATCTCAATGAAATATTTGAAATCTCTAATCTTTTTCTTGTATTCTTCTCTTTAGCACTTATCTGAAAGCAAAAATTTCATAATACTAACATCAGGACCTAGGTAACTAAAGTTCTAAAAAAATAGGGTATGTGTTAAATGCTAGATAAAATTCATTTGAAATTTGCCTTTCTAAAATAGTTATTACTCTTATTTTATATATTTATTGTTCTAGATGACTTTCCTACAATTTTGAAAATGATGAAACATTATTTTGATTAATATATTAGAAAGAATAATACAAAGAACACTCATATGTCTACCACCTAGATTTAACAGATGTAAGCTTTTTATAATTGCCATATTTGTTGAAATCTGTTTTAAAAAATAAAATATTACACATACCATGGCAGTTGTATCCATTTCCTTCTTCATTTCTACTTCCTTTCCTCTCTTCTCAGAGAGGACTGTTCTACAGTTATTATGTGTCTTTAAGAAAATATTTTTCTATGTATCCTTTCAGCAATATACATTATCACTTTAGACTGTAAAGTTTTAAGTTTCATGTTTATGTAAATGTACATTTCAAGGTTATGTAAGCATACGTATTCTTTATCCTTTTTCTAATTTATTTTGTTTTACATTAAATTATCATATTTTTTACTTCAAAATGAAATAATAAAAGTTAACCATAGGAAAACTAAATTGCCATTGATTTAATTGCATACGCTGTTTTCCTCCATTTATCCTTTGATGTAATATTTGTAGGTATAATGAGGAAGAAAAGTAAGAATCATTGAACAACTATTCTCTATAACACATTGTGCTAAGTACTTGTTTACATTATCTCATTATATTTTTAATGGGTGCTATAAACATCATTAAACATCGTTAGGAGTAAGGACAAGTTACCAATGGTGTAATAAATTGTTGTGAAACTCAGTCTCAATTATCAAGATGTCTATAATGTAATTGCAATGTGAGAATATTGACATACAACCACAAGTAATACAAATTAATATATGCCAGCACTGAAAGAACAGTATTAAGCAAAAAACCTACATCAACAAGAATTCAAGGGTTATAAAAATTTACCAAAGTTAGAGCAGGACTCACAGATCCACATGATGTTTTGTCTTAGTACAAGAGTAAATTAGATTTCAACCTGTCTCTTAATTCGTCAGAGTTTTCTGGAAATCCTTCCAACATTCTCCTCTTGAGCAAAATGCATTTTTCCCTTAGGCTTTACCACATTTTTCAAGCCTCCATTCTACTAACCTTACTCTTAGGCCCAGTAAAAATTCCACTGACCAAAAACAATGAATTATCTGCAATGAATTACTTATTCCTTTCACTTGGTAAAACATGTAGATTCCGTAGTGTCTCTTGCCTCTTGGTTTCTAGTTTGGCCACAAGGCTTGCTTTGGTCATCGTGATGTTAAGAGTTACGATGTGAGTAGAGCCTTGAAAGACGCTTTCATGTTTGGGCTTACCTTTTTTCACTCCTGCTTTTTGCCATGAGGAACACCTGCTTTGATTAACCACTGATCTAAAGCAGCTGAGATAGATAAAGCAGCCCCAGACCCAATCTGCATCTTGGAGCAATCCCATTATGCATTAACCTGTATCAGCTGAATCTTAGTTCATCCACAGATTTAAGAGCCAAAAATAAATGCTATTGTTGCAAACCACTAAAATCATTAGGTTGTTAGTGCAGTATCATTGTGTAAATAGTCTACTCAGGTAGCTTCTCCCAGTTTTCTAAATTACAGTTGTTCCTCAGTATCTGTGGGGGATTGGTTGTAGAACCTCAGTGGATATCAAAATTCATAGATTCTCAAGTCCCTGATTTAAACTTGCATGCAACAAACACATCATCCCTTATATTTTAAATCATCTCTAGACTACTTATAATATCTGACACAATGTGAACACTATGTAAATAGTTATTACATTCTTTAGGGAATAGTGACAAGAAAAAATAATCTGAACATTTTCAGTACAGAAACAACAATTGATTTTGTTTTTCGAATACTTTTTATCCACAGTTAGATGAATCTATGGGATGTGGAATCAATGACACAGAGAGCTGACTGTATTATGAACATTTTTTATTGCACCTACATAAAATATACTGATGATGAGTTAATACATATCATGTAGACCCACCTAAACCATCTCTTGAATGTTAAATAAAAATCTCTAAATGCCTATCAGGTATAAAAAATATCTTGTATTCAAACTTAACCAGTTCAACAATTAACCAATCCTCTTTTTCCCACCACCCACACAAATCATCCTCTTTTCAATTTCCCTCCCACTTGATATCATTTTACCTATTTCCCAAATCACAACCATAGGAGTCATCACTGACTCCTTCCTGTCTCCATTATTCCATGCAATGATTAACTAAGAGCTTTGATTCTATTTCCTAAATGTCTCTTTAATCTTCCTCCTTTATACTTTCTACCTTACTTTAGACCTTAATCTTGTTATATATCTTCTATCCTCTACTTCCTGGATCCCTCTGTGTGACTCTCCAAAAATTTGTTATTATCTTATTTATTGTTATTTTATTGTTATAATCTTCTGAAAATGTAACTCTTATGATGTCATTTTCTGTGCTGATATCCTTGGCCTCTGCCATTCACCCGTAGTTGAAAATTCAGACAACTTAGAATGGCAGACCAGTAATACTTAGGTGACTGAGCCTATCTTTACCATTTAAGAAAATTCAGGAAATTCCCATTTCAGAAAATTCCTTCTTCAGGAAGGCTTCTCTGAGCTAACCCTTTCCTCACTGCCCCCCACCATTATCTTTCATATGCAAAAGCAGGATTGGGAGACTTTTCCATGTATTTCCCTAATTATTATTACTTCCCTTATTCTAATAATTGTACTACATTACATTTATATTTTTACTTTTCTCTAATATTATTGCACCCTGAGTTCCCTCTTATTCTGATTCTCCTAGTAATTACAGTAATGATTGACACATAGTAGGTGACATGAATGAATATAGAAAGGGAAGAGAAATATTAGTAATATAAAATTAAACTATCAGACTCTTTCGCTAAAGCGTAGTTGTTCACATACACTTCACCTTGGAGTCCTCCTTACTGTCGATTTGCCAATATACTGAAACTTTAATCCATGTTGACAGACTCTGCCATTCTGTATAAACGTAACATATCTAATATTTAGTAAAGTAAATTTTGATTAGGACAAATATGAGATTGATATAATGACATTGAAAATTCAAGACAGAAAGATAAATAGTAGTTGTGGAATACTTGTTACACATCAGAGAGTTTTCATATGCTAAGTAGGCATGACCCTTAAGTAATATAAGATAGATGTGTCAGTCTGAGTCCAAGTTTAATACAGATGATTATTCAGTAGAACAGGAGACTGAAATAAAAAGGTATTATTTAGTAAAAATACAGAGAATTCTAAAACATATAATATTAGCAGATATAATGAGAAGCTGCCACCTCCACGGTTAAGAAAGACACCCAGTAAAGAACTTTGCCTCCAGGGCTGAGATATACTGAACTTTCCAGTGAGGGTTCTGTTCACTGAATAGCTGAAAAGTTGCAGTAATATCAGGGTGATGGAACTTGCTGAAGATTTGTTCTTTTGGGTGCTAGGAAAAAACTATTCAGGTGGATATGTCTTACTGGAGAAAATTTTTGAAACTTCTTGAGGGAGTGCCATGGGAACCTGCTGGCTGCTGCTGTCTGCCATCCCCTGCAAAAGCCAGATGCTTGAGAAGGCGTGGTACCTGCAGGAACTGGGCAGTGAAGGAGCTACACTTGCTGCAAGAGCCTGTAGAAAGGCACACTAGAACCAATAAGCAAAACCTATTCCTTCTGTAACATCTCTCCAGCACTCTTTACTGGCAGCTGGCAAAGGTAAGCTATTTAAAGGGCCCAGTTACATTTTCACATAAAAGGCAATGAAGCATGAACTTGGAGCTGAGAGGCAATAAATTGGTAATTAGCACAGTAGGTGTTAACAATCTACTTTTTAAAGGTAAGAACAGTGAGTCTCAGGAAGACATAGTAAAATCTCTGAGCTCATACATCTATGGAACTAAGGAAAGATCATGGTGAGGTCTGAGGGATTGAGGTTGGACAAATGACAGAGGATACTTGTTTTGATATCTCTGGAATGATTTCCCAATTGAGAAATGCAATGCCTTTAATATAAAAATTTAATCTATTTCTCAAACAGGAGTAGCTTTTGTATATAGACATCATATTACCCTGATGTAAAAAATGTCAAGGAAAATATTTTTTCCTTTGACTAATAAATATCATTAAAGTGTATAATATAAACTATACTAAATTAAACTCATTTGCTCATCCATTCAACAAAAATTACTATATAATGATTATATGACATATATTATTTTTGTATATATGATTTTTTTGAAGTTAATTGATAAAAATTCAATTATAAGTACTGGGTTTTCAACTTGAGTTACAATTTTAAAACTCAATTTAGTTTTCTATGTTTGGTGTCATTTTTTTTTTTTGAGTGACAAAAAAGACAAAGGAAAAAGACAGAAAAATAAGGAAACAAGAATTCTCATATTTATTAGGATAGTATCCAGTTTTAAAAAGTTGAGGTTGAAACTATTTTGAAATCACATGATAAATGGTTGGGGATTTTCTGCTTTATTTCTACTGAAGTTTTACTTCCAAGTTTCTGACAGTTAGTTTCTACTTTAAGATTATCAATATGTTCAGACTAAATAAAGAAAATCTTTATCAAAAAGACTCCAGGAAGGTCACAAAATACAGTAAATCCCAGAGTATGGCAATATTGTAAGTTGATTTAAAAAGAAAAATGTATCTATGGCCTGGATAAATTATTTTACCTCAATGATAAAGGTATTGAAAAGTAAAATAAATTGTTTTTCACGAAGGATCTATATATGCTTGATAGATTAAATTCAATCAAGCTTTTTTAGAATGCTTTTTTTCATAAGCGACATAAATATTTCCTGTCATTTATAATTCTTAGAATAAGATTAATTTTATTTCTTAACCACAATCATATTGGTCTCCCTTTTTAGAGGATAACATTATTTACTCAAATAAAAATAACTGTTGATTTTGTTTGCACATTTTAAAATAGACCAGTAACGTATGTCTTATATAGAAAATCCTCTTGTCACTTATGAACCTATGAATAGGGTCACTATAGTCCAGCTGATTGAACTAGATTTATCATTTGAATGTGTCCTTTTCAAAAGCAATAATAAGTTTTCTGTATTTGTCCCTAATCCTGGAATCTGTCAGTCTCTAGTTACATCATTTTAGCAGATAAAACTTTTGATGGCTGTTAGAATTCACACAGTCTCCTGAGCCTATGGCATTTTTGTGTAATGTACCATTTATACTACAGTACTTAAAATCCATATAAGAGGCATTGGGAACTGTGACTACTTTGAAAGTAGCCTTTTCTAGAAGTTAAATGACTTTGAAATATCAACATTTATAGTAGAAGGTAGCATCTAACATTAAGGAACTTGTGAATTATCCTATCATTGATATGATTGCAAAAATATAATCTAACCTGTAAAACTTCACTAGACTCCTTAAATGCATCTTAAAAAATTGAGATTTATAGTAACCATGCATCAAGCTTTAAGAACAGTGGTTTCCTAAGAAGCTATGTATTTCATTTATATTGTGGTTCTACAATATATATCAGGTGTACTTTTGAACTTCTCTTACATTTTAAAACCCCTCTCTGTGTCTTTTCTCCATATTTTCACTGACTTTCTAGAGATTCAGTAAAATATTAACCGTCTTCATTAAGAATGATCTACAAATAAAGTGTTGTGATTATTTGAATATTCTTGTTCTAGGTGTCTTCATTTATCCAAAAAAAATTTTGTTTCAATTCTTAAGGTTTAAATTATCTATGTTTATTTTCCTACTTTATAAAATGTTAAATTTTATAACTAAAAATATTCTTAATACTGAATGTATAATTGTACTATCCTGTATGTTATCACTTTTGTTACAGAAATTTCCATTAAAGTTCTTTAAGCCTGTCTTTTCTAAATTGTGAAAGCTGTTAGTGTAGATGTTTCTATTTATTATGTGTTTCCTACCATTTACACAGTATTTGTGCTCAAAATAAATTGTAATTATTTTATAGTCATTATCCACTGTCCATATTAGCCAGAATGCACTCCAAAACCTGGAGTAATTAAAAAAAAATCTCTCTATGTAGAACCTATGTTAACTAAAAGCCCATACACTAAAACTCACACTCTTCACTTAGTAGAAAATCAGGATGGGAGACTGAGAGATGAGAAATTACTTAATAGATACAATGTATACTATTCAGGTAATGGTTATGCGAAAAGTCCAGACTTCACCACTATGCAATATATCCATGCATCAAAACTGAACTTATACACCTTAGATTTATGCAAATTAAACAATTTGTATAGTTTATACAGATTTAAAGAAGAAAATATTATTTCGTGATTATAATCAATATAATTAATAAAGTAAGCAAATGTAACTGTGAAAGGTATTGAGGAAGTATGGTTTAGAAATATAGAATGCTAAATTCAGGAGGTGTCTTAAAGATGATCAAACCAAAGACGCTCACTTTACTGTTAAGGAAACTGAGGCCTGGCTTGAGGTATGTCTCCAGGGAAACAGACTATCAGATTAAGGTTTGCATTTAGGACGTTAATTGAGAAGTGCTGTAGGGAAGAAAGCTCTGAGTACGTAAAGGAAGCCGGATTAGGCAGAGGTATTTGGGTGGGCTGAGATGTGGTTGTTGACACAGATCTAAGTTAGCCCCAAGGGGAGCTCTGGGCCTGAGAAGGCCTTACCGAGTTGTCCCAAATTGGGTTCAAGCTTCCTTCAGCTGAATTCCATTCCCAAAGTGGGTCTCATCTATGAACCATCAGCAGTCAACTATCCTGGCTTGCAGGAGAATGGGCACCCTTCTGAAAAGGGATTTAGGTGGAGCATCCAAGCAATCATTGATGTCATAGGACAACCCAGTATACTACTGCTATGGTTTAAATGTTTTTGGCCCCTGCAAATTCATGTACTGGAAGCTTAATTCCCAATGCAACAGTTTTGGGAGGTGGGGCCTAAGAGGTGTTGTTTAGGTAGTTCAAAAGCATCCATTACCATGAATAGATTAATGCCACTATAAAAAGAACTTGCAGGCATGGGTTTGCTCTCTCCTTCCCTTCTGCCATGTGAGGAACAGCATTCCTCTTCCTCAGAGCATATGGCATTTAAGGTGCCATCTTGAAAGTGAAGATTGGGACACCAAAACTCCAAATGCCTTTATGTCAGACTTCAAGGCTTCTAGCACTGTGAGGCAATACATTTCTGTTCTTTACAAATTACCCAGTTTTACATATTCCGTTGTAGCAGCACAAAACACATTAAGATAGAAATTTGTATCAAAGAAGTAGGATGTTGTTATAACAAATATCTGAAAATGTAAAAGCTGCTTTGGAACTGAGTAATGGGTAGAGGTTGGAAAAGTGTCAGCTAGAACGGGAAACTTTTTCTAGAACTGAATGCTAGATAAAGCTTATTTTGCTGTGAATGCAGGATTAATGGCAATTCTGGTGAGGGCTGAAAAAAAATAAAAAGGTGTGCTGTAGGAAGTATTCGAGATTACTTAGGTGACTGATCAGAATGTTGGGAAGACACATAGATGGTTCAGGCAATTCTGATGAAGTCACAGACAAAAATAAGGAACAAAGTATTTGAAACTAAAAAAAAAAAAAAAAGACCATCCTTGTTTTGAAATGGCAAAGAACTTGGCTGAATTGTATCAATGATCAAGGACCCTATGGAAGGCAGAACTATCCTTTGCTTATCCCACCATTGTATTTTGGAAGCACATTACATGTTTTGATTTTATAGGCTCACAGATAAATGAGATTTTGCCTCAAGATGAATTGCAACTTCAGTCTCACTCATATGATGCTTAGATGAGACTCTGAGCTTTTGAGTTGGTGCTAGAACAGCTTAAGACTTTTGGAGCTATTGGGATGGAATGAATGCATTTCGTATGTGAGAAGCTCATGAATTTGGGGGAGATGGAGGCAAAATGCTATGGTTTTAATGTCTGTGCCCTCCAAAACTCCTGTTGAAATTTGATTGCCATTGTGGTGGTGTTAGGAGGTGAGACCTTTGGGAGGTGAGAAAGCCATGAGGGGTCTGCCCTCATGGGTGGAATTAATACTGTTGGAAAAGGTCGGGTTTCATCCCCTTTTGCCTCTTTGCTCCTCCTTCTGCTATGTGATGAAATAGCAAGAAGGCCCTTGCAAGATGCTGGCACCTTGATTTTAGACTGCCTGCAGAATTTCTGTTCACTATAAATTACTCAGTTTTAGATATTCTTTTACAGCATCAGAAAATGGACTAGAGAGCATACATTCTACTACACCACATTTCCCAAAGCTAGATGTAAGCACAAGGACAGGATTAATGTCACCTAGGTGGAAATTTTCAGCACTCACATGCCCCTGCCTAATACTTAGGGAAAGAAAACATCAATGAAGAGAGCCCTATTTTCCAGAAGTGCCAGTGCCAAAGAGTAATAAAAAGGAAGGTGTTTTAGTTATAAATATTTCTCCATGTCCCCAAGGACCATGATAGCTTAGGAGTTGGAAATATCTTAACTTAAATCTTAAAATACTGCATGTGTTCCAGTTTGGAAATGTTTCCTCAGCTGTACTGATAGCTGTTTGTTTTTTTTAGGAGATAATAACCACCATGAATTCTCTATCAGAGGGAATTTTAGCTAGCTGATGTTTCTTAACACCAATCCTTGTAAAGTTAACATTTTTTTTTCTACAGACCACTCATTATAGAAGGGCTGGAAACTCCAAAAGTCTTTTTCTTTTACTGTATTTTCAGTATTCCTCTCAAAGTGAAAATTAATTAGTGAGAACTGTCTGGACCCTTCCCCTTTCCATTTTTCATTTTAATTGTTGGTAAGATAGTTGTAGGCACTTACCCATCATCTGTCTTTTCGCAGGCTTTTTTGTATTATCCTTTTGGATTCCTTAGCCCTTTTTCTCCTCTTCTTCCTTACATTCCTCCTACTAGCACTATTTTGTCTTCTTTTTAAAATAATGAAAATAGATAAACGATGCAAGTTGTCTCCATTTTAAATTAACTTTTACTGTAATCTGCTATCCAAAATGAAATTTTCATGATTCAGTCTTTATAATTAAAGAGTATCACAAACATTGTGGGATTCAATAAATATTAATTGTTTATTATGATTATAGCCCATGATAGCACTTCATATACATAAGCATGTACTTAAAAATGTAATCTTTATTTTAAAAATTTTTGGCATACTGGGATCCAGAGTTAGCATAAAAGAACATAGTCCTGGTTTACAGATTCTTTTTATTTACTTCTTTTTTTTTTAATGTCCCTAGGCCTGAGGCATCTTAGGACATAACTTAAAAGCCTGTATTCAAAAAGGCTCCTATATGGCATATTAAATTCTTCCGCTGCATTGGAATAATCTACAGTCCTCTCCAGTTTTAGTCTTTTCCTGTTACCAGAGCAGTCAGGAATATTCTTACATAAATTAATATGAATATCTTAACATATCAACTCATATCTAATTCCAAAATATTTGCCTTAGAAAATTTTGTTCTGTCTTCTGCTTGTGAATTGTTGGTATTTGGTAAAATTTATGAGCTAATCAAATATTTTGGCACCAAAGATGTCACTGTGGTCATCCATCAGGTAAAATACTAACAGATTAACCAATAGCAACTCTGTACAAACTCACAATATCAACAAAGGGTAAAAGCTAAATGATCTAAGGCATTGAAAATACCGAAAAACATTGGAGAACATAAATAAGTTAGAGGATGTGATGACAGACATCTGTTATGTTACCTAATTTTAAACATCTTTTAGAAAAAAAAAGAATAGTTTTAACTACAAATTTCATAAATGTTAATGGAACTGGAATTGATCACTCAATTTTTAAATTTGCTCAACCCTAACATGCAGACTTTTTGGGGACTCCGTTGTTTTTCTGTAATGGGCATCACAGTTTGAATTGTAAGGATGCTCTACAAGGTTGTATATCACCTTACTGGCTAGTATTATAATGTTTATTCTATTATGAAACTTATAAAATTATATGTAATATGCATAAATTAAAATATAATGTTCATCTTAGATACCATTATGAGTGTATATTGTAAGAAGCATATTTTTGTTTATACTACTTCTAAAATTATAATCCATTCACACAAACAGAATTTAGAGAAGCATTTTAGTAAAATGCCAACGAAGATAAAAATTGCATCTTTTACCATTTGGTGACAGTAAAATGTGACCTCAGGTTTCCTAAAATTTCTTTCTGCATTCTGAAATACTGTTAAGAATTGCCTCAAGTGAGATTTTTCTTCTCATTTTTAGCTACAAAGAGCAATTTGAGTCCTGAATCGGAAATATTTCTGAACTTAATGCAAATGTTTTTCTTGTGAGAGCACTCATCATAAGTATATAACAATTATGCATATATTAAAACGTTCAGATATCCATATTAATTTTGTACTGAAAGCTTATGTTCTTGACAGAGATCATTCATATAGTCACACTGAAAGTCTTATTCTTTGTTAAGGAGGGTACATGGAAAATATGAAAATTTCATTCTATAAGAGAAGATAGAAAGAAATTATGATTATATTTGTTTATAATAGATGAATTATTATATTATTATACATTATTATAATTATACAATATATACTATTTTATATATAATAATGTATTATTTATTATATATAATATATATAATATACAATATACAATATACAATATACAATATATATTATAATGTATATATATAATGTATATATGTATATAATGTGTATATATAATGTATATAATGTATATATATAATGTATATATATAATGTATATAATGTATATAATATATAATGTATATAATAATTATATACAGTATTATATATAATAATGTATTATATATAATATTATATTATAATAATTATGTCATTCATTATATATTCAGTGTCTCAGACAAAGTAGATATTCAATAAATAATTTTTAATCAATAAATAAAATGCCCAAATAGATATTGATCATCCAATGTGTCCAATAGATCTTTTTCAAAGTGTATTTAGGAGAAATTTTTTTTCAGAGACTTTTAATATTTTATATAAAAAAGAGCTTTGTGGTCACTAAAATGCAGAACATATATTTATTAAAATACAACAAATAGGCTTATTTTATCGTAGAATTTATAGTAGAACTTGCAATATGCCAATGTAGTCTTTTCAATATCTTAGAGAGATGCTATAATATATATACACATATTTATATATGTAAAATTATGTTTTTCAAAACTTACTTTTAGAAAATTTTTTTTCAACTACTTACTGATATGATTAGAGTCCCACAGAATATACTTTAGGAAACACTGGTTTATTTTTATATATATATATAAATATAAAAAATATATATAAATATTTTATATATATATATATATATATATATATGGGCAGTTTAATAATTTGGTCAAGTTCTTAGGAAACCAGATTAAAATGCAACCTGAGGCTTATTTGTATTAATATTATAATTTAACTAAGAGTAATCAGTGATTTCAAGAAGATATTACAAATTCTAAGTGTAGAAATTACGTAAACTAATAACAAATAAAATCATATTACTTTCTTCCTGGAAAAAAGTCAGCAAAAGAGAAATCCCTTAATCTAATAAATATTATAATTTTGATTGTGGTGAGTCATGAATGAAAGCTAATTTGGGATAGTTAGAGAATGCAATTCTACTTATTCAAATAACTTTTATATTGCTACAATTTTAAGGGTTCTTATTTCCCTAAACTTAATGTAAATTAAATTTACATTAGAAAATTAATTCTCACAAAATTAAATTAATGTTTTGTACATATAAGAAAGTTTTATGATTAAAATTATTATTCAGTTTTTCTCTTAAAGCTCATTGTTTAACATTAATTGAATTTGGAAAAATGTCCATGGTACTAATGTAGGATTCTTTAAAAAACAAGAAATGTGAACTTAAGATGAAGCTAGTTTTAAATATATGTCAGAAATATGATTATTCATTTATTCAGAAGTATTTATGGAGTGCTTAAGTTAAGCTGGTCTCTGTTCTTCTAAGTGCTGTCGTAGAGAACAAAACTGGTCTCTTGTTCCCATAGAGAGTGCTTTCTAGTGGAAGAGACAGACAACACCATATTAAATAAATATATGTATTTATTTAAAATTATATTAAATAATGTATTTATTTAAAATTATATTAAATAAATATATGTATTTATTTAAAATTATATTAAATTTAAATATATATTTATTTACAATTATATATTACATTTTAATATATTTATTTAAAACTATATTACATTTTAATATATTTAAAATTATGCATTAAAATTATATAATAGTTACAAATGTTAAGATGAAATAAAAGAGGAAAGAGATTTAGAAAGTATTTGAAGAGAGAGGGTCCCCTTTTTATCCTCATAGGAAGGTTTAAAATTATAATAATACCCTCTAAATGCATTAATTAGCCTGAGTGCACATGAGGACTTTCAAAATGATTTCACTGAATAAATGCAAGATGAAAACACTGAAGCATAAAAGTTTCATTACCCAGGAAATCTTATTAGAAAATAAGAAAACATGCATTTTAACACAAGAAAAAATAAATTAGATTTAAAGATACCTATGGGAATTAGAATCTGTAAATGTTTATAGTTTATTTTGAAGGTTAAAATACAGTGTGCTGCTAATAAAATGGACACATAAATGGGAACTTCATAATGACTATAAAAGTGAATTATGATGGCATAGATGGAGGAATAAAGGTTGTAAGTTTCTCAACAAAGTTTCAAATTGATAGTCAAATATTTTTAGTATTTTTCTCTCAAATATATTTCAAAATACTATGAAATTCCAGATTTTAATTATGAAAGCAAAAGCAAAAACTTTTGCTTGTCTCAGATGGAGATACCTGCCCTTTATTTTATTTTCTTAAACCATGGAATATTTGGATAAAGCAATCTTAGAAGAATTCACATAGTGTCATTTCCTTTAGGTCATAATTTTTGTAGAAGCATATCCATATTGCACACACTTATTTTCATATCCTGGACCTTTGATTTTTGGCTTTGGATTGTCATATTAGCTCTTCCATCTAGCTTTTTATATAGAAAACTTTTCCAAGACTTTTGTTTTGCAAATGAAGAAAAGTAGATCTCACCCTTCCTTCTTTCTTATCCTAACAGTAGAAATTCTCCAATATTTATTCCTTGATTTCCTTCTTTCTTTACTATTTCTATTATCTCGGTCTCTCTGTCCCTGTTTCTGCCTCTCTGCCTCCCTCTCTCCTTCCCCCTCTCCCTTCCTCTCTCCCTCTGTTCTCTCTCCAATCTTATTTATTCTGAAGACTTTAATAATCTCATGGATACCACATATGTGGACATATTTCAGAGACATGGTGTGTCATACAAAAAGAGAAAAGTGAAATGAATTCAAATAGTATATTAAGGTCAGAGTGACCATTTGGAAAAGAAAAATTAGAATGGTATTGGGCGAGATTCTAAATTTCATGGCTATATTGACCTTTTAGAAATAGACATAGGGAGGAGAAGAAAGATGGAAAATTTAAAATTATAAGGGGGAATTGTACTTTTTTTCTTTCACAACCACACTCATTAGTAAATAAATTGTATTTTTGGATATGGCTTGGATGTTGCTGCAAGTTGTATTTCCTCAGTAGCAGATTCTGAAATAGACATTAGTATTTAGAATACTTATAGGGAGAGGAACGAAGCAGGATTGAGCAGAGGGACAAGGTGAAGTGTTAATGTAGTCTCAAAGAAGGTTACAATGTATCTAATCAGGAGCTCTCAAACTATGATTATCTCAGTTGGGATGAGGCAATTGGACCTTTTGACGTCAACATCTGTTATTGGATGAGGGTTGCCCTGGGAAGAGATGTGAGTTTGGGTGAGGCAGCTTCTTTTAGTTGAGACAATCCCCAAAGAAGGTTGACAGTTGAGGGCCATATTTCTCCAGGAATCCCAGGAACTGGGAGGGTAATTCCTTTTTACCCGAAGGGCTAACTGGACAGTTTATCTCAGCATCCATTACCACCCACCCTTTGTGCTGCTCTTCATAGAAATTTTGGAAAAACGCTCCAGTGTTTCCAATGGACTTTTTTTTCCAGAAGAGACTTAGGAATGGAAAGCTGGTGGGATGAATTTACAGCAAAGGCTGTTTGAAAGCCAGAACTGATAATCATTGTTTCTCTTCTCTGGCCAGTCCTGTTCACCCCCACTGTCACTTAGCGCCTCTAGTGGTCATTTTGGCTCACCTGTTTGTATGATTCAAACCCTTAATCCTCAGGTATTTCAGTCCACACATACAGTGCCTTTCTCAGGCCAGAGTTGGTCCTTTTGTTCATTAACTGTCAAAAGTGGACAAAAGAGTACTCAGAGGAACATAAGTGGATGGATAACCTGGACATCAAGATTTTCCCTCTCTGCTCCCACTGCATCACAGCAGCCCTATCACCTTCTGGTAGTCTGGATTCCTTACAATTACAAAGATGGTGAATCCCCTTCTTCTCTATTGTTCTTTTAGAACAGGAATGCAAAATGCCTAGGTGGAAGCTGTAGCTACCATTGATTGAAACTCTTGCTGTATCCCCTGGCAGAAGGGTTCCCCCTTTGAGAACCAAGACCTGGTCACCTACACTGCAGAGCCCAGACTTGTAGAAACAATAAGTACAATCACCCAAAGTAGTACACTGGGATGATGGTAAGCACAACTATCCTTATTTCCACCACTTGGATTCCAGACCCACATATTTTACATATTAAAGTCCCAGCACTATAAAAATAAATAGTATTGATTTAAGCTATTTTGTATGCCTTACATTATTGTTCCTGGAAAAGTACAAAGGATCACATTGTCCAAACCAGACTAATAAAAATCCAAAATATACCTAGTGCTGAAGTTTATAGATGATTACAATAATACAAGGATCAGGCACAATGTGGAGAAGTGCAGTACTGGGACCTACTGCCAGTGCTGCTCCCCAGACCTTTCCTTGCTGCATTAGTACCCGCACTGATGTAACATGCAGTTTCCAAGTAATGCATACAGAACATAATTAGATAGGAGCTATTTTATTCACTAACTCCATGACCAAAGTATGCATTTTATACTTTGATAATTACATAGCTTATATGGCATTGTCCAGAGTGCTACTCCATAAATCCAAATATCCTAATTTTAATTGCAATAAGCAACGCGGATAGGTCAGGTATGTCTGGCTGAAAGTATCTTATAGGTAAGAACTCTATCTCTAGAGTTCATAATATATGGAGGAATTTCATTAGCCTCTATAGAAAAGCTTTTAATTAGGCCATATTTTCCTTTTTAATGACAAAAGAGAGAATAGATTGCAGGTCTGCTAATAATATATATATTTTTTCTCTAGAATCCTCTTTATTTGTTCTTTACCTTAGAGGAGATGTACCTTTTACCCAAGATCACCAGATCTTTAAATTTACACTTATGTAGTAGACCCCTCAATTATCATATGCTTATCTTAAACTCTTTGGAGCACGTGTAACTAAGGAAGCATCTAATTTGCTGGCTAGTTCCTACTCATCTACTTTGGTTGATATGATGCCACTCATACAGTAATTTAGTAGGATAATCTGTGGGATTACAGTAGACTGAATGGTAGTCACAAAGGCATGTCAACATCCTAATGCCTAGAACCAGTAAATATTACTTTATATGGCAAAAGAGTGAAAGTTGACTAATGAACTCACATGGTAAGTATAATATTATATATAATAATACTAACTTACATGGCAAAATATATGATTAAGAATATTTAGATGAGAGATTTATATTGGATTGTTTGGTGGACCCTAAATATAATCACATGCATCCTTATAAGAGAGGGGCAGAAGCATATCAGACAGAACAGAAAGCAGATTTGACAGGACAGGTAATCTGAAGATGGAGCAGAGAAAGAGATGTGGCCGCAAGCTGAAGACTGCCAACAGCCACAAGAAGCTGGAAGAGTCAAGAGGCAGATTCTTCACTACTCCCCTCCTTTCAGAGGAGTGTGTTCTTGCTACATCCTGATTTCAAACTCCTGGCATCCAGAGCTAAGAGAGAATCCATTTCTGTTGTTTAAGCCACCATGTTTGTAATAATTTATTACAGCAGCCACAGAAAGAGAATGCAGGGATATCCGTGTAGTCCAGATCTCCTCAGACTACATTATGACAGAAGACGGGAGAGTTAATATAGCCTCATGAATCATGCCAAAACTAAATGGATAATGTCTTTTATTCTAATTGCATGCACACCATTACTAATATTCTTTTCTTATAAGGATAAAAATAATGAGTTTTTTTTTTTTTAAGCTCAATAGCTATATAATGTATTGAGCTGTTCTAGCAAAGATGCCACTGGTGGCTACAATCGTTGCTACTTCTTATTCCAGTGCTGTAGTTCACTGACATCCTCCAGGGACATTTTAGTTATTGTATGAGGTAGAGAGGTGAATTCTGTGAACATGCAGAGACAATTTCCCTGAAGTAGAATGTTAGGTTTTTTTAAAAAAATACATTTTAAATATATTTTACTTTATTTATTTGTTTAATTATTTATTTTGACATAGGGTCTCACTCTGTCAGGCCAGAGTACAGTGGCACCATCATAGCTCACGGTAACCTTGAACTCCTGGTCTCAAAGTGATCCTCCTGCCTCAGCCTCCAGACTAACTAGGAGGCACAAGTCACCATGCCAGACTATTGTTTTGTTTTTTTCATTTTTTGTAGACACAGGGGTCTCACTATATTGTCCAGGTTGGTCTCTAACTCCTGGTTTCAAGTGATGCTCCCATCTTTCCCTCCCAAAGTGCTGGGATTACAGATGTGTGCCACCATGCCTGGTCATAAAGATATTTTAGAAGAGTTGTAAATTTAAGAAAAAATTGAGGAGTTGGTGGGTTTTGACACATGCATAATGTCATGTATACCATGACACTGTCAAACAAATGCTTGCACTGCCCTAAAATCCTTCCATGTATTGGGTATTTAATCCTAGACCACTAGCAATCATTGATATTTTTACTGTCTCAAATACCCTCTCACTCAGTTTTCCCTATTAATATCTTACATTAGTATAATACAATTGTCACAAAGAATAAACCAAAATCAATACATTATTGTTGATAAAAGTATACAATTTATTTTTATTTCTTTAGTTTTTATGTAAAGTCTTTCTACTTAAAAAGATCTAAGATCTTATCCAGGATCTGACACTTATCATGTCTCTTTAAACTCCTTTTAGCTGTTTCTCTTAAACTTTCCTTGTTTTTGAGGACCTTGAAAAATTTTGATGACCAAGGATTTTGTGAGATACCCTCTCTTGAGATCTGTCTGGTGTTTTCTCATGATAAGATTGATGTTGTGGGTTTGTGGAAGAAGACCCATGACTAAGATACCATTTTTTATCCCATTATATCAAAGAGCTATACCAGCAACATGATTTATCACTGTTTATATTGATATTGGTCATCTGGCTGAGGTAGCGTTGTCAGATTTTCTCATGTAAACTTCATCTTTTGCTCCCTTTCCATTGTATATGCTTTAGAAAGAATTACTATGCACATCCTACACTTAAAAAATTTAGATTTATGCTTCTTGTTTTTCAGGATATGGTGTCTATATCAACTACTTGAAATTTTTCTGCAAGAGATATTTGTCTCTTATTCCTCATTTATTTAATAAGTTTGTGTTTTATTATGCCTTTATAGATATATATTTTATATTATAATCAAATATTAATTTAATTGTTGTGGATTTTTTTCCTCAAATTGTACTGGCTTTGGCTATTGGGAGCCCTTTCTATTGGCCCCTGTGTGCCTCTGACTTCTGACATATCCACAATAATGCAAGCTTTCTTGTTTTTTTTTTTTTTGAGACCATATTTACTTTCTGGCCCTACAACATGTTCCGGTGTCATCTTATATATTTCCTCCCTTAGTCTAGAATCAACCATTTCTCCAAGGATCCCTTGTTGCTTCCATTCAAAAATGGTAGTGGAAACTAGGATATGGGTGCTAGGATTGTTACGGGAGTATCATTGCTTCTAGGCATTTTCATCTGACACAGCAAGAAAATACATTGCATGTGTATTAATTCATGCATCGATTCTTATCTATAAATGTTTCTATATGTAGTCAGCACCTATATTAGTCCAAGCAAGCGTTCATGCTGATGTCTCCAGCTCTAATATATCACCACATGGATCATTCTAGCCTCCTCCCTCTGCTTATCTGTAAATTCCAGCTCAAACAGTGAAAAACCTGGCTCCCAGTATCTGCCAGTCATTTACTTAATTTTTCAATTCCAGTATACATGTAAAACAATATAAGAATTAATAAGCTGTACTCTTGTGGGAAGAAACTTTATCAACTGGAATACAGGCTTATGTGTAGGTCTTTTTTACTTCAGTCTTACGTATTCTATGTATTACCAAAGTTGTTTAGGTCAGCACTTTTCCCCCAATTCACTTTACTGAGTTTGTTTACATACCTGTAATACAGTAAGGTTTTCATGTCATATGGAACATCTCTTCCTGGGATCCCCGACCTCCTATATTATTTTAAAATTTTGCATAAAGTTAATTTTTTTGTAGTGTAAATTGTATGAGTTTTGATACATGCATAATGTCATACATACATTATTAGAATATAAAATAGTTTCAGTGCCCTAAAAATCTCCTGTTTTGCCTATTTAACCCTAAACCACTAGCAAGCACTAATCTTTTTACTACCTCTATAGTTTGGCCTTTTCTATAATCTTATATAATTAAAATTATATAGTATATGATATTTTCAGAGTGATTTTTTTTTCACTCAGAAATATGCATTTAGGATTCCTGCATGTTTTTGTGAGTTAATAGCCCATTTATTTTTATCGATGAAGAGTACTCCACTGTATGGATGTATATTCATTCTTCTACTGAAGGACATTTCTCTTGCTTTAAGATTTTTTCAGTATATTGTATTTTTTAGAGAAGTTTTAGGCACAAAACAAAATTGGATGGAAAATACAGAGATTTCCTCTATGTCTCTTGTCCCACACATGCATAGCCACCCCCATTTTTATATCCCCCAAAAGATATTTGTTTTAATTGATGAACCTACGTTGACACAACTTTGTTATCCAAAGACCATAATTTCCATTAAGGTTCATTCTCGGTGTTGTACATTTTATGGGTTTGAACAAATGTATAGTGACATCTATTCATAATTATACTATCATATAGGCTATTTTCACTGTCTTGGCCTCCTAAAGTGCTGGGATTACAGGTGTGAGCCACCGCCCTACCTATGGTTGATTCTTTGGCATTTCCTACATAGAATCATGTCATCTTTGAACTGTTCTGAGGCAGTTTAGTTATTCCTTCCAATCTGTATACATGTTATTTCTTTTTTGTGTTTTATCACATTAGCTAGGACTTCGATCTTAAGTGGGAAAGCTTCTAGTTTCTCACCATTAAGTATGACGTTAGATGCAAGTTTTACATAGATAATCTTGAATAAATTGTGGGTGTTGTGCTCTCTATTTTTAGTTTACTGGGAGCTTTTTTTTTATTTAATTATGAATGAGTGTTGGATTTTGTCAATATTTTCTGCATGTATTGTTATGATCATATGATTTTACTTCTTTAGCCTGTTGATATGATAGATTACATTCTGATGTTAAACCAGACTAGCATTATTGGGGATAAATCCCACTTTGTTGTGATATTTTAACTTCAGTTTTTCGCAATTATCAACAAAGGAGCTATAGACATTCACATGCAGATTTTTGTGTGGCCATACACTTCAAATCAGTTGGGTAAATATCTAGGTGCTCAACTGACAAACTGAGTGATTGGAATATGTTAACTTTCTAAATTACTATCAAACCATTCTACAAAGTGGCTATACAAGTTTCCTTTCACAGAAACAGCGAATGAGAGTTCCTGTTGCTCTACATCCTTTCCAGCATTTGGTATTGTAAACAGTTTTGGATTTTACCCATTCTAATGGTATGCAGTGGTATTACATTGTTGCTTTCTTTTTGCAATTTCCTATGTTGAACATCCTTTCATATGCTTGGATGCCTTTTGTATCTCTATTTAATTAATTAATTAATTAATTATGTATTTATTCTTGAGACAGAGTTTCACTCTTCTTGCCCAGGCTGGAGTGCAATGGCACGATCTCAGCTCACTGCAACCTCCACCTCCCAGGTTCTAGCAGTTCTCCTGCCTCAGCCTCCTGAGTAGCTGGGATTACAGGCATGTGCCACCATGCCCAGCTAATTTTTCTATTTTCAGTAGAGATGGGGTTTCACTGTGTTGGCCAGACTGGTCTTGAACTCCCAACCTCAGGTGATCCGCCCACCTTGGCCACCCAAGCTGCTGGGATTACATATGTGAGCCACCATGCCTAGCCTGTACCTCTTAATTGGTGATGTGTCTGTTAGATATTTGTCCATATTTAATTGGGTTATTTTTGTAAAAATTTAAGGGTGCTTTGCATATTTTGGATTGAAGTTCTCTATTTTACATGTGTTTTCCAAATATTTGTTATTGCCTGTGACTTTTTATTCTATTAACAATGTTTCTCACAGTGCAAATGTTTTTTTTAATTTTAATAAATTCTAACAATTTTTTTTCATGGACAGAGCTTTTGGTGTCATATCTAAAAAATCACTACCAAAACAAAATAAATTATCTTTTAATAAATCAATACCCTACATTTTACCACATTTTAATCCACATCCTTCAGCCAGATCTTAAGCTGGAAGGCTGTTTGGAATATAGTTTTATTACCAGTTCAGCCTGAGAGTAAAAGTAGGAGAGGTATTACCTAGGTTTAACCTTCATCCTCCAGTTACTACCTGTGAAATCTTAGGCAAATTACTTTACCTTTCTGTGTTTCAATTTCCTTATCTGAAATATATTGATGACAATAGCATCTACTTCAAAGAGCTGCTGTAAGTCACAAATAAGTTAATACATACAAACTGCCACAAGTCTCAGAATGTCGGAAGTGTTTAATACATGTGAGCTATTATATTCACTATTGTAGCTATTTTATTATATTTATTATTAGGAGTATTATCACTGTAAATATTAGTGTTTTTATTCTGTTATTTATTTTTTCCCCTTCTGTTTTGGCTTGATGAACCTGAGTTAAGTTTATGGTTATGCACCGTTTCTATAACCAGTTTTCAATTATTCCACCAAGATTTTTACTTTCTTGTTTTTCAATGACTTGGTATCTCCTTAGAAATGGAAGTGGTGGCTTTTCTTAGTCTGGTCCCATCTGCATTTTCAAGCACTAATTTCTCAGTTCCTGCTATTTTAATAGCATTCTTCCTTAGCTTCCGGTGTTGGAATTTTTCCCAAGTTTTGACAGATTTAATTTACCCATGATCTGTCACCCAGAAGTCAGTTAAATGCATTCAAAAATCAGTTTTAACTTTTCTGGTAGTAGAACAATAATAATAATAATAAACATTGTACACATATCCTTTGCATTTATACTGATAATTGTTTAATGACTTAATTCTCACCTTTACCTTTTATGTGGCATATGTATTTATTTAGATATTTTAATTACATTTGTTAATTTATTGTCCCATTAGTATCTTTGTTTCATATCTACTTTAATGTTAGAGGAATATAGAGGTGGCATGTATTGAAGATAACAGATTAATTACCTATTCAAGGCATTTTATAGAACATTTCTATATCAAGGTATATTGCTAGGCAATTATCTGGTGAACAAAATGATTTGCTTCTTTGCTCTATGAAACTGGTTTTCTAATGGGGAAAACAGGTATTAGGTACAGGAGCAAATAAATACATTTACACTTATAAGTAAGTTTTACAAAGAAAACAACGGGTGCTAGAAATGGAAAATAATATAAGAATTAAGTGAGGGCACCTGCATATATGGGATACTCAAGAAAGAATCTCTTTAGAGATGGCCTAATTTGTCACTGCTTAGTGCTAATGGGAAAATTTAAAACAACACTTTTCTCAATGTCCTTCTATAATTAGTTGAGTATAATATAAGAAATACGCAGTTTTGAATCGATAACTGAACATCTAACTACACACTGTTGAAAATGCTGACCGAGAAACGGAAGACGTAAGGAGTAACTCTTGTGTTCCAGAAGTTCATTGTCTTTTTAATTCTCTATTATTCATGTTCTGGTATAAAATTTGACCCAGTTTTATGGGCATGTGGAACCAGGTTGTTCTCTTATCTCATGTCTTATAGGTGTACTTGATCCTGTTTTTTCTGCAATGCTTTAGATTGGGGATAGATTTGATTTTCAGTTGTACTGAGTCATCTAGGGAGTTTTTAAAAATATACACTCTTTCCTCTTTATTTCTCCCTGTTCATGGTTTAAAGTGTACAAAAACTAAAATTACTAAGAACCTAAAATCTAAACATCTTTCTTTTGTATGAGCTCAACCTCTCTGGACTCCTAAAAGACAAGTCATCAGATCAATATTTCTCCTTTCAGACATGCAAATTAGATAAATACTTACTCTTTATTTTTGTGTAAAAGGGTTTTAATTTATGTGATACAGAATACATGACGTCAGAAATGAAAAGCAATGGTCAAGAGAGTGATGGAATAAAGAGATTGAACTCTATATTTATATATATATATAAAGCATCTAGAAGAGTTTATAGTACATGAAAGTGGTGTATAAGGGTGGCTATTTGTTATGCAAACTTGAAAAAAATGACTTGTAAAAGACTTTTCATAATTTGGTATCATATGATTTCTTGGCTCATCTCTTTATATTCTCCTACGCTTGTGCCCGGTGCTACAGGCATTTCTATTACTTTTTCTTAACAAGTCATTATGCCTGCATCAATTTTAGAGATAGCCGACTCAGATGTGTAACCAAATCGTGAGGAGGCCTTGGGCAATTTATGCAAATTACCAGTGTTTCAGATTTTTTTGTCTGTGATACAGAAATATTAATGTCTAATTTATAGCAGTAATGTGAGAATCAGGAATATCTGCTGAATATCATGCACATGATGGCAATAAATAAATAGTAGCTATTAATATTTACTATAGTAAAAATTTATACTTAATTTAATATTTACTAAGAACATCATGTTTTAGAGTTTGACAGTTTTAATTTCAAATTCCAGCTTTATTTCCTAAACTATTTGAGCCTCAGTTTTCTCATCTAAAAATGAGTCTAATATATTTATTGCATAGATTTATAGTGAAGATTAAATGAGAAAATGAATATAAATTGAAAATAAATAGAAGCTATAAGTAATTCTTAGTATTGATAGCAATAACATCACCAATACTGTCTTTAGTAGTAGTATCATGTTATTTTAATTTTTCCCATGTCATATTTAGAGTATGAGTTGATTTAGACAGAATTGCTTCTATATAGGCAAATTTATGTGATAATATTAGAGCAGGTAACATTAATATGATATTTAACCAAGGGTTCCAGGATTACAAATTTTCTTTTGAACCATTCATCCCATCTAAATGGGAGAAATCTATCTACATAGAATGATGCTGGCAAGGCGTAAGTTATTACCTACAGAGACTTTTGCCATAAATAACTTACAGAACTTTAATAAACTAGGCTAGGCTACAATGAGAAATAAATACTCTGCTTAGTCATGATAGTCTAAAAGGCAAACAGCTACAAGTGGCTAGAAAACAAACTCCAGACAAGTATTTGAGATATGCTTAATGAATACCACATCTTTATCCATTCTTCCTGCTGTGAGAAGCAATCAGTAATGAGGAAAGAAAAACACTAAATTTTTCTCCCTAATATCTCCCAGGTTGGAACTAGGGCAGAAGATCCTCCTACAAAGCCATGAGGAGTGTACACGGCCCTCCTAATAAACAAAGATCAGGAGAGATTACCTTACATAGACTCTTAGACACATGGTTGTGTGCAACTGTGACTGCACATTAGGTTCCCCTGGGGAAATAGAAAAAATATATATATAGTTGGCCCTCTGTATCTGTGGGTTCCACATCTGTGGATTCAACCAATTGTGGATCAAAAATGTTTGTAAAATAAAAATTGCATCTGTACTGAATGTGTAGATAATTTTTTCTTCTTATTCTTTAAACAATACTATATAACAACTATATGCATAGCATTCACATTGTATTAGGTACTCAATACAATTTTTCTACATTGTATTAATAATCTAGAGATAATTTAAACAGGAGGATGTGGGTAGGTTATATAAAAATACTACACCATTTTATATAAGGGACTTGAGCATCCATGGATTTTGGTATTTGAGGGGGTCCTGGAACCAATTTCTCATGAATACCAAGGAACAATTATATGAAATTAAAATATAGATACCCTAGCTCTACCACAAAACAATTCCAACTGTATGTCTGAGGATGTGGCTCATTCTGTCTGGTATTTGAAAAAGTCCTCCCTGTGACTCTAATTGAAGCCAGGGTTGAGAATTACAACTTAGCTCTTCCATTTCACAAGCAAAAGCCCTCTCCTGTATTACAGTAGCAAATACATTCTCATTAACTGCCTACTCATAGAGTCACAGCAGTATTTGTATTTTATTTCTTGAAGTATGAGGTAGGGCTGAGGGGAGAAAATGTTGGGGCTCTTCCATAATGATACTTTGTAGATATCAATAAATGTTCACTAAATGGATGATTTTTAAAAAGTAGATCAAATCTTAATATTTAGAAGAGAGAAAGGAGGGTGTGGCAAAGGAGGTGACCATTTGAATCAGAGTTGCTGTGCTACTGAGTAATGTCAGGTGATGTCAAGAGAAATTATTTGTTTTAAGAAATTTATTAAATTCTATTCAGTTGAGACAATTATACAGCAATAAAAACAAACTATAATTTAAGAAATAAGTAGAAAAATTTGTAAAGTTGACCAATAACTAAAAATACTTAACAAGTAGAAATGGTATGAGTTTCAAATATATTTTAACAGACAACATCAGCCTGAAAATATCTGTCTTCTTGGTCCCTCATTGAACATTCATTCGGAATATTTTTATATAAATGCTTCACTTCAGTTTTAAATTCCAAGAGTCAGAAAGTGTTCCTTTAACTGTTTTATATTTTCCATTTTCTCCTCCCTCACTCCCTCCCTTTCCTCCCTCCCTCCCTCACTCCCGGCTTGCTTGCTTGCTTGCTTCCTTCCTTCCATCCTTCCTTCCTTCCTTCCTTCCTTCCTTCCTTCCTTCCTTCCTTCCTTCCTTCCTCCTTTCCTCTGCATTCTAATACAAATAGCATAGTTTATGCTATACATAATTTAATTATGTTGTTGAACTAGTGGCCAAAACTTAAACAATGGTTTAGTGAAACCTGGTATTAAAGAAAGAATTCATCAGGAGCAAATATTTAGGGCTTAGATTATAGAAGTTGAATGAAAGCAGCAACAAATGAATTATTTTCTCTATAGTATCTTAATAAATGAATGTTTTTCTGCCCCCTTCATCAACACAAAAACTACTAACCAACCTTTTCATTCTCTATACTTTAACCATACTGATTATCCCTCTCTTCCTTAAAGTCCCACATTGCCTATTTTTAGTTGAATTTTATCAATGAAAATCTGCACTGGATAGAGGTAAATAAGCAAGAGAGACTTTATTTGAAACTCTTGCATTAGAGAAGAGAGACTATGGCCATACAGAAGAGTGGCTGAACTCAGCTCAGCTGAAACAAAAGGCAGGAGGGTTTGTAAAGCTGAGGTGAGCTCATGGAAAAGCACTAAAGGACACTAGGTGGGATGTAGTCAATGTTGTTAGGCCATCTGTGTTTGCTAATTATCCTTATCTAAGTTAGGCTTCTACCCTCCCACAGAAACTGGGAGATAGATTGGGGTACTATGTCGTTTGGTAATTGCATTGCAAAGGGGTGGCTCCTAGGTTCTTGAGAAAAACATTTATTTTTGTGAAAACTGGGAAGAGGATGGGAGAACATTTAGATGTCAAAGGAGGCAGGGAAAGAATTTGTAATTATAAGTTTGCTAAAGTAAATGCTCAAATAAAAGGTCAGGGACCTAGAGTCAGTAGAAAGCCCATCTAAAATTTAGTCAAGCTGTGGGGCCATCTTGGTCAGCGTTGCATATTTTTGTCTCACTCTCATTTTGAGGTTTTGGCTTATATGTCAATTTTCCAATTTTTTTTCCCTAATTTCCAAAGCTAGGCTAGCATCCTTGCAGATACCAGGATGAGATCACAGCCATCACACTCAGACAAAATAGGGCTGGGAAGGCATGAAGACAGAGGAGGCTCACACTTTCATGTGTGAGATAGAATCTGTTTCCAAGGATTTTCTAAAATCCCCACAAGAAATCCCTTCATGTCCTTCATGCATCTCCTTTACATGGCTTGCATATTTTGCACATATACATATGCTTCTATGACGTTTAATCTCTAGGAATTCTTCAGGCCTGCAGTAATTTAGATAAGATGCTCTCAAAATGACACTTGCCCAGTAATGGCATCTCCACCAATGAATAGATGACAACTCTGGTTTTGAGCTTCTGGACCAATGAACTCTTGTTCTAAGCAGTTTCTGTGAACCTCTTCCTTTTTGCCAATAAAAACTTGCCTTTAATCTTCCAACACCAGATGCGCTTTTGGTTTGCCATTCCATGCATTCCAATTTTAATTCTCATTTCTCAGTCTTAAATAAAAACATATTTGGAGATATTTTTCTCAAATTTATTTTTAGTTTGACACTCCCAAGCTATGTTTTCTCATCATATTTTTCTATTTGTTTTATAGTTCTCATCATACTTATAACTGTGCAGTTGCTTTCACTATTAGATAACAAGGTCCATGAAGGTAAATATGTCTTCCTGAATCTCCATGTAGCTTGTGGGCCCAGCAAATTGCCTAGTATATTGTAATTCAAATAAGCA
The DNA here is from genome assembly GCF_000001405.40 of Homo sapiens. Taxonomy (NCBI): domain Eukaryota; kingdom Metazoa; phylum Chordata; class Mammalia; order Primates; family Hominidae; genus Homo; species Homo sapiens. Next base: position 102,187,126 of record NC_000001.11, read on the forward strand.
TTAAATAAACGTATGCAAAAAATTTCTTCCCTGATTCTGGAACCAGGAACCTAATAACTAGAGGGACTATTAACTCAGTTTGCCTGGTTTATGACTGGTGTCCTAGGCATCCTGAAAATTTAACCTCTGTCCAACTTCCTTTAATTCTCAAAAGGGTACCACGGTGGAAAGATATGTTAAATAGTCCTCCTACAATAACCTTTGCCCAGAGATTCTGTCTGACAAGAAACTGATGCCCACTCAAATTAATAATGGCTGCAATTGAGCCAAAAACCTATAGTCAGAGATTTCCCTAATGTTTCTGCTCTTGGAGAAACCCCGAGCCCTTGACATGCAAAGTAATTGGTAAGGGAAAATGAGCACCAATCTCCATCTGAATATCAGTTTACTACCAATGTTATTCTGATGATGTGCCTACATAAGACATACTGGTCATTCTAGGTAGCAGAGGGTGGAAAAATATTAATTAGCTGTGGGTACACGAGGGACAGCAGAGAATTCCAGTGGAAAAATATTCAAATAGGCATAGCAAGTTCAGGTAACTTTTGGCTAATCACAGAAACCTAAAGTTGTTCAATGTGATAGGTAATGCCTGCAGAAAATGATACTCAAAAAAAACAGATAACATTTGGGTTAAAAAAATCAATAATTTCAGACAATCTTTTCATTTAATAGAGGGATGTCTGTGACTGGAGGTATAGGGGGCGAGAATTAACACCCCAGTGTAGAAGATTAGAAAGTACCTGTCATGGCATTGGTGTTGCTGCTAAGGGAACTGAGCTTAATGCCTCTGAGTTGCAGTCCATAGGAAGTAAATTGCTAGATAAGGAAAAGTTAGAAGAGATTGCAAGATAGGAAAGAAAGGTACAATAAATTCCCTGCACAATCAGTCATTAAATATGAAATTGCTGATTTATTCTCTATTTCTGGACTGGCTGAGTACACGGTACAGTTAAAACTGCATTTGGACAAAAAGAGTAACTCCAAATAGAAGAAGCTTGGGAAAGCAGGGCTTATTTTTTTCTGTTTCTATAGGGAGATTCTTTTGGAATGTTTTCTAGAAATCCTACCTTCATATTATATCTCATAGGGTAGATTTACTTTTGTTAGCATTATATCCTGACAAAGTCTATATATAAATTATTCTTTGTGCAATAAATGATTAAATCAGATGTCCTTTTAATTGCTTCTATCTTGGGAATCCAATACAATTTATAGGGGTGTAGTAACTTTCAAAAAAAAAAGAATTGTGGTTTGGGGAGTTGGGGTTCCCAGCTGCCCCCAACTACTCTCATCTGCCTTCTTGCAGGGGAGAAATGTCCCTGAAGTAGGGCCAGCTAACCAACTTACAAATAAGAACTGCGAGTATATGTTCTTCCAGATTCTTTTCTGTATATAGACTATATATACAAGTTATACTTGTGTACTTTGTTTTGTGTGGGTTTTTTTTTTTTGCAAAAATGTGCCTTGCTGATCAGTGAAATAGGTTATCAAGGTAAGATTTCAAAGATATATGAATGTTATGATCTACTTCTTTTCCTCAAATTAAAATTTAGCTTTTCATCACGTACAAGTTTATGTAACAGTATTGAAACCTAGTGCCTTTACTCTTTCAGTGTGCCATACAAAGGTCTCAGACTTTCATTTGATAAAAGGGACATAATGTCATTGAACATTAATAATGTTCTAATTTCTAGATAAAAAAGGATACATACATTAGAAAAATAATGGGGCTTATATTAAATATCACTCTAGACCTCAGAGCTATTACTCACCACATTCCACTTGTTCAAATATGACCTCCATGACTCTTTCATTGCACTGAATTCTGATCACCCATTATGCAAAGCATAATTGCAACTCAGGGAAGTAAAACAATATTAATCAGGGATAACATTGTAATGGACTTTGACCTATAGGTATAAATCTAATAAATGTGTAGGAATTTTTTCTATAATGTAATGAATTCTTTCTTATATCATTACTCATGGGACCAATGTGAAATCATAATAAGAATATTTAAGGCACTTAATGAGACAGATAAGGAATTATTCTATATTTTTAATTTCATAATTATTTTAATACCCCAAATTAAGGGTATACATTAAGACACATCCATTAAAGCCTGTCAGTCTTATTCCTCCAGAATAATGTGATGAAAGAGTAGAAGCAGAGGAAATCAGATAAAATTAAGTGAAGAAAATGTTAGGCTGACTATCAAAGAAGCAATATCCAAATGATTAAATCAGATGGATTGGGAAACAGTCTATTAAGTGCAGTGGTTAGAAGTATCTTCTCTTGGGCCATAAAAATAGACTGCACTAAGCACTTTACCAAAGGGAACCGCTCTTCAATGGCTTTACTAAACACAAGTTATCTCAGTCTTTGAGTTCAAGCAACCCTATCATCTCTGTTTCTACTTTTCTGGCACCTATTCACCATTTATTCACTGATCCAAATTCAGATCTTTGCCAACTCACATTGCTTCTTCTTGGAATCAGTCAATGTAGTGCTATAAGTATTAAAGTAATAATTTATGTAGACCCATAAACTTATAAAAATGTTATTAGAAATTATGTGTTCAGTCCACTTAATTGATAAACAGAACATCAAATAAGCAGTAAAATAGTGAGGCAATTTATTAACAAGACCATGTTATTACTTAGTAACACTGACTTTTAAATATTTTTGGCCTCTCATAGTCTTCATTAGTACCCATTTTCAATGGCGAAACATACAACATTTTATGTAAATTTAAGTGACTTATTAAAGGCTGATGTTAAATAATTTTCTAAATATATTGTTGAGGAAAAGATAAAAGAGTAGCTATCTAAGAACCTGATGACTACTGTTTTCTCTGGGGATCAAGATTGAGAATTATGAATATAGAATAAATCAGGGCTTACTTTTCATTGTATATTTTCTCATGGAATTTAAAGGATTTATCCCATGGATATACTGCCTTAGAACTATATCTGAAAGGATATCCAGTCATGAATGAAAAGTGAAAAAAATCCTTAAAGAAACAAAACAGAAATATTTTTAGAAAGATATTCCTTCAATCTAATAGGGAACTCAATTAGGAATTAAATTCCTAGATATAACATAGAAACAAAATTAGTTGTGAACAATTATTTGAAATTGAAGATCTTAGGGTACTTGTGTTTTTCTAATAAAAATGCTTTCAAGCAACAGATGTTATTTGTATTCTCACTAGTAATTCAGTAAGTGGAACATCAATAACAAAAGCTAACTAACTCTAATACTTTAAAGCACCTAAAATTTAGATTTTTACAAATATCATTCATCACATGTAACTCAGTTTCTCAGAAACACTTATGTTTCTTTCTGTGTGGCTATTGAGGATGTCTATCAAAATGGTTTAGCATTTTTCCATTCAACCCTCTTCATCATGATTATGTCTACTGTTTATGCAGTTTGGCAAGCTAGTGTCTGAGGTCATATTTAGAAAGTTCTAGATGCCTTAAGAATAATAAATGGCTATTTACCTTGGCCCATGGCTACCTACTACTCTCAAGGTTCATTTCCCTTTTATTTACTTGAACGTGGTATTGACATGTTTGCTTTTGCTCCTTCTAAATTTGCTTTCATTCTATTGTGTTTGGAGTGAAGGAAATCTTTAGAGATATCTAGGAAATAAAAGCAAGTGGAGGCCTTGAGGGATATTTAGGAAGTATACTTTAAAAGTATGAATGAAAAGGAGCTTTCAAGGATTACTTATGGGGTATTTTATTCATAATTTCACCTGAATCACCTAGCACATCTCATATCTATTAGATGCTTAGTCAGTCTTTTTGAATACATGAATGAGTAAATTATTAAAGTATTTTAATTATGTATTTATATAATGTCACATACACATTAAAGCCTTTAAGACTGCAAGAAAACTTTTTTTGGTTGTTTTTGTTCTGTTGTTGTTATGTGAAATGAATCAACAAAAAGGTAAGAGAAAGTAGAGACAGGTGCTATTATGTAGAACTGGTAAGTCACACTAAAGAATTATCCCAGGTTTCTCTTTATAAACATTTGAAAGAGTGCCCCTTTTAGGGATACTCTGCTCCCTTCTAAGATTTTGACTTACTGACATTTTCTCTTGTCACACAATCACCTGCCATCAACCTTTACCATCTTCCCATGACTTTGTCACCCAAAGCATGAATGAAACCATCATGTGTTCATGACGATCTAGTACTGACCCATTCATTACCTGCTTAACCCCTAAAATTAATCATGCCTGATTTTAATCTGCTAGCACCTATCATTTCTGGGATACAGCATATAGAAGGTTTTGGTTTTCTTTTAGCTCCTCTCATTTCTGCCTTTAAGTTATTGTCCCCTCCTTTTCAAAACTTCACTATCTAATAAACTGTATAAAATGAATTCATGGAATATGTGAGAGAGGGGCCTATACACCTATACACCCTGAAATCTAGAAGACCACCTAAAAATAATACATATCCAAAATGCTTTCACTGAATAGGTAAATATTTGTGACAAGTTTCTACCATCTTATAATTTTACGTTCCTCTCTGTGCAACTATAGGGACAAAGTGGCATATCCTGTACATGGGCTTATAAGCCTGGAAACAGCTAGCTGAGCTGTTTCCCATTAGAGATTTGACCCTCCCAAATGAAAAAACAAAACAAAACAAAAAGCAAAAAAAAAACAAACCTGTGCTTCCTACCTTGTTACAGGTCTTCCATGTACAAACTCTCAGGAACAAGCAATGGCTGAACATGTCACACTATTTATTGGCCTCCACATCTCCCAACACAATGGCTCCCTCCAGTGTTCAACACTTAGCACATTATTGGCAAGAGTTTGAGTGGTATTCCAAGACCTGTACTTAGGACTGCCACAGACTGACACCCAGTTTGCATCACCGTTTCTAATGCCATCCGTAATTTGTTTTTAAATAAATTCCTTAAGGATCCTATGCTTTTTATGCCAACAAATACCAGAAATACTGAGTTCTCATCTTTTGTATAGCTGAGGGTGATGCATGTATATATATATATACACACACATGAAAGTGAGGCTTGAGGCTTTATACAGTGAAGAAGAATATACACATTTTTCTTTCTTTCAAACTTGGCAGGAAGCACAGACTGATAACTGAGCCTGCTCTCATAGCCAAGGGATGTAATATAAGGGGGAATACAAGGTCATCAAGTGGTTTTAAACAGCTTATTTTTTTTTGTACTTCAATTTGGTAGTAGCTGACCAATGTGGTTAAGTATCATCTTCAGTCTATAATGGGAATCAATAGTTAATTCCATGATAATATTTGGCTCTTCTTCCAAAACCTCACTTTCTACCAAACTGTGACATTCTATTATTTTAGTATTTCAAAGTCCGCACATAAACTCTGGTTCGAAAATTATTCAAAGGTTATAAGAGGAACTTATCAACATCACTATCAACCTTCACTCTCTTCAGCATTTTAGATTTAATAAACCTCAGTATGAAAATAGAGCCATGAAAGTACCTGTCACCTCCTTATCAGAATTGCTAAACTGACTGAGAAACATATTCACACTGCAAGCTAATTAATCTGACTGCAAGTTGGCAGGTGCAATACAGGTATGCTTCTGGGAAGCTTGGATTGTACTAAAACAAAACACTTCATTATGTTTTCCAGTGGGGTCGTTAACCATCAGGCCAACTCAGCGAGGAAGAAAAGTTCAATTTTCTGACTTATTCAAGCCACAATAAAAAATGTCGTATATCTTATTACCAGATCCTAGCAAATCAATGAAAGTTATTTAAGATGGTGAATATAGTCTACCAGGAATTTGGTTGTCTCTTATTTGAAAAAATATCTTTGGGTATCTGCTCTCTATGACAACTAATCTCTGGCCAAGAAATTTCCTTGAGCGATTGAAGGATTATTACATTCAATCTCACTCAAATACGTTCGGAATTCCATCACATTTTATTTTCTTTCTTGAGAAAGGGTCTCACTCCCGTCACCCAGGCTGGGGTGCAGTGGTGTGATCACAGCTCACTGCAGCCTTGATTTTCCAGGCTCAAGTGATCTTCCCACCTCAGCCTCCTAAGTAGTTGGGACCACAGGCACATGCCACCATGCCTGGCTAATTTTTGTATGCTTTGTAGAGACGGGGTTTTGTCGTGTTGCCAGGCTGGTCTCAAACTCCTGGGCTCAAGTGATCCACCCACCTCAGCCTCCCAAAGGGCTGGGACTATAGGCATGAACCACCACGACCAGCTGGAATGTGTTTTTCTATAACAAACATAGCTTTCACCCCATGCCCCTGACCTTAGGCTATCAAGGAATAATTAGTGTTTTAAAGTTGGGCTCTGTGACTACAAGCATTTTAGGCTTCCAACCTCAGGTACTTTTAAAATGATAGATGATTTCTGGAACTATTGAGACATCTGAGCAATTTAAGAAAAATTCACTTAAAATCTTTATACATTTCTCCAGCAATGACTACCTAAAATAACCTAGATATGCTTGTCCAATTATTATATTAAAACCTCAAAACAGACTAGAAGATTAAAAGATCACTAGATTACTATATGGAAACAATCTATCCTAACACTCTACAGCTTTGCTCTTATGTTCACTTCACTGCTATAAAAGGGCATACTACTTTACAGAACACTAGACTTGTAAGTGATTTTACTCTGGAGTAATCTTTCCAAGGCATACTTGGACATTTTTTGAATGAAACTAGAACTAATATAAAAATCTCTCTTCTATAGTAACATTACAGCATTGCGGTTTCCAAACCAGGATTCTAGTTTGGTTCTGAGCATTTGTAACTCTAATTTAAGCAATATAGGTAAATAGACAAGGTTTATTGTTATCTAAATTATGACATTGTCACAGAAAATTTCTGAGTCAGTCATTTATTTGTGGGCCAACTGGAATCTTAGAGCCAAAGCTCTGACAGCCTGTAACTTCCAATTGCTATTTTATAAGGATGTATTGAGACTATAAACAAATGACATTTTTATGGAAATCTAATACTGATCTCCAGACATTTATCTGAAGGTTCTTTTTTAGATCCCTAGCTTCTCTAGATACTGGTTGAGTAAGAAATCATGCAGGGTGAAAACTGTATTTGATACGAGAAAAAAATGTTGTGAATAGAGGTAGCAGTGATCGTTTTAGAGATAATTCAGCTTTAGCTAGCATGGTGGACTAAGCATCTTTTGGCACTACATCTAGGATTTGGAACTATAGCTTCTAAAACTGGGCTGGGGAAATGAACTTTAATTACTATAAACAAAGTCTATATGTGGGACTAAAGAGTTCATGGAAGGGGAAGGTTTCTTGATGAAGCAAATGACACTAATGATAGAGGCAGGAGACAGCCAAAAACCTAGGCATATAGGAAAGGTCCCAGAGAATCTCCACCCTGCCTCACAAATGTTTACACCAGATGTCTTGTGCAGATAAGGGAAGCTGCACAGGGGGCTTTCCTGGGCATGTCGATAGCGGACTGGATGGAGGCCCGTGTGCACTGGGGGAATGGGGTGGAGCCACCAGGAATTCACACTTTATGGAGGGAATGAGCCTGGCCTCGTCAGCTCGTGTATGGTGGCCCAAGTATTCAATTTGTGAGGTGGAAATCTATTTGCAGGACCACCACGTCTGCATGCCTAATTCTCCCTGGTCATGAGACAAGAACCCAGATTAGCTGAGCTAAGGAGCAAAAAGTCCTGCATCACTTCATTCCACTATTGCAGAAGAGATGAGATGCTAAAGCATAGATTGAAATGTGCCATTTGTATAAGAATGTCTACCAGCACCAGAAAATGTTGTAACCTCGGATGAAGAACAGGGCAGAGAGATAATCAAATGGTGCTATGGTCTGGATGTTTTTGTCCTCCCCCAAATTTGTATGTCCAAACCTAATTACCAATGTGATGGTTTTAGAAGGTAAGGTCTTTGAGAGTTAATTAGGTCATGAATAAGATTAATGCTCTTATAAAAGAAGCCCCAGAGAGTTGCCTTGCTCTTTCCTCATGTGAAAAAGCAGTGAGAAGACGCTTTCTATGAACCAGGAAGTGGGCCCTCACTAGACACTAGACATGGTGACATGGTCTTGAACTTCTCAGCCAAGAGAATTGTGAGAAATGCATTTCTGTTTTTTATGAACAACCTGGTCTATGGTATTTTGTTACAATGGCTCAAATGGACTAAGACAAATGGATTGGCTAGGAAAGACTAAAAAGTGTTAAACTGAGTCAACTTCTTTTAAGCTAGTAACCTTATAAAAGTTATGTAAATATTATAAATCTCAGTTATCTCAAGGTGAAAAAAAACCTATGTCACACATTGTAGGAGTAGATAAATATCCTAAATTATAGAAGAAGGATGTTTTAAGTTGTTGAATTTCTTATTACTAGTTATTCAAATATTTAAACCAAATAATTCTTCTAGTTCTATTTCTTTTCTCATTCAGGATATTTCATTTATAGCATCCTACAACTTCAGGAAAGAAGAAAATCCACTTTAGGCAATCAGATAAAGAAGAGGATAATATATTACTAAATTATGTATTTTAATATTGTTTGCTTGAGGCTTTAGAGATAAAAAGATTCTTTGCATTGTAGATTTGATTTCCTTTATCTCATGGAAATTTCTTGAGTTTTTAAGTACTATATAAAAATTAATTGTATGAAAAGCTATTGCAAAATGATCTGAATCTAGCATCACAAAGGAATATCTGCATTTGTCTCTTTAACTTTGGATTTTTTTCTAAACAAAATTTATTTTTGAAATATCTAATTATGAGTTATCAAGGGAAAATATCTTTATTCATTGAATAATTAGAGAAATGTTAATATACTCAGTGTAGATATTTTTGTTAGGCTGCGATTGATTTTGAACATAGTAAAGAAGAAACTATTACTCTGGGCTGATAATTTACAACCTAAATTCTGAAAATTGAAGTTTTTAATTTTTTTTAACTTTAGAAGTGCAATTCTGAAATGGTTGTATATATCAACTTTCCCGTAATGGAAAAGAATAGCTCTTCAAAAAATCATGTCTTAAACTGACATTATAATGGTTTTTTAGACAATTTACTTTCTTTTTGTCATATCCACATTATCAAAATGTAAACCTCAAACACTCACTTAACTTCAACAAATGACAACGTGCTGACCCTCAAAAAAATTGTAGTAACAGCTTTACAAAATCAGAACTTTACTATACCAGTCAAAAATCAATGTACTCTGAAGACAGCAACTATGGGAGATCTCATGAACCATATATCACAAATTTCCACAGTGGGAACTGTAGTGACATTGGATGGTATTGTGTTCAAAACCCTTAGTGAGAGTTGGTCTCATTTTTATGGATGGCTGCAAAGTCTATTACACTTAACGGTGATTTCCTCTAAACAATGATCTACAAATGAATGCCAGATATGATAATAAATTTCTGTATTAAAAGACTACTGACAATTGGTTCAGAAAGCAAGTATTTTTCTTCCTTCCTAGGAATTGCTAACATGGTAATATTAATACTTGAAAGTGTCAACTGCTTAATGAAATTTTGCCCACATAGATTACCAAGCTTTCTTAAATGTTAGAGGCTATTTTTAGGAGTAAATTTACTACACTTAGGATTTTTAATATTGATATATACATTTATTTATGGTTTAAGAATATATGTTACCATATAGAAATGGCATTGTGTACGACTGTGATGACAATCAATATTTGGATATACATATTATAAACATTAACTACTTTTTTTGAACTAAAATATAATTAGATAAACAAAGGTTATATGATAGAATTGTTTGGTTTTAAATATTAAATGAAGTGTGAATAAAAATTGTCGATCATCTTTTGAATTATTTGTACCATAGCAATCCTCATAGGCTTTCCAAAGACCTTTGTGTTAAAATACAAACCTAATGTGGTCATCAAAAGCCATAAATAAAAGAGCTGTCAAGTAAAGTTGATGAAAAAGAGAAATGATACAAAAGGCAGCGTCAGGTACAATTATGAATATGTCAATATAAAAAAATCATTTCCCTTGATGTGATATTATTAGAGTGTGATACTAATTACTAAAACTAGGATTATAAAGATTTATTAACCTCTAGAATGGTTTGCCAAGAAGTTTCTTATAAATTAAACTATGGTGTACTCCTTGTTGAAAAAAGTTTTTGGTGATAGACTTTGGAGGATTTTCTAATTTTTTCATATTGGAAGATGAAGTTGATTTAGAAAATCATCACCGAATGTATTTCTGTTTTTCTCCATATAGCCTTGTAATATATCTGAAAACATATTATGTAATATATGTGATGTGTAATATATGTGGAAACACAGCTAACTTACTTAGAGCTGCGTATTGTGTTGTTTTTGGTTTATATGTCACCAAACAATTGACATGTAGTCATCATATGGGTAGGCACCATTCTATTCCTAGATCCTAACACAGGGCTTGTTGCTATAATTGCTTGTAATTTATTGTAATTGCTCAATAAATTCCTATTATTTGCTTTAATGGAGACTTTGGATAAAACCAAGAAGAAAAAACCATGTATTTATACCTTCTATGAGGTAAGTGTGGTTAATTTTAACAATAAATTTATGGTATGATGATACTTTACAATTTCATAATTTTGTTTTAACCTAACCCTCATGAAATTATTCCCATATTTATTTCAGGATAGGTTTTCTTTTTCACAGTAATTGGTATAATTTTTCTAGCGGTCCTCAAGCACACATACACATCTCAAGAATAATGGTAAAAATTTTAAGTTTTATGATACTACTGTTATTTTATTACTATGTGCTATAATTCATATTTTAAGGGTATTATTCTTGTTAACATGTTAATGTTAATTCAGTCATCTCATTTAATCATAAATGTTCTTAATAAAAAGTTTTATTATCTATATTATTTGTATCAACTCTAATGAACCAATACAATCTTTATTTATTTATGGGGATATGATTTCTTACTTGATTGATAATCTTGTCAAAATATTTATAAATATTTATCCTGGTCTTCACTGTATGATACTTGAGCATCTACTGTATATATATCAATCACTATTTTAGGTATGGGAAAAATAAAATGACTAAAAAAGAAAAGTCCTCTTGTTGCATGAAAGAAGAGGCAATAAATAAAATTTAAAATACATAAGTTAGTAATAGGAGTGAATCTGCTCTGATAAAACAAAAACAGAAAAAAAGTAGAAAAATAAAAGTTGATGAGGTTAAAATTAAGATTTCAGTCAAGTTTATCTGAAATTTGTGGTTGGCCTGAAAAGAATGAAACAATTCCAAATTTTCATTGGTATTGTTCTGTATTTTTAAAAAATATTTTCTTGTAAAGTAGAAAATTTTTATGTTCAGATAACATGTTGTCCTAAAATTTTTATAGGCTTCTATTTCTAATACAGTGACTAGGCAAGTCTTTCCAAAACTTCCGTTGAAATAGATAAGCAAAGCTGAATAACATATTTTAAAATAACCTCAAAAGTATCAAAGAGCTAAAATAATAGTGGAGAACTTACAGAACAGCCTGAACCCAAAGATGTGACTAAAGAAAATATTTCTATGGTGTTGAGCAAAGAAGGAAAAACAAAAGAATTTTGAAGAAAAGAAAATTGTCCCCCAGAAATTGTGGCCGATACCATGATTAACTTAAGCAATGAAATTAGTACCAAACCAGTTGTATCCTCAATACCTGGCAGAAGTAAACAAGAATATTCTCAGGAGGAAATAACTTTCTAGGCCACAGAAACCTCCATATGTAACATTGAGTCAAAGATAAAAAGGCATAAAATTAAACAAATCACCAAGAGTTATAACAAGCAGATAAAAGTAGAGAGTAGAAAAAGAATTGCTTATATTTTATATATTCTAATTATTCATGCTTACCTTGCTAAAAGAGAAAAAGAGAAAAGTTGAATAATATTTGTAAGAACCAGAAAATTATGAAAAGGGTCATAAAAGATTTAAAGTAAAAATTTAGAAACTATAAATTTAGTTTAAATTTAACAACAAAAAAACTTCATTGAAAATATCTGGCAGTAAATTTGGTACAGCAGAAAAAAAGAATTAATTGGCTTATGCTACCAAGTAGCATATAATAGCTCATTTTTGACCAATGTACCCATGACATGGATTGATGCAATTAGTACCTTACCCTTTTATGCCTAACAAAATAAAGAGTGAACCCTTTTTTTTTGGAAGATATATTATCTGAACTTTCTATGGTTGTTAAATAAACATTGTCTAAAAGCAATCAAGAATTACTAGAATTTCATTTTGTAGAATGCATTCTTATTTCAGTCTAGTACAAATTATTACTTTACCTTGCCACTGCTAATATCTTGATTCTACCAGAATCTTGAAATACAATAAAGGATTAGAATGACAAATCAAATTCACACAAATAAAAGATATTACTACAAATCAAGATTTACTAATAATTTAAAGAATAAAAGTAGTTTGGGTAACAATAGAAGCAGGAAGAGCCCCAGGACTACCAACACAGTTCTCCAGCTACTTTCTTGCCACATCAAGGTATGTCTGGCCCAGATTAAATATTAAGATATCCAAGTATGCTTGTAGTCACATAACTTATACCAAAAGGAGTTTATTCTTTCTTAGGAAACATCTCCATTTTACACAGATACTGTATTAGTCCATTCTTGCATTGCTATAAAGAAATGTCTGAGACTGGGTAATTTGTAAAGAAAAGGGGTGTGATTCCTCATGGTTCTGCAGGCTGTACAGAAAGCTGGCGAAAGAGGCATCAGGTAACTTGCAGTCACGTGGAAGGTGAAGGGGAAGCAGGCACGTTTTACATTGCTGGAGCAGGAGGAAGTGTGGCAGGGTGCTGCAACAAGATATGATGATAACTTACTCACTCACTATCACTAGAAGAGCACCAAAGTGGTGGTTCTAAACCATTCTTGAAAGATCTACCCGTCATGATCCAATCAGCTCCCACTAGGCCCCACCTCCAACACTGGGGATTACAATTTGACATAAGATTTTGGTGGGGACACAGATCCAAACCATATCATTGCACCCCAGCCCCTCCCAAACCTCATGTCCTTCTCACATTGCAAAATCTATTCATGCCTTCCCAACAGTCCCCTGAAGTCTTACTCATTCCAGCATTAACTCAAAAGTCCAAAGTCCAAAGTCTCATCTGAGACAAGACCTTCTTTATATAAGCCTGTAAAATTAAAAATAAGTTAGTTACTTCCAAAACCAATGGAGGTATAGGCAAATGGGGTAAAAACTCCCCTTCCAAGAGGAAGAAATCTGCCAAAAGGAAAAGGCTACAGGCCCATGCAAGTCCCAAAACCAGCAGGGCAGTCGTTAAATCTTAAAGCTCCAAAGTAATCTCATTTGACTCCATGTCTCCATCCAGGACACACTGATGCAAGGGGTGGGCTCCAAAGGCCTTGGGCAGCTCAGCCCCAAGTCTTTGCAGAATACAGTGCCGCAGCTGCTTTCATGGGCTGGGATTGAGTACCTATGGCTCTTTCAGGTGTACGGTGAAAGCTGCTGGTGGATCTACCATTCTGGGGTCTGGAGGACCGTGGCCCCCTTCTCACAGCTCCACTAGGAAGTTCCTCCATGGGAACTCTGTGTGGGAGCTCCAACTCCACATATCCCCTCTGCAGTGCCCTAGTAGAGGTTCTCCATGAGGACTCTACCCCTGCAGCTGGCTTCTGCCCAGACATCCAGGCTTTTCCATACATTCTCTGAAATCTAAGTAGAGACTTCGAAGCCTCAACTCTTGCACTGCAGGAAAACTTCTGGTCAGAATTTACCAATAATCTATGATCTAGCAATTCTAGTACTAAGTATATATTCAACAGAAATGTGTGTGTGTGTGTGTGAGAGAGAGACAGTGTGTGTGTGTGAGAGAGAGACAGTGTGTGTGTGTGTGTGTGTGTGTGTTTCTCTAACTGGATCTTGAGATTTCCCTCACAAGAGTGGTTGTAATCTCTAACTCTGGCCTGATGGGGTTCCAGGGATTTGGTCATGGTTGCTTACAATGTTCTTTCATGGGATGTTCTTCTTTATCCTGGCAGATAATCTAATGCCTAAGTGTTCATCTTATGTCCAGGGTTACCTCTCACAGGAAACTTGTTTATACTGGTGGATGACCTTTTGGCTCTTATTTGATCTGTGTCTAGTTTATTCTTACCAAGATAGCCACTCTCTAAGACAACGTCGACTAGGAAAGAAGTTAGGTTTATTGTGTGGGTCAGATAAGTTACATAGGAGGCAACTCAATAAAACACATAAAATGACAGAAGCAGTTTATGACATACAGGTCTGAGAGAGAAAACAGGAGCACACTTTGCGGGGTTAATGGGAAGTGGGAGGCCATCTTGGACACATATGATCAATCAGTGAGTAGGGACCAAGAGAGAGAGGGGGTCCTGTCAGCCAAAGCCCTTACTGGGGTCCAGGGCATTATGCAGACAGGTTTCTTGCAGGGAGTTTTAATTGGTAGGTTTAGAGCAAAGAGACATGTGCTCCATGGAGGCAGGCTGTGACTGAGAGGTGGTCACTATGGTATATTTGCAGTCCATGCAGGGAGTGAATATCAATGGGACAAGTCCAGTGAGTTGTATCTAGCTGTTCCAGATAAGGAAGTGGTCACCAGGAAGCAGATGCACAGGAAAAATGTGGATTGACCACATTGAGAAACTGAGAGGAGGCAGAAAAATAGAAACTGTGTCAAAGGTGACCATACCCTACTTCTGGTAAGAGACAGTCCAAGTCATATTTAAAATGGATGCTGAGGCAACATAAAATTTTAAGAATTCGCTACTGTGTGTATGTGTGTGCTTCACAAGATGTGTACTAGAAAGTTAACAGCAGCATTATTAATAATAGAAAAACACTTGAACCTACTAAAATGTTCAGCAATAGTAGAGCGCATAAGTAATATTCTCATTATGGAATACTCAACAAGTGAGAATAAATGATCAACAACTTCACCTGGCAATATAGATGAATCTCATATGAGTTATGAATGAAATAAGTCAGATACAATAGAAAACAACTGTATAATTATATTTATACAAATAAAAAAATCTAAAATATGCTAGTAGAAGCCTTGCTAGTGGTTATACTTGAGGAGGACATTGTGACTAGATGAGGGCATGAACAGATTTCTGCTAATATTTCTCATGATCTGAATGATTGTGATGTTTGTGTTTAGTTTACAAACATTTATCTGTATACTTATGCATATTTTATCATTATTATATTTGTAAATAAAAAATAAATGGGGAAATGTAATTATTAGGCTGGGATATAGAACACAAAATATTATCTAAAATGAATCACTGAAAAAAAGATACAAATTTCATATGTCAGATCAAAGAAACTGTGTAGAAAGTGAGACATTTCAATATTTGTTTAATTAGTCTTCCCTGCAGAGAGCAAAAGAATGAGAAAGAAGCAATATATAAAGAGATACTGGCTGAGAATTTTCAGATACCAATTTACACATTCAAGAAGTGCAGAAAATCTCATGCATGACCTATGAAAGATAATCACATATATAGTAGTGAAACTTCAATAATTCAAAACAAAAAGATGCATGAAACTAACGGGGTATATGAATTTCCAACTAGTATGTGAATAAAGTGGAAAAATAATTTATCAATTCAAATTAAGTCAAGAAAGAAGAAAATATATGAAACAGGCAGCATAAATAGAAGGCATAAAAGATGATAGAATCCTACTTCCAGATGTAACAGTGATTATTTTGAATAAATATGGATTTAAAATTCCTGTCAAAGTCAAAGATTATTGAACGGGTGAACAAGGAACTACATTTTGTTTAATATAAACAAATGTAAACTCTAAGTAAAAAAGTTCTCGTGTAAAAGTGTCACAAAAATCTAACATAGAAGTGATAATCAAAGAAAAGTTGACAAAAGTAAACTTTAGAGCAAATGAATCACCAGAGATAAAGAGTAGCTTCATGATGCTAAAATGTTTAATTACCAGGAATATATAACTTTTTAAAATTTGTATACGTATAACAACAAAACAAAAATTGGCAGAACGACAGAAAAAATAGGAAAACACAAATTAGTATAGTTAACATCCCTCACTCAACAACTGATAGAATAAGTGAACATATAATGTACATCATTATGTAATTTATTAGGATATATAAGATTTAAACATAATTTATAAACTGAAACTAAGAAACTGCAGGGTATACATTACTGCCAAGAGCCCATAAAAGTTATAAAAATCATAATAAATTTTTTATAAACCAAATCTCAACAAATTTCAAATAAATTATTTTGGGCATATTATTTGCCCAAAATGCAACTAAGCTAGAAATCAATATAAAATAGATGAATAGAAAATCTTATATTTTTGTAAGTTAAATAATGTATTTCTAAATTAATGAGTAAATTAGCTAAAAAAGGAAATCCTAACATTCTTTAGAAAATACACTAAGTCTAAAATGTGGTGGGATATAATCAATGCATTTTTTAGAGCAAAATTTTCTATGAATAAAAACTGTATGTATGAAACATAAACTAGGTTAATATATTCCTAAAATAAATAAGGTAGAAAAGCAGACTAAAGCAAAACAAAACCAAAACACCTGAATTATCCTATCAGCATAATGAACATAGGAAAAAAATGGTAAAAATCTTCTCTTAAAGAAAACTGCAGCCCTATAATGACTTCACTGGAAGGTTCCAGTGAACATTTAAGAAAAAATGTAGAGTTAAATTAAAAACACATCTGAAATCACTTTATAAATTTTATAACTTTTCTTCCAAAACTCAACAAGAAAATTAAAATAAATTTAAAAATGACTGCCCAATAATTATAAACAATAATATTCTACAATTATATATTACATAGAGACTATATATTATCTTATATACAATTATACTCTATATTATACATAGAATATATATTGCTATATATTCTATATAATACATATAATTGGTGAATGTACATATATATTTATATAAGAAGGTGGAGATTTTATACATATATGTGTGCATGTGTGTATATATATATACCTATACATATATGTATAGTATATGTATAGCATATATAGTATATATATAGTATATATAGTAGTATATATAGAATGTGTGTGTATATATATATATATTTGCCCAAAATGCAACTAAGCTATAAATTAATATAAAATAGATGAATACAATTAATCTATCTATCTATATATATATATATATATACACACACACACATGCACACACTGCCTGTTTTCAGGTTGCATACACATAACAGATGGTTTATTATGCTATACTATTCTACGTGGTTATCTACATGATAGTAAAAGATGTTTGATACAATTTAACATAAATTTTTGATAAAAAGTATTCAATAAAGCATAATAAAAGAATTTCCTCAGTTTGATTAAAAGTATTTACACAATACCTTCAAAAAACACCATCCTTTCTGGGAAAGTTATTGAAATATTATTCCTAGATTCCAGGAAACCTATAAGAATGCTAATTGACATCACACCTACCAATAATTGTTGTAGAGGATTTTGCCTTGTAGAGTAAGACAATAAAAAGAAGTGAAAACACATAAGGAATGGAAAAGGGGAAGACAAACTGTTATTGCTTGCAGGCAATTCAATAATAGAGGCAGAGCCACATAATATTCTCCAAATTGTAAGATTAAAATGCATTTTTTTTTGAGACTGGATCTGACGCTCTTGCCTAGGCTAGAGTGCAGTGGCACGATCACAGCTCACTGCAACCTGGACCTCCTGGGCTCAAGCAATCCTTCTCCCTCAGCCTCCAAAGTAGCTGGTACCACAGGCAAGTGCCACCACGCCCAGCTAATTTTTTCATTTTGTAGAAACAGTGTCTTGCTATGTTTCCTAGGCTGGTAGAATGACATTCTTACAAGTAGTATATTGGGTCTTTCCCTAGTTGTTCTTGTAGTTAATAGTCTTAGCTTGCAGATGTTAAGAATTGAGACAGACCCAGCTTTACTCTCTCATTTCTTTCAAAGGATCCACTACCCTTTCACAGCTTGGGCTCTATTCTTGCTTGGAAGCCTGCAGTGAGAAGGAGAGCAGTAGCTCTTTTCTGATTTTTCCTCTTCCAGTCCTCCCCTGCATTTTTTTCTGTTTTGGTAAATCTTTACTAGTAAATATTTCTTTTTAATTTTTTAAATTTTTTTATGTCAATAGGTTTTGGGGAACAGGTGGTGTTTGTTTACATGTTTGGTTATATGAAGAAGTTCTTTAGTGGTAATTTATGAGATTTTGTTGCATCCATCACTGAGAAGTATACACTGTACCGAATGTGTAGTCTTTCATCCCTTGCCACCCACCAGCCTTTACCAGAAGTCCCCAAAGTTCAATGTATTATTCTTATGCCTTCGAGTCCTCATAACTTAGCTCCCACATATGAGTGAAAACATACAGTATTTGGTTTTCTATTCTTGAGTTACTTCACTTAGAATAAGTTTCCAATTCCATCCAGGTTGCTGTGAATGCCATTATTTCATTCCTTTTTATGGCTGAGTAGTATTCCACGGTAAATACATACCACATTTTCTTTATCCACTCATTGATTGATGGGCATTTGGGCTGCTTCCATATTTTGCATTTGCAAATCGTGCTGCCATAGACATGCAAGGCAAGTATCTCTTTTGAATAATGACTTTTATTTCTTCTGGGATACCTAGTAGTGGGGTTGCTGGATCAAACGGTAAATCTATTTTTAGTTATTTAAGAAATATCCACACGGTTTTCCACAGCAGTAGTACTAGTTTACATTCCCACCAGCAGTGTCAAAGTGTTCCCTTTTCACCACATCTATGCCAAAATATATTATCTTTTGAGTTTTTGATAATGGTCAGTCTTGCAGGAGTAAGGTAGTATCACATTGTGGTTTTTATTTGCATTTCTCTGATGATTAGTGAGGTTGAGAATTTTTCCATATGCTTGTTGGCCATTTGTATATCTTCTTTTGAGAATTGTCTGTTTGTGTCCTTAGCCCAGTTTTGGATGAGATTGTTTTATTTTTTCTTACTGATTTGAGTTCTTTGTAGTTTCTGGATATTAGTTCTTTGTTGGATGTATAGATTGTGAAGATTCTCTCCCACTCTGTGGGTTGTCTGTTAACTCTGCTGATTATTTCTTTGGCTGTGCAGAAGCTTCTTAGTTTAATCTATTTATCTTGGTTTTTGTTGCATTTGCTTTTGGGTGTGTGGTCATGAACTTTTTGCCTTAGCCAAAGTCTAGAGGTTTTCCTGATGTTATTTTTCAGAATCTTTATGGTTTTGAGTCTTAGATTTAAGTTTTTGATCCATCTTGAGTTGATTTTTGTGTAAGGTGAGAGATAAGGATCCAGTTTCATTCTTCTACAGGTGGCTTGCTAATTACCCCAGCACCATGGGTTGTATAGGCTGTCCCTTCCCCACTTTATGTTTTTGTTTGCCTTGTCGAAGATCAGTTGGCTGTACATATTTGGCTCTATTTCTGGGTTCTCTATTCTGTTCCATTGGTCTACATGCCTATTTTTATGCCAGTACCATGCTATTTTGGCGTGACTATGGCCTTAGAGTATAATTTGAAATCAGATCATGTGATGCCTCCAGATTTGTTCTTTTCTCTTAGTCTTGCTTTGGCTATGCAGGTTCTCTTTTGGTTCCATATGAATTTTAGGATTTTTTTTTTTCTAGTTCTGTGCAGAATGATGATGATATTTCGATGAGAATTGCATTGAATTTGAAGATTGGTTTTGGCAGTATGGTCATTTTCAGAATATTGAATCTACCCATCTATGAGCATGGGATATGATTCCATTGTTTTTGTACTCTGATTTCTTTTATCAGTGTTTTGTAGTTTTCCTTGTAGAGATCTTTCGCATCCTTGGTTAGGTATATTCCTAAGTATTTTATTTATTTATTTATTTTTGCAGCTATTGTGAAAGGGGCTGGGTTCTTGATTTGATTCTCAGTTTGGTCACTGTTGGTATATATCAGAGCTAATGATTTGTGTACATTAATGTTGTATCCTGAAACTTTGCTAAATTCATTTACCAGTTATAGGAGCTTTTTGAAGGAGTCTCTAGGGTTTTCTAGGTATACAATCACATCAGCATCAAACAGTGATAGTTTGACTTCCTCTTTACCAATTTGGATGTCCTTTATTTCCTTCTCTTGTCTGATTGCTCTGGCTAGGTCTTCAGGTATTTTGTTAAATAGAAGTGGTAAGAGTGGGCATCCTTATTTTGTTCCAGTTCTCAGGGGGAATGCTTTCAACTTTTGCCCATTCAGTATAATGTTGGCAGTGGATTTGTTATAGATGGATTTTATTACCTTAAGTTATGTCCCTTCTATGCCGATTTTGCTGAGGGTTTTAATCATAAAGGGGTGCTGGATTTTGTCAAATGCTTTCTCTGCATCTATTGAGATGATCATATAATTATTATTCTTAACTCTGTTTATGTGGTGTTTCACCTTTATTGGCTTATGTATGTTAAACCATCCCTGAATCCCTGGTGTGAAACCCACTTGATTATGGTGGATTATCCTTTTGATATGCTGTTGAATTTTGTTCACTAGTATGATGTTGAGGATTTTTGCATCTCTATTCATCAGGGATATTGGTCTGTAGTTTTTGTTGTTGTTGTTGCTGTTGTTATGTCTTTCTCTGATTTTGGTATTAGGGTGATACTGGCTTCATAAAATGATTTAGGGAGGATTCCCTTTTTCTTTATTTTTTGGAATGGTGTCAATAGGATAGGTACCAATTATTCTTTGAATCTCTGATATAATTCAGTTCTGAATCTGTGGTCCTGGACTCTTTTTTTTTGTTGGCATGTTTTTTATTACCATTTCAATCTCACTGCTTCTTATTAGTCTGTTCAGAGATTCTATAGCTTCCTGGTTAAATCTATGAGGGTTGTATATTTCCAGGAATTTATCCATCTCCTCTTGGTTTTCTAGTTTATGCGCATAAAGATATTCATAGTAGCATTGAATACTCTTTGGTATTTCTGTGGTATCAGTTGTAATATCTCCTGTTTCATTTGTAATTGAACTTATTTGGATCTTCTCTCTTCTTGGCTAATTTCATTAATGGTCTACCAATTTTATTTATCTTTTCAAAAAATAACAGTTTTTTGTTCCATTTATCTTTTGTATTTTTTTAAATTTGTTTCAATTTCATGTCATTCTGCTCTGATCTTTGTTACTTCTTTTCTTCTTCTGGGTTTGGGTTTGGATTGTTCTTGTTTGTTCAGTTCCATGAGCTGTGACCTTAGATTGTCAATTTGTGCTTTTTCAGACTTTTTGATGTAGGCATTTAGTGCTATGCACTTTCATTTCAGCACGATTTTTGCTGTATCCCAGAGGTATTGATAGGTTGTGTCACTATTATTGTTCAGTTCAAAGAATTTTTAAATTTCCATCTTGATTTCGTTGTTGACTCAATGATCATTCATGAGCAGTTTTAATTTTCATGTATTTTCTTGGTTTTGAGGACTCCTTTTGGAGTTAATTTCCAATTTTATTCCACTGTGGTCTGAGGAAGTACTTGATATTTTGATTTTCTTAAATTTACTGAGACTTTTTTTGTGACCTAACATATGGTCTATCCTGGAGAATGTTTCATGTGCTGATGAATAGAATGTATATTCTACAAGTTGTTGGGTAGAATGTTCTATAAATATCTGAGTCCATTTGTTAATGAACTTAAGAAATGTTAAGTCCATTTGTTGTGGGGTATTGTTTAAGTCCATTGTTTCTTTGTTGACTTTCTGTCTTGGTGACCTGTCTAGTGCTGTCAGTGGAGTATTAAAGTCCCCCCACAAATGGACTTAACATTTGTTAAGTGATTTATTGTTAACAAATGTTAAGTCCATTAGCAAATGGATTTGTGGCCATTTATCTCATTTCTTAGGTCTAGTAGTAATTAGTTTATAAATTTGGGAGCTCCAGTGTTAGGTGTATATATATTTAGAATTGTAATGTTTTTCTTTTGAATGTGTCCTTTTATTATTATATAATGATTTTCTGTCTTTTTAAACTGTTGTGGCTTTAAAGTTTGTTTTAGCTGATGTAAGAATAGCTACTCACTTTTTGTGTCCATTTACATGAAAATAACTTTTTCCACCTCTTTACCTTAAGTTTAGGTAACTTACCTTACCTTAACCTTATGTGTTAGGTGAGTCTCCTGAAGACAGCAGAAACTTGGTTGGTGAGTTCTTATCCATTCTGCCATTCTGTATCTTTTAAGTGGAACAGTTAGGCCATTTACATTTAATGTTGATATTGAGATGTGAGCTACTATTATATTTATTTTGCTACTTGTTGCCTGAATACCTTGTTTTTCTTTTCATTGTGTTATTTTTGTATAGATCCTGTGAGATTTATGCTTTAAGGAGACTATATTTTAGTTTATTTTGAGGATTTGTTTCAAGATTTAGAGTGCCTTCTAGCAGTTCCTGTAATGCTTGTTTGGTAGTGGCAAATTCTCAGTATTTTTTGGTCTGGAAAAAACTATATCGTTTTTTCATTGATGAAACTCAGTTTCACTAGATGAAAATTCTTGGCTGATAATTGTATTGTTTAAGGTGGCTAAAATAGGATCCCAATCCCTTTTAGCTTGTAGAGTTTCTGCTGAAAAATCTGCTGTTAATCTGACAGGGGTATTTTTATAGGTTACCTGATGCTTTGCCTCACAGCTCTTAAGATTCTTTCTTTCATCTTGACTTTTGATAACCTGATGACTATGTGCATAGGTGAAGATCTTTTTTTGATAAATTTTCCAGGTGTTCTTTTAGCTTCTTTTATTTGGGTGTCTAGTTCTCCAGCAAGATCAGGGAAGTTTTGCTTGATTATTCCCTCAAATATGTTTTATAAACTTTTAGATTTCTGTTCTTCCTTGGGACACCTATTATTCTTGGGTTTGGATTTTTAACATAGTCCCAAGCTTAGTGCAGGCTTTGTTAATTTTTAAAAATTCTTTTTTTCTGTGTCTTTGATGGATTGAGTTAATTCAAAAGCCTTGTCTTTGAACTCAGAATTTCTTTCTTCTGCTTGTTCGATTCTATTACTGAGACTTCTCAGTGCATTTCACATTTCTCAAGTGTGTCCTTGATTTCCAGAAGTTGTGATTATTTTTTATTTATGCTATCTATTTCACTGAAGAATTTTCCTTTCATATCCTGTATCGTGATTTTGATTTCTTTAAGTTGGACTTCACCTTTCCCTGGTGATTCCTTGATTAGTTCAATAATTGATCTTCTGAATTCTTTTTTTGGCAATTCAGAGATTTTCTCTTGGTTTGGATACATTGCTGGTAAGCTGGTATAATCTTTTGGGAGTGTTAAGGAATGTTGTTTTGTCATATTACCAGAACTGTTTTTCTGATTCCTTCTCATTTGGGTAGGCTATGTCAGAGGGAAGATCTGGGCTGCTGTTCAGATTCTTCTGTCCCATGGGGTGCTCCCATGATGTGTTATTCCCCCTCTTCCCATAGGAATAGGGCTTCTTGAAAGCTGAACTGTACTAAATGTTTTTGCTCTTCTGGGTCTAGCTGCCCAGTGGAGCTACTAGGTTCTGGGTTGGTAATAGAGAATGTCTACAAAGAGTCCTGCAATGTGATCTGTCTTCAGGTCTTGCAGCCGTGGATACCAGCACCTGCTCCTGTGGAGATGGCAAGGGAGTGAAGTGGATTCTGTGAGGGTCCTTGGTTGTGTTTTTGTTTAGTGTGCTGGTTTTGTGTTGGTTGGCCTCCAGCGAGAAGGTGGCACTTTCAAGAGTGCATCAGCTGCAGTCCTATAGGGAGGATGCAAACTTGCCCTAGGGACACCTGGTTAAGTATTCAGGATTCTCAGGTGGTGGGCAGGGCCATAGAGCTCCCAAGAGATTACGACCTTTGTCTTCAGCTACCAGGGTGGGTAGATAAAGACCACCAGGTGGGGGCAGGGATAGGCATGTCTGAGCTCAGCCTCTCCTTGGGCAGGGCTTATTGCAGCTGCTCTGGGGTTGGGGGTGTGGTTCCCAGTCCAATGGAGTTATATTCCCAGGGGTACTATGGCTGCCTCTGCTGAGTCATACAGGTCGCCAGGGAAGTGGGGGAAAGCTGGCAGTCACAGGCCTCACCCTGTTCCCATGTAGCCCACAGCCCTAAAGGCCAGTCTCACTCCCCTAGTGCCCCACCCAACAGCACTGAATCTATTGCCAGGCAGCTGGTGACCAGGGCTGAGAACTTGCCCCAGACCATGAGCCTCCTTGCTGAGAAAGCAAGCCAACTCACAGTTTTTCAGCATCTCAGGGAGCCTGCAGCAGGGATCCAGTTCCTTTAAAGGGTCATTGGATTCTCTTGGTTTTCCTGGTATGTTCCTGTTCTTTGAGCAAAAGTTCATGATGTGAGTCTCCAGATGCTGCTCTGTCCCCTGCTATCTTTATTCTATGATTGGATTCTCTAAGGTGTGGCCAGGGGAGAGAAAGATTAGATAATTTTCTTAGGGCAAAAAGATCTTCCCAATGACGTCCTGTCCTTTTATAAAGATCACTAAGCACTCCAGCCAACTTCTCTCTTTTTAGATTTTTAATGAGTATGAGTCAGGAACAGTCGCTAGGTCCATAATTCTCTAATACTCCAGGGATCATAAATGTTAAGGTCTCCAAATGATTTTCAGACATTATTTTCCCTTGTTCTGTGTCTGAAAGGGTGAAGTACTCCCCTTTTTTCTCCTACACAGAGGACAGGACAGAGGAAACATTAGTCTTCCTGATCTCTCCAAAGGAATTCACAGTTTTGGCCTCCTAATGGATTTCTAGCTTAAATGTGCATGATGCATTAATGGTGACTGGATTTGTCTTGGGCCCCCGTCTTTGCAAGTCCCAATAGATTGACTATTATCTCTTTTTACAATACAAAGATTACTTGATTTCTGCTATTCTCAGTTTGGGGACCTAAGGTGAATAGACAAGATAGAAACGGTCACATTATAATACCAGATTACATTGCTACTATAGATATTATAAAGCTTTCAGAGGATATAGTTAAATAATTCATCAAAACCTGGATTGCTCTAAGAAGTCATGCCCATCTGCTCTCTATGATCTTACCTCTGTACTTTTGTTAAGTGTTTTTGAAACATAGTAAATTTTGTTCTAGTGATGTCTAAATATGTCCCATTTTTATAGTATCATGTTTAAAATCAAATACATTATATCACTTTTTCTCTTCCATTGAGGTCAAAGTTTAAGGTTGTGAGTTTGTCTTGAGAAAATCTATTTCTTCCTTCAGGCTAATCAGCCTATCTTTCTTTTTAAAAATTCTCAAATTTCTATTTTTCTAACAGTAGAGACTAAGGCATATTTTTAAAACACTCTGTATTTTTTACATCTTTCAATGTACATGTTAGTGTTTGGGTTGAAATAATTTTAGTGAATTTTTTTTATAGCTCAAACTAAGAAGATAGGCTATTCTGTTCATATCAAAGACCTGCTGTTCTTTCTTATATGTTCAGTAATAAAATCTACATGCCTTGTTTTACTTTTCTTTTTTTTCACAAATTTCAATAATACACTGGTTTAGAGGGCTAAACTCATGTAATTACCCTTAAATCAAAGCTTCAGGTCAGCCCTTTCAGATAAAATAAAAATTATGTTTTATAGAAGAGGTCAAGTTACCATCCCTGCTTATGAAGAATTATGGCATGTATTTAGTAAATATTAGTAAAAATTCAACAGTGCAGCTGTATAAAACTATCACACCTCTGTAAATAGAACCTCAACAAACTGCTATAATTCACTATATTCAAAACTTCACAAAAGCTATACTTCTAAGTCATGAAAAAGTGCAGGTCCTCCTGGAAGGTTGGTGAAAGAAGTAGCAGGATAATTTTTGAATCTCCTTAGATTCCCATTCAAAAGCAGATAATTAGATAGCAGAACCAAAACCTAGGTGATAAGTTTTCTCCAAGAACATAAACATTGAAGTCAGTGAATATACAATGATGAGACCTGTGTGTTTTTGGCATCTGCATGCAAGAAAGCAGAGGAAAGGAAGGGGCATTTGACAGACCTGACAACAGGAGAACTCCAAAATAACCTATGAGTTTTTACAGAAAAGTACAGTCACCCAAGCTCAAAACAGCTGCTGACATTGGGAAAGGAACTGGTCTAATCTAAAAGCTAGTGAATGCCAGGGACCCACAGCAATGCCTAAGTAGTATAAAGACCGAAAGATCCTATAGAGAAATTGAATAGGACCAAAACAAAGTTTGTGAACTAAAGGCTTGTTAGTAATGTGGAGTTTCTACTTGAAGTGAGTAGGAAAAGTAAGGTTTTTTCCTCTTAGGAAAATGAGCAGTGTCTGCTAAATGTGTGTTTTTCATTTTAATCCTGATGATTCACCAAATAGCTAGTCATGGAAAATGTACATAGTTAACTTAGTATCCCTCCAGGAATGATTCTTACATTGTATATTATTTAGTTTCTTTTACTTACCTGTTTGAATACTTGAATAAACTAGTTTTACACAAAGAAAGACTAAATTCTGAGAAAAAAATGAGAATAACAGAAACAATTACATACGGTGTAAAACTGCATAATACTACCAAAAGGAGAAGAAATAAAGAAAACAAAATTAAATATTTGAAGCAATAATGGCTGAGAATTTTTTAAAATCAATATCACAAAGCCACAGAGAACACCAAGCAGTATAAATGACAAAATAAAAAAACTACACATAGGTACATGGTTTTCAAACTACTAAAAAATCAGAGGTAAAGAACACAACCTGAAAGAAGCTGGAGTGAGGGGAAACACCTTAGCTATAGAAGAGCAAAGATAGGAATAATTACATCTGAAACCATGTAAGCAAGAAGAGAGTGGAGTGAAATACCTAAAGTGTTGAGAGAAAACAACAACAGCAATAAAACCATCAATCTAAAATTCTGCTCTAGGTGAAATTACCTTTCAAAAGTGAGAGAGACATTACAACTTTCTCAGACAAACAAAAATTGAGGCAATTTGTTGCCAGTAGTCTTGCCTTGCAAGAAATGTTAAAAGTTCTTTAGAGAAAAGGAAAGTAACAAGTCAGAAACTCATATCTATATAAAAAAATGAATAAGGGAAGATAAAATGAAAACTTTTATTATTTTTTCTTATTCTTTGTTGATGTAACAGATAATGGTTTAAAATAATAATAATGAGAATGTGTTTTATTTTTGTAAACTTATGTGTAATATTATGTGTATGGTATATATAGAAACATATATATATATATATATATATATATATATGCTTATGTATGATTATAAATGACATGGTTTGAATCTTTGTCTTCATCAAATCTCATGTCAAATTGTAATCCCCTATGTTGGTGGTGGGGACTGGTAGGAGGTGATTGGATAATGAGGGAGGATTTCTCATGAATGGGTTTGCACCATGCCCTCAGTGCCGTTCTCAGTGCTGATAGTGAGTGAGTTATTATGAGATCTGGTTGTTTAAAAGTGTGTAACACCACCACCCCCTCTCACTCTCTTCCTTCTCCTGTGGCCATGTAAGACATGCCTGCTTCCCCCTTTGCTTTCTGCTATAATTGCAGGTTTTTTGAGGCCTCCCCATAAGGCAAGCAGATGCTGCCATGCTTCCTGGATAGCCCACAGAATCATAAGCCAATTAAACCACTTTTCTTGATAAATGACCCAGTCTCAGGTGTTTCTGTATAGCAGTGTGAGAATAGGATAATACGATAAATAAATGAAACAAATGACAGGAATAATACAAGGGATGGAAGGGAGAAATTAATAATTTTTTATTATAACGTACTCATAATGAAACAGTTTAGTATTTTAAAGTAGACTTTGGTTAATTGTAAATGTAATTGTAAACTTCAAGGCAAGAATTTGAAAAAGTAATTGATGTACTAAAAGAAGAAAGAATGGAATAATATAAAATGCTCAATTAAAACTACAAAGGACAGTAAAAGAGTGGAAGACAAAAACAGGAACAAACAACTCTAAATAGAAAACAGAAACAAACATGGTAGATATTAATACAACTAGGTCAATAATTGCTTTGAATGACAATGGTCTAAATGGACCAATAAACAACAAAAATTGTCAGAGTAGATCAAAAAACAAGAACCAATTACATGTTGTTTACAAAAAACCCACTTTAAATATAAAGACACACATAAAATAAAAGTAAATAGATGGTAAAAATTATATACTCTCCTAACACATTTTTAAAAAGCAGAAATAGCTACATTAATTTCAGACAGAATAGACTTCAACGCAGGAAAAGTTATCAGGAGTAAGGAAGGGCATTGCACAATGATAAAGGTGTCAATTTTCCAAGAAGATATAACAATCCTTAAGGTGTGTGTACCCAACAACAGAATATCAAACTATGTGAGGCAAAAACTGATAAAACTGGGAGGAGAAATAGATGAATCTATTATCATAATTGGAGATTTCAACATGTTTCTATCAGAAAGGGATAGAACCTGCATGGTAGAAAGTCAATAAGAGCATAGTGAAACTCAACACCACCATCAATCAACTAGATATAATTAACATCTATAGACTACTTCACCCAACAGCAATGTAATATACATTATTCTCAAGCTTGGATGGAACACACACCAAGATAGAGCACATTCTGGGCCATACAACATACTTTAATGCATTTTAAATAGTAGAAATCATATAATATCTGTTCTCAGAATTCAATGCAATTACATTAGAAATCAATAACTGAAAGACCTTAAGAAAACCTAAAAATATTTGGAAATTAAAAAACATGCTTCTAAATAATGCATGAATCAAAAAAAATTTTAAGAGACATTTAAACATATTTTGAACTGAATGAAATAAAACCACAACTTAACATAATTTGTAGAATGCAGTGAAAGCAGTTTTTAGAGGAAAATGTACAGCATTAAATGCAGCTAATAGAAAGGAAGAGAAATTTGAAGTTGATCATCTAAGCTTCCACCTTACATAACTAGAAAAGTAAGAGTAAATTAAATGCAAAGTAAGCATAAGAAAGGAAAGTTTTAAAAAATTAGAGCAGATGTCAAAGAAATTGAAAACAGAAAACCAATAGTGAAAATCAATAAAAGCAAAAGGCTTGCTCACTGAAAAAAATAATAAAGTACATAGTCCTCTAGCCAGGCTAACTAAGCAAAACAGAAAAAAGATAAATATTACTAATATGAGAAACAAATGAGGAGACAGCACTACAGATCTCATGGATATTAAATAGGTAATCAAAAAATACTATGAAGGATGGTATGCCTACACATTTGATAATCTTGACAAAACGTACTAATTCATTTTGAGATACAATCTGTCAAAACTCACACAAAAATACATAGATAATTTGAGTAGAACTAAATCTATTAAAGATATTGAATAATATCATTCCAAAACAAAAGTGAAAGTGAAGTGAAGCACCAGGCCAAGATGAATTCATGGGTGAATTCTACCAAACACTTAAGAAAAAAATAAACCGATTCTCCACAACCTCTCTCAGAAAACAGAAGTAGCAGGAAAACTTTTTAACTCATTGTGTGAGGCTGGAATTACCTTAACACCAAAAGCAGACAAGGAAAAAAAAAGCTGCAGAACACTATCTCTTATAAATGTATAAAAATCTTCAACAAAATATTAATATGTTTAATTCAACAGTGAATAAAAAGAAATATACACTATGACCAGCAGGATTTATCCCAGGTTTGCAAGGCTGGTTTACCATTCAAAAATCAGTTAATGTAATCCATCACATCAATAGGCTAGAGAAGAAAAATCACATGATGACATCAATAGTTGCAGAAAAAGCATTTGAAAAAAATCCAACAGTCATTCATGATAAGAACTCAATAAACTAAGAATAGAAGAAATATTTCTCACCTTGCTAAGAATATCTATGAAATACTACAGTTAATATCTTACTTAATGGTGAGAAACTAGAAGTTTTTCCACTAAAATCAGGAAAAAAGTAAGAATGTCCCTTCTTGCCACTTCTTTTCAACCTTGTACTAGAAATCATAGCTAATTAAATAAGACAAGAAAAGGAAATAAAAGGAACCTTGATCAGGAAGGAATAAATAAGACTCTCTTTGTTTGCAGTTGACATGATTGTCTATATAGAAAGTACAGAATAACTAGCAAAACAAAAACAAAAAACAAAACCTGAAACTAATAAGTGATTACAGCAAGGTTGAAGGATGCAAGCTGAATACATAAAAGTCAAATACTTTTATATATACCAGCAATGAACAAGTGTAATTTAAAGTTAAAATCACAGTATCACTTACATTAGCACCCCCAAATTGAAATCAGTATAAATATAACAAAATACATACCACACGAATATGAGGAAAACTATAAAACTTAAGAGGGAAATTGAGGAAGAACTATATGTGGGACATATTCAATGATTATGGATAAGTCTCAATGTTGTCAAAATGTCAATTCTTCCCAACTTAACATACAGATTTAATGCAATCCCAACCAAAATCCCAGCAAGTTATTTTGTGGGTATTTACAAACTGATTCTAAAGTTTATGTAGTGATATCAACAACATATAATAGTAAGCTGAATATTAAAGAAGAACAATGTCGAAAGACTGATTCTAACTTAAAGACTTAGTATAAATATACAGTAATCAAAAAAGGATGGTGAAGGAAAAAATATATCAGTGAAATAGAAGAGAGAGCTCAGAAATAGATCCACAAAAATATAGTCAGTATATAGGTAATATAGACAATGCAATATGGGCATCATAGGCAATGCAATAGAGATAGTCTTTTAAATAAATGGTTCTGTAAAAACTAGATATCCACATGCCAAAACAATGAATCTAGATATAGACTTACACTCTTCACAAAATTAACTCAAAATGGAACATAGATAAGACGCAAAATAAGGAACTCTAAAACTCCCTAAAGATAACATAGAAGAAAATCTAGATAACTTGGGGCTTAGCAATAACTTTTTTGATAGGACACCAAATACATAATGAATAAAAAATTGGTAAACTGGACTTCTTTAAAATTGAAAACATCCACTTTGTGAAGGAGACTATCAACAAAATGGAAAAAAAAACCGAAGCACAGACTAAGAGAAAATATTTGCAAAAGACATATATTATAAAGAACTGTTATAACAAATATACAAAGAACTCTTAAAACTAAGCCATAAGAAAATAAACCTATTCAATTAAAAAATTGGTCAAAGACCTTAACAGAGCTCATCAAAGTAGAGACGTAGATGCTAAATAACCACGTTAAAATTTACTCCACATCATATGTCATCAGACAAATGCAAATCAAAGTGATATAAGATACCACTATATATCTATTAGAATGGGCACAATTCAGGACATGGACAGAACCAAATGCTGGTGAGGAGGTGGGGTAAGAAGAATTCTCATTTATTGCTGGGGGGAATGCAAAACAGTGCAAACACATTGGAAGACATTTGTCATGTTCTCACAAAATGGAAGATACAATATTCATATGATACAGAAATCATACTCCTTAGTATTTACCCAAAGGAGTTAAAAACATGTGCACACAAAAACTTGAACAAAATTATTCAGAGCAACTTTATGTCAAATTGCCAAAACTTGGAAGCAAACATAAATTTGTTTGCTTGAATAGGTAAATATATAAACAAATCTCATTGCCCTTGAGTAGGTAAATATATTTAAAAAGTTGTTACATCTAGACAATAGAATATTACTCAGCATTAAAAAGAAATGAATGTCAAGGTATGAAAAGACACTGAAGAAACTTAAATGCATATTACTACTTAGCAAGTTAATCTGAAAAGGCTACACACTTTATGATTCCAACAAAATGATGTTCTGGAAAAGTCAAATTTGGAGACAGTAAAAAGATCAGTGTTTTCTAGGAGACAGTGGGTGGAAAGGATAGAGCACAGAGGATTCTTTGAGCAATGAAACTATTCTATGTGATACTATAATAGTGGACACATGTCATTAGAAAGTGATCCAAACCCATAGGATGTACACAACCAGAATAATCCCTAAAGTAAGGACTTTGGATGACAATGATGTGTTAATATAGATTCAGTTCTAACAAACATACCACTCTGGTGGAGAATGTTGATAACATGGAAGGCTATATGTGTGTGGGGAGTGGGTGTAGATGGGAAATTTCTGTATTTTCCACTCAAATTTTCTGTAAACCTAAAACTGCTCTAAAAAAAAGTCCAAAAAGAGAAAATAATGAAGAAGAATCTAAATGCTAATAAAAAGTTAAAAGACATGACATATGAAGTTAAAACAATGGACAAAACTATACTATTAATGCCTATGCATGCATACCTAGACAAATATAAACGTAAATAAATGAATGAAAATAATCATTGTACAAATTGGTGTTTGTTTCTTTTGATGCACGGAAGAGGTCTGTTAATATGGATGACTTTTGGGATGGCTGACAAAGTTTTATTAACCTGGCCAGGGCAGGACCTGGGTAGTGGTTAAAAGGGTATTTTTCTTACAATAGTTTGTTAAGTTTCACATATGTTTTGTTTCATTTTCTGTATCTGTGTTTTGCCAAACTAAAACCAAAGTAAGATACAAATTTAAAGCTTTGAGAAAATCAGAAACCTCAATTTTCATAATGTACTTTGGTATTGAAATTACAGCTTTTGTCTACTTTTTAATGTTCCTAGTTGATAAAAACTCAGATTTCAGTTGAGTCAATAAAAACAAAAATAAACAAATGAAAAGCAACTCCTTTCTTTCTAAGGAACTAATTGAGAGATGAGCAGATGGGGAAGGTTGAGAGAAAATGATCAAAATATTACCTCTGTTACTGATGATAATCTGATAGAAGTAAATAACTCTAGATTGGTGACCAAGCAAGTTTACTAATACTGTATTATGGATCCACAGTGGAATACATCCTTGGATCCTGCAGGGTTATAGTCTGGTCCTATGAGTTTATAACATGAAGGAACAAGGAACATATACATTCAGAAGACAGGTTTGATTTGTAAAGAGAAGCATTGATTGAATTACATGTGTCCTTTTTGTGAAACTGATCAGTCAAGGAGGGATGTACAAAGGGGTAGGAAAAGAGGACATATGAGTTACTTTAATAGGCATTCCTTCTTTCAGAAAGAGGTCCAAGAAAAGGGATGTTTCATGGAAGAGCATAGTATTATTTATATGTACAAACTGTAGTGTTTTAAACCATACTGCTGTCTCTCCTTTGTTAGACATTTAAGTATCTTCCAGTTGTTCACCAGAATAAATAACATTTTAATCATGCCTATTTGCACTCTGTCTACCTGTGATAGATTTGCTGCTTTACAGGGAAAATAAAAGAAATCATTAGCTTTGGAAACCACCGTTGATAAAACTGAACAGGGTGGTTTTAAATTTAAGATCTCATGCTGTGAAAAAATTCCATTTCAGAATCAGTCTTGTCTAGCAAAGAGTCATGTGTAAAATAATTTCAACCAACACATTATGGAAAATCAAACAACCTGAGTATTTGATAGATATTCTATCTTTCTCACATAGCACATACTCAGGAGTAGGTTAAGCAGTCAGTGCATACACTAAAGTGCAGAAACGGGATTAGTCCTCTGAGTTCATCCTGCAGCCTCACAGATCAGTTTGCCAGTTGACCAGTCCTCTCTAGTTGACTAGCTCTCCACCACAGTATCTCATCCTTTGATCAGTTTTTATTATCTTTCATATTCCAGCAGCACACAGTGCAACCAGACCTATGTCAGTGTACTTTCCCTTTGTGAGTACAAATCTCTGTTGATGAAAAATAAATGTGTATCAAAAAGATGTCTTTCTTTTATATCTATTTATCCAGTAATCTAACATTCCTGATAGAAAGAAAACCAAGGTGATCCATAAGATATTTTTTAAAATGTTGTAAAATGACCATGATTGTCAGGGTACCAATTTCCCAATTGACAGTTCTGTGATAATATCTGTCAACAACTGGGTGAAACGTAAATGTCTCTTTTATCTTGGTTCATAAATGCTAATCTTTATAATTTATTCTTTTTCAGCTCAAAGAATCTTCATGCAGTAGACATTTCAAGGTTGGAGAAATTTTACAGTACATGAAATAGTTGAAGTTTGACAGCAATTTTGGGATTACAGCAATTTTGGCTGTATGTGGGATGAAATAAACTCCACTAAGGTGGGAAGATTACCTGGGACCAG
The DNA here is from genome assembly GCF_000001405.40 of Homo sapiens. Taxonomy (NCBI): domain Eukaryota; kingdom Metazoa; phylum Chordata; class Mammalia; order Primates; family Hominidae; genus Homo; species Homo sapiens. The sequence goes on from NC_000001.11 coordinate 102,221,364, forward strand.
GCGGTCGAGGCTATGGTGAGCTGTGATCATGACACTGCACTTCAGCCTGGACAATGGGGCAAGAACCTATTTAAAAAATAAAATAAAATACTCCAAGGGTTCATTTGACTTTGAAATACTGTGTGTTCTTTATTATTATTATTATTATTATTATTATTATTATTATTATTATACTTTAAGTTTTAGGGTACATGTGCACAACGTGCAGGTTTGTTACATATGTATACATGTGCCATGTTAGTGTGCTGCACCCATTAATTCGTCATTTAGCATTAGGTATACTTCCTAATGCTATCCCTCCCCCTCCCCCCACCCCACAACAGTCCCCGGTGTGTGATGTTCCCCTTCCTGTGTCCATGTGTTCTCATTGTTCAATTCCCACCTATGAGTGAGAACATGTGGTGTTTGGTTTTTTGTCCTTGCGATTGTTCCTTTAAAGAGAAACTGCTTCCAGGCCCAAGTGGGCTACTTAAACTAGTGTGGAATAATGCAACTTTTGTCATGAATGTCATTCAGAGTTCAAGCTAAGCATCTGGTCCTTATTACAAGGTATTTCTCCTACTTTCAAATAGATATTTCAGTCCTCCATTCTGCAGGTAATCTAACTCGTATTAATTATAGTTTGTCCAAGAGGAAAAATGTAAAGTCCACTGTGGATTTTCTGGCAAGGCAGTAACTTGAGAATAAGTGTTTAGTTGTCTTTTGCCAGTCCCTTCTAAACTATCTTTGAACAATGGTGTTCCGGTCATGGACAATTTTGCCCTCAGATCTACTTCTCACACTTCCCCTATTTGGTTGTCTAATGCAAGGTCTATGGCAAAGGATCTTGCATTAGATAGCCAAATAAGGGAGGTATGAGAAATTCCTGCTACCTGTGCTCCTCAGGCTCTTGTGTCAACTTTTTTCTAGTCAGGGTTTGCCAGTGGAAGCCACTAGTGGGTGATTAGAGGGCTCCAGCACAAGAAAATTCAGGGCATGTCTGCCCCTAGTTCTCTCCCTGAGGCTGTATCTCCTGCAGCAACTGACAGGCATGCTGAAATGTGAACTTCTGTCATCTATTTAGATTCTTGTAACTTCATACCTGTAGCAAATGGACTTAACTCACAACACTAGGAAGCCCCAGGGTGTGTGCACTGTTCTGGTAGCCATTCTTTGCAAAGATGTAGGCAACATAATTGAGAGAGAAACGGAGAGCTTATATCTGGCAGATTATTTCTATTCTCTCACTAATTAATTTATCCATTCATTTAATAAATATACATTGAGCACATAATTATGTAGCGGAATATACCTAATGTTGAAATTACAACAGCAAAGAAAACAAAACCTTTGCTATACCTAATATTGAAATTATAACAGCAACCAAAACAAAACCTTTGCCTCTGGAAGTTTTCACACTCTTTGGAAAGAAGGCAAAAAATAAATTTTGTACATTTGTGATAGTTAATATTGAGTGTCATCTTAATTGGATAGAAAGATGCAAAGTATTGTTCCTGGACGTGTCTGTGAGGGTGTTGCCAAAGGAGATTAACATTTGAGTCAGCACACTGGGAAAGGCAGACCCACCCTCAATCTGAATGGGCATCATCTGATCAGCTGTCAGTGTGGCTAGAGTAAAGCAGGTAGAAGAAGCTGGAAAGAGCAGATTTGCTGAGTCTTCTGGCCTTCATCTTTCCCCTGTGCTGGATGCTTCCTGCTCTTGCACATTTTGCTCCAAGTTCTTCAGCTTTTGGACTCTTGGACTTTCACCAATGGTTTGCCAGGGGCTCTCAGGCCTCTGCCTGGCCACAGATGGAAGACTGCACTGTTTGCTTACCTGCTTTTGAGGTTTTGGGGCTTGGACTGGCTTTCTTTCTCCTCAGCTTGCAGACAGCTTATTATGAGACTTCCACTTGAGATCATGTGAGTCAATACTTCTTAATAAACTCCCCTTCATATACTCACATATCCTGTTAATTCTGTCTCTCCAGAGCACCCTGACTAATACATTATATGTAAGATATTAGATATTAGAAGGTGCTAAGTTTTATGAAGAAAAGTAAATGAGTCAAAGAGAATAGAAAGTCCTATAGAGATTGCAATTGTAAGTACATTGGGTAGAGGAAGAACTTTCGTAGAAGATGATATTTGACAACTATCTAAGGAAAATGAGAGTTGAGCCTTGCAGATGGGTGGGGCCTTGGAGAGCCAGGCACAGGTGAGAAACAGCATAAGGCCAGTATGTTGTATTGAACTACAAAGGGAGAGAGTGGTAGGATGTGAGGTTAAGATGGCAATCAGAGACAGAGACTGTAGAACTCTTAGGTCCTTAGAAGACTTTTAGGTCATTATAAGGGGTTTAGCCCTTATAATAATAAAAAGAAACATTGGGAGGATGACTTGGCATAATTTGCATTTTAAAAGCATCATTCTGCTTGCTGTGTTGAAGAACGACACATATTTTGAGGAGTTTTGCTATAGATAGGAGTGGAGATATAAGTTGTGACTGGAGAGAATATGCAGTTGAGAGAAGTCTTTTTTTTTTTTTTTTTTTTTTGAGACGGAGTCTCGCTCTGTCGCCCAGGCTGGAGTGCAGTGGCGCGATCTCGGCTCACTGCAAGCTCCGCTTCCCGGGTTCACGCCATTCTCCTGCCTCAGCCTCCCGAGTAGCTGGGACTACAGGCGCCCGCTACCACGCCCGGCTAATTTTTTGTATTTTTAGTAGAGACAGGGTTTCACCTTGTTAGCCAGGATGGTCTCGATCTCCTGACCTCGTGATCCGCCCGCCTCGGCCTCCCAAAGTGCTGGGATTACAGGCGTGAGCCACCGCGCCCGGCCGAGAGAAGTCTTATTCTTGCTTGTACATTGGGAGAGATACTAACATTTGATGAATATGCAGGTAGGAATGCTTTAACAGAGAAAGGGGAAGTTCATTATGCTAGAGAGAGAAGGAAAAAATTCTATAATTGAGTGGATATTAAAAGTATCAACTAGGGCAAATGTAATAGGTTTGCTCTTATGGGTGCATACACAATATCTCTGGTATATGGGGAGAACAGAAGCAGGAAACATATTTCAGATGTAACACAGGATAGATGAATGAGTTGAGGGAAGCTTGTGGAATGTCTTATCTTATTTCTTTAATAATTTTCTCATAAAATAATGAGCACAAGTTGCAAGTGAGAGTGAAACGGCGTTGAAAATTTAAAGAGAAAGGAGAAGAATAATACAGAATTTTAAGAAGTGAAAAACTGAATGGGCCAGGGAAATAGTAGGATAACTGGATAGGTAAAGACACATTAAAGAAAATAGGATTTTAAATGAGATCAGTCCGTAAGGCTATCCATTTTTCTCCAGGTAAGTTAAGCTTCATTAGTATTTAACCAGGGTTGGGATTTTACCAAGCAAATATAAAGGGCAAAAATTTGTAAGGCCTATGAGGTTATGTTCAAAATAATTAGTATAATTATGACGTTGGATTTTAGTTTGAGTGAGGAGAGAAGTCTCAACATATGACGAGATGAGCAATAGAGAAAAGTTTATAGATCAATGGTATTGTTGTGGTTGAAGGACTGTTGGAGTCAAAGGACTAGTAGAAGATGGTAAATGTGGAGGGATGGATACTTAACACTGAAATAGACATATCACATGGAAAAGTTAGAGCATGTTCATGAAGATAAGCTGCTGAAGTAGAATGGAAATCAAAAGTATTGGTGTGGAGGTGTTCAAGTAAGAAGCCAGGAGATTAGAAGTTTATTTATATGGACATTAAAATAAGTAAGAATTAAATAAGGAAAAGTTTCGGGGAGAGTGACGTATTCTAGGGTTTCTTTGAGAAATCGGAGAAAATGACTCTAGGAATTAGATGATGATTATAATAGTTGGTGGCTTATGTGACTAAAGCTAGTAGTTATTAGGGAAGAAAGGAAGAGAATGTTCCAGAAATGGCAATGAGGAGCAATAAGGAAGCCTACCCTAGTTTTAAGTCAGAGGTAGAACCGTCGTGTAGAATGGAGCCAAAGTTTCTTGTAGTTGCTATCATATCTACGATTCTTGCTCTCTCAATCTCCTGCATACAAAAAGAAGACCCTGCATGTCACATTTGGCATTTACTGCTCAATTTTTGCTTCACTCATTATCATCATTCTGTAGCCATAATCAAGGTGAAAACTTAGCAATGATACTAACAGCATAACAATCAAGAAATAATTTCTAATATAAATAAATAATTCAGACGAAAAATGTAAAAGATATAAGAAAGTCTTTTAAGCTTAATAAAGAGAACAACACCAAATTATATTTCGTTGGAAATGTTAAGCTATAACAATAAAGAAATATCCAAGAATACAAGAAACAAAAATTTTTATTTATAAATAAAAGAACAAAGCACATTGTCTTAGAAGAGCTAAATACAATGGAACATTAGAGCTTCAGAGTTCTGAAGAAAAACATGTTATGATCCATAAATTCCAAACCAGGCAGGGTTAGAGCTTTGTTTGAAAGTAATAAATTCTCAGATACTCAAGGCCCCAGAAAACATAATAATGCTATGATATAAGTAATTACTGGATAAGCAGTGAAAATATAAGTGAAAAAATCACCAAAAGAAAAAAAAACATTGTGACTGTAATGTTTAGTTAAAAGAGTTGAGATCAGTAAACATCATGTATAGACAAATTTAAGGCAAAATACTTTTCCAACAAATTATGTAAACCAGTAAATTGATATTCCCAGTTGACATCTGACAATATTATACACATTGTTAAATTTTTGTGTATTCAAACTGGTGAAGAATATCACTGGAGTCTTTTCCTGAAGAAGAGAGAACATTTTTTATATTTGCAGTTGTGCTATATTCAAGAAGATGCAGTTTTTTTCCTATTGTAGATTATGTTATTTAAAACCTTTGTTTAAAAAAATGGATTAGCAATTACTCAAACTGCAGTTACCATATATTTCAGCATATTTTGTCTAAGTAGAATATACTTGATATGACTATGGCTATAAACTGATTCCTAATTTTCCTATGTAAAAAAGATATGATGGCTAAAATTACTCTATATCTAATGATTTAACAACAGAAAATTAGAAAAATATTTAAACAATTTAATTTCTAATATTCAGGTTATAATTTTATTTTCTTAAACATTTGCATGAATGATTATCATAGCATAATATTCTTTACAAAAGAATGACTTTGTTCTCTTTACTAAAATTAAAGTAGAATGACCAACTTTGGATGCAGTTCTGAAGAAACCTGCAAGTAAAAAGATTTTATTGGGAGTAAGGGCCAAGATTGAAAGTACAAAGAAACAAACACTAATCATTAAACAACATGACAGAGACAGAACCAAACATAATAGTTGTAAGAATATGTATAAATTAGTTAAATACCCCGTAGTAAGAAAAAATATAGAAAACATAGGTATCTTAAAATAAAATATTGAATAATTAAGTTAAATACGTCTAAAATATATAGAGACACAATGGATTAGAAGAAACATTTGCAATACACATGAGATATAGCTCTGCTAAAAGGAATCATTTTTAAAAATGATGATTAACTCAAAGGAAAAAGTATTAAAGAACGCAAATAGGCCACTAAAACATGAATATGAATTCACCATTAGGAATGCAAACTAAAATAATAATCACTGCAATATTTGAGAAATTTTAAAAGGCTACATTTGTTTTATACTCTGGAAGGCATGGTAATGTGCACCACACTATTGACTGGATTGTGAACTACTATGCTATTGGGGGTAGGACGAGAAATATGGTGGTATTGTTTATAAATAAAACTTTATATCTTCATCAATCAATGTCATCTTTTAGAATTCCAGCTTATAGTTAAAACCATCATAAGAATTTATGTACAAAATGTTTTGTAGCTTTAAAATATATATTAGTTTTTGAGTGAATAAAGTATACGCATATTATATAATATGATACAGGCACTAAAAATATGAGATGGACTATAGGTATTGGTATGGATGAATGTCATTGATGGATTGTTAAGTGAAAAAGAAAAGAATATTCTAGAATAATGTGCACATTTTGCCTTGCTGATAAAAAGAGGAGAAAAAAAACTACATGAATATAATGTTAAGTAGGTTATATGAGTATACTGTTAGGTGCAGAAAAATTCAAAACAAATATAAATTTGATTAACCAAATGAGTTTGAAGCAAATAATATATTTTTATGTTTTTCATACTACTCAGTAATGTGTAACTATATGTAACATGTCTTTGTGATTAAATTTTATTTTAATTTAAAAGGCTCTCTGACAGAATTTAAAACATACATACATTCAGATGATACTAATTACAAAAATCATTCTCATGAAAAAATTTATACAACAGATTAACAGCTGTGAAATTTTAGCTCACAAAAGTTAAATATAGTGGTAGGATTATTAATATAAGAAAAATTGTCATTAAACTGAAATAATTTTATGTAGAGCAACATATTTTATAATAAAAAACCTATAAAATTTATGGCACTTTTTATTTTAAAAAGCCACAAAAAATTAGAAATACTGTTAGAAATGCAATAATTTATTGATGTGAAAATGACAGAAGTATATTGATTTAAAAGAGCAATCTGTATCAAAAAAAGAAAATAAAGATGTAGATAAATTGGTTAAATTTTTTTAATCGACTAATAATAAGAAAGTCCTCCTTTTCAGTGTCTGTATAAATTCACATTTATTACCCATGCACAAAATGTTGAAGAAACTCCAATAAGTCGAAAAGACCAAAGTGTTACAGAGTACATTCTTCCTCACGAAGTCCATATAACGAGAGTTAATTATAAATGTGTGGACAAGAAAAGCAATATCATAGCAAAGTTTCAAATACCTGAAACTTTATAGCTAATCAAAGTTGAAGTTGTAGAATATTTAAAAATCAATAAAAATGAAGATGTCATAGGTCACAACTCACAGCATACATTAAGTTGTAGACAAGTGATAATTTGTCTCATTTTTCACTGTATTTTAAAATTAGAATTGTTTTGGAATGAATGATTGAAACAAGAAAATAAATAAATAGACAAGATAGTGATTGATACCAGCTTATCTTGTCAGAAGCTCCTGGATTTGAATGTTTCCTCTAAAGCTACCTGGACAAATTATTTAATTTCACTGAGTTTCATTTTCCTCAGATATGTGATTTATAAGCATTTAACCATTCTAAATTTCAGTTTCCAGTAAATGAAGATAATAGTACCCACCTCATGTATTTTTATAAGTATTAATTTTATAATTCATAGCCAAATACCTTCAATAACTATCTGTTGGCCGGGCACGGTGGCTCACGCCTGTAATCCCAGCACTTTGGGAGGCTGAGGCGGGCGTATCACGAGGTCAGGAGATCGAGACCATCCTGGCTAACACAGTGAAACCCCATCTCAACTAAAAATACAAAAAAATTAGCCGGGCAAGGTGACGGGCGCCTGTAGTCCCAGCTACTCGGGAGGCTGAGGCAGGAGAATGGCGTGAACCCCGGGGGGTGGAGACTGCAGTGAGCCGAGATCGCGCCACTGCACTCCAGCCTGGGCGACAGAGAGACTCCGTCTCAAAAAAAAAAAGCATCTGTTATTTTCCTATTAACCTCAACATTAATAATGGAATTCACGTGAGGCAAGATTTTTTTCAATTTACCTTCAAATTATAGCTCATTAACTATTTGCTAACTCTGCTTGTAAATAACATTGGCCTTGAAAAAAAAATCCGGGTCTACCAAAGATTATCAGTGTGTCCTAAAGCACAAAAACAGGTTATCAAAACTTGGAAGCGGGTTGCAGTTAAAAGCACTGCCATCTCCTTGCTACATGAGTTGAGTAACTCAGCTATAATATATAATCTATTTGACATGGTTGTTACAGACTGTTCTACTAAGAAAATGTGTTCAATAATTCTCTACATGCAGAAGCACATTACAACCTTTAATTTATGCCAATGTGTAAGGCGGAGAGTTTCCTAGCATCCTCTTTTCCACACAAATTACTCTTCAATTGAAGAACTACACACTGCATCGGAAAAAAAACATCATTCCCTAAAGTGGAATTTGGATATTCATAAGGACCTATTTTGATTTATGCAGAAATCTTATGGGACACTAGTGTTGTTTGAAGTAAGAGATTCTTTTAATGAAGAATGTGGGAAGTGAGACCAGGGATTGAAAGCTATTTAAAGTTGGGGATAAATGAGGAAAGAGAACTTTAAAACTAGTAAGACAGCATAAATTTCCTATAATGTGACACAAAATGTGGAAAAGCTTTGTTTGATTAGAAAATAAATTGAATGACAATGTCCTTACTTTACAAGTGCAGCTGAGATAATTGCAGTAAGCCATTATCACAACAGAAAAATAAGCTAGCATCATGTAAAAACAACTGTAAAAATTAAAAATAGAAAATATTTTTAAAGTTTATAAATAATATATTGATGTATTTTTATGAGTTTACAAATATGTTTACTTATCCATTCACTAAACTAACAAATAGTTTTCTACCTTCATAAAGCAAACGAGGAAGCTTAGCATTGCTCAGGAATTGGGCAAGCAACCAAAAATTACAATAGTGTGACATGCTATTTTCGGCATATGAATGGAAACTTCACATAGAGGAGGAAATATTCTTTGGCCAAAGAAAGATAAAATAAAGCAAAACTATACATCCTTCTCTTAAGAAGCATATAATTTGTTCAGAAGTCGTAACGCAGGCACACAAAGCTACATGATAAAAGAAAGCTGTAAGGCCGGGCGCGGTGGCTCACGCCTGTAATCCCAGCACTTTGGGAGGCCGAGGCGGGTGGATCATGAGGTCAGGAGATCGAGACCATCCTGGCTAACAAGGTGAAACCCCGTCTCTACTAAAAATACAAAAAATTAGCCGGGCGCGGTGGCGGGCGCCTGTAGTCCCAGCTACTCGGGAGGCTGAGGCAGGAGAATGGCGTGAACACGGGAAGCGGAGCTTGCAGTGAGCCGAGATTGCGCCACTGCAGTCCGCAGTCCGGCCTGGGCGACAGAGCAAGACTCCGTCTCAAAAAAAAAAAAAAAAAAGCTGTACATAATAGATTATTATGTTATGATTCTTAAGTGATATGGAAATTTAGGGAAGAAACACACCAATCAACACACAATACCTGAGAATAATTCTGCAGGTATATTTTGAAGTACTTTTACTACTTTACATAAAGGAAAAATGCAGATGATGAGTGGGGACGTCAGAGAATAGCAAAGGTAAATGCCTGAAGTATTTTATTTTAATGTGTTTAATGGCTCTGAAAATTAACTTGAAGCTTTAAAATGCTGCTTCTAAAACCATTGCAAACATCACTTTCACTCTGGATTGGATCCAGGTGAAGATAACAGTGAATATAATACACAGCAACATGTCTTAGATGAAGCAAATAAATAAAACTAATTTTCATGGAGAAAATAACTACTTCTTGTGCATGTGTCTTTATAGCAGCATGATTTATAGTCCTTTGGGTATATACCCAGTAATGGGATGGCTGGGTCAAATGGTATTTCTAGTTCTAGATCCCTGAGGAATCGCCACACTGACTTCCACAATGGTTGAACTAGTTTACAGTCCCACCAACAGTGTAAAAGTGTTCCTATTTCTCCACATCCTCTCCAGCACCTGTTGTTTCCTGACTTTTTAATGATTGCCATTCTAACTATTCACAATAGCAAAGACTTGGAACCAACCCAAATGTCCAACAATGATAGACTGGATTAAGAAAATGTGGCACATATACACCATGGAATACTATGCAGCCATAAAAAATGATGAGTTCATGTCCTTCGTAGGGACATGGATGAAATTGGAAACCATCATTCTCAGTAAACTATCGCAAGAACAAAAAACCAAACACCGCATATTCTCACTCATAGGTGGGAATTGAACAATGAGATCACATGGACACAGGAAAGGGAATATCACACTCTGGGGACTGTGGTGGGGTCGGGGGAGGGGGGAGGGATAGCATTGGGAGATATACCTAATGCTAGATGACACGTTAGTGGGTGCAGCGCACCAGCATGGCACATGTATACATATGTAACTAACCTGCACAATGTGCACATGTACCCTAAAACTTAGAGTATAATAAAAAAAAAATAATAATAAATAAATAAATAAAATGTAAAAAAAAAAAAGAAAATAACTACTTCTACTAAATACTGTATAATTTTAAACTTGCTGGTGAGAAGGACAAAAGCAGAAAAGAACCATATGGAGTGTGGAAGAGAAAGAGAACACATTAAAAAAAGAAAAAAAGTGGGTGATTCTGTTTCTATGCTTATAAACTTATCTGAGGTGGAAAATAAAACCACACAAAAAGTTTCAAGATTTAGGACAATATGCTTTTTATATGAACCAATTTGAACATCTTTCTGACACTCTTCAGAATTTGATTGAAATAATTGAATAATTAAAAAATTGAGAACATAACTATGGTTTCTCTAAAAGATATTGTATGAGAAACAATCAAAATTATTGCAAGTTGTATTCTTTGTCAAATTACACTAAGCTGCACACAATGAAGACATATTAAATACTTCTGTTAAAAACTTAGTTTTTAATAAAGTCTCCTGCACAAACAGTTAGCTTCAGGTTAGATTCTTTCTTTTCCTGATATGCAAGTTCTTTCCAAATAAACCTATTACTTATCATTTCCTAAGGCTGACAGATTTCGCAATAAAAATACAAAGCATTCAGTTAAATCTAATTACAGATACACAACAGATAATCTGCTAGTATTATTCATTGTCTATCAGAAAATCAAACCTAAATTGGTCAATCATATTTTATTCAGAAACTTTATAGTTAACACAAAATTACATAATTCCTACTCTGTGAAAATTAATTATTGGACAGCGTGATAGAAAAATAAAGTTTGAAAAAAATGATCTTAGTTTGGCCTTTGCTGATTCAGTTCTTGAGACAGGGTTAGAGAACAGGTAGGGTACTTGGAGGTGATAGGTGATCCTAGGTGTCATGGGTTGGAGAATTTAGGAAAAGAGAGAAAGCAATTCAGATAGTAAGTTCTATGATCTGACAAGGTGCACTGGGGAAACTGGAGCTTGTACCTGTTGAGGATTCTGGGAGTCAGTGCAGAAGACTCCTCAGAGATATCTCACACAAGAAGTAAAGAGCCTGGGACATCCTTTTCTAGTTGAGGTCAGCTATAAGGGATAGCAATTGTACAAGGTACATCCTGTTAGTAGAAACACTCAGGCAATTAGAATTTCAAACATAGTCAATGTCTTAATGGGGAAGACACAAACAATATGCTCACAGAATTAGAGCTAAGGTTGGTCATCTCACCTATACTTCAATCATCAACTCTAAGTCCCTGGAACACATTCACTTACAAGACATCATCACAATTCCGTATTATTACCCAATTTGGCTTTAGTCACTCCTACCATTTAGTTATGTTCCCAATTTCACATAGACCTTTCAAACTGTTTAAATATTGTTTTATCTCTTCAACCAAGTCAATCAATGGTATAAACAGAACCTTTGTCTTTTCTGTTCTTTTGCTCATGTCATTTTACTTGCCTAGGATTTTTTTCTCTTTTAATTTTTCCTGAATTCATTCTTGAAATTCTAGTCCTTCCATGAAGTGTTTCTCAGATCTTATGCCTACATGATGGAAACAGGAAAAGACAATATATATGTTGGTATTTGCTCTGTTTGGGTTGTACATATCTAAGTATCCAGAGGGAATCAGAATATTCCATGACTAAAGCTGAGTTGACAACTTCAAAAAGACAGATATATCAAAGCCAGGAGCAACAATTCCCCTCTAAAGTTGTTTAGACAGATTTTTGAGATTGAGCTTCCTTGTTCTTGGTATATATGCTATTAATTTTCTGTGGCTAATGTAAAAAACAAACAAAAACCCCAAAAACTTGGTGGCTTAAGACATCAGAAATTTAGTATCTTACAGTTCTGGAAGCCAGAAATCCAAAATCAGTTTTACTGGGGCAAAAATCAAGGTGGGAACAGGCCCATGCTCCTACAGGAAGCTCTAAGCTCTTTGTTTCTTCCTTCTTCCTTCTGCTAGCTTCAACAGTCTTTGGTTTGTGGCCTGAAGACTCTCATGTCTGCCTTCGTGGTCATAGTGCCTCCTCCTCTTTCATGCATAATCTATCTCTGAGGCTCTAAGAATAGTTGTGATTGCATTTACGGACTATAAAACAGGATATTTCCATCCCATGATCATTAACAGTCACCTCTGCAAAGACCTTTTTTTCCATATGAGAAAACATTTTTTTCAGGGATTAGAAGCTGGTATTTTTGAGGGCTATTATTCAGCCTACTACAATTTTTGGACAAATTGAGCATGTACCTTTCCTCTTTTTATTTTTGCTATTTAAACTTTCACAGAACATTGTATAGTTTGATTTTAAAATATTTGTCTCATTCAATTGACAAAATAATTTGTCTCTTGACAAATATTTTGTCAGAGAAGAGCCTGGATGTTACCTCTGTATTTCCTGTATGTACTGTTATGCTGGGCACATGGAGAGACTAAAAAATTATTGTGGAGTTAGTATCATTAATGTTAAATGGTCATATTGGGTCTGGAGTTGGTGGGTTCTTGCTCTTGCTGAGTTCAAGAATGGAGCGGCAGACCCTCGTAGTGAGTGTTACAGTTCTTAAAGATGGTGTGTCCGGAATTTGTTCCTTCTGATGTTCGGACATGTTCAGTTTTTTCCTTCTGGTGGGTTCATGGTCTCACTGGCTTCAGGGGTGAAACTTCAGACCTTCGCGGTGAGTGTTACAGCTCTTAATGCGGTGCGTCTGGAGTTGTTCATTCCTTCCATCCGCAGTTATACATTCCTCCTGGTGGGTTTGAGGTCTCACTGGCCTCAGGAGTGAAGCTGCAGCCCTTTGCACTGAGTGATACAGCTCATAAAGGCAGGGCAGACCAAAACAGCAGCAGCAAGACTTATTGCAAAGAGCCAAAGAACAAAACTTCCACACTGTGGAAAGCGACCCTAGCAGGTTGGTGTTGGTGACTCGGGCAGCCTCCTTTTATTCCTTTATCTGGCCCCACCCACATCCTGCTGATTGGTCCATTTTACAGACAGCTGATTGGTCCATTTTACAGATAGCTGATTGGTCCATTTTGACAGAGCGCTGATTGGTGTGTTTACAATTCCTGAGCTAGACACAGAGTGCTGATTGGTGCATTTACAATCCTCTAGCTAGACATAAAAGTTCTCTAAGTCCCCACCAGATTAGCTAGAAAGGGAGTGCTGATTGGTGCATCCACAAACCTCCAGCTAGACACAGAGTGAGGATTGGTGCATTTACAATCCTCTAGCTTGACATAAAAGTTCTCCAAGTCCCCACTGGACTCAGGAGCCCAGCTGGCTTCGCCTAGTTGATCCCATGCCAGGGCCATGGGAGGAGCTGCCCATCAGTCCTGCGCCAGGCGTCTGCATTCCTCAGCCCTTGGGTGATCAATGGGACCGGGCGCCCTGGAGCAGAGGGCAGCGCCCATCGGGGAGGCTCGGGCTGTGCCAGAGCCCACCAGTGGTGGGGGCGCTCAGGCATGGCGGGCTGCAGGTCCTGAGCCCTGCCCCGCAGGGAGGCGGCTGAGGCCTGATGAGAATTCGAGTGTGGCGCGGGCGGGCTGGCAGTGCTGGGGGACCCAGCACCCTCCGCAGCTGCTGGCACCGGTGCTAAGCCCCTCACTGCCCGGGGCCAGCGGTGCTGGCCAGCCACTCCGAATGCAGGGCCCACCCGGCCTGCGTACAGCCCCGGTTCCTGCCCACGCCTCTCCCTCCACACCTCCCGGCAAGCAGAAGGAGCCGGCTCTGGCCTCAGCCAACCCAGAGAGGGGCTCCCACAATGCAGCTATGGGCTGAAGGGCTCCTCAAGCGTGGCAAGGGTGGACGCCAAGGCCAAGGAGGCGCCAAGAGCGAGCAAGGCCTGCTAGCACGTTGTCACCTCTCAATATGATTGTGTCCATTTATTTTCTTTCTCTCTCTACTCTCACTGTTTCTTGGAGTTTAAAAACAATGACATAGCATTTTCCTGCCCTTGAAACACAAGTAATATTGTAATTTGAGTTTTTTCCAGCCAGTTTTACAGATTAGTCTTAATTTCCTCATTATATGGTGTACAATGTAGTGACTCATCAGGTTTTGGCTTGTATTCTACAATCATAATATGATTATTACTGGGTGTTCTGTAAACTGCTATCTATGCTATCATCTGCTGTTAATGTCAGCTATCACATCCAATCTTTCAGTCCTGAGGCAAGTTAAAAGGAGCAAATCATTAAGCCTTTCTTTGCTTTAGTTTCTTTCTACTTTAAGTTGCTTAATAATATCACAAGGATATTTGCGGGACTCAAATAAACTGTATGCTCTTAACTAAAAATTGTACAAATAAAGTTACCTCTACTATTCCTATCATTAATAATACCATCTGGGGTTCTATCCCCTTGTCTACTTAATGTCTCTGGGCGTTTTATTATTTTATGCACTATTGTAAAGCCAGGTGGGATATGCAGACTATCCACATATTTGATTTTATTATCCTGGTTTATTATGACAACTGCTTATTATATGTATTCTCAGAGATTTCTTTTTTAACATTTTGGGTTCTCTCTGTAATAATAAGGAATAGCCATAAATATATTTTTTCTCACATTGTATTTTTTTTAGCTGAGTAGATAATAGGGAATATCATTTTCAGACTAAAGTCTCTTCCTCTTTCTCTGACTTTTCATAAAGTAGAACAGCAGATCCCAGCTCCAACATGCTGAGGGATAACCCACTTTTCTCTCAGTAACAAGGTCTTACCAAGACCCTGATCCACAGTAAGAGGCAGTTCTTGATCTACGGGAAATATGTACAATTGGAGATTAACTTTGGCGAATACTTTTCTTTTAAGAGGCAAATTTTTATGGCCAGCCTGTTACAGGGCAAATAACTCTAATTAGGTCAGCTCCATATCTAAAACATATAATGCTCTCTCAAATCTTTGTGGCATGAGTAAATTATCAAAACCTAGTAAAAAAAAAAGCAGTTAAGAAATGAAAGACAAATTTGGAGAGGATTCTTTAAGTTATAGACAATTTAGTCTGGCAGTAACAATGATAATGGTTGAAGAACATCCTAGCCAAAATGTAGCATAAATATCCCTGGTGCAAGGCACATGGTGGTTATTTAATTATTTCACTCATGAATAAAAAAGAAAAGAATCAATATTAAAGAGTTATTTAGAAATAAAGGTAGTTGATGAAATAGAAAACATTTCTTTGTAATTTTGCAAAAGTAGTAGAGAAGGATCACATAGAAATCTAAAAGCATTAGCTTGCTTTATGCCCAGTCTCTCAAGCATATGGTTTCAAAAATTCATTTCTAATCTAGATGAGAACAACTTCTCTATCCATCTCTTCTACTTAACTTCTCGGGAAAAGTGGATGATGAAGTAAAATAAAATGTACAGACTAATATTCTTCAGGTAATTCTCAGTGGGAAGCACCTACATCATATCAATTTTGTCATCTGTTGGGAGAGGAAGAGATCTCTTGTTAAATTAAACACAGAAATGTTCTGATGAACAATTAGAATTAGTAATTAAATTTAGTACTATTGCTGGATGTAGTTCAATACAAAATATCAATTTAATTTTTATAAATAAGCAAAATATTTTAAAAGTGTGAAAAGATAACATTTGCTATAGAATAAAAAATTAAATTTCTAGGATTAAATCTAATGAAAGATGTGCAAGATCTTGTTACTAAAAGCCAATTCATGTATGTGTGTACACACACACGTGTGTGTATATATTCATATTTACATTAAAGAAGACCTAAAATACAGAAATAACTTACAGTCATGAATTTGAATAAAAATATTATAATTATGTCAGTTTCCCCCAATTGATCTATAACACAAAATCATTGAAACTCCAAAAAGTTGTACATCTGTGTATAAATCAGTATCTTATTATAGAAAATTATATGAAACCAAATGCCCTAGTAAATTTAGGGGAGTCTTGAAGAAGAAGGAGTTAACTAAAAGAATATATATTTTCAGCTATCTATGTATATACATACATTTGTGTATATATGTACACATTACCATATATACACATATAACATATATGTGTATATATACACATTACCATATTATATATAAAATATGTATATATTGCACACATACAAGGAACAATATATCTATAACATATGGGCATGTATTGTTGTGTATATATGTATATAATAAATAAAGAAATTAAGAAACTGTGATACTACTCCAAGGATAGATATATTTATCAATGACAGAGTAGAGAGTACAGAAAAAGATCCATACATGTATGATCGTTTGATTTATAAAAAGGGTAACGACACAACACAATTGATAAAAATTGTCTCTTTACCAAACGTACTAAGTCAATTGGATATTAAAATATAGAATATATGTACACACACACACACACACACACACACACACACACACACACAGTGACCTGAACTTCAAACCTTACACAAAAGTCAATTCCAGTATTTCAGGCGTAAACGTAAAAGGTAAACCAATAAAGCTTTTAGAAGAAAAAACAAGACAACTTTCTTAAGTTGCAGTAGGCAAAAATTCCTAAATTTCTCTTACCTCGCCCCCCACAACCCCCGGCTATACGATGTAAAATCACAAGTAATTATAAAGAAAAAAAAATGGAGTATATCAGAATTAATAATGTGTTTCCATGAAAAGATCTAATTAGATCAGTGAAAAGGCTAAATACATAGTGTGGATGAGGTATTTGCAGTACACACTCCTAACAAAATCTTTGAATATAGAATATATGTCATAAAAATTAATAAACATTTAATTGATAAATAGAAAAAGCAGGCAAAAGATTAAGCAGGCACTTAACAAAGTAATATATCAAGATGCCCATTATATCTTTGAAAATGTACTGCACTTTATTAATTAGAAAAGAAATACAAATTCAAACCACAATGTGACACTGCTACATAGCCACCAGAATGCTTGCAATTAAAAAGAAAAAAAAGCAAATAGGTAAGAAGGTGGAGCAACCAGCACTATTTTCCCCAGCTGGTGAGTGTTTACATTGATAATATCTCTCTGGAAAACTGGTAGTCTGAGTCTCTGTTAAAGCTATCAAATCTACTTCTGGCTATGTATCTTACAGCAATGCCTATAAGGGTTGACCAAAATACATACACGGAAATGCTTATTTCCCCAAACTGGAGGCACGTGCAACAGATAAATTTCAAGCCTAATATTAAACTAAAGAAGCTAGACACGAAAGAGTTCACATTTTGTAATTCCATGTACATAAATTTCATATATCTATGGTGTGAGAAATAAGGATAAAGGTTATCCTTGGCAGGATACTTACTGCACAAAACCCAAGGGCCCTTCATGAATGCTGATTATGTTCTGTTTCTTTAAGGTGCACTGGTTGCACAGGGATATTTACTTTGGAAAAGCCATGGACCTATTTAAGTATGGTCTGTGCATTTTTTCATTTTGTGTATGTTTGCTAAAATTAAATATATTTAGAAACAGGCATTGAAGTGTTTATTCTGACATAAGAAAAGAAAACTTGAACTTTTAGTGTAAGCCTTTATGTAGGTCAGCATTTCCCAATGTATTTGAGATTATGATAATAGGAAATAAACTGACTAGAACTGAAAAGGAAATAAACTGACTCTAGTTGACAGATTTATTGTTATGTGTTTTAGCAGAAAGTGTAGCTAGTCAAATGTCATGATTTTGATCCATTTTAAAATAGACTGTAGACTCTGATCCTTTTGCATAAAACTAAATAATAAAAAGGGGAAGACTCATATTGATCACTTAATAATCTTTATGCACTTAAAAGTTTGTAGGATTAGACTTAATTGCTTAATGTAATGATCTTTTCTAAATCTTTATCATACTTGATTTTTCTGCAGCTATGTATTATAGCACTCTTATTTTCTTTTCACTTTTCTGACTGTTATTCTTAAGACTCTTCTTGCTATGTTTCTGCCAGTCACATCTTAAGTTCAGTATAAGAATTCCCAGGGGTTTGCCTTCAGCCGATATTCTTTTTCACTCTGAACGATCTCACTAGACAATTTTACACCTTACCATAGCTTCATACTTATACAAAATGCAGCAATTTGCATTGATTTCTCTGAATATTCCTTTACACTTGAGACTTGTATTTGTCACTGCCTGTTAAGCAACCTTATTCTCCCAGCAACTAAATAAAACATTTTCAAAGTTGAATTTATTCCGTGCCTGCTTACTGTGTCAAAATGTTTTTGATGCTAAACTCTCCTTTATCATCCATGTCAATTGCCAAATCATATCAGCTCTTTCATATAAGCTCTCTTCTTTTTTATTCCCAATTCTACTGTCCTAGTTTAGGTTCTCATTACCTTAATTCAATTCAAATCATCTATCATCTATTAATTATTTACTGTGTGGTAAGAGCTGTGCAAGGCACTAAAGACACTGAGATGAAAAAAATAGTACTTGAACTTTTGTACAGTCTCTTGTGGGAGAGTACAAAAGTAATTATAAAAATGTTTTCAGTATAATTCAAAAGTTATGGGTGCTAAGTGAGCACATACTAGGGACACCAATTTCATAATATAGGGTTTTATCTCACACTCAGAACTAATGACATTTCTAGCCAGATGATTTGTTTTATGCAGGGGATCTGTTTAATATACATAGCACATTACTTCAGCATCCCTGACCCCTATTCACTAGATGTCAGGAGCACCCCACCCCTAGATGTGGAAACCACAAATGTTCCCAGATGTTATCACACGTCTCCTAGGATGAGAGGAGAGAATTGCCCCACATACGAAACACTGCCCTAGCATAACACCTATTTTCTCCTATAAACCTCAGGCCTTTCCAACATATCCTTTTAAATATTCATAACATTCTTTCTCTGAATTCCACTAAAGATGATCCATTACCTAATAAATAAAGAAAAAAAAACCTCTGAGCATGACTGTCTGTTCAACCCCAACATACCTTTCTGGTCCCAACATCAAGTACATCCTTTTCTTCAGTCAATGATTGTTTTAGTTCTAGATTTTTATTTTTTTTCTAAGCATGCTGCCAACTCTCCACAGGTCGTATGCCTATCCACTGAGATGCTATGCCACGGTGACACTGAACAAGTTATTTTACTTTTCAATTGCTCATATCTTCACCTTTACTATAGAAATCAGAATAATAACAATTTTATAAGAGGTTGTAAAGATCAAAAGAAATAATCCAAGTAAAGATAGTAATAAATATCAATAAATTATAATTTACATTCTGATCCCTGATTTATCAACTGTTGATATTATCCTTCGTGGCCTCTCTCATGTGATGCCTTCTTTACCTACCCCCTGCCACTGAAATTAGTCATTTATTTTTCCATATAAATGATGATAACACACCTTGTTTTTAATTATTTCATTTCATTTCAGTTTCTTATTATGCATATTCCCTATTATTCCACAAGGTCCTCTTAGGTCATATTTTGTTAACCTTTGCCATATCCTCGTGCCAATCTAAGTGTACTACACAGAATAAATACTGTAATATTTACTAAAATTAGTGCTGTGAGAAACCATACTATTGAAAAAGCATGTTTTGAAGTACAATAGTGTATTATACTTATTGGAAACAACTGATTATTCTTGACAGTTTCGCAAGGCTGATATTTATTTTACTAATTTACAGGTGCATAATCTAAACCTTAGTGAAAAATTATAAGCTTAAGTCCATATTCCTAATAATTTCAAACCTATCTGTGCTCTGTTTCCAAAATGTGTGATTTTTAGTTACATTGTGCTGTTGCTCAATATAAAATTTGTATGTTGATGTTTGATCCATTTAGAACAACATTGTTCAATAAAATATCATGTGAACCATATATTTAAAATGTGAAACTTTCTAGTAGCCACATTTAAAAGGTAGTAAAACAGGTAAAGTTATTTTTAATAATATATTTTATTCAACCCAATATATATAAAATGTTATTTAACATATAATCTATAATATTATGAGTAAGATATTTATACCCTTCTTTAAAATACATTATTTTCCATTGCAATTAAGGACAATGTTATGACATATTTTTACCAATTAATTAAAAATAGAATTTATTGTATGGCACTTCTGAATAATAATTTAATGGTAGCTGATGGAGCTGACATGAGGCATTTCATTCTTTATCCTTACCTTCTATATGTAACTGAAAGTGAAAAAACAATCACAAACAGAAACAAAAACAACAGAGAGCTCTTCCATAGCATCTCTGATGCGTTGCACAAATGCAAAACCTAATTATCTTAGATGTCTGTGTATATGATAAAACAAAAACATTTAATTTTGTAACTGCTATTGGAGATTGTTGGTTTGATTGTTGTTACTGCAGCGAAACCCAAACATTTAGTGAAAAGGAAGGTGCCATATGAACAGAGAGACTCAATCACTCGTGCCTTCATTTGTCTCATAAGGAAACAAGACAAGTGAAGCATAAGTGAAGAAAGTTCTAGGCAGAGGAAACTGCAGTTAAAAAGACCTGAGAGTGGGAGGGAATTGAAAGTAGAATGTACTGAAGTGTTCTAGTTACTGATGCCATGTAATGAACTTCCCCAAATCTTAGTGGTATAAAAAATAACAATCACTTATTTTGTTCACAGATCTTTAATTTGGACAACTCTTAGTGGGGATGACTCATCTCTGCTTTATGAGGAATTAATTGGAATGGCTAATTAAGGGCTAGAGCACTTATGTTCAAGATGACTCACTCACATATGAGAACTCAGTTAGGACCATGGGCCATGTGTCAGTTCCTCAATATGTGGGCTTTTTCATGCACTATTTCCGTTTCCTTGCAGTTTGATGGCCTGGTTTTAAGAGTGAATGTTTTAAGAAAATTAGGAAAAAATTGTATTGCTTTTAATGACTAAACTTGGAGATCACATAGCAACATTTCTGCTCTAGTCATACTTCTATCCAGATTTTAAGGAAAGAAAACAGATTTCACTTTTTGATTGGGAGAAATGTCAAGTCACCTTATGAAAAAATAAATGAAATTAGAATTTTTTAAAACTTCAAGTTCTGGGACACATGTGCTGAATGTGCAGGTTTGTTACATAGGTATACACGTGCCATGGTGGTTTGCTGCACTCATCAACCCACCATCTAGGTTTTAAGCCCCACATGCATTAGGTGTTTGTCCTGATGCTATCCCTCTCCTTGCCCCCGACCCCCCGATAGGCCCTGGTGTGTGATGTTCCTCTCCCTGTGTCCATGTGTTCTCGTTGTTCAACTCCCACTTATGAGTGAGAACATGCAGTGTTTGGTTTTCTGTTCCTGTGCTGAAGCCAGTATTGGAAATACAATTTGCAACATGAGAAAGAAAAATAATATATGCATGATGAGAACTGAATGCAACAATTATTTGTTAAGTATTTGCCATGAGTTAGATACCTTTTTAGGCACTAGTAATATAGAAGTAAACAGAAGAGACAAAAATAACTTTCCTTCATTATATATTTTTTATCCTATTGAAATGAGTGGAGAGAAGAGTGATAAGATACAAAGTTAGATAAAGACAGAGCATTGTAGACCATGTTAAGAAATTTAGATTTTGTTGTCAGTATTATAGCATTTTTTTTTACAGGGATGTGATGTGGCCTTACTTATATTTTCCAAGTATCACTCTGGCTGCCCTGTGAGGAGAAAACAGAAGGGTTGGGGGAGGGGTGTGGAAATACCAAATGCAGTTAGGAGAAGAATGCAGCATTCGAAGCAAAAGGTGATGAGGTGATGGTGGCTGGGTCCAAGGTGGTACAAGTGGATATGGCAAGAAGATTCAAGATATATTTTGATGGCAGATGCAAAATTTAAATTTTTAGATTGGATGTCTCCTCTGAAAGTTAGACAATAATTAAGGGCGATTTCTAGCTACCATTATACTTGGAGAAAGTAGGCAATAAACAAGAAATTTAAGTAAATCTGTAGTATTAAGTGGTATCAAGATACTACAACTTGAAATTGAGTAGTTAGGGAAGGACTCACTGAGAAGGTGAATAGAATAAAGATCAAGAGATGTGGAAGCGAGTGATGCTGTTACATGAGGGAAGACATACAAAAAAGGAGATACATCATTTGCAAATGCTGTGAAGCAAAACAATGTCTGGACTATTCTAGGAAGAGTAAGGAAACAGGTTGGCAGGACCTAGGGACAAGGAGGATGTTTGATCATGAAAGGCCACAATGTTCAGGGCCATATCATACAGTGGGTCTTACAGGTTCATGGAAGGACTTTATCTTTTATTTTGAATGAAATAGAAGGTTCTTAATTGGGAGGTGATACAAAGATAATTTATGTTTAATAAGATCACTTAATTTCCTGTAATAAGAATTGAATAAGGTGGGGGAAAGGGTGGTAGTACAGAGACCAGTGAAGAGGCTGTTACTGTATTTTAGATAATTTTGCAAATTAATTACTTGGATGCTAGCTTGAGTGGAGGAGATGGTAAGAGGTGGATACACACCTTAGATTGTTTGGGGATATGAAAGAGAGGGGAGTCAGGTATCACCCACATGGGTTTCCTATTTAGATCTACCTTAGGGAGGTTTACACACAATTTGGTGTTTTAAATTTCCTGCTTTTTATTTGTTCTGAAAATATTATGTAGCTATTTGCTGTGGGTGTATCACCCAGATATCTTTTTAGAAAGGAGGAGCACATTCTGCCAGGCACTGCTGAGTTCCTCTTCAGGAATTGTCCTCAGCTAAAGGGACCTGGCTCACTGAGGGTTGTGCCTCTTTCCCAAGGACAGCCTGAATCCAGTTTCTGGGCAACATGGCACCACAGAAGCCCAAATGGCTCACCTTGACTTGGAACAATCCTGAAGGGCCATCCTAACTCCAGACATGTGATCTCTGTCATAATCTTTTATAGTAATGGAGATCTGTTGTAGCTATATGACTCTTCAATTTCTCTTTCTGCCTGATGCTGCTGTCTGCTTCTTAAAAGTGTTTATTCTGAGAGCACTCTCCAATAAATCTCCTGTTAATAGACCAATCTCTGTCTTACAGTGTATTTCCTAGGGAGCCTCCTTATGATGTAAAGTTTGTGGGTTCTGTTAAGTTGACAGCTGTATGGTGTTCTCTGTTATTTTCTGTTTTTCAAGAGGAAATACCTGAATAGTCGGAATGGTTGCTGCCATAGTCTCACTGAATGTGAGAGACACAGCATGTTTGTATGCTTATAGGAATAATTCAGTAGAGACAGAAAAATTGACTCAGGAGACTAACGGGTAGGATTTAGCAAAACAGTGAAACAGTTTCCCCTCACAACCATTTCACTTTTAGGAATTTGGACAATTTATCAATGTTAATAGGAAAAGAGGCAGAGTAAATAAGTTGGATGTAGGTGAGTAGATAAATACGGTGGTAGAAGCTCATGAAAATTCTCTTATGCTTACTTCTATTTTCTCAGTAAACTCAGGAGCAAAATTACCTCTAGACAGCAATTGTTGGAAGAATATTTGGAAATTTGAAGAAAAAAAGATGGAAAATAATGATAAGTGTAGGAGAATAAATGGATAAAGCAAATACAGTATCATTACTAGGCCACACAACTTTAAAATGTGTAGTTCTGTTTTGCTCCAGTCATATTTAATTTTATAGGTGCTAATGTGCAATAAGTATAGAGTCAGAATTAAATATAATTGTGATTTTGTCATGTAAGTGTAGGAAGCAAGAGAATAAATGAAGAGGTGAATGTATATGAAATAAAATGATGATATACACTAGTGAATTTAAGCTGAGCAAAAAAGGCAAGTGAGTATAAGAGGAAAGTGAATGGACATGAAAAAGGTAGTAAGATCAAATATTAGTGGGGTTCTAAATTACTTTCAGAGTCATAGTATTAAACAAAGTGAGCTGGAAAGATTGGAAATGGTGGTCATGGGTATTTTGAAATTGGGGTAATAGAATGGATACCATTATTGTAGTTACAAAGACTAGGGTGTAACCAAAGAAGTGTTTGAGAAGGTATGGAGAATGTGACCTTTTGAAATCGATTCTCTTAACACTTTTCAAGAATATAGTATGTTGTTATTAACTATAGTCACCATGTTACCATGTTGTACAATATATCTCTTGTATGTATTCCTCCTAACTGAAGTTTTGTTTCTTTTGACCAATGTCCCCCTCAAAGGTCCCCATCCAGCCCCTAGGAATCACTATTCTACTGTCTACTTCTGTAAAGTTTAGTTTGACTATAGCTTCTAGAGAGT
Source organism: Homo sapiens (assembly GCF_000001405.40). NCBI lineage: Eukaryota > Metazoa > Chordata > Mammalia > Primates > Hominidae > Homo > Homo sapiens. The sequence goes on from NC_000001.11 coordinate 102,245,673, forward strand.
TTGAGTTTTTTAGATTCCTTGTCTAAGTAAGATAATACAGTATTTTCCTTTCTGTGCCTGGCTCAACATGATGCATTTCCAGTTCATCCATGTTGTCTCAAATGGAAGAATCTGCTTCTCTTTCAAAGGCTGCATTGTTTTTGATTGTGTATATAGTACATTTTCCTTATCCATTCACCTTTTGATGGATACTTAGATTGATTTCATATCTTGGCTACTGTAAATAATGTTGCATTGAACATGGGAGTACAGGTACCTCTTTAAAATACTGATTTCATTACCTTTGAATATATACCCAGTAATTGGATAGCTGGGTCATATGGTAGTTCTACTTTTAAGTTTTTGAGGAAACGTCATACTGGTTTTTCATAAGGTTTTTCTTAAGCTGGCCCAACTACATTTCCACAAACAGTATACAAGTTCCCTTTTCTCTACGTTCTTGCCAACACTTGCTATCTTTCATCATTTTGATGATCGTTATTCTAACAGGTGTGTGGTAATATTGTGGATAGGTGTGAGGTCCTATCTCATTGTATACAGATGTGAGGTAGTATCTCATTGTAATTTAACTTTGCATTTCCCTGATGATTAGCGATGGTAAGCATGTTTTCATATGCCTGTTTACTATTTGTATGCCTTCTTTCGAGAAATATCCACCCAAGGCTTTTGCCCAATTTTAATCAGTTTGGTTATTTTTTTTGCTATTGAATTGAGTTCCTTATTTACTCTGGATATTAACACTTTATCAAATATATGGTTTGCTAATACTTTTTACTGTTTCATAGGTTGTCTAGGAAGTGAGTTTTTGATGTGTGACTCAAAACTGGGTGATTTATATGGGAAATAGTAAAAGTGATTTGAAAATAGTAATAAGGACAAGAAGAAAAAATGACTATCTGGACCTATTAGATCCACTGATTTGAGAATCCAAACACCAACCATATAAGAGAACTTATAGAGATAGCATATGAGATCTCACAGGAGATTCAGGCTTAGTTAAAAGGAGGAGAAGAGAATGATCAGAGAAGGGGTTGAGGACATAAGTAAGCGTATTGATGACATACTGTATGTTCCAAAGGGCAAGGGAAAAGTTTTTAAGTGTTGGAAAGCGGTGGAAATTATGCTTAAAAGAGGCATTATATACAGCCTTAATGAAACTAAAGAGATAAGAGATAATCTGTGACATCCAGGTTTCTTTTGGGAAATGACAAAAGTTGGGAGAAAAGCTTGATGAGATATTCTCACAGAAGGTTTTTTGGAGAAGTGGTCATTATCAGACAAAGATAGAGAGGTAGAGGCAGATAGGCCATTAAAAGAGTGATCTTATTCTGAGTACAAGAAACTCCTGGCCATTTAATACTACATGATGATGGTCTCAACGTGTGCCCAGTAATGATTTGAGGCGTGATCATGCACAACACACCGAGTTTCTCTGTTCACTACTACTAGGCATTGATGTCTCGGGTACCTGGTTTTCTTCAAGAATGGATGTTTTCTCTCAATCCATCTTTCATGATTCCTTCTTTTTGAAATTATGTTTATTTAATTTCTCTACATTTCTATTGATTGTTTTCCTTTTGATTTTTAGCGACTTTTCATAAGTTTTAATTTTTTTTAAGAGACAGAATCTCACTGTATTGCATAGGCTGGAAGGTAATGGCAAGCTCATAGCTCATTGCAGCCTTCAACTCCTGGGCTCAAGGGATCCTCCCACCTCAGACTCCCAAGTAGTTGGGACTACAGGTGTGCACCACCACACCTAGCTATTTTTTTTTTTAATTTTTATTTTGCAGTGGCAGAGTCTTGCTATGTTGCCCAGGCTGGTCTCCAATTCCTGGACTCAAATGATTCTCTCACCTCAGCCTCTCAAAGTGCAGGGATTATGGGTGTAAGCCACTGTACCCAACTTATAACTTTTTGAATAAAAATTATTTGTAAGCTATATGTGTTGTAAATCTCTTCCTTCAATTTATGAATAGCATTATTTCTACAGAAAATTGGAAGTTCTCAAAATTGTACTATAATTAAATTTATTAATATGTTTATCTATGGTTTAGATTTTCTATGCTTTATTTTAAAAATGCTTTATCTTTTACTTTCATAATTATGTTCTATATTTTTCTCTAAAAGTTTCAAGGAATTACCTTTCACATTTAACCCCTTAAGCTATATGGAATTGATTTTTGTGTGTGATATGAAGTAATGATCCAATTTAACTTTTCTGTCACATGAAAAACAGTTTTTTAAGTATCAGCTTTTGCATATTCTTTCTTACCCATTGTTTTTTCAATGTCACTTGCATAGCTAACACGTCAGATTTGTGAATATGTGAAAATCTGTTTCTGGAATTTCTACTCTGCTCTATCAGTCTATATTCCTACTCAGCACAAATATCATGCAAATATTTTACAAGAACTTATAATACATTCTCTTATTTAGTTGCACAAGTCCATGCAACTTATTCTTCTTCAGGATTGCTTAGCTATTCTTGTAATTTTCCGTCTGTATAAACTTCTGAATCACCTTGTCAAAATTTATGATAAAAGCTTTTCATAAATTCAGTAGAAGAGCATTGATTTTATAGATTATTTTCTGGGGGCAGAAATAACATATTTAAGGTACTAAATCTTCCTCTGCATGAACATAATGTGTCTTCATTTACTGAAAGTTTCTCTTGTTTATTTGATTATTGTATTATAGCTTTCAACATAAAGTCCTCTGTACACATATCCATGTCTCTCTCTGTCTCTGTATGTGTGTATTGTGTTGACTTGTTTGTATTTTATCTTATGTTAGGAAATTTATTTTATTAGTTCTTATCAGTAACATATAGCTCATTAACTTGCTGAGGTACTGGTATAAGATATAGACTCTATAGTTATAGATATTTATATTTCAAACATAAAATATAACCCTTTATTCATTAAACAATGTTCTTTACAAGAATATGTCCATTTTAACAAAAAGATTAAATGAAAAATAAATATACAATTGCTTTAAAAATTTGCTTTTAGTCACTCTGTAACTTCAGGCAAATCAGGTGTCCATCAAGTGCTTCAGTTTCCTCATCTTTAACTGGGAATAAAGCTAAGCACCACTAATAGAATTAATGTGAGAATTGCATGCGCTATGATAGGTTCATAACTTAGATGGCAGACAGCAATGCTAAGTGCTCCCTCCTTTTATTTTTATTGCGAGAGCAACACTGACACTTTCTCTTGTCTTCATTATAATTTAATATGCATCTTACATCTAGCAGTCAGGGATTGTTTTAAAAAGGCGGCACTTTGAAACTTTAATCCCTGAGATAAATTTTTAACATTACAACACAAAGTCACCCTATCTACTTTTGGTTTTCCAAATACCCTAAAACTCGAGCCATATTTTGTGAAGTTACTCAGTCTGTAACCAAAGCAATTTTCCCCTAACTTTTGTGATGCTGAAGCCTCAAAAATATGTGATAATTTTTGCAGATATAAAAATTATGGTAGAGCCTGGATGCGGTGGCTCATGCCTGTAATCCCAGCTACTCGGGAGGCTGAGGCAGGAGAATTGCCTGAACCTGCGAGGCTAGGATTGCAGTGAGCCAAGATTGTGCCTCTGCACTCCAGCCTGGGCAACAGAACGAGACTCTATCTCAAAAAAAAATTATGGTTAGAAAATTGTTATCTTTCCACTATAGACAGATTTGCAAATTTTTACCCCCAGAAACATGGTGAATATGTGATATGTTTTTAATTCTCCTGCACACAGTCTTTAAAAGTAAACTACTTTACTCTCCTAAATGCTTTGTCTCTGTCTTTTTTTTCGTAGTATGTTTTCCTTGTTCCATAATAATAAGCTTATCTATGTAATATTTTCCCTTAGTAGCAGAAAAACACCACTTAGGAAGAATATTTTAATAATGAATATTTGAGGACATTTTTGGAAAAAAATGTGGAAGAGTTACACAACTTGACACAAATATTCTCACTGCGTGGGACCAAAAATTTAATCAAGATTGTGAAGAGAGGCCATCTGCATTAAGAAAATATGTTACCATTTTCCTCTTCACATTCTTCCTCTTTCCTGTTGTCTTTTCTGTGCTCTACACATTGACCTAGTAGACAGACATGAGAATGCCTACAAGGCAAACTCCTGGGTGTGTTCCCACTGTCCACATCAATCACATTTAAAGGGTAATAGATCTCTTGTTCTATTGAACACACACTCTTCCTCCAATATATCATAGCCTATCTCATCACAAATTAAAATGAAGTCAAACAAACCTTGGGAAATCTGAAATTTTATATTTGGGGATTGATTCTTTCATTTTTTCCCAGATATGTAAATTTTCCACTCTTTACTTAGAGCTCCTGCCCCAAAAGATTATTTATATTTGTTTGTATTGTGCAATCAATTTCTAAGGTGCTAGAACTAAAAGTTTCACATGAGTTTCTGTTCTAAAAGATTGAATAGTGACTCCTTTAGAGTGTTAGGTACTTGTACACTCTTTTTTATGTACATACCTCAGTTAACCTTGGTAATGACAGTGACATGATGTTTGACCTTCGATAAAGATGTGGACTTTCGTGGGGTGAATTATTCTGGAGCTCCAAGATAACCACACACCTCCAGTGCTTGAAACTATCAAAATTTCAAAGAACGGGAAGTAAGTTTACATGAAGTAGCCTCAATAGACATGATTGCTTGATTGATTCACCTGTGATAATGGGATTTACTCTGAAAGTAAAACTAATGATGATAGTAATAATTTCTAATAAGATGACTTACACCAGTGAGTTCCAGGAAAAAGTGGCACTGATCCCTGGGAGTATTTTGGAAATGTGGTACAACAGGGATTGCCACAATCATTGAGGAATGTTACTAATGAAGGAACAAGACTGTTCCATATCCTACAATGCTAAGGACAGTCCTCACAAAGACATATTTCCTGCATCAGTGGTGCTTTTAAGATGATAGCTGTAGATATACATAGGTGGAAAACCCTTTTGAAATTATTTGAATGTATAAGCTAATTCCATTTTACATGTAAGCAAATAGTATTCTTGCAAAGTTTAATAGGCAGTAAATTTTCCAGGAATGCATCTGTTATGTAAATCAAGGAAGGATTGTAGTGTATTCTTCAAAGCTTTACTAAGTGTTGTTTAATATTTCAGAAAATTTTATCCCTGGCTACAATTCTGCCCACAATATTTGAGGAGATAATACAATTCAATCAGTCTGTTTTGTTACTGTTGTATCAAGAAGATTCTAAAAGTGATCCCCAGTATGAATGTAGGCATCTGACTATAAAGTTTTTGACAAGGCTGAGCATTTCCACATAGAAGTACAATACATTTGAAATTATTTTCATTATATTCCTCTTTCATATTAAGAATATGTTAAAGTTCTCTAAAAAGGATGTGTGACAGAGTATCATGTAAGAAGATAGATAGCTCCGTAACTTCAATATGGGACAAGCACAAAATCTGTCAATAAAGTAAGCAAAGGTTAATCTTATATTTTAAGTATTTCTAAAATGACAAAACACTAAATAAGTAGTTTTGACAACTTGATCATATGTTAGAATCACTCTCTCCAGGTACCCTCAAGGCCAATTAAATCAGAAATCTGGGGTGACATTCAGGCATCAGATTATTAAACCCTGTTTAAATGATTGAAATTCTGCAGGCAAATCTCTGCCAAGTTAACGTATAGAAAAAGAGCACTCACTGGGGAACACTCTAGAGCAATATGTAATTATATTTCACAATTACTACCTTTTCCTCTCCTTCACACGATAGTCTTCCTACTCTCATATATTGATTAGTTTTCTCACTTATACACACACACACAGACATATATATTATACAATTCAGGGGTGTCCAATCTTTTGGCTTCCCTGAGCCACATTGGAATAAGAAGAGTTGTCTTGGGCCACACATAAAATACACTAACACTAATGATAGCTTCTGAGCTAAAAACAAAAAAACAAGAACAAACAAAATGCAAAAAAAAACTCATGTTTAAGAAAGTTCACAAATTTGTTTTGGGCTGCATTCAAAGCCATCCTGGGCCACAGGTGGCCCGCAGGCCGTGGGCTGGACAAGCTTCTTATATATATAACAAATGCTAACACCAGAGTTCAGTAAATATTTTCCTATAAAGTGTCAGTAAAGTTTTTGAGATATTTTTAGATCATAAGTTCTCCATTACAACTATTCAACTGAGCAGTTGTAGCATGAAAGTAGCTCTAGAGAATATTTAAATAAATGGGTTTGGTGGTATTCAAAAGCTTTACTTATACAATCAGGCAGGCATTGGGCTGAATTCGGCCTGACGCAGAAATTTACTAACCACTCCTACACAAACACACACACATACATACTTAAATTACAAATTATTTTCAGTAACATTCACAGATTCTAAGATTCAACTTAAGTAATAGTAAGAATGAACATACCCTATAAACATTACTAAGATCAAAATACATTTAAATTTTTTGATATCTGCCTTTCTGAAATTAAACATGTTGGACTATTTCCAGTTATTCACTTTTTTTGACTATTAGCATTCTAACATGAATTTTTATTTTCTCCCTAGGTTCTGGACACTTGCATAAAACCAATTAATTCTGTGTAATTGAAAAACCAAGTCCTATATAACATCTATATTTACAATATTCCTTATGTTCCAATGAACTATACATGCAAATAAAAAAATCTATTGGCTGGGCACAATGGCTCACACCTGTAATCCCAGCACTTTGGGAGGCCGAAGCGGGCAGATCACTTGAGGTCAGAAGTTCAAGACTAGATTGGCCAAAGTGGTGAAACCCCATCTCTACTGAAAATACAAAAATTTGGCGGGCGTGGTGGCAGGCACTGTAATCCAAGCTACTTGGGAGTCTGAGGCAGGAGAATCGCTTATACCAAGGAGGCAGAAGTTGCAGTGAGCTGAGATCACGTCACTGCACTCCAGCCTGGGTGACAGAGCCAGATTCCGTCTTGGGAAAAAAAATATATATGTATGTATATATTAACTATTTTCATTTCTAGTTTCACATGTAAGGAGTTTGGAAATTACCACTCTGTCCTAAAAACAAGTGAAAAGCTGAACACACTGAAAAATCAACTCTTTTTGTTTCCATAAGAAAGGTGAGGACACAGGGCAAACAGCCATCTCCAAGATTAGAGATACAGACAGGCGAATACAGGGAGCTACAGCTGAGTGAAGTGGAGACTCAGCAGCAGGAAGTGCCACAGGAGCCAGTGTCAGAATAGAAAAACTCGAATCTGGCCAGAGGCTCAGAGTAGACAAGTCTTTGCTTTAAAAGCTCCAAGGCAATCCAGTCATAAGGGGGTTCCCACCATATTGTGAGATTTTCCTCCAGGAATTTGATGAGGATCCCACAGTAAATATTGAAGAAAAATCTCATTATACTTCCTGCAGTGGGAGGGGAAAAGGAACCATTTTGATATATGCCAGACCAGAGCACTCTTCTTGTTAACAAGGCCTGCCATCAGCAGAAACTACTTCAGCTGCTGGGATATTATCAGAGCCTAACTGACCCACAGGAAAGAAAATATACAACTTCAGCCAGCTCTAGCCTTAAATCTGTGAGGAAAGAACTACTAAACTCTAGCTCATTCTAGGCTTTAACATGAAAGAAAGGAAATATCCAGTCTGGCATCTTGTATTCCACCTAAGGGAGTGAGGAAAAGGTGAAATATTTATGAAGTTAACAGTGCAGAGACATAGGGTCACTAAACAACTGAGACCTAATCATAGGATTATAGAATGTTTCCTCTCCCCGACAGCCTACTATTACATTACCGAAGGCCTATTTACAGCAGTTCCTTTTACCCAGTACACCATGTCCAGCTATCAAGAAAATATCACGAGGCTTACCAAAAGGTTAAAAACATACTTTGAAGAAACAGAGCAGGCATCCAAACCAGCCATGGCAGGGATGTTGAAATTATCGGACTGGGAATATAAAACAACTATGACTTCTATGCAATGGCTCCAATGGATAAAGTAGGCAGCATACAAGAAGAGATGGGCAATGTCAGCACAGAGATGAAAATCCTAAGAACCTACCAGAAAGAAATGCTAGAGACCCAAAACACTGTAACAGAAATAAAGAATGCTTTTGATGAGCTTGTTAGTAGACTGGGCATGGCTGAGGAGAGACTCTATGAGTCTGTGGATATTTCAATAGAGACTTTGAATACGGAAAAAATGAAGAGAACAGAGACTAAGAAAACCAAAACAAAATATATATGAACTGTGGGACAAATACAAAAGGTATAACTAACGTGTAAAGGAAATACAAGAATGAAAAGAAAGGAACAGAAGAGATATTTGAAATAATAGTGACTATAAATTTCCCCCAAATTAATGCCAGACACCAAACCACAGACCCAAGAAGCTCAGAGAATACCACACAAGATAAATACTCAAGAATCCATATCTAGGCTTATCATTTTTAAGTTAGAGAAGATGAAAGATGAACAGAAATCTTGAAAGAAGCCACAGGGAGAAAAGAACACCTTACCAATAGAGAGGCCTGCAATCTGGAGAAGCTAGTTAGGAATTAAGGCTATTTTGTTATAAGGTACTCTAACTGTGAAATGGTACACTCTTATTTGAGAAGTGTACTTGGGTTAATCATAACTGTATATTGAAAACTCTTGGGTGCCCACTAAAAAAAGTAAAAGCAGAAGCATAATTGATGTGCTAAGAAAGGAGAGAAAAAAAAATTCTCAACTAAAATCACAAAAAACAGAAGAGTAGATGACAAAAATAGGAAAAAAGCACAAGGGCCAAAAATAGAAAGCATGAAAAATATGGTAATATTAATCCAATTATATCAACAATTACTTTGAATGTCAATGATTTAAATGTACCAGTGAACAACAGAAATTGAGTGGATCAAACAAGACCCAATGACACGTTGTCTATAAGAAACCCACTTTATGTGTAATGACACATATAGTTTAAAAGTAAATGAATGGTAAGAAAATACATCACACTAACACTAATATAAGAAAGCAGGAGTGGCTATGTTAATTTCAGACAGAGCTGACTTCAAAGGAAGGGAAGTTATCAGAAATAAAGAAGGGGATTACATGACAAATAGGTCAGTTCTCCAAGATGACATAAGAGTCCTTGATGCATATGCACCCAAAAACAGCGCAGTAAACTATGTGAGGCAAAAGCTAATACAAATGCAAGGAGAAATAGATGAATCTACTATCACAGTTAGAGACTTCAACATTCCTCTATTAAACATGGACAGATTCAGTAGGCAGAAAATTAGTAAGGACAGAGTTAAACTCAACAATGCCACCAATCAACTGGATATAATTGACATCTACAGTATACTTCACCCAACAACAGCAGAATGTACACATTCTTTTCAAATTCACATGGAACATACACCAAGATAGACCAAATTTTAAACCATGAAACACTCTGACAATTTTAAAAGAATAGAAGTCATACAACATCTGCTCTCAGACCATGATATCACTAACTAGAAACTAGTTACAGAAAGATGACAGGAAATCCCAAAATAGGTGGAGATTAAACAACACACTATTAAATAACTCACAGATCAAAGAAGTTAAGAGAAATTTAAAAATATTTTGAACTACATAAAATGAAAACATAACTTACCAACATTTGTGGAATGTAGTGAAAGCAGTTCTTACAGGAAAATTTGTAGTATTAAATGCAAATATTTGAAAAGAAGAAAGATCTAAAATCAATTGTCTAAGATTCTGCTTTAGGAAATTAGAAACATAAGCGTAAATTAAATCCAAAGTTTGAAGAAGAAATGTAATATAAGAATTCGAGCAGAAAGTGACCACACTGAAAATGGGAAATCAATAGAGAAAATTGATGAAACCAAAGCTGCTTTTTTGAATGCGTTAGTAAATCCCACAGGCACCTAGCCAGGCTAACTAAGACAAAAAGAGAGAAGGCACAAATTACTAATATCAGAAATGAAAGACAGGATGTTTCTACAGTTTCTAGGGACATTTATAATATGACAAATAAATACTGTGAACATTTCTATGACCACAGATTTGTTAACCTAGATTAAATGAACCAATTCCTTAAAAGACAGAAATTATCAACTATCACACAAGAAGAAATAGATAATATATATAGGCCTATATCTATAAAAATTTAATCAATAATTAATATTCTTTCAAAACAGAAATCATCAGGCCCAAATGCATGCACTGGTAAATTCTAACAAACATATAAGAAAAAAATCATACCAATTTTCTACAGTTTGAATTTTAAAACAACTAAATAATAGCAAATTTAATTGAGCAATGAATAAAAGGAATTACATATCATGATCAATTGGAATTTATTCAAGGTTTGAAAGGCCAGTTTTCCATTAAATGTCAATTTATGTAATTCATCACAATAGGCTGGAGAAAAAATTACATAATCAAATGAATAGACGCAAAAGGCATCTGACACAATATATGTGTTCATGATAAAAGCTTTTATGCAACTAAGCATAGAAGAAATGTTTCTCACCTTAATAGTAATATCTACAAAAACAGACAAAAAAAGCTAGAGCTAACATTATAATTAATGGTGAGAAGCTAGATTTCCCACTAAGATTAGGAACAAGGTAAGAATGTCAAGTGAACAACACTGCTTTTAAACTTTATACTGGAAGTACAAGCTAATGGAATAGACAAAAGAGAAAATAAAAGTTACACTAATTAAAGAGGAAGAAATAAAACTGTCTTTGTTCACAGATGATGTGATCATCTATGCAGAAAATGTGAAAAAAAATTGAAAAAAAACTCCCTGTAAGTGATAAACAATTGTAGCAAGTTTGAAGGGTACAAGATTAATATGTAAAATTTAATTGCCTTCTCAGCGAACAAGTGAAACTTGAAATTAAAGACAATGCCAATTATATTAGCACCCCACAAACATAAAATACACATATATAAATGTAACAAAATGTTTATAAGAGCTATATGAGGAAAACTAAAACACTGATGAATGAAAACAAAGAAAAGCTACATAAATGTAGTGATATTCATGTTCATGGACAGAAAGACTCAATATTGTCAAGATCCCAGTTATTCTCAACCAGGCCTATAATTTAATACAATCCCAATCAAAATTTCAGCAACAGATTGTTTGGATATTGCCAAACTGATTCTAAAATTTATATGGAGGAGGAAAACATCCAGAATAGCCAACACAATAATGAAAAAGAAGTTGAAGCACTAACACTACTTAAATTCAGACTTATAGTAAAGCTCAATAAAAGACAGTATAGTGTTAATAAAAAATTGACACATATATTAATGTAACAGAGTGGAGAGCCCCATTTAGATCCACACAAATAGAATGAACAGATCTTTGACAAAGGAGCAATATATATATATATATATATATATATATATATATATATATATGAATGGAGAAGAGAGTATTTTAAACAATAGTGCTTGTAAAATAGGACATCCACATGCAAAATAATGAATCTAAACACAGACCTTAAACTTGTCACAAAAATGAACACTAAATGGACCATCACCTGTAATACAAAATGCAAAACTATACAACTCTTTGAAGAAAACATAGTAGAAAACCTAAATGAGCTTGGTGTAGGGATGATTTTTTTACATTAACACCAAAGACACATACCATAAAAGAAAACATTTATAAGCTGGACTTCATTAAAATTCAAAACTTCTACTAAAGGGGCTCCCAAGGAAATGAAAACACATGGCACAGTATGGGAGGAAATATTTGCAGAAAGCATATCTGATAAAGGTATATTATCCAAAATATAGAAAGAATTATTAAAACTCAACAATAAACAGCAAACAATCCACTTTTTAAAACATTGGCCAAAGACCTTAAAAAGCACCTCACCAAAGATATATAGATAGCAAATAAGCACATGAAAAGATGCGTCACTTTACATGTTATCAGGGAAATGCAAATTAAAATGACAATTAAATACTCCCAGACACCGGTGAGAATGGTCACAATCTATAACAATGACATTAACAAGTACTCGTGAGAAAGTAGAGCAACAGCAACTCTCATTCATTTTCTGGTGGGAACGTAGAATGGTATAGGTACTCTACAAGACAGTTTGCAGTTTCTTACAAAATTAAACAACTCATGCCGTGCTACCCAACAAACATGATCCTTAGTGTTTCTCCAAAAATGTTGAAAATGTATGTGCACACAAACCCAAACGCAGATGTTTATAGTCGCTTTATTTATAATTGCCGAAACCTGAAAGCAACCAAGGTGTTTTCAGGAGGTGAGTAGAAACATAAACTGTGGTACGTCCAGGCAATGGACTATTTTCAGCAGTAAAAAGAAACGAGCTTTCAAGCCACGAAAAAACATGGTAGATATATCTCCTAATGTTATCCCTCCCCCATGACGAGTTAATGGGTGCAGCAGACCAACATGGCACATGTATACATATGTAACTAAACTGCACGTTGTGCACATGTACCCTAAAACTTAAAGTATAATTAAAAAAATAAAATAAAATAAAATAAAGAAAAAACATGGTAGAAAGATAAAGGCATAATACTAAGTGAAAGAAGCCAATCCAAAAAGGCTATCTACTGTACAATTGCAACCCTATGAGATTCTGGAAAAGTCAAAATTTGGAGACAGTGAAAAAACAGTGGTTTCCAGGTGTCTGAGGGGAGGGAGGGATGAATACGCAGAACACAGAGAATTTTAATGCAGTGAAAATACTCTGTATGATATTATAATGACGGATACATGTTGTTAACACATCTATTCAAACCCATGGAATGTACAAGTCTTAGAGTGATTCCTAATGTAAACTATGGACTGTGATGATTAGGTTGTGTCAATGTAGGCTCCTAAATTGTAAAAACTGCACCACTCTGGTGGAGGATGTTGATAATGGTGGAGGCTATGCATGCGTAGGGGCAAGTGCTGTATGGGAAATATCTGTACCTTCCTCTTAATTTTGCTGTAAATCCAAAATTGCTCTCATTTTTTTTTTACAAAGAAAAAGCATCTATTAACTATTCTCTTTTTTGCAGTGAAGCACTCTATAAATATCCAAAGAAATCATGACATTTCTTACCACTATATATTGCATATAGGCATGTGATTACTGTTAGACTTATTTGTTTCCATATGTTAGATATGGATGAATAAACATTGGCTAAAAATCAGGTGAGCTAAATTTGTCTCAATTTTAAAAGTGTGTCTATGATTAAGTAAGCAGAACTCTCTCTCTGAAGCTAAACTTTATGACCTTGTGAAATAAGAGCAATAATTCCTTCATTCTTACTCTTAGGTTGTAAAGAAGATCTCTTTATGGAACAATACATGTGAAAACAATGTTTGGAATTTCAGTAGAATAAAATAATTGAGAGAAAAACTCACCCTAGATAATACTTAGTGTATTTTCTATTTTTGAAATTATTTAAAATAATGAGACATGTAATTATATAAGTTACACAAATTAGCTAGAAAGAGAAATGAAAATGCAGCCACTCACTACCTAATGATGTTTTGGTCAATGACCACATATATGATGGTGGTCTCAAAAGATTATAATGTGGTCTTTTTACTATATCTTTTCTTGGTTTAGGTGTACAAATATTATTGTGCTATAGTTGCATACAGTATTCAATACAGTAACATGCTGTACAGGTTTGTAGCCTGAGAGTAACAGGCTATACCATATGGCCTAGGTGTATCATAGGTTACATCATCTAGGTTTGTGTAAATGCTAGCATGTTTCCACAATGATGAAACTGCCTAATGATGCATTTCTCAGAACATATCCCCATCATTAAGTGATGCATGATTGTGATTATTTTATTTTCCATAATCTTTCATAGCTGTTAAAAATGCTGCAACCTGCTTTCTATTATTATTAGCAAATATTTCATATTTTATTTTACAGTTTTTCTTCATATTTATCTCACTGTCCACCCAGAAGACAGTTAAATAGCCTTTCTTTATCAAGCAAAAAAGCTTTTTTATTTACCATGCTACTTCTGTGAGTTTCATTCTTTCATTTCTAGTAGACCTTTATTCTGGCATTATTTGCTATAATGTAGGAAATCATTTATTTGATGAACCACTTTCAAGAATATCCTTTATCTGCCTAATTTTTAAACTGAAATTTTAGTGAGTGGTGAAATTATTAGTTGATCATTCTTATCTTTCAGTATACTATTCCAAAATTTAAAGTTTTTATTATTAATTTATTCTACAAGTTGCACTGAGCATCCACCATTTGTTAGTCTATATATGTTTAATCCCTGTGGATAAAACTGTGAACAAAACAAAAACAGAAACAAAATCTACGCTCTTGTAGGAATGAAGATTTGGTTTTGACGAAAAGGCTATAAAGAAGTAAGTAAAATGTACGGTGGACTAATGATGATGAATGCTATGAAGAAAAATAAAGCAGAGAAATTGGTTAAAGAGAATCTTGCTGGGGGTCAATTGGGGTAAGAAATTTTTACTTTACTTCATGTGGTCAGAGAAAACATCACTGATATAGTGACAGATGAGCATAAATATGAGGCATTTGCTTTGCAGCTATCTTTAAAAAAATCCAAACATTTCTAACGTAACAGACTGCAAAAGTCTTGTGTTGGAGGCAAGTGTGGCATGTTAAAGGAACGGTTAAAAGGAATGGCTGAAGCAGGGCAGACAAGGGAGTGTGGAGCATAGGTGGACATGGTGATGGAGAGGAAGTACGAAGAGGAGGGCCGGCTTACTTAGGTTCTCACAGATGATATTAAGAAATTTTGCTTTGATTTTCAGGGGTCTGCTAAGCCACTGGGGTGTTGTGAGTGAGAAGTGATGTGATCTGACTTCTATTTTACAATTATTTTGGCTACATAATTAAATCATATTTAAATCAATAGAAATGGCCATTAGTTAGTAGGTTTGATTAGTTTGGGTAGAGTTTAATCAGAACTGAGCCCAGGATTCCAGCTGATTATCTAGTTGATCATATCCTATGTTTTCGCACACAGGTGCAACCACTGACTTCCAAGATACAGGGTTCCCTCCCCAAATTTCTCATACCTGTTTGCTCTTGTGAATCTTGAGTGATGCTGCATTCACTTTTAGAAGGGATTTCCAGAAAGGGTCTTGACCTTTGCTATAGAAATACAGTGATACTAGAACTAGACTGTTTCTCCAGTGTATAACATTTTCTGTTTATCTTTACTTTGTGCAATTAATTGTGAAATAGAGGGTAGGTTGGGATAATGTTTGGGGTTTTGTGATCTCTATATTCAGAAAACTTTTCCCTCTCAACCATCATCATAAACCCAATATCTATTCTGGTACTGACATGTTGGTTATATTTAATAATCTTTTTTTTCGGAGTGACTAAATGAATGCTTGAATAAGTGCATGAATAAGAGAACAAATAAACCAAGGCATTTCCCTTGCCTCCTGTGCCAGTTATCTTCCAGTTGCCCCTCCAGGGGTACTCTCTAACTTTCTCTCCTGTTTTCTTTATCCTTTGGGGTGGAGGATAATGTTTGGATTGTATCCGTTTCTAGCTCTTCTCTCTACTCAGACAATGGAAATTGGAGGGAGGGAGGACACTAAGACAGGAAAGTGAGGCTGTGGTATTTATTGCCCTGATTATATCCTTGACAGGTTATGCTACACTGGTGTTTCTCTATATAATGAGTCATTCTTCCTTTGAAAATGTCTATTCTAATTTCAATAAACTCTTCCTCCTTAACTCCCTTTTCCTTTTGGGCCTACAGGTTTTAGCTGCTCCATGGCTGCTAGCTAAGATTCCTACACACTCCATTGTGGATCCTCTACACCTTACCCACAACTCAGTAATTAGTCTCTTTATTTACAAACCTTCAAAATATTCTAATTTGCTTGTGCCATCTGTCTTCTGTTATGACTGTGACAGATACAAATGCAAGTGTTTAATAGAAGGACGAGGAATGGGAATCTTGTCAAACAAAATAATATCTCACTTGTCTAATTGAACTTATTTTCTACTTTAATTAGCTGTGACTTCCAATTTAGGACACTCAAAGACTACTGAGATATTAAGGCTTAAAACAACTTAAGAGGTCACCAAATCTGATTCACTAATTTTCTATATGGGAAAACAGGAATAGAGTTTGTGTTACCAACATTGTCTGCAATAGTGGGTATTTGGCTGATTCAACCACTACTGTATGGCTCTTCTATTACAACCGTAGAGTCTCAAATGGTCTCTCTTCCACTTGTGCCCACCATAAACTATACTCAACTTAGCAGCCAGAGTGAGATAACTTCTTTGCTCCAAACTTTCCAGTGGTTTCCCATTTCATTCATAGTTAAAACCAAAGCTCTTGGAATCACTACATGATCAAACACCTTACCACCTTTGGGTCTTCAGCAATCTTCTTCTCTCACTTTTCTCTCCCTACATTGCCTATGTGTTCCCTGGTAGTCCAAAAATATTCTTATGTGTGTTAACACTTTTGTACTAGAAAGCGTTGTCAAATAGCTGCATGGATTACCCTAGTAGTGAAATATCACATTATTAAAAAGGTCTCTGTAACTACTTAACTTAAAAGAGAAGCTTTGCCTTCTGTTACATATTCACTCCTTTCGTGCTTTTTTTTAAAAAAAATCTATCACACTTGTTATAATCTCATATAGTGAATGATGTATTTAATTATTTTAACTTTTCACCTATTTAAATATAAACTCAGTGAAAGTCAGGAGTTTTTTTTTCTACTTTATTCATTTCTGAATCTTTGATGTGTACAATCTCTGGCACACAGGGCACACTCAAAAAATATTCAATAAATAAGTAAAAGAATAAATAAAAATCATACACTTTTGTTTATATAATGAGGTAGTCAATATTGATAAACAATTATGTTATCTTATTGGGTTGTTATAAAGATAGGAGGACTCAGAGGGTCTATTTCTAATCGAATAGGTTTTCTGTTATCACCAGGATCACTACTATTCTATTACATGACTAGTATAACTGTATATAATACCAAAGAATGAAAAAAAAATCCTTCATTTTTTCAGGAATTAGGTTTAAAAGAATCAATCCAGCTTAAATATAATCAAGCAAGAGAGTACATAAGTGACATTGTCCAGTAACTTATAAGTTATATCTGGACATATTGACAACAGTACAGTTGGAATGTAAATTGATGCTGACTTCCTTGTTGCATAAATTTCCCACAGCTACTATTGAGACAGGAGAATAGGGTCTGGGGGCAGGGAACCTAAGGCTGATTCACAGACTTCCTAGAACTGAATAAAAAGGAAAACCCCACCTGTCAACACCCATGTAACAAAAGGATCAGAGGCTACTCCCTATGCAATGTCCCCCACTCCCACCCTTTGTTTTTCTGTGTTGCAGATGGAAAAATGAAAGTACCTCTGATTGGTCCTCTCCTGCAACCAATCAGACTGATCACAGGCCAAGTCTTCATGTGTAACTCTGTAACTTTACTTCAACCTATGACTGGTCACCTTATGCAACCAATCAGACTGGTTGAAGGCCACTACTTCATTTACATACAGTGTAAACCAAGTAACCAGTGGTAAACCACTAGAGGGTATTTAAACCCCAGAAAAACTCTGTAACCAGCACTCTTGAGCAGCTGCTTGAGCCCATTCCTATTCTGTGGAGTGTAGTTTCATTTCAAAAAATTTTTGCTTTTCTCTTATTGCTTTGTTTGTGCAGTTTGTTCAATTTTTTGTTCAAAATATCAAGATCCTGGACACCCTCCACCGGTAACACTATTACTTGAATCCAATTAGAGTATAAAGCCTGTATTACAGGGAGATGATAGGGAAAATAAACATATTTTGTTCTCCAGGAGAAAAATTCAGAAATTCATTTTTTAATATTTTATTATAGTCAGAGATTTGTAGTACTACTTAGTGCATTTAAATTTAATAGCATTTAATGCTATTAAAAACCAGCATTCTGCCTCCTAAAGGTGTACTGCAGGCAACTTAAGGAACTAGTAACTATTAATATCTTGTGTAAAGTGGAATATTCTAGAATTCATATACATACTCATTTTTCATTGTACCCTTTATAGTAGATGTTGGAAAGAAATCTATTATCTAAAATTATTTACAAATTCTCCTTTTCAAAGAAACTGTATTTGTCATCCTTTTAGAATTTCATTGAATAGTACATGTTGTTGCTTTTTATTTTCTTGTGTTCAACAGAATCTTGGAATTTTAGGAAGTGTTTTCCTTTAACTTTTTGTTTTCAGGTAATTTTAGACTTACAGAAAAGTTGTTAGAAAAGAAAAAAGAATTATATATAACTTTCAACTATTTTCTCCCCAAAATAGTTACCATATTTGCTTTTGTTTTATATTTCTCTTTTTTCTCCCTCAATCTATGTACATATATATGTACACACATGCACACACACACACTACACACATTCATACACATTATTTTCTGAATCTACCCATGTTATAGAAATGGTGCCCCGGCAACGAAAGCCAAAACAGACAAATGGGATCTAATTAAACTAAAGAGCATCTGCACAGCAAAAGAAACTACCATCAGAGTGAACAGGCAACCTACAGAATGGCAGAAAATTTTTAAAATCTACCCATCTGACAAAGGGCAAATATCCAGAATCTACAAAGAACTCAAACAAATTTACAAGAAAAAAACAAACAACCCCATCAAAAAGTGGACAAAGGATATGAACAGACACTTCTCAAAAGAAGACATTTATGCAGCCAAAAGACACATGAAAAAATGCTCATCATCAATGGCCATCAGAGAAATGCAAATCAAAACCACAATAAGATACCATCTCACACCAGTTAGAATGGCGATCATTAAAAAGTTAGGAAACAACAGGTGCTGGAGAGGATGTGGAGAAATAGGAACACTTTTACACTGTTGGTGGGACTGTAAACTAGTTCAACCACTGTGGAAGACAGTGTGGCGATTCCTCAAGGATCTAAAACTAGAAACATCATTTGACCCAGCCATCCCATTACTGGATATATACCCAAAGGATTATAAATCATGCTGCTATAAAGACACATGCACACGTATGTTTATTGCGGCACTATTCACAATGGCAAAGACTTGGAACCAACCCAAATGTCCATCAATGATAGACTGGATTAAGAAAAATGGCACATATACACCATGGGATACTATGCAGCCATAAAAAAGGATGAGTTCATGTCCTTTGTAGGGACATGGATGAAGCTGAAACCATCATTCTGAGCAAACTATCATAAGGACAGAGAACCAAACACTGCATGTTCGCACTCATGGGTGGGAACTGAACAATGAGAACACTTGGACATAGGGTGGGGTACATCACACACTGGGGCCTGTTGTGGGGTGGGGGTAGTGGGGAGGGATAGCATTAGGAGAAATAACTAATGTAAATGACGAGTTAATGGGTGTGGCAAACCAACATGGCACATGTATACGTGTCTATGTAACAAACCTGCATGTTGTGCCCATGTACCCTAGAACTTAAAGTATAAAAAAAAAGAAGAAATGGTGCCCTAATAATTGCAGTTTAAGTGAGAATTTAATCTGGATAGTGAGGCAAGATAAGAATCAAATGTTTTTTAAAAATATATTTTGATTATTATAAAAGAGGAAAGTACAATATTATCCTTTCTCATTTGAGTGGGTTTGAGAAAGACATTAAAATGGTATATATTTTTAATGAAGATAATCTTAAGGATAAATTTTCGATCACATTTCCTGTCAATGTCCTGCATGTACCCTCCTCTCCAATTATACTGTAAAAATTACAGCTGGGGAAATTGTTGTTTTAGGCTCTTGCTGAACAATTGTCTATTTATTGCATAAAGTGAATATCTGAAAACCATGCTGTGCCCAACCATGTATAAGAGAGAAAAACCCTACCAAGATGATCTGATCCTACATTCACTACCAAGTACACCATGTACAAGTTCTTATCTTCCTTTATCTCCCGTTCTGTTTTACTCCCTAATTAAGCTTTATCTGGTGGCATAAATAAAAGAAATTACCTCCAGTTAAGACCACAAATTGCCTTTTGCTCAATTCTTATTTGCATTGTTTATGTGTGTGCTTTTATTAAGTGCTGTATACATCCCCAGAGCATTGCTAATAATGCTGGAATAATAATGATGGAAGACAGCCTATTTTGAGCTCTACATTTATTCTTAGTATTTCAATAACATACAGCAGTGACAGGTAAACAGCCAATTACTATGGCTAATATTAAATACTTTTTTGTACATTTAAAAAACACATCATGGTTGAACTAGGAGAAAATCCAAACTGGTTGGAGTTTAAGATTGTGCTACACTGATTTGAAACATCATTTATTTTCTTTAACTACCATTACCACCATCAAAATACTACTTTTCTTGTGGGGTGGGGGGAAGGGGGAGGGATAGCATTAGGAGATATACCTAATGTTAAATGACGACTTAATGGGTGCAGCACACCAACATGGCACATGTATACATATGTAACAAACCTGCACGTTGTGCACATGTACCCTAAAACTTAAAGTATAATAATAAAAAAAACTACTTTTCATATTTACTTTATTTTCTCCATGTTCTAAAAATAGAGCGTAACTCGTTTTGAAAATATTGTTCTTTTAAAGAGATTGTAACTCTGATGAAAAACGAATATCTAGTTCAAAAGCACTTGTGTACGTATTTCGTATATTTAAAAATCTCATATGTTCTATAAATGCTTCATAAAGATGAAATAACACCAAATACTACAAACCCTGTGACGACAAAAAAAAAAAAAAAAGCTACAGACACCAAATGAAGCTCTTAGTAATGGCTTTGAAAACAGTTTTTTAATTTTCATTTCAGTCAGTTCTTATGTGTGTTTTCAGGAAAATCACTGAATATCAGCTGAAAATAGAAGTGGTTGCTTTTTTTGATTTTTAAATGATGTTAAGAAATGAAATGAAACACTATTAATTAAAAGTACTGCAGGAGGTAATGAAAATTATCACAATTGCAAACAGCAAATAAAACAATACATATAATTATAGGAGCCATTTCCATTTAATATCAAATAAAAAGTAGTCTGAGGGAAAAATAGCCTAATAAAAAGACACTGTGAAATCATTTATTGAGTATACTTTTATAAATATTTGGAACTTCAGATAGCCAAAGAAAGGGAAAAAAATAAGTGAATAGAGGAGCAACAGGTTCATAGAAATTAGAACAGATCACATGCAGATCGAGGTTCTTGAATTGTTAACAGGGACATATTGTCACGTGTTAAAATATGACATAATCCATTATTTAACTAGATCCTTCTAACACATAGTAGTCTATAGTGAGAGAACCCAGGTAGTGGATCCCAATAGTGAGAGGAACCAGTAAGCAATACTGAGAGGACCCAGATAAAACCCCTAAATACATTACTTGGTAACATAAGCAGAATTGCATGTTAAAAAATAGTTTTAAATACTCATAAATTAATGCCCGTGAAATGGAAAAATCCATTTTTTACTTCATGAATTTTTTACTTCATGAATGCAAATATTTGGGCAAATGAAGATAACAAAATGGTGAATCAGCACCTACTCGAACATTTATCTGTGGACTGAGGAATTAGAATCTTTATGAGAAATGACCCTTCCTAATGAAAGAGGAGGTTGAGTTGGTCCAGGGGTAATGAGGAGAAAAAAGATAGAAAAATTTGTACATAGTGTGCTGCAATATAACCCCCTTTTGCTGCCTTATCTGCCCTGTTCACCATTCAACCTCGTAGACATATGTCAACACTGGGAATTGAGAACGGTACACTACACCAAAAACCCCCAATAAATATTATTTTATTAAAATATCTTGTAAACCAGATAGTTCAAACTACTTGGTAACTCCATCCACCCCTTCCTACTGTTTAAATTTATTTTTAATATCATGTAAAAGGTTAGTTAATACTATCTTGGATAAGTATCAGCAAACTTCTACTTTTTTCCACTAAAAAAGTAGCATTCAATATTTCACCAATGAAATGAATTACATGGATAGACTTTCTAATTTTAAACAAACCTTACATTCCTGGAATAAACTTCATTTGGTAACGACGTAGTAGCCTATTTTGTATTGCTAGATTCTGTTTGCCAATATTTTTTCATATGAATAATTTTCTTCACCTGTATTGTCCCTATATGATGAGTTATGCTGGTCTCATTATATGAGTAGTGCTCCCATTTTCTCAATTTTCTGAAAAAAATTGTATTAGTCTGATATTACTTTCTTTATAAATATTTAATAGAATTTTCCAGTAAAACCAACTAGGCCAGGAACTTTCTTTGAGGAAAGATTTTATTTGAAGTTGGGGGTTTTACATTAAACTTTTTTATTAATGTCTAAATTATCCTGTAGTGATCTGAAAATATATTTTGTATGATTTTATCTTTCAGAATTAATTACACTCTTATAAGGCTCAGCAGATGTTCTATCATCATGAGTGTTCCAAATCTTAATTTAAAATTACATTTGACAATTGGGTGCCAGGTTCTATAGTTGTTACAATTATTCAAATATTTTATGTTATTGATATTTTTAGTCAGATTACTTGTTCTATCAAGTATCTCCTCTATTTACCACTTTTGGGAGTGGAAAGTATTGTTCTATGGACTAAAATATGTACCCTTACTTGTTCATAGTCTATCCTGAATCAATGGTATACCACTTCATGAACATTTAAAAACCTCACAGTAGTATATTTTGCCCACTCTCAATTCTTATGATTTTTATTATATATTTTACTATGACAGCATTTATACTCTACTTAAATCAAGGTTATTATTTTTTTATTTAAATCAAAATGTTCTATTAATAAATTTAATAGTGTTTTTATATTTACTCATACAGCTTACCATTTAGGTTGCTTTCCATTTCTTCTTGTATGTACAGGTTTTATTCTATGATCTTTTACCTTTACCCTGAGACACTTTTTTTTAATATGCCCTGTAGTGTGAGTGGCAACAAATTCTCTCAACTGTAGTTACACGAAAGTGTCTTCATTACACTTTCATATTTAAAGGAGCTTTTCACCTTATATGGAATTCCAGATTGGCAATCTTTTTGGTTTCCATAAAATGTGCTTCTGTTGTTTCTGTTTGGATAGTTAAGAATTCAGTCAATGTCTTTATTGTGGTTTTCTGTATGTAGTGTGTATTTTCCCCTTCCGATTACTTTACATATTTCTCTTTATCTTTGATTTTAAGAAGTTTGACGATAATGTGCCTAGCTTTGCTTTTCTGTTTTTGTCATTTATCCTGTTTAAGGTTAGATGGGATTTTGGCTATCTGGATATGAATATATAATCTTGGAAAAATTGGGCATTATTTACTCAAGTATAATTTTCTTCCCCACTCCCTCATTTATTCTATTCATGCTTCAATTACACATTTGCTTAATTAATTGACATTGCTCAAAAGATAACTTATTTTCTATTCATTTTTAAAAATCTTTTTCTCTTTTTGCTTGACTTCGTATAAATTTCTATTGGTATGCCAATTTTATTATGCAATACCTAATTTTTCCCTTGAGCTGATCTGGTGAATTTTTTTTCATTTTGGATGTCATATTTTTTAGCTCTAGAACCTTTATATTTTATATATTCCAATTCCCTCTTCCAGTTTTCTTTTGTAATTTTACTAATATTTCTAATAATTGTGGTAATATCTTTGTGGCTTAATTTCAGCATTTCTGTAATTTCTTGGTTTCTGTTTGCTGATTTTTTCCCTAATCATGTAACACATTCTCCTTTCCAGTTCTGTTTTCATAATTAATGTTGTGATATCATACACTGAGTGCATGCCTTATGTTGCTTTATTTTTGATTGTATACATTTTTGGCTAACATTATTTATTTGTCTAACATCTAGATCATTCCTACACTTGATTTTTAATTTTTAAAAATTGAGATATAACTCACATGCCATAAACTGTATCCCTTTAAAGTGTAGAATTCAGTGAAATTTAGTGTATTCTACAGTTATGCAATCATCGCTGATATCTAATACCAGAACATTCTCATCACCCTCAAAAACGTCCATGGCACCCACTAATCATTCTCTCTATATACATTTGCCTATTATGAATATTTCACATAAATGGAATCATAGGATGTGTGGCCTTTTTTGTCAGACTTCTTTCATATAATGTTTTCAAGTGTCATCTATGTAATAGCATGTATCAGTGTATATTCACTTTTGATGGCTGATTTCTATTCCTTTGTATGGTTGTACCAATTTATGATTGCCCATTAATTGATTAATGGAAATTTGATTTGTTTCCATTTTTTGGTTATTGTAAATAATGCTGCAGTTAACATTTGTGTACAAGTTTTCATATGAACATAGGTTTTCTATTCTCTTGGATATATAAAAGTGGAAATGTTGGGCCATATGCTAACAATGTTTAAGATTTTTACAAAAAGTCAAATTGTTTTCTCAACTAGTGGTACCATTTTACCTTTTCACCAGCAACAGGTGTGAGTTCCAATTTCTTCTTGCACTCATCAAAAGTTGTTTTATCTGTCTTTTTGACCAGAACCATACTATTGAGTGTGAACTGGTATCTCATTTGATATGCATTTCTCTACTAACTAATGATATGTACATATTTTCATGTTCTCATCAGTCATTTGTGTATTTCTCTGGAGAAATATCTATTCAAATTTGTTTTCCATTTTCTATTTTTTTGTCTTTTTAATTTGTTGAGTCGTGAGAGTTCTTTATATATTATGGATAATAGTCTTTTAACAGTTATATGACTTACAAATGCTTTTGCCACTTCTCTGAGTTGTCTTTTCATTTTTTTGAATGTAACCTTTCAAAAGAAGTTTCTATTCTGATGAGGTAAAATTTATCTATATTTTTCTTTTGTCATTTGTGCTTTTGGTGGCATATCCAAGAAACCATTTCTCACTATAAGGTTACAAAGATTTAGGCCTATGTTTTCTTAAAAAGAGTTTTAAAGTTTTAGCTCTAATATTTAGGTTTTTGATCTGTTTTGAGATAATTTTTATATAATATGCAGTAGAAATCCAGTTTCATAATTTTGCATGTGGATATCAAGTTGTCTCAGCACCACTTGCTGAAAAGACTATTTTTTTCCACATAACATTGCCTTGAAACCCTTGTTAATATTCAACTAATTTGTGAGGACATAATTCTGCACTATAACTTTTATTCCATTGATATATATGTTTATCCTCATACAACTGCTATACTGCCTTGAATAAGGTAGATTTGTAGCAGGTTTTGAAATCAGTAAGTGTGTAAATTCTAACTTTATTTTTCGTTTTCAAGATTGTTTTGACTACTTGGAGTCCTTTGTATTTCCAAATGAATTTTGTATTAGCTTGTCAATTTCTGTAAAAAACATAGCTGGAATTCTGATAGCGATTGTGTTGAACTGGTGAAATGTTGCCATGAGTCTTTTGATCCATGAACATGAGGTTTCTTTTCATTCAAATCTTTAATTCCTTTCCATCATATTTTCTAGCTTTCAGTGTGTACGTTTTTGTTTTTCTGTCAAATATATTTCTAATCATTTTATTCTTTTTAATACTGATGTAGATAGAATTGTTTATTAATTTTATCTTAGTATTTATTGGCTATAGAAATACAATTGATTGTTATATATTGATCTTTTTTCCTGCTCCATTGTTATATATTTTTTCCTAAATATAATATAACAGATTCGGTTATCTGCAAAAAGAGATAACTTTATTTCTTCATTTTTAAACTGGAGGTTTTAATTTCATTTTCCTGCCTAATTGCACTAGCTAGAACCGCTAGTATTATGTTGAATAAAAGTAACGAGAGTGATCATCTTTGTTTTATTTCTGGTCTTAGGAGGAAAACAGTGTTTTGCCATTAAACTATGATGTTAGTGGTGGGTTTTTCATAGATACCTTTTCAGCTTTAGGATGTTCCCTTATATTCCTAATGTGTAGAGCATTTTTATGAGAAAAGGGGTGTCAGATTTTTATCAAGTGCCGTTTCAATGTCTATTGATATGACCTTTTGATTTTCATTTTTATTCTATTAATTTGACACTATACATTGACTAATTTTCATATATTGAAGCAACCTTGTATGCCTGAGTTAAATTTCAACTGGTCATGTTGTATAATGCTTTTTACATGTTGCTGGATTTAATTTGTTCATATTTTGTTTACTATATTTGTTTTTATATTCTCATAGGGCATTGGTCTGTGATTTTCTTGCCCTTTGATGTGGTTGTTCAGTTTGGCATCAGGATAATACTGAATGAGTTGATATGTGATCCTTCCTCTTTTATTATTTAGAATAGCTTGTGAATGATTGGTATTAATTATTCTCTATTTGTTAGAATTTAGCAGTGTATCCATCTAGGCCTGAGCTTTCCTTTGTTGGAAGTTTTTACATTATTACTAGTTGCTATGATTTGAATATGGTTTGTCCCCACCAAAACTCATATTGAGGCTTGATCTCTAGTGTAACAGTGTGGTGTTGAAAGTTGGTTGAAAGGTGGTGAGACATTTAAGAGGCTTTTTCTGTCTGTCTTAAGGGGTCTACTTTCATGAAGTGATTAATCCCACCTCATGGGCGGAGGTGGGTGTTCTCGATCTCAAGGGATTGAATTAGCTACTTCAGGAGCAGTTTGTTATAAAACAAGGTCACCCTGGTGTGTCTTTTTTGCAGGTGTCAGCTTGCTGCTTTCACACATGATCCTGCCATGTGATGACCTCTTCTATGTTATGAAGTAGCATGAGATCCTTACCAAATGGAGCCACCCTATCTTGAATTTTCCAGACTCTAGAATCATGAGTAAAATAAACCTCTTTATTACCTAGCATCTGATATTCTGTTACAGCAACAGAATAACATGGACTAATACACTGCTAGTTCTTTTAACGTTTGTATTATTATTTATTTATTTATTTATTTATTTATTTATTTATTTATTTTTAAGAAATGGTTTCACTGGCTTACCCAGGCTGGAGTACAGTGGTGCAATCACAACTCACTGCAACCTCAAACTCCTGGGCTCAAGTGATCGTCCCACCTCAGCCTCTTGAGTAGCTGGGACTACAGGCACAGGCCACGATACTGGCTATTTATTTTTATTTTTATTTTTTTGTAGAGAAAAGGTCTCTCTGTGTTGGCCAGGAAGGCCTCAAACACCTAGCCTCACATGATCCTTCTGCCTTAGCTTCCTAAAGTGCTGGGATTACAGGTGTGAGCCACTACACCCAGCCTCTTCAATTTTTACAGCTCTATTCAGATAATCTCTTTCTTCAAGTCAGTTTCCGTAGTTTATGTCATTTTCATAATTTGTTCATTTCATATAATTTATTTAATTTGTAGGCATATGTTTGTTCATAGTTTTTACTTATCCTTTTTATTTCTAAGTGATCAGTATTAATTTCTTCTCATTCATTTCTGATTTTAATAATTTGAATCTTCTCTCTTTTTTTTCTTAGTCATTATAGCCGAGGTCTTGTAATTTTGATGATCATTTCAAATAATCAATTTTTGGTTTTATTGATTTTCTCTATAGTTTTCCTATTATGTATTTTATGTATTTCCACCCAAATATTATTTTCTTCCTTTTGTTGTTTTGGATTTGGTTTGCACTTCATTTTAGTTTCTTAGGGTGGAATGTTAGGCTATTGACATAAAATTATTCTTCTTTTTCAAAATAGGCATTTACAGACATAAATTCCTTCCCAACTACTGTTTTAGCCACACCCTGTATGTTCTACTTTCATTTTCAATTATCTCCAAATATTTTCAAATTTCTTTTGTCATTTTTTTATACTCATTGTTTAAGAGCATGTGCTTTAATTTCCACATATCTGTGAATTTTTCAAATTTTCTTCTTTTTTTAAATTTTTACTTTTTTGTGGTTGAATAACATACTTTGATTTCAATTCTTTTAAATTTAATGAGGTTTGCTTTGAAGTCTATTATATATGGTCTAGCTGGACAACATTCTGTGTATGTTTGTAAAAATGTGTATTCTGCTGTTTTATATATGTCTATTTTGTGAAGTGTTCTGTATGCTTTGGTTCTAAATAATTTCTAGTGTTATTTAAGACTTTTATTTTCTTGCTGACCTTCTGTTTATTGTTCTATCCATTATTGAAATTAGGGTTTTGATTTTTCCAAATA
Source organism: Homo sapiens (assembly GCF_000001405.40). Classification (NCBI taxonomy): domain Eukaryota; kingdom Metazoa; phylum Chordata; class Mammalia; order Primates; family Hominidae; genus Homo; species Homo sapiens. Next base: position 102,273,885 of record NC_000001.11, read on the forward strand.
TTATTGTTGAATTGTTTCTTATTGTAATTCTTTCAGTTTTGTTTCACATACTTTTCACCTCTATATCTAGGCATTACGTTCACAGCTGTTACAACTTATTTATGGATTGACTCTGTGCCCTTTTATCATTATAAAAATATTTCCTATTTTTAGTAGCAATTATTTTTTCCCAATGTATATTTTATCTAATATGATAGCCACTTCCATTCTCTTTTAGTTACCATTAACATAATATATCTTTAATATATTTTTACTTTCAAGTGTTATGAATTTTTTAAAATATAAATTTTGTTTCTGACACACAGCATACAATTGTATAGTATTTTTCAGACATTCTTTTATTTTTCTTTAAATCTCTGAGTCTTTTTGCTCTATTACTAACTATAGTGGATTAAATTTTAATTTCTAGAGATTACAATTAATTTCTTAATTTACAATAATCTAGTTTGTATTACTACCAAATTAATTGCAATTTCAGTAGTTTAGAAAAACTTTATGTGGTTTCAACCACTCTCCTTTGTGTTATTATTGTACAAATAATATTTTTATACATTGTATAAATTTTTTACATGTATAGATTTATACATGAATATAAATTTATAATTATCACTTTAAGTAGTTTTCTTTGTTAAATTTTCCTTTTTAATTTTTTAAAAATAGTTTCTATTTTTTAGAGCAGTTTTAGGTTCACAGCAAAATTGAGTGGAAAACAAAGAGACATCTGTGATTTTTTTTTATGCAATTGTCTTTTAGACCAAATAGCACAGAAAAAGTGCTAGTAATAAAAATTTTACATTACACTGCATTTTATATTTACCTATTAATATTCTTTATCTGTGCTTTTTATTTATTCACATGGATTGAAGATAGTAGTTAATGTCCCTTTGTGTCAGCATATTAGACTTCCGTTAGTATTTCTTGTACGGTAGGTCTGGTAGACACATATTTTGTCAGTTATTGATCTGAGAATCTCTTATTTTTTTCTTAATTTTTGAAGAATAAGCTTACTGGACTTAGAATTCACGGTCAACAGTCTTTTTAGCTAAGTTCTTTGACTATATCATCACACTGTCTTTTTGCATACATAATTTCTAATTATAAATCAGCACTTTACCTTATTAAGGATTTCCTGTATGTGATGAACTACTTCTCTTTAGTGGCTTTCAAGATTCTCTTTTTGTCTTTGGATTTCAACAGTTTAATTTTGATGTGTATAGGTGTTAATCTCTTTTGAGTTTATTACTAATTGCAGTCTATCTGGCTTCTGGAATGTGTATTGTTTTTCATCAAATGTGAGATGCTTTCAGCTATTATTTTTGGAATTTTTTTTCTCTTTTCTCTCTTTCCTTATGGGAAACACACTATATGTACATTGGTACGTTTGATTGTATCCTGCAGTTCTCTGAGAATCTGTTCCATTTTCTTCATTCTTTTTTTTTTTTTCCTCTTCCTCTGACTGGATAAAATCTAACAATAAATCAAATTTTCAAGTTTGCTGATTTTTTTATTCTGCCATCTCAAATTTCTAGGCTTGATTTAAGCACTGTTAGTGCAGTAAATAGCTTTTTGTTTTGTTTTGTTTTCTTTCTTGAGCAGGCTTAATCTAACGTTAAGGGCCTTTTTATTTTTCATTTTCTTTTGAGTTTGCACTAGATGCTTTCAGCATTGTATAAAGTCTCTTCTCTCTGGTTTACCAAAATTTAACTGTTTTCTATCCCAGTAAAATATTTGAAATTGTTTTGATTACATCTCCCAAGTAGTTTTAATTTTCTGGCTTCCTGGAGTTTTTCTTCTATGATTATATAGCTTAATTTAGAGCAAAATCATCAATGGTATATCTGTGGAGATTTCTGTAACTCTTATGTTTAGGTCCCTCTTCTCTAGCATTTTGTTTCCAAAATTCCACCTACTTTATCCCCTCGTATGTCTTACCTGTCTCTTCAACTACTATGCTCTGCCTGTGATCTCTTTCCCTGCATGTGGTACAAAAATGGCCTCTCAGTGGAAGTTAAGGTGATGATAAGGCTCTACTTCTTAGTTTTTCCTAAGTTATCACAATTATGCACTATTATTGTCTAATATTTGGAAATAGTTGCTTTATATACTTAGTAAAGCTTTTTAATTTTTTAAACTAGAAAAGAATTACAGCATCAGTGCTTCATCACCACGGAAATGGAAATTTTTCATTTGTTAAAAATAAAAGCTAAATATTTTATTTAGCTAGTCCACTGATGAGCCCCTGGGTATTTTAAATCTGATTCAAACCATTTCTTTATGCCAAAGATAAGATTGTATGAATACAGGTGAGATATTTGAAGAAGGGTTAAAATATATGGACAACTTCAGGCCGGACACGGTGGCTCATGCCTGTAACCCCAGCACTTTGGGAGGCCGAGCCAGGCAGATCACGAGGTCAAGAGATGGAGACCATCCTGGCTAACATGGTGAAACCCCGTCTCTACTAAAATTACAAAAATTAGCAGGGTGTGGTGGCGTGTACCTGTAGTCCCAGCTACTCGGGAAGCTGAGGCAGGAGAATTGCTTGAACCCGGGAGGAGGAGCTTGCAGTGAGCCAAGATTGTGCCACTGCACTCCAGCCTTGGTGACAGAGTGAGACTACCTCTCAAAAAAAAAAAAAAAATATATATATATATAAACAACTTCAAATGAAGTTATGCATGTGACCATTTACAGATGCCTGAGGGAGAATCAATCTAAATGATTAACTCATTCAATGAATATATTTTGAATCCAGACATTGTGATACACTAAATAATTTGGAGAGATGAGTATTAATCTATATAAATATATGATTACTAACTGCAATCAGTAGCATAAGAGGATATTACAGTAAACTCTAGAATTTTGTAACTTAGGTTCTCATTTCATTGTGTGTAGGAGAGAGGCTATGCAGAAAGTTTTTCTCATGGAAGTGGCTTTGAATTGAGATCTAAAGTGTAAGTAGGAGTTAACTAGATAAAAGAAAATAATTCGTTTTTGAGATGAGGAATCTGTGTGTGCAAGGATTTGAAACTAGAATGCATGATTGTCCAAAACACCTAAAAATAAGAGAGTGTGGATAGCATATAGAAGAGCAGAAAAGTGTCATGGAAGAAATTCAGCTGTCGGCAACTGTAAAATCATCAGGGTTTTCATTCTATGAATAATTGAAGGCAATCACAAGTTTTAAGCAGGAGCATCACATGACCATATCTTATATTTAGACATTTTTATGTCTTTAGTTTTTTAGTTATACATTTTCCTTAGTTTTTTTAAATCATTCACCTATATTTTATCTATAATAAGTAAGATGTGTATTGTTAAGAAATAAAAACGTATCATTTTTACTTGGCTTTTCCTGACCTTATGATTTTCCTTTGAAGAAGTGATTACTTGCTACATTTTTCCCCATAGAAATTTTTATCATAATTTGCATTATTTTATTATAGCATTTTATTTGTTTATGTAAATGAACTTTTTTCATTCTAAAATACATGCCTGGAATTGAGAAGCTAGTCTTAATAGTCCTCTGTAGCTTATAAACATGGAATAATGAATAAAAAGTACGACATCTAAACTCTTTTGTGTTTGCTGAATAAATTGAAAATTATTTTGTGGCACTGTCTTCTATAATGGTTGATTTAGAATATTCAAGTGGGGAAATGTTTGTGTATGTTCTGTATATTTGTCTTGTGCAAAAACTGTATAATTAAAATAAACTCTTTGGAATTTGAACAGAAAAAAGAAGAATAAATAAACAAATATGTTGTGTAACAACCTTCAGGCATCTGCGGCAAAAAGTTGTGGTAAAGTACAATAGTGATAAAATGATAAAAAAGTCTTAGGAATAAAATGATAAATAAAATGATAAAAAAGTCTTAGGAATAAAACATAACGACTAATATTTTGGCATTGTGCATCTGCTACGTAAGTCAGTCATGAACGTTTTTAGAGGGACTGAGTTAATATAAAATTACAACCATGATATAGTAAAGTAACTCAGAATTCCCAGTGAAATTGAGATGGCCCTATTTGATGTCTTTAATTGCAGTTATCTGGGATTAATTATGTAACTTTAAAAAATCAATATGTAATTCTACAATCTTAAAATGAATACATTTTTAATGTAACTGCTGCTTTAAGGTCAAAACTTAGCCGACATATTTAATTGAAAATGTTGGAACATGTACCTGGACACATTTGGTGCAATATAGATCTTAAACTCTTTAATTAGACATTTTCATAACATAACATTATTACATAAGACTATATCTTCCTAAATTGTCAACTTATTTGGTTTTACTTTTTCTTTGCTTTCTCATTTCAAAACTTTATTTTTTTTTACCAATCTTTAGTTATTACATCTTTCAATATTACATTTCTTTCTAAAGACACTAGGAATCGGTGACTATTTAACATAAATTGTGCAATTTAACAGCATAACCATATAAACCTCAGCCATAAATAAAGTGCTAAAATAAGCTCTGACATCATACATAGGTTTGATTCATTTGTACTTACTATATCCCCATGTTTTTCAGTTATGTTATTACCAAGAAGTATGTTTGATGGTATGGTTTGACAGTTTAAGATTTCCCAGTGTTTGAAGTCCCAGGGTTTCATCACAAGGTCACTCTCTTGCTATAATTAGTTATCACAATATATGAACTTCCCTTCTGAGAGTAATGAATGAATTTGTTTCTAAAGTCCTTATTCTCCTAACGTCTATTACCTGTCACTTGGACTCCATACATTAGAACTCATCCTCATTTGCCAGGTTCTTTGCCTGGTTTTCTGAACATCTCTTACTCAAAAGGTTTTTATTCTGGTGCATGACCTTTTGTTGTCCAGGTGTCATAGAGTCTGGTGATCTTCAATACCCACTTGTTATTTCTTCAGTTCATATTTGGCTTACATGCAAAAAAATGAAATCGGACTCTTATCTCACAACATATATGCAGATTATCTTACAATTATTAAAAACTAAATTGTAAGACTAGAAACCGTAAAACTCAGAAAAAAACATGAAAAAAGCTCTTTGACATTGATCTCGCAATGATCTTTTTGGGGATATGACAAGAAAAGCATAGGCAACAAAGGCAGAAACAAACAAGTAGGATTACATCTAAATAAAAAATCTTCTATAGAGCAAATGAAAAAAATCAATAGAGTAAAAAAGCGACTTGTGGAAAGGAAAAAAATGCAAACCATATGTTTAATAAGGAGTTAATATATGCAAGGAACTCATACAACTCAATACCAAAAAAGGAAAGAAAAATAAAAAGAAAGCACAATCTGATTTTAAAATGAGCAAAGGACTTGGAGAGATATTTTGATAAATAAAACATGTAAATGGATAACAGATCTATGAAAAGATCCTAAAGATTCCTAATAATCAGGGAAATGCAAATCAAAACCACCATGACATAGCAACTCACACCCATTAGGATGGCTATTATATATGAAAAAAGATAACAAGTGTTGGTGAAAATGTGAATAAAAGGGAACCCTTGTATGCTGTCAGAGAGAATATAACCTGGTATAGCTTTTAGGAAAACCAGTACAGGTGGTCCATACCCCCTAAAATTAAATATAGAACTACATTTAATAAAAATTAAATATAGAACTACATTTAATAAAAATTAAATATAGAACTATATTCTATAGAATTATAGAATATATGTGACCCAGCAATTCCATTTCCAGGAATACATGCAAAATACATGACATCAGTATGTGGAAGAGATATCTGCACTCCATGTTCACACATGTTACAAACAGAAAACATTGTTGGAGTCTACTTTTTAAAATATAATAATATCTACCTAAGATTATAACTAAATGTTTACCTTTGAAATTCAAGATTTCTCATTTAATATAGGATTATTAGGTGACACCTAAACAGAGATTTAAAATCATGCATTTCTTTTCTAAAATTGTGTGAAATTTATCAAGTGATAAATACATGAATAATACCAAACATGTACATTACTTTGATGATAATTAATGGTTTTAAATTATTTATCGGTGGTTATTTTAATGGCTCAATCATCAAGAAAGAGCAAGAACAATAGGTAAGCACATTAAGAATACTAAAATCTGTTTATTTTCTATTTTTTTCTATTTTGTAAACACATAAAAAGTACTATGCTTCAGGAACAACTCTACATAAATTGTCTGTATGCTAACTTTGTTAAGTTGCTTGAATTAATATTTACATTTGATTGAAGAAGAAACTGAAACAGGTTAAGTGGCAATGCTTTATAGTAGTTATGAATAGAGATTTTTAACTATACTTGTTGCAAATTAAACTTGTTTTTAATTAATTATTTTCTTAAACAAAACTGATTTATCTATTTCACAGCCTGAATAAAGCCAATAGTAAAATTAGGATTATTACAGCTTTAAAACTGAACAAGATCATGTGTATAATTTGCTATTTTCTGAATCTGTGTTTACAATTCTTATTAAACCTATTAGAGTAGAGAAAGAACTTTTCCATAAACTAGAAAATGGAGAATAGATTTTGTTTATCGCTTGGTTTATGGCATGGCTATGAATAAGTTTAGTTCCAAATTCTTTTACCTCTATAATATATTATTTTTAAAATCTCCATGTGTATTATTGGTTCCATTTTCTGATAAGATAATATATAAAGTTAATCTAAATTAACCCAGTTTCCTTATATTTTTTTCAAAAGTGCAAATAAGATATAATAATGAATTTAGACATATTAGAGGTATGTATCTATACACAGTAATAGAAGAGGATAGGGAAATGAGTTTTACATTTCTCCTTTTAAATAAATTCCAGCTTCAACATTTTGTATTCTATAACTAATTTTTCTTTTCCATCTCCTTTCAATTTTTTTCTGTGCCTTAAATATTATTACTTAACATTTGATGTGAAAAATGTATCCTTCTAATGAAATATTTATCTTATTTGTAACAAACTACAAGCATTGTTCTTTTCATTAGATGCTGGAGTTCTTAATAACATTCTAAGGACAGAAGCTTGTGCTCTGGTTGAATTTTGCAACATCCTTCAGAATTCTTAAATATTCGATTTATTCCAGTATCAAATACTCTCCTTTGTGCAGAACATTCTTTTATGAATTATTACTTGATTTCATGTTACATGTCCTGTAATATATATTTTATAGCTATATGATTTATGCCAATCATACTTCACCAACTACTTCATATATTGCCCATGCAATCTGTTTTTCTTATTGTTTCATAATGAATTGTCTTGCACCTTGGTAAGTACATATCAAGATTATTCTCCATGAGGTAAAATATTTTTTCTATAAAACCAACAAAAAATAAGGAAACAATCACTAATTATTTTGTTTGTGGATATTTTACATTTTATATATAAATATGATTCCTACAAATTTTCTCTAGTTATTCTCCCATATTACATACTTTCTGGGTGTTATATATCATTTATATTTTCATACCACTTATGTTTGCATATTATCACTCCAGTGAAGGCCAAATTATTAACAATACAAGCAGTTTGGCATTTCATGTGCTCTACTGCATTTTACAAAATAATTATACTACCCTAAATGTCTTAAAGTGAGACATAGTATGTTTTTATTTCCTCTAGGAAATTTGTTGAGATACATTTTTAATCTTGTTATTCATAGTTGTATTTTCAACACTTACAATTGACTTTCTATGAAATAGCACAATCTGTACCATAGCAAAACTTCCTGATAATGTTCTTTAAATGTTTGTAACATAAGATAACATTAGTATCCTACAGAAGAGTAGATTTTAAAAAGTCTCAAAGGACAATGAAGGTAGATATTGTATTTCCAAAAGTATCACATGGATGCCAAACTCTTTATACATTATGTGAAAAATCAACAGTGTAATACAAATATGTTTTTGAGTCATTTTCAGCTAGAATAAATGAATTCAATAGACTGAGGCTTTAACGACAATTTGTGCCAATAAAAATCAATTTTTATCTTTTACAGTCAGTAAATAAGAATATGGAACATTTTTCATTAATATGGTGAAGTAAATGTTCTTTTTTGTCCAATTTTTTTCTCTCAGAAAGCAGCAAAAATGTGACACAATAAAATGGAAAATAAAAAAATACAATATCTTAATGAAATTATGAGACATCTATAATTTTCAATCGTTAGAATAAAATAAAAACACGCTGCAAATATATTGAAATTTGACTAAATTCAGAGAAATAAAAGGTTTAAATCTACATTTACATATTTGTAATGGCAAACAATAATTATGGAAAATAGGCAGCATAACCTGAAAGGATTCAATTATATTTTAATTAAGTTATGTATTTTATGTATTCATTTTCTCATGGAACAGCGATATTGGGGGGCATAAATGACCATGAGAATGTCATGAAGTCTTGGTGAATATCAGAGAGTAGTAAAAGAGGAAAAACTCTTAAACAAAATGCTAACTCCAAAGTAATATTTCCCAAAGAGCTTTGAATTGTCTAAAATATGTCATTTGTTTCCCCGTCTGCTTCTTTCTACTTAATTCTAATTTCACCAGCAAATTATGTCACTTCTATTCCCTCTATTTTTTTCTCTGGCCTACTGAATGATCAGCCCCCTTTTTCTAGGATTTTCTAAAGAAATCAGCACTCACCTTGTACAAAATTTCCCTCATATTACTTAAATTATCTCAAGAACTCCTACTAGGATTTTCTTTAATTCTGAAGTTGATAAATGCAGTTACATCTATATTGTGAAATAAAACACACTGTTTTTCAACGAAGTTATAAAATAATTATATAAATTTTTTTTCATGTTGTCATCTACTGATGTACCACATTTAATTCAGCAATTTACTACCCTTATCTTTTCAAGGAAAACCTCATAATTATGTTCCTGTAGCTTAAGAAGGGTCCATATATAGAACAAATTTTTGGAATACTTCAGTACCAAATTTTGCCTTATGAAAGTTTATTTTGTGGACTCACATAAAAAATGAAAATAGATAATGCTATTAATAAGCATTTCATATGTTGTAGAGTGAATCTCTTACCTGAAGATAAATCTGCTGAAGTGGTTACCCCAAAAAAACTGTTCTTACAATGCTACAAGATTATAGTAGGGAATGTTGTATAGATGTTAAGGAAAATAATTTAGCAGATTTTTATGCTAAAAAAGTGTTATTCAACTTATACAAGAATCTCTTGCAGAGCAGATAGAGGAGTCCATGAAGACATATGTCAGAAAATAACGAATGCTGCTGAGATTGTGGAGAAAAAGGAACACTTATACAGTGTTGGTAGGAGTGTAAATTAGTTCAATCATTGTGGAAGACAGTGTGGCAATTTTTCAAAGATCTAAAAATAGAAATACCATTTGACCCAACAATCCCATTACTGTGTATATACCCAAAGGAATACAACTCATTCTATTAGACCTGGAGGCCATTATCCTTAGTAAACTAACACAGGAACAGAAAACCAAATACTGCATGTTCTTACTTATAAGTGTGAGCTAAATTATGATAATACAGGGACACATAGAAAGGAACAACACACACTGGGGCCTACTGAAGGGTGAATGGGGGAGGAGGGAGAGGATCAGGAAAAATAACGAGTGGATATTAGGCTTAATGCCTGGGTGATAAAATAATCTGTACAACAAACCCCTATAACACACACTTTCCCATGGAACAAAACTGCACATTCTGCTTATGTACATTCTGCACATGTACCCATAAACTTAAATAAAAGTTAAAAAATAGATTTCATCATAGATAAATAAAATTTGGCCTACCATATTATAAAGAAATTTTAAAAAATAAAACAATAAGACTGTAAGAGCCAAGAGTCTATGATTTGATGATGCCAGGATAGCCATCTTGTAAATGGATATTTGCCAAAGTGGTTCATGGGACCACCAATCATAGTAGGGAAAAACTAGGAATAATCTATACAAAAGGTTTCATTTGATAGCAGAGGATATGGCCTGATAGTGGCTCACTTGAATAAATATTTTGCTGATATAATATAAATACCAATTTTGAGTGTAATATACTTTTGTGATTAAACACAATATTCTTATTAATCTATGGAACCTGGAGAGCAGAAATATACTTGAAATGGAAAATGAAGCATGCATAATTTGTAATTATGCCTAAACAAACTACAATGTCTACCAAAGAAACAGAAGCCATAGCTGTCAAAATTTACAAACATGTATACACAATTTATAAATCTGTTAAAGTAATTAAACTATATATTAGGCTGTTCTCACACTGCTGTCAAGAAATACCTGAGATCAGGTAATTTATAGAGAAAAGAGGTTTAATTGGCTTACCGTTCTGCAGGCTGTACAGGAAACATAGTGGCATCAGCTTCTGGGGAGGCCTCAGGGAACTTACAGTCATGATGGAAGGAAAGGGGGCATGAGGCATTTCACATGGCCAGAGCAGGAGGAAGTGGGTGGGGAGGTGCTACACACTTTATAACGACCAGATCTCATGAGAACCCTATCACAAGAAAAGCACCAAAGGGGTGGTGCTAAACCATTCATAAAGGATCCACTCCTATGATCCAAATATCTCCCACCAGCCCCACCTCCAACGTTGGTGATTACAATTGAACATGAGATTTGGGTAGAGATACAGATCCAAACCATATAAAACTACAAATTTTTTTGATTAAGCAGCATTGAATATAAAATAGAAAAAATGAATACAGCATGTCAGTTTATGCTTTCTTTATTTTTTTCTTCCTGTCATATGTCAAAGTTTAGAGCACCAAGTAGGCTCTTGGGGTTCCTAATTCTGGGACTTAACTCTTGGATGGCATTTCTGAACCTGCCCTGTCCCCAAGGGAGTGGGAAGGACTGTATCATTTGGTTTAAGTGTCAGATTAGCTGCAATGAAATAGGATACCAGATAGACTTCTAAGGTTTTTGACCCTAGTCCCTGAATCCCAGACAGCACTTCTGCAACCACCTGGGACTTGGAGGACCTCACTGCCATGAAGGGAAGGACACAGGCCTCACTTGATTTGCCATTTGCTGATTTTAGAGCCCTAGGGCCTTGAGTAAACACAGACAGTGGCAGGGAGTGGTTATAGCAAGACTTGGTGAAGATCCAGCACTGTGCTAGCTTCAGGTCTGACCAAGCATAGTCATAGTGGTGGTGGTCACAGGGGTGCTTGTGTCATTCCATCCCCAGCACTAGGTGCCTCAGAACAGGGAGACAGACTACATTTGTTTGAAAGAAAATAAAGAAAGTGAACAAGAGTCTCTGCATAGTAATCCAGAGAATTCTCCTGGATCTTGTCCAAGACCATCAAGGCAATACCTCTATGAGTCTGCAAGAACCACAGTGTTACAGGGTTTGGGGTACCTCCTAAAGTAGAAACAGCTTAGGTCACAACATTCAACTTCTTTCAAATATATGGAACGTTTCCCCAAGAAGGACAGCTAAAAATAAGTCTAGACAGACTACAAAAAAAATACCTCTCTTCAATGCCCAGACACCAAAGAACACCTACCAGCATCAACGCCCTCCAGGAAAACATGACCTCACCAAATGAACTAGACAAGGCAACAGAAGCCAATTTTGGAGAAACAAACCTTTCAGGAAGAGAATTCAAAATAGCTGTTTTGTTTTGTTGAACTCAAAGAAATTCAAGATAACACAGAGAAAATATTCAGAATTCATTCAGAAAAATTTAACAAAGGGACTGAAATAATTTAAAAAAATTCTGGAGCTGAAAAATGTAATTGACATATTGAAGAATGCATCAGAATCCTTTAATAGTGGAATGAATTAAGCAGAAGAGAAAAATTAGTGAACTTGAAGACAGAGTATTTAAACATACACAGTCAGAGGAGACAAAAAAAAGAATAAAAAACAAAAAGGCATGCCTACAGGACGTCAAAAATAGCTTCACAAAGGCAAATCTAAGAGTTTTTGACCTTAAAGAAAAGGTAGAGAAAGGGATAAGGGTAGAAAATTTATTCAAAGGCATAATAACGGAGAACTTTACAAACCTAGAGAAAGACTTCAATATACAAGTAGAAGAAGGTTATAGAACATCAAACAGTTTCATCCCAAAGAAGACTAACCCAAGGCACTTAACAGTCAAACTCCCAAAGATCAAAGATAAAGATAAGATCCTAAAAGCAGCAAGAGAAAAGAAATAAATAACACACAATGGAGCTCCAATATATCTGACAACAGACTTATTTGAAATCTTATAAGCCAGGAAAGAGTGGTATGACATTTAAAGTACTGAAGAAAAAACACTTCTACCCTGGAATACTATATCTGATGAAAATACGCTTCAAACATGAAAGAGAAATAAAGATTTTTTCAGACAAACAAAAGCTGAGGGATTTAATCAATACCAGACCTGTTATATAAGAATTGCTAAAGGAAGCACTTCAATCAGAAAGAGAAGGACATTAATGAGCAATAAATAATCACCTGAAGGTACAAAATTCACTGGTAATAGTAAGTACACAGAAAAACACAGAATATTATAACTATAACCATGGTGTGTTAACTATTCTTATCCTAAGTAGAAAGACAAAATGATGAACTGATCAAAAATAATAACTACAGGCTGGGTGCAGTAGCCCATGCCTGTAATCCCAGCACTTTGGGAGGCTGAGGTGGGAAGATCACTGGAGTTCAGGAGTTCAAGGAGGTGGGTAGATCACTGGAGTTCAGGAGTTCAAGACCAGCCTGGCCAACATAGTGAAATCCCATCTCTACCAAAAATACAAAAGTTAGCCAGGTGTGGTGGGGGGCACCTGTAATCCCAGCTACTTGGGAGTCTAAGGAGGAGAATTGCTTGAACTGGGAGGCAGAGGCTTCAGTGAGCCAAGATTGTGCCACTGCACTCTAGCCCAGGCAACAAGAGCGAGATTCCATCTCAAAAATAAAAAATAATAAAAACAAATAATAATACCTATAACAACTTTTCAAGACACAATCAGTACAATGAAATATAAATAGAAATAACAAAAAGTTAAAAAGTGAAGGTAAAAAGTTAAGGAGTAGAGTTTTTATTAGATTTATTTTTGCTTGTTTGTTTTCTTGTTTGTGCAAATAGTCTTGTTATTAGGATAAAATAATTGGTAATAACACAACATTTGCAAGCCTTATTTTAACCTCAAACCATAAAATATATGATGGACACACAACGCACACACAAACAAAGCAGGAATGTAAATTATATCATCGCCAAAATCATCTTTACTAGAGGAAGACAGGAAAGAAAGAAATAAGAAAGAGAAGACTACAAAAGAGCCAGAAAACAAGTAACAAGATGGTAGGAGCAAGTCTTTACTTATCAATTATAACATTGAATACAATGGACTAAATTTCCCTATCAAAAGACACAGACTAGCTGAATGGATAAAAAACAAGACCCATTGAACTGTTTCCTGCAAGAAACACACTTCACCAATAGAGACACACATAGACTAAAAATAAAGGAATAGAAATAGATACTCCACGACAATGAAAACCAAAAAATAGCAGGAGTTACAATACTTATATCAGACAAAATAGATTTCAAGACAAAGACCCTAAGAAGAGACAAATAATATCACTGTATAATTTTATATCATTCAATTCAGCAAGAGGGTATAACAATTTGAAATAAATATGCACCCAACACTGAGCACCCAGATTCATAAAGCAAATATTATTAGTGCTAAAGAGAGAAATAGGCCGCAATATAATAATATCTGGATATGTCAACACCCCACTTTCAGCATTGGACAGATCTTCCAGACAGAAAATCAACAAAGAAACATCACACTTAATTTGCACTATAGTCCTAGGGGTTCTAATAATTTTTTACAGAATACTTTATCCAAGAGCTGCAGAGTACACCTTTATTTACTCAGCACATGTATCGTTATCATGAAGAGTTTATATGTTAGGTCACAAAACAAGCCTTAAAATATTCAAAGAAAGCCAATTGAAATAATATCAAGCATCTTCTCTGACAACAATGGAATTCACTTGGAAATTAATAATGAGAGGAATTTTGTAAATTATACAAATGCATGGAAATTAAACAATATACTCCTCACTGTCCAATGAGTCAATGAAGAAATCAAGAGGGAAATTAAAAAATTTATGAAACAAATAATAAAAACTCAATATACCAAAGCCTAAGGAATACAGCAAAAGTGGTACTAAGAGTGAAGTTTATTATCATAAGTACACGAAAAAAAGAAAACACTACAAATAAACAATCCAATGATGTATGTTAAAGAATTAGAAAAGGAAAGGCAAACAGAACCCAAAATCAGTAAAATAAAAAAAAATTCAGAAAAGACATAAATGAAATTGAAATTAAAAACCCACTACAAAAGATCAATGTAACAAAAAGTTCTTTCTAAGATTAAACAAAATTGACAAACATTTAGCCTGAATCACTAAGAAAACAAAGAAGATCCAAATAAATAGAATGAGAAATTAAAAAGGAGACATTACAACTGCTACTACAGAAATTCAAAGGATCATTAGTGGCTACTATGAGTAACTATATGTCAATAAATTGGAAAATCTAAAAGAATAAAAAAGAAAGAAATTCTCAGACACACAAAAATTTCCAAGGTTGAAGCAGGAAGAAATTCAAAATGTGAACGGACTAATAATAATGAGATCAAAGCAATAACACAGTCTCCCAGTAAAAGAAGCCTAGGATCCAATGGCATCAATGCTGAAATCTACCAAACATTTGAGAACTAATTCCAATCCTACTCAAACTATTAAAAAAAAAAAAAAGGTGTAGGGGGAAATACTTTTAAAATCATCCTATGAGGCCAGTATTACCCTGATACCAAAATCAGACAAAGACAAATCAGAAAAAAAAAAAAAACTACAGGCCAATATAAATAATGAATATTGATGCAAAAATCCTCAACAAAATATTAGCAAACCAAATTTAACAATATATTGGAAAGATCATTCATCATGACCAAGTGGAATTTATCCCAGGAATGCAAGGATGGTTCAACATACACAATCAATCAATGCCATACATCATATCAACAGAATAAAGAATAAAAACCATATAGTTATTTTACTTAATGTTGAAAAAGCATTTGATAAAATTTAACATCTCTTCATGAGAGAAATCCTAAAGAAAAACCGGGTATAGAAGGAACATACTTCAGCATAATAAAATTCATATATGACAGACCCACAGCTAGTATCATACTGAATAAGGAAAAACTGAAAGCCTTTTCTCTAAGATATGGAACATAAAATGGATGCCACAGTGACCACTGTTATTCAACACAGTACTGGAAGTTCTAGCTAGAGCAATGACAAAGAGAAAGATATAAAGGACATCTAGATTGTAAAGGAAGAAGTCAAATTTTCCTTGTTTGCAAATTTTATATTTAGAAAAACCTAAAGAATTAATAAGAAAATGATTAGAACTGATAAACAAATTCAGAAAAGTTGTAAGATGCAAACTCAACATTCAAAAATCAGTAGCATTCTATATGCCAACATTGAACAATATGAAAAAGAAATTCAAAAAGTAATCCTAGTCGTTCTATTGTAAATAGTGCTGCAATAAACATATGTACATATGTGTGCATGTGTCTTTATAGTAGAATAATTTATAATCATTTGGGTATATACTCAGTAATGGGATTGCTGGGTCAAATGGAATTTCTGATTCTAGATACTTGAGGAATCTCCACACTGTCTTCCACAATGGATGAACTAATTTACACCCCCAACAACAGTGTAAAAACGTTCCTATTTCTCCACATCCTCTCCAGCATCTGTTGTTTCCTGACTTTTTAATGATCGCCATTCTAACGGGCATGAGATGGTATGTCATTGTGGTTTTGATTTGCATTTCTCTAATGACCAGTGATGATGCACTTTTTTTTCATATATTTGTTGGGCACATATATGTCTTCTTTTGAGAAGTGTCTGATTACATCCTTCGCCCACTTTTTGATGAGGCTGTTTGTTTTTTCCTTGTAATTTTGTTTATACTTTAAGTTCTGGGGTACATGTGCAGAACGTGCAGGTTTGTTACATAGGTGTACATGTGCCATGGTGGTTTGCTGCACCTATCAAACCATCATCTACATTAGATATTTCTCCTAATGCTCTCCCTCCCCTAGACCCCCAGTCCCCAACAGGCCCCAGTATGTGATGTTCCACTCCCTGTGTCCATGTATCCTCACTGTTCAACTCCCACTTATGAGAGAGAACATGCAGTGTTTGGTTTTCTGTTCCTGTATTAGGTTACTGAGAACGATGGTTTCCAGCTTCATCCATGTCCCTGCAAAGGACTAGAACTCATCCTTTTTATGGCTGCATAGTATTCCATGATGTATATGTGCCACATTTTCCTTATCCAGTCTATCATTGTCATTTACTTTCTTCACAGAATTAGAAAAAAACTACTTTAAATTTCATATGGAACCAACAAAGAGCCCGTTTGGCCAAAACAAAGAGTTCTTTGTAGACTCTGGATATTAGCACTTTGTCAGACGGATAGATTGCAAAATTTTTCTCCCATTCTGTAGGTTGCCTGTTCACTCTGATGATAGTCTCTTTTGCTGTGCAGAAGCTCTTTAATTAGATACCATTTGTCAATTTTGGCTTTTGTTGCCATTGCTTTTGGTGTTTTAGTCATGAAGTCTTTGCCCATACTTATGATCTGAATGGTATTACCTAGGTTTTCTTCTAGGGTTTTATGGTTTTAGGTCTTATGAAGGCTTTAATACATCTTGAGTTAATTTTTGTAAAAGGTGTAAGGAAGGGGTCCAGTTTCAGTTTTCTGCATATGGCTAGCCAATTTTTCCAATACCATTTATTAAATAGGGAACCATTCCCCCGTTGCTTGTTTTTGTCAGGTTTCTCAAAGATCAGATGGTTGTAGAAGTGTGGTGTTATTTCTGAGGCCTCTGTTCTGTTCCATTGGTCTATATATCTGCTTTGGTGGCAGCACCATGCTGTTTTATTACTGTAGCCTTGTAGTACAGTTTGAAGTCAGGTAGCATGATGCCTCCAGCTTTATTCTTTTTGCTTAGGATTGTTTTGGCCAAACGGGCTCTTTGTTGGTTCCATATGAAATTTAAAGTAGTTTTTTTTCTATTTCTGTGAAGAAAGTTAATGACAATGATAGACTGGATAAGGAAAATATGGCACATACACATCATGGAATACTATGTAGCCATAAAAAGGATGAGTTCTAGTCCTTTGCAGGGACATGGATGAAGCTGGAAACCATCGTTTTCAGTAACCTAATACAGGAACAGAAAACCAAACACTGCATGTTCTCTCTCATAATTGGGAGTTGAACAGTGAGGACACATGGACACAGGGAGTGGAACTTCACATATTAGGGCCTGTTGGGGACTGGAGGTCTAGGGGAGGGAGAGTATTAGGAGAAATATCTAATGTAGATGATGGTTTGATAGGTGCAGCAAACCACCATGGCATGTGTATACCTATGTAACAAACCTGCACGTTCTGCACATGTACCCCAGAACTTAAAGTATAACAAAATATATCTATATCTATGTACAAAAATTTCTGGGTGATCACCAAAAATGTAATCAATAATGTTACTTTCCTTTGTTTCTCTGAATCCTCTTTCTCCTACAATGAAAGTGTATTTTTTTAAACCTTAAGAAATTCTTTTTGTACTATCTTTTCCTACCGATAGTTTATGTGCTACCAGTTAGGATCTTGGAAAACTACTCACATTAAAATCTTGTTTCCTGAGTTTTATTTCAAACTGTCCTGAATTTTTACTACAGTAATTTTTGCTAAAGGTAGTTCCTAGTAATCAGTTATTTACCTTTGGTAAACTTAATTTTAGATGAAAACTACACACAAAAAAACAATTGTCTTATGATTAGAACTTCAAGTTAGGAGGTGAGTAGTCTATGCAGCATAAGACAAATTATAACTCTTACCTTTAAATTTCCTCGTTTGACAAGAACTATCAAATTCCTTTTTAAGAGTGTACACATATATGTTTTTAATTTGGAAATTCCATATTCAGTGAAAATTCAAATTTTAATTCCTATGGAAAATTTAAATTTTATTTACTGTGGAATGGCAAAGCTGAATTTATTTCACTATTATTTATCAAAAAGCGTGTAACATAAGATTTCAAATATGTTTAACCTGGTAAAAGTGAGAATATATTTCCATCAAGAGCACACCATCTAAAAAAACAGTATTGCTATCTAGTCATATGCATTTAATTTTTGCAGCCCCTAATTGTTCAGAATAAATGTAGCATTCACATAATATTATAGTCCATGAAAAGAGTATATTCTTTTACTGGTTTTGGTTCATACATGTTAAGTTTCAACTTTCAATAATAAAATTCTATAAATTTGATTTCTTAATCATAAAAAATCAACAACAAAAGAAAGTAATCCTATTTACAATAGTCACATGTAAAATTAAATATCTAGGAATTGACAAAAGAAGTGAAAGATCTACATAATGAAAATGATAAAACACTGAGAAAAAAATTAAAGAGGAGACCAAAATATGAAAAAATATTTCATACATATTCATGGATTGAAAGAATCTATGTATCTATCTATATCTATTTATCTATCTATCATCTATCTGTTTATCTGTCAATCTATCTATCTATTATCTATATATTTAACTTTTCTTTAAGTTCAGGGGTACAAGTGCAGGTTTGTTATATAAATAAACTTGTGTCATGTGGGTTTCTTGTACAAATTATTTCATCATCAATATTTTAAGTCTAGAACCCATTAGTTGTTTGTCAATATCCTATCTCTCCCCCAACCATCCACCCTCCAAAAGACCCCAATGTGTGTTGTTCCCCTCTATATGTCCATAGGTTTTCATCATTTAGCTCCCTCTTATAAGAAAAGGAACTTGTGGTATTTTGTTTTCTGTTCCTGCGTTAGTTTGCTAAGAATTATGGCCTCTAGCTCCATCCATGTCCCTGCAAAGCATATGATCTCATTTTGTTTTTATAGTTGCATAGTATTCTATGGTGTATAGGTACCACATTTTCTTTATCCCCTCTATCATTGATGGGCACTTAGGTTGATTCCATGTCTTTGCTATGGTAAATAACGCTGCAGTGAACATATGCATGCATGTGCCTTTATAACAGAACAATTTGTTTTCCTTTGGGTATATACCTAGTAATAGGATTACTGAGTCAAATTGTATTTCTGTCTTTACGTCTTTGAGACTTTGCCACACTGCCTTCCATAGTGGCTAAACTAAACTTACACTCTCACCAATAGTAAGTGCTCCTTTTTCTCCAAAACCTCACCAGCATCTGTTATTTTTTAACTTTTTAATCATAGTCATTCAGACTGGTGTGAGGTGGCGTCTAATTGTGGTTTTGACTTGCATTTCTCTAATTATCAGTGATGCTGAGGGTTTTCTTTCTCATATAATTGTTGGTCACATGTATGTCTTCTTTGAAAATTGTTCATATTCTTTGCCCACTTTTTAATGGAGTTGTTTGTTTTCTTAATTGTAAATTTGTTTAAATTTCTTATAGATGCTGGATATTAGACCATGTCAGATGCATAGTTTGCAAAAATTTTCTCTCATTCTTTATATTGTCTGTTTATTCTGTTGATATTCTTTTGCTGTGCAGAGGCTCTTTAATTTAATTAGATCCCATTCATCAATTGTTATTTTGTTGCAATTGCTTTTTGTTTTTGTAGTGAAAGCTTTGTCCATGCCTATATCCTGAATTGTATTGCCTAGTTTATCTTCCAGAGTTTTTGTAGTTTTTGGGTTTTACATTTAAGTCTTGAATCCATCTTGAGTTAATTTTTGTATATGGTGTAAGGAAGGGGTCCAGTTTCAATTTTCTGCATGTGGCTAGCCAGTTATCCCAGAATCATTTATTCAATAGGCAATTATTACCCCATTGCTTGTTTTTGTTAGATTTGCTGATGATCAGATAGTGGCATGTGTGCAGTCTTATTTCTGGGTTCTCTATTCTGTTTCATTGGTCTATGTGTCTATTCTTGTATTAGTATCATGCTGTTTTGGTTATGGTAGCATGTAGTATAGTTTGACATTGGGTAGCATGATGCTTTCAGCTTTGTTCTTTTGTATTAGAATTGCCTTGGCTATTTTGGCCCTTCTTTGGTTCCATATGAATTTTTAAACTAGTTTTTCTATTTCTGTGAAGAATGTCAGTGATAGTTAAATGGGGATAGCATTGAATCTATAAATTGCTTTGGGCAGTATGACTACTTTCAAGATATTTACTCTTTTTATTCATGAGCACAGAATGCTTTTCCATTTGATGTATCATCTCTAATTTCTTCAAGCAGTGGTTTATAGTTCTCCTTGTAGAGATCTTTCACCTCCCTAGCTAGCTGTATTTCTGGATATTTTATTCTTTTTGTGGCAATTGTGAATGCAATTTTTTTTCCTGATTTGGCTCTTAGTTTGACTGTTGGTGTATGGATGTAATTTTTGTGTGATTTTTGCACATTGACTTTGTATCCTGAGACTTTGCTGAAGTTGTTTATCAGTTTTGGAAGCGTTTGGGCTGAGACGATGGGGTTTTCTAGATATAGAATTATGTCATCTGCAAACAGAAATAATTTGACTTTTTATCTTCCTATTTGAATGTCCTTTATTTCTTTTTCTTTCCCAATTGCCTTGGCCAGAACTTCCAATACTATGTTGAATAGAAGTGGTGAGAGAGGGCATACTTGTTTTGTGCTGGTTTTCAAGAGGAATGCTTCCAGACTTTGTCCATTCTGTATGATGTTGGGTGTGGGTTTGTCATATATAGCTCTTATTATTTTAAGGTATGTTTCTTCAATACCCAGCTTATTTAGCATTGTCAATATGTGAATATGAATTTTATCTAAAGCCTTTCTGCATCTATTGATATAATCATGTGGTTTTTGTCTTTAGTTCTGTTTATGTGATGAGTCCCATTTCTTGATTTGCATATTGATATGGTTTGGCTGTGTCCCCACCCAAAATCTCATCTTGAATTGCAATCCCCACCTGTCAGATCATGGGGGTGGCTGGTTTCCTCTATGCCGTTCTTGTCATAGTGAGTGAATCTCACAAGATCTGACGGTTTTATAAGTGTCTGGCATTTCCACTGCTTGCACTCATTCTCTCTCCTGCTACCCTGTAAATAAGTGCCTTCTGCCATAATTGTAAGTTTACTGAGGCTTCCCCAGCCATGTGGAACTGTGAGTCAATTCATCCTCTTTTCTTTATAATATACCCAGTCTTGGGTGTTTCTTCATAGCAGCATGGGAACAGAATAATACAGTAAATTGGTACTGAGGTAGCAGGGTGATGCTATAAAGATACCCCAAAATGTGGAAGCAAATTTGGAACTGGGTAACAGTTAGAGGTTGGAACAGTCTGGAGGGCTCAGAAGAAGACAGAAAAATGTGGTGAAGTTTGGAACCTTCTAGAGACTTGGTGTATGGTTTTGATCAAAATGCTGACAGTGATATAGACAATGAAGTCCATGCTGAAGTGGTGTCAGATGGACAAGAGAAACTTGTTGGAAACTGGAGCAAAGGTGACTCTTGCTATGCTTTCGCAAAGAGACTGGCAGCATTTTGCCCCTGCCTTAGAGATCTGTGGATGTTTGAACTTGAGAGAGATGATTTAGGGTAACTGGTGGAATAAATTTTTAAGCAGCAAAGTGTTCAAGAGGAATCAGAGCATAAATGTTTGGAAAATTTGCAGCCTGACTATGAAGTAGGAAAAAAAAAACAAAACATTTTTCTGGGAAAAAAATTAAAGCAGGCTGCAGAAATTTGTGTAACCAGGAGCTGAATGTTAATTACTGAGAAAATGGGAAAAATGTCTCCAAGACATGTCAGAGACCTTCACAGCAGCCCCTCCCATCACAGGCTCAGAGGCCTAGAAGAAACAAATGGTTTCCTGGACCAGGCCCAGGTCCCCACTGCTCTGTGCAGCCTCAGGACATTGTGCCCTGTGTTCAGCTCCTTCAGCTTCAACAGTGACTAAAATGGGTCAATGCACAGCTCAGGCCACTGCTTCAGAGGGTGCAAGCCCCAACCCTTGGCAGCTTATATTTGATGTTGGGCCTGTGGGTGAACAGAAGTCAAGAATTGAGGTTTGGGATTCTCTGCCTACATTTTAGAGGATGTATGGAAAGACCTGGATATCCAGGCAGAAGTTTGCTGCAGGGTTGGCGCCCTTATGGAAAACCTCTGCTAGAGAAGTGAAGAAGGGAAATGTGCAGTAGGCACCCACACATAGAGTCCTCACTGGGGCACTACCTAGTGGAGCTGTGAGAAGAGGGCCACTGTCCTCCAGACCTCAGCATAGTAGATCCACCAACAGTTTGCACAGTGTACCTGAAAAAGCTGCAGACACTCAATGCCAGCCCACGAACACAGCTAGGATAGGTCTACACCCTGCAAAGCCACAAGGTTGGAGTTGCCCAAGGCTGTGGGAGCCCAGCTCTTGTATCAGCATGCCCTGCATGTGAGACGTGAAGTCCAAGGAGATCATTTGGGAACTTTTGTGTTTAATGATTACTCTATCAGATTTTGAACTTGCATGGGCCTGCAGGCCCTTAGATTTGCCAGTTTCTCCCATTCGGAATGGGTGTATTTCCCAATGACTGTACCTGCATTGTTTCTAGGAAGTAACTAACTTGCTTATCATTTTACAGGCTCATAGGCAGAAGGGATTTGTCTTGTTTCATATGAGACTTTGGACTGAGACTTTTGGCTTATTGCTGGAATGAGCTAAGAATTTGGGGGACTGTTGGAAGGGCATCATTGTGTTTTGATATATGAGGACATGAGATTTGCGAGGGGCCAGAGATGAATGATATGATTTTGCTGTGTCTACACCTAAAATCTCATCTTGAATTGCAATTCTTACGTGTAAAGCGTGGGATAGGTGAAGGTAATCAAATCATGATGGCAGTTTTCCCCATGTTGTTCTCATAATAGTGAGTAAGTCTCATGATATCTGATGGTTTTATAAACATCTGGCATTTCTCCTGGTTACACTCATTATCTGTCCTGCTGCCTTGTGAAGAACGTGCCTGCTTCCCCTTCTGCCATTATTGTAAGTTTCCTGATGCTTCCCCAACCATGTGGAATTGTGAGTTAATTAAATGTTTTTTCTTTAAAAAAATACTCAGTCTTGGGTATTTCTTCACAGTAGTGTGAAAATGGACTGATACACAAATGTTGAACCAACCTTGCATCCCAGGGATTAAGCCTACTTGATTGTGGTGGTTAAGCTTTTTTTTTTTTTTTTCTGTGCTGCTGGACTCAATTTGTGAGTAGCCTGTTGAGGATTTTTGCATCAATGTTCATCAAGAATACTGGCCTGAAGTTTTTGTTGTTGTTTTATCTCTGCTAGCGTTTAGTATCAGGATTATACTGGCCTCATAGTGTGAATTATGGAAGAGTCCCTTTCCTTATTTTTTTTAAATAGTTTCAGTAGGAATGGCCCCAGCTCTTCGTACATCTGATAGAATTTAGCTGTGAATCCGTCTGGTCCTGGGCTTTGTTTGGTTGGTAGGCTACTTATTATTCTCTCAATTTCAGAACTAGTTTTTGGTCTTTTCAGAGATGTAACTTTTTCCTGGTTCAGTCTTGGGAGAGTGTAAATGTCCAGAAACTTATCAATTTCTTCTTGATTTTCTGATTTATGTGCATAGAGGTGTTCTAATATTCTGATTGTTGCTGGTATTTCTGTGAGGTCAGTGGTAATGTCTCCCTTAGTTTTTTCTGATTGTGTTTATTTGAATCTTCTCTTTTTTTATTAGTCTAGCTAGTGGTCTATCTATTTTATTAATTTTTCCAAAAAGCCAGCTCCTGGATTCATTGATCTTTTGAATGGTTTTTCACATTTCAGTCTTCTTCAGTTCAACTCTGATTTAGATTATTTCTTGTCTTCTGCTAGCTTTGTGATTTGTTTGCTCCTGTTTCTCTAGTTCTTTAGTTGTGAAGTTAGATTGTTAACTTGAGATATTTCTAACTTTTTGATGTAGGTATTTGGTGCTATAAGCTTCCTTGTTAACACTGCCTTAGCTATGCCCCAAGGATTCTGGCATGTTGTGTCTTGGTTCTTATTATTCTCAAATATTGGTTTCTGCATTAATTTCATTATTTAGCCAAACATTCAGGAGCAGGTTAAATATTCATGTAATTGTACGTTTTTGAGTAAATATTTTAGTTTTTATTTTGAACTTAATTGTGCTATGGTCTGAGAGACTGTTGGTTATGATTCACTTATTTTGCATTTGCTGAGGAGTGCTTACTTCCAATTACATAATCTATTTTAGAATAAATGCTATGCGATAATGAGAAGAATGTATATTCGATTATCTTTTGATAGAGAGTGATATGGCTTGACTTTTTGTCTCCACTCGAATCTCATGTCTAATTGTAAACCCCAGTGTTAGAAGAGGGACCTGGTGAGAAGTGATTGAATCATGGGAGTAGACTTTCCCCTTAGTGTTCTCATGATAGAGTTTTCATGAGATCTGGTTGTTTGAAACTGTGTAGCACCTCCACCTTTACTCTGTCTGTCTCCTGATGACCATATGAAGATGTGCTTGCTTCTGCTTTGCCTTTTCAATGATTGTAAGTTTCCTAAGGCCTCCCCAGAAGCAGAAGCCTGTACTGTGAGCTGATTAAACCTGTTTTCTTTATAAATTACCCTGTCTCATATAGTTCTTTATTGCAGTGAGAGAACAGACTAATACGGATTTCTGTAGATATCAATCAGGTCCATTTAAGATAATCAATATTGTTAAAATATTTATACTACCCAAAGTAATCTACATATTCAATGCAATTTCTGTCAAAATACCAATTACATTCTTCACAGAAATACAAAAAACAATTCTGAAATTTATATGGGGCCAAAAAAGACCCAGGACAGCCAAAACTATCCTGAGCATATGAACAAAACTAGAGGAATCACTTTCTCTGACTTCAAATTATATGACAGCGGTATAGTAACCAAAACAACATGGTACTGGTATAAGAAAAGACACACAGACCAGTGTAACAGAACAGAGAACCCAGAACCAAATCTGCACAGCTACAGTGAACTGATTTTCAGCAAAGATTTCAAGCACATACACTAGGGTAAAACAATTGTGCTGGGAAAACTGGATATCCATATGCAGAAGAATAAAACTAGAGCCCTATCTCTTTTGATATACAAAAATCAAATGAAAGTGGATTGAAGACTTAAATTCAAGACCTCAAGCTATGAAGCTACTATAAGAAAACATGGAAGAAAATCTCCAGGACATTGGTTTGTGCAAAAACTTTTTGAGTAATACCCTACAGGAACAGGCAACCAAAGCAAACATGGACAAATAGGATCACATCCAGTTAAAAAGCCTCTGCACAGCAAAGAATACAATTAGTAAAGTGAAGTGACAACCCACATAATGGGAAAAAAATATCTGCAAACTACCCATCTGACAAAGGATTGATAACCAGAACATATAAGGAGCTCAAACAACTCTAAAGAAATAAATCTAATAATCTCATCAAAGAATGGGCAAAAGATTTGAGTAGACATTTTTCAAAAGAAGACATACACATGGCAAACATGTATATGAAAAGGTGCTCGATATCATTGACCATAAGAAAACTGGAAATCCAGACTTCAATGAGGTATTATGCAACCCCAGTTAACATGACTCACATTCAAGAGACAGGCAATAACAAATCCTGGCAAAGATGTGGCGAAAAGAGAAAGCTTTTACACTGTTGTTGAGAATGTAAATTATTATAGCCACTATGGAGAACAGATCAGAGGTTCCTCACAAATGCAAAAATTGAGCTACCATATGATCCAGCAATTTGACTCCTGGGTACGTATCCAAGATAAAGGAATTTAGTATATGGAAGACATATCTGCACTTCTATGTGTGTTGCAGCACAATTTACGATAGCTAAGATTTGGAAGCAACCTATGTGTTCATCAGCAGATAAATGGATAAAGAAAATATGGCACATATACACAATGAAGTACTATTCAGCTTTAAGAAGAATGAGATACAGTTATTTGCAACAATATAATTAGAAATGAAGATCATTAAGTTAAGCGAAATAAGAGAGGGCACAGAAAGTGAAATATCACGTTCTTACTTATTTGTGGGATCTAAAAGTCAAAACAATTGAAACATGACCATAAAGACCTGAAGGATGTTTACCAGAGGCTTACAAGGGAGTATGAGGGTCGGGTGGAAGTGAGGATGATTAATTGGTACCAAAAAGTTAGAAATGAATAAGACTTAACTATTTGATAGCACAATAGGATGACTACGGTCAATAATAAATTTATTGTATATTTTATAATAACTTAAAAAGGCTAATTGGATTGCTTGTAACTCAAAGAATAAATACTTAAGGGGATGAATACCACATTCTTTATGTTGTTCTTATTTCACATTGTATGCCTATATTGAAGCATCTCATGTACATCATAAATGTACCCACCTGCTATGTATACACAAAATTTAAAAATAAAAAATGAAAAAGAGGATAATAAATGTGACTGTGATATTTGAGAACTGAAACCTTTTGGGAGTAATTAGGATTAGATGAAGCCATGAGGGTGAGACGTTAATGGATATAAAAGGGGAGAGAGACTTGAACTAGAATGTTCAGCCCACTTGCCATGCAGGCCTTGTGCCATTTTGGGATTCCAAGGAAAATCTCCATAACTAGAAGGCCTTCATCAGGTGTGCCCATCTCCCCCTATGACTCTGGACTTCCCAGCCTCCAGATCTGTAAGAAATAAATGCTTTTCCTTTATAAATTACCCAGTCTCTGGTATTCAGTTATAGCAAGAGAAAATGGACTAAGATAGTCATCAATAAAAAAGAAAGTCTGAGAAACTATCATAACAAAGAGGAGTCTAAGGAAACATCAATAGGGAAATTTGTTATGGCACATGTGGGAACTCTTTGTCCTAACCTCTCATTCTTTCAAAAAACCTAAAACTGTTCTTAAAAAGAGACATTTTTTTTAAAAAGAGAAAAAATGTTACATAAGTTGAGAGCAATTACATATATCAAAGGTTTCAGGAAAGTAATTTGGGAAATTCTTTTAGTATCAAGAAAGATGACAAAGCAGCATGAATGAGAAAGCAGGTAGGTGTCTAAATATTTCTAAGGATGAATATTCAACATTTGTATCAATTTTTACATATTTATATATGAGGGCTTTTTTATGTTTTTATAAAAGGCAGTAGTGGGTAAATGATTTTGTTGATGGTACAGGCATCACCTTATCCCTTGCATCTCATGAAGTGTAGAGAAAAACTTATTTCCTTATGTGAGTTTCCATCACAACACTTATAGCCAGTGTCCACATCAATTTATTTGTTATTTAAGCTGACTATAATGTGATGACAGGTTATAAAATTTATTCCAAAACATAGTTAGGTTTTGCAATCATATAAACTTTGAGTAGAAGGAGGAGAGAGTGTTCTTAATAAGTTAAAATAGCACAAATTGGTGAAAGTCAGGGTGGATTTAAAGAATCAGGGAAACTGAGAAAAATGAAGATAAAGAATTGATCACTTCTGTTATCTTGAGATGTCTTATATCTTGAGGTTTCTTCTGTGTTATTTTTTTTTTTTTTGCATGGATAGGGATTATAAATTGAAATATGGCCACAAGTTCTCCCCTTTGTATCCTTCTCTTTGATGCCATCTTTGTACAGTGCGTTCTTTATATTAGTCTTTATAATTCTAGGGTTCTTCCTGAGGTTTTTATCAAGCATAGCTCCTCTAACAGTGGCTGCTATTACATCCATGATGCTTTGAAGTGGGTGGGTGACTGAGGAAGAGCATGGCTGAAAGCTATAATTAAAGTAGAGCAGAATAGAGTTATCGAGGGTAAAGGGGCACAGGAGATTATTATAATAAAATTTCATAATGTCTAGCAACTGAAATAGTGTTCTCACATCATATAAATTCTGTACTTTATTGACTTTAAGCTATCTACTGGAATTATCTTCTCTCCCTCTCAATATACAATTAAAATAATAGTAAATGGAAAAATGTACTTTTTTTTTAGAAAAAGATCATCAAGGTGTCTATTCTGATGTCAAATAGTTCGTTCTTCTCTAGATAAATTAGTTTCAGGATTGCACATCATGAGCATCACCTTTATTTAAAGTAAAATTTAAATAGATTTCCATCTATATGGTCAGAGCAAATGTACAACTACAGATTTTGAAAACTTTAAGGAAAAACATTGAAACAGAAAACTCAAGTTTTAAGGAGAGAGAAAATAATGGACTCTGGAGGAAACAGAAATATCTGAAATAGTAAGGTAGAAATTAAACAAAAACAACTCCAGGGAACAGAAAAATGCATTCTAGAAATAATAAAGTTATATCTCTATACAGTTTAAGGAAATTTATTTTTAACTTAAAATTCAATGCACAAACTATCGATGAAAGTTAAGAAAAGAATAAAGGTACAAGAATACATGTAATAATTCAAAATGCTTTTCCCATTGCACTGTTTTGTTTGTTTGTTGTATTTTTTTAAAGAAGTTAAATGGAAAAATATCAGCTTAACAATGGAATTTTCATTCATAGAGTTATTTTTTTTTTGCCATGTCATGGATATCTTTGTGGAATTTGTCCTAAATCTGGTGTGCTGTGGATCATGACCTGATTGTGACCTACTCAGCACTACCAACCAACTACATTGGAGAAGAGTTCTAAGGTTTCTGAAGTATTTCTGAAGCAAAAAGAGGTTAATAATACTGACTATCTTTCAGACAACAGATAATTAAAGAGGTCTCAAGTATTCGACATGCACTTTGCTTACTGTCACCAGACTTAGTTCCTTAATCCTGTAGAATGCCTCCTCTAACAGACTTTAACATGAGAGTGGCCAGCTTCTTTTCTCTGGCTTGGCATGTGTAAGGAGCTTGGATGTTGGCTCTCCTTTGTAACAATAAGTAAAAAGCTGAAAAAAACTAAAAAAATAAGTAATTCCTTCTGAGTTCGTCAAAGAAATGAAGTCCCAGGGCAAATTGCTGTCCCATGCCCAACCCATATTAGAGACAGACAGGTAAATACAGATAATCAAAACTTACTAGAGCAAAACCAGCATGAACCAGGCCTGGGATAGGAAAACTAAAAAGTACTTGACGAATTGCTGGAGGCTTAGTGTGAACAAAACTGAGAAATAAAAACCCAATCATGGAGGAGTCTCTACCCTTTTGTGGTTTTACCTCCAAGATCCTGACCAAATTCTTACAATGAATATTGAAGAATACCTTGAGTTTGTCTTGAGGGAGGGTGGGGGGAGGGTTCATTTTGAAATACGCCAAAGCATTCTACATGTTTTAAATAAGGCCCCCTCAAGGGGGGTTGGAAGGATGAGAGGAACTTGTGAAGTTTACAGTTCAGAGGTAAAGGTTCAGTTCAGACTGAGACCTAAGTACAGGACTATAGAAAAATTCCCCTCTTCCCACAACTTACCATCACATTAATAAAAGTCTTTTACTAAAGCGTTGTTTGATGAGAGAGCAAGAATCAAAACTAAACTTAAATATAACATGGATATTACAATTATCAGACCAAGAATGTAAAACCACTATAATTAATATGCTACAGGCTCTAATGGATAAAGTAGACAGTACACAAGAACAGATGGACAATATAAGTAGAGAGATTAAAACTCTTAAGAAAAAATCAGAAATAAATGCTAGGGATCAAAAACACTATTTCGGAAATAAAGACTGCCTTTGATGGGCTTATCAGTAGACTGGGCACAGCTGAGGAGAGAATCACTGAGCTTACAACTGTCTCAAGAGAAACCTCCAAAGTTGAAATCAAAGAGAACAAAGACTGAGGAAAAAAGAACCAAACATCCAAGTACCTTAGGATAACTACAAAAGGTAAAATATTAATAAAGGAAATCCCAGAAGGAGAAGAAGAAGAGACAGGGAGAGGACAAAAGAAATATTTGAAATAATAATGACTGAGAATTTTGCCCAAATAAATGCCAGACACCAAACCACAGGTCCAGGAATCTCAGAGAACACCAAACAGGATGAATGCCAACAAATGCATAGTTTATTATGATACAGCTATGCATATCAACTTTAAACTGAAGAAAGTAAAAAATAAAGACCAGTTTTGAAAAAAAAAAAAAAGCCAGAAGAAATAAACCCAACATGCTTATAGAAGAATTATATCGAACTTCTCCTCAAAAACTATGCAAGCAAAGGGAGAGTATAATATTTAAAATATTAAGGGAAAAAAGCCCCACTAACCCACAATTTTTACCCTGTGAAATTATCCTTCAAAAGTTAAGAAGAAATAAAGACTCTCAAACAAAAATTGAGGAACTTTTTTGCCAATAGACTTGTCTTGCAAGAAATGTTTAAAAAACTTCAAAGAAAAGGAAAACAGTATAGGTCAGAAATTGGATCTACATAAAGAAAAGGAAAACATAAGGGAAGAAATAAGTGAAGGTAAAATAAAAACATTTTTTACTCTTAATTGAGCAAGCAGATAACAATTTGTTAAAATAGTAATATTCAGTTATGTATTCACTTATGTATGCTTATGTATGTGTATACACACACACGCACATACACACATATATAGTTGACCCTTGAACAACATGGGTTTGAACTGTGTGGGTCCACTTAGATATGGATATTTTGTTTTGCCTCTGTTATCCTCAAATAACACAAGACTCGCCCCTCCTCTTCCTTCTCCTCTGCAACCTACTCAATGTGAAAGTGACAGGATGAAGTCCTTTATAATGATCCTCTTCCACTTAATTAGTAGTAAATACATTTTCTCCTCTTTATATAATTTTTTGAATAATATTTTCTTTTCTCTAGCTTACTGTACTGTAAAAAGGCAGTATATAATATATATATCATACAAAATGTATGTTAATGTACTGCTTTTGTTAACAGTAGGCTTCTGGTTAACAGTAGGCTATTCATAGTTAAAATTTTGGGAGTCAAAAGCTATATGTACATTTTCAAGTGTGTCTGATGGGGTCAGCACCCCTAAACTCCATGTTGTTTAAGGTTCAGCTGTCTGCCTCTGTGTGTGTGTGTTTGTGTGTGTGTGTGTGTGTGTGTAAACATATAAATAAGTGAAATGAATGACAGCAGTGACACAAGGAAAGGAATGACAGTGACAGAATTGGGATTATTTTGTTATTATATTAGACATTTGAACCAGCTGTGAAAGAGTATAGTTTTATTTGAAAATGGCTTTTTACTATTTGTAAGTGTATATTGCACACTCTGGAGAAGCCACTAAAAAGGTAAATAAAAAAAAAAAAGAAGTATAACCGTGTTTGGGACAATATAACAGAAATACTATAAATTGGGTGTCTTAAACAACAGTAATTTATTTCTAACACTTTTGGAGTCTGGCATCCAAGTTTGAGGTACCAAAATTTTTTAATATCTGGTGAGGATCTACTTCCTGGTATCTTTGCAGATGTACACCTTCTTGTTATATCTTCACAAGGCAGAGAGCAGAGAGTAACCTCTCTGACTTCTTCTAACAAAGGCAGTAATCTCATTTATGAAGGCACCACCTTCATCATCCAGTTACCACCCAAAAGCTCAAGCTCCAAATACAAACACATTGGAGACTGAATTTCAACATATAAATTTTGAGGGCACACAAACACTCAGTCAATAACAAACTGATATAAAAAGAAAATAAAGAAAATAATATTATAGAAAATCCTTACATAAGGCAGAACAAGAGTAGAAGACACAACTAGGGAAAAATGAGGAATAAATGTAAAGAGTAACAGATGTGATAGATATTAATCCAACAATATTAATAATCACTTTAAATGTCAATTGTCTAAATACTCCAAAAAATAAGGCTTAACTATATGTTGTCTATGATAAATCCACTACAAATATAAAGACCTATATATTAAAAGTAAAGAGTTATATAAATATATATCATGCTAACACTAATTTAAAAAAGGTAGAAGTATATTAATTTCAGACAGAGCCCACTTCAGATAAAGAGAATTCATCAAGAAAAAAGAGAAGCATTGTCTAATGATAAAAGAATCAATTCCCCAAATAGACACAATAATCTTTAATCCATCTAACAATATAGTGTCAAAATATGTGAGGCAAAACTGACAAAAGTGGAAGGAGAAATGAATGAATCAATCCACCGTTATAGTTGGAGACTTCAACAGGCTTTTGTCAGAAATGGACACATACTTCACATAGAAAACCAATATGGACACAGTTGAACTCTATAATATCAATCAGCTGTTACATGATGGACATCTATGGACTGTTTCTTCTGAAGCCAGAAGAATATTCCTTCTTTTCAAGCTCACGTGGAATATTCACCAATAAAGATCAAATTCTGGGCCATAAATCATACCTTATCACATTTGAAATAATATAAATTGTACAATATTTGCTTTCAGACCACAATAGAATTCACTAGAAATCAACACAAAGATAACTGAAAAATCCAAAGTTATGTGGTGAATAAACAACACACTACTAAATAGCATGGGTCAAGAAATAATTTCAAGAGAAATTAAAAACTATTTTAAGCTAAGTTAAAATGAAAATACAATGTATCAAAATCTGTAGGACGTAGTGAATGCAGTACTTACAGGGAAATTTATAGCATTGCATACATACATTAGAAAAGGAAAACAAACCTGTAAAATTGGTAAACTACAGCCTTAGGAAACTAGAAAAAGAAGAGCAAACTAAATCCAAGAGTAATAAGAAGAAAATAATAATTGAGCAGAAACTCATTCAATTGAAAATAGAAAAGCAATAGAGAAATAATGAAACCAAAACTAGTCCTTTATACATATCAATAATATTGATAAGCCCCTACTCAGGCTAAGAAACAAACTCAGAAAATACACAAATGACTAATATCAAGAAAGCAAGAGGGAAAATTACTACATATCCCATGGACATTAAAATGATAATAAAGGAATATTATGACAACTGTATGAATACAAATTTGGTAACCAAGTATAATGGACTTATTCCTTGAAAAGATGTCTTTATCAGCTCAGGCTGCCATAGTAAAACATTATATACTAAATGGCTTAATCAACAGAAATTTATTTTCTCACAGCTCTGGAGCCTGGATGTTCAAGATCAAGGTGCCAGCAATGTTTAGTTCTGGTAAGGGCTTTCTTTCAGTATTGAAGATGAGTCTATTCTCACTCTATGCTCACATGACAGAAGAGAGAACAAACTCTCTGAGACGTTTTTTTTTTTATTATACTTTAAGTTTTGGGGTACATGTGCACAACGTGCAGGTTAGTTACATATGTATACATGTGCCATTGTTGGTGTGCTACACCCATCAACTCGTCATTTAACATTAGGTATATCTCCTAATGTTATCCCTCCACCCTCCCCCGACCCCCACAACAGGCCCCAGTGTGTGATGTTCCCCTTGTTGTGTCCATGTGTTGTCATTGTTCAATTCCCACCTGTGAGTGAGAACATGAAGCGTTTGGTTTTTTGTCCTTGTGATAGTTTGCTGAGAATGATGGTTGCCAGCTTCATCCATGTCCCTACAAAGGACATGAACTCATCATTTTTTATGGCTGCATCATATTCCATGGTGTATATATGCCACATTTTCTTAATCCAGTCTATTATTGTTGGACATTTGGGTTGGTTCCAAGTCTTTGCTATTGGGAATAGTGCCACAATAAACATACGTGTGCATGTGTCTTTATAGCAGCATGATTTATAATCCCTTGGGTATATACCCAGTAATGGGATGCCTGAGTCAAATGGTATTTCTAGTTCTAGATCCTTGAGGAATTGCCACACTGTCTTCCACAATGGTTGAACTAGTTTACAGTCCCATCAACAGTGTCAAATGTTCCTATTTCTCCACATCCCCTCCAGCACCTGTTGTTTCCTGACTTTTTAATGATCACCATTCTAACTGGTGTGAGATGGTATCTCATTGTGGTTTTGATTTGCATTTCTCTGATGGCCAGTGATCATGAGCATTTTTTCATGTGTTTTTTGGCTGCATAAATGTCTTCTTTTGAGAAGTGGCTGTTCATATCCTTCACCCACTTTTTGATGGGGTTGTTTGTTTTTTCTTGTAAATTTGTTGGAGTTCATTGTAGATTCTGGATATTAGCCCTTGGTCAGATGAGTAGATTACAAAAACTTTCTCCCATTCTGTAGGTTGCCTGTTCACTCTGATGGTAGTTTCTTTTGCTGTGCAGAAGCTCTTTAGTTTAATTAGATCCGATTTGTCTATTTTGGCTTTTGTTGCCATTGCTTTTGGTGTTTTAGACCTGAAGTCCTTGCCCATGCCTATGTCCTGAATAGTATTGCCTAGGTTTTCTTCTAGGGTTTTTATGGTTTTAGGTCTAACATTTAAGTCTTTAATCCATCTTGAATTAATTTTTGTATAAGGTGTAAGGAAGGGATCCAGTTTCAGCTTTCTACATATGGCTAGCCAGTTTTCCCAGCACCATTTATTAAATAGGGAATCCTTTCCCCATTGCTTGTTTTTGTCAGGTTTCTCAAAGATCAGATAGTTGTAGATATGCAGCATTATTTCTGAGGGCTCTGTTCTGTTCCGTTGATCTATATCTCTGTTTTGATACCAGCACCATGCTGTTTTGTTTACTGTAGCCTTGTAGTATAGTTTGAAGTCAGGTAGCATGATGCCTCCAGCTTTGTTCTTTTGGCTTAGGATTGACTTGGCAATGCGGGCTCTTTTTTGGTTCCATATGAACTTTAAAGTAGTTTTTTTTCCAATTCTGTGAAGAAAGTCATTGGTAGCTTGATGGGGATGGCATTGAATCTATAAATTACCTTGGGCAGTATGGCCATTTTCACGATATTGATTCTTCCTACCCATGAGCATGGAATGTTCTTCCATTTGTTTGTATCCTCTTTTATTTCATTGAGCAGTGGTTTGTAGTTCTCCTTGAAGAGGTCCTTGACGTCCCTTGTAAGTTGGATTCCTAAGTATTTTATTCTCTTTGAAGCAATTGTGAATGGGAGTTCACTCATGATTTGGCTCTCTGTTTGTCTGTTACTGGTGTATAAGAACGTTTGTGATTTTTGCACATTGATTTTGTATCCTGAGACTTTGCTGAAGTTGCCTATCAGCTTAAGGAGATTTTGGGCTGAGACGATGGGGTTTTCTAGATATACAATCATGTCATCTGCAAACAGGGACAATTTGACTTCCGCTTTTCCTAATTGAATACCCTTTATTTCTTTCTCCTGCCTGATTGCCTGGGCCAGAACTTCCAACTCTATGTTGAATAGGAGTGGTGAGAGAGGGCATCCCTGTCTTGTGCCAGTTTTCAAAGGGAATGCTTCCAGTTTTTGCCCATTCAGTATGATATTGACTGTGGGTTTGTCATAGATAGCTCTTATTATTTTGAGGAGACCTTTTCTTAAAACAAAACAAAACAAAACAACAGTAATTCTGTTGTATCAGGGCCCCGCTCTCATGAACTCATTTAGCTCTAAATACTTTTGTAAAGGCCCTATTTCTAAATACAATCATATTGAGGGTTGTCTTCAACATACGAATTTTTAGAGAACATAATTCAGCCCATTGCAGATGCAATGTAACAAATCAACACAAGAATAAATAATTTGAATAGACCTATATCTATTAAAGAAATTAAATTAATAATGAATAACCTTTCCAAACATAAAACACCAGACCTAGACATGTTCATTGGTGAATTCTATCAAACATTTAAAAAAAAATATATATAAAATATCTACAAACTGTTTCAAAATATAGAAGAAGAGGAGCTATTTTCTAACTCATTCTATGAGATCAGCATTATTCAAATACCAATACCTAAGACATTACAAAAAAAAGAGTACAGATCGATATCTCTCATCAAAATAGATACAAATATCCTCAATAAAATATTAGAAAATGAATTCTACCAGTATATAGAAAGAATAATACCTCATGACCAAGTGGGATTTATCCCAGGTATGCAAGGCTGGTTCAATAATTTATTCAATTAATGTAATCTAGTACACAAACAGGCTAAAGAAGAAAAATTAGATGATTATATTAACAGATGCCTAAAAAGCACTTGCCCAAACCCAACATTCATTCGTGTTAAAAACAAATCTTTTAGCAAACTAGAAATAGAAGAGAATTTTCTCAACCTTATAAAGCATACCGTGTAAAAACTCACAAATAACATTACACTTAACTGTGAAAAACCAAAAGCTTTCCCAGTAATATCAGGAGAAAAGCAACAATATCAATATTCCTTTCAATCACTCCTTTTCAACATCATACTGGAAGCCCTAACTAATTCAGTAAGGCAAGAAAAGTAAAATATATACTCACTGGGAAGGAAGAAATAAACTGTCTTTGTTCACAGAGGTATAATTGTCTATGTAGAAAATCTGAAAAAAATAACAAAAACTTTTGTAAGTAATAAGCAATTATTGTAAGGTTTCAGAATATAAGGTTAAAGTACAAAAGTCTATCATTTCATTTATACCAGTGCTATAGATTGAATTGTATCCCATCAGTTGGGCTGGGCACAGTGGCCTGTGACTGTAATACAACCACTTTGGGAGGCCAAGGCTGGAGGATCACTTGAGCCTAGGAATTTGAGTCCATCCTGGACAACATAGTAAGACCTTGACTCTTAAAAAAAAATTAACTGGGTATAGTGGCATGTGTCTGTATTTCCAGCTATTTGGAAGGCTGAGGTGGAAGGATTGATTGGGCCTGGGAGGCTGAGGCCACAATGAGCGAAGATCACACTACTGCACTCCAGCCTGTGTGACAGAGTGATACACTGCCTCAAAAAAAGAAAAAATAAATACATTTTGAAGTTTTAACCTCCAATATAATTGGAAATGGGCCTTGGGAGGTAATTTAAGTTAAGTAAGGTCATGGAGTTGGGGTCCTGATGATGGGATTGATGATTTTATTAAGAAGAGGAAGAGAGATAAAAAATACTCTTTGTTATGTGAGAATACAGGAACACAGCCAGAAGGTGGCTGTCTGCAAGCCAGCCCTGACCAGGAACTTAATTGGCCAGAGTTTTGATCTTGGAAATCTCCCCCACTGTGAGAAATAAATACCTGTTGTTTAAACCAACCAGTCTGTGGCATTTTGTGATAGCAGATCAAGCAGACTAATACAACCAGCAATGAAAAAGGAGAATATTAAATTAAAAATGATATTATTTACATTAACACGCCAAATAAAATATTTAGGTAGAAATTTGACAAAAAATTTACAAGAACAATGTGAGGAAAACAAGCAAAACAAAAATACTCTTGTGAAAGCAGTCAGTTCTTCCCATTTTATCTATATTTCAACATAATCACAAAAATTTCAGCAAGTTGTTTTGTGATATCAATAAACTAATCCTAAGGTTTATGTGGAGAAGCAAAAACCCAGAACAGCTAACAATACAAAAAAAGAGGAGCAAAGTTAGAGGACTGACCCACCCAACTTTAAGGCTGACTATAAAGTTGCAGATTATCAAGATAGTGGATAAAAGAATAGACAGACTAATGAGTTTTGATTCATTAATAGCGAGTCCCATAAAGGAACCACAAAAATATAGTCAACTAATTTAAAAAAGGGGCAAAATTCATTTCGTCTTCCATCACTGATACCCTTTCTTCCAGTTGATAGCATCGGCTCCTGAGGCTTCTGCATTCTTCACGTGGTTCTGGAGCCTTGGCTTTCAGCTCCATCAGCTCCTTTAAGGACTTCTCTGCATTGGTTATTCTAGGTATCCATTCATCTAATTTTTTTTCAAAGTTTTTAACTTCTTTGCCATTGGTTTGAATTTCCTCCTGTAGCTCGGAGTAGTTTGATCATCTGAAGCCTTCTTCTCTCAACTGGTCAAAGTCATTCTCCGTCCAGCTTTGTTCCGTTGCTGGTGAGGAGCTGCGTTCCTTTGGAGGAAGAGAGGCGCTCTGCTTTTTAGTTTCCAGTTTTTCTGCTCTGTTTTTTCCCCATCTTTGTGGTTTTATCTACTTTTGGTCTTTGATGATGGTGATGTACAGATGGGTTTTTGGTGTGGATGTCCTTTCTGTTTGTTAGTTTTCCTTCTAACAGACAGGACCCTCAGCTGCAGGTCTGTTGGAGTTTGCTAGAGGTCCACTCCAGACCCTGTTTGCCTGGTATCAGCAGCAGTGGCTGCAGAACAGCGGTGGCTGTAGAACAGCGGATCTTGGTGATCCGCAAATGCTGCTGCCTGATCGCTCCTCTGAAAGTTTTGTCTCAGAGGAGTACCCGGCCGTGTGAGGTGTCAGTCTGCCCCTACTGGGGGGTGCCTCCCAGTTAGGCTGCTCGAGGGTCAGGGACCCACTTGAGGAGGCAGTCTGCCCGTTCTCAGATCTCCAGCTGCGTGCTGGGAGAACCATTACTCTCTTCAAAGTTGTCAGACAGGGACATTTAAGTCTGCAGAGGTTACTGCTATCTTTTTGTTTGTCTTTGCCCTGCCCGCAGAGGTGGAGCCTACAGAGGCAGGCAGGCCTCCTTGAGCTGTGGTGGGCTCCACCCAGTTCGAGCTTCCTGGCTGCTTTGTTTACCTAGTCAAGCCTGGGCAATGGCAGGCGCCCCTCCCCCAGCTGCCAACTTGCAGTTTGATCTCAGACTGCTGTGCTAGCAATCAGCGAGACACAGTCGGCGTAGGACCCTCTGAGCCATGTGCGGGATATAATTTCCTGGTGTGCCGTTTTTTAAGCCTGTTGGGA
The DNA here is from genome assembly GCF_000001405.40 of Homo sapiens. NCBI lineage: Eukaryota > Metazoa > Chordata > Mammalia > Primates > Hominidae > Homo > Homo sapiens. The sequence goes on from NC_000001.11 coordinate 102,312,651, forward strand.
AAGCGCAGTATTAGGGTGGGAGTGACCTGATTTTCCAGGTGCCATCTGTCACCCCTTTCTTTGACTAGGAAAGGGAACTCCCTGACCCCTTGCGCTTCTGGAGTGAGGCAATGCTCACCCTGCTTCGGCTCGTGCCCGGTGGGTGGCACCCACTGTCCTGCACCCGCTGTCTGGCACTCCCTAGTGAGATGAACCCGGTACCACAGATGGAAATGCAGAAATCACCCATCTTCTGCGTCGCTCATCCTGGGAGGTATAGACCAGAGCTGTTCCTATTTGGCCATCTTGGCTCCAGCCATCCCATTACTGGGTATATACCCAAAGGATTATAAATCATGCTGCTATAAAGACACATGCACACGTATGTTTATTGCAGCACTATTCACAATAGCAAAGACTTGGAACCAACACAAATTCCAACAACGATAGACTGGATTAAGAAAATGTGGCACATATACACCATGGAATACTATGCAGCCATAAAAAATGATGAGTTCATGTTCTTTGTAGGGACATGGATGAAATTGGAAACCATCATTCTCAGCAAACTATTGCAAGGACAAAAAACCAAACACCGCATATTCTCACTCATAGGTGGGAACTGACAATGAGAACACATGGACACAGGAAGGGGAACATCACACTCTGGGGACTGTTGTGGGGTAGGGGGAGGGGGAGGGATAGCATTAGGAGATATACCTAATGCTAAATGACGAGTTAATGGGTGCAGCACACCAACATGGCACATGTATACATATGTAGCAAACCTGCACGTTGTGCACATGTACCCTAAAACTTAAAGTTTAATAATAATAAAATTTAAAAAAAAGGGGGACAAAACAATATGGTGAAGCAAAGATAGTCTTATTGAGTCAGGATAGGTACTTAAGGAAGTAACCATGTCTTCAGGACGTGGCAATTGTATGAGCCCCAGCATTAGCATTTTAGTCAAGCTCATTAAAGCAAAGCTATCTCCAGCTGGAAATTTCCCCTGCAGAGAGCATGCACATTTTGATTTTACCTTCCCTAAAACTGACCTTTTGCTCATTATAATAGTAAAAACATACCACTGGGTGAATATTTAAGATCCTGTGATGTATGAACAAGCATGTACAGCTACTGCACATTTGCACCCAGAGGACCACCCAGAACATGCTTACTAGCAACACCTCTTCCCACCCCTTTATGGATAATCATGTAAGACTCCCATAAAAAGAGTTTCCCCAGTAAGAGTCAATACTGTCTCATCCTCATAAGCAGTCTGCCCTGTGTCCTCTTTCAGGGTGGTCTATTCTGCACCTGGCTTTCAGAATATTCTTTCTCCTTGGCAATAAATTGTTCTATGCTGAATCTCCATTGCTGGGTGTCTCTTGTTTAATTTTTTTTAACTAAGAAGATAAGAACTGAGATTTTACTACAGCTGTCAACATTTCTAATAAATGATGCTGGAACAACTGGACATCCATATGGAAAAAAATGAATATAGACACAGACTTTATACCTGTCAAAAAAACCTCAAATTAGATCATGAATGTAAATGTAAAATGCAAAAGTATAAAATTCCCCAGAGTGTGATATTCCCCTTCCTGTGTCCATGCGATCTCATTGTTCAATTCCCACCTATGAGTGAGAATATGCGGTGTTTGGTTTTTTGTTCTTGCGATAGTTTACTGAGAATGATGGTTTCCAATTTCATCCATGTCCCTACAAAGGACATGAACTCATCATTTTTTATGGCTGCATAGTATTCCATGGTGTATATGTGCCACATTTTCTTAATCCAGTCTATCGTTGTTGGACATTTGGGTTGGTTCCAAGTCTTTGCTATTGTGAATAATGCCGCAATAAACATACGTGTGCATGTGTCTTTATAGCAGCATGATTTATAGTCATTTGGGTATATACCCAGTAATGGGATGGCTGGGTCAAATGGTATTTCTAGTTCTAGATCCCTGAGGAATCGCCATGTACCCTAAAACTTAAAGTATAATTAAAATAAATAAATAAATAAAAAGTATAAAATTCCTAGAGGATAACATAGGAGATAATTTAAATGACCTTGTATATGAAAACAATCTTTTAGATATAACACAACACCAAGAAAGATAGAAGTGATTAGCTAGACTTCATTAAGATTAAAATCCCTGCTTTTAGAAAGACATCGTCAATATATAAATGTAGAAAAGTTTACAGACAGGGAGACAATATTTGCAAAGGACATATCTGATAAATGATGGCCATCCAAAATTTACAAAAACTCTTAAAACTCAACAGTAAAAAAAATAAACATCCCAACTAAAAAATGGGCAAAAGACCTGAACAGACCCCTCACCAAATAGGATTTACAGATGACAAATAACTATATAAAAAGATGCTGAACATCATATATTATTACAAATTGAAAATTAAACTAGAGAGATACCACTATAAACATGTGAGAATGACCTAAATCCAAAGTACTGACAAAAAAACCTAATGAGGTGTGGAACAAAAGGAACACTCATGCTCATTCATTCCCAGAGGTAATGCAAAATGATGGTACAGCCACTTTGGAAGACATTATGACAGTTTCTTAGAAAACTAAACATGCTCTTACCATATGGTCTAGCTATCATGATTCTTGGTTTTTACCCAAATGAGCTGAAAACTTATTGTACACAAAACCCAGCATCTGAATGTTTCTAGCAGCTTTATTCATAGTGCCAAAACTTAGAAGCAACCAACTTATCTTTCATGAGGTGAATGGATAAACTGTGATGCATCCAGGCAATGGAATATTATTTAGTGCTAAAAAGAAATGAGCTATCAAGTCATGAAAAGACATGGAGGATTCCTAAATGTATACCACTAAGTGAAAGAAGCCAATATGAAAAGGCTGCATACTGTGTGATGCCAACTAAATGACATTCTGAAAAGGCAAAACTATGGAGACTATAAAAAGAGCAATGGTTTGAAGGGCTTAGCAAGGAGGGAGGGATAAATAGGCGGAGTACAGAGAAACTTTAGTACAATGAAACTACTCTATTTGAACTATAATGGTGGATACATGTTGTTGTATATTTGTCAAAACCCATAGTATACACAACACTAACAGTGAATCCTAAGATAAACTATGTACTTTGGGTGATAATATATGAATATAGGTTCATGGATTGTAACAAATGTACCACTCTTGTGAGGGAGGTTGATAATGGGGAAGGCTCCATGTATGTGGGAAAGGGGATGATATGGGAAATCTCTGGATCTCCTACTTAATTTGTCTGTGAACCTAAAACTGCTCTAAAAATTAGTTTATTATACAAAATTATTTTAAAATGAGAGAAAAAAATTACAGTGGTCAGATTGCCCCAGTTGTCACTGATGCAAAACATATGTAAGGATTTGTATGAAAGAATATATTGCAAAGAGATATTAAAACACAAATTTTAGTTACAATATTGCATTACAAAAAATTGCTGTGACCAATTTGAAACTATCATGGCCATTATCGAAACAATGAAAACAATGTTTTTGCTTCAACTAACTAGTAATATGCCTGTTTTCAGCATATTGGGAAACAAAAGTCAATGTAGTTTAAGAGAACTATACTCTCATCTACTGATAGGACAAAGTCAGTGATAATATTTAACATTGAACAATGAAGGTGTAGATAATAAGCATGTGATAGGGAAATATAGTAAGTGTTAATAATATTTAATTCTGCATTGTAGACTGATTGATAAAAAGTGATGTGTTAGAAGAATTGGTTTTTATCACGAGCATTTATATATGTGTTTAGATGTTCCATGTTTATATAATGAATTTATACTTTATATGCACATATACAATTATAAAAATAAAATATGCCTTCCATCAGTATAGGTTTAGATGATAGGACATTATAAGGCTAGATGTATGCAGTAATATTAATGAGAAATTTAAATGGGCTAAATTTTAAAATATTTTTCTAATTCTTTTTCAATTCACCTCCTTTCCATCACCGTAATGGAAGTTACAAATAATACCCACAAAAATATTTAGAGTAATTTGCTGTACTCAGAGAAGGGAAAAGCTTTTGAGGTTTCTTGATGGACAAGCCCCATCTGGCACTTTTATCATTTGTGTGGACTCTGAACATTTTATAAAATACAGCACCTGGCAATTAGCACTGTAAAATCTACAGATAGATTCTGGTTATTTCATGCAGGTTGCTGCCAAGAATATGCTTTAAATTTATACATGCCATCCTTACTAGCCCACACGTTCCCTTCAAAATAGGAAGAGAATGAGAACCGTTGCTTGAATCACATTTACAATTGAAAAAAAGGATTTCAACTCAAACTCTCCAAGATAAGAGAACATAGTGTTGCAAGGAAAAGGTAAAGCTCAGTGGATGGCAAAAAGAAATGTTAAAGAAAGTGCTACCCATTATAAATCATTGATCATATAATTTATTATCCAAATCGAGATATTTTTAGAGAGGGTGTTACACAGCATTAAGGGGGCTAAGGTTATTGACAAGAAGAAACACAGTGCATATCAGATAATTGAAGTCCCTTTAGTTATCCACTGTCTTAAAAGATCTTTAGGATTATTAAGACCAATACATATGTTAGTAGTGAGCATTTATCATTTGCCTCCTCAGATTCCTGAGCCCTACTTTTGTTACAGCCCTACGTTTGTTTGTTTAATTACATCTTCCATATTTAAGTTCACATGATCTGATGGGGCTTCACTTCAGATTTCTATAGGCTAAAGTCTTTTGAAATCACAAAAAATATTGTGCACTAGCATTATTTATATTCTGATGTTTTGTTTGCTTGTTGATACCTTATTGGAGAAATTTCAGGCAAAATGTTTTGCTCATAAATATGTGAGCAAGCAAGAAAAGCAAAGTGTTAGTGGCAACTGTAAAAATATCTAATTCAATTTTTAACCTTTCTACAAATCCCCTCATTTCTGCCAAATAGCTGTTGATTTATTTGCAGCTTGCTATTCTGATGACATATGAGATCATTAGGACAATAAACCCCAATGTTCTCTTGTTTTCTCAAATTGAAGTGTTGAAGACTTAACTTTAATTATGCCCTTAAATTCCAATGTAGACACAGAAATAAGCAGCAAGCATCCTTCTAGGTCTATTTTATATCAATCCTCTTTTGTAATACTTTTTCTTATTTCTAGTGTTCAACATCATATCCTGTTTAAACTAGACTTGCCATAAATAATGCAAGAAAGCATGAATCAGTTTTAAATGCATATGATTTTGTGCATAAAAATAAGTGAATTACTCATTGACTACTAGGCAGGAAGTTTAGGATCACCTCGGTTGAATGATAACATAAAATACAACCTAAAGTTTTGTTCTATCATCCTTTACTGTCACTATTTAACAAAGCTTGTGATTATATTTTTGAAAAGCTTTAACTGTGCCATTTTTGTTTAGCTGTTAATGCCATTTCATTTTATGTAGTTCATGATACTCACTTTCATTAAAGTATATTACACACACACACACACACACACACACACATTTTGCACCTGTAAGATTTGTGATAGAACTGACTCTCAAAGATAGCTGCCACAAAGAATTATGTACAAAATCAGGCATGCTAAAAATATCATTTTTATTCTGAGGCTATGTATACACATGTCAAAACAACTGGTTGAAAATTTAAATTACTCAATCAACCAGTTATGTTGTCTACATGATGCTAAAACAGCCAGCTTGATTGATATTCATTCCCAACTGGATGAATTGACTCCATCGAACAGTTGACAATATCTTTATAATGAACAAAGTTGATCATTCCATATCTATGCTGAAAAATCTATCCATGATTTAGAGGACAAAATCCAAAATCCTTAGCTTGACATAAAAGGCCTTTCCAGAACTGTCTACTCTTTGCTTTTCTTACTCCACCTTCTATCATCCTCCCCACCTTGCTATAACAACATGCTGTTGATGATGTCACTTTCCTTCTGACATTTCAGTTTTGTAATTGTTTTCTATGGGCTGTTCCTATGACGGCATCCTCCCACCGTTTTCCACTGTACCTACTGGCTTGATTTGTTGCCTGAAAATTCTTTTTTTCACTTTTTAAAATATAGCCTGAAGGTCATATTGTCAGATGTGCCTTACCTTGCCCCCGCCTCTGCTCAATCTTATTTGCTTCCATAATATTTTCACTTAGGACATAGTAAATAAATAATTAATGTTAGTTCAATGAATATGGGAAAAAATAAATGAATGAATTGTTTAGTTATTTAATTTTTAAATCTGAGTAAACATTCCTAAAGTTAATTATGTATCCATTGTGCCTCTTCTGTGTTAATTTACTTGGAAATGTAATTTACATACTTTTAGTTTTGTGAAAACAAATTTGTGATTGAAGTGACACTATGTGAGGTCAGCAGTGTTATAAAAAGTAATCTAGAAAAATCAGGCTTATTGTCATATTTATTATTAATGTTAATGGGCATTTTTACTCAAGTCTTCATAAGCTTTAGGATATCTTGAATATTTTTCTTCTTCAGTTTAGTTTCATCTTCCTCAATAATCTTCCACAGTTGATTCTGGTGCATAAATGCCATACAGAATCCCAGATACAAATTAATGAATATTGTAGAGATTTTAAGGTATGAGGAACCAGAAACTCTCTTCTCTTTCCTTTTTGGTTTCAGAATCAATTGTTTTCACTTGGATCTGAAGCACCATATTCTGCTGACTTGCTCCTATCTTATTGGCCACTCTTCTCAGTCTTCTTTGAGTCTTCCTCCTCGTTCCTCAAACTTTGTAATACTAGTATGTCATGGGGTTTTGCCTTTGGATGTCTGTACTCCACACTCACTCTCTTGGATCACATCCAGTCTCATGGCCTGATAAAATGTTATATGCTTATGATTCCAAAATTTATGTTTGTAACTCATATCTTTCTCTGAACTTTGGTATTCACTTTCTACATTACATCACTACTTGTATAAATAGTAGGTATTTTAAACTTAACCTATTCAAAACTAAATCTCTTAATTACCCTCTCTCTTCCAAACCTATGCTCTTTCCTGCCTTAATTAATAACAATTCCATCATTTTAGTTTCTTGGGGAACATAAATAAACAAGTAAATGAAAAGATAGATATGCAGACAAGTATACAAGATAGACGGACAGTTGGAGTTAGAAACATCTTTGACACTCCTAATGCTCTATATGCAATCCACTGAAATACATCTACTATATTGCCACTTTGCAACACAACTATATGCATATTTACCTTGCGGGTGAAGACACTATCATCTCCTACTGTAATATTTCAATAGCCTTTAACTGGTTTCTGTACTTAGAATTGTATAACTTTAAAGTCTATTCTCAACTTAGCAGTCAAAGTGATCCTTTGAAAATGGAAGATCAGATTATGTCACTCTGCTCAGATCCTTTAACGGCTAGTTAAATAAAACGAAGATCTCAATATTCTTCATCAGCAGATGGTAACAGAAAATAAGTTGCTGTTTTACTGCTTGGAAGTTGATCTGAGTGATTCATCCTAACATTTCCTAGTTTAAGCTAGTTTTCATGACTGTACACATTCATTGCAGTGCTTTATAGGATTTAACTTGGATCATAGGCTATTTAATCAGATCTGTACTAATTAGAATCCAAAGTGCCTTATAATTATATTTTTGGAAAATGGTTTAGTAGGAAAAAAAAAGTCTTGAGAATCTCTAATGTTTAATAGTCAAAATCAAGATCCAATATAACAGGTTAAATTATTCCAAGGACAGTAGAGCACATGCTTACACATTAACAAGTAAAATGAGCTGCTCTCAAGCTTTTAAAGCAGGGATAGAAGTTAGGGAGGCAAAAAAGAAAGGTAATTAAAAATCGCAGCAGTTAATCATTTGGAGCAAATTACTCATGGAACATTCTGGGAACTATTACGAATTTAGTATTCATATTCAACTAGACTGAAAAAGGATGGAGGAAAACAATGAATAATAGTATTATTCTTAAGATATACAAGCTTCTTCACAGCTGTAGAGACTTCATTGGGCTTAATTTTAATTATGCAGAAAGACCAAAAATTCCAAGGAATTAAATAAATCAGTAATGCATGACATGTTATTAGCTTTGAATTAATAAAAAAGTATCATTTTGCATTTGTTTAAACAGGAAAGTAGTTAACAGAACTCTTTAAAGAAGCAAGAATCAAATTTCAACTCAACACAACTCAAAAGTTTAAGCACTGTAAAGTAATACTGCATTGTCTACTATCTTAGATATTAAGGATTTGTCAGGACAGTAAAACGTTCTGACATAGAGTAAAGAACACAGAAATAAGACTTGGCAAAATTATTCCATAGACTAGGCTCCTGAATTGGTAGTGGTTACTTATAGACATTAAAATATACATGGACTTTTTTTCTTTTTAATATTTACAGAGATTGATACTATCTATATTAAGAATTAAGATAGTCAAAGGAGTTGTCAATAAAAAAATTATTCTTCTGGGCAAGAGGTAGTAACAGGGTTGAAACCTACTTTACTGTCTGGAAAAAAAAGTAAAAATAATACATCAAGACTTAGAAGATGTTTTCTGTAAAGGGGCAAATATAACATATTTCAGCTTTGAGGGATATTCACTTTCTGTTGCAACTATTTGACTATTTGACTCTGCTATTATATCTCAAAATCAGTCACAGACTATATGTAAGTGAATAGGCATTACCAAATTTGGCCTGTGAGCCATAGTTTGATGGCACATGGAATATAGGAAACAATGTTTTTCTTTTCAAAATATTGGAAACAAATAATAAAGGAAAGTCATTCCTTTGACATGGGAAACAAATGAACTGAGTTTTTAAAAATTGTTATTTCCTCAGCTTATTATCTTTTCCAGACCATAATGAAAGGGTGGAGAATCCATGTTGAAACCTGGTGAGCCCTTACATTGAGATGCCAGAGTGAAGAGTCCAAGGAGACCTAGAGTTTGCAGGAAAAATAATAAAGAAGCTGGGAGAGGTAAGCAGAGAAGACCTCTGAAAATCTTCCAAATATCTTAGTCAACTAGTTCACAGAGTGCTGACCCACACCTGCATGTGAGGAAACTATTGGATACAAAAGCAGGGGTGAGGTGGGGTGAGGGGGTAGAATAGCACATGAAAAAAAATAGAGGGAATGGGAAAGCAGTACCCAGAGCTCAGAAGGCCAGAAATAGTGCCTATTCCCCCAAGCCAGAATGGAAAGCCTCATAATTCATGAAACATCAAATAGAGCACTTTAAAAAGCATCTTTCCTCCATAGTATGAGGCAGTTATCTCCAGAATAAATGCTACACTGGTTCTACCATTTGAAGGAAAAACTAAAAACAGAATGAAAACACCAAATTGTTTCCTAGTAACTTATGTGCAGCCCAGAACAAGGCTCAAAAATATATATGGTAATACAGAAATATTCCACCTGCAAAAGGCAAACTTCACAATGGTTGCCATTCTATAAAACTTTTCTAAGTATGGAAAAAAAAAGCAGGAAAATATAACCCCACAACTAACATAATATAATTCAATACAAACAAACTCAAATTTGCAAAGATGTTAGAATTAGCACGCAAGGAAAATAAAAAAGTTGTTATAACTGTATTTTATTCAGAATGGCAGACATAACACTGAGCAGGTTAAATAGAGACATGGAAGACATAGATGTTTTTAAAATGACCCAGCTTCTAAAAATGAAAACCAAATTTCTGTACTGACAGTAATACTGCATAGAAATAAAGGTAGCTTAGACATTACAGGAGAAAGTATTAGTAAACTTGATAACATAGCAACAGAAACTAGCTGCAGAGAGAGAAAGAGGATGCACTCAAAAAAATCTACAGAGTATCACTAAGTTGTGGGAAAGCTTTATGTAGCCTAAAATACATGTCCATGATACATATTTTACACACACACACACACACACATATATAATTGTATTGCTGCACACACACACACATACTGTGTTAGTCTGCTTTGCATTGCTATAAAGGAATACCTAGGACTGTATTATAAAGAAAAGAGGTTTATTTTGGCTCACAGTTCTGCTCTTCAGGCTATACAGAAAACATAGTGCTGTCATCTGCTTCTGGTGAGGTCCTCAGAAAGCTTACAGTCATGGTGGAAGGTAAAGGGGGAGCTGGCATATCACATGGCAAGAGAGGAAGCCAGAGAAATGCCATCCTCTTTTAAACAACCAGCTCTTGTGTGAACTGAGTGAAAACTCACTCAGCACCCAGGTGATGGTGTTAAGCCCTTCAATATGGCTCCACTCCTATGACCCAACACCTCCCGCTAGGTGCCACCTCCAACACTAAGGATCATATTTCAACATGACATTTGGAGGAAAAAAACAGGCAAACCATATAATACACATATACATAATTTCCATATAATAACCATATATAAATAAACCATATCCATATAATAATCCATATCCAAATAAACCATATAATATACACATATATATACATAAATTGGATAAAAACTCTGCGGTCACGAATGCAGGAAAAATAGTGATTTCCAAGGATAAAAATCATGAGGAAAACTACAAAAAGGCACATCATAATCTAATTGCACAAAATCAGTAATAAATAAAAAAAATCTTCAAAGCAACCAGATTTTGAAAAATAATGGTAGGTGCAGTGAAATAAATATATGACAATGCATCATGCTTATTGGAAATAATGCAAATGAAAAGGCAGTGGAGCAGCAAAATATGAAGAACAGTAAACAAGTAAATAGCAAAGAACATTAGAGATTGTAACAACAATTATAAGAACATTTTTTATATTATTTCTAAAAGTTAACAGGAGCAAAAAATAGCAAAACTCATAGGCATATGAGGAAATTACATGTATGTTATAACAGCTTTCAGAAACAGGAACCTAGTGGTCCTTATAAGAGTCAAAAAAGAAAGTAAGAAATTCAGGAGTCCCTCAACTTATATGTTAGAATTAGATTTTTTTTCAGAAGATAAAGACAATTTAGAGCATGTGTTGGCAAACTAGAGTCCAGAGGACAAATATGTCCAACTGAATATTTTTGCAAATAAAGTTTTACTGAGATATATTTTTAATGTGTTATCTCTGGCTCCTCTCACACTACAATGGCATAGTTGTGCAGTTGTGAACAAAGACGGTATGGTTTCCAAAACTGAAAATACTTATTAACTTCTACATAAAGTTTACTAACCCCTAAAACATTTAAAATATTTTTATTTCTCCTCTCTTTCAAAAATTTCATAGGCTCAACTATTACAGAAATGTAAATTAGATAAAATTTACATACCCTTAAAGTTATTTGAATTCCCTGGGTATTGCTCAGAAGATTGCATATAAAAATTGTATTTCTCTAAGCAGTGGTTTTCAATCTTGGCTACATACATATTTAACAATTCAAATGTCCAACCCATACTTCAGACTAATGAAAAGAGAATGAGTAGAAAAAGGAAGACACTATAATCAAGATTATTTTTAATGCACACCAGATAATTTCAATGAGCAGGCTAGATTAAGAAATATATCTTGGTAAAATATAATCTCTTTGCTCCTTCTATAATGTTCAGGGCAAGTAATGCATAGCTAAAAATGGATAAATTAGTAGACAGTATACCTCCAAAGACAATATGCTACTGAGGCAACATACTACTGAGGTAATATTTTAAATCACAATTACATTGCTTAAGTCTGAAAAAGAAACTTTGATTTAGTGTGCATACAGGTTTCAGGGAAAGATATGGGTAACTTGTACAAATTTTGTACGTTGATAATGTTTAGGTAAAAATTTTCAATTATCACTCTTTCATCTTATTTTATTTCCTTCAACTCTTAGCATGTGCGATCTTTAAAAACCTATTTGAAATATGAATTGACACAGAGAAAACAACATCATTTTTCTACATGGAAAGTTGTATTCTTTCAACCGAAGATAATATACAAACAAAAATAGAAAAGCAGCAAATCCTGGATTGCCAAGAAAAGAGATAAACTATTCTCTGTCCCTAATAAAGATGAATCTTCAGACAAAAAGAGTTATCTTTTGAAATACATGAAATTAGAGAAGGTGAAAACTGTTAGTTATAAAATCGTATATGGAAAAATGAATACAATCAAATGATGAATCTTGAATATAAATTTATTAGGAATTCATTAATAGAGAAAGTGAGGTGCAATCTGAAAGTAAAAAAATTACATTATGTATCTCTAATGAGGAAAGCATGTTCTTTGTTTTCTCAATGTTATTTTTGGAAATGTACTACAAACTGCAGAAAATAATATAAGGTTAAAGCTATAATACTATTATTGCTTAAACTGAAGACCTTGGAAAAGTATAAATGTTATAAAATTAACAAGTAATAATTAATAATATGACTTTTTTTCTGTACCAGAAGAAAAAAATAAGATATTGCCAAATTAAGTTGGTTCCAAGTTATAAAGAGAGGGGAATGGAAATGGTCATTTGAAGATTTAAAACACATGTAATAGTAATATTAATGCTAAAAGTCATGTTAACAAAAATAAAACAATAATAGAATTCATAATTCATAATTATAATTTCACAGGGATTTTCTCCTTGAAATTGAAATAAATTATTGAAATAAATTATTTCCCTTGAAATTGAAATAAATCTCTATAAATAATTTTATAGAGATTTTTCTCATTGAAATTGAAATAAATGACTTTTTTTGCTATAAATATTGAATCTAATTTACAAATATGCAACTTAATGAGAATTACAAACTGTATGAGGAGAAATAGGCTTCATTTTTTTGAAATATATATACTCATGAGACTGATGAGTCAGTAAGGGGAAGGTAATTTTGTAGCCTAAAAGGAATCATAACCTCTTCCAGTTTATTCAATTTCTTGTGGATAAATATTTTTTCATAATTTATCTCTGGACTTTTAAATTTTTTTTCTAGGTTCAAATAAAATTTGTATAAGCTCAGGTCCTTATGAGAGAGACATTTGCTACTGCACACTATTTTTTCCAATCTTCACTCAATGAGCTGAATTGCTTTATCTATTAGTACCTTGAGTACCTGGGGTATCCTTCAGTTCATCTGCAGATAGGTGTTCACATACAGATAACTCACAGTATCTTCTCTCACATGATCATTTTCTACCCATAGACCCCATTCTGACTCTGTATCACCTCAAGTTTTCAAAGGCAGTGTTGATGATCTGAAAGAAGTCACCTCCTCTATGTGAACCAAATTATTGCTTCTCAAGTAATAGACAAGGAAACAGCAGTATTAGACCCTAGATAATTAAACAGAGAACATTGGAATTACATGACTGTAAATTAATTATACTTAATACACATAGAGAAATAAAATCAGTAATTAAAAACATGAGAAAGAGGAAGATATCGTTAAAAAGGATCTGGCTGATGTTGAAAATAACTTAATTCTGAGTAGCTGGCCATTCATGTTCATAACAGAAAGGGTACAAAATGGTCAAATATGTCTCTCCAGCAAACATTTATCTGCAGAAACATTTATTTGAAAAACTAAAAACATGTACAAAAATACCTTCACGGGAGCTAATAAGACCACGTAAGAGGTCACAGTACCTGGTTATAATAAAATAATAAGAAAAAGCACATTAAAGAAGGTGGGAAGGATAGTTTTACATTATGTGGACCCTCCTCCAACCTCAGGAAGCACAGCATGGACAGAGATACCATCTGACTGGGGAAGAGAGAGGGAAATGAGCATAGGGGTTAATTAGTTGGACCCTAACACCAGGCTTGCTACAGTAAAACCTAGGTTGGTCAGACTCTCATGGCCTCTGACTCCAGGCCAGTACCCATGGACTGAGCTTTTAGATCTGCCTCAGTGCCAGGTGGGAGCCTATACACACTGTGAGGCAGATTTAATTTTCTATAAATTATAAATAAAAATTCTATACATAATGGAAAACAGCATGGAAGTCCTCAAAAATTAAAAATAGTACTACTGTATGATCCAGCAATCTTACTTCTGTGTGTTTATCCAAATAAATTATAATTAGAATCTCTAAGAAATAGAGACACTATTTCATTGTGGCACTATGCACAATAGCCCAAGTTGTGAAAACGACCTGGAAATGTCCATTGACAGATGAATGGATAAAGAAAATTTAGTATACAAATAAACTGAAATACTATTCAGCCTTAAAAAAGAGAAATTTTCAACATGTGACCACATGGATGAACCTTAAGGACATTAGGGTAAGGGAAATAAGCCAGTCACAGAAAGGTGATAAATACTGCAGGATTCCACTTATCTGAGGTATCTAAAATAGGAAAACTTGTATAATCACAGACTGGAATGGTAGTTGCCAAAGGCTGAGAGAAGGGGGAGATATGTAACTATTAATCAATGAGCATAAGATTTTAGTCAAGCAAAAGGAATAAGCTCTAGGGATGTGCTGTACAACATTGTAATTATAATTAACAATAATGTACTATACTCGATGTTATAAAAAATTAGCAAGTAATAATTAATAATATGACTCTTTTTTATGTACCAGAAGAAAAAAAAATAAGATATTGCCAAATTAAGTTGTTTCCAAGTTATAAAGAGAGGGGAACAGAAATGGTCATTTGAACATTTGTTGAGACGATTAAAAAAATGCCAATACATACACACACACACACACACACACGCCCCTCAAGTAATTCTAAAGATGACAGAAAAAGAGGGCAAAAACACAAGAAAGATTAACAAAATAGAATATATCAATAAAGATGGAAGATTTTAATCTGGCCATATAAAAATTACCTTAAATACAAATTATCTAAACAATAAAATACAGAGGTTATCAAATTGGTTAAATAATTGAGGGCCAACTCTATGCTATATTTAATAAACCAATTGTAAATACAAAGACAAAGTAAGTTTCAAAGTAAAATCATGGGAAAATATATACCACATCAACATTAACCAAAACAAAGCTGAAATAACTATAGTAATATTAGTCGAAGTAAAGTTTAGAAAAAGGAAATATTGCCAGTAATGAAGCAGGACATTGTATAACAATAAATTGGTCAATTCTGCAAGAAGAACTAACAATTCTAAATGTTTATACACCTAACAACAGAACTTCAAAAATAAATAAATGTAAAAACCTCAGAGAATTGAAAATAAAAGCTGAAAGTTCACAATTATAGTCAAGACGTCAACACTCCTCTCTCAGTAGTTGATAGAACCAATATACACAAGTAGATTGAATACACACAAATGATAGAAGCCATATAACCAAGTAAGATTATAAAAATATCTGAAAAACACTATCAACCAACTTAATCTAATGACATTATTATAATATACTGACCACAACAGGGGAAAGTATATTTTTTCCCATCTGCATATGACAAAGTCATCAACATATACAGTATTCTGTGCCATAAAATATACTTTAACAAAAGTTAAATAATATAAATTACATCATGTATATTTTTGGTTCATAACCAAATTATACTTGAAATCAGTAACAGAAAGATATCTTTACAATTCTCAAATATCTTAGCATGAAACACAGTTCTGAGTAGCACATTGGTCACAGAGAAAACCACAAAGGAATATAGAAAAAAAGGTTTAATTCTAAGCAAATAAAAATGCAACATATCGAACTGTGTGGAATGCAGAAAGAACAATGTTTAGAGGGATGTTTATCGCATAAAAGGCTTATATTGGAAAAGAAGTAAGGTCTCGAGTCATTGATGTAAGCTTCTACCTCATAGAAACTAGAAAAAGAAAAAAACAAAATTAGCTGGGCACGGTGGCGCCTGCCTGTAGTCCCAGCTAATCGGGAGGCTGAGGCAGGAGAATCGCTTGAACCTAGGAGGCTGAGGTTGCGTGAGCGGAGATCTCACCACTGCACTCCAGCCTGGGCGACAGAGCAAGACTCCATTTAAAAAAAGAAAGAAAGAAAGAAAAAACAAACAAACAAACAACAACAAAAAACAACAAGACAAGAGCCATTTAAACTGAATTCCTACAGCATCCAGAGCATAATAATAAAGAGCAGAAAGCAATAAAATTTAGAAAGAAAAAATAATAGAGAATATCAATGAAGCAGAAAGCTGTTTTTTTAAAAGAATTTGATAAGCTTTTTAAAATTTCAGCCAGATGACCAAGAATAAAAATAAAATAAACAAATTACAAATATCGTTGATAAAAAATGGACATATCATTAAAGTTTTCTGCAGATACTGAAAGCATAAATCAATAGCGTGAACAGCTGTAAACTCTTAAATTTCACAACTTTGATGGAAAAGGAAAACTCCTTCAAATTACAAACTCCTAGCATTCCCTGAAGATTAGTTATTTTTTGCCACTTACCAATATTACAAACTTAGTAAGCAACATAAACAAAACAAATTTATTATCTAGCAGTTTTTTGGGTGAGGAGTCCAAGCATAGCTTGGTTGCACCTCTGCTTAGGGTGTTATCAAAAGAAAACCAAGATTTCAATCAGTGCTGTTGTTTCATTGATGTTCCAACAAATTTATTAAACCTATACCAGTTACTTTGTAATTATTAGAATTCTTTTTACATTTAGGAAAAATTAAATAAAAGCAAGGATGACCACTGATGCATTTCTAATCAAACTAGTGTGGAATGTCTAAATTAGCTAAATAAAGGAGGCAACAATGCAAGCTTAAAAATTGGAAATGAAGAAATAGAGTTGCCATTATTCTCATAGAAATACAGACATATGAACTACATAGGAAACAAAAAAGTATCTCTAGACAGCTTGGTAAAAATGTCTAAAAAATATCTAAAAATCTCCTAGATATAAAAATTTCAATATATAACAATAAACCATAGTTTTGTACATTAGCATTACAAAATTAGAACACGTAATTTCAAAAAGATATTATACACCAGAAAAACAAAATAGTAGGAAAAGTTATTAAATTATGTCAAAATTTTCTTGAAGGTCCTCAATGGGATTGACGAACTTTATAAATCAAAAGTTTTGTTCTATTTTTTCTATGTCTGGAGACCAGGAACATAGAGTAGCTTCCCACTTCCTGGACCCGTAGAAATGTGACTCATTTTGTTACTTGTAAATTCTTCACATACCATATCATCTATTTTGATTATCGATAAGTATCACACATTTATATAATTACTATAAAATGATACATGCTTTTTATGCTTTACAAATAATTATGCTTTATTTAATAGGCTATGAAATGATGCATACATTTAGTAATCATAGCTAAATTTTTATGATTATAAGTGACAGATGTCTGTAGCTTGAAATCATTTTAACTTGACATTTTCAATTATATAGCTATATTGATGAAAGAAGACTAAGAAGCTCTCAGATGACAAATCCCATTATATCAACTTTATGTATAGCTGTCAAGATCTAATAATTCCAAAGGGATATAACTGTTCTTGACTAAAAATGCACAGGGAAGGTCCTCTTGGCAATTTGAAATGCAATATAATCGCTCAGATATAAATGATAAAAAAGATTACGAGTCTATATTTTAACTTTCAGTTATCCTTGAAAAATGATACTTTGAACTTGAAGCAATAATTAACCAGTAAGATTATATTGCTTAGCAAATTTATGTAATCTGTTTATTTGCCACAAATGTTTAAATAAATGTGTGATTTGGAGTTTATAATCAGTGTTGGAGACATTAGATTGCTTAGATTTTAAGATTCCTTCTGTCTAATATTTCTTTCAGCACCTTGCAACTCAGTCCTTTTCAATCAATATTTGAAGGGCAATTTTCACACAAAGCATCATGTTTAGTTCTAATACTTTCACAGAAACCTCTTTGTATCACAGCACAATTCTGATCTATTAAAAATTATCATGAATTGTTTCTATTAAGGTTATAATAAAACCCCTCTTAATTTATCCTGTTTTAATTTTTCTTTAGTTTTTGAAAATGTTATATTTTAATTGTTAAGCCTTAAATAAATATAAGGGTCTTCTGTTTATTACTGAACAGATTAAAAATTCACATATATACATATATTTTGAATATTGAATATAAAACGGGATGGTGGTTAGGATTGAAGAACTAATAATTATTTTTAAAAATATTTTAAAATATTGACATAATCTTCTAATTTCTCTTTGATACTTGCCCTGTGATTTCCACGTAAATGTTTTGCAGAAACTATGATGTCTCACAAACTATTTATCAATGATTAACTGAACCCAATAATTCCTTCTCCACTCTTGAACTCCCTGCTACATTTTGAAACATGTAAATCATTTTTTGAGATATAATTGATGAAAATAAACTGCACGTGGTTAAAGTTTATAAAATTTAATACATTTTAATATATGCATACACTGGTAAAATCATTATCATAATCAAGATGATGAACATATCTGTAACCCTCAAAGGTTGCTTATGACCACCCTTGATAATCACAACTGTTAAGGCCTTTTGTCTCTCCAGGTAACCACTGACCTGCTCTCTATTTCTGTACCTCAGTTTGCATTTCCCAGTATATCCTGTAAATGGAATTATGCATAAGACTCTATTTTAGCCCAAGATAGTTTAACTGGTCTGTAGTAGTAATACAGATATTAGAAATGGAGGTTGGATTTGAATAGTCAGGTAAGGCCCTACTGAAAATGAGATAAACTCCTGAAATGATAAGAGAATTAACCATTTACATACCTGTGAATAAAATGCTATGGATAGAAGCATAGCATATGCAAACACTCTGACAGACACAGGGGCATGCTTTATGGGTTCTTGGAGTAGCAAGGAGGCCAGCGTAGTTGTAACAAAGTGAATGATGTGGAGGGTGGTATGAGATTAAGTCAGAGGTATAATATGGTGTCTGTAGTGTTAGTTTACTAGGGCTGCCATAACGAAGTATTACAAACTGGTTGTCTTAAATAACAGAAATTTATTGTCTTACAGTTCTAGAGCACGAAGTCCAAGATCAAGGTTTTGGCACAATTGGTTTCTTCTGAGGGGTCTCATAGAAGGATCTGTTCCATGCAATCACCTAGCTTTTGGTAATTTGTTCACAATCTTTGATGTTCATTGGCTTGTAAAAGCATCACCACAATCTCTGTCTTTATTTTCAAATGGCACTCTCTCTCTCTCTCTCTCTCTGTATGTGTCTAAATGTACTCTTCTTAAAAGAATACTAGTCATATAGGATTAGAGGCCCACCCCACTCCTGTATAAACTCATTGTAACGTAATTGATTACATCTCCAACAACCCTATTTTCAAATAAGGTCATGTTCTGAGGTACTGTGACTTGGGACTTCAATATATCAATTTTGGGAGAATGGTGGCACAATTCAACCCATAACAAAAATTCAACCCATAAAATGGTATAAACCATCAAACATTTAGAGACAAAATTATACCAATATTAAATACATTATTTCAGAAAAGAGGGAAGAAGGCTACAGTTCCCTATTCATTTTATGATGGCATCATAAACTTAATACAAAAATAAGACAAAGACATTATGAAGAAAGAAAATTATAGACCAATATCTTCCATGAACACAGACAGCAAAATGTTTAATTAAATCTTATGAAATAGAATCCTGTAATATATAGAAAGGATAGTGTATTACAAACACATTGTGTTTGTTCTATGGAAGCAAGCTTGATTTGTCATAAATCATATTAATCAATCAAATTAATAAAAATGAGAATAAAAATATAAATAACTCAGAAAATTATGTAAAATTTGATGTAATTCAGCAAAGTATTATAAAAATTATCAAAGTAGAGATTGCCTGGTATTTCTTCATTCAGATGAAGGGCACTGCTAACTGCCTAAAGATAATGTTGCCCTTAATAGTTAGACATTGCACAGTCTTTTTCATAAGGATCAGAAATAAAGGAAGGATGCACATTTGTACACTTCTATTCACTAGTACACTGGAAGTCTAGGCTGATGCTGTAAGGAAAGGAAAACAAATAAATAGCATAATGTTCTGAAAGGGATAAGCAAAGCATATATCTACACAAAGATTCATGTGTTCTAATTCAGAGAAATTTTATTCATAATATTCACAAACTTATTTGTAAGTTACTTACATATCTGTTAATAGGAGAATGATAGGCAAATTGTAGCATATTCATATAATGGGACATTGTGCAATAAACACAATCAAACTACTAATATGAACAACATGGATGAATCATATATGCACTATTCTGTGAGAAAGAAGATGGACATAAAGTAGAACATAAGGCATGATGCCATTTATATTAAGTTCCTGAATAGGAAAAAATAGTCCATGGTCATAGATGTAGAAAATGATTGTCTAGTAGTGGGGGAAGCGACTGGAAAAGATACATTCAAACTTGCTGAGAACATTGTTATGTTTTCTATCTTGTGTGTTTGTTACATAGGTGTCTACAGTTGTCAAAAGTCATGTAACGGAACATCTAAGAGTGCTACATTTTGTTTTCTGTAAATTATACCTCAACAAATGAATGAATGAATATGAATGAACCTATAAGTCACAAATGACCACCCTGCATCTTCCTATCCTGATTGTCATCTCTCCTCCTCAAAGAATGGTAAAAAGCACCTAGCCTCAATGAACACTATTAATGATGGGATGGTTCTAGATTTTTCCAGTGTGTTGTAGTGAGGTGAATCTTGGAAATCACTGTCACAGCATTATATTTTAGAGAAAGAAATTAAAGATGTAGGAAATTCAGTTATATATCTAAATTCACTTAGCAATATAGCTGCAAGTTTGGTTATTTTAGCCCGTGTTTTAAAATATTTTAGTTGGTAATTATTTTTCATAATAATAGATCTTAAGGTAATAAAACAACTCAAAGCAACTAAAAGATTAAGCATTGAAAATATTTTATCTTATGAGAAGACGGCTTACACCCTGGAGTAAGAATCATTCAGAAGTCTATTAATCTACCCTAAGAAGGATATTATCTGTAGAAAATATTGACAACAGAAGGGAAAATAACACCTAAGATGTACATTTTTGGTAAAAATTATCTCATATGAGTTTAGGTAAATTTAGGTCAAATAAATTGTTATATTTATTATCCTGAAATATATTTTAAAGCCAAATAGTGGTATGTTTTCTATATCTGCCTGAGAGTTCTGAATCTTGATCATAATTATGATTCTATCATTTTGTTAGTCAGAGGACTCTTACAGACAGTTCTCAGTGTAGCATCCCAGTACCCTCTAAAGTGACTTGCTGGCAGTCAGTTTTCTATTCTATATAATGATGTAAGATAGTGTAAAGATGTGATGACTTCTACAAAAATTCGAGGTTTTCTCCTTCAGGGAAACATACACACACACACACACACAAACACACACACACACATCCCACTGAAAATGTGTTCTAATTATCTTTGTCAACTTGCTTTTTCTTCATGTCACTCTAACAATTCTTTCCATGTTTACTTGGACAGGGAGAAAAAATAGTAGCTTTCCCTCTTTCCTCCTGACAGTTACCAGACTCATAGAAGTCCAACATCTGTTAAGACACAGCTTTGCTCTGATTATTTTATTCCCTGTGATCACTCTTTACTCCATTTAAATTTGTGGACAGCAAGTTTTCTAGAGTCTCAGTAATTTCTTGGTATGAGTTGTTGAAAGATATTCCCTGCTTTATGTGTTCTAATGAGCCCAGTGGTTCAATCTGAGTGTCTGTGTCTGGTGAAAATAATAAGCCTGGCAACTCTGTTAGTCACAGACATGTCTGCAATGAAGGGTGCAACGAGCTTCAGGTTTAAAATAGACCTTTCTATTTGAAGCAAATAGGGTTTCAAACACTCATACTGGATTTTCTTTTCTTTTTATTTTTGCATCAGGTGGCATTTTAAAATTATAAAGATATACCACAAATCTAGAATTGTCTTTTTAATATTATTTTTATCTCATTCAGAAAAACAAAACAAAACCAGCAATACATATTACCCCGTGAAATGTTAGCCTCAGGAGGCTTCAAAAAAGTCACACATTGTTTAAATGTAATCTGTAATCTGTCGAGAATTTTCCTAGTTGAGGTCAGAGGTTAGAAATCCAAATAGTTAAGCAGTAAGCAGTAGTGAATTTTCTAAGATCTTGTTTAAATATATTGTAATATATGGTAGTTTAAAAATGTATTTGAAAGCAATAAAAATAACATTCTAATATTATTATACTGAACAGATTATTATTCTATTTTGTGTGTGTATATGTGTGGGTATTTTACTGTCCTGAAAAAGCCCTTAGCTTGTTTAGACCCAAATTAATCCTTTTAGATTTGAATTATGTTGTTAGGAAAATATGTCTTCTGAATTTAGTCTGTAATATTTTGGACTATTAATCTATTATATCACATATGTATATTTTCAATATTAATTAGAAATGCCTGCCAGTTACAGAGATTTCATATCACAAATTTTATAATTTCAGTGTTTTGCTTGATGGCGGACAAATACAAAATTACTTTGCTCTCGAAGTGGATATTTCATTTTAACCATACTTTCAATTTTTTTTTGTTTTCTAATAAGTGATTAACAACCAGATTTAACACATTTGAAATGCAATATGTATAGAATGACAAAAATGTTTAAGAAACTGATGAAAAGCCTTTCATTGAACCATTTTTTTATTGCCATGCATTTAAGTTTACTTTTTTCAGTTGTTTCAAGTATTTGCATTTTGAAAACACAGTTCATTTTATTGTTTAGGACTGTTTAGGCATATAAAATAGTTTCTAACAGGCGGCTACTTTAATAAAAAATGCATACTTACAGCAGCAAAATTCATTTCATGATTTCTTCTCTTATACAGATATTTTTGGTTTAATTTGATTTAATTTTGGGTGTTTTTTTGTTGTTGCTGTCTTTTTAATTTTGATTTGTTTGGCATTGATCAATATAGTTTATTCTAGTAGTAACTCAGAAGAACACATTTTGGACAGGAGAAAAATCAAAAAGAGTATTTAGTGTTTCTAATTTTACTTAGAGTATCTCTGACAGAATTTTTTTTTTTCAGGAATCTAGGGTGTCAGTAATATACTGAAAGAGTTCATAGAGTTTTCAGAGAGGTCCAATTTATAAATAAGAAATAGTTTAGATATAGAAAGCACCTGGACCTACCATTTATGCTCCTTGAAGAAAGTAGGCATAATATTTCATGTGATTTTTCTGCCCAGTGATTTCCCAGTGGTGAGAAAGTTGCCTCTGGAAATTGGAGTGTTATTTGGATTCAGGTTTTCTATCAATTTTAATAGTTAAATTTGCGAAGCACATTAAAAAAATAACTTGACTGAACATGGGTAAATGTGGAATAAGCATCCCAGTTTTTTAATGCCATTAATCAGTGAATCTTAGGTAAAAACTGAGGTACTTCCTCTTTCTGAGAAGTTTGCTATGAAGTTAGATACAGTTTGATATCACTGAAAGCATCCTGAAATTCTCTTATGAAAGTATCAGTCAAGCCCAAATGTACTGTGAACACAATTATTTAAAGTAATATTGACACACTGGTGGCATGCACCTGTAGTCTCAGCTTCTTGGGAGACTGAGGCAGGAGGATTGCTCGAGCCTAGGAGTTTGAGGCTGTAGTGTACTATGATTGCACCTGTGAGTAGTCTCTGTGAATAGTCATTGCACTTCAACCTGGGCAAAATAATGACACCTGTCTCTTAAGAAATTGTTATCAACCTTTGATAAAAAGTATAAATTATTATACAGTCATATTTTAAAATTACATTAAGAAGGAAAATATTTTATAACTGATCTTGCCTAACTTATAATCATAATTGTTGTATAGTATTGTTGAAAGTGATTATAAATAGATAATGAAACAATGTGTATCATTTATCTAACGCACTATAAGGAGATTTAAATATTTTGTTTTCTGCTGGGCATGATGGCTGATGCCTGTATTTCCAGCTGAGGCAGGGGTGGATCACTTGAGGTCAGGAGCTGGAGATCAGCCCGGCCAACATGGTGAAACCCCGTCTCTACTAAAAATACAAAAATTAGCTTAGGTGTGGTGGTGCATGCCTGTAATCCCAGCTACTCGGGAGGCTGAGACAGGAGAATTGCTTGGACCCGGGTGGCAGAGGTTTCAATGAGCTGAGAAAGCACCACTGGACTCCAACCTGGGCAACAGAGTGCAACTCTGTCTCAAATAAATAAATAAATAAAATAAATAAATAAATAAATAAATAAATAAATAATTTTGTTCTCTAGTTTTCTTAATAGTTTGATTCTAACAAATAGACGTATTTTATGCTTAAGTGTATACAAATGACAGTGATATTATATAGAAATAAATACAAATTGATATGTATTATTTCATTGTACCAGAATGAAAAATGTAAGCCGAGTTAAGTTACATATGGATATTTGCATATAAGTTAATAATCAAATAATTTTCAAGTCTTAAACTTTAATTTTATATTTTGAACATTATATTTGGAACTCGTTTTCTGCAGTTTACCTTAAGCAGATAGATAACCCAATTACATCGTCAATTAAATTTAGCCCTTTATAAATGACTATATAACATCAATTCGATTTAGTCTTTTATGTGAGCATCTCCTTAAAGATCTTTATTAGTGTATATGGTCAATGACAGTCTCCTAAATTTTCAGCAAACTCTTTAAAATAATTTTGAAATCTACATAAAAATTGCATATTTTAAATTAGCATTAACTATTTTCATCATACTTAAAATTAACTCAAAATAACATACATTTTGTGTTATTAGCCTTAAAGCATATATTACTTTGGAAAGCTATCTAATGAAATATAAATACTGTAGTACATTGATTCCCATTTTTGCCCATTTACATAAACTGTTTAAAATAAATTTTAAATTGTTCCTTTTATTCTTTGAACACATATTCACTTTCTATTTGCCTCACATGTTATTGTACCATATTTTTATTCTAGTAATTCATCTACTAATTATTTTAGTCATGCTTCTCTATAATAACAATGCAAAAATAAATTGAATTAGAAAAATTATTTCCTATGATTATAATACGCCTATGTTGACAGATTGTTTTTCCTGGATTGAGGTGATACTACAATTATTATTAGTGTCTAATTTGGTAAAATGTAAATACTGTA
This sequence comes from Homo sapiens, assembly GCF_000001405.40. Taxonomy (NCBI): domain Eukaryota; kingdom Metazoa; phylum Chordata; class Mammalia; order Primates; family Hominidae; genus Homo; species Homo sapiens. Next base: position 102,337,730 of record NC_000001.11, read on the forward strand.
TAATTTGGTAATTATTAAACATAAAAAACAAAGTAGTATCTGAAGTGATTTGCTTAATGAGATGACTAAGGTTGTTTTGTTTTGCTTTGTTTTGCTTCTTAATCAGTGCATGCATTTGTAAAATAAATTATGGCTAGAAAAAGACAATATTTGATATCAATTCATTTTCTAATGTTTTCAACAATTGAAGATGTTAATTATAAAAAATTCGCAAAAATAAGTCAATTGGAATTGTAGAAAATTTTTATAACAATGTATCTATTTTTAAAACTCATTCTAAGTTTGTATTGAATATAATATAAAAGGAGTTTTATTTTTAGTTACAGAGAGTAGAAGGAAGATAATTTGAAACTACTTTACTTTTGGAAAGTACATAACCCTGTCATTAGAATCGTTGACTGTAACACATTCTGAGAAAAAGATATTCCAAAATATCACCAATATAATCAAATTATTATTAATTATACTTTTTAAACTTACAGGTACCTTTTCCCCTATTTTTCTTTTCTTTTTCTTCTTTTTTTTCTAGTCAAATAAAGCATTGGGAGTGGAGATGGAACAAAGAAGTCGGTAACTGATTGTGTTTACAAGCATCTTTTATCCCTGATAGACCAAATGTTACAAAAATGGAAATAATACGGATTTCATCATGCCTTTGTCAATAAAACATTTTACATATACTTTTAATTGTTACTTCCTTCAATATTTTGTCAAAAATGAAATTTCATATTTATCTAATTTTATGAAAAATATTCAGCATATGAACCATTTGGTAAAGATAGACTATAATTCTATTTAGTCAAAGCAAACTTAGACATCTGATTTTTCTAGTTCAAAATTACAACATAATGCATACTCATAAGAAATGTAAGATTTCTAAAATTTAATTCTAAGAGAGATAAAACAACAAAAGGTATAACCTTGCTGCTAGGTTGTTGTCTGGGTACTAATAAAGCTAGGTAGACTCAGTATCTCTTTTTAAGAATTTTTTATTTTACTTTCCTGGTACTCTCTCTTCAAGTGATATATTCTTTGACTGTGATGGAGGAAGAAATGCCTTTAAAGAAAAATTTCCAGAATGTATTTCTTTGAGTGATACCCAGGAGATTTTTATACTCAAGAGTAATACATCAGAGTAAGATTCTGGATTGCTGAGAGGCTTGCCTTTCTTTTGTAAAGTGTGAGAAAAGCAACTGAGAAGCAAGGTGAAAATGGAGATCCTGAGGGAAGTGAAAGATATGAAAATTAGTTCTCTGCATACCTCTGGGAAATTTTTTATGTACTTCAGTTCTACTGTATCTCAATATGGAGAACACTGATATATGAGAAAAACTTAAGCTTCTTAACAAATATATTCAATGACCTCCCTGATCCAGTGGTGAATTACTTATATAAATTTTTCTTATTGAGGTTAAGATATGCATATACATAACATTGGATTTATCATTTTAGCCATTCTTAAGTTACATTTCACTAGCATTAAGTTCACTCACACTGTTGGCGCACAGCCCCACTATCCATTTTCAGAACTTTTTCATTATGCCAAGCTGAGACTCTGTATCCATTAAACAGTAACTCTCCTAATTCCCCATTACTTGCCTCTCCCAGCCCCCGGAAACCACTATTCTACTTCCAATCTCTTTGAATTTGAGACTATTATAGGCACTTCACATAAGTAAATTATACAATATGTGCTCCTCCCTTGTCTGGTTTATTTCACTCAGCATAATGTTTTCAAGTTTTATCCAGGTTGTCGCATTTATTAGAATTTCATTCCTTCTTAAAGTTGAATAATATTCCATTGTGTGTATGTACCACATTTTCTTTATCCATTCATTTGTTGATGGACATTTGTGTGTTTCTACCTTTTGGCTACTGTGAAGAATATTACTATGCACATTGTTGTATAAATCCAAGTTACTGTTTGAATTCTTTGACACTGCATGCCAAACTTTTCTATCCACATCTCCCTTTCCATGCTGAGTTACCAAATCTGCAATTGCCTTCCTATATTAATATGCTTTTCCAACATAATGGCTCCCTCCTGTTTCTCCATTTATATTATTTTTATTGCTACTCTTTGTTTGCCAAATCCCAATTTAATTAAACAATTCTGCATATAAATGTCGCTATATAAAATTTAAGGGATAAGGTCATATATATTTTACATATGTTTTATCTTTTATGCATCATATATTTTACTTGATTCACCTCAATATCTAAGATAATTTAAAAAATGGTAGGTAATTTAGAAGTTATTTTTGGAAGCCATAGCAGGAGGAGTTAAATCTGAACAATTCCAAGCAGGCTTCAGAATAATTTACAAATACTAAGACTAATAATAAATCAATAAGTAGATTTCTTATAAATAATGCAAAAATAACCTAATAATAAGGTAATTTCTGCATTATTTATAAGAAATCTACTTATTGAGGAATAATGCTTAATTACACTCCAATATTATGTGATGTTAGTTAAAGTGCTATTATGGAGAAAACACAGTGATCATTGCTTCCCTTTCATTCTTTATCTTTAGAAAGAAATTATAGTGATTTTTTATGTCATATTTTTATTTTATGTAACGTTACTTTCTTCTAAAGATTAATATTTGAAAGACTTTATTTCCTCATCTTGATATAAACATTATGAAAATTCCTTTCTCAAATGTCTTTTAAGAAACTCTAACAACTGCATTGCTACATCTCTAATCAGTCAAAATTGATGTATATACAGACATCAACTGGAAACTAAATTTATGTTCATATACTTACTAATTACTGTTGGATATTCATGCCTTCATGCCATGCAAATAAAGCTTAAAATGCAAATTTTTAAACATAAATTATGCTAAAACATTCACAATGGATTGTATAATTTGAGAATTGAATCTACAAATGTGTTAAGTAATTTCAAGAAACAAAAAATAAAGTTGAAAAGTTTCATGGACTTAGGAAATAGCAACATTTTTAAACAAGTAAGTAAACATTTCTAAATATACATATGTGTATGTGCATGTGTGACTATAACCTAAGAGAGCCACTGCCACATTGTTTACAAAATTGAAAAGAAAGAATAAACTTATTACATTAAAAATAGTCCGAGGAAGACTTCTGCTTCCATCTTAAAGGAACTACTTTCCTTCTGTAAATAACTAGAAAACTAGACAAAATATGAGAAACAGTGGTTTCCAGGCTACAGATAACAGGTATTATAAAACTGTGATTCCTAAAATAAGTGAAACAACAGGTCAGCCTTACAGTTGTCCCAGTTTTGTGGCTTGGAGGTGGTTATCATGTCACAGCCGGGGAAAAAATTAAAAACAGAACCTTGTGCTCTCAAATGGAGAAGACCTATATCAGAGTTCAGGAAGGTTCAGATGGCTATATTCTGCAGTACAGATTATCAGAGAGGAGGAAGCTACACAAGAGAGAGAGTGCTTTGGAAATCTGCAGAGGTGTCCTCTCAAGTCTTTTGGCGGAGTGATTGTACTAATGTGTACAGACACTAGAAGTTGTCCACAATTGGTGAAAGAACCATCAGATAGTGGGCTGATAAACACAGATGCAAAAATACTCAACAATGTACTAGCAAACTGAATTCAAAGGCACATGAAATAATCATTCACTGTGATCAATGGGATTTATTCTTGCAATGTAAGGAAAGTGACATTTGCAAATGAGTAAGTGTGATACTTCACCTTAACAGAATGAAGGACAAAAACCATATGGTCATCTCAATAGATGCAGAAAAAAAATTTGAGAAAATTGAACATCCTTTCATATAAAAATTCTTTAAAAATTTGATGTAGAAGGAAAGTACCACAACACAATACAGGCCATATATGGTAAACACACAGCTAACATCATGCTCAACAATAAACAGACGCACAATCTAATCAGATGTATTCCACATAGTACTGAAAGTCATAGCCAGAGCAATTATGCAAGATAAATTTAAAAAAGAATCCTTCACATCCCTTGTAAGTTGGATTCCTAGGTATTTTATTCTCTTTGAAGCAATTGTGAATGGGAGTTCACTCATGATTTGGCTCTCTGTTTGTCTGTTGTTGGTGTATAAGAATGCTTGTGATTTTTGTACATTGATTTTGTATCCTGAGACTTTGCTGAAGTTGCTTATCAGCTTAAGGAGATTTTGGGCTGAGACAATGGGGTTTTCTAGATATACAATCATGTCGTCTGCAAACAGGGACAATTTGACTTTCTCTTTTCCTAATTGAATACCCTTTATTTCCTTCTCCTGCCTAATTGCCCTGGCCAGAACTTCCAACACTATGTTGAATAGGAGTGGTGAGAGAGGGCATCCCTGTCTTGTGCCAGTTTTCAAAGGGAATGCTTCCAGTTTTTGTCCATTCAGTATGAAATTGGCTGTGGGTTTGTCATAGATAGCTCTTACTATTTTGAGATACGTCCCATCAATACCTAATTTACTGAGAGTTTTCAGCATGAAGGGCTGTTGAATTATGTCAAAGGCCTTTTCTGCATCTATTGACATAATCATGTGGTTTTTGTCTGTGGTTCTGTTTATATGCTGGATTACATTTATTGATTTGGGTATATTGAACCAGCCTTGCATCCCAGGGATGAAGCCCACTTGATCATGGTGGATAAGCTTTTTGATGTGCTGCTGAATTCGGTTTGCCAGTATTTTACTGAGGATTTTTGCATCAATGTTCATCAAGGATATTGGTCTAAAATTCTCTTTTTTGGTTGTGCCTCTGCCTGGCTTTGGTATCAGGATGATGCTGGCCTCATAAAATGAGTTATGGAGGATTCCCTCTTTTTCGATTGATTGGAATAGTTTCAGAAGGACCTCTTCAAGGAGAACTACAAACCACTGCTCAAGGAAATAAAAGAGGATACAAACAAATGGAAGAACATTCCATGCTCATGGGTAGGAAGAATCAATATTGTGAAACTGGCCATACTGCCCAAGGTAATTTACAGATTCAATGCCATCCCCATCAAGCTACCAATGACTTTCTTCACAGAATTGGAAAAAACTACTTTAAAGTTCATATGGAACCAAAAAAGAGCCCACATTGCCAAGTCAATCCTAAGCCAAAAGAACAAAGCTGGAGGCATCACACTACCTGACTTCAAACTATACTACAAGGCTACAGTAACCAAAACAGCATGGTACTGGTATCAAAACAGAGATATAGATCAATGGAACAGAACAGAGCCCTCAGAAATAACGCCGCATATCTACAACTATCTGATCTTTGACAAACTTGAGAAAAACAAGCAATGGGGAAAGGATTCCCTATTTAATAAATGGTGCTGGGAAAACTGGCTAGCCATATGTAGAAAGCTGAAACTGGATCCCTTCCTTATACCTTATACAAAAATCAATTCAAGTTGGATTAAAGACTTAAACGTTCGACCTAAAACCATAAAAACCCTAGAAGAAAACCTAGGCATTACCATTCAGGACATAGGCATGGGCAAGGACTTCATGTCTAAAACACCAAAAGCAATGGCAACAAAAGCCAAAATTGACAAATGGGATCTAATTAAACTAAAGAGCTTCCTGCACAGCAAAAGAAACTACCATCAGAGTGAACAGGCAACCTACAAAATGGGAGAAAATTTTCACAACCTACTCATCTGACAAAGGGCTAATATCCAGAATCTACAATGAACTCAAACACATTTACAAGAAAAAAACAAACAACCCCATCAAAAAGTGGGCAAAGGACATGAACAGATACTTCTCAAAAGAAGACATTTATGCAGCCAAGAAACACATGAAAAAATGCTCACCATCACTGGCCATCAGAGAAATGCAAATCAAAACCACAATGAGATACCATCTCACACCAGTTAGAATGGCAATCATTAAAAAGTCAGGAAACAACAGGTGCTGGAGAGGATGTGGAGAAATAGGAACACTTTTACACTGTTCATGGGACTGTAAACTAGTTCAACCATTGTGGAAGTCAGTGTGGCGATTCCTCAGGGATCTAGAACTAGAAATACCATTTGACCCAGCCATCCCATTACTGGGTATATACCCAAAGGACTATAAATCATGCTGCCATAAAGACACATGCACACATATGTTTATTGCGGCATTATTCACAAGAGCAAAGACTTGGAACCAACCCAAATGTCCAACAACGATAGACTGGATTAAGAAAATGTGGCACATATACACCCTGGAATACTATGCAGCCATAAAAAATGATGAGTTCATGTCCTTTGTAGGGACATGGATGAAATTGGAAATCATCATTCTCAGTAAACTATCGCAAGGACAAAAAACCAAACACCACATATTCTCACTCATAGGTGGGAATTGAACAATGAGAACACATGGACCCAGGAAGGGGAACATCACACTCTGGGGACTGTTGTGGGGTGGGGGGAGGGGGGAGGGATAGCATTGGGAGATATACCTAATGCTAGATGACGAGTTAGTGGGTGCAGCGCACCAGCATGGCACATGTATACATATGTAAGTAGCCTGAACATTGTGCACATGTACCCTAAAACTTAAAGTATAATAATAATAAATAAAATAAAAAATAAAAATAAATAAAAAAAAATCCAAGTTGGAAAGAAGTTAAATTGTCCCTGTTTGCAGACAACATAATTGCATATGTAGAAAACCCTAATGACTCCACCAAAAATTGTTATTAATGGAAAAATAATGCAATTACTTTTGCATCATGCTAATGGAACTGGTAAATTAATTGTAGTAAATTCTTATAACTTTTGTTGCCTCAGCATTCATTTTGAATATAAATGGACTTTCTAATATCAGAAGCAGGGCTTAGTCATCCTTAACACAGTTTCCACTTCTATACTTCCTCTCAGTTACCCAATTTACCATCAATATGCTCTATTCACATATCTTCCTTATACCACCCCCTCCTGGAGACCATCTCCCTATGGCAAAGCTGGATACAACCTGCTTGACTTGCCCTACATCCAGCATGGACTAAACAGAGAAGCCACAGTGGCAACTCCTCAGTCACAGCATGTCTCGGCAAAGTTCATGCCTGCTTACTTTAAAGCCACTGATTAGGCCTCTCCATGAGAAACCTGTTGGGATAATGCCATGTGACCCATAAAGTCACTGGCCCTCAGGTCCCTTGCTTTCTCTCTAATTCCCCACTTCCTAGGTGAATGTGTGTGTCCTGAACAGCTCTATCTTTCCCATTGATTTTGCAAGGCATCCTGCCCTCTTCATTCTGGGACCTGTAAGTAATACGATGCTTGTTATTTCATGTGTTTTTGTTTTGTCTGACCAACACACCTAAATATAACTCACCTCCTGGTAAGGGTTCTCCTAGAGAGTGATTATCTTGTTAGAAATAAACTGAACAAAGGTCAGACAAGAGCCAAAGCTGTCTGTCAGCATAAATAAGATTCCTATGAGAGGAACACCTGGTCACAGCTTGAACACATAGGAATTAGGCTGTCCACCAAAATAAAGAAGGATCTTATGAAAGACACACTATAACATCCAAAAACATCACCCCTGGAAGCCCATCAGGGAAGAATCAGCATTTATAGCCACTCTCCGAAGAGAGTCCTCAAGATGAAATTAGACGAAAATCACAACATGAATTCAGGAAGATGCAGCATACAAATCAACCTACAAAAATCAGTAGCTTTTTAAATACACTAATAACGAACTACCTTAAAAAATCACGAAAAAATTTCATTCATAATCGCTACAAAAATTACTTAGGAATATATTTAACAAAAGAGATTAAAGACCTGTATGCTCAAAACTATAAAACATTGATGAAAAAAATTAAAGACACAAATAATAAAAAGGTATCTTCTGTTAATAGATTAAAAAATTAATATTGTGAAAAAGTCCTTACTACTCAAAGTGATTACAGATTCAGCGCAATTCTTATAAAATGGCCAATGGCATTTTTCACATAAATAGAAGTAGCAATCTTAAATATTGTGTGGAACCACAAAAGACCCTGAATAGTCAAATAAATCTTGAATAAAACAAACAAAGCTAGAAACATTACACTGCTTAATTTCAAAAACTACCTCAAAGCTATAGCAATCAAAACAGCATGGTATTAGCCTAAAAATAGACACATAGACCAATGGAACAGACTAGACAGCCCAGAAGTAAGCCCATGAATATATGGCTAATTGATTGTCAACAAAGGTACCAAAATATACAATAAGGTAAGTATGATCTCTTCAATAGATGGCACTGTGAAAACTGGATAATCACATGCAGGAGAGAAATTAGACTATTTTCTCACACCATATATAAAATGAATTAAAGACTTAAACATAAGTTCTGAAGCTATAAAACTACTAGATAAAACCATAAAGGACATGGTTTGGACAAAGGATTGTTGGATATGATAACAAAAGCATAGGCAACACAAGCCCAGAATGTGAATGATCCCTTTGATTAGTGCAGCCACTGCTGTATACGCTATCCACCCTTAGTCATTAGCTGTCTTGGTTATCAGATCTATTGTTGCAGTATCTCAGTGGCATGTTCAATTACCATTAGGTAAAATTTTACATTAAGTAAAATATATAAATGGCCATAAAGCAAAAAAGAGGTGATGATGGCATATGGTTATAATTGTTCTATTTTATTATTAATTATTGTTCATCTCTTACTATGCTTAATTTATAAATTAGACTTTATTATAGGTAATTATATGTAAGAAAAACATAGTATATATAGGGTTTGGTACATTCCATGGTTTCAGGTATCTTCTGTAGGTCTTCGAACATCTTCCCTGAAGACAAGCAGGGGACTACTGTATTTTCAGGTGTGTTCTCTAAAGTTTTCTGAAACTCAAGTCACTTTTGTGCTTCCTTCCCAGGAAATAGTCCCATAGCAGTGCAGAGCTGTTAGTTTTAGAGGCATGTTAATAATTCCAAGAGCTTGAAAGGCAGAGGTGTGGCCCTTGGTCAATTCAACACTTTAATCTTGAATATGTGTTTTGTACCAGTTTAATGACCACAAGTTGGAACAGCTTCCCAATTTCAGTGAAAGAAATGTCCCAGAGCTTTTTTTTTACTCATTTATTTGATTAATAAACCACTCATTTATAAACTATTTCTTAGCAAACTCTGTGTGTTGGTATTTCGGACTTAAATACATAGTACTAATCTTGGAAAAATATATATTCCAGGAGAGACCATAAATATGGAATGAATAAGTACTATAGAATCTTGTAGACCCCACCATAAGAACATATGTGATGACATTTGACGGTGACTGACACCTGTACAGGCATACAGGCATGAGGGAGGCAGGGTCAGATGAGTCAGGACCTCATGTATATGATGTTGAGCTTTATTCTTTTAGTTATCAAGGGGTTTTAATAAGGAAATGAAATTATCCAAAGTTCATTAAATAAAAAGAAACAAACCAAAAAACATTGTCTAACAGTAGTATAGAGAATATATTCTTGATGATAAGTTTTAATAAAGACAGATCTTTCAGAAAATTATAGCAATGGTGCAAAAAAAAGGGAAAATGAGGAACTAAATTTAGCAAAATGGCAATAGAATTTTTTTTTTAAATAGGCCAGGTTGGAAGGATATTAGTGTGGTAAAACTTATATGTCCCCATGACCCATTCAGTTGGAAATGATATTTTAAAAAAGAGCTTTGAAGATGACTTTCAGGCTTCTCTGACTTTCCTGGTATTACCATGGAGAAGGATAGGATTAATTAGATTTGTCAAGGAAAAAAGATTGTCTTTCACATTCTGAATGTGTCTTAAACATTGAATTTTTAATATTCATTGGCCTGTGAAAATCCAAATGCAAGTTTTTCCCGAATCAGGCTAAAACCCTGAAATCAATAAAAACCCTTCAGGGTTATGTTAGATAAGAAAGTATGTAAATGTTTTAAAAACTCTAAGTGGATACTCACATAGTTTTTTTTTTTTTAATTATAGATAAACTCAGAAGAGTGACTGCTTTAACATTTATATGTGACATATACAAAAGAGAAATTTATCTTTGTGCATAGTGATATTTTATCAGGAAATAATTTCACTTACTCTAGCAGAAACTAAGTAAACATTATGCTGGGCATTTATACTCATACTTTGCCTCAGAAGCACAATAATATTTGAAAAATAATACAATATAATGAAGAAAATATATAAATCTTCTGATAAAACTAAACAAACTCTAGAAGTCACATATAGCATAACACTAATTTTAGGTCTTTCTCTGTTGTGAATGACATACAAAAATAATGTATCCTTTTCCAAAATTTATTCCAGATAACATGTCATATATTTTTCAATAAACAAATAAATCTTTCAGAAAGTTCTTAGAATAAACAACTATTCTATTTTTCAGTAAAAGTTTTCAGGAATAGTAAAATTAATTTGATGAAGGCAGTGTAATAGTAGAGTTATGTTAATGTAGACATGTATGTGGATATGAATGGTTTTAGTTCTTACTATGTTTTTAAAGCAGATAATACGGGCCAAAAAAAAATCTGTTTGTAATCGATGCCTTTGTCTATACTTATGAAATCACTGAATGACTGGAAAATCTCTACCACAATTTGGTACTCTTGTCACTTTTGTACATTAATGTTATCCATGCCTTAATACTATCCAGACCATTATACCCTTTGTATTGTATCCAGAATCAGAGAGGCAGCTACAATATCTGTGTGTGTGTGTGTGTGTGTGTGTGTGTGTGTGTGTGTGTGTTTCATGCCCATAGGGAAGATAAGGGTAAAATGGAAAAATATAGGGTGTGTCAGCCAGTGGTTGTAACAATTTATATATATATTCAGGCTCTATTATTTTTAATCAACAATATTCTTAATGTCCACTTTGAAGAGCATAGTATTTGCTTGATAAGTTTAACTGAATGAATAGATTAAGTTTACTCAGGTAGGCCCCAAGCTTTGATTATAATTACTTGAGCAAACTTGTACAAGTTACAAACCATAGCTCAGTTTCCTCATCTGTAAAAAATATTAGTATTAAAATAAATAATAAAACCTAAATTGACTGGGCATGATGGTGCACACCTGTAGTCCCAGCTATTTGGGAGGCTGAGGTAGGATTGCTTGATCCCAGGGATTCAAGTCTGTTCTGTGCCATGATCACACCTGTGAATAGCTACTGTACTTCAGCCTGAGCAACATAGTAAGACTCTGTCTCTAAAAAAATAAGTAAATGACTCAGCTACAGCTAGCATATAAGCCCTCAGTCTATGTTAGCTATTATAATATTTAATACTATTATTAAAAATATTATTGAGGAACATGAAGTTTATCAGCCTTTATTATCTTTCATCTCTGGAGTGTTAGCTGAGAATAATTAATGATTCAGGTTTGTTCCCAAGAGATGCTTTTCCTCTTCTTGGTAGATTTACAAGTGGTTTAAATCAAAGTCATACTCCAGCTTCATTTTTCTTCTAGTAAAATTTAAAATCCTCTTGTTCTGATGAAATATTTCATGTTAAAGCGATATCTTATATTTCAGCTAAATAGTTCTCTAAATGTTAAAATGTTAGAGGTGATTTGTTCATATTTTCTTGGGTTTGTATGTCTATAACTGAAGTTAATTTAACTTCATGTTCCATTGGAGGATGTTTTAAGTTTGCAAAAAACCTAAAATTGCAAGGTTCAGTAAAAGTCAGTGTTTTAAACAGGAAAACATTCTGTGATTAACTTGTACTTTCCTTTCTTTATGTTTCTGTTATTTGTCAAGACTTTACTTAATTTCTAACAATAATTATAAAATTAATTGTAATGGTCACAACAATAATAATAAAAATAGCAAGAACCATGCTAGCAATGTGTTATTTTTAGCTACCTAGGCCTCCAAAATCTAGAAATGCTTATGTTTAATTTCCTAATCCTAGAGCCTGAGTAATCCAAATATGTCCTCGAGATTATTCTTATTTCCTGATACTGTGTTTCCTGTGGCCCCCTTTAATTCTGTGCCTATATGTGTCTTTGGTTCACCTATAGATTGAGATATGAAACTCAGCTCTTTATTGGCTTCCACCAAAACACACACAGAAAGCAATGAAGCAAAAAACTAACCACAACTAAGGAATAAATGTTTTTAACAGGTAAAATAATAACTCTCATAAAATTATAAACTGAATACTTTCCAAATATTTTATTTAATTTAGTAATTAATGAGAGAACCAGAAATATGTTACAACAGGTTCAAAAGTAAATTCATAGAACCACATATAGATAGAAAATTAAGAAATGTTGAAATCAATTTACAAATAGGTGTAAAATGGGAGTATCCACCGGCAAAAACCATTTGTATTTCATGGAACATAATGAATTTGCACTTCTGTGAACAAGGATCATTTGCACTAATAATCAAGTTTCCACATTTTACAAGTTTTAAAAATACCTCAAAGACAATGAAAGGCTTAGATAACTAGGAATGATGTGCTGGTTAAGACACCATAATCTTTTTAGATAATTTCAGTCTTTTATAGTTTGTCCTTAAAGTATCTTCCTTCCCTCTTTTGATCATAAATCTCAAATATAACTCTTGAGCCCCCAAAGTTTCAATACTAGGGACATAACATTCATTTTAGTCCATAAGTTTTCACAAGGAATATATTATTGAACTTTTAAAAGCCATATTTGATATCTCCAGGCTAGAAAACCAAGTTGAAGAACTACTCTGTAACATTTCATCTGCAATACATATAAATTTATATGTGTTCTTCTCTTTTTGAAGCCCGCTCCCACAAATCTGTCACAGTTCCAGGATTTCCAGGAGTTACTTTCTTGACTACCCGTAGTCTGGGACTCAATACACCTGCACTAGATTCATTTTCATGGCAGAATTTTGTAGACATTAGATCCATTATTTAAGTAGTCTTACATCATTAAAAGTATCTTGGTCATATCTGAGTCAATGTAAATTATCCTCAAATATGAAATTCCAGCTAAAACCTTGGTTGCCCAATCAACTTGTCCAATTATATCCTGGCAAATATAAGAACAGATTCTCAAAAAGACTTAAAAATCTTTGAAATAAATAAATATATTGTCATTTAGAGAAAGTAAAGAGAGTTAGAGTCAGAACCAGCAGTGGTTAGTGAGAACGTGACCGTATCTAAAAATATTTCACTTCATTTTACAAACACAGAATTTAGTAACTTGTGAGTTGATAGATTGAGAAAAACAATTTCTTTGTGTAACTAGAAAACAAAATTAACATGAATCACTTGTATTTCAAACACAATAAAGTTTTCCTCATTGGTTCCTTCAGTCCTATGTATTTAATTCTTGTTCTGCTGGATTTGGGGTAAATAGTCTTATGAAGTCATCTGCTTTTCAACTAACAATCCTGGAAATTCAGACTCAGTTTATAGCCTGAATGTTTTCTACACACTATCAGCTCTGAAACCACAATTTTAATAAGGGGAAAATATTAATACAATGTATAGTTTATTTGAAGCTATATACTTTATCTACCATGAATATCAAGTAAAGAGATACAGTAAGTCTTGAGTATGACTTAGATATCTGAATTTTTATAAAACTCCATGGGTAAGTATCATGTGCATCATCAATTAGGACCTAGTTGCCTACAAACATGTCTATTTCATTTTTAAAATTAAAGTTTTAAACAATTATTTAAATAATTAATATGGTTTGGCTCTGTGTCCCCACCCAAATCTCATCTTGTAGCTCCCATAATTCCCACGTGTTGTGGGAGGGACCGGGTGGGAGATAACTGAGTCATGGGGACAGGTCTTGTGCTATTCTCATGATAGTGAATAAGTCTCATGAGATCTGATGGTTTTAAAAACAGAATTTCCCTGCACAATCTTGCTCTCTTTGCCTGCTGCCATCAACATAAAATGCGATTTATTCCTCCTTGCCTTCTACCATGATCGTGAAGCCTCTCCAGCCATGTGAAACTGCAAATCTATTAAACTTCTCTTTCGTTTGTAAATTGTCAAGTCTCAGGTATGTCTTTATCTGCAGCATGAAAACAGACTAATTACGATTAGTAAGTCTTTTGCTTTGTCTAATAGCAAACAATCATTGAAACTCTGAAAAATATAGAAAAACTCAACAGAAATATTTTATAAAAATTTTGATCACTGCTTCCCTCAGGCTAAAGCACATTATGATGAGTTTGTGGGCTGGAGGGGGGAGTGGATTAAGACTTCCTATAAAATGTGCTTCTTGGTGGTATTACATCATTTTTTTTTTGAGGGGAAAGAACAAATACTTGTGATTTTCCAGGGTTCTACGGAGGAAATTTTAAGTTTCATCTGTAAATGATATTGTGAATTTTCAAATATATTTTCCCCCACATTTCAAATTCAATTTAGAGAGGCAAAATTAAAGTCATTTGACAAAAATTAAACATTTGATTAAAATAAGATTATGAGTGCATAAGAAGCAATAATTGATTACCCTTAAAAAGGCTTAAAAAAAAGTAAACAGAGAGGTTAAAACAGTTATAAAGAAACTTAGTTCTTTTATTAAGGAGGATCACATTTTTTATTCTTAAATAATCAAGCATATAATAAAATCAATATAATAAATAAAACTTATTCTAGTAAAACACAAAATCTGTTATCTAGGTAGATTATACAGGTTTAAAAAGTTTCTTTCAAATTCTAGCTAAAGACATTAATTGGTAAACTAAGGAAAGAAGCCCATATAATTTTATCAAACTTTGCTAAGATTTTAACATACTGCATAACTTACTTTCAGACTCTTGTAAACTAAGGCAGACAGATTCACTTTCCATATTTTGTCCTTCATTATATTCTTTTATAGTCCAGAACAAACTGCCACTTTTTTTTTTTTTTTAGATTACAGGAGGTCTTTGTGGTCAAAACTAATTTTATACTCGAACTTATGTTAGTTGTGGAAGAGATCTGAATTACCCTCAGTTACTAGAGGCATATCCATATGGGTCTGTAGCAACTTCAGTTCTTGCCTCTTCAGAAGAAAGAATTTGAGGAAAATAAAACAGGAAAAGAGACCAAGGCAAGTTTCAGAGCAGGAGCAGAAGTTTATTTAAAAAGGCTTTAGAATAGGAAAGAAAGGAAAGAACCGTTGGAAGGTATTCAAGTGGGTGACTGAAGGTCAAAGAGAGAAAAATAAGGGCCTTTAACCTTGATCCTGGGACTTTATCACTCACCTCTTTCCCACGATTCTTCCCTGAGGGTGGGTTTTCTGCATGTGCAGTGCCCTCCTCACCCTTTGGAATTGAGCAAGTGCAGCGTGTTTAGGGATTTATATGCATGTGCATCTGAGGCTTCCTTCCTTTTTCCAGTGGAGTGTACCTAGAAGATCATACTTCACCAATTTCGTCTCTTAACGTGCATGCCCAGGAAGTTGCTTCTCTTTGGGAACCTGCTTTAATTAAAACTTTAATATAACAGATGTAGGCCATCAAGAGCTGTCGTCTCCCAGGTGCTGACTGCCAATTTATCACTTTTAGAGAAGCAATGTGGTAATTGCCAAACCATCACCCAACATTTCTCGTGTGTGGGGAGAGAGCCCTCTCTTGCTCCACTCATGCCTGTCTACCCATAACATTGAAGTGTTATTTCTGCTATCATGTGATGTGTTCATTACTGTTACCTTAAAATGAACCAATAAACGTTTTAAGATTTCTTATTTCTATTTTCAACATAATAAACATAAACACTTATAGCCCACACATTTTAAAGCTCCTAAAATACTCAACAAATTTTAAGAGTGTAAAAGAGTCAAGCTACAATAAATTTGCAAATAGATGCAAAATGGGCTTATCTGCACGGCAATAGTTAATTCAGTTTTACTGATAAAATTATTCATATTTCTATGGGAAAGAAACATTTGCAATGTTATCAGTGCCTACACTTACGGAGTTGTGAAATATCTCAAAAATAATGAAAGAATGAGATAGCCTGGAAGAGTGACTTAGAGAAAACTGTCATGATCTTTTCGGTCAGTTTAAAGTCTTTCACAATTTTAATTTTCCTACACCTCCAATGTATCATTGGGCAGAGTACCTATTTCTAATGAAACAGTTATGGATAATGATAACGTTTCCTATTATAAACCAACAAGATAAAAATAAATGGGATATATAATTACAAAACCTAAAATAATCTCATAAAATTTCCCGTGTTTGAAGGTTCACTTCAACCTCTGAACATATGAGGAATCATGGACTTTTCCCCATGGCATGCTAAGGCTAAAATCTTCTCTAGCTCTTTCTTCTCTTCTACTTCTTGTTTTCCACTCTCATAATGTTATGAAAATTGAAAAAAAAAAAAACAGATATTTAGGAGAGTAGGCATTTTAAAATGTTAGAGAGAAAACATTTACTTAGTTTGTCAAGTAACGTTTTTGTTAACTAAAATAGAAATAAAAGTTATGAGGGGATCTCACCTAGTTTGAAAATCATTTTTGTTAAAAGATACAAGGTCTATATAAACTGTGTGCATTTTGTTCATACATATATCTAGTAAAATATTTAAAATTGAGTCAAAATAGCATTAACTGATAAATATCAAACTTCTTTTTAATTAGAAAAAAGATTCATCTGTACATTAGCAATGTCTATAAAGTAGGAACAAATAAAATAGATTGAAGATATTAAGTTACATAAAAATAAGAAATATAAAATTTAATGCATTTTTATGACTGTTTAAAAATGAAACTTAGCTGTTTCCATGGACATCTTGTAAAGAAATAATAAATATAATAAAATTTCAATAATTTGATCTAGTAGCTATGGTACATTTTCTTTAAAATACAAATCTGCTGCTATTCCAATCAAATTTTGGGCACAAAGTCACATCACAATGTCACTGCTGAATTTAGAGATCCTCTAAGGCTAACATGTCAGAAGAACTAAAAAGGCAGTGTGTAGATGGTATGATTTAATGCCCTTTGCCAGTGGGAATTACTGGAGCTCAAAGTAATAATATCTTCCACATTAATGTGCAGTGAAGTGAAGGCTGCATTAATCTTCATAGAAAGTTCAATTCTTTTGAGAGGATAAGAAGATAATATCAACTACATTAATACAAGAAAATGATTATAATTAGGCATCATTAGAATATTATATTTTATATAGGTTTAATATAGTATGTTTTCCATTTTCACTATTTTACACTGTTGGAAGATAAAAATATTGATTGGCTATCAGTTTCACATTTA
Organism: Homo sapiens; assembly: GCF_000001405.40. Lineage (NCBI taxonomy): Eukaryota > Metazoa > Chordata > Mammalia > Primates > Hominidae > Homo > Homo sapiens. The sequence goes on from NC_000001.11 coordinate 102,354,895, forward strand.
ATTTTTTAATGAAATTATCCGTTTTTGCAACCCAGAACACAAATATATGTTTATAAGTTTACTGTTATATTTTATTGGCAATTGTTTTTTAAAGTAATTTATTGGCTACTTTAGTCGGTTTAATTGATTTGATATTAAATGAGTAGAAAGATAAGAATTAATACTTTACATTTTAAAACTGTTTTTATGCATTCTAAATTATAATTTAAATTTTAATGTAAATGATTCATAGTTACAAGTAATGGCTTCTTCCTGGAAGTATCTCTATTTCTTGGAGAAAGATATCAAGTCAAAGCTTACCATTTTAAAATGCATAATAAAAAAGAAACAGACTCAAAAATACATACTCCATGATATCCTTCTGCTAAGCCCTTAAAATAACTAATCTGTGTTCCCAGGTTTAAATCCTAGAGACAAAGAAAAAATTTGCCTCTGTGGTCAGTGAATTTGTTAAAGGTGTCTACACTTAACCTCCTTATCTTTAGAGACGCTAATAATTGGAATGTTTCCTTATGAAAGAAGGTTTGTAAGTAATTCATTTCTACTTAGCAAGTTATAGAATAACCCTTTCTCAAAACTATACTAGTTTATTGAAACAGGATTCTTTTCTATCTCAAAATCAAATATGAGAAATTTTGACTAGAACCATAATATTAAAACCAAATATTTAGTTATCGTCCTGAGAAAATCTTATAAATCTTTTTATCTTCTAAACCTATTATTTTTAGGTTGAGACAAATTAGAATCAGCAAAACTATCTTTTATACTTTATAAAGTAAAATAGACTTATTAAGTGCATAATGTTTAGAATATATAAACATACATAATATCCCAAATAATATTAAAAGGCAAAAATGATAACTAATACCCATGACACTATGAAGAAACTGCATCAATAAATGTGCAAAATAACCAGCTAGTTGACAGGATCAAATTCATGCATAACAATATTAACCTTCAATGTAAATATCCTGAATACCCCAATTAAAAGACACAGACGGGCAAATTGGATAAACAGTCTGCTTCTGATAAAACAGACTTTAAACCAACAAAGATCAAAAAAGACAAAGAAAGATATTAAATAATGGTAAAGGGATCAATGCAACAAGAAGAGGTAACTATCCTAAATATATATGCACCCAATACAGGAGCACCCAGTTTCATAAAGCAAGCTCTTAGAGACCTACAAAGAGACTTAGACTACTACACTATAGTAGTGGGAGACTTTAGCACCCCACTGTCAATATTAGACATATCAATGAGACAGAAATTTAACAAGGATATTTAGGACTTGAACTCAGCTCTGGACCAAGAGGGCTTAATAGGCATCTACAGAACTCTCCACCCCAAATCAATAGAATATACACTCTTTTCAGCACCACATAGCACTTATTCTAAAATCTACCACATAGTCGGAAGGAAAACATACCTCAGCCAATGCAAAAGAACGGAAATCATAACCAACAGTCTCTCAGACCACAGTGCAATCAAATTAGAACTCAGGATTAAGAAACTCACTCAACGCCACTGAACTCCAGCCTGGCAACAGAGCAAGATACCATCTAAAAAATAAAATAAAATAAAATAAAAAGAAAGAAACTCATTCAAACCGCACACCTATATGGAAACTGAACAACCTGCTCCTGAATGACTACTGGGTAAATAACGAAATTAAGGCAGAAATAAAGAAGTTCTTTGAAACCAATGAGAACAAAGAGACAATGTACCAAAATCTCTGGGACACAGCTAAAGCAGTGTTTAGAGGGAAATTTAGCACTAAATGCCCACATCAGAAAGTGTCTAAAATCAACACTTTAACATCACAATTAAAAGAACTAGAGAAGCAAGAGCAAACAAATTCAAAAGCTAGCAGAAAACAAGAAATAACTAAGATCAGAGCAGAATTGAAGGAGATAGAGACACAAAAAAAACCTTCAAAAAATCAATGAATCCAGGAGCTGTTTTTTTTTGAAAAGATTAACAAAATAGATAATCTGCTAGCCAGACTGATAAAGAAGAAAAGAGAGAAGAATCAAATAGACACAATAAAAAATGATAAAGGGGATATCACCACTGATCCCACAGAAGTACAAACTACCATCAGAGAATATTATAAACACCTCTATGCAAGTAAATTAGAAAATCTAGAAGAAATGGATAAGTTCCTGTACACATGCACCCTCCCAAGACTAAACCATGAAGAAGTCGAATCCCTGAATAGACCAATAACAAATTCTGAAATTGAGGCAGTAATTTATCATCTACCAACCAAAAAAAGCCCAGGAGCAGACAGATTCACAGCTGAATTCTACCAGAGGTACAAAGAGGAGCTGGTACCATTTCTTCTGAAACTATGCCAAACAACAAAGAAGGAATCCTCTGTAACTCATTTTATGAGGACAACATCATCCTGGTAACAAAACCTGGTGGAGACACTACAAAAAAAAAATGAAAATTTCAGGCCAATATTCCAGATGAACATCCATGCAAAAATCCTCAATAAAATACTGGCAAACCAAATCCAGCAGCATATCAAAAAGCTTATCCACCATGATCAAGTCAGCTTCATCCCTGGGATTCAAGGCTGGTTCAACATGGGCAAATCGATAAACATAATCCATCACATAAACAGAAACAATGACAAAAAACACATGATTATCTCAATAGATGTAGAAAAGGCCTTAAATAATGTTCAACACCCCTTCATGCTAAAAACAGTCAATAAACTAGGTATTGATGGAACATAACTCAAAATAATAAGAGCTATTTATGACAAAACCATAGCCATTATCATAGTGAATGAGCAAAAGCTGGAAGTATTCCCTTTGAAAACTGGCAAAAAACAAGGATGTCCTCTCTCACAACTCCTGTTCAACATAGTATTGGAAGTTCTGGCCAGGGCAATCAGGCAAGAGAAAGAAATACAGGGTATTCAGATTGGAAGAGAGAAAGTCACATTGTCTCTATTTGCAGTTGACATGATTATATATTTAGATAACCCCATTGTCTCAGCCCAAAAAATCCTTAAGCTGATAAGCAACTTCAGCAAAGTCTCAGGAAAAAAAGTCAATGTGCAAAAATCACAAGCATTCCTATACACCAACAAAAGACAGAGGGCCAAATCATGAGTGAAATCCCATTCATAATTGCTACAAAGAGAATAAAATACCTAGGAATACAAGGGATGTGAAGGACCCCTTCAAGGAGAACTACAAACCACTGCTCAAGGAAATAAGAGAGGACACAAACAAATGGAAAAACATTCCATGTTCATGAATAGGAAGAATCAATATCATGAAAATGGCCATAATGCCCAAAGTAATTTATAGATTCAATGCTATTCCCATCAAGCTACCATTGAATTTCTTCGCAGAATTAGAAAAACTACTTTAAATTTCATATGGAACCCAAAAAGGCCTCTATAGTCAAGACAAGCCTAAGCAAAAGGAACAAAGCTGGTGAAATCATGCTACCTGACTTTAAACTATACTACAAGGCTACAGTAACCAAAACAGCATGGTACTGGGCCCAAAACAGATATATAGACCAATGGAACAGAACAGAGGCCTCAGAAGTGACACCACACTTGTACAACCATCTGATCTTTGACAAACCTGATAAAAATAAGCAATGAGGAAATGATTCCCTATTGAATAAATGGTGCTGGGAAAACTGGCTATCCATATGCAGAAAACTGAAACTGGACCCCTTCATTACACCTTATACAAAAATTAAGTCAGGATGGATTAAAGACTTCAATGTAAAACTCAAAACCACAAAAACACTAGGATAAAAGCTAGGCAATACCATTCAGGACATAGTCATAGGCAAAGACTTCATGACTAAAACACCAAAAACAATTGCAACAAAAACCAAAATTGACAAATGGGATCTAATTAAACTAAAGAGCTTTTGCACAGCAAAAGAAACTATCATCAGTGTGAAGAGGCAACCTAAAGAATGGGAGAATATTTTTGCTATCTATCCATCGGACAAAGGTCTAATATCCAGGATCTGTAAGGAACTTAAACAAATTTGCAAGAAAAAAAAAAAAAAAAAGGTGGGCTCGGTGGCTCACACCTGTAATCCCAGCACTTTGGGATGCCGAGGTGGGTGGATCACAAGGTCAGGAGATCGAGGCCATCCTGGCTAACATGGTGAAACCCCGTCTCTACTAAAAATACAAAAAATTAGCCGGGCATGGTGGCAGGCGCCTGTAGTCCCAGCTACTCGGGAGGCTGAGGCAGGAGAATGGTGTGAACCCAGGAGGCGGAGCTTGTAGTGAGTGAGATCACGCTACTGCACTCCAGCCTGGGTGACAGAGCAAGACTCTATGTCAATAAAAAACAACAACAACAACAACAACAAAAACCAACCCCATCAAAAAGTGGTTGAAGGATATAAACAGATATTTCTCAAAAGAAGACATTTATGTGGCCAACAAAAAATATGAAAAAAAGCTCACACTGGTCATTAGAGAAATGCATATCAAAACCACATTGAGATACCATCTCATGCCAGTTAAAATGGTGATCATTAGAAAGTCAGGAAACTACAGATGCTGGAGAGGATGTGGAGAAATAGGAATGCTTTTTCACTGTTGGAAGGAATGTAAGTTAGTTCAACCATTGTGGAAGACAGTGTGGCAATTCCTCAAGGATCTAGAACCAGAAATACCATTTGACCCAGCAATCCTATTACCGGGTATGTGTCCAAAGGATTATAAATCATTCTACCATAAAGACACATTCACACTTATGTTTATTGCAGCACTATTTACAATAGCAAAGAGTTGGAAACAACCCAAATGCCCATCAATGATAGAATGGATAAAGAAAATGTGGCACATATGCACCATGGAATACTAAGCAGCCATAAAAAAGAATGAGTTCATGTCCTTTGCAGGGACATGGATGAAGCTGGAAACCATCGTTCTCAGCAAACTAATGTAGGAACAGAAAACCAAACTCTGCATGTTCTCACTCATAAGTGGGAGTTGAACAATGGGAACACATGGACACAGGGAGGGGAACATCACACACCAGGGCCTGTCGGGGGGTAAGGGGCAAGGGGAGGGATAGCATTAGGACAAAATACCTAATGCATGCAAGTGGGGCTTAAAACCTAGATGACTGATTGATGGGTGCAAAAACCACTATGGCACGTGTATACCCATTTAACAAACCTGCCCATTCTGCACATGTATTCCAGAACTTAAAGTATAATTTAAAAAAATGACAACTTATTAACAGAAGAAAAATTATAGCAGTCCTTAAAAAGGTTTGTATAGAAAGTGCTTACTTATCAAGAATGGAACAAAGATGACAATAAAAATGTGCAATTATATAATTAAAAATAGATATGACACATGTAAATACATTAATGAGATTATTCAATTTAGCCATTTTTATTACTTATCTACTGCTCCATAAAAAATTATCCCAAAACTTACTGGCTTCAAACAATAAACATTTATTATCTCATAGTTTCTGTGGATCAAGAATTTAGCTGAATGACTCAGGTTCTTTTATGAGGCTGTAGTAATGATCTTGTCTGCTCTCAAAATGCCTCACTTAATGTATTTTAGTTTCTTAGGGCTGTTATAACAAAATACTGCAAACTAAGTGCCATAGAACAACAAAAATTAATTCTCTCATAGTTCTACAGGCTAGAAATCTACAATCAAAGTATCAGCAGGGTTGGTTTCTTCTGAGGGCTGTGAGGGAAGGATATGTTCCAGGCCTCTCTCTTTGTCTTGTAGATAGTGTCTTCTCTCTGTGTCCCCATACCTTGCCTTCCCTGTATGTGTGTCTGTCTCTGTATTTAAATGTCCTTCTCTTTATAAAAACATCAGTCATATTGAATCAGATTTCACCCTAATGACCTTATCTAGTTACATCTCCAATGACTCTCTTTCCAAATAAGGTAACATTCTGAGGTACTGGGGGTTAGAACATCAACACATGAATTTTGGGGTGACACAATTCAACTCATCGCATTCTATAACTTTAGGCAGGAGGTCTCAATTCCTAGCTGGTTGTTGGCAGGAGGCATCTTCTTCACTATGTGGGCCTCTCCACAGAACTGGTTGAGTGGCCTCAGGACATGGTAGCTGGCTTTTCTCAGAGCCAATGATCCATGAGTGACAGCAAGAGACTCCTAATGGCCTCTATTCCTGGTTTAGGACACCTAATGCAGTAATTTCCACCATGTTTGACTCTTTTGAGTTATTCAGTTAGTGCATATATAAGAAAGGGAAAATCAGCCTCCACCTCTTAAAGGAGGTTATATCAATGAATTTGTAGATATATTCTAAAACACTACATTTGCTCTCAAAGAAATGAGAATTAAAATAATAATCATATATCACATCATCTAAAAAACCACAAAAGTAGGAAAAATATTAATACCTAATGTTGGGTAAGTGTTGATGAAAATTGAAAGTACTATCTTTGTAAAAAAGAATTCATCAAATCCCTCAGAAATACGCTTATTCTCTGGCAAAGCAATTACAGGATGGTAGGCTCAGTTATAAGGCAGAAAGTGAAATGACAATATTGTAGGCATTTTTATGTGAGGTTAGTCTCCTGAATCCATGAAAGAACTTGCGAAGTAGAACAGTTCTTGTACTCAACACAGACTACTATGTGAGGACAAAAACAATATTCAGTGTTCTTTGAGCAACTGAATTGCTTGCTATGTGTTTTACAATGGATTGGACTTCTGCTCAAAATATCATAAGATGGACATCATTGCCTGAATTAGTATGTGAGAGAATTTGAAAATCTAAGAAAGATAGCAAATATTAAGTGATAGTTATATGGGGAAATTGATTGGAAATAAACAACATATGAATTTCAGTATTCTAAACCATTCTGATAATTTTTTCAGCATTCTACTAGGTTTTGCACACTGGTAGGTTAAGTGAGTCATGTTGGCGACACAGAGCTAAGGACTGTCAAAGTAGATACACCTGTAAAATGAGAGGCATCAGTTTCCGGACATGTGTGGACTGAATAAACTGAAAAGCTTGCTGCTAGAAAAAAAAAATCTGCAGCTGCTAAAATAAAATAGAAGCAACGGATTTTTAATTAATATCTGAAAAAATTACAGATTTAAAAAATAAACAATAAAAACACATGACCTTGATTTGACCCAGATTGAGAAGAAGTTGCTAGTTTAGAAAAATCAGGGGTTTAACTTTTGACACGTATATATAACACAACTAATTAGATCTTGTATGAACTGGAAAGTAGAAAAAGGAGATTGTTCTAATAGTATAAGACTTCTAAACCTACACCTTATAAGAAAAAGATTGATTAAAAGTGACCTTAATAAACAATTCATAATTATTAGCCTGTGCTAAGGATGTTTTTAAAAAAGACTTGAAATTTGAATATGCCACCTTGAGTATACTCTGAAGCACATTGTCATATAAATTAAGAGTGAATATAAAGGGTCCTATAATAAGTATAGATTTTGTTCATCAAATTGAAAATTTAACATTCCAGTGATAAACTCCCAGGAGCCTACAGAAGTAAATCTAACCTTTCTTGGACAAACAGGTGCTCTACTCAGACTATGCAGAATTATTTCAAATACAATTTCTGTTAAAGATAGCTTTGTAATCCACAATTACACATGAAGTAATAAATCTATAAGTGATAAATAAAAAAGCATGGGTGCACACTAATAATGTGAGAAACTTGATTAAATACACCAGAATAGAAATGAAAACATAAAACCAAAGAAAGTATGTGAAAATTTCCAGCAATATTTTAAGAAAAAACTAATAGAAATTCAGGAAATACCAAGTGTAGTAATCACAATCAGAAAGGTCAAAAGTCAGGGCACTTACCCATTCTGCTCTACGGTTATGGCTGGTGCCTGGAGGTTCTAGCCTGTTATAAACTTCAGACCTGAAAGGTAGGAGTGTTGTACTACCCATCTTCTCTAACAATATCTAATTTAACCACGTTCCCAGGATCCCAGTCTAGAGCTTGTGCGCTTGAGAATAGTTATTCTAAAATTGTTCTTCTTGTGACTTGTTGCAGGCCTTTCCACTCTCTAACTTTTCTAAAAGGCTGCATTCAGAATTAAACAACAGACTTGTTGTTGATCACTTTTCCAAATTACAAACTTTTGCTTACCGGTGCTTTCAAGAGAAAGGTTATCTAAGGTCAGTCATTTAAGTAAGTGTTCATTACAGAGACTGAACATCTCATCACAAATAGGGAGACACAATCCAAAGGAGTTCCTCCCATGCTTTCTGAATGGCTAAGCATTTTTGACATTGGTATGCTTGTCCAGAGACCTCCATGGACTGCTTGATTGAGTCAGTATTGATGGAAACATGCATAATCATTTTCCAACTTAATGTGACCATTCTCCTCTTCCTCCTTTAGTCTTGTGTAACCATCCCTGTATGCTGTTTCCTTCACCCAAGCAAAGATAAGCTTCTTCTCAAAAAAAAAAAAAAAAAAAAGCACACAAACAATTTGGGAATTTTTTAATCCTTTCAAAAAGTCAGCCAACAAGTTATTTTCAGCTTGCACTGATGCATGGTTGCTTACTCCTGGTAAAATAACATATATAATTATATAATTAGTTATAACATATAACATGGTCTTGGCCATGAGGGTTACAAAATTCCCTATATTCCTAAAGGGAATCTTGGATATAGGAGGTATATTATTTCTCCAGAAAATCTTATGTATAAGCCTCAGTGAATACCACGTAGGAAGATACCAATTACCTATAATAACTTATAAAATCCTTTCAGTTAAAAGCTATAATGCAAGATGAGATAAAGAGAGAGAGAGATTTTTAAACCACTATACTCCAAAAAACTGTGTTTGGAGCCAAATGGTATTGATGATGGCAGAAGGCAAAACAGCTAATCTAATTCAGCTACTTCAGCAGCTTTTGATCTAATATTAAATAAGGTGATGACAGATCATGATAGGAACACCAGCACAGTATTTAGCTGACTTTCTGGCATATAATGCAGCCAGGACCACTTTAGAGTATTTCGGAAGCAATAGTGCTATCCTTGTTTTTAATGTGTGGCATAATACTGGGAAAATAGCCAGAAGACAATGCATCCTGCTACATAAAAACATCTCTGAAACATGTGTCACCCCTTTAGTAGGATAATGTGACAAAAAGTGAACTCTTATATGCATTGTAGAAGAAGAGCGGATATCAAGAAATCAATTAATTACTTAAAAGTAGTAATAAGGAAACTCGCCTAGATTTAATCAGTCAACTCTATATTTAATCAGTCTGGAAATAATGGCAGCCAAAAGAATATGCTATACTTGGGTTTTCTTGTGCCTATCCAGTTTGGTTTCAGCAAAGGAAGTAAAATTATCAAGGCGAAAAGACATTTTAGCAGAGTTAAGAACATAACTATTGGGATTCACTACTCCTTTTCAAGGTGCATGATTCACTTCCTGAAGATTGGTTTTCTTATGAGTAAATACATAATGATAAAGGAAATGGATTGCTTCTGTTCATTTTCTTTTTTGAACTTACTTTGCACCATCCTTGGTAAAATCTTGGCTAGAGTCTGTCACAACTTATATAAATGTCAAGGACAACTATCTGAAATTAACCACATTTAATAAAACCCCATAGGCAATTTATATTTGAGTAGAAAGCAAGCAAGCAAGCTATTAGATTAAATTAAAGATCACTTATGATTCAGTTTGGAGACAATGAACTGTTATGTTTTATTATATATTATTATAAAATAACTTTATCTTATTATTTTGGGATTATTATATTTACCTTAAAATTATAAATTTCAATAAGATATATTAAGTTGGTAACAGTTTTTTTCTTCCTTTTGAATTTAGTACATTGCCTCTTAAGAATAAAAATACAAATATGTAAAAGTGAAATCATCAGAGCCATTATTCTAATTTCAAACACTTATAGAATCTCCTTTTAACTTCTTTGCATATTAGTCTTAGCACCAACACTTTCTAATAAATGTGAAAATAAAATGTTTACTGTAATTACTTTCATGCTGTGTGAAAAATTACTTTGCATCAAGCAAACATGTAGATATATTACAATTATCAAAAAAGATTCAGTAAGTGAAAACTACTTACCAAAAATAATATTTTCTTAGTTTCTCCTCTTATGAAGCTTTATCTTTGCTATCCATGGCTGGCTTCCAGTGCTTTTTTTTTTCTGTAGTATTCACTTAAATGTATATCTCTCATGAGGATCAGGTAATGGTTCTTCAAAAGTCCCCATGAGGTCTTTCACACTGCAAGTCCCTGACATGAGCACAGTCTATGTTCTCCATCTGTCCTCCTGAAATTCTTTTTCAGCCTGACTCCTCTCATCTCTCTAGGGCTCAAGCCTGGCTAATGTCTGCTGTATTCATCCGGTCATGCTAAAAAGGAACAATGCATGCTTTCTCCATTGTCCTTTCTTCTCAACCAGACATTGGTAGCAGTTCTGTATTGTTTCCAAACTTTAGAACCCTCCAGGTGAAAAGCGCACACCAGTTTTTATGTTTATATATAGAGTCATGCCCCGTTAATGATTACAATACATTCTGAGAAATGCATAAACAATTCCCTTGTGTGAACATTATAGAGTGTACATAAATATACGTAGATGATATATGTGTTCATATATACACTTTTTCATATGGAAAATCAAATGTACTAGCACCATTACTAGCAATAATTTCCACTGCTTAATCTTCAATGTCAATATCAAGTGCTATATATCAGTTTTTTATATATGCTCCATTAGAATGTTATATGACCATTACCATAATATGCCATCTGTCACTGGCTTAAACATCATTATGCATCTATAACTTTATCTCCAAATTCCAGAATTCAAATAGCAAACTCTTGCAAACACTCTATTATCATGCCCTATTTCTGTGGCCACACCAGGCGGGGACAATGAGATTTCAGATAAAATACTCTCTTTGTCTTCTGCATTCCTTCAATTTCTCAACAACTAGCCTTTGAAAGGACCATTTTTTCCTTCCTCCATGAGGAAAGCTGGAAAAATTCTACAGTATTCCCTATAAAAACAAAAACACAGTCATCCTTAATTATTTTTTCCCAAATATCTAATTTTTGGCTTACATAGGATGGATTAGATTATGAGGTAAATGTCCCATGAGAAATTTTACTATTCTGTTGGAGGACATATCTGCCTTAATTTAGAAGGAGGGGATATTTAGGATCTTTTTTTTTTCCTATTTGATGCTCTAGGCTAACATTTTATTTTATACACAAATAGAATAAGAACTTTCATTTTGAATTATTATTCCACCAATTATTATAATTTAGCTATAGTATTTTAGTGATAACTTAGTCAGTTTATTACAATTTACAATGTGTTTAGCACAATGCTAGGTTCAGTGGAAAAGTAACAGATTCTCAATTGGGAGGTTGAATATAACATACATAATACTACGATTACAGAAAAAATAAATTAAAAAGCCACAGGCATACTGACTACAAAAGTAGTAGGTGTTTGGAGAAGCATTAGATTTGTGTAGACTGGTATAATCACAGAAATATTTGAAGTTAACCTGAGCCTTGAAGGGTGTAGAGGACATACACTAGTATAAGAGATGTGTTAATTCTGCAGCTGTTTGAATATATGAAGTAGTGGAGCTGGCAAGCATGGCATATTTAGGACATAGAGGAAAGCAGTTTGACAAGATTCCAATGAGAATGTTGGAAAATGATGTAAGATGGTGTTAACAAGGAAGCAACAAAATCTATTGTGGAAGCTATTAAATAGCACAAAAATATTTAATAGAGCCATTACAGTGCTTGAACTGAGGAAATATTTAAAAATGATGTTTTAAGGGATGATCTTAATTTTCTAGTTATGTTTTCACTAAATTAAGAAAACAAACTAATTAAGCAATGAAACAGTAATCATTTTCTATTGAGCACATACTGAATAAAAATCTAGTGATAGATAATGTGGGACATCATGAAAAATATAAGGTAATGACTGTGTCTTCAATAAGCGTATATTCTAAATGGCTGATTGTTAAATAATCAAGAGCTTTTCTATTAATGTGAAAAATTCTAGAGATTTCTAAAATTAATAGTTTTGTACTATTTGATTACTAGGTGAAGGAAAATGATTAGATATAATATACAGTATAAATTGTTATCATAAATGGTTTAACATTAACCAATACATCAAACAATTGTTGCGTAGTGATATGGTTTAGTTCTATGTGCCCACTCAAATCTCATCTCCAGTTGTAATCCTCATGAGTTGAGGAAGGGACCTGGTGGGAAATGATTGGATCATGCTGTTACCATGATAGTGATGGAATTCTCACAAGATCTGATGGTTTAAAAGTGGCAGTTTCCTCTGCTCTTTTTCTCTTCTGCTGCCATGAAAGATATGCCTTGCTTTCCCTTTGCTTCTGCCATGATTGTAAGTTTTGTGAAACTTCCCCAGCCATTTTGAATTGTGAGTCAATAAAACCTCCTTTCTTTATAAATTACCTAGTCTCAGGTAGTATCTTTATAAAGTGTGAAAATGGACTAATACAGGAAATTGATACTGAGAGTGGGGCACTGCTATAAAGATAACCCGAAAGTATGGAAGTGACTTTGGAACTGAGTAACAGACAGAGGTTGGAACAATTTGAAGGGCTCAGAAAAAGACAGAAAGTTGTAGGAAATTTTGGAGCTTCCTAGAGACTTGTTAAATGGTTTGACCAAAATGCTGATAGTGATATGAACAATGAAGTCTAGGTTAAGGTGGTGTCAGATGGAAATGAGAAACATATTGGGAACTGAAGCAAAAGTCACTCTTACTATGCTTTAGCAAAGAGACAGGTGACATTTTGCCCCTGCCCTAGAGATCCGGTGGAATTTTGAACTTGAAATAGATGATTTAGGGTATCTAGCAGAAGAAGTTTCTAAGCATCAAAGCATTCAAGAGGTAATTTGGCTGATTCGGAAAGTGTTCAGTCATATGCATTCACAAAGAGATGATTTGAAATTGGAACTTGTGTTTAAAAGGGAAGAAGAACATAAATGTGTGGAAAATTTTCAGCCTAAGCATGTGGTAGAAAAGAAAACCCATTTTCTGGGGAAGAATTCAAACCAGCTGCAGAAATTTGCATAAGCAACAAGGAGCCAAGCCAAATATTAATAGTCAAGACAACGTGAAAATGTCTCCAAGACATGCCAGAGATCTTTGTGGCAGCCCCTCCCATCACAGGCCCAAAGACCTGAGAGAAAAATGGTTTTATGGGCTGGGCCCAAGGCCCCACTGCTCTGTGCAGCCCCAAGACCTGGCAGCCTCCATCCCAGCCACTCCAGCTCCAGCTGTGGCTAAAAGGGACCAAAGTAAAGCTCGAGCCATTGCTTCAGAGGGTGCAAGCTCCAAACTTTGGCAGCTTCCATGTGGTGTTGGGCCTGCAAATGCATAGAAAACAAGAGTTGAGCCTTGGGAGCCTCTGCCTGGATTTCAGACTATGTATAGAAACACCTGGATGTCCAGGCAGAAGTCTACTTCAGGCATAAAACCCTCATGGAGAATCTCTGCTAAGGCAGTACAAAAGGGAAATGTGGGGCTGGAGCTTCTACAAGAGTCCCCACTCAGGCACCCCACTCGGGCACTTTCTAGTGGAGTTTTGATAAGAGGGCCACCATCCTCCAGACCTCAGAAATATAGATCCATTGACAGCTGGCACCACGTGCCTGGAAAAACCACAGGCACTCAATGCCAGCCCATGAAAGCAGCCACAGTGGCTGTACCCTGCAGAGCCATGGGAGTGGGTGCCCATGGGTGCCCACCCCTTATATCAGTATGCCCTGGATGTGAGACATGGAGTCAAAGGATATTTTGGAGCTTTAAGGTTTAATGACTGCCCAGCTGGGTTTTGGACTTGCATGGGGCCTGAGGCTGTTTTGTTTTGGCCAATTTCTCCCATTTGGAATGAGAATATTTACTCAATGCCTGTACTCCCATTGTCTCTTGGAAGTAACTAAGTTGATTTTTATTTTACCGGCTCATAGATGCAAGGGATTTTCCTTGTCTCAGATGAGACTTTGAATTTGGACTTTGAGTTAATGCTGAAATGAGTTAAGACTTTGGTGGAGTTAAGGCATTTTTGGTTTTGAAATGTGAAATGGATACGAGAGTTGTGAGTAGTCAGGGTAAAATAATATGGTTTGGCTCTGTGTCCCCACTCAAATCTCATCTAGAACTGTAATCTCTACATGTTGAGGGAGGGACCTGCTGGGAGGTGATTGGATCATGGGGATGGTTTTCCCCATGGTGTTCTCTCTCCTGATAGTGAGGGAGTTCTCACAAGATCTGATGGTTTAAAAGTGGCAGTTTCCCCTGTTCCCACTCCGTCTCCTGCCAGCACGTAAGATGTGCCTTGCTTCCCCTTCAACTTCCACCATGATTGCAAGTTTCCTGAGGCCTCCCCAGCCATGCAGAATTGTGAGTCAATTAAACTTCCTTCCTTTATAAATTACCCAGTCTCAGGCAGTATCTTTATAGCATTGTGAAAACAGACAAATACAAGTACTCATTCTATGCCAGATAGTGTTCTAGGAAGATAGAACAGAAAAACAAACAGAAAGCAACATCTTTCTCAGATAAATACATCTTTTCTAACATGGATGGTGGGGGCAGAAGAAAAAAAAAGTACATAACGTGGTACTAATTCAGGAAACAGGGAAGAAGTATCAGAGAGGGGACTGGAAGATATTTGATTTGTTTTGTTTTGTTTCTTTTATTTTGTTTTGTATTTTCTTTGGAATGCTCAGGAAAGTCTTAATTGTTAAGATTAAATTTATGCAGGGGCCTTGAAATATGGTAATGAATAATACAGACATATAGAAGAATAATAGACACAAGGGATATCAAATATGAAAATTTTGATACAGGATATTACTTAATGTGTGCAAAAATCAGGAAGATAAGGAAGCTTGAAATGTAATGAGTGTGTGAGGAGCCAGAGCTGACAGCAGAGAGATGAGTGGCACTGATTCTGGTTCATGTGCATATGTGTGTGGAGGCTGGAACAAAGTATATTACACAGGGCCTTGTTGGCCACTTTGGAGTCGTTTGCTTTTATTTTGAATGAGATTACAAGATATTGATGAATTTTAAGCAAAGGAATAACCATAGGAAATAATTCTGTAGATTATTGCTAATAAACTTTTCAGTGGGAAGTCATAAACAATCTTGACAAATACTGTTAGAATTTTGAAGGTAACAAAAGCGTATTGAGATGTATATTAGGCATATATGAAGAAGAAAATCACGAGAGGAACAAGAGGCAACAAGAACGGATAACTCAAAAGAGTTTAAGTTACTAGAGATGAAAAATACAAAAGCAGTTTGAGAGAATGTGGGTTAAAGAGAGGTAGTTATTGTTTTTGTTTTTTTGTATATTGCTTTGATTTTTAAGATAAGCATTTATTACAGCCAGTTTAAATGGTGATGTACATATAGAATAGAGGGGGAAATTGCTGGATTGATGTTATTGACTAGGCAAGAGAAAAATGGATTAATCGTATAAATAGAGGTGATCGTGGCTGAAAAGAATGTTGAAAGCTCTTTCATAGTAACTAGAAGCTAGAAAGAATATATTTGTCAAAATAAAGATAGCTTAGTAAATGTTGGACCATAGAACAGTTTTCTGAAGATTACTCTATTTTGTTAGTAAAATAGGAAAAAAAAACTGAATAAGGAAAATGGTTGAAAGAGAAGAAAGTGTGAAAGCTCTTCTAGAAAAGAACCATACTGAATGGATTAATAACATGTAGTAAGATTGCTAGGTAGTACGAAGTTCCCCTTAAAAGCTAATGGTCATGAATTTAAAGTGAGACTGAACAGCATGCTTGTGTGTTTCTTTCCCCCTTCATTCAGCTGTATGTGAAGAGGAGAACAGATAATTGGAATTATACAGTACTAATCTCTGTCTCTAAAGGAAAATAAGAATAAAGAAGTTAAGAAAAATGCAACACTACAGGAGCTTAACACAATAAAAGTTTCTTGATGAAAATAAAAAAAATATACACATTGGAATGGTTTTAATGAAGGGCCATTGAATCAAAGCTGTATAAAGCACATTGATGGGGATATAATGAGGTTGAAGCATAGATCAATGGGTTTTAGGTCCTGGTAGAGACAAACTTGTTTTCTGAGTGGAGTACACAAGGAGGTGAGTTGGAAAATTGAAGGTGATTGCTGGAGAATGATATGTTTGATACTTGATAGGGAAGATATTAAAGCCATTACTCAGGGAGTGATAAACTGCGGTAGTTGCACATAATCAGAGAAGCCAACATGTTGAAAAGATTATGTTATTGTAAGAACAAATAAAAATTAAAAATGAGAGGCTTAATTGTCCCTGTTGGAAATAGGAAATGAAACTTCTCCCCCCATCCCTTTTTTTCACATCATTTACTTTAGAAAACTTGTGATTTCTTTGTCTCTTTGAAATGAGTATAAATGTTTTGGAAACTATATAAGCCTCCTGCCATCTTTATAATCCAGGAATGTCTTTCTCAGGAACCAGGGAGCCATCTTTTTAAAATGTAAACCCCAAGAGAGATAGCATCCCTGTCTCCCTGTTTCTGTGGGAGGGTAGGAGCCTAATTTCAGTAGATGCCTTGATCCTGGTTGTAAAACTACATCCTATCATAAAGAGTTGAGATGTCTGTTTTTCTTGTGTATAAACAAATCAGCAAACACAGATGGCCATCCCAATTACCAGATGAATGTAAGTTCAACTATGTGTGACAAATGGTGCTGTCAAGTCCTCTTATTTGAGGACTAGTTATTGTTTATCTTGAAAATGTGTGTAATGGGTTGTATATGCTTGACAATATAAATGATAAGATTTCTGTTTTTGCATTCTCTTAGAGGATTGCCTGTGATGTGTATCACAAACATTCTGGTTTAATAGTTATTCAATAATAAAACTATTTTTCCTACTACCTAGATAGGGAGGTTTACTGGGCTGAGAGAAGATTTAATTTCTAATTATATTTCCTCATCAACATCAATATTGACATCATGGAAAATCATAACACTGAGCCATGGTCCTAGTCTTCCAGGAATGAAAAGTGACCTAGGAGTCTGTAGGTGAGTTCAACCAAAAAGTAGGAAAGAATGCAAATGTGAGCTGAAGTTCAAAGGCATATTGCACAAATGTATAGCAAAGCCTACATGTGACAGCAAGACGGGCATTTCTATGGTCATTATATCAGAATATTTAGAATTCACTGGCTATATCTTTGACTGCATAGCTTAATTCAGTTAGAAATGCAGAGCTGCATGTTAAGAAATAATGAGTCAAAAAGATTTTGTTATATTACAAATTAAATATCAATAAAACAACAATTCAAGCAATGTTACAAGCCAGCACATAGTGATTGACAAAAGAGTTGTACAGACAATTTGTGCAGTAAGTTCAGAAAAATAAGAGGCCACAAATGAAATGAGTTGGAAAGAATTTTTTGAATTAATATGTATGGAGTATTCTGTGTATCAAATCAAAAGGATCATGTCTAAACTAGCTATCAAGTAGCACCTACGATGGGATATACACCCCATGGGGGCTCAATAAGTGCTAATTATCATAATATCAAAGGGTAAGAGGCACCTCATCTAATCCAGCCCTCAGGCATCAAGCTTAAACCATCCTAGATAGAAGAGAGACTGTCTGAGTTTGAAACCGTTTTTTGAGAAATCAATTTATGATTATTTTTGTTTTAAAACTTTCCTTGTTTTAAAATCTAATCCAATTTTCAATGCATTTAATTTTATAATATCTGTAGACCATCAAATAATAAAGGTTAGATAAAATAACATTTTCTAATTATTTCTCTTTGATGAATTTCTTCTTTTTCTTATGCAATCAGTATCAGAATTAAATCTAGACACTGTGCTCAAATAAAGCCCAATTATTTATTCAGCTGTTCATTTATTCACTTATTCCATATGTATTTTTTTGTTGAGTACCATATTATTTATTGCTACCTAACAAATTACCTCAAACTAAGTGCTGAAAACAGCACATTATCATCTCACAGTCTCAGAGGGTCAGGAACCCAGGGACAGCTTAGATAGTTCGACACAGGCTTTCTAAAGGGTCCTCAATTAAGATATTGACTAGGACTGCAGTCATTCTCACACTTAGCCAGGAGAGGTTCTGCTTCCATGCTCACTCACTTGTATGTTAGTAGGTCTCAAAAATTCCCCTTCTAAGTTGACTCATAGGGCTTCCTTATGGTATATGGTTGTTTTATTCCAGAAGCATGTAATTCAAGAGAAAGTGAGAGAGAATAACCAAATCAAAAGCCAAGATCTCTTGTATAACTTAATATTAGAAATGACAGCCTATCACTTCTGCCATATTTCATTTTTGAGAAAAGAATTGTTAATTCTTTTGACAACTGAAAGTGGCCCACACTCAAGAAGGTAGAAATCACTGGTAATATTCTGTGATATACCAATGAAATATACACAGGGATTCTAGTAACTTCACTGTGACATTTTATGGATTAAAGTTACATACATTAAGAGCTCCCTGTGTGTGTGAGGGGGTTAGCGGGTGGGGTTGTGAAGTAAACTGCTTGATGTAGTAGGTTTCCATAAATGTAAAAGTACAAAGACAAAAATCTAGGGTATTCCAAATTAATAGAAGTTTTCTTGGTCAATTAGCCAATAAAGATAGATATTGAGGACATGAGAAATGACCAATCTTTAGAAGACAGATTTGAAAGCAATAGTGGTGGAAAATCACATTTATATTTATTTTTTATATATAATAAATCATGACACAAATTATTATAACTTTTAATGGTAAACAATTTCTCTCATGAAAAATAGTAATTTTGAAAAATGTTCTCAAAAGTTTTTGAAACAGCTTACCCTCAATAACAAAATAGGACTGAAGTGGAACGTTTGTAACTCGTGTGGTTGTTTTTATCATCTGTCTACTCAACTAAGTTTTGAATCATCATATTTATTTCTTCATAGAGAAATTAACCCAAACCCAGTCATATTTTCTCTATAGCCAAATTATTATTTCTAAAATCAAATTATTTTGAATGACTACACCAGTGGAATCAAATAGATTAGCAGAATAAACTCTCTGAAACTCTGGTTTGTTATTAAACAGAATGGATTTTCAATGCCATGTAGGAATGCAAATAAAATAAGAAAGCAACGAAAAAGAAGAGCTATACCTTCTCATAGACTATTTATATACAAACCAGGTCAAAACTAGGTGTGATGCTTAGTATTATAATCAGAATACTTAATTCTTGTAAACTTTAGCTATTGATATTGGGAGCAAATAGTAGTACATAATCTATGTGATTGTTGTAAATATTGAAAGTAATACTGCATGGGTTATCTCATAACAGTGGCCCGTCACATAGTAAATGGCATAGATGGTCAAAATATAATCTATATTGTTATTGTTGTTAATATTTTAAAGACAATTTGAATTTGAAGCAATCAGTGTATTTCTACCAAAAAATAGTAAAAACTTGCATTGCTTTGCAAAGTTTATGGAAATGGTCCACCATCAAATGATTTAGATCTTGTCCTAAGTTCATTAAATAACAAAGTATAATGAAAAATAGGGCCATGCTTGTAACCCCAGCACTTTGGAAGGCTGAGGTAGAAGGATTGCTTGAGACCAGCCAGGGCAAACATGTAACTGGGCAAACACGTCAAGACCCTATCTCTACAAAAATAAAATAAAGATTGGCTGGGCATGGTGGGGTGCACCTGTGGTACCAGCTACTCAGGAGACTGAGGTAGAAGGATTGCTTGAGTACAGGAGGTTGAGGTTGCAGTTCATATCACTGCACTCCAGCTGGGGCAACAGAGTGACACCTTGTGTCAAAAGACAGATGGAAGGAAGGAAAGAAGAAAGGAAGGAAGGACAAAAGGAAGGAAGGAAGGAGGAAGGAAGGAAGGAAAAAAGGAAGGAAGGAAAAAAGGAAAAATGGAAGGTAAATTGGCATAATTTCTCCCTTAAATGTTTGAAAGACCTCATTAGACCTTAGGGCTTTTTGTTTTGAAAGGTTATTAGTTAATGACATTTTGTTTTTAGCACATATAGCCTATTCATAGAATTTATTTTTTCTTGTGTGAGTTTTGGCAGATTATGTCCTTCATCTAGCTTACCAAATGTGTGGGCATAGAGTTGCTTATAGTATTCCTTTTTTACTGTTTTAGTGTCATGGGTACAGTGATGTCCCTCATTTGATTTTTGATATTTGTGTTTATTCTTCCTCTCTCTTCATAGTTAGGCTAGCGGCTTATGTAATTTATCGATCTTTTCATGGAAGTAGCTTTTGTTTTAATTTCAGTTTTTTTATTTATTTATTTTTTATTATTTATTTATTTATTTTAGTAGAGATGCGGTTTCACCAGGTTGGCCAGGCTGGTCTCAAACTCCTGGCCTCAAGTATCTGCCCACCTAAGCCTCCCAAAGTGCTGGGATTACAGGCATGAGCCACTGTGCCTGGCCTGGTTTCACTGGTGTTCTCTATTGATTTTTATTTTCAGTTAATTGGTGTCTGCTCTCTCTTTTTTTTTTCTTCTGCTTACTTTAAATTTAATTTTCTCTTTTTGTCTAGTTTCCTCAGATGGAAGCTGATGGATTTTTTTTTCTAACAAATGCATCCAATGTTATACATATCCCTCCTAAAACTACTTTCATTGCATGCCACTTTTGTTGTTGTTGTTGTTGAGACAGAGTCTTGCTCTGTAGCCCAGGCTGGAGTGCAGTGGCGCGATCTCGGCTCACTGCAAGCTCCGCCTCCCGGGTTCACACCATTCTCCTGCTTCAGACTCCTGAGTAGCTGGGATTACAGGCGCCTGCCACCATGCTCTCGGCTAATGTGTGTGTGTGTGTGTGTGTGTGTGTGTGTGTGTGTGTGTGTGTGTGTGTGTGTGTGTTTATTTTTTAGTAGAGACGGGGTTTCACCGTGTTAGCCAGGATGGTCTCTATCTCCTGACCTCTTGATCTGCCTGCCTCGGCCTCCCAAAGTGCTGGGATTACAGGCGTGGCATACCACATTTTTGATATATTTTCATTAGTTCAATTTTTTTTTTATTTCTCTTGAGATTTATTTTTTGACCCATATATTAATTAGATTTGTGTTTCTCCAAGTCTTTGAGAAATTTTCTGGCTATCTTTTGTACTGATCCTAGTGCAATTTCATTGTGATCTGGAAGCAAATGTTGTATAATTTTTATTTTTTAAATTTGTTTAGATGTG
The DNA here is from genome assembly GCF_000001405.40 of Homo sapiens. Classification (NCBI taxonomy): domain Eukaryota; kingdom Metazoa; phylum Chordata; class Mammalia; order Primates; family Hominidae; genus Homo; species Homo sapiens. The sequence continues at coordinate 102,376,187 of NC_000001.11, forward strand.
TTTAAGGACTCAGAATATGGTCTAACTTGGTGAATCTTTCATATAAGCTTGAGAAGGATGTGTTTTCCTCTGTTGTTGAATAAAATAGGGTATAGATGTCAATTATTCCAGTTTATTGAACGTGGTGTTGAGTTTAGCTATGCCCTTACTGATATTCTGCCTGCCAATTCTTCCCATTTCTGATAGAGGTGTCTTGACATCCCCAGATATCATAATGGATTCATCTACCTCACCTGGCGGTTCTCAGTTTTTGCCTCACATGCTTTAATGCTCTGCTGTTAGGTGCATACCTATTAAAGATTGTTGTCAGATTCACACACGTTAAAGATTGTTGTATCTTCTTGAATAATTGACTCTTACTATAATGCATCTCTGTATGCCTGATATTGTTTCTTGTTCTGATGTTTGCTCCACCTAAAATTAATATAGCTACTCCCATTTTCTTTTGATTAGTGTTAGCATGATTAGTAAATTGATTTCTTCATCTATTTACTTTTAATCTACATGTGTCTTTACATTTTAAGTGGGTTTCTTACAGATAACATTCAGTTGGGTCATGTTTTTTATCTACTCTAACAATCTCTGTATTTTAATTGACATATTTAGACCATTGTTCTTCAAGTGCTACTGACACGGTTGGATTAATACCTACCATATTTGTTAAGATTTTCTATCTTTTTCTCTTGTTCTTTGTTCCTGATTTTGTCTTTCATGCTTTTCCTGCCTTTTGTAGTTTTAACTGGGCATTGTATATGATCCTTTTGCTCTTCTTTCTTATCATTAGTTATAGTTCTTTAAAAATTTTTTTGTGGTATGCTAGAGTTTGCAATATACATTTACAACTAACCCAAGGCCGCTTTCAAATAACACTATACAACTCTTTGCACAGTAAGAGTATCTTATAATAACAAAATAACCCTAATTTCCCCTTCCATCCCTGTGTCATTATTGCCATTCATTTCATTTATACATAAGCATATATATGTACATAAGCACACATAATTCAATACATTAATTTTAGTGAATGGCACATTTAGTGAATAGCACTAATACCACAATCCACCAAGGAATGAAATTTGAAAAATCAAAATGAAAAGTTTTTCTCTGCAAAAGACCCTAATAAGAGGATAAAAAGACAACCTAGAGACTGGAAGAAATATTTTCTAACCCCATATAGGTCAATGGACTCATAATCTAAAATATAAAAAGAACACTTAAAAGTCATCAGCAAAAAAATATAAAAATAATCAATTAGAAAATGGAAATGGAAAAGGACAAGAAGAGACATTTCGCCAGAGGTATGAATGGGAAATAAGCAAATGAAAAGGGGTTTAACATAATTAGTCAATGGGGAAATATAAAACCAGAAAGAGATATTATATGCCCATCAGAATGTCTAAAAAAGAATCATGATTATAATGTCAAATGTTGGCAAGGATGCAGAAAAACTGGATCTCATATATTGCCTGTGGCGATGTAAAGTGATACAAACACTCTGGAAAACAACTTGTCAGTTTCCTTGAAAAACTGAACATGTACTGGGCTTATCAGCTCAGAATATATTTCAGAGAATTGAAAATTATGTCCACAGAAAAACCTGTACACAATTGTTTATAGTAGCAAAAATTGTAATAGCCAGAAGCTGGAAACAATAAAAATATCTCTCAAGAGATGAATAATTAGACAAATGATGGTATAGTTATACCGTGGAATACTATTCAGCAATAAAAAGAAATGATATATTGGTATATGCAACAATTAGCATAAATGCCAAGGCCATATGTGTCCTGAAAAAAGCCAATCTCAAAATATCACTAACTATGATTCTATTGATATGACATCCTCAAAGTGACAACGTTATAGGGATGGGAAAAGGAATAGTTATCAGGGATTGAGGATGAGGAGTGTGAGGTTGTGACTAACAAAGGGATAGTACAGGGAAATCTTTGTGGTGATGCAATGGTTTTATATCTTAATTGAGGTGGTGGTTATATGAATTTACATATGTGATAAAATGACATGTAGAGCTGTACCTACATGTTGTACCAATGTCAATTTTACAGTTTCAATATATTATAATCATATTAAATGTAAACATTGAGGGAACTTGGGTAAAAGATACAGAGGACCTTTTTGTACTATCTTCCCAACTTCCTGTGACTCTATGAATATTTTGAAGTATTTTTAAATGAGTGAAAAATATAAGCATATCTAATTCATCAGTGCTCAAAAATCTTGTCAAAATCTTCCTAAGGAAACCCTTCTAAAGAAAATATAAATAATGAAAATGATTCTTCAACTTTTGGGTTATCACACACAAAAAAATTAGGAACTGTAAAAATGTCATATGAATTTTGTATAGTACATTGTGATATTATAGTATGTTAACTCAAATTTTATGTGATTGGTTATTTTACAATACAATTTCAGAGGATATTCAAAATGTGCAAGGTCGTACAATATTTCAGGCAAACTACTAGTCACTTTTATCAGAATAATTTTATTACCTCCATTTTACATGTAACTGAAAAATACAAGATGTGAAATAAATTTTTCTATATCAGAGAGCAAATATGTATGTCATGATTGGGACGTTTAATGAGGTTTGCTTTACTCTAACACCTCTGTTATTTCCAACATTGTAAATCATAGTTAGACTATTTTGTATTTTATACTCTGTAGGTAAGTCATTTAGAGTTGCCTAAATATAATAAATTCAGCATCATTTGTAGAAAAAAAAATGGCCATCAATCTTTAAATCCAGAACCTTAACCAATTCTCATTTCTTTGCTTTCATTCAAAAAGCAGTTTGTCTGACTTCTGGTAATTTTTCCAGAAACTTAGGTAATATAAAAACAGGTCTCTAGGTCTGATTTCTCCTGGCTACCAGAAGCTACTGGGCTTCACAACACTATGAGTAGATCTCATTACCAGTGGAATCCAACCGTGTTCCAGCCAACTCCTTACAGAGAGATTTAGATCTATTTCAGCCCTGGAACAGATGTTGTTTCTCATTCAGGTGAATGTCCAAACAACTTTGCCCCAGAATCCCAGGATCTTCTTTGTAAGAACTGTAACAATTTCTTAACATTTTTTTTTGCTGTCCTCAGTAAAGTTTTCAGAATGTGTACCATGCTAGTTCTCTAAAAACCTCAGGCTGATGGCCACTGCCCTTAAAAAATTTACTAACATTCAGTTAGAAATGTAGACCAATACATTTCACCACATATGAGATGTTTGCCTCTGTTGCTGACTGCCAGAAGCAGAAGACTTGTCTCGAGTACTTGATCACTGATGCAGTCTAAATTTCTTTTGTTTAAGTGTTTTCTTTCTCTTTGTAGGCCCATCCAAACTTCTCTTTCTTCTATCTGTTTTTCTGCTATTCTCTACAGAATTTCCATTTCATGAGAAACAGTTCCCCACATATTTATTAGCATCCTGAAAGTTCTACAGCAATCTCTCATCATTAACTAGAATCAGATTTCCTCTAAGATTATTGTGTCCATAAATCCTCTTGAATGCTCACTCTACCATTCTCTATTTAGTTCAGGAAAAATAAGTGGGAATTGGATTGAATTTTTTATAAATCTCCACCAGGGCTTTCACTTCATATGAATATGAACCTTTACTATTTGAAAGCTCACAGCATCTAACAGTCTGTCCTGTCAGTCTTCACTCTATCTACCAATCTTTCAATGTATTCCCTGTAAACCTTGACGATTAGAATAATCTCTGGCCTCCTTCTCACATGATTTCATCATATGTATTTATGGTTCATGTGTAAGCCTTGCATAGTTATACATTCTTTTCATATTGTAGTTTTTACTTTCTAGTCTTCCTTTACCACCAGTTTTTATCACTACACACTTGGTGTGGTAATTATCCAATCTCTGACCACATATTCTACCTTTCAAGTTAATTTTAATGCCTTTTCAGAAAAATATTTTTTATCCTGCCTTATCAGCATCTTCAGTCTCTTGTACACCCCTTTTTTAAAATCAAACAATCAAATGTTTCTTGGATTTAGTAACGTCACTCACTAGCTTAATTCTCATGATCTGTTTTTTAATCCATTCACCAGTTAATTTCCTTAATAACTTTAGCTCTTGTTTTTTCGTTGCACCAACCCAATAAATATAGTATGGGTGATCAATGCTGATATTTACACATTCAGGTCTGCATATGGATCACTCAATGTTAGGGTAGAAATCATTCAAATCAGCTCCATTTACAGATGTGGCCTCCAAGCTGAACAAGATCTCATTACTATTTGGAGGTCTTTGTGTGTGTCACTGGTCAGCTGCCTTTCACATTCCTTTGTCAGTTCCATCAGAGCTTCACTGATATTTTTAGCTCCCTGCTCTACCATTTTCCTCAGTAGTCTGGACTGTGATCAGATTTGTTCTAACCTCACTCCTTCATATTTCAGTGGGAGATGTGATTCCTCCCTACTACATTAGAGATAAATATATCTACACATATTCTGGTTTACATTTGCTTTAATCTCTTCTGAGAGTTTGATATATCTTCTTTTTTTTGCTCTTTCTGTATCTTCAACTTATCCCTCTTTCTCTTCAGAATATATTTGTGAATTCATTCTCCTTGTCTTTCATATGTTAAGTTCCACGCTACATATTCATTTCACATATTCTTTTAACTAATTTTCTATTGTACTTTTTTTCCTACCAAACTCCAATCTCACCAAGTTTCAGAAAGAAGACTGCTTTAATTTTCTATCGATTGTCCCTCTTCATTTTCAACTTTAAGCCCTAATCTTTTTCTTTGTTCATTTCTCCACCTCTTCATTGAAACTATCATTGCAAAAGTCATTAATGGCTTTACAGTGGCTATAGTTGATGAAAACCTTGCTTTATCTTACTCAACTCCAGCATTAACATAGTTAACTTCTAGTTACTCTTCTTTTGGTTCCTGTAATATCTTCTTATTGGACTGCTCTTTCTTCATCTTATTTATAGATTCCTCATCTTCTCATCTTTTAAACACTGGCATTCTATAAGCTTCTCATTTTCTGTTCTTTTTACTTTTTAGTCTACAGCCCTCCTGGATAGCGTCATTTCTCTTCTATAGTTTGAATTATCGCCTATATGCTGATGACTCAAGCATCAATTTTTTCCACTTAAACCTTTCCCTGAAGTACATTTAATATACTTATCAAAAATTGTATCACCAGACAGCATATTTCAGTAAGTAAGAGAATGGCTCAGGAGACAACTGACTGGGTTCAGTTTCAGCCTTTGCCATTCACAGTTGTGTGTGGTTGGACAAGTTACTTATCTGTTTCTGAGATATACTTATACAGTTACTTATATATAAATTACTTGTCTGTATCTGTGTCTAAATTTCCTCATTGGTAAAGTGTGAGTTGAAAAAATACCTCATTAATTCTGTTGTTAAGAGGAGATAGATAGATACACATATACATATACCTCACTAATTCTGTTAAGAGGAGATATGCATATACCTATACACACATATCTATACATAGATGTATAGATATGTATATATAATGCATATGTATATAAACACTTAGAATAGTGCCTTTCATGGTAAGCCTGCAATAAATGTTAGTTCTTACTAATGGTTTTAGAGTAAAAAAAGAGCATTTGGGTTTATATGTCTACTTACTGTAGGCATTTTATGTAGGCAGTGAATTATTACAATGGACTCAGTGCACACAGATCTTAAAAGGACTAATATAACATTCTATCAAAGGCCTCCAAATGACTTCTAGAGCAATAAGGTACTGATGCACCAAGGAGTGACTTCTCTGGGGCTACCACTGAAGCTATGTAGGAATCAAGGGCATCTAGAAGCCACCACTGCAGTCACCTCTTAATACTCAAGAAGTTTGAGAAAGGGCACTTATCACTACCATCCCCAGATTAGAAAGAAAAGACAGAGAAGATGCGCCATTGCAGCTCCAGCTGCTTTTGGACATATAGCAAAATGGAAAATAGGCTCTGGAAAACATTTTAAGAGAAACCTCACATTTCCATGACTGATTATCTGTAGAAATAGACCAAATGAGTCAGAAAAGTGACTTTCATCTCATTCTTGCCTTTCCAATTTCACACAAGTGCATCTAATGGGTAAAATCAAATTCCCAGCCAAAACCCTAACTTCAAGGGAATTTTAGCAATGTTCCATTTAGGTTTCCAATCTCTCCAGTAGAAGGACCACGAAATGAAATTGAATGAGTAAATCTACAGTAATCCTTGCTGGGTGTCTTAGTCTGTGCATTTTGCCATAAGAAAATACAATATATTGGGTAACTTAAACAACAGAAATTTATTTCTCATGTTCTGGAGGCTAGGAAGTTCAAATCAGCTATTAAGACAACAGCTGACTTGGTTCTATGGTGAGAGCTCTCTTCTTGTCTTGCAGAGGGCTGCCTTCTCACTTTGTGCTCATATGGGTTTTCCTGAGTGTGTGCTGGTGGACAGACAATGAGGAAGCAAGGTCTCTGATGTCTAATCTTCTAAGGACACTAACCCCATCATGAGGGTCCCTCAACTAAACCTCAACTAGATTACCTCCCAGAAGCCTCATCTCCAAATGCCATCATATTAGGGGTTAGGGCTTCAACATATGGATTCTGACAGGTCCAATTCATCCTATATCATAGGGCCATCTCCACCTAAGTGTTCCACATGTATTTTAGAGTCAATTTTTTCATAACCATCTTCTTCCATTCCACAAATCTGCTCCATTTCATTGGATTCATCGAGTTTCATTTAGTGACTTGTCTTTTATGTAATTCTTCCATCCCTTAAAAATGATAAAGTTCAATTGAAATTATCTCTTTACATCTGTGGTCTTGAAATCAGTGCCACCGTCTTCTATGGGGCTTTCCAATATCTTACTTATACTGTTGACATGGCCTATAAATTTCTCTTTATCATTTTCATTTAGTTCTCTCCTAGTCTGTTTTCTATACATTGGACTGATTTATATTTCAAAACAACACAACCCTAATTATGTCCCTATTCTTTAAAAATCTTCTCAAGGCTCTTCATTGCCTTCAGCAAAGGAGTTCAATTTCCTGGTATGACATAGTGCACCCCTATGACCTGATGAAGACCAGTACCTGCAGCCTCTTTTCTCGCTACTATTCCTTCATGATCCCTGAAGCAGGCCTATTGAGCTATTTAAAGTGACAAATCAGTACTTTCATGAATACATCTCTGTATTTATGAAATAAACACGAGTGGAATATTCTTGCTTCCCATCCTTCTTCATCTCAGACCTCTTCATCTCAGACTTTCTTCCCATCCCTCTTCCTCTCAGACTTTCCCACCTCTAGCAAGTCTTTTAGCTAATGGATAACATATTATCTGTCAAGACTAGGTAACACTCCTATGTTCTGTCTGCACATCACTATTTTACCACTTACCATATTGTACATAATTCTTTGCCTTTATTTATATCCCCACTAAACTACAGGCTCTCTGTACCTTTTACCTCTAGCTCTCTAGTGACCAATACAAAGGTTAGGACATAGTGAGTGATTAATAAATGCCTGTGTCAAAAATGTTGTTGAATAAACTCCATATATTATCATACAACTTTATTATCTGCTTTTAACATTTCCTGCCTCCCAAGCATAATGTGAGAAAAATTATCTGTGTAAAAGACTATTCTACACTTTCTTTAAAAGCTGGACAGCTTTTTTTGGCTTCTGGATGAAAGCACAAATTTAAAATGAGTATTTTTAATATTTTTTCCCAAAAGATATTAGGTATTTATATTTGTAGCTACTTTAATTTCCCAAAGACTTACATTAGTGTTTATGTCTATGCATTTGCAGAATGAAAGACAGATTTGGATTATAGAAAAAAAATTTTTAACAAACTCCAGATCACAGTGTAATGATTTATTTATATGTTAATAAATTTTCCCTAAGTACAGCATCTCTAGCAGGAACTGAGCAGATCAGCTTTAATGGTACTACTAAGTATCATCTCCACCTTGATCAAATAAGACTGAACTACACACATGTAAATATAGCCACATTCATCAAATGGGTCAGAAGTTCTAGGTGTCTTTTCTAAAATTTACCATTAGTAATGAGAAAGGGATGGCAACTGATGATTATTCCAAATTGTAAGCTTATTGGCTTCCCTTAAATTGTTTTGTTTTTCTCAGAGGAAAACTTGCAGATACATTTCCTTCTCTGCTCTTACCTAAAAGCTTTGTTATAACACCTATCAAGAATTCTTCAACCTACAGTCTGATCTTCAATGTCAATATTCTCAGCTCTAGTACCCACCATGTGAGATGGCAGGCAATACTGACATAGCCTTGATTCTGGGCTTTTTGCCCCATTCTCCTGAGCTTCTTCATGAAGTATTCACAATTGTATGCAAGGTATGAATCTCAGAACATAATGTTAAGGAAAAGATGCCAGATACAAAATAGCACATTCTGCATGATTTCACTAGCATGAGGTAGAAGCAGGCAAGCTAATCTATGGTCTCAGATATCAAGATGGTCATTACTTTGGGAGAGAGAGACAGAAAAAGATTACAAGGAGGAAGTCGGGATCCAGGAAATGTTCTGTTACATGATCAAAGTGCTGGACACAAGGATGTGTTCATTTTTAAAAGATTCAGTGTAGCTTTGCCTGGTGCAGTGGCTCATGCCTATAATCCAAGCACTTTGGGAGGCTGAGGCAGGCGGATCACTTGAGGTCAGGAGTTCGAGACCAGCCTGGCCAACATGGTGAAACCCCATCTCTATTAAAAATACAAAAATTAGCTGAGCGTGTTGGCAGACTCCACCCAGCTACTCGGGAGGCTGAGGCAGGAGAATCGCTTGAACCCGGGAGGCAGAGGTTTCAGTGAGTGGAGATGGCGCCACTGCACTCCAGCCTGGATGACAGAGTGAGACTCTGTCTCAATTAAAAAATAAAAATAAAAAATCAATGTAGCTTAAAAATGGCAAAGTTTTATGATTAAATTATTGTTACTATTTTGATTTGCAGGTAGGGACTCTGAGGTTCAGAAACGCTAATGATTTGGCCAAGGCCACATGTTCCTATAAGCAGCAGAGCTGAGACTGGATTTGAGCTGTCTGCCTCCAGAGCCCAGGAGCATAGCCACCCTGAGGAGTGATATCAGGCTGGGAATTACAGCCCTGACTCAATTAAGAAGCTTCCTATTAGGTTTCCCACATACCTTATGATACTGTTGTGGCAGGATTCCCTGTGACTGTTCTATTCAGCTGTTATGGAAATGTTTTATTAGCTCCTAATCGTGAACTTTAATGTATAAAAGTGAGAAATAAATCACACATAAAGACTATATTCTAAATAGCCAATGTTTTATACAACATAAAAACAAAATTTATATATATAAACCAGAATATTATAACATTAATCTAAAATTCATAAAAATATAATATTGACCCAAGCTGTTGGAAATAACTAAAATCAGAGCAGAACTGAAGGAAATAGAGACACAAAAAACCCTTCAAAAAATTAATGAATCCAGGAGCTGGTTTTTTGAAAGGATCAACAAAATTGATAGACCACTAGCAAGACTAATAAAGAAGAAAAGAGAGAAGAATCAAATAGACGCAATAAAAAGTGATAAAGGGGATATCACCACTGATCCCACAGAAATACAAACTACCATCAGAGAATAGTACAAACACTTCTACTCAAATAAACTAGAAAATCTAGAAGAAATGGATAAATTCCTCGACACATACAACCTCCCAAGAATAAACCAGGAAGAAGTTGAATCTCTGAATAGACCAATAACAGGCTCTGAAATTGTGGCAATAATCAATAGCTTACCAACCAAAAAGAGTCCAGGGCCAGATGGATTCACAGCCAAATTCTATCAGAGGTATAAGGAGGAACTGGTACCATTCTTTCTGAAACTATTCCAATCAATAGAAAAAGAGGGAATCCTCCATAACTCATTTTATGAAGCCAGCATCATCCTGATACCAAAGCCAGGCAGAGACACAACCAAAAAAGAGAATTTTGGACCAATATCCTTGATGAACATTGATGCAAAAATCCTCAATAAAATACTGGCAAATCGAATCCAGCAGCACATCAAAAAGCCTATCCACCATGATCAAGTGGGCTTCATCCCTGGGATGCAAGGCTGGTTCAATATACACAAATCAATAAATGTAATCCAGCATATAAACAGAACCAAAGACAAAAACCACATGATTATCTCAATAGATGCAGAAAAGGCCTTTGACAAAATTCAACAACCCTCCATGCTAAAAACTCTCAATAAATTAGGTATTGATGGGACGTATCTCAAAATAATAAGAGCTATCTATGACAAACCCACAGCCAATATCATACTGAATGGGCAAAAACTGGAAGCATTCCCTTTGAAAACTGGCACAAGACAGGGATGCCCTCTCTCACCACTCCTATTCAACATAGTGTTGGAAGTTCTGCCCAGGGCAATTAGGCAGGAGAAGGAAATAAAGGGTATTCAATTAGGAAAAGACCCAAGCTGTTAAAACAACTTTACTTGAACGTTCTGTTCGAACACTTGGAACACACCTTAATCAAGTTGGATGAAATACTGTCACTGTGAATACAACATACACTTGTTCATCAAATAATAAAATATCTCTTTAAATAAATATAAAAAAGGGAAAGCAGTTATCATTATTTCTGAGATCACAGTTTGCAATAAACACCCAGTTTAATTATGTTTTAACTATTTAAACCAGAAATAACTCATTGAACAATTTTGATTTTTCATATTTATATAAAGGACATGCATACACCTGTACACAATATGTCTTACCAAAAAACAAATTGAATAAATTGAGGAAAATGCCAATTGAATAGCTGGTATAAAATAATTTTCCTAGATTAACATATATGGTCTTCTAACTGACGGACTTCCAGAACTTCTTAAAGTCCAGTAGGAAAATGTGTAAACTATCAAAATGATACTGAATTAAACCTTATTTCTCTCCCTGAATTTCAAAAGACACATCAAGGAACTGAATACCTGAAGGAAGACTCCATCTTCAATGAAACTGGGTTATGGATACAATTCTAAAACAAATAAGAGAATAAGAGAAATAACTCTTCCAAGATACAGTGAAATGTGAAATAAATTGAACATGGAGGTATAATAACCACCTTTCCAGAGAGGTGCCCCTTACCTGAAATGACTTTTTCCTCTTGGAGCATCTAAAGTATGAAGTAGCCATTGACAGATGGTTCTGTAGAATGACAAAAGAAGAGAGACTGAGAGTGGGGAGATGTTGACAGACCATCTTTATTTTAAATACCAAGGTTCCTAACGTATAAAATTTGCCTGGACATAGAAAGACAAATATTGCGTGTTCTCATTTATATGTGGGAGCTAAAACAGTGGATCTCATGGAGGTAGAGAGAATAGTGGTCACCAGAGACTGGGAATGGTATTGGGGAGGGGGTGTTGAAGAGAGGTTGGCTAATGGGTACAAAATACAGTTAGATAGAAGGAATACATTTTAGTGTTCAATAGCACAGTAGGGTGACTACAGTCAACAATAACTTATTGTATTTTCAAAATAGCTAGAAGAAATATTTGGAACGTTCCCAACACAAAGAAATAACAAGTGTTTGAGGTGATGAATAGCCCAATTACCCTGATTTGATCACTACACATTGTATGCATGTATCAAAATAATACCATGTGCACTCCAGAAATATGTACACTCACTATGAATCAATAAAAATTAACAAAATCAGCTAAAAAAAAATTGAACAAATATAAACAATACAACTAAAATCTGCCTGGAGATGAGATAAGGGAAAGAACAGAGAAGCAGCAATCAGCATTATGGTTATACGTTTGTACAGTTTATGCACTGCCAAGAGACAAGTTGGAATAAAAATTCAGCCTGTGTTTTTCTGGCCAAACATATGCCCAGTTTAGGACCATCTGAAGGAAGACAATTTTCCTAGTGCATACAAAGGTGCTTTTTAGTGTAGCAGCATCCCTATAGTTGTTGATCAAAGTCATCTGAAAAATAATAAACAAAATATAAATGTAAATCAACACATATGACACTTAAACCTGTGGGAATGTGAGTCCTCAAACTTTCTGCTCACATGGAATTTGGTTGGGGGGATGGTATAAAAATGTATCCCCAGGTGCTAAAATGCAAGAAGCATAATGAATATTTTGAAAACATATACTGAAGGGAAGCTGCTGACCGTTCTGGCTATTTCCCCCACCTACTCTCCACTTTATTATTGAGCAAAGTGATAATGAAAATGCAACTTTCACTTAAAGATATAATATAAACAAGAAAGAAAATATCATAGCTGGGCAGGATAGTACGCACCTGAAGTTCCAAGCTACTAAGGAGTCTTAGGCAGGAGGATCACTTGAGCCCAAGAGTTTGAATCTAGCTTGGGCAATATAGTTAGAACCCAATCTCTAAAAAATAAACAAGGAAAAAACCATTATGGAATGTATGCAAACATACACATATGCTATATTATTATATTTTTAAAAAGAAAAGTAAAAATAAATAGTAAAACATAGATGAGGAACACACATAAGAAGAGTGATTACTCAATTATAACTAGAAACCAAATGGAATTTCAAATTCTTCTCCATACTATCAATCAATACATTTGTTCACTCATCAACAACAAAAAATTTGAACATTTAATATGTGTCAGCTACTGTAATAGGGACCAAGCACAGAACAGAAGAATTACATGTAGTTTTCCCTCATAGGATTTACAGAACAGTGGAAGAGGCAAAAAAATAAAATGAGTAGACAAAATACTAATGGCTAATACTTATTGAGCATAAAAAATGTGTCTTTTTCTTTTCTCAGTGCCTCATATAAACTCATAGTAACTTTAAAAGGTGGGTACTATCCTTTTCCCCATCTTATAAAAATGTTAGTTTTTTTATCTAAGATCATTTAAGTAATAAGTGGCAGAGCTAGGGTTTAAGGGCGGGAATTATCCTTCCTAGTACTTGAAACTATTTGGTTTCCAATTCCAGCTTTTATAAATATTTACAGATTGTGATAACTGCTTTGAAGGCAAAAAATAAACTACATTAAAGTATTTTTATGTAAGAAATAACATGGTAAACTTTATTAAGATTAGGCCACTAGGGAAGGACTGTTTGAGATAACGGCATTTAAACTGATAATTAAAGGAGAAGTAGAAATTAGCAGGTGAAGAATGAAAGACTAGTGGGGAATAAGAGGTCCCAGTAGACAGAGTGATTGTAAGAACAATGGTATATATGTTCTCTAAGTAGGCTGAATGTGTACCTTACCAAACAGGATGTGTTATTAAATTGATATTCAACTTCTAAGATCCTCTGGCAGTGCTGTGATTGGATTGGGGCTTCTGCAGGCTTCCCAAATGGAGGCTTCACGCTTGTGTTTTCCTACTGTGATTCAAGAGAGACAGGAAGTTATCTGTCATGTAGACCCCTTTAGATCATAATGTGAGCTTAGTAAATCATTAAGAAATGAAAATTTTTAACCAATGACCTAAGTAAATCTGAAGCAGATTCATCTACAAATGTGGTTGACTATTAGCCATAGTCAAGACAACCATGCCAGCTAATACATATCAAAGTGGCTAAAACTATTTAGACAGAAGGTATACTGGCAAAGTCCAATAAATGCCTAAAAAAATACAAAATAGAGATATTTCAACAATTATTTGGCAAAGTCTAACTATCTTATGATATAAACACTCAACAAACCGGGAATAGAAAAGAGTTGTTTTTTGATCAAATAAGGAGTACCTATGTAATTCCATAGCTAATATATTTTAATGATAAAAATCTAAGATCTTTCTGCTTAAGATCAGAAACAAGATAATGATGCTTGTTTTAACCATTTCATTCTTTTTTTTTTTTTTGATGGAGTTTCTTGCTGTCGAAGCTGGGTTGCAATGGGGTGATCTCGGCTCACTGCAACCTCCGCCTCCCAGGTTCAAGTGATTCTCCTGCCTCAGCCTCCCAAGCAGCTTGGATTACAGGTGTGTGTGACCACACCCAGCTAATTTTTTGTATCTTTAGTAGAAGTGTGGTTTCACCATGTTAGTCAGGCTGGTCTCCAACTCCTGACTTCAGGTGATCTGTCTGCCTCGGCCACCCAAAGTGCTGCTATTACACAGGTGAGACAACATGCCTGGCCTAACCATTTTTTTTCAATATTGCACTTGAGATGGCAGCCAGGGAAATTATACAGATAATATTTTCTTATACATAGAAAATTATAAGAATATGCTAATAATTAATTAAAATAAATTAGAATAAATGAGGTAAGCAAACTGTCAGATTGCAAGTTTAGTATAAAAAATCATTTGTTTCCATATTATAATAATAAAAATTGAATTAAGAAAAAATCCTACTATAACAATGAAAAGAATAAAATACATAACAATATTTCGAAAATGCAATACATTTACACTGAAAACTATAAAAAAGAATTGAAACATTTAAATAAAAAGATATCCCATTGTCATGAATTAGAAAACAATATTGCTAAGATTGCAGTAGTCCCCCATATTAATCTATAAATTCAATGCAATTTTTATCCAAATCACAGTTGTTGTTTACTTGTTTTCCTAAAAAATTATGTTTCCTATAATTCTTATGAAAATGTTAAGAGATTGAGAGAGTCAAAATAATCTTGGGGAAAAAAACAAGTTGGAGGAATCAACTTTATTATTTTAATGATTACTACAAGCTATAGTAATCAAGAGAGTGTGATAGTGGTATAAGAATAGTCATATAGATAAATGTAATAGAATTGAGTGTCCAGAGATAAACTGATGTATTGTTACAAAAATTAAATGGATCTTAGGTCTAAATGTAAGAACTATAACTATAATAACTATAGCATTGCTAGAATATACTGCCATAGACTTTCATAATCTTAAGCAAGAGTTTCTTAAGTATGATGCTGAAAACACAAATAGCAAAAAACAAAAAAACTTTGTAAATTGGGCTTCATAAAAATAAAACCTTTTTTTGATTTACATCCACTGGGATGGCTAAAATTAAGACATTAATAAATGTTGGTAAAGATGTGGAGAAATTGGAACCTTCACACATTGCTGATGGGGATGTAAAATGAACCAGCCACTCTGAAAATACTTTGGTAGTTCCTAAAAATGCTGAACTTCAAGTTACTATATAACCTAGTAATTCCATTCTTCAGAACTTACCCAAGAAAAATGAACACATAGGTCCAAACAAAAACTTGTAGTGGGGCGGGGGATTAAAGACTACACATTGGGTACAGTGTCCACTTCTCAGGTTATGGGTGCAATAAAATCTCGGAAAGCACCACTAAATAACTCATCCATATAACCAAACACCACCTGTTCCCTTAAAACCATTGAAATAATAATAATAATAAAATTTTAATGTTCATAGCAACATTATTCATGAAAGAAGTACGATGAAATACGTTTTTATCAACTAATGAATGGATAAACAAAACATATCGTATTCACGCAATAAATAATTATTCAGCAATGAGAAAGAAATAAGGACCAATAAAGGATATAACATATCTGAGTCTTGAAAAGATTCAGTAAACAGAATCTGTCACGAAGACCACTTATTGTATTATTCCATTTATATGAAATGTCCAGTATAAAAAAGTCCACAGAGAGAAAATAGATTAGTGCAGCTGGGTACAGTGGCTCACACTTGAAATCCTAGCACTTTGGGAGGTCAAGGTGGGAGGATCCCTTGAGATCAGAAGTCCCAGATCAACCTGGGCAACATAGCAAAATCCCATCTCTACAAACATTTTAAATCTTAGCCAAGTGTGATGATGTGTGCCTGTGGTCCCAGCTACTCAAGAGGCTGAGGCAGGAGGATCTCTTGGACCCGGGAAGTTGAAGCTGCAATGAGCTGTGTTGAATCATTGCACTCCAGCCTGGGCAAGAGAGCAAGACTTTCTCTCAAAAAAAAAAAAAAAAAAAAGAAGATTAGTTGTTGTCTGGGACTAGATGAGGGAGGAAGAGTGAAGAATGGAAAATTACTGTTAATGTGGTTGTGAGTTTTTATGTGGTATTGAAAATATGCTACAATTAAAATGCTGTGATAGTAGCACAATTCTTTGAATACATTAAAACCTCCTAATTTTATACTTTAAATAGTACTTATAACAATGAAAAGAATAATATACGTAACATATATATTATATATAATTAACCATATATCTATATTGAGATATATATATATAATCTCAATAATGTTTTAAAAATAAAAAATATAATGAAAGGAAACTTCTCTGATTCACGTGGTATGTCATAGTCCATGACAAAATGGGTAAAAAAAAAACCACCCAAATAAAAAAATTAAAGATTTTAAGAATAAAGATGGTGTCAGTCTTAGTTTGACAGTATATAATTCTTCTGCAAATCCTCTGCCTGAAGGGGGAAAAAAAATCTAAAACCTAGATATAATATAAAAAGCAACCACCTAAATATAAGAAGAGTGACCTGAAGGAGACAAACTCTGGTGGGTAGTTTATACTCACTCAAGAGGGATAAGTATGTAGCAAAACATTTAATCTTTCTGGTCCAGGAAGCCAAAAAAAAGTGAAGTCAGGTGCCTATGAATGTTGAAGAAATTGGCAGATTGCTTAAATAAAAAGCCAAAGTTTTTTAGTCCTACCTAGTAACACCTCTGATTTATGTTTCAAATATACAAACACGTAATGTTCTCTGAGCAGCTTAGCCAAAAAAAAAAAAAAAAAAAAAATCTCAACAAAGCTATGAACTGTTACCCGGTAAATACTCAACAATACAGAAGTAGAAAGACTATGAGGAAGAGTGAGAATGCTAGGAGAAGAAACTTACTAGGAGAAGGAGAAACTACTACCATACAAGCAATTTCCCATAGGTTTGGCTTTTAATCTAGCGCTATTCAGCAGTGGTAAGGTTGGAAGGGATAAACATAGAAAAAAGAGTTTTTCAGGCCTAGGGAATGAGAAAAGAAAACTTAGGAAACTATGAACACTGAAGAAAACAGGGGAATTCCAAAGTAGAAGAATTATAGAGGGGATCTCCAAAATTTTGATCTCACTTCTTGAACCGCTTCTAGGACCACGAATGTGCAGAAGTGATTTAAAGCAAGCTACCTACAGACAAAAGATCCAACCCAAGACCAGAGTAGCAGAGAGTTTGCAGTTCAAGCGCACCAAGAAACGTTACCTGTTAAAAAAAAGAAAACAGCCGGGCGCGGTGGCTCACGTCTGTAATCCCAGCACTTTGGCAGGCAGAGGCGGGTGGATCAGGAGGTCAGGAGATCGAGACCATCCTGTCTAAAACGGTGAAACTCCCTCTCCACTAAAAATACAAAAAGTTAGCCAGGTGTGGTGGCGGGCGCCTCTACTCCCAGCTACTCGGGAGGCTGAGGCAGGAGAATGGCCTGAACCCAGAAGGCGGAGCTTGCAGTGAGCCGAGATCACGCCACTGCAACGAGACTCCGTCTCAAAAAAAAAAAAAAAAAAAAAAAAAGAAAACAGTATTACAGTATTGATGAGAGAAATATCACAGAATCCAGAATATCCAAAATTTTATTTCATAATGTTCAGGAGGCAGTTCCAAATTAACCCAACATGTAAGAACCAAGAAAATGAATTACACTTTCAAGAGAAAAAATAATAATTGAGTTTTGCAAAGAGATGAACTAGATGTTGAAACTGATTGAAAAAGATGTTAAAGTGAATATTAAACCTTTCCTAAATGAAGTAAAAAATATATATTTTCCATTCACAAAATTTTAGCAGAGAAATTAAAAGTGTAAGCAGAGAAATAAAAACAATAAAATAATTGAATAGAAATTCTGGAATTGAAAAATATGATGTTAAAAAAACAAAACAAAACTAGATGAACTAACGGCCAATAGACATGATAGAGGAAAGCATAAGTGAATGTGAAGTAAGATACGGGGAAATTATTATATGTAAATAAGGAGGGAAAAATTAAAACAATGAATAGATCCTTGGGGCCCTGTTACAAATAGTATTGAATGATCAAATATATCTGTAATTGGAACACCAGAAGAAGAGGAGAAAAAGTGTATAAGGGAAAAACATCAAAGAAATAATGACCCCAATTTTTCCAAATTCAATGAAAACCATTGAATTCAAGGTATGAAATGATAAATGAACACCAAACAGAATAAATACAAAAATGCCCATGCTGAGGCACATTTAAATCACCCCAAAGATATAGAAAAAAATATCAAGAGCAGAAAGAGAAAAACGACACATTACATAGAGAGAACAAGAATATGGTCTTATACTACACTCTAATAAGAAACCCAAAGGAGAATAGAAAATTTTTAAAGTGATACAAACAAATAACAACAGGAAACAACTGTTGATCCAGAATTCATTCTCTGAAAAAAAAAATATAACTCAATAATAAAGGTGAAATATATAATTTTCCCCCAAAAAAAGGAAAGTAGAAAATTTGACCTCTGGTACAAGAAACACCAAATGAATTTCTTTTGGCTAAAGGGAAACTACATTAAATAGAAACTCAGATGCATAGAAGAAAATTAAAAAGTACTGGAAATACTATCTAGGGAAAAGGAAAATAATTACCTTTTGGGGGCTTTTTCCTCTTAATTCATTTATAAAACATATAACAGTCTAAAATTTTAACATTGTCTTGGGAAACTTAGGATGTATTTTGATGTATTACATATAACAAATATAACATAAAGGATGTATGGGTGTATGGAACAACAAATTTGCTGTCTACATTTTATATAAAGTATTTATTTCCTGAAAGTAGACTGTGAATAACTAAAGATGCAGATTTTAATCTCTAGGGCAAAAATTATAACAATAAAAATAATAGCAAAAACACCAACAGAAAGATAAAAATGAAATTTCAAAAATAAAGCCCAAAACACAAATGGACAGATTTAAAGAGAAAAAAATAGAAAACACCACAACTGTAGTTGGAGATTTTAACACCTTCCTCACAATTGATGAAACAATTGGGCAAAAAATCAACAAAGATATAGATCTTCAGAAGACTATGAATTTAGTTGACTTAATTGATATTTATAGAACGCTTCCCCCAAAATGCAAAATGCACATTTTTTTCAAGTGCACATGGTATGTTTACCAAGGTAAACTATAACCTGCAACTTTAAAAAGTCTAAATCAATTTTTAATTTTTAACATACTGAAATAATACAGAGTATGTTCTCTGACCACAGTAGAACTTAATAAGGAATCTGAAAATAAGTTAACCAATAAATGACCAAATATTAAGAAACTTAGCCAAAAAAAAAATTCACTGGCTAAAAGAAAACATTTCAAGAGAAATTATAAAATATTTTGGGCTGAATGACCTCCAAACTAAGATACTCTTATGGTAGTAAACTAACATTATTGAACTATTTAGTCTTTACAATTTGTGACTTCTGCAACCACACAGGGAGTCTGATCTCTGATCAACAGCTACCTTTTACTTTTACTCTCACCCCTCTATCTTAAACACAAGCATATACACAATAGAAATCATTGTGTAGGTATATAGTTCAGCTGGTCAGGCTGTATGTGACCTATGATAAAGGTCATGTGAATTTTCTCTTAAACCGGCCTGTTGTGTTAAAAACTGTTATCTCCAGATACTCTAATCAAGAAAGTTTACAACTTTAGACTTAAAAGTCTACAATTATTTTTGACTGATAAAATTTGGGCAGTAGTCACCCTAAGAATAACATAACGTAATGCACACTTTAACTAGTATTGTATAATTTAACCCTTTAAAATCAGAAACAAGCATAAAACAAACTGCGAAAAATTAGTGAATAATCTAATATTTTCTCACAAATTGAGGGAGAATTTAATCACAATGATGTTCTTGAATAAGCCAGCTATAACTTCTTTACAGCTTCCTGATAAGCTGCCCCTCCACATTTTCCCTTCCAAATATTCAGATGTAGGAAGTTGAATATGTACCTTCACAAGACTGATACTCTATTTTAATGGAAGTTACAAAAGTTATCTAAAAGGAGAAAATATGCTGTAATGAAAATAACCCAGTTACAGGTAATCATGGAATGATAGAAAAAAACCAGAATCACTTAAAACAGACATAATTAAATAATGGTTTCAATTTTTATGAGCTGTAGATGATTATGCCAACTTCTCATACTTATAGTGATAATTAAGTGAAATGTATGTTGTCCCTTGAACTTTTACATGATAGTTAAAAAGTTAACTTCCCTCTCCCTTTCCTGTCAGATTACTTATCTGTAAATGCAGGAGATAATAATACTTGCCTTAGTCATTCAACAATGCCAAAAGGAAAAAAATATTGGTACTCCAACAATATTCCAAATATAGACATCCTAACTAGAGTTTACTCTAAGAATTATTTAAAATAGCATGTAAATTAAACTAAAATATAGTAATGAATACCACACTGACAAATTTTGGAGGGGTTTCTAGTGCCTGTCATGCATATTCTTAAATGCTGAGGATAGAGAATTACATAAAAGGGACTGTTTCTTCACTTTGTCCTGAGTTTCACTGAGTGAGTCTGTAAACAAATTAACAATACTGTATAATACCAGGTCACATAATAAGTGTGATGAATAAGAATAGAGCAGAATACTATTCAAAGACAGGAATAGAAAAGGTTTTTTGGGGGGCATTACAGAAATTGAGTGCTGTAAAAGAATAAATCGTGTAAGTTACTGGGATGAACAAACTTTGCAGGTAGAAAGAATATCCATTACAGAGCCTTGTGGTAGGAGTAAGTGGGGGTATTTTCAAAGATAGCAAAGATAACAATATGATCAGAGCACAGAAAATAATAGCACTAGATAAGGAGACAGAGCATATAATTATTTGTAGTGTATAGTAATTGCTTTGGCTTTATTCTAAATGTGATCAGGAAGCCACTGGAGGTTTTCAACAGGAAAATTACATAATCTGATACATGTATAAAAGGTTATTCTGGCTGCTCTTTGTAGAATATACTTTAGAGATTGTTCATGGAGAGATCAACTGACATAGTTCAGGAGAGAGATCTTGACTTTGACTATAGTTAAGAAAGTGGTGACCTGTAGTTGGAGTTGGAATATATTTTAATTTTACAGTCAGTAGGATTTGCACATTAAGTGAATGTGGGATTCTTCCCTTGAACAAATGAGTAAATGTTGATATAATTTATGAAGAGAGGTAATACTGAGGATAGCGGGAGGTTGTAGGTGAAGAAAACATAAATTTAAACTTTTGATATAATGAGTTTGAAGCACGATTATTTTCTGAGTGTATATGTCACATCAACTATTGAATATATCAATCTACAGTTCAAGGTAGAGGTCAGGGATGGTGACATGCATTTGGGATTCATTAGTGCTAAAACAATATGTAAAGTCATGCTGCTACATGATAAGGCCACCCATAGAACAAGCATAAATAGAGGACAGAGAAAATCACAGACCTAGCATTAAGGATCTCCAACAGTTATCATTTAAAAAGATGTGCAAAAGTGGTGATTGCAAATTATTTTTGCAAACAAACCAAATGACTTTCATTGAGCATGAGAAGAGACATTCAAAATGACAGAAAACAAAACAAAACCAGGAGAGTGTTTTGTCTTGAAAATTCAGTAAAACAAGTATTTGTAGGACAAGCTAATAAACTTTAATGAATGCTCCTGAATATTCAAATGAGATGAGGACTATAAATTAACTGTCAAATTTGGCTACATAAAAGTGCTTGATAACGTTGACAAGAGTCCTTTCAAAAGAGTGATGGGGATAAAATAAGTGAATTAATGAATTAATTAAATTATGTGAGGGACTTATTTACCTCAATGTGAGTTCCAATGTTGCTCCTACTTGCCTTTTTTTAATGTGTTTCCCTAATTATAGTGATTGGCTCTTGAAAATTATAACCACCCATTTAAGGTAAAAGACAAGCAAGATAACATTTATTCCAATATCTGTGAAAGAGAATATGGTATTCATAGAATGCTTACTCTTAGTATCATGCTATGAACTTTTGAGGACTGGAACCATTTATGGACAGTGAGAGGACAGATTGAAGCCACCATGCAGATTGGGCATGATGTATGTGTGTAGTTGGGAGCTGAAAAGTCCTATGTATTCTGAAGAGTAAGACTACCTTATAGAAAGAAGATGTAAAAAATGGAAAAAACCTTGGCCCTTGGTGATATCATTTGAACTACCAATTAAAGACATGTCTCATGATGATATTACACTGGAGCTTTCACTTCTGAGTGTCAATAAATTGGTTTAAACTATTTAAATTTGCTTCATACACCTTGGGAAACATTAAAAAATAGTTGAACCAAACATCAATTGACATTTGGATTACAAAAAAATACTACAGGGTGATAATGTAGTTTTTCCATAAAAATGAATGTCAAAGATGAATTGGCTGGCATCAATTTTAAGATGTCACACCATATAAAAGGAATTGCAGTTTCTGTGATCTTAACATGAATTGTATGTCCTAAAGTAAAATAGGATATATGATCAACACTTGTTACATATTACATAATTAAATAATAATATTTAAAGAAATCTATTACTATCTTCATTTAAAAGAATATTTCTCAAAGTTTACATAGTTCATATATAGTATAGATTAATAATCACTTGAAGACTGAATGATTCTATCAGTTGTGGAGAACATTTTGTGTATTTTTCTCATTAGCAAACAAGATAAGGAATCAGGGTAGTGTTATTAAAAAAAGAGGTAAGAAGAACTAAGGGACCATCCCAATTAATTTAGGCAACTGCCATCCTTTTGAAATAGACAACTACCAAATGAGCTATGTAAGCTTCAATTATACCTTATTGTAAACTGCACAAATATTAACTGGACAAATATTTTTAGAGAAGACAAATTTGAAAGCACAGTAAACCAGGTGTGAAAGTTTTATCAGCAGAAAATAAATGTAGAAATCTGGAGGAAAAGGGGGACACAGAAAATCTAGAGGCAATTAATAGTGTGAAAATAAATACATGCTGGGATAGTCTACACCAATTGATAGCCTTTGGTATGCAAAAGTATTTTGTTTGACTAAATTTAGCTAAACTAATGGCTAAAAAACTAGATAATGTTGATTTCCATTTGGATGGGAAGGATGTAAAAGACCTTCATATTCATGGTAATAACAATAAAAACCTGAAGGGATAAAAAAAAATACATTCATATGGGAACAGGAGAATAGCGAGGAATTTTAAGGATTTCAGACACAAGACCAATACTGATACATTGACACTTGAAGCATTGTATTCCTCCAGGTTACAGTGGGGACATATGGAGATAAGAGTTTAAATGAACTGGTGTCTAAAATTCTTCTTATAGTGAGTTCGGCGTCTCCACAGAACTACCTTATTATCATTTTCCTGGTGTCTGATTATACAATTAGGAGTGACATGATTGGCTGTTGGAGTAACCCCTACATAGGGTCCTTGGTCTATAGGGTCAACCACCTCTTCAAGTATAAGCATGTGAAACTACAATCCTTCACTCCTGGTCAGGATGACAAATCCAAAACAATTTCTTATTCCAGGAAATATCTTGAGATTAGTACTACCCTTAAAGATCTAAAGAATAGATAATCTTTATTATTCTCCATACATCCATTTAATTCATCAACCTTGCCCTGAAACTGAAATTAGATAGATCTTGAAGAATGGCTGTAGATCACCACAAGCTCAACTAAATAACAGCTATAATTGCCACCATATCAGATGTTTTATCATTGTTCAAGTGAATTAGCACATCCTCCAGAAAACCAGCCACCTCTTAATTGTCCTATGTTTCTCACCCCCTACCAAAGTAATGTCCAAAAAGATCTGAACCATCTAGTCATACTATAGAACCACATGCTGTCCTATTATATTAGTGGCATCATGATGACCTAGGAGGGCAAGCAAGAGGTACCCGGTCTGCTGGAGACCACAGTAAGCAACATGTACATCAAAAGGTAGGAGATGCATGCTACAAGATTCAGAGATATCCCAACTCAGTAACGCTTTCCGAGGTTCAGATTCAGAAGAATGTCAAGAAATCTTATCCAAAGTGAAAGGAAAATTACTGCTTGTTGAGACAGAGTCTCACTCTAGCACTTAAGCTGTAGTGCAGTGGCGTGATCTCGACTCATTGAAATCTCTGCCTTCCAGGTTCAAGAGATTCTCCTGCCTCAGCCTCCCAAATAGCTGGGACTACAGATGTGCACCACCATGCCCAGATAATTTTTGTATTTTTAGTAGAGATGGGTTTTCGCCACGTTGGCCAGGCTGGTCTTAAACTCCTGGCTTCAAGTGATCCTGCTTCGGCCTCCTAAATTGCTGGGATTACAGGTGTGAGCCACCACACCTGGTTAATTTTTTTGTATTTCTAGTAGAGACCGGGTTTCGCCATGTTGGCCTGGCTAGTCTTGAACTCCTGGCCTTAACTTATCTGCCCGCCTTTGCCTCCCAAAGTGCTGGAATTACAGGTGTAAGCCCCCCATGCTGGGCTAACGAGATTTCTTTAAGTAGAAAACAGAACCTAAAGCAAAACTTACATGTTGACAGTTTATGGGAAGTGCCTTACTGAAATGACATGGGATTGTTACAAACAGAGCTAATTCGTTAGTCTCATGGGATATAATCATAAAGGCGAATATGAACTGTTATAAAACAGTATATATCTAGGGAAAAGAAAGGAAACATAGACATTCTCTGGCTTCAACCTAAACCTACTGTTTCATTGGTCCACGTGTTCCTCACAGGAATGTATGTCTCTTGCTCTTCAAGATTGCAATACCAATTTTCTTCAGGCAGCCACTGGGAAAGCCAGAGTCTTACATCATTCACTCAGGTTCCATGGTGTCTCCGTCAGTTGGTACTGTATGAGAGGCTCCTTGACCTGAGCAACAAGCAGGCAAAGGCACTGATCTGGTTTCTCAACCAAGGGAGCAGTGGGAAGTTTTCTTGGGTCTTACTTATGGTCAAGAATATGAAGTGCATAGAACTGGGGTAGAAAATAAAGAAGTCCGTCGTAAGTGGCTCCACTGATTTTAAGGGGATTCTAAGACCTTTGTCTGGTTTTTCCATTGGACATTCTGTCCTTGTGTATATTCATAAAGAATGATATTTCAAAATCCAAAATTAATATGTTACCTTGCTACCTCTTTTTCAGCTTCATTTTTTAATAATGTTTTTATTTTCACTTTTAATGCTTTACTTAAACATGTTTATATTGTTGTATAATTATATATAGTAATATACACAGAAGAGTGCTTTTTAATGAAATTCGCCAAATGTATACATTCATGTTCCACCACAGTCAACTTACAGAATATTTCCCGCATCCTGGGAAGTTCACTGGTGCTTTTTTTCAGACAATCCCCCACCCAACTATAAGCAAGCACCACTCTGATTTCTATTCACAAAGACAAGTATATCCTTTATGTGTCAGGCTTATTTTTCTCAACCTATTATATGCTGAATCTTGTATATTTTTGCATACATTAGCAGCTTCTTCCTTTGTATTGCTGAGCTGTATCTCACTACATGTATATACCACAATTTGCTTATAACTTCTCCTATTGATGGACATTGCCTTGTTTTTTATTTTTTGTTATTAAAAATAAGGCTAAACAATAATGCCAATGAAAATGGTATGCAAAATTAATGCCTCAAAATAAATTTAATAAAAGAGGCATAAAGTTCAAGAAAATGTAATTAAGACAAATTTTAAAACAGCTAAATAGATTTGCCTGTATACTATGGAAATGGTTTGGAAGATTCAATATTATGTTGACTCCCATTAAGAAAGACCTATAGACTTGACAAAATAACAAACAAAAATCTTAAAAGTTGTTCTGTAGAAATTGATAAGCTTGTTCTAAAATTTATATGGAAATGCCAAGAATGTAGGTAACTGGAATAACTGAATTATTAGTAGCTTCTTATAAAGTACTTAATTTAGTGAGGTTTTGTATAACTATAGATTAATAGATAAATGAAAAAGGAGTCAATAAATAGACTGATACATAACAATACATTTATTTATTTTTTTATTTTTTTCCTGAAAATTCTATTGTTACTATTTTTTTTTATTATACTTTAAGTTTTAGGGTACATGTGCACATTGTGCAGGTTAGTTACATATGTATACATGTGCCATGCTGGTGCGCTGCACCCACTAACTCGTCATCTAGCATTAGGTATATCTCCCAATGCTATCCCTCCCAATACATTTATTTTTAACAAAGAAGTCAATGCAAGGCAAGTCAGTAGATAGAGCAAACTTTATTTCTACAAATTTTGCAGCATACAATGGCAAATTAGCATAGATACATACTTCATAAAATACAAGACCATTAACATAAGAAAGATTATAGACTTAAAATAAAAAAACTATAAGACTCCTAGAAACAAACATTATAGATTGTATCTGCAACCTTGGAATAGACATATTTTTTTTAGCCTAAAGGAAAAAGTATCATTAAAAAAGTATAAACAACTTAAACAAAATTTTAAAATTTACTCTTCAAAGAACACTTTTTAAAAAATGTGTTAGGCAAGTTGTGTTAGGCTGTTCTTGCATTGCTCTAAATAAATACATGAAATTGGGTAATTTATAAACAAAAGAGGTTTAATTGGTTCATGGTTATGTAGGCTTCACAGGAAGCATGGTGCTGGCATCTGCTGGACTTCTAGGGAAGCCTTAGGAAGTTTAGAATCATGGCAGAAGGTGAAGGGGCAGCAAGCATGTCACACGGCCAAAGCAGAATCAAGAAAAAGAGAGAGAGTGAGGTAGGGGGAGGTGGTACAACTTTTATAGGACCAGAACTCGAAAGACTTCACTATCACAAAGACAGTACCAAGCCATGAGGGATCCACCCCCATGACCCAAACACCTCCTATCAGGCCCCTTCTCCAGCATTGGGGATTACAATTCAACATGTGCTTTGGGTGGAGACAAATACCCAAACTATAGCACAACTGATATATGGGAAGAAAATATTTGTAATAAATATATGACAAAGAATTTGTTATATAAATAATTCCTACAAACAGTTTTTAAAAGACAAGGCAAAAACTGATGATCAGTGAAACTGTGCACTTTTTCTTGACATTTATTAATCATTTTAAAATCCTCTTTTGTGAAGTAGATGTATAAATCATTTTATTATTTTTTAACTGAGCTGTTTCTTACATTGATTATTCAGTTATTTATATAAACTGGATACAAGTTTCTTTTTCGATACATATATTACAAACATATTTCCTCTATTTCAACTGCCTTTCAAGGTTAATGATATCTTTTAATGAACAAAATATTTTTCATTATTATTTTTGTATTATATTTATTTTCTTTAACCCATAGCATACTCAGTTATTTCCATTATAAAACATCTTACCTTTTTTATCTGTCATATAAGAGAAATGCAATTATTCTAAAGAGACAATTAAAAATGAAAATAGGTATAAAACTCTTTGTGAACATGGAAAGTATAATTTATTCTTGAAAACGTCGTGGTATTTTCAAAGTTCTTTGGGTGTTTCTAGCTGAAGGGATTGAAAGTTGGTAGAATTTTGATATACTCAGACAGCCCCAACAGAGGCAAAATCTTAGACTAGAGAACAGAGTAAAACAGACTACTTATTGTCTAAACAAATAACTATTCCAGTTAAATCAGAACAGAATACTATAGCAATGTATCAAAAGCAATTAATCTGTTATCAACTGTGAGGTTAGACCTATTTAAAAGTATGACCTATGTTATAGACTGAACTACGTCCTCCTACTTTCATATGTTGAAGCCATTATTTCCAATATGGCTGTTTTTGGAGACAGAGCTTGTCAGAAAGTAATTAAGGATAAAATAGGTCATAAGGGTAGGACCCTTGTCTTAGTCTGTTTTGTGTTTTTATAATAGAATACTTGAGAATTTATAAAAAATACATTTATAAATTTATTTTTATAACTTATAAAGAAAATAAGTTTATTTGGCTCACAGTTCTGCAGGCTGGACAAGAAGCATGGTGCCACCAGCATCTATATTTGATGAGAGCCTGTCGGGTCCTGGCAACTCTCCACTTTCTCTCCTGCTTCCTCACTTGCTATGTGATCATGGCAGAAGGGAAAAGGGAGCCAGCATCTGCAGAGATCACATGGCAAGGGAGGATGCAAGAGAGGAAGTAAGGAGATGCCGGGATCTTTTAAACAACTCTCTCTTGCAAGAACTAATATAAGTGAGAATTCACCCAAGAAAAAGCATTAATCTATTTATGAGAAATCTGCCCCATGAACAAAATACTTCCCATGAAGTCCAACCTCCAACATTGGACATAAATTTCAACATTTTGTTGAACAATAAAACCACAGTAACAAAAATTTGATAGAATTAGTGTCCCTGTACAAAAAGGAAGAAAGACGAGAGTTTTTTCTCATTCCATTTATATAAACAGAGGAAGGGCCATATGAAGACACAGGGAGAAGGCAGCCCCCTGTAAGCCAGGAAGACAGCCCTCCCCAGAAACAGAAAGTTATCATTAACTGTGAACCTAATAACAAATAAGTTAATTAAATGTAATTGCAAAAACCATGATTGCTTTTGCACCAACCTAATAACAAATATGTTATTTTTTATTACATCCAACATTTATTTTAGTCTACACATTTTTTGTTCTTGACATTGTAATAATCGGCATTCTGACTGACATGAGATGGTATCTCATTGTGGTTTTGATTTCCATTTCTCTAATGATCAGTGATGTTGAGCTTTTTTTCATGTTTGTTGGCAGCATAAATATATTCTTTTGAGAAGTCTCTATTCATATCACTTGCCCACTTTTTGATGCAGTTTTTTTTCTTGTAAATTTAAGTTCCTTGTAGATTGTGGATATTTGCCCTTTGTCAGATGGATAGATTGCAAAAATTTCCCCCCATTCTGTATGTTGCCTGTTTGCTCTGATGACGGTTTCTTTTGCTGTGCAGAGGCTCTTTAGTTTAATTAGATCCCATTTGTCAATTTTTGCTTTTCTTGCAATTGCTTTGTTTTTGTCATGAAATTTTTACCCATGCCTACGTCCTGAATGGTATTGCCTAGGTTTTCTTCTAGGGTTTTCATAGTTTTGGGTTTTACATGTAAGTCTTTAATCCATCTTGAGTTAATTTTTGTATAAGGTGTAAGGAAGGAGTTCAGTTTCAGTTTTCTGCATATGGCTAGCCAGCTCTTCCAACATCAATTAGTAAATAAGGGATCCTTTCCCCGTCCAATGAGCCAAAAGTGAGTTAAATAGAAAGAAAACCACATCTGTGTATATCACATGCAAATGATGAAGACTAGGAGAAAGAATCTTAAAAGTGGGCATAGAAAGTTGACACAAGACTTAAAAGAAGACCACTGGCTCAATCTCAATAGGAACCTTAACAAAATTAGACAAAACCTAACAAGAAAAATGAAAAGTAAAACAAACAAGCAAGCTACCAACACTCATTAAAATCTAAGCTAATGATAATACCCTCTGGAAATGATGAAGTGAGAGAGTGAGACCCTGTCACTAAAACAAATTAAAGGAAAAGAACAACTGAAAAGCATCAACAGAGTTTTAATTCAAGTAAATATAAATTAATATTGACTGCAACAAACTAAAAATGAATAATGTTTGGTTAGGTTTATAAATATGTATCAGTAAAATATATGATACCAATAGTGCAAAGGATGGAAACATTATTTAAATTTCATTGAAATAATAGCCAGTTTCTGACAATGTTTAGTAAGTGGTAAACAATGAAATAGGTTATAGTAAGTCATGATTATTAATGAAAGAAGAACCAGAAAATGTCTAAATGAAATTATAATAGAGAATAAACTGATAAAATAAAAATACTAAACTATCAAAAAGACGTCAAAAAGGAAGAATAAAATATCAAAAAAATGAAGAAACAGAAAATACACAGTTTATATTGGTCAATTTAAACCTAATACATCAGATTTTCTATTAAATATAATGGATTAGTATGCCAATGAAAGGGAAATACTGTTTAGCAGGAATTTTTTAAAAAAGAAAATCAATGAACATGTTTACAACATATACCATTGCAAAATGACACGATGATATTGAAAGAAAAATGTGTGGAAAGATCTACAAAGGGCTCAAAAAGTGTGATTAAGCAAATTAAATGTTCTTAAGAGACAAGGATATAGAAGTGACTTGTATTTAAGAAAAAGAAGGTAGAAAAGGTTTACTAAATGGGAAAATGACTGAATATACAGAAGAGGAGGTACACGTACATGCATTCTAGAGGCAATAAGAGGGAATTGAATTTGATTTAGAAAACAAATGGAGTGGTTACATTAGCTTTGTTTTTTTGTTTTGTTTTGTTTTGTTTTGGAGACAGAGTCTCACTCTGTCTCCCAGGCTGGAGTGCAGTGGCACAATCTTGGCTGACTGCAACCTCTGTCTCCCATGTTCAAATGATTCTCATGGCCCAGCCTCCCAAGTAGCTGGGATTACAGGCACGCACCACCATGCCTGGCTAATTTTTGTATTTTTAATAGAGATGGTGTTTCACCATGTTGGCCAGGCTGGTCTCGAACTCCTGGCCTCAGGTGATCTGCCCTCCACAGCCTCCCAAAGTGCTGAGATTACAGGCATGAGCCATTGCGCCTAACCAGGTTAGCTTTTTGTCACAGCAAGAGTATTTGATTGACTTCCATTTTTCACCATAAAACATGAGACAAGTTCATCAGTTAAACAATTAGCTGCTTTGGTGGAGGCATGAAATAGGCAAGTAATTGGGTATAACCTAAGTTGGAATTTTGCTACATGGGTGTGGCAGACAAAGAGACAATAGGGCCAGGGGATTTGGAAGTGAATACAGATCTGAATCCTGTAAGTTGGAAAATAGAGAAATAAAGATAGAAGTGAGGGTAAAATTGGCTAGAATTCTAGCTCTTAACCAACATACTACATATATTATATTGCAATAAGGATAAACATTATTTTTATATACATATGCAGAGTAGAACAGCATATATTGATCAAAACAAATGAGTATTTATAATTTAATATATATGTTATCGAATCTTACTCATTTGCATAGCAACAGAAATAATGCTTGGGTAAAAACTTGCCTTGAATAACATTTTGAAATAGATCCAACTGCTCTAAGTCACCTCAGACTCCTTGGGTTTAAGTGAAGAATATCAATATTTGAAGGTTTTTTAATCTACTATAATCTGCGGGCTTTAAGTACCAAATAAGTATATATTTGCATAGATAGGTCATTACTCTTAAAATATATAAAAACATTCCAGATTTTGCACTAGTCTTAAAGATTTCTAGCATTCAATAAATGTTAAATAAAGCAGCACTAAAAATACTAACATTAAAACTTATCTCCTATCACATTAAAATTCCATACTTGAAATCATTAACATGATGGGTTTGGCTAATTTTCTTTAACAGTCTTGATTTTAAAATAATCAAAAGTTGTGATTTTGGCCACAAATAGTTTTTCTCATTATTTATTATTCTTACATTGATTGCTTCCACGTTCAGTTGTAGTTTTTAGATTTAATATATATTTAACAGGGAAAAATTAAAGAAATTTGGAGTTTCATCCTTTATAAAATAGTTTGAAATATTGTGCTGTATGGGAATAATAGAAGTGTGTAAATAGCTTGATAGAAATAGAAGTAAAGGTGGTAACATTTTTTACGACACAGTAGAAAATAAACCCAGAGTTTGATTGTTATAATGCTGCTTAACAATGTGGCTTTAGAATCTGGTTTGTATCTAAGCTCTAGGGCATACTAATTTTATGAATTTACTAATTTACTTAATTTCTGTAAACTTTAATTTGCTAATACCTAAGTTGGAAACAATAATAGTATTCATCCCTCATAATTGCTCTGACATTTCAACATTTCATGTAAACTTTGAAAATGCAATGCCTTATTCCTTGGAAGTGCTATACAGAAAGCGATTTTTGTTATCACTACATTAGGATGACATGAATAAAGTTAACTCTGGGCCTTAAATACTGTCCTGGCTCAGAATACACAAAAATAGGTCATATGTTGACATTTGCTTAGAATCCATATTTAATTAACCTATAATACATTAATTTAGTGTGTATTTACACTAGGCTTTAGCAGAATTGTTATACTGAATAAATTAAAATAACATTATCAAATTAAAAGATCTAGAAATAAAATGGGTTATTGTAAACTACAAGTTTATTGTAGTAACATTGAAAGAAAAATCTTTCATATTACCTTGTAATCTATGATATAATATTCATAACAAACCAGTACAGACATATCCTATTTTATTATGCTTCACTTTATTGAGCTTTGCAGATACTTTGTTTTATACAATTGAAGGTTTGTGACAACGCTGTGTCAAACAATTCTACTGGCATCATTTTTCCAATAGCACGTGCTCACTTTGTATCTCTGTTTCACATTTTGGTAATTCTCTCAATAGATCAAAATTTTTATTATTTTTATATCTATTATGGTAATCTGGTGATCAGTAATCTTTGATATTACTATTATAATTGTTTTGGGGTGCCACAAATTGTGCCCGCATAGGATGGAGAACTTAATTGATAAGTGTGTGTGTACTGACAGCTCCACTAACTGACTGTTCCTCCATTTCTCTCCCTCTTCTTGGGGAAAGAGGCCTCCCTAATGCCTGAGACACAAAAATATTAAAATTAGACCAGTTAATACCCTACAATGGGCTCTAAGTGTTCAAGTGAAAGGAAGAGTTGTATACCTCTCACTTCAAATCAAAAGCTAGAAATTATTAAACTTAGTGAAGAAGGCTAAAAAAAGCCAAGATAGACCAAAAGCTGGGTCTCCTGTGCCAAAAGGTTAGCTAAGTGTGAATGCAAAGAAAATATTCTTGAAGAAATTAAAAGTACAACATCAGTGAACACATGAATGATAAAAGGCAAAAAGGTTTTATTGCTGATATAAACAAAGTTTGAGTGATATGGATAGATCAAATCAGCCACATTTTCTTATGCTAATGCAGAGGAAAGCCCTAACTCTCTTTAATTCTATGAAGTCTACAAGAAAGTCAGAAGGCTGCAGAATAAAAATTTGAAGCTAACAGAGGCTGATTTATGAGGTTTAAGGAAAGAAGCCATCTTTGTAACATAAAAGTGGAAGGTGAAGCAGCAAGTGCTGATGGAGAAGCCGTATCAAGTTATCCAGATGAAATAGCTAAGATAATTGATGAAGGTGGCTACACTAAAAACAGATTTCCAATGTAAATGAAACAGCCTTCTATTTCTATTGGAAGAAGATGCCTTTTAGGACTTTCGTAGCTAGAGAGGAGAAGCCAATGTCTGGCTTCAAAACTTCAAAAAACAGTTTGACTCTCTTGTGATCAACTAATGCAGCTGATGACTTTACGTTGAAGCCAATGCTCATGTCCAACGAACTCTTAGGGCCATTAGAATAAGAATTATGCTAAATCCACTCTGCCTGTGCTCTAAAATTGAAACAACAAAACTGGGATGTAAGAAGAACCTTAAACAAAAAGACTGTTTATAGCATGGTTTACTGCATATTATAAGCCCACTGTTGAGACCTACTCATTAGATTTAAAAAGGAGGTTTTTTTGTTTGTTTGTTTACATTTTATCAAATTCAAATTTCATTAAGGATTTCAATTTACATATTTCAAATTTCTAGAATGAAATGGAATCATAAACACTGACATCCCTTGAAACTTCAATTTTATAAAGAAAATTCTTCTGCAAACCACATCCCCATTATAGAGCAAGACTAGGTATGATCTACACCTTCACTTTAGCAATAGCTATTTCCTAAAACAATGAAAAAGATGATTTTGCAACTTCATTAAAAATGGGATTCTATCTTTAAAGTTCAGAAAAAGCTGCATTTAGATGAACTATGGTTACAAACAACAAAAAAGGAGCAAAGAGTATCTAATCAAAGCAAAGGAAATCATTTTGAAAATAAAGAGGAAAAAGCTATTATAATTGGTTAAGGGTTTCCAGTAGTAAGTTAAAATCTCAGGAGAGGAATGGATAGCACTACAAACAATGTGTTCACATTTCAAGACCTTAACACTAACTTCTCAAAAAGGAAGTTTTCATCACCTCTAAAAATGAATTCAATGTAATTTTATTAAGAGCAGGAAATCTAGACCTTCCTCTAATGACAATCAAATAGTCCATTCTTGCTGTTGTCAAAAAAAAAAAAAAGTTCAACCCCAAAATTAACACTAATTAGCTGAGGTATGGTAAATGTGGCTCTACAGTCTGAAATTTAATTGTATCTTTTGTCAAAAATAGTCTTATTTCCACGTTAGTCTCATGAGTACAATACTATAGTGCTATCACTGTAGTATTTACAACAATACAGTCATAAAAATATCTGAAAAAAATTATTGGACCTTGCGAAACAGTGCATCCATCCATTTTGGCAAGACAACTGTATGGTTAAGAATTTCCAGTATGACTATACCCAATAAGTGTATTAGATTGTTAATGGATTATTGTGTTATAGGTGACATAGTTAACTCTAAAGTAACCTGACTCAGTATAGTTACTGGTACCACAGTGAGGTGAATAAATCAGGATTTTCAGAAGTTAGGCTGAATTTAACTGTACTTTTACATTTAACTTCCATTAACTAAGCATCTTTTCTTTGTGGTAGAGTCTAACTTCTGCTTCCCTGGAAAGGGTGAATTTACATCATTTGACACGCCTATTTTCAAGTTATTTGTGTTTGTTTGCTTGTTTTTGTTTCTGCAGCCAAAAATAAAAATTTCAAATACAATTTTAGTTCTTACAAGATAATTTCTTAATTTTGTACCAGTTCAGGTAGAAGCAGAGGCCTAGCTTGAAATAAGGGTTATAGTCAGTTTTTACCACATTATTGAAGAAAACAGTACCAGGTTTGGAAAAAGATACCATACTAATAAGTAGAGAAGAAGAAGAAGAAGGAAGAAGAAGAAGAAGAAGAAGAAGAAGAAGAAGAAGAAGAAGAAGAAGAAGGAGAAGGAGAAGGAGAAGGAGAAGGGGGGTGGGGGGAGGGGGAGGGACAGGGGAGGGGGAGGGGAGGAGGATGGGGAGAAGAGGAGGAGGAAGAAGAAAATCTTAAGTGATTTGATGCTTAAAAAGAAAAAGTTCATTTTTGGGGGGTTAGAGCTAGAGAGAAGGCCCCAAGCTTCTGTGGTTTCTTCTCATTCTTATTGCTTAAAGTATGAGCATGTCACTTACCCATGCTTCTGTTTACTATGTATTAAAATGGGTAGTACTATTTACTTAACTACCTCATGGATATGTTAAGGCATATTGAGTTAAATCTCATAAAATATTTCTCAATCTCGTTAAAAGCTCAAAATTTTGGTCCTATTTGTAATGCCAGTGTGACACTCAGCATTTTGTTCACACAATGCTTTGATAACTAAACTGGAAAACAAAGGTTAAGTACCTCTGTTCTGGATCTGAGCAGGCAGCACTCTTTTAGATCTTTGTGTGGCTTCTATTTTTATAAAAAGATTACTTTCAAAAGGTTACTGCTCATTGACAATGCACCTGGTCACCCAGAAGCTCTGATGGAGATGTACACGGAGATTAATGTTGCTTTTCATGCCTGTTAAAACACCATGCTTTCTGCATGTCATGAATCTATGAGTAATTTTGAATTTCAAGTCTTATTATTTGAGAAATAAATTTTGTAAGGCTATAACGGCCATAGATAGTGGTTCCTTTAATGGATCCAGGCAAAGTAAATTGAAAACCTGGAAAAGATTTGCCATTTTAGATGCCATTAAAAACATTCATGTTTACATGAGAAGGTTAAAATATCTACATAAACAAGAGTTTGGAGGAAGCTGATTCCAGCCCTCATGGATGACTTTGAAAGGTTCAAGACTTCAGTAGAGGAAGTCACTCCAGATGTGGTAGAGATAGCAAGATAACTAGAATTAGAAGTGGATCCTAAAAATGTGGCTTAATTGCAGCAATCTTATAATAAAACTGTAGCTAATGAGGAGTTGATTCTTATGGATGAACAAAGAGTTTTCTCAAGAAGGAATCTACCTCTGGTGAAGATGCTGCAAATATTGCTCAAATGACAGCAAAGGATTTAGTATATTACATAAACTTAATGGATAAAGCAGTGGCAGGGTTAGAGAGGATTGACTCCAATTTTGAAAGAAGTTCTACTGTGGGTATAATGCTATCAAACAGCATGACAAGTTACAGGTAACTATTTTGTAAAAGGAAGAGTCAACTGATGCAGGAAACCTTATTTTTGTCTTATTTTAAGTAGTTGTCTACTCGGGAGGCTGAAGCAGGAGAACCACTTAATCTGGGAAGGTGGAGGTTGCACTGAGTCAGCATTGCACCGCTGCACTCCAGCCTGGGCAACA
Source organism: Homo sapiens (assembly GCF_000001405.40). Classification (NCBI taxonomy): domain Eukaryota; kingdom Metazoa; phylum Chordata; class Mammalia; order Primates; family Hominidae; genus Homo; species Homo sapiens. Next base: position 102,412,638 of record NC_000001.11, read on the forward strand.
GATCAAGACTCAGTTTCAAAAGAAAGAGAAAATAGTCACCCTAACCATTGCAGCCACCACCCTCATCAGTCAGCAACCATCAACACTGAGTTAAGATCTTCCACCAGCAAAAGGATTGTGACTAGCTGAAAGTTCAAATGACTCTTAGCATTTTTTAGCAACAAAGTTATTTTTTATTAAGGTTCGTACATTGTTTTATAGACATACTGCTATTGCACAGTTAATAGACTACAGTAGAGTATAAATTTAATTTTCATATGCACTGGGAAACCAAAAAATTTGTATGACTTGCTTTATTGCAATATTTGTTTCATTATGATGGTCCAGAACCAAAGCAGGAATATCTCTAAGGTAAATCTCTACATTTTGAATGTTATATTATAACATACAAAAATCCAATCTAATTAAATGTATAGTATAATGAGCTTTTAAAAATGAATACAGTCATGTAAACACCCTCATCTTCAAGATATATACATAACATAGTCAAAGTTCCCTTATGCCCTGTAGAATCCATCCTCTTCTTTCAATACAAGGTGCTAGCAACCAATAGCAAGTTAAGCTTTTCTTTAATGTTTATTTTTGAGATGTTTTAAAATTATACACTGTTGCAAACACAATATAGAATTGTTGCATTGCCCTCATCCAGCCTCTCCTCTTGTTAACATCTCAAATGACTGTAGAACACATATTAAAACTAAGAAAATTTAGTGGAACTTCACCAGTGTATCCATCAATATTGTCTCTTTATTTTAGGAGCTAATCTCCAAACCAACTTACATGTTCTCAAAGAAGTCCCCCATGAGGCTTGATGATTAGATGCCTCATGGGTGACTTCTTTGAGAACATGTAATAGTTCTTCTGCTTAAATTTTTGCACAATAATTTTAGCAACTATTTCAATCTAAGTCATGACAATTATTACTCTACATTCTAATGTTGATTTTCTATTTTTCTTATTCTTTTTCTGCACTCAAAGTTTCATTGAGAATAACATATACTTCAATTTGATTAGCTTTACCAAACTAAGAACTATCTCATTTTATATGCTTACACAATTTCTCATTTAACTTTATAATGGATGCAGGTGATTAGAGTATAAAACTCCAATGAATTCAAAACTCTAAATTCAGATCAGCTCAATCTTTTGCAAATAGGTGAGTGGAATAATCTGTCATATTGTTGTCAATACTGTCAATCTTTCATGTTGCTTAAGGGGGTAGGAATTAATATTTTACAAGTCCTAATTTTTGCTAATTATTTACAAAACTAAAAGTTTACCTCATTCATTTAATGCACATGCATTTTAAATGCCACACATTTACAGGCTTTACAAATTTTTCCTCCACTTAATTCTCAAAAGTAAAAATTTATGCATAAAAAGTGAGGCTTACACATATACAAGGAGCGAAACATGGAGTAAGAAACATGTCTTCTCAGTGACATTTAATAATTGTTAAAATATCTCTTAGATTTCCAGACTGCAGTGCAATTTGGTTACAAACTACCCTGATTTAGTGAAAACCCTACAAGTTAAGGACACAATCCCCAACAAACTGTCCTTATTTCAGATGCAACCACAAGTTTGAGAGTCCCTAGGCCATGCATTTTTCCAACCAACTGGCTATGAATTCAGAGATTCCCACAACCCCGTCATGTTCAATGATTTGCTACAATAGCTGAGAAAACTCAGACAACTGTCATGTACTCATGATTATAGTTATATTTTAAAATATACAAATCAGAATTAGTTAAATGAAGAGACACAGAGAATGAGGTCTAAGAAGGTCTGGAATTCAGAGCTCCCATGTCCGCTCCCCATGGAATCAAGATGTGTCACCATCTAAACATATGCATGTGTTCAATCAGGAGGCACACCTCAGCTATGTCTCTGGAGGTTTTATTGGACAAATATTGACATAATTGAAACATTGGGCATGTGACCGAATTCAATCTCCAGCTCCGCTCTTCTCTCTGGAGAAATTTGAGGTGATACCACCTGGCTCACACATGGTCTTTCTGGTAAGACCAGGCTTCATCCTGAGGGATCTCATAAGCATAAATGTAGGTGCAGTGGAAAATAGCACCATAAATAACAAAGACACTCCTATCACTTAGAAGATTTTATGCATTTCCTACCTGGAAACCTGGGAAAAAACAGTCAATTTTCTTAATATATGATATTAGCAGAAGTTAGCTAAATATATGAGAGAAGGCTCTGAAAAGCAAGTACACAAAAATAATGTTGAGATGTGTCACCATGAAGATTAGGAGGCTACTGCCAAACAGGTAATTTACCATTTGTATATTGTAGATGGAGAAAGAAGTAGGGAATCATAAAAATTATAGATCCTCTTTTTATTTCTGTTGTGATGTAAGAAGCTTGGAAGTTGCCACTTCATCCTAAGAAAGGGTGAAAAGCTAAACAACCTGAAAAATTAACAACTCTTCTTAATAAAAGAAGTGAGATCACAGGGCAAACCACTACCTCCCAAACTGGAGAAACCAACACCCAAATACAAATAATCACAATTTACTACAGCAGGAACCGACAAGTGACAACCTCTGTTGGAACCAGTGCCAGGTAATAAAACCTGAACTGTAACTGACAAATTGCTGGAGACTCAGTGTGGAAAACTCAGAGTTAAAATTCCAGCGGGGATCACTCATAGTGGGGCTCCCACAGTTTTATGAGTTTTACCTCCAGTAACTCTGCAAGGTACTTATAATGACTACTAGAGAAAAATTGCGATGTTCTTCCACCAAAAAAAAAAAAAAAAAAAAAAGAGGGTAAAGGAAATATTTTGAAATATGCCAGAGAAGTGTCTTGTTCTTAACAGGGTCTGCCCTCAGTAAAAACATGTTAACTAGAGCTTAAAGTGCTGGTGTTTTATCAGAGACTAACTGACCTGGGGAAAGGAAATACTCAACTCCAATTAGATATAGTATTTCACACGGAGGAATAAAAATACCCAATACAAATTCCCTCTAATCTTCCAAGTAGCAGAAGGGAAATACCCCAATGCAGCCCACTGTAGATACCTTGTCTTACAAGAGGAAAGAAGGTGACTGAGGAGCACATGCAAAATGTACATTCTAGAGGTACAAGCTCAGTACATTACTGAGACCTAATCATAAAACTACAGAATGCAAACCCTCCCCCTACATCTTGCCACCTCACTTCTAATGGCATATTTCTATCGTTTCTTTTATTCAGTACATCATGTACAATTCTCAAGAAAAAATTATAAGACATACTAAAAGGCAAATAAGACAGTTTGAAAAGAAAGAGCAAGCATCAAACCAGAATCAGATATGGGAAGTATGTTGGAATTACCAGACTGAGAATATAAAACAACTATGGCTAATATTGCTAATAGTCCTAATGGATAAATAGACAAGAATTAAGAATAGAAGGACAATGTAATCAGAGACAAAATAATTCTAAGAATTATTTTAAATGCTAGAGTTACAATGCACTGCCACAGAAGTGAAGAATGTCTTTCATGGTCTAATTCGTAGACTGGATAGGGATAAGAAAAGAATATCTGACCTGAGCTTGAGAATATTACAATAAAAACCTCCAGAACTGAAAAAGAGAAGAAAAAAAGGAATAGAATATCCAAGTACTGTGGGACATATGTTTAACATATGTGTAATGGAAACACCACAGGAGAAGAAAGAGAGAAAAAAAAAAAACAGAAAAAATATTCGAAGCAATAAGGACCAAGAATTTCTGTAAATTAATGTCAGGCACAAAACCAGAGACCTAGAAAGCTCAGAGGACACCAAGAAAGACTAATAACAGAAAAAATATTCCTACACATATTATTTCTACATTACAGAAAAGCAAAAATAAAGAAAAAATTTAAAAACGTCAACAGAAAAAGCAGTGATTTTTCTCTTTACCTGAATATATATAAACCAAACATATAATTTGCTATTCCTACTGACATAAAAGATATCTTTCTCACCAACACCCAGGGGTTTTAAAAAAATAATAAATTTCATAATACTTGCAAACATGATGAAGCAATTTAATAAAAACATAAAGGAAAATGTTGTAAGGAAGAAAACTCAAACAACAAAACAAGAGGTTGATGTTGAAAGTACATGCAGCTAAAAAATTAAAAGTGACTTTAATAATGTAATACCAGAATGAGAACCTTATCTTGGGTATGAAGAATGTAACTTTTGAAAAAACAGTAGCAATTAACAAATATCAAGGAAAATATCCGGCATTAGCAAGTTAGTTCTTCAGAAATAAGATACATTTTTATGCTGTTCAGTAAATGTTCCTGTGTAACGGTTGAGGAGTACCAAGAAAAGAGACATTTAACTTGACTTTAGATCAATAAAAGTTAGTCTCTTTGAAAAAGACAGACAAAATACACTTTTAAAAATAAATAGAACTTCAGCAGTCTATGGGGGCACTATTAAAGCATGTAATATAAAGATAATAGATGATTTCATAAAATGGTAGTTTCTACTTTCATGTAAAGTGATACGATGCTATCTCTAAGTAGAGTATGAGAAGAGAAGAATACAGGAGTATCACTTCTACTTAGGATATTGCAAGTTCCAAAAGGACATCATCCCCATCCAAAAACAAAAGCCTGGGTTATCTAAAAAGTCATAATTTTTCTTGAGATTATCAGAGAGCTAACATTAAAAGCAAACAAATGAACTTTACTCCCAAGAAGTTAGAATAAACTCTCCAGGTATAAATGAAATATACTTACTATTTCAACCTTGGAAGAATACAGGAGAAAAGGTTGGTCACCATTAAAATAGAAGAAAGTAGCTAAAAACTTTAAATCTTGAGGATCACCCAACACAATAGTTAGAAACTCTGTTAACACCAAACAAGCAAACAAACAAATACACTTTCACTTGCAAGATCTTTTCCACAGGCATCTAACTTTTGCTCATGACAAACATTGTGGTAAGTGTTGGAGATGGGACAGAGCCATTTTAAGTGGTACACAGGCAGAAAAGCAATGCCCATTTCTAGACTCATCTGTCATCAAAGTGAAAGGCTTAACTGAAGGAAAACAACCTGCCCCGAAGTCCCAAAGCCAAGGAAATGATTGGGTGGCTATAGAAGCAAAATGTATATATATATTTTTAGGACAAGATAGCAAATCTCCCTGTCCCAATATAAGTCTAGTCTTGTAAGGATCCACAGCAACCTGGGCTGACTGCTGAGGGACAGACAGAAAGCACTCCAGCTCCCAATCAGAGAAACACACTCTGCTTCCACAGAAGTAATAGACCCAAAAGGAGTGTGTGCCTGGGAAGGAGAAAAAAGAAGACTACCTATAAGGTTATAAACTTGACATCCAGATAATACCAATTTCTATTTGTTGAGCTCTCTGCAATGACAGATAGAATATATTGGGATTTTCATGTAAATGATTGCAATCAATACAAGAACATGGGTAGATGATACCCCATTTTGTAAATTAATTAGCTAAGGATCAGAAAAGATAAGTAGCTTTATTGTGTTCCAACATTAAAAAGCAACAGACCTGTAACATGATATTTTTTGTTTCCGGTTTGAATGGTCTTTCAATTTTACTCTGTTCCTTCCCCTCCAACTCCTTTGATACAGGGATGAAGGAGAGTTTTTCAAAAATGATGATAGAAGCTGAGTATGTTTATGGTTTCAAAAAAACATCAAATAGTGGAATTAGAAAATATAGGGGCAATATTGTAGAACATAATCAGAGTGCTGGAGATCACTAATCCTAGTAGAAAGATTGCATTTTTTTAGAAAATTAAGAACTATTGTTTGAGAATGAAGAATGATATATGTGATACAAAGTGAGAAATTGAAATTTATTTTTGTTCTTTATTTTCTCTATAAAATAAGAGGCAGGGAATAATCTAAACAAAGAGATAATTAAATGGAAAGCTTGAGAAAGTGATGAAATGTGGCTGTATTTGTTGATGGTTATGGGAGCAAGATTTAGCAAAAATATATAAATATATAAATAAATATATGTATATATATATATATATATATATATATATATATATATATATATAAAACTAAACCTGGTATGTGGCATTGAGGGATATAAAGAAGCCATATGGAAATGTCTAGATCTTATTTTTATTTCCCTATATGTTAGATTATATAGTTGATTATTATTGTGATTATGATTATTAAAACAATTGCCAATTTCTTCAAAAACTATCATGCTTCTTGCATGAGACAAAAGCTTCATTCAAGGAATTTTCCAAGACCAATTTTTCTCCACATTAAAAAAAAAAACTCAGCCTAAAACTATGCAACTTTATGAAAGTACAATGCAAGTTTTTAAATTCAATTCTTACTACCAGAAAGATCCACTGTGAATGATTTTTCTGGTATACCCTGTATCAGTGAATTGTCCCACCATGTCTCTATCGCATGGTCAGTAACCATTCCCTGTTTCTTTCTCTTTCTGTGCATTTGATTTTCTCCTTTGTCTAATTTTTCTGATTTTATCCCTTTGGAGTTTGTTTCAGCTTCAGGCTCACATGTTGACTTCTCTACCTGCTGATCTGCAGAGATACTCAGCTCATAGCTCTATGGCTTCGCAACTTCATTGCAAAGAGACTTTTTATCTGGGTTTTAAAATAAGATTCATGAATTGGATCCATTTTCATGTGAAGTGGTGAATTAAATAGTTGCTAATAAAGCCTTCATATAGCTCAGATTGGTTCATTCAAATATACTGAATGATTTCAACCTTGGAAAATCTAATGGATTTTTAGTTCTCTTAATGTAACACCCTTTGCCACATAGATAATGTTATAGTATGAATAAATGGTTATTTATGGACTACATTGTATAAACTTGAATCATGTACTACATTTGAATAGTTCTTGACACTGAACTTTAAAATGAAACTTTTTTAATTGACAGTCTTGGAAGTGGATACTATTCTGAAGTAAAACTAAAAAAAGTTTAAAACAGCAAAACTTCTAAACTGTCGTTCCTCTATTTTTATTGCTCTCCTTAAGTGAGAAATTAGATTAGCTCTTGGAGTAAGTTGGGAAGGCATTTAACATTCACTTTGTTCTTAAATGTTTTCTCTCTATATCAATTCCATATAATAATAAAAGAAAATATATTTCTCTAGTAGAGTAATATTGAGGATGCTATGCATATTTTTATGAAGACAGCAAAAGCAAATTAATGGTCAAACAGATAAGTGATAGAATAAAACTCAACAACAACAACAACAAAAGAATAAAACTCAACAAACAGGTATCCATTAAATAAAATTTCTTTCTATCTCTTTTATTCTAAATTCTCTACCTCACTATCTTATTCTAGGTTCTCCTCCTCTGCCTTTGGCAATGCTATAAATCAATCTTTAAAAAAAATTGTTTTTCATTAACATTGTTTTGGTAGTGGTTAATAATTTATAATAGGTAAACAAAAGACAAAAGTTCAGGGCAATTTACATTCCAAAAGAAAAGATATGTGAACACATAGAGAAAGACACTAAGCCAGAAGATGAAGCTAACAAGAACACAAATCAACAGTAAATTCATCACAGCCTCCTTTCGAGTTTGTGCTGTACAGTTGTTAATGAGGCTAACTTGTTACATTTGCAGTGAATTTCAATTATTTAGCTCACTCAGCTTTCTTTGTCCATCTGTCTCCCTTATCCAGATATATGCTCTGCTTTGGAAGGAACTGTTTTGACTCACTCCTCATCTAATGTTGTCTAATTCTTTTTGAAACTTGCCAATCATAGTATCTTACCTCCCAGACCAAAAGATTGGGCTAAGAAATTGATAAATATGTAAGCATATACAAAATAGTACTTACTGTAGAAGACTAAAATCATGGTTATGATTAGTTTTGGAAATATTAATTCAGAAAGAATGAAAACTAAAAACAAGACTAACAAAAACAAAAGGGATTATTATTAGAATCAAATACTATGTGTTCTCTTCTAAGCAGAATATGAATATATTAATTACTTTTTTAAATTTTATAGAAAAACAATAAACTATACAAATATTATAAAAAAGATTAAGTTAATCTCACTTTTAACTTGGATGGTAAATTTCTAAAAAATGATAATAACAATAATAAGCAAATAAAATCTAACAATGTATGATTTATATTACAACCTACTGTTTATTCAAATACTCAAGTATGGGTTAATATTGGAAAATCCACTCACATATTTTATCACTGAAAGAGTTAAATGAGAAAAAAAATAAGCCACCTAATATTAATAGATGCAGATCAATAGATGCAGAAATAGAATTGAATAAAATTTAATAACCCTTTAAAAAAGAAAAATAGAAATTGTTTTGAAGTGAAAAAAATAGAAGTTTTCTTAACTAGACAAAATATATCTACAAAAAGACTGTGGAATATTAGCACGATGCAAACAATGTCATACCAAGAACAGCAACAACAAAAAAGACGTCCACTTACATCACTTCCATTTAACATTGTAATGAATGTTCTAGGTAGTCTATGAGAAAGAAAAAACAATGCAACACACAGTAAATGAAATTAAATAAAATCATTGGTTGCCATCTTCTACATTAAACAATCCAAAAATCAAAACTATGAATAAACCCAAAAATCAAAACTGAATAAACCCTGCTAAATTATGAGAAATTTCAGCAAGTTTACTAGATTTGAAATTACCTACATATTTAAATATATTATATCTAAATATCTAAAGCTAATAGCAAATTTTATAAGAGCAACAAAGTAAAACACCATATAAATAAAAATAATGCCATTTATAATGGCACAACAATTGTGAAATACATAAGAATAAACCTAAGAATAGACTTTATGGAGAAAATTATAAAAATATTGAATGTCATAAAAGTTAGGTGCATAAATGTGAAACTACATCACCTTTACATATAGAAAGATAACAAAATTCATTATAAAGCATTAGAAATTAAGATTGCTTGACACAATACAGACTGATTGACAAATTGATAAAACATAGACCCCCCACATGTGGAAAAGTGTTACAAGAAAGATGAAATAACAATCAGTGGAAAAAAAGATAATATGCTGTAGATGACATTATATTAAATCATATATGCTGTAGATGACATTATTTTAAAAATAATTGATTGTAAATTAATTGTAATTACAATTGTAAATCATAAAGTCACAGACCAGTTGAGAATAAAAGGATTTAGAAAGTTATGCTTGCTGGGCATGGTGGCTCATGCCTGTAATCCCAGCACTTTGGGATGCCGAGGCAGGTGTATCTCCTGGGGTCGGGAGTTCAAGACCAGCCTGACCAACATGGAGAAACCCCGTCTCTACTAAAAATACAAAATTAGCCGGATGCGGTGGCATGTACTTGTAATCCCAGCTACTTGGTAGGCTGAGGGAGGAGAATCGCTTGAACCCAGAAGGTGGAGGTTATGGTGAGCCAAGATCGCTCCACTGCACTCCAGCCTGGCCAACAAGAGTAAAATTCCGTCTCAAAAAAATAAAAAGAAAAAGAAAGTCATGCCATGAAAACACTAACCGATAAAGCTTGTGAGGCTATATCATTCAAAGTGGACATTAGAACAAAATATATTACTAGTAGTAAAGAGGATATTTCCAAAGTAGGCACAATGAAGAAAGTAGTAAAGATAAGATCAGGAAAGCAATAATATATATATTTTATTTGCAGAAAAGCAAAAATAAAAATAAAAATAAATAAATAAAAATCAATATAACCAAATACTGAGTCTTTGATTTAAAAATTGATGAATTTCTAATAAAACGCTGAGAAAAAGAGAGAAGACACCAAGTAAGAATAGTAAGAATAGATGAGGAGAGATTAATAGATCCTACAAATATTAACTAAAAGCTCCCTTATGAAGAAGGAGGTAACCTGAATAGGTATGTATCTGCTAAAAACATTAATTTCATAGTTACAAATCTTCCACCTAAGAAAATTCAGGAACAGATGGCATTACTGTGAAATTCTACCCAGCATTGAAGAAAGAAGTAATATTAATCCTGTAATCATTATTTCAATAAATAGAACACATTGCAATTTATTTTATGAGGCCAACATGACCTTGATAGGAAGGTAAGACATATTACAAGAAAAGAAAACTCTGTGCCTATGCCTCTTAGGCATATAAGTGCAAAATTTAACAACGTTGCATGGGACCAAATTGAGTAATAAAATAAAAAAAAAAACCCATCATGATCAATTGGGGTTTATCCTAGAAATGAAAGGTTGGATAAACATCAGAAAAATTCAGTCAATGTGTCACATACTGTCAGGTTGGTGCAAAAGTGACTACCGTTTCTGCCATGATAATAATAGGCTAATGTGAGAAAAACAAAACAAAACAAAACAAAAACAATACGATCATCTCAAGAGATGTAAAACGTATTTGAAGAAAGTCAGTATCCATTGCTCTTGAAAACTATCAGCAAATTCAGAATAGAGGAATACATTCTCAGTCTGATAAAGAGCATCTACAGTGAAACATAAAGCTTACACCATACTTTTCCGTAAAATATTAATTCTTCCTCAGTGATTTTGGGAGGAAGTCATTGATATCCACTTTTATTCTTTCTATTTACCATTATACTAAAAGGATTTAGCCATGACAATCAGATAAGAAAAATAAATTAAATGCTTATATATAAGAAACAAATAAATAGAACTGTCTTTATTTGTAAACAATAAATTATCTGTTTAGACAACCTCATATAATCTAGAAAAATGCTTCTAGAACTAAAAAGTTGTTTAACAAGGTCACAGATTATGGGTTAAGTATACAAAAATCAAGACTACTGTTATGCTAGCAAGGAACTAGTGAAAATTGAAATAGTAGCACTGTGTACAATATTAATAAAAATAATTAGAATATTTAGGCAGAAATCTAATGAATTGTGTACAATATTAGTTTGTCAGTTGCTACAAGATGTTAATGATTAAAATCAAGAGAGATCTAAAAATTTTGAGAAATGTACTTTATATATGGATCAGAAGACTCAAAATTAATATGTCAGTTCTCCTCAAATGTATCTGTAGAAATACTGCAGTTCCAATCAAAATCATGGCAAAAAGGTTGTTTTGTTTTAAAAATTGACAAGCTGTTTCTAAAGTTTATATAGAAAACAACAGACCTAAAATAGTCAACCCAATTTTCAAAAATAAAACATTTGGAGGACTCACATTACCTGATTTCAAGAATTAACATAAACCCCCAGTAATCAACTGAATACAGTAGTCATAGAAATTAACAGGATAGAATAAAGTCCTGAATTATACACATATGATAATATAAGTATTTCAATTTAAAAAGGATTGTCTTTTCAGCAAATGGTGCTGGATTGATTAGGCATCTATATGTAACAATATCTAACTGGACCTTAAATGTCTTTCCTATTTTTCATTTGGATGACAAGTAAATCATTTTGTCCAATACAGTTTTTCCCTCTAACATTCTGCTTTTTGCCTAAATGGAAGAGAACGATACTGAGATTCTGGATGACTTAGCTGTTTAACACCTTGATTTTATGTTGTTCCAAAGTTTAGCATAAATCTTAGCTCTATTACTCAATTGATTTGTGACTTGCAACAACTGAATTAAATCCTCTAATCTTTGCTAAAGTGTTTATTGTATGGAATTAATAAAGCTACTTGATCTGTTTGTTGCAAGTATTATATTAACATAGTGACCCACCCTTACTAAATTATTTAACATAGCTACTATTATTTCTGTAGAATTTCCAAAACACTTTGTAATATTGGTATTTAAAAATGATATGTGAATCAACTTATTATATAATAAATAATAAGTATATATTAACATAATGAAACAATAAATTATGGTCATCAGAATTTGTAATTGACATTTAAATTTTGTAGTTATTACTTAGCAAATTAAATTACATTTTTGTATTTCAAATCTTCCCTGAAACTACGTTGCTATATGTTTTTAATAACTACATATATTCTGCAAATCCAATCTCTCCAAAAGTGAAATGACCAACGTTGAGTGGCCAGAAAACCCCTTTCACTTTTACTTGCACTATTGTTGGATATATTAGAATGAATATCACAAGTGGCATGTTTTGCATCTGTAATACTGTAAAAATATTGTATATTTAATCAATCATGTGAGTATTATAGCAACAATACAGCTTTTAATAGCAAAGGAGTTTAAGCATATTAAAGGAGATGCTTCAGTATACTATAATAGCTTAATATACCTATGAATATGAGAAACTTTTTAGGCTTCTCATATATTTACCACTAAATTAAAAAGTGTCAAAGAAAAAACTGTGATCTGAAAACATCATACCAAGAATTTGAGAATTTTGCATTAGTGGTAGCCTAGCTACCATCATACTTTTTGCATGTGTGAATTTTTTAATACATGAGATATTCAACTGATAGCAAAAAACTTTTAGTTTTGTTTTGTTCCTGTTTTTATTACCAAGCATTGAAGAGTCAAATTCCTGTTAAAGAAATTGTCTGAATAAACTTGTAGAATAGGAAATTGGAAGTCTTTATCAGAAGAAAAGAGGTTTGCCAGATATGGTGGCTCATGCATGTAATCCAAACACTCTGGGAGGCCAAGGTAGGAGGATCGCTTGAGCCCAGGAGTTCAAGACCAGCCTGGGCAACATAGCAATAACCCACCTCTGTTTTAAAAAAAAAAATTTACAAAGAAGAAAAGAGGCTTATTACAAAAATTAGAGTCCTGAAACTAAATGTCTTGATTCACTAGAACCCCAAAAGAAACATAAAGATTAAAAAATCAATCCGTTAAGCCAAATAACATAATTCAATATTTTTTCCAAAATGTGATTGATTTTTTGGAGGGTATTTTCTTCAAAAAACTTACCTGAGTAATTTCCCTGTTGATGTGAATGACAATAGAAACCTACGTGCTGAAATAAAAAGTTTTTATTGGTAAGGATAAACAAATCCCAAGTAAACTTTTAAAAGCCATTATTTTTGCTCATGGATAGGAAGAATCAATATCATGAAAATGGTCATACTGCACAAGGTAATTTATAGATTAAATGTCATCCCCATCAAGCTACCAATGACTTTCTTCACAGAATTGGAAAAAACTACTTTAAAGTTCATATGGAACTAAAAAAGAGCCTGCATTGCAAAGATAATCCTAAGCCAAAAGAACAAAGCTGGAGGCATCACACTACCTGACTTCAAACTGTACTACAAGGCTACAGTAACCAAAACAGCATGGTACTGGTACCAAAACAGAGATATAGACCAATGGAACAGAACGGAGCCCTCAGAAATAATACCACACATCTAAAACCATCTGATCTTTGACAAATTGGACAAAAACAAGAAATGGGGAAAGGATTCCCTATTTAATAAATGGTGCTGGGAAAACTGGCTAGCCATATGTAGAAAGCTGAAACTGGATCCCTTCCTTACACCTTAGACAAAAATTAATTCAAGATGGATTAAAGACTTACATGTTAGACCTAAAACCATAAAAACCCTAGAAGAAAACCTAGGCAATACCATTCAGGACATAGGCATGGGTAAAGACTTCATGTCTAAAACACCAAAAACAATGGCAACAAAAGCCAAAATTGACAAATGGGATCTGATTAAACTGAAGAGCTTCCTCACAGCAAAAGAAACTACCATCAGAGTGAACAGGCAACCTATAGAATGGCAGAAAATTTGTACAATCTACGAATCTGACAAAGGGCTAATATCCAGAATCGACAAAGAACTGAAACAAACTTACAATAAAAAAAAAATAATCCCATCAAAAAGTGGGCGAAGGATATGAACAGACACTTCACAAAAGAAGACATTATGCAGCCAAAAGACACATGAAAAAATGCTCATCATCACTGGCCATCAGAGAAATGCAAATTAAAACCACAATGAGATACCATCTCACACCAGTTAGAATGGCAATCATTAAAAAGTCAGGAAACAACAGGTGCTGGAGAGGATGTGGAGAAGTAGAACACTTTTACACTGTTGGTGGTACTGTAAACTAGTTCAACCATTGTGGAAGACAGTCTGGCGATTCCTCAAGGATCTAGAACTAGAAATACCATTTGACCCAGCCATCCCATTACTGTGTATATATCCAAAGGGTTATAAATCATGCTGCTATAAAGACACATGTACATGTATGTTTACTGCGGCACTATTCACAATAGCAAAGACTTGGAACCAACCCAAATGTCCAACAATGATAGACTGGATTAAGAAAATGTGGCACATACACACCATGGAATACTATGCAGCCATAAAAAAGGATGAGTTCATGTCCTTTGTAGGGACATGGATGAAGCTGGAAACCATCATTCTCAGCAAACTATCTCAAGGACAAAAAACCAAACACCGCATGTTCTCACTCATAGGTGGGAATTGAACAATGAGAACACTTGGACACAGGGTAGGGAACATCACACACCAGGGCCTGTCGTGGGGTAGGGGGAGGGGGGCGGGATGGCATTAGGAGATATACCTAATGTAAATGACAAGTTAATCGGTGCAGCACACCAACATGGCACATGTATACATATGTAACAAACCTGTACGTTGTGCACATGTACCCTAGAACTTAAAGTATAATAATAAAAAAGCCATTATTTCATCCCAGTACTAATAATATCCATTACCTAAATGCTAAAATCCTTTCCCAAAAATATATATTGTAAAATATGAGTGTAAATGCAGCTGGACTTTATTTCTGTAATTAACATAAGAAGAGCAGTAAAGATTTTCTTCTTAGAGAAGACATGCTTTTTTCAGCATCCATAAAAATTAGCACTTCATGAATCATCGCTACTTAAAGTAGTGGTATGAGACACAATACAAAATGCTATCTTTGAAAATGCATTCTTTCATTTATTTAGTGCATTTCTTTTAAAATTCACTTTTGTTTCTGGGTTATAGTACATTTGGTTCTTTCTGCACAACGTTTCATCATGTGGTGTTCTCATTGTACCATTTTCAGCAAATGAATATTGAATAGTAGTGGCAAAGCTATTTTGATGGAGCTCTGGTTTTGAACAGACAATGAAATCCCTAGAAAAATGAGCTATTACAATTTCCAAATAAATTGAAATGTGAATATCTTCCACATTTATATGTATTTAGACAGTTTTTATAATGTCATATTACTTGTACAGAACTAAGGTGGTGTGAGAAACGATTGTAAAGCAGAAAAGTTAGAGGAGATAATAAAAAGTCTGGCATACAGAAAAGTCCATTGGTTTTGCAGTAAACGTAAAAATCACTTAAAATTTTCTGTAATAATTTGAAACTGAAATTATATTAGCATTCCACCAAGGTGAACAATTTTAAATTATTACCTCTGATGAGATTTATGAAATGATGTACCAATCAATGCTTGTGTATAAAGATGTGGGAATGAAAAAATGTTTGCTTTAAAAAAACAAATCTGTAATATAAGACTATGATCACATGTATATATGAACAAGTAACTTGTGTATGTACTTGTATCTATGTCATTATTGATTACTCTGGAAAATAATCAGCATTGATATAGCAATAGTAGCATGGCAGTAAATAAATAATGTTTGTAACGTACCTGACATGATCAAAATAACTAAAATGAAGGAGCAAGGGCTTTACATAGACTACACACAATAATAACACAATATTAATAGTATAACAAGTTCAACATATCCCAAAATAACTATAGCTGTGGAAAGTTTCAGTTTGTTAAATTGAAGGATTTCTGACAGATTTAGAATAAGTAAAAGAATGGGTGTGTTTATTACAGGCATAGGAACCTCATGAGTCCAAATAAAGTTTTGGAAATCCATGTTGTTAATTGGAAGAAGTAGAATATTTTTGACAAATGTAGAAAATTTATATAAAATAAAAGTTGGTATATTTTATGCCACCAAAATTTCATTATTTTACACTTTCTAGGCAAATTTAGGTTTTAATATTAATATAAATTTGGCAATAAAATGTAGACAAGATAAGAATTTGGAGAACACAGGTATACAAACTAGTCCAATATTACCAACAAACTTTCAATTTTTATTTCAGAGCTACTCCACTTTAATTATTATTGACTTGCTTAATATTTCATGATCTGTTACTTGTCTGAACTATCTTAATAATATGTCACTGATCATATCATTTATAATTTTTTGGCTGGTATTACATGCATACTCCTATTTTCAAAATTAAATAAAAATTCACTGGTGCCATAGCTTTTGATTAAAGGGAGGAAAGAAGGTGGCATAATATCATGATTTAAAGAAAATAGAAAAAGTCAAAATACATGGGTTTGGATCCTAGGTTTGTCATTTCCTACCTGTGGTCTTAGATAGAAAATGTTGATTCATATATTTGGGCCTCAGTTGTTTTTCTTTTTCTTTATTCTTTTTTTTTTTTTTGTAAATGGATTTATGTCACTGATTTTCAAAAAGTTTGTCAAAAATACCTATGTTTCTAAAGAAATGCTTCCAAAGCCAAATCCTCAAAAGGGATGCCTATATGAGGATATTGTGGACTCTATTTTATCCTTCACATTCTAAATGGCACCAATTTAAAGAAACATCAATTTTTTTTAATATATGAGGGTCCTACATAAGATATAATCATAAAAATAAGCAACCTGAATAGCATCTGCAAAAATGGCAGAGATGGTAGGTTCTAGAGCCTTTTCCTCTGCAGAAACACTGAAGACACAAGCAAAAACTATCAGAATAAACTTAGTAAGACTCTGAAAAACAGTTTAATATTTATAACAACCAAGCAAATGCTAATCAAGAAAAAGGAAATGTAAAAACAATACAATAGCTCTGTGGCCATTTCATTTGTCTTTGCTCTATGCCTTTTCCTGGTTTTACGGGAGTCTTGAAGACAGTAGTTTTATATTCCCAGGATAAAAAGCAGGTTCCTGTTCCTGGAAGGAACAGAGGAGAACTAATCAAAGTATTGTGTTTCATTTGAAGGACTGAGACAAGGCACTTGTCTGTTTTGTCTAAAGGACACCCTGTAGCCACCTGGGGCAAATAATAATAATAATAATGGCTCAAATAAATTATAGAGAACTGAATCTCTAGGAGGAAGAGCTAGAGAGAGGTATTTTGGTTTTGGGGTTTTTTTTAATTAAAAAAAGCATTCAAAAGGGCATTCAAAAGTAGCCAAGTGTAGTGTGGAATGTATAAAGTCACGTTGCCATCTAGGGCATACCATATACTCAGAAAAAGACTTAAGAACACCTTCAGCTTTTACTTCTGGCTATTCTGTAGTCTCAGTGTAAGTGGGGAATGTAGATAGGGCAGAATTATAAACAGCCTTGCTAAAACTTGAAGAACTGCCCCAGCACAGAGCAAATTTGCAAGGATTCAGATGAATTTTATCCCTTCTCTCTTTCTCTCTCTGACTTTATGTTGGCTCCTGGCATTCAGGAAAATCTCTGCCAACACTAGTTGAACACAAGGTATTAAAAAAAGGGAAAGAGTGTGATGTTCCCCTTCCTGTGTCCATGTGTTCTCATTGTTCAATTCCCACCTATGAGTGAGAACATGTGGTGTTTGGTTTTTTGTCCTTGCGATAGTTTACTGAGAATGATGTTTCCAGTTTCATCTATGTCCCTACAAAGGACATGAACTCATCCTTTTTTATGGCTGCATAGTATTCCATGGTGTATATGTGCCACATTTTCTTAATCCAGTCTATCATTGTTAGATATTTGTTGTGGGGTGGGGAGAGGGGGGAGGGATAGCATTAGGAGATATACCTAATGCTAAATGATGAGTTAATGGGTGCTGCACACCAGCATGGCACATGTATACATATGTAACTGACCTGCACATTGTGCACATGTACCCTAAAACTTAAAGTATAATAATAATTTTTAAAAAAAGTTACTGTAAAAAAAAAAAAAAGAGAGAGAAAGAGACCACAGATGACCCATAATAGACACTTCACAAAAATAGTTTAGGAAGGTCACTAGACAAACATATAAACAGCTCACCAAAAGCAATTTAAAAAGCCAGAGAAGGTCGGGCCCGGTGGCTCACGCCTGTAATCCCAGCACTTTGGGAAGCCGAGGCGGGCGGATCACGAGGTCAAGAGATGGAGACCATCCTGGCTAACAAGGTGAAACCCCATCTCTACTAAAAATACAAAAAAATTAGCCGGGCATGGTGGCGAGCGCCTGTAGTCCCAGCTACTGGGGAGGCTGAGGCAGGAGAATGGCATGAACCTGGAAGGTGGAGCTTGCAGTCAGCCGAGATTGTGCCACTGTACTCCAGCCTTGGCGACAGAGCGAGACTCCCTCTCAAAATAAATAAATAAATAAATAAATAAATAAATAAATAAATAAATATAAAAAGCCAGAGGAAAGAGTTTTATTTTAAGAATTACCACATTATAATATTCAAAATGCCTAGATTTCACAGAAAAATATGAAGCATTCAAAGAAAGAAAAAAATATGACCCATTCACATAAAACGTTAACAGAGACTATTTCACAGGAAGCACAGATATTGGAGTTAATAGATAAAGACTGTAACTTAATTATCTGAAATATGCTCAAAGAGTTAAAGGATATGATGAACAAAGAGCTAAAGAAAACCAGGAGAGTAATGTGTGGTGATATGGTTAGGCTTTGTGTCCCCACCCAAATCTCATCTTGAATTGTAATCCCCAGGTGTTGAGGGAGAAATCTAGTAGGAGGTGATTGGCTCATAGGGGAGATTTCCTCCATGTGATTCTCATGATAGTGAGTGAGTTCTCATAAGATCTTATGGTTTTGGTAAGTTTCTCCTTTGCTCACTATTCTCTCTCACCCGCTGCCATGTAAAATGTGCCACTTCCTCTTCCACCATGATTGTAAGTTTCCTGAGGCCCCCCCAGTCATACAGAACTGTGAGTCAATTCAATCTTTGTTTTTTAATAAATTACTCACTCCTGGGTATTTCTTTATAGCAGTGTGAAAACAGAGTAATATATGTGGTAAATAGGGACTATCAATGGAGACTTAAGTAATTTTATTCAAAAAAATTCTGGAGCTGAAAAGTATAATAACAAATAAAAACTTCACTGGAAAAGTTCAAAAGTAAATTTGGGCAGGCATAAGAAAGGATCAGAGAATTTGAAAATAAGACAGTTATAATTAACCAGTCTGAGGAGTAGAACACAAAAAGAATAGAAAAAAATGAACTAAGCCTAACAGATAAGCAGAATACTTTTAAGCATGCCAATATACATAGAATATACACGTACTGAAAATCTCAGAAGGAGAAAAGAAAGAGACAAAAATAATCTTTGAAAAAACAATGGCAAAAAAGCTCCCTAAATTTGATTTTAAAAAACTCACACAATGTACAAATTTAGGAAACTCAATGGACTCCAAGAAAGTAAATGCAAGGAGATCAACACCAAGATATATTATAATCACATTTTCAAAAATCAAAGACAAAGATAGAATCTTAAAAGCAGCGAAAGAAGCAATTCATCACTTAAGATTATCCATAATAACAGAAGATTTATTATTATAAACCATGGACATCAGAAGGATGTGAAATGACATTTTTAAAGCAAGGAAGGAAAGATGAAGGAAAGAAGGAAAGATTAAAGGAAGGAAGGGAAGGGAAGGGGAGGGGAGGCGAGGAGAGGGGAGGGGAAGGGAAGGGAAGGGAAGGAGGACCCATTAATCAACAATTCTACATCTGGCAAAACTATCTTCAAAAATAAGGAAGAAATTAAGATATAAGACAGTTTTAGATAATCAAAAGCTGAAGAAATTTGTTACTAGTCAATTTGCCCTACAAAAAATGTTAAAGGGAGAACTTAAGGTTGATTAGAAATAACAATCAACAGAAACTTAAATATCACAAGAAGAAAATAAAATACTCTGTTAAATATGACAACATAGGTAAATATAAAAAGGAGTATTGCTGTATTTTTTATTTTTAATTCCTCTATTATTTCCTAAGTGATTTCACAAATGCATTAAACAGTAATTATAAAGCTATGTTAATGAGCACACACAATAAATTGTGACAAAAACAAAATAAAGACAGAGATAAATATGAGCAGAGTTTCTGTGTGCTGTTAAGGCTAATATAATATTATTTTAAGCTAGATTATTATAAATTTAGGATATTAATATTATTTCTCATAGTAACTTCCATGAAAACATTTTAAAAATATACACACAAAGTAATGAGAAGAAATCAAAATGGTACACTACAAAAAATTAAAAACAAAAGAAGGTAAAGAGAAACAAAAAAGACATAAGAAGTACGGAAAACAAATAGCAAAATTTTAGAGGTCACTCCTTCTCCATCATTTTTTTTCAATGTAAATGGATTAAATTCTACAATCAAAAGGCAGAGTTTGGTAGAATGGATTAAAATACAACACATGCTTCACTTATATGCTGTGTAAAGTGACTCATTTTAGAGCCAAAGACACAAATAGGCTGAATGTAAGAGGATGGGGGGAAGAAAAAAAACACAAACCCTTAAACAGTATCCAAAAAAGAACTGGAGATGGCTATATAGGTTGAGTATCTCTTATCCAGAATGCTCAGGACTAGAAAAAAAATCAGATACCTGATTTTTTCAGATTTTGGTGTATTTGCATTATACTTCCTAGTTTAGTATAG
The DNA here is from genome assembly GCF_000001405.40 of Homo sapiens. Lineage (NCBI taxonomy): Eukaryota > Metazoa > Chordata > Mammalia > Primates > Hominidae > Homo > Homo sapiens. The sequence goes on from NC_000001.11 coordinate 102,433,265, forward strand.
CTAATCTGAAAATATGGAAATCCCAAATGCTCCGGTGAACATTTTCTTTTAACATTATGTTGAACCTCAAAACATTTCAGATTTTGGAACATTTTTTATTTCAGATTTCTAAATTAATAATACCAGACAAGATAGGCGAAAACAAAACAAAACAAAACACACACAAAAAGACTGTTACAAAACACAAAGAAGGACATTATGTAATAATAAAAAGTAAAATCATGAAGAAGATGTGACAAATGTAAGCACATATATGTTAGAGACAGACTCAAAATTTGAAGCAAACATTTATAGAATTGAAGAAGGAAACATACTACTGTCCAGTACTAGTTAAGACTTCAATTCCCCACTTTCAATAATGAATAGAACTTCTAAACAGAAAATGAATTAAAAATAGAGGACTTGAGGACTGGAACAATAGCATAAACCATCAATACCTAAAGTACACAAACAAATACACACACACTCATCAGTCTGCCCTACAATAGCACAATAAACATTTTTCTCAAAAACACATGTAATATTCTTCAAGATAAACTATATGTTAGTCCATGAAATGTCTCAATAAATTAAAAATGTTTTAATGCATACAATTTGATAACCACAATGAAATGAAGCTGGAAATCAATAACAGAAGGAATAATAAAAAATTTCCAAATATTTGAAAATTAAGCAACACACTATGATATGGTTTGGCTCTCTGTTCCCACTCAAATCTCATCTCAAACCGTAATCCCCACGTGTTGAGGAAGGGACCTTGTGGGAGGTAACTGTGATATAGGAGTTAAAAAGTAATCACTTAGGCAGATAGCAAGGGTATGGGAGTTCTCAGTGAGCCATGTTTAAACCAGTTTTCTTTCATGGAGGACTTAGACATCATGTGGTACTGGAAGAAGTCCTGGGACAACTGAGGATTTCCAATCAGGGCTACCCCTCGGTATTATCCAAAGGCTTCTGTACTTACCCCAGCCTCCAATGGCCCCAGTGCGGTGTTGGCAATGGGCTCTCCAACTTTCCTTTTGTAATTTCTTCCTTACCTGTCCAGGGCCATCGTATTTCTCATCCTTTCTATGTATTCAATGTGTGGGAAGTTTTACAGTTCGGGGACATAATCTTGTTTGGCAAGATTAAGAAATGTTGTACTAACCAGGGATATAGCTCAAGAGAAGGTGTCTGTGATTTTCTAGGAACAGAGTCCACCCCCGCTCCCAAACCAACCAAAGAGAGCATTTCTCTCTCTCAGCCCTTGGTCTGGAGAACACATGATACATCCAGGTCTCTCTCTGCCATTGGCTTGGAGAGCATATGGCATTTCCAGGTCTCTTTCTGACCTTGGCCCGGAGAGCATATGGCATGTCAAGGTCACTCTGCCCTTGGTCTAGAGAGCACATGGTATTTCAAGGTCAACAGCACCACCTAGTGGAATAGGGATCCTCTCCATGAGGCACATTGTCGGTCCTTCACTGAAACATGGTAGCCTCCCGATTCTCTCCCCTTTTTGTGGCTATTAAAAGCTAGGCTACATGCTGCTTCTGTAAATAGGAAAATTCTGCCTTCAGCAATTAGGGCTAAAATATCCTCCAAGGCCAAATTATCAAGAAAACGGCCATTTGGTCCCTATGTTCTTCTTTTTTTTTTCTGAGACGGAGTCTCCCTCTGTCGCCCAGGCTGGAGTGCAGTGGCGCGATCTTGGCTCACTGCAAGCTCCACCTCCCGGGTTCACGCCATTCTCCTGCCTCAGCCTCCTGAGTAGCTGGGACTGCAGGCGCCCGCCACCATTCCCGGCTAATTTTTTTTTGTATTTTTAGTAGAGACGGGGTTTCACCGTGTTAGCCAGGATGGTCTCGATCTCCTGACCTTGTGATCCGCCCGCCTCGGCCTCCCAAAGTGCTGCGATTACAGGTTTGAGCCACTGCGCCTGGCCCCGTACGTTCTTTTGAGGCACCTATTCGACCTCCAATTAGAGTGGTACTTCATTAGTAAGGGGATTTGAAGTTCGGGAGTTAACCAAAACCATTCTCTAAGGGTAAACGCTTCAGCACTGGTCATAATAGCAGGATACAGAGTTCAACCTAGCATGCTGTCTCCATTAAAGGGGCCTTGCCCCTAAAAACTATTACATAGTTTTTCCTGAGATCCATTTTTCAGAGAGACAGGCAGGTCACACAAGTCTAGGAAGTCAAAAGGAAATCATAAGCAGTGGACTAGAGCCACTTGGGTGGGCGTGAATAACCCCAATTGCTTAGTTTCTCTGGTTCTATGGCTGGAGGTCACGCCTACAACCAGGGGTGGAACATTCAACAAGGTGCCAGGACCCAGGAACCACAGAGGGAAAAGAGCAAGAAGAACATTTCCACTGCCTTCCTCTCCACCCTGGCTCACACCACAAGGAAGGAGACTAAAGGGGCCCCTTTTTCTCACTTCTCTTTATCAGGCTATAGATACCTGGGTATGGTGAGATAGCTCATCCTCTGTATCACCTCATAAGACAAACTCAAGCAGCTAAATCTCATCTCTTAACCTGGAAACCTGAAGCTCAAAAGGCCTGGAACCAGCTAAAGCAGGCCCTAGTAAAGGCACTGGCTCTCAGCCTCCCTGTAGGAAGGGCCTTCAATCTGTATGCATCAGAAAGGAAGGGAATGGCCTTGGGAGTCTTAACACAGGCCTGAAGACCAGCTCAACAGCCTATGAGTAACCTGAGTAAGAAACAAGATTTGGGACTAAAGGATGGCCAGCATTGCCACCGTGGCCCTACTAGTCCCAAAAGCCTTCAATTAACCCAGGAAAATGACTTAACTGTTTATACTCCGCATAATGTGGTGGGATTACTGTCCTCTAAGAGAAGCCTTTGGTTAACAGACAGTCGGCTCCTTAAATATCAAGTTCTGCTGTTAGAAGTTTTCACCATCCAGTTAAAGACTTACTCTTGCTTAAGCCCAGCCACTTTCCTCCCTGAGGGAATGGGGGAACTAGAACATGAACAAGCTGTGGTACAGACCTATGCAGCCAGGGAAGATCTCCGGAAAACCCCTAGAGAATTGAGACTGGACCCTCTTCACAGATGGAAGCTCCTTTGTAGAGCAAGGAGTCTGTGAAGCAGGATATGCAGTGGTCACTCTGAATGATGTTACTGAAAGTGTGTCTCTCTCTCCAGGCACACGCTTTTAAATAGCTGAACTGACAACCCTTACAAGAGCTCTTGAGTGAAGCAAGGGAAAGGTAGCTAACATTTACACTGACTCCAAGTATGCTTTCCTAGTTCTCCATGCTCATGCTGCCATTTGGAAAGAAAGACACTTTCTTACTGCCAATCGATCTCCTATAAAATACCATCAGGAAATTAACAGGTTTTTATCCTCAGTTTTCCTTCCATGAGAGGTAGCAGTGATGCATTGTAAGGGATATCAGAAGGGAGTGGATGAAATAACTGAAGGAAACAAGCTAGCTGATCAGGCAGCCAAGTCAGCAGCAAGAAAGCTTCATGGCATCAAAATGCTTGAAGCCTCTCTAACTTGGGAAGGCTCTATAAGAGAAATCAAGCCTCAGTATTCCCATGCAGAAATGGAGTGGGCCACTTCTCGAGGGGACACCTTCCAGCCCTCAGGAGGGCTGCAATCAGAGGATGGCAAGCTCCACTTGCCAGGCTGCAGCCAATAGAAAGTCCTTAAAATCCTTCACCGAGCTTTTCACTTGGGAAAGGATAAAACTTTCAATGTTCTCAGAGATTGTTTTCAGGAGAGACCTTACTAACAACAAAATGGGTTGTTAATGCTTGTGAAGTCTGTCTTAAAAATAATTCCCTGAACAGGCAGCTTTTTCCTCCTCAAACCCAAAGGATGGGAAGCTCTCCAAGGGAGGACTGGCAGATTGGCTTCATCCACATTCCAAAGACGAAGGCCATTCAGTACCTCCTGGTATGGGTAGATACTTTCACTAACTGGGTAGTAGCATTTCCATGCCTTACAGAGAAGTCCTCTGAGGTAGTAAAGGTGTTAGTTAATGAAATTATTCCCCCTTTTGGTCTACCTAAGTACCTCCAAAGTGACAATAGCCCCTAATTTAAGGCAGCCATCACACAGGGGTTCTCAAAGGCACTAGGCATACAGTATCATCTCCATTGCACCTGGAGACCCTAGTCTTCAGGAAAGATAGAGAAGACAAATGATATCATCAAAAGACATCTCAGGAAACTGTCCTAAGAAACTCACTCTCCTTGGGTTACTTTTCTTTCCACGGCTTTACTGCCGGTAAGAAACACCCCTTCCAAGTTAGGTCTAAGCCCTTTTGAGACGCGTACAGACAGCCTTTTCTCATCAATGATTTCTTAATAGACAAAGAGACCTCTGAATTGGTTAAGCATGTAACCCCTCTGGCTTGCTTTCAACAGGAATTAACTCAACTAGCAGAAACCCAACCCCAAGAAGTAGGACCACCTTTATTTAACCCAGGATATTTGGTATTTGTAAAAGCTCTCCCTTCTCTCTCTCCTTCCCTAAGCCCAAGCTGGGAAGGGAATTAAATCATTCTCCTTTCAACCCCCTTAGCAGTAAAAGTTCCAGGTATCAATTCCTGGATGTATCAACTCAAGTCAAAGCCTGGAAAGCTGAGTGAGCAACCCCTGACAGCCCAGAGGAACATCCTGGATACCAATGTGAAGAAATAGGAGACCTTAAGCTGAAAATCATGAAAGATAAGCAAATGAGCAAGAGCTATTTATTCTACTCAGTTCCACCTCTACCATTTAGTTATTTCTATTTTTTTCTCAAGATTTACTGTCAAATACTGGAGCTTCTTTTTGACACAAAATTGTAGGGATAATAGTTACAAGAAGGGAACATGAAAATTTTATTATCACTGAGTCTGCTAGGACTTGTTATTGGGTTTAATGATACAGCACATTCTTTAGCTCCTCCAGTATCAACCATGGCCCACTTGTACAACAAGACTAATTTCTGGGTCTGTTCTGAGCAGTTTGCTCAGTTCAGTAAAAATAAGAAACTTCTCAATAACCCAGAACTTACTGTCTTAGGATTCTCTTTGTTAGCCTAACCTTTGACCCTTAAAGACTTATCAGGCATAAATTGGATATAGTATGGGAACACTTTCAACTGGGTAACTAACTCCTCTCAGGAAAACATTCTGCCTCCAGAACCAAATAACACTTTCCCCACAGATAAGCTTCACAACCTCTGGCTGGGAAAAGCTGACCAGGTAATAGCAAATGCCTCCCACTGCTTTAAAAGCAGTGGGGAAGGACATTATTGGGGAGATCTCAAATATTGTAACATCACACTTGCAATTTCTGATAGTTCAAGTATTTGGAAAGTCACAGGTTCCCAAGAAAGTGTAATAAGCATGATCTAATAAATCAGAAGCCCTTTTGGGGGGTTCTCAGAATATAGCCTCTCCTTCTGCTTGAAAATCCTGATGGGAATAGCATGCTCTAAGTAACCGCCTTTACTATAATGTAAAGAATAACATATAGGCCTTTCCAAACATGCCCTCACATGGAATTCCAGACCCTTGTATGATGTTTGCTAATAGTAGCAGCCTACAAATCTGTGGGCAAAGTGGAGTTGTCTGGACAAACAGCCCTTGCCACGAGGATCATCTGAGATATTGGCCAGGGCATATTATGTCCCTAATATTTTTAAACTCCATTTTTCAGGTGGACCCTTCTCATTTAGCATGTAAGATTCAAAATGGCGTTGTGAATGACTATATGGATATCCCTATCCTAAAGATGCTCCTATTATATGTAAGGGGGTAAGGCTCCTAAGATATGAGAAAGATCTGTGTGTGCCCTTCAAAGGTCACAACTTAGAACCACCCTTTCAAGGGACAGGACTATATTTCCTTTGTGGCTCCTGGCTACACTTAATTCTCCCTAGGTACTGGAAAGGAACCTGCACTATAGTAGCAGTGATCCCCAACCTATTATTTTTAAATTCCACTGACATGACCACATCATTTGGGGACATCCCTAACCTAGGTTCCTTTTTAGAAATTGCATTATCTCGGAGAGGCCAAACAAAAAGATCCATCATTTCCATGCCCTCATATGGAGATTTAACTGAAAGAGAAGATTTGGGAGGGCAAGAACTTGACAATCCCATCTTAGAAAACCATGGCTGGGGACTTCTATAAACAGAGACCTCTTCTGGTTTGCTGGTATTCCTCTCCTTGAAAGGTCAGTACTTAATATTTCCATTTGGATGCAATGAGGATGCAAGGCAGCAGTTGGAACCTTAGAAGCACAACAACGATCCATGGATTCCTTAGCCTCAGTAGTAGCACAGAATAGGTGGGCCCAAGGTGTCCTTACAGCTGAGGTAGAGGGTACCTGTGCAGTCTTAAATGAAATATGCTGCTTCTGGATCAACACTTCTAGTCAAGTAGAAGAAAACATACAGGTGCTTAAAGATCAAGTGAAAATCATTGACAGATTAAGAGAAAATGCAGGCTCCACACCTGGATGGCTACAATCCTTTTTAAATGAATTTCAGTCTTATTTGTGGAACTGGTTAGCTCCAGTATTAAGTCCTCTCTTGCTCATATGTTTTATATTAATAATTGGACTTTATCTACTCAATACTATAACTTGAATTATTTCCTCTCACCTAGAAGCAATCACACTCCAAATGGTGCTGCACACCAAACCACACATGGACAGGACTTTCTTTTGAGGACCCTTAGATCCACCACAGGAGGAGCCCTAGCTGCTGTTCCTCACCTGATGCCCCTTTTCAGTAGGAAGTAGCCAGAAAGAGTAATCACCCAACACCCCCTAAGAGGAGTTAGGGTTAGCACTCCAGAATGAGGGGTGATATAGGAGTTAATAAGAAATCACTTAGGCAGACAGCAAGGTTATAGGAGTCCTCAGTAAGGTTTTTCTTTTTAATTAAAAGCAGCCCCAAATCATTTTCTAACAAAAAGCAGCTTGTAAAGTTGAGCTGCAGGCATAGACAAGCAAGCTGGGAGCTTGCATGGGTGAATGTTGGCAGGAACTAAGGGCTAGGCATGTTCCCTTCTCTGCTAGCCACCTGTACTGTAAGGAGCAGACAACATGGCGCTGATCAACTGGAAAACCCATTTTCATAATAAGATTAGGGTGGGTCAAGCAGCCTTTTCCGTGTACTATCTAAATATCATACCTGATTGAACCAAGCTTTGAGCCCTATGTAAATCAAGCACCACATCCTCAAACCAAACTACAACATTCGGCACATTCACCTCCTGCTAGTCTTTTTTGCTTGGAGACCCCTTCTTCCACAGAGGAAGCTATTTCTCTTTCTTTTCTTTTCTACCTATTAAACCTCCGCTCCTAAACTCATGTGTGTCTGTGTCCTAAATTTTTCTGGCGTGTGACAGTGTACCCCAGGTATATACTCCAGACATCATAGCTATTTCAATTGGATCAAGGGAGCAGTTTCCCCCATGCTGTTCTCATGATAGTGAGTTATCATGAGATCTGACGGTTTTATAAGGGACTCTTCCCCCTTTGCCCTCTATTCTCTCTTTCCTGCCATCCTATGAAGAAGGTACTTGTTTTTCCTTCGCTTTCTGCCCTGAATGTAAGTTTGCTGAGGCCTCCCCTGCCATGAAGAACTATGAGTCAATTTAACCTTTTTTCCTTATAAATTGTCCAGTCTTTGATACGTCTTCATAGCAGTGTGAGAACAATCTAATACACACTCTTGAATTCAAAGATTAATCACAAGGGAAATTAGAATATACTCAGAGATTAATGGAAATGAAAACATGACAAAACTTATGAGTTGTAAAGAGACTAGTGCTCAGAAGAAAATCTATTACTGTAAATACCTACATTTAAAAAAAAAGAAATTTCAAATCAGTAATTTAACCTTATCCTAAGGAAACTAGAAAAAAAGAGCAAGTTAAATTCTAGTTTACCAGATGAAAGAAGTAAGATATTAGAGAAGATAGAGAAAATAAAGTAGAGAAAAATGATTCAGAAAATCAATAAAAGCAAATGTTAGATTTTGAGAAGATCCACTAAATTGATAAACTTTTAGCTATACTGAGAAATAAAAAATAAAGATGTAAATAACTAAAATTACACATGAAGGTAGAGATGTTACTAATGACTTTACAGAAATGAAAAGAATTGAAAAAGACTACTAAGACCAATTCTGTGCCAACATATTAGATAAAATAGATCAAATGGACAAGTTCCTAAAACACACATAGTATTGAAACTTAAGAAGAAATAAAAAATATTAACCGACCTACAACAAAGAGATTGAATTAATAATTAAAAATCAGTAATTAGACACACGCCTATAATCCCAGCACTTTGGGAGGCTGAGGTGGGCAGACAGATCATGAGGTCAGGAGTTTGAGACCAGCCTGACCAACATGGTGAAACCCTGTCTCTACTAAAAATACAGAAATTAGCCAGGCATGGTGGCAGGCACCTCTAATCCCAGCTACTCAGGAGGCTGAGGCAGGAGAATCACTTGAACCTGGGAGGCAGAGGCTGCAGTGAGCCAAGCTTGTGCCACTGCACTCCAGTGTGGGCGACAGAGCAAGACTCAATCTCAAAAAAAAAAAAAAAAGTTTCCAATTCACGAAAGGTCAGAATCAGATTACTTCATAGTTGAATCATATCAGACATTTAAAACAGAAATCCATCTCAAAGTTGTCCAAAAAAATTGAACAGGAGGGTAACTTACTAAATTTATTTTATTAGACCAATATTCTCTGATTCCAAAGTTAGACAAAGACTTTATAAGAAACAACAACAAACTACAGAGTAATATCTTTTATGAAGATATATGCAAAAAGAGAATATTAGAGGGGTGGAGACAAGATGGCCGAATAGGAACAGCTAGAGCCTACAGCTCCCAGCATGAGTGATGCAGAAGATGGGTGATTTCTGCATTTCCAACTGAGGTACCGGGTTCATCTCACTGGGGAGTGCCGGACAGTGGGTGCAGGACAGTGGGTGCAGCGCACCATGCGTGAGCCGAAGCAGGGCAAGGCATCACCTCACCCAGGAAGCGCAAGGGGTCAGGGAATTCCCTTTCCTAGTCAAAGAAAGGGGTGACAGATGGCACCTGGAAAATCAGGTCACTCCCACCCTAATACTGTGCTTTTCCAACGGGCTTAACAAACTGCAAACCAGGAGATTATATCCCGCACCTGGCTCAGAGGGTCCTCAGCCCACGGAGCCTCCCTCACTGCTAGCACAGCAGTCTGAGATCAAACTGCAAGGCGGCAGCGAGGCTGCGGGAGGGGCGCCCGCCATTGCTCAGGCTTGAGTAGGTAAACAAAGTGGCCAGGAAGCTCGAACTGGGTGGAGCCCACCACAGCTCAAGGAGGCCTGCCTGCCTCTGTAGGCTCCACCTCTGGGGGCAGGGCACAGACAAAAGACAACAATAACCCCTGCAGACTTAAATGTCCCTGTCTGACAGCTTTGAAGAGAGTAGTGGTTTTCCCAGCACGCAGATTGAAATCTGAGAATGGGCAGACTGCCTCCTCAAGTGGGACCCTGACTCCCGAGTAGCCTAAGGGGGGGGGGCACCCACAGTAGGGGCGGAATGACACCTCACACGGCCAGGTACTCCTCTGCGACAAAACTTCCAGAGGAACGATCAGGCAGCAGCATTTGCGGCTCACCAATATCCGCTGTTCTCCAGCCACCGCTGCTGATACCCAGGCAAACAGGGTCTGGAGGGGACCTCCAGCAAACTCCAACAGACCTGAAGCTAAGGGTCCTGAATGTTAGAAGGAAAACTGACAAACAGAAAGGACATCCACACCAAAAACCCATCTGTACGTCACCATCATCAAAGACCAAAGGTAGATAAAACCACAAAGATGGGGAAAAAACAGAGCAGAAAAACTGGAAACTCCAAATATCAGAGCACCTCTCCTCCTCCAAAGCAATGCAGCTCCTCACGAGCAATGGAACAAAGCTGGATGGAGAATGACTTTGACGAGTTGAGAGAGGAAGGCTTCAGAAGATCAAACTACCCTGAGCTAAAGGAGGAAGTTCAAACCAATGGCAAAGAAGTTAAAAACTTTGAAAAAAAATTGGACAAATGGATAACTAGAATAACCAACGCAGAGAAGTCCTTAAAGGACCTGATGGAGCTGAAAACCATGGTACGAGAACTACAGGATGAATACACAAGCCTCAGTAACCGATGCGATCAACTGAAAGAAAGGGTATCAGCAATGGAAGACGAAATGAATGAAATGAAGCATGAAGAGAAGTTTAGAGAGAAGAGAATAAAAAGAAATGAACAAAGCCTCCAAGAAATATGGGACTATGTGAAAAGACCAAATCTACGTCTGATTGGTGTACCTGAAAGTGACAGGGAGAATGGAACCAAGTTGGAAAACACTCTGCAGGATATTATCCAGAAGAACTTCCCCAATCTAGCAAGGCAAGCAAACATTCAAATTCAGGAAATACAGAGAATGCCACCAAGATACTCCTCGAGAAGAGCAACTCCAAGACACATAATTGTCAGATTCACCAAAGTTGAAATGAAGGAAAAAATGTTAAGGGCCGCCAGAGAGAAAGGTCGGGTTACCCATAAAGGGAAGCCCATCAGACTAACAGCTGATCTCTTGGCAGAAACTCAACAAGCCAGAAGAGAGTGGGGGCCAATATTCAACATTCTTAAAGAAAAGAATTATCAACCCAGAATTTCATATCCAGCCAAACTAAGCTTCATAAGTGAAGGAGAAATAAAATACTTTACAGACAAGCAAATGCTGAGAGATTTTGTCACCACCAGGCCTGCCCTAAAAGAGCTCCTGAAGGAAGCACTAAACATGGAAAGGAACAACTGGTACCAGCCACTGCAAAAACATGCCAAATTGTAAAGACCATCGAGACTAGGAAGAAACTGCATCAACTAACAAGCAAAATAACAAGCTAACATCAGAATGACAGGATCAAATTCACACATAATAATACTAACCTTAAATGTAAATGGGCTAAATGCTCCAATTAAAAGGCACAGACTGGCAAATTGGATAAAGAGTCAAGACCCATCAGTGTGCTGTATTCAGGAAACCCATCTCACGTGCAGACACACACATAGGCTCAAAATAAAGGGACGGAGGAAGATCTACCAAGAAAATGGAAAACAGAAAAAGGCAGGGGTTGCAATCCTAGTCTCTGATGAAACAGACTTTAAACGAACAAAGATCAAAAGAGACAAAGAAGGCCATTCCATAATGGTAAAGGGATCAATTCAACAAGAAGAGCTAACTGTCCTAAATATATATATGCACCGAATACAGGAGCACCCACATTCATAAAGCAAGTCCTTAGTGACCTACAAAGAGACTTAGACTCCCACACAATAATAATGGGAGACTTTAACACCCCACTGTCAACATTTGACAGATCAACGAGACAGAAAGTTAACAAGGGTATCCAGGAACTGAACTCAGCTCTGCACCAAGCAGACCTAATAGACATCTACAGAACTCTCCACCACAAATCAACAGAATATACATTCAGCACCACATCACACCTATTCCAAAATTGACCACATAGACGGAAGTAAAGCACTCGTCAGCAAATGGAAAAGAACAGAAATTATAACAAACTGTCTCTCAGACCACAGTGCAATCAAACTAGAACTCAGGATTAAGAAACTCACTCAAAACCGCTCAACTACATGGAAACTGAACAACCTGCTCCTGAATGACTACTGGGTACATAACGAAATGAAGGCAGAAATAAAGATGTTCTTTGAAACCAATGAGAACAAAGACACAACATATCAGAATCTCTGGGACACATTCAAAGCAGTTTGTAGAAGGAAATTTATAGCACTAAGTGCCCACAAGAGAAAGCAGGAAAGATCTAAAATTGACACCCTAACATCACAATTAAAAGAACTATAGAAGCAAGAGCAAACACATTCAAAAGCTAGCAGAAGGCAAGAAATAACTAAAATCAGAGCAGAACTGAAGGAAATAGAGACACAAAAAACTCTTCAAAAAATCAATGAATCCAGGAGATGGTTTTTTGAAAAGATCAACAAAATTGATAGACCACTAGCAAGACTAATAAAGAAGAAAAGAGAGAAGAATCAAATAGACGCAATAAAAAATGACAAAGGGGATATCACCACCGATCCCACAGAAATACAAACTACCATCAGAGAGTACTATAAACATCTCTACACAAATAAACCAGAAAATCTAGAAGAAATGGATAAATTCCTCGACACATACAATCTCCCAAGACTAAACCAGGAAGAAGTTGAATCTCTGAATAGACCAATAACAGGCTCTGAAATTGAGGCAATAATTAATAGCTTACCAACCAAAAAAAGTCCAGGACCAGAAGGAATCACAGCCGAATTCTACCAGAGGTACAGGGAGGAGCTGGTACCATTCCTTCTGAAACTATTCCAATCAATAGAAAAAGAGGGAATCCTCCCTAACTCATTTTATGAGGCCAGCATCATCCTGATACCAAAGCCTGGCAGAGACACAACAAAAAAAGAGAATTTTAGACCAATATCCTTGATGAACATTGATGCAAAAATCCTCAATAAAATAATGGCAAACTGAATCCAGCAACACATCAAAAAGCTTATCCACCATGATCAAGTGGGCTTCATCCCTGGGATGCAACGCTGGTTCAACATATGAAAATCAATAAACGTAATCCAGCATATAAACAGAACCAAAGACAAAAACCACATGATTATCTCAATAGATGCAGAAAAGGCCTTTGACAAAATTCAACAACCCTTCATGCTAAAAACTCTCAATAAATTAGGTATCGATGGGACGTATCTCAAAATAATAAGAGCTATCTATGACAAACACACAGCCAATATCATAGTGAATGGACAAAAACTGGAAGCATTCCCTTTGAAAACTGGCACAAGACAGGGATGCCCTCTCTCACCACTCCTATTCAACATAGTGTTGGAAGTTCTGGCCAGGGCATTTAGGCAGGAGAAGGAAATAAAGGGCATTCAGTTAGGAAAAGAGGAAGTGAAATTGTCCCTGTTTGCAGATCAAATGATTGTATATCTAGAAAACCCCATCGTCTCAGCCCAAAATCTCCTTAAGCTGATAAGCAACTTCAGCAAAGTCTCAGGATACAAAATCAATGTGCAAAAATCACAAGCATTCTTATACAACAATAACAGACAAACAGAGAGCCAGATCATGATTGAACTCCCATTCACAATTGCTTCAAAGAGAATAAAATACCTAGGAATCCAACTTACAAGGGATGGGAAGGACCTCTTCAAGGAGAACTACAAACCACTGCTCAAGGAAATAAAAGAGGATACAAACAAATGGAAGAACATTCCATGCTCAAGGGTAGTAAGAATCAATATCATGAAAATGGCCATACTGCACAAGGTAATTTATAGATTCAATGCCATTCTCATCAAGCTACCAATGACTTTCTTCACATAATTGGAAAAAACTACTTTAAAGTTCATATGGAACCAAAAAAGAGGCTGCATTGCCAAGTCAATCCTAAGCCAAAAGAACAAAGCTGGAGGCATCACGCTACCTGACTTCAAACTATACTACAAGGCTACAGTAACCAAAACAGCATGGTACTGGTACCAAAACAGAGATATAGACCAATGGAACAGAACAGAGCCCTCAGAAGTAATGCCGCTTATCTATAATCATCTGATCTTTGACAAACCTGACAGAAACAAGCAATGGGGAAAGCATTCCCTATTTAATAAATGGTGCTGGGAAAACTGGCTAGCCATATGTAGAAAGCTGAAACTGGATCCCTTCCTTACACCTTATACAAAAATTAATTCAAGGTGCATTAAAGACTTAAATGTTAGACCTAAAACCATAAAAACCCTAGAAGAAAACCTAGGCAATACCATTCAGGACATAGGCATGGGCAAGGACTTCATGTCTAAAACACCAAAAGCAATGGCAACAAAAGACAAAATTGACAAATGGGATCTAATTAAACTAAACAGCTTCTGCACAGCAAAAGAAACTACCATCAGAGTGAACAAGCAACCTACAGAATGGGAGAAAATTTTTGCAACCTACTTATCTGACAAAGGGCTAATATCCAGAATCTACAATGAACTCAAACAAATTTACAAGAAAAAAACAAACCACCCCATCAAAAAGTGGGTGAAGGATATGAACAGACACTTCTCAAAAGAAGACATTTATGCAGCCAAAAGACACATGAAAAACTGCTCATCATCACTGGCCATCAGAGAAATGCAAATCAAAACCACAATGAGATACCATCTCACACCAATTAGAATGGCGATCATTAAAAAGTCAGGAAACAACAGGTGCTGGAGAGGATGTGGAGAAGTAGGAACACTTTTACACTGTTGGTGGGACTGTAAACTAGTTCAACCATTGTGGAAGTCGGTGTGGTGATTCCTCCGGGATCTAGAACTGGAAATACCATTTGACCCAGCAATCCCATTACTGGGTATATACCCAAAGGATTATAAATCATGCTGCTATAAAGATACATGCACACATATGTTTATTGCGGCACTATTTCCAATAGCAAAGACTTGGAACCAACCCAAATGTCCAACAATGATAGACTGGATTAAGAAAATGTGGGACACATACACCATGGAATACTATGCAGCCATAAAAAATGATGAGTTCATATCCTTTATAGGGACATGGATGAAGCTGGAAACCATCATTCTCAGCAAACTATCGCAAGGACAAACAACCAAAGACCGCATGTTCTCACTCACAGGTGGGAATTGCACAAAGAGAACACATAGACACAGGAAGGGGAACATCACCCACGGGGGGACTGTTGTCGGGTGGGGAAGGGGGGAGGAATAGCATTAGAAGATATACCTAATGCTAAATGAAGAGTTAATGGGTGCAGCACACCAATATGGCACAGGTATACATATGTAACAAACCTGCACGTTGTGCACATGTACCCTAAAACTTATAGTATAATAATAATAAAAAAGAGAATATTAGAATGACCAAAAAGCATCTGAGAAAAATATTTATCATTTTAGTCATTATAAAATGAAAGCAATTTCAAACTACAATATCACAATTCCATCTTCAGGAGGGCAATCATTAATATTGATGGTGGTAGTAACTGGACGGAGATACAAATGAGTATGCTGGGATGCTGATAATAGTACACTTGCTTAACTAGGCTCTGATTATATGGGTGAATGAGTTCATTTTGTAAAAACACATTGAGCTGTATAATTATGATTTGGGTATTTTTCTGTGTTATACTATACTATTTCAATAAATGACAAAACATTCAAAAACTAAAAAATGAATTGGATAATTAAATAGAAAACATTTTTATTTTGTCTATACTCATATTTGCATTTTTCTTTAATCTTGGGTTTTTAAAGCTGTGTTATAATATTGCTACAACACATTTATACTACTGAAGACACACTCCTTTTTCAGTGCTGTTATGGGAATACTTTTCTACTTAAAATACATCTTTTATTATTTCAAGGAATGTTGGGCTAATGAAGGTCTTGCTGAAATAGTCTATTTTTATCAAATAATATTACTTCTCAGAGTTAAAAAATAGTGAAATAAAATAATTGTATACCAAATTTTTATTAATACCTAATGATGCATTTTATTTATCGCTGTCTTCCAAGAGCATAAGGCTTAAGAGATGTGAGGATAAGATTTTTATTGAAGATATTTACAAATTTGTTAATTTACTTTTTCCCCCTGCATACCTACAAAGAGTAAATTTCTTCCTTTTTCCGAGGTCACACATTTTTCACTAATTCTGTTTTCTGATATTTTTTATTTTTACCACCTGAGGGAAACTTTCTTATGGATTAAAAAGACTCTTCCTCCTGATCTGTAACATTTAGGGAAGGACAAAGGAAGAAAGGTTCAAGAGATGGTAATATTTTTCTTATATCAGGCATGAGTATACTATTTCTGTTCCATCGAGAGCACTCCAAACAAGCTTTCATTTTGGTACCATAGTTTTTTTTAATTGTTATTCGATATTTTCACAAGCAGTTATGTTTCCTCTATAATAATCATTAACTGATAATAATGAATTGGTTAATTAGTTCACTATTCTAGAATATAACTAAGCATAATTTATTCGTTAACTTTGCATATGATCACTAACAAAAAACCTAGATCTCATTGGATAAAATAATTAATCATAGGATAGTTATAATTTCATAGCTGGAGGTTAAATTACACTTAATTTAGTAATAAAGTTAGAGTGTAATTAAAGTAGCCTGAAGAATTTCTTCAATATTAAATTATTTCTTCCAATTTAGTACTACTGGAATAAACCACAGTGTTAAGACAGTGGAAAAATACAGCATTGAGTCCTTCTCTGCTGATTACCACAGTCACAGTCTCACAATGGTCTTCCATCATTAGTAGAAGAGGCAATAAAAAGGGTAATCTAGGAAATTTACTCTACTAGGAGTTGGATTAATTGAAGGAATTTGACATTCATCTATAAAATTGTCACAGAGGTCTTTTTGTTTGTTTTGGGGGATCCAAAATTGGAGAGGAACACTCAAAAGCATTCACTAAGATTAGTTGCGTCTTTAGTCTTTGAGATATGGGATGTATAATGAATGTAGATCTTTCGTCTGTGGGACATCAACAGAAGAGAGGCGGCAAAATGTAGAGGTATCTAATACCTATTAAAAATTCAATAGAATGTCAAAATAGAAGTACTATAGTTGAAAAAAATAAATAAATGAGGTGAATTAATAAAAGATATTACCAATGGAAAAAGGCTTTAAAGGGACCCATGTACACTGTTGGTGGGAATGTAATTAGAATAGTCAGTAAGGAAAACTGTATGGAAGTTCCTCAAAAAACTAAAAATAGAACTACCATATGATCCAGTAATTCCACTTCTGGGTACTCACCCAAAATGATTGAAATCAGTATGTTTATTGCTGATTTCAGCAATCAAAATGTTTATTAAATCAGTATGTTTATTAAATCTCCCATGTTAATTGCTACACTACTCACATTAGCGAAGTTATGGAATCAACCTAGGTGCCCATCAACAGATGAATAGATAAAGGTAATGTGGCATATACACAATGGAATACTATTCAGCCTTTAGAAAAACTTTTGAAATTTGCTGCAACATGGATGAAATTGGAGAATATTATGCTAAGCAAAAGAAGACAGGCATAGAAAGAAAATACTGCATGTTCTTATATATGGAATACCAAACAATCAAACAAAGAAAAAGAGAGTAGAATGGTGGTTATCAGAAATGGAGAGGTTGGGGATAAGGGGGAGATGAAAGGTATAAAGCCTCAATTAGACAAAAGAAACAGCTCTTTTTCTTTGAGCTACATTGCGCAGCACACTGAATATAATAAATAATAAATCTACACTGAAAAATCACTGAGTAAATTTTAAATGTTCTCACCACAAAAAATGAGAAGTATTTGAGGTGATGGATATGTTAATTAGCTTGATTTGATTTTTTTTCACATTTTATTCATGAATCATGTCACTTTCTACCCCATTAATACATACAATTATAATTTTTTCAATTTACAACTAAAATAACAAAAAATTCAATATTCATCAGTGGTTAGTCAAAGTTTAATTTTTTTTTTCTTTTTTGAGATGGACTTTCACTCTTGTTGCCCAGGCTGGAGTGCAATGGTGCAATCTCATCTGACTGCAACCTCCGCCTTCCGGGTTCAAATGATTCTCCTGCCTCAGCCTCCCAAGTAGCTGGGATTACAGGTGTGTGCCACCAGACCTGCTAGTTTTTGTATTTCTTAAAAAATTTTTTTATTTTTTATTTTTTTAGTAGAGAAGGAGTTCCTCCATGTTGGCCAGGCTGGTCTCAAACTCCTCACCTCAGGTGATTCGCCTGCCTCGGCCTCCTAAAGTTCTGGGATTACAGGAGTGAGCCACCACGCCCGGGCTCAAAGTTTATTTAACCAACCAATATAAAAATAAAAGTTTGATCTGTTATGCAATTATAAATGTTTATAATATAACATATTATTTTATTAATTTATTTGATGAACCATAGTAAAAGCTCATAAGCAGGGTCGAGAGGCAGAAGTTATATTCTCAAGATTTTATGCTTCAAAATATTAACTAAGGGGGCTTCTGCCTCTGACAAAGATGGTATAACCGGAACCAGATTTGGCCTTCCACAAGAAACAACGAAAAACCCTGAAAAAAAAAAAGGGAGAAAAAATGGTTTTTAAGACAATGAATATTAAGCAAGTAAAAATGGTAATCTTTCAAAGGTGAAAACTAACTGAGGTGAGCTTATGATTGTCCCATTTTACCGTCTGAAGGAATTTCTCATGTTGCAGCTTTGTGAGAGGAATCTAACACCTGCAGAATTCTTTCAACTTTGCCATGTTCTATTGGCTAGACACAAGTCACAGAATCTTACCCATAAAACAAAGGCAGAAGGTTATACAAGGGAAGAGCATCAGGAGGTGGGAATTTTAGAGGTCACCCTAAAGTTTGTCTGCTACAATTATAAAAAATTTCATGTCTTTAATTGAAAAACTTAGATAAAATGGAAAATTTCTTTAAAAAGCTATGCACCTTAGGACAATTATGTAATTATTGAGACCAATAATCACATAGTCACATTATGAAAAGTATTTATTACATGCTGTTCATGATACTGTAATTTATTTCGGCTTTTCAAGTAGAAAACTGTTGTCTGCAGCAAGGCTCTTTAAAGAAAGATTTTTCCCTAATGTTTAAATCATGTTATTGAGAATAGCCAAATACAATAGGAAGACCAAATATCCTTCAACAGACGAATGAATAAACAAATTGGAATATCCATACAACAGAACAGTATTTAAGCAATAAAAACAGAACTAACAACTACATGCAACAACATGGATTAATCTCAAAATAATTATGTAAGTGAAAGAAGCACAGCCAAGGAATCAACCAATGCACCAAGTGAAAAAAGAAGCATGAAATCTAGACTTAATGTTTCTTTCCTCTCTCTGATCCTGGCACCCAAAGGCCTGGCTATCCTAGTCACTTTCTACTGCATTTAAAAAACTTTTTAAAAATGTTTAATTAATATTCAGCATTTCTAGTTCTTGGGATAATGATTGGTTTGGCATAAGCTACACTGTCAGAGCAGATCTCCATCTCTTAAATGTGGAACTTAAAACAGAGAACATAGTATCATGATTTATAAGCTGCAATATCATCAAATTGGTATTTGAGAAAGTGTAAATAAAACTGTTTAAAATTGGTTTTTACTAAATACACATTTTTTAATTCTGAAAAGTGGTCAGCTCATGGAGTTTCTAGCTTTTGAATGGAAAATAATTGTCAGATGGACATAACCTACCAATTTAATAATATTTTTTGGTTTTTCCACCAGAGTAGTTACATGTGTTTAATATTACCAAAGTATGTTCATACAGGTGTGTTTTTTTTAAATTCTGTGTAGTCAGATCACTGCTTGAATTAGCACTACTAACAATAATTTTGTCTACTGATAAAATTATGCATTTGACAGAAATTATTTTAATCACAGAAAATGAGCCACCTAAATGAGATAATGGCAGTGATAAGACTGAAATAAAGGGAGAAAAATACGATGAAACAAAAAGAGGGATAGCAGAACACAGACAAAATCCTTTGCAGAATAAGTACCTCTATTTTGCAAGATAGTCATCAGCATTAACATCACTTAACATTTTATTGACTTTTCCTAAAATTTGGTGTTTTAAATGAAACATACAATTTTATATATATAACAAATCCAAATGTTAATTATTCATAGCATAGATTTGTAAATAAGCAATCTCAGAGATAAACATATAATATATGACAGAACTGATATTTAAACACAATTCTGACATCCGATATTTCCTGGTTGTAGTCTAAGAAAGAAATTTAATTACATTATTTTCACCTATTTAATAATCTTGCAACAAAAGAGAAATTTTAACGAACCACTGTCTTGTTTTTGTAACTTCTAATAACAATGATTTGTTATTTCTTATGGAAACAATTTTAATAGGCTAATCATGCCTGCTCTGAGCATCTTTCCAATAAGTCAATGACAGTTTATAAGGATCAAATGGCTAAAATTTGATTGTTATTATCTCTTTATAAAAAAACTTACACTTTTTTTTAAAGGAATCAATGAAAGAAACATATCCCCCTATTTCAAAGCTCCCATTACATATTTGTTTTTTTCTACCCATGATTTGGGATATATGGGATTTGAGCCATATATTCTCCTGATCTAGGTTGACCTTTAAGCTTAATGGTTTTTATATGTGTTTAAAAACTGACAGCATTTCTCTAATGAGCTATGCACCTTAGGACAATTATGTATTTATTGAGACCAATAATCACATAGTCACATTATGAAAAGTATTTATTTCATGCTGTTCATGATACTGTAATTTCTTTCAGCTTTTAAAGTAGAAAACTGTTGTCTGCAGCAAGACTCTGAAGTTATTGCTTTCATATTGGACATACTGGCTATGTTGTATATATTATTTTATCTACTTAAAAAAATCCAAAAATTTCTTAAAAACCTATCTTGACGCATAAAATTCATGACGTTCAAGGGAAACCTTAGCAAAATAAATTATTTTGCAACATAGTCATGTAATTGGGCCCATAATAAGAGATGGGTGGAGGTGGAACATGCTGATTTATTGGTCTAAACACTAATTATTAAAAATAATATTTATATAAAAAGGCTTCACATTTAAAAAAATAGTTTTTTTTTTGAGCTGCAGATGTCATGAATAAAATTACTGAGACCCTAAGGGCATCATGGATGGAGAAAGTTTGCTAATTTGTAGAATAATAGTTTTGTAGTAAAGAGGGGCTATTATTATAGGTTAGTTCAGGAAAATGTAGAAATTCTGAAATTTGACAAAAACTAAATGTGTAACTGTGAATAATAAGCCTGAGAGACTGCATTTAAAACCCAAATATCTCCTCTCAGATTGTGTTTGGATAAGCCTTGCTCTCATCAATTGAACAGCAATTTCAATAGGACTATTTCTCTGCTCAAATTGACTCAAATTTGTAACCATGAAATTTTATTCCTTTTAATGAAATAATTTTTAATAGATACTTTAAAGACTATTTTTAAATAAAACAATAATGAGCCCAATATAACTGTTTCCTCTCAATTTCCTGTGCTAATTATTGTAATTAGAAGTACTTGCTCGCTTTTTAATACTACACAGCTGAAACAGGTAACCTTTAGCCACTTTGACTGTCACCATAACATTTTAATGATTAAAACTTTTGACAGTTTGTTCTCAAATGTTCAGGCATTCAGATTACATAGAATACTAATTGCAGTACTTTTTAAAAGCTATCTGAAGTTATAGCTACTGAAACCATAAATGAAGAAAAATAAAAAAATACTGTTGTGTAGCTCTGCATCCCTCTGCTGTGATATTTCTTTTTCTTTTCCTAGGAAAGGAATGAGCAGAGTTCTGTCTAAGACAAGCAAAGACCAATGGTCTCATTTGGTTAAGCTATTTTTTCATATATTTTTTGCACAAGATACACAGAAATATACTTACAAACCAATCTTACTCTTTTTAACCTTTATATAACACACCTTCATATCAATTAGGTCTTTTTTACAAATTGCTTCTTAATTTTCAACTGACATTGTTTTCAAAATAATACAACTAATTTAAATACTAAATTGCCTTTAAAACAATGCTACGAATGTAGTTAATATTTTCATGTAAATGCTATAGTACACAAAATATATTTACATTAATTGTCTCATGTGAAGCTCATAACTACTCTATATTATCAGGACAGAAGAAAAAATACCCCCAAAATAGTATCAATTTTCAACAATCATCCTTGATGTTAGCTGACAGAAATCACATTTTAAGACTAGATAACTCAAAATCAAATGCATTATGTCACATCAATGTTTTAGAGTTAATTAAAAATATTGGCAAGTTCTATTGTGTTTTACGTTTTTTTTTTTTCAGTAAACATATTTTGGAAAGAAAATTTCAAGAGCCTTCAATAATATTACATGCTCTTCATTTTCATTAGAGTTGTGATTTTTTCTCTCTTTTCCTTTAATCAACATTAACTTGTTGAAAGATAATTTGCAACAATTCTGTGAAGTTTTTCTATAGCAGTGGCCTGTGGGGCAGTGGGCCTACCTTGGCTGGCAAATTTTTTGAAACCAAAGTTTTATTTAAACACAGACACTCCCATTTATTCACGTATTGTTTATGGATGCTTTAATGCTCCAATGTCAGTGTTGAGTGATTATGACAGAGACTGTATGGTCTACAAAGCAGAAAGCATTTACTATCTTGTGTTCTAAAAAAGAGTTTGGCAACCCTGTTCTGTAATAACTAATATGATCAAGCAATCTATACTACATTTCTAACTATTAAACCCAAGTTGAATAAGCAGGTGGGATGAAAACATTTTAAATGAAGCTATGGCTGCAGGGGTCATAACATATTTTTTAAGTCAAGATGAGTGAACTTTGAGTCACAGGTCTAACATTAGACTAATTTTTCTATCTATTTTATTTTCTTGTTTGATTTCTCCTAAATTTCATTACTTCACTATTAGATAGAATAGCATTTATTTTTCATCCCAGGTATTTAAGGATAAATTAGGTTAAAAAGAAGAGAGAAAGAAACAAATCATTCCAGTCAGAAAGAAGAGCCTATGTAAACACATGTAAGAATAAGGAAACATATCGATATTGCTGGAGCAAAGGATATGTAGCGAAACACTTAAAATTAATTTAGGGTTAGTGTGTAACTTCTCAGCATATGCCCATTACAGGTGACAATTTTTTCACCATCTCCCCCCTAGAGGTAGGAGCTATAGCTTTCCTGTTAGAATATTGGCAGACTATTGACTACTTTGACTAATATAAGAAAAATGACACTGTTTAATTTTCTGAACCTATCTTTAAGAGACTGTCAGTTTTCACTTGCTGTCTTTTAAATACTCACTCTTAGAATCCAGTTACCATATTGCGAGGAGCTCAAGCCACAAGGAAAGACATACAGAGTTGCCCCAGCAAATAGCCTCAGCTAAGTTGGCCAACAGGCCCAGTATGATGTGACTGAGTCATCCAGGACATTCAGCTCTGTTGGGTCTAGTCTTTAGAAGACTGTACCCTAAGTCATTGTCTGAAAGCAATCACATGAGAGACTCTGCTCAAAAAGTACCCCGCTGTGCCACTCAACCCATAGAATGTGAATGATAATAATAAATTGGTATTTTAAGACTTCAAGATTTGATGTGATTTATTATGCAGCAATGTATCATCAGATCATGGAGTATCAAAATATTCAGACATTGCATGTCCATGTGTCTAAATATTTTAGGTTTTTAAATAGATGACCAAAAGAAATACCAATAATTTTGCATAATGGGTAACACTTAAGCTACGGTGATTCACAAACTCAAAAAGCTTGTAATTGAAAAAAGAAATAATATTTACTTGATTTTGTCTCTGAATTTCTTTATGACTAGTACTCACTTCTAATATAACCACTTCTAATATACTGTCTGCTAATGTAATATACCTAAATTATAAATTGAATTATACTTTTCTTTCCTACAGTGAGCCTCAATTTAACAAATGTAAATAGAAACCTGAAAAATACATAGGATATTCTAGATTAAGAATTTCTGTTTATATTTTAAGCAAAATCTTCAAGGCTTTAAGTAAATATGTTCATATTGACCAGTCCTTAAAATTAACAAAAACCTTTAGTAAATCTTCATATTTAGACAACGATGTTCAAAAACAATGGTTGCAATGTAAACTAAAATCTGAAATCAATTTACTGAAATATAGAAAGCATTAAAATATTGTAGTGAAACTCATTGCTTATTAACAATTTAGTTTAATTAAAATAATACACTGATTTGATATTGAAATATCTTTATATATTTATCTGAAAATTGTTGTTTTCTATAAGCTGCTTGTAGAATTAATAAAGAATGTTTCCCTGTGGATTTCAGGGGATTTTTTTAATTGAAAACTTCACACCAGTTAGAATGATGATCATTAAAAAGTCAGGAAACAACAGGTGCTGGAGAGGATGTGGAGAAGTAGGAACACTTCTACACTGTTGGTGGGACTGTAAACTAGTTCAACCATTGTGGAAGACAGTCTGGCAATTCCCCAGGGATCTAGAACTAGAAATACCATTTGACCCAGCCATCCCATTACTGGGTATATACCCAAAGGATTATAAATCATGCTGCTATAAAGACACATGCACACGTACGTTTATTGCGGCACTATTCACAATAGCAAAGACTTGGAACCAACCCAAATGTCCATCAATGATCAACTGGATTAAGAAAATGTAGCACATATACACCATGGAATACTACGCAGCCATAAAAAAGGATGAGTTCATGTCCTTTGTAGGGACATGGATGAAGCTGGAAACCATCATTCTGAGCAAACTATTGCAAGGATAAAAAACCAAACACTGCATGTTCTCACTCACAGGTGGGAATTGAACAATGAGAACACCTGGACACAGGAAGGGGAACATCACACACCAGGGCCTGTTGTGGGGTGGGGGTAGTGGGGAGGGATAGCATTAGGCGATATACCTAATGTAAATGACCAGTTAATGGGTGCAGCACACTAACATGGCACATGTATACATATGTAACAAACCTGTACGTTGTGCACATGTACCCTAGAACTTAAAGTATAATAATAAAAAAAAGATTAATGTAAACAACCTCCTATTTCTAAAATATTCTAAATCTCTAATTAATATTAAATATTTTGAGGAAAGAAATTTTGAAGAGATTTTATGCCAAAAATGATAATAGTCTATGGCACATACTTAGAATTTATAAAACCCAGATTACCAAAGGACATTCTGTAAGAAGGCATCAAATGAAATATAATTTTAAATCAAAAATAAAATATAAAAGTGTTAAATATTAAGTTGTTATTTGATTATATTAGTAAGTTATTGTTTATTTTCTTAGGTGTTACAATGGAATTTTGGTTATGCAGAAAATTTATTGTTTTGAAGAGACTCATGCTGCACTATTTAGGATAAAGTATCATAAGTATAATGTACTTGCAGACACTTAGCAAACAATACATATATGACTATAAATAATTATGTGCACATACTACAAAAGTGAGTGTATTTTCATTTTAGATAATAGTTGTATTCTTATCCATTGTACTATTCTTTTAACCTTTGTATTATTAATGCTATACATAAACAATTGACAAAGGTAGCTTTTTCCCCAACTTAATTAAGGCATAATTGACAAATGAAAATTGCATGTATTTAAAGCATACAAGAAGACGTTTAGATATATGTATACATTGCGAATGATTAGTACAATCAAATTAATCCACATACCACCTCACATAATTACTGTGATGAAAACAAGATCCATATTCTTAGCCAATTTCAACTATATAATAAAGTATTAACTATAGTCATCATGTTGTGTACACTAGAGATTCAGAACTTACTCATCCGACAGAAATTTTGTGCTCTTTGGTCAACATCCTCCCATTTCCCCTACCCACAGCCACTGACAACTACCATTCTACTCTGCTTTTCCTATTATGGTTGTATTGCTATTTTAATCTCCCCTCGCATTTGTTAAAATTTGCAATACATATTTAGGTGCCCCAATGTGAATGCCATATATATTTAAAATTGTTACATCCTCTTGATGAATAAACTCTTTATGATGATAAATTATAATTACATAATAATTTTTTTGTGATATGTTTTACTTAAAGTACATTTTTTCTGACATAAATACAGCTACTCTTACTCTTTTTGGTTATTATTTTTATGGAGTACATTTTTTCATCCCTTCAGTTTCAGCCTATGTGTGTCCTTAAAGCTGAAATTAATATCTTGTAATCAGTTTATTGTTTTAGCTTATTCTTTTGTTTTATTTTTCTGTGTATTTCCTTTTTCCATTCAATCACTTTGTGTCTTTTGATAGAAAAATTTAATCTACATTTAAAATAAGTATTCATAGGTTAAGAATTGCCATTTCATTGTTTCCTGACTATTTTATAGCTACTTTTTTGTTGTTTATTTTTTCTGTCTTCCTTTGTGATTTAGTGGCCTTTTTGCATATTTACTAGAAGTTTTTTTTTTTTTTGTAGTTACCACAAGGCTTACACAGGCCATCATATAATTATAACAGTCTATTTCATGGTGAGAACTTACCTTCAATCATATACAGAATCTCTACACTTCAACTTCTCCTCTCCTTATATTTTATGATACTGATGTCACAATTTTTATCCTTTTATACTTGTATATCCATTATTCAATTTTTATAATTATAGTTATTCAGAATACTTTCATATTTAAACCTTTGTACTAGAGTTAAAAGTGATTTACACAACACCAGTACAATTTTACATTATTCTGTATTTTCTATATATTTACCTTAATCAATACAATGTATGTCTTTGCATGCTTTTGTGTTGTTGGTTAGCATCCTTTCATTTTAATTTTAAAAACTCCCTTTTGTAAAGCAGGTCTAGTGGCAATGAACTACCTCAAATTTGTTTGTCTGGAAAAGCCTTTATTTCTCATTCATTTTTAAAGGACATTTTATCCAGGTATAGTTTTTTTTTTAACTGGCAGTATTTTTCTTTCAGTTTTTTAGATATGTCTTTCCATGCTTTCCTGACCTTCCAGGTTTCTGCTGAGAAATTCACTGATAGCCTCAAAAGAGTTCTCTTTTATGTGATGAAACCTTTTCTATGGCTTCTTTAAAAATTATACCTTCGTCTTTGACTTTTGAAAAGTTGATTATATCTCAGTGTAATCTTTCATGGACTCCGCTTGGAGAATTTTGAAGTTTCTTACTCTGAATGTCCACATCCCTCCCAAGACTGGAGATGTTTTCAGCCATTATTTTTTTAAATAAGCTTCCTGCCCCTTTCTCTATCTCTTTCCTCTGAGATTTCAATAATGCATGTTGGTTTGCTTGATGATGTCTCATAAATTCCATCGACTTTCTTCACTCTTTTTCATTCCTTTTTTCTCCTCTGATTGCATAATTTCAAATGACTTACCTGTTTTCACAGATTCTTTCTTCTGCTTAATCTGTCCTTGAAGACATGTATTGCATTTTTAAATTTTATTTATTGTATTCTTGAGCTAAAGAATTTATGTTTTGTTCTCTTTTATTATATCTATATCTTCGCTTAACTTCTTTGTTAGGCAATTAGTAGATCTCCATTGGGGCAATGAAATATAAAAAAAAAATGTGTTCCTTGGCTAGTGTCATGTTTCCTTGATTTTTTTTTTCCTTTGAAATCTTACATTGATATCTTCACATTTAAAGAAGCAGCCACCTTCTTCAGTCTTTACTGACTGGCTTTAGGAGAGAAAGATCTTCATCAATCAGCTTAGTATCTAGGGATTCTGTGAGACTCTAAAACCAAAGACCTACTCCCTTCTTCTTGTTCACTTTGTGGGGGAGTGTTAGGAGTGTATTTTTTCTCTCAATTCTGAAAAACCATGCTGCATGATGAGAACCTACTACTTATTTTCTCTGGAACAGTGCCCTGAATTGTACAAGGTATATGACTTCTCCTAATCCTGCAGACTGAAGTCAGCTTTCTTTGGGCATATGATTTGCAGAGGCTCACATATGCCATCTTCTTCTAAAAGGCATGGGGTACATACAGTGATGAAGGCATGCATGGACTAACTGGGGGGGATTCACAGCCGATGCATCCTGAAAGGTTTATGATGGAGTCCATAAGACGATTAGTAGAAACTGTGGCCCTTTAAAGTGGAGTGAGGAAAACATGCAGCTCCTGTGCAGTATCTCACATGGTTGGGTGTTCAATACACTCTTACTTTTCCTTGTAGGAGTTATTATGGGCTGAAGGGCTCTCTCTTGGCATTCAGCTGTGCCACCTTTGGGGAGAGTGGTGATGTATATAATTTTTTTTTTTTTTGAGATGGAGTTTCACTTTTGTCTCCCAGGCTGTAGTGCAATGGCACAATCTTAGCTCACTGCAATCTCCACCCCGCCGGGTTCAAGCGATTCTCCAGCCTTGCCTCCTGAGTATCTGGGATTACAGGGATGTACCACCAGGCCTAGCTAATTTTTTTTATTATACTTTAAGTTTTAGGGTACATGTGCACAACGTGCAGGTTAGTTACATATGTATACATGTGCCATGTTGGTGTGCTGAACCCAGTAACTCGTCATTTGACATTAGGTTTATCTCCAAATGCTATCCCTCCCCCAACCCCACAACAGGCCCTGGTGTGTGATGTTCCCCTTCCTGTGTCCATGTGTTCTCATTGTTCAATTCCCATCTATGAGTGAGAACATGCGGTGTTTGGTTTTTTGTCCTCGTGATAGTTTGCTGAGAATGATGGTTTCCAGCTTCATCCATGTCCCTACAAAGGACATGAACTCATCATTTTTTTATGGCTGCATAGTATTCCATGGTGTATGTGTGCCACATTTTCTTAATCCAATCTATCATTGTTGGACATTTGGGTTGGTTCCAAGTCTTTGCTATTGTGAATAGTGCCGCAATAAACATACGTGTGCATGTGTCTTTATAGCAGCATGATTTATAATCCTTTGGGTATATACCCAGTAATGGGATGGCTGGGTCAAATGGTATTTCTAGTTCTAGATCCCTGAGGAATTGCCACACTGACTTCCACAACGGTTGAACTAGTTTACAGTCCCACCAACAGTGTAAAAGTGTTCCCATTTCTTCACATCCTCTCCAGCACCTGTTGTTTCCTTTTTAATGATCGTCATTCTAACTGGTGTGAGATGGTATCTCATTGTGGTTTTGATTTGCATTTCTCTGATAGCCAGTGATGATGAGCATTTTTTCATGTGTCTTTTGGCTGCATAAATGTCTTCTTTTGAGAAGTGTCTGTTCATATCCTTCACCCACTTGTTGATGGGGTTGTTTTTTTCTTGTAAATTTGTTGGAGCTCATTGTAGATTCTGGATATTAGCCCTTTGTCAGATGAGTAGATTGCAAAAATTTTCTCCCATTCTGTAGGTTGCCTGTTCACTCTGATGGTAGTTTCTTTGGCTGTGCAGAAGCTCTTTAGTTTAATTAGATCCCATTTGTCAATTTTGGCTTTTGTTGCCATCGCTTTTGGTGTTTTAGACATGAAGTCCTTGCCCATGCCTATGTCCTGAATGGTATTGCCTAGGTTTTCTTCTAGGGTTTTTATGGTTTTAGGTATAACATTTAAGTCTTTAATCCAGCTTGAATTAATTTTTGTATAAGGTGTAAGGAAGGGATCCAGTTTCAGCTTTCCACATATGGCTAGCCAGTTTTCCCAGCACCATTTATTAAATAAGGAATTGTTTCCCCATTTCTTGTTTTTGTCAGGTTTGTCAAAGATCAGATGGTTGTAGATATGCGGCATTATTTCTGAGGGCTCTGTTCTGTTCCATTGGTCTATTTTTTTTTTTTTTTTTTTAAGTAGAGACAGGGTCTCATCATATTAGCCAGGTTGGTCTCAATCTCCTGACCTCAGGTGATCCACCTGCCTCAGCCTCTCAAAGTGCTGGGATTACAGGTCTGAGCCACCATGCCCAGCTTGTTTTTCTTTCTTTTTAATCTGTCTGTTTTTAGATATTTTTGTTCCAACCAAGTGCTGGGATCTATCTGGTGGATTCCCCAAATGCACTCTCATCCATGCTAGGTTCTGTGGACAAATGAGAGTTGAAAACTCCTGTTTTACTATCTTGTTAATGTCACTCTGAGTATAGTGATAAATAACTTTGTGGCAAGGACCAATATGAAAGTCGTTTTCTCATTTTGGTAAAAAATTAATTGCTTTTTTTTTCAAATGAAATATTTTTGAAATAGTGTTCACTGTAGGTACCGTTTTTCTCTTTTAAGTACATAACATTGATAGTAGAGTCCGTGAGGAAGGGATATTTGCATTAAATTAATGATAAGTCAGTTGTAATATCTTAGATATAAGATGAGTAGACTACATTGGCATTTCCTTGCCAAACTGTAACTTTCAGGCTAGCAGGAAAAACATTTGTTCTCCATTATATATGCCAAATTTCTGTCACACAGTAGGTCCTCAATAAATCTTTGTTGAATGCTTTTATCCCTAGTTGAATTCCTTGATGCTTTGTCAGACCCCATTTTAAGCTAAATCTACTTGACATGCAGAACTTTGCTCGTGAAAGTTCTCATGATTCTGGAACCCATCTAAAGTGACAGCCCCTTGCAATTTATTTGAGTCTCGTAATTTGTATCCAGAAGAGTAATAAGCCTTAGCCCAAAGGTAACTGAATAGGAAAATGTCATTCTCTATAATAGCACTATTATTCAAATTATATGCTATTTGTTCTATTAATCCTGTTTATACTCATCCCATTCTGTAGAGTTAATTAAATTGGATGATCAATTAACTTAGGATTTCCTCTAATGAATCAGAGGGCAAGAATTCTTGGGAAAGACTTCTATAAGCCTAATTTTTGCTATCAGTAATATGGACTTCTACCATAGAAGAATACAAGATAATTGGGATTATTCACTGTCCATAGTGTCCATGTTGTTAAAATGTATTGAAATTACAATTACAATGTGTTAGATAAATGTATGTTATTACGCTAAAACTGGTGGGGTCTTTCTGTACAATGTTAATAATTTGACAATATTATACTTCTGGTACAGATTTCTGGGATTTTGTCCAAGAATATGAATTAGCCCTAATTCTATACATATTAAATCCTTATGTGTCTTGTATTAAATAGATGGTTTTTTGAATTTAATAACATCAAAACTTCTTTATTATATGTGCTACATATTTTAGGTAATTACATTTTGAAATTGGCATTAGATTTATTTCATGTTCAATATTTGTGGAATTAAGAAGATTTATGTAATGTGATCCACTTGTCTAAAGATATTTCCTGAATTTAAAAGGGCAACTCTTTTCAATATCATTTATTATTACATTTTTATAAGATTAAACTTTATTCCATTGGAGAGGCAGAGGACACAATTCATCTACCATCTTAAACAACAATATTAACTTTTAATCAACAGTCACACTTCAGTAGCCTATGCTAAAAGAGATTAAAAATTATGATTTTCATCCTCAGTGAAATTTTTATCCTTCAAATAACTGCTCTCCCATTCAGTTGCAAAATTATACTAGTTAAATGACTGTCCCAATTATAATAGCAATAATAATGTGCTAGATACTGTTCAGAGTACTTTATAGTAATGTTTGTTTATAACAACATATAAGGTAGGTACAGTCATTATTGCCACTTTCTGGTGTAGAAACATAGGTAAAGAGATATTAAGAAACACATTCAAGGTCACAGAGCTAGGAAGGTTAAAACTCTAATTCAAACTTTGTCTCCAAAGTTTCTAGTTGTATTATATCATTGTGCTACCTTTTGAGATTCCCAAAATCTGGAATGAAGAATTGATGAGAATGGATAAGTCAGAGACAGTAATAAATTTTGCTTGCCCCCAATTGGAATAGAGAATTTATAGACCACAAATCACACTGCATTTGGAAGAGGATCTCACTCAGAATACATGTATTGGTTTCCTAAGGTTGCAGCAAGAAGTTACCATAAACTTGGTAGACTAAAACAACAGAAATTTTTCTCTTGTAATTCCTGAGGCCAGAAGTTCAAAATCATAATGTTAGCAGGGTTACCTTTTAAAGCCACAAGGGGAGATTGCTTTGGGGACTCCTCCAGTTCCTGGTATTTTCAGGTATTCCTTGGCTGTGGCAGCAAAACTCCCGTCTCTCCCTTTTTCTTCACGTGGCTTTCTTTCCTGTGTCTCCTCTGTTTACATGTCATCTTCCCTTTTCTTTCTTATAATCTCAATTCTGGTTGCTTAACTTAATTATGTCAGCAAGGTAACGTTTTCCAAATAAAGTCACCTTTGTAGGTTCCAGGGATAAGGTATTAGACATCTTTTTGAGGCCATTATTCAAAAAGACACAGTACATATTTCTAGATCATAGATTAAAGACTTGCCTTACTTGACCAATCTTTGGGCAATTGGAGGATAGTATTTATTTAATATAAAACAAAATAAATCCTGGTTAAACCATCAAAAATAATTTTTCAAAGAAAATTTAGTTGAAATCAGAAGCTATTTAAGTATGTTTACAAAATAGTAGAATTACCTATGTTTAAAATAAAATTTAGACAGATGAAGGCTTAACACAAAGCCTCCTAGAAATAAAATAATCTTAGGTTTTTTTTAACAAAAATATAAAAGGGGATTGGTAAGATACTGCTTTTTACAAACCACTTTTCATTTAACAAATAAGTCCTTTCTTCCCAGAAGCTACACTTTAGAAAGAAGTTGGGCTGACAAAACCTGAAAAAAAAATCTTCCTAATATTCACAAAGGAATCTCACTGTTGAGTATATATCCATGCTTCTATGCTTATTGCAGCACTATTTAGAATAGCCAATATATGGAGCTAAGCGTTCATCAGTGGATGAATGGATAAAGCAAATGTGGAACATATACACAATGAAATATTTTTTAGCCATAAAAGGAATAAAATTCTATCATTTGCAATAAACTAGACAGGACTGTAGAACCTTATGTTAAGTGAAATAAACCAGGTACAGAAAGACAAATATTGCATGTTCTTTCTCATATGTGGAAGCTAAAACACACCGATCTCATGGATACAGAGAGAAGAATAATGGTTACCAGAAGGTGTGAAGGGTTGATGGGGATAAAGAAGAATAGTGAATGGGTATAAAAAACATAGTTAGATAAAAGAAGTAAGATCTAGGGTTCAGTGACACAACAGGGCGACTATACTTAATGATAATTTATTTTATATATAATATGTATATTATATATAATATTTTATATATAGTATATAATATGTATATTATGTAATATTTTATATAGCATATATGTATATTATATATAATCTTTTATATATAGTATATAATATGTATATTATATATTATATAATTATATAATTATGTATTATATAAAATATATTATATAATATATAATTATATATTTTTTGAAATATAGATTATATATAATATATATGGCAGTGAGCTGAGATATAATATATATTATCTATACTATATAATATATATTATATATACTCTATATTATATATGTATATATTATATATAATATATACATATATAATGTGTATATATTATATATAATAAATTATCTGATATAATATAATATACGATGTATATTATATATACATATACAATATATTTCAAAATAGCAAAAGTAATGGATCCTTCCTCCTACCTCCCTCCTGATCTTTAGAGCTGGTGGAGCACTGTCTCCCAACTAACCAAGGGAGCAGGCTGGGGCACCCAGCAATGACACATGCAGGCCAGTTCCAGCTTGCACAACTGTCTTTAGCTGCAAGTCTTGCCACTGAGAGAAAGCTTGTGTTTGGCAACTCTCCTCCTACTCCAGCCCTGCAATGGGAGAGAGCCTCATTTCAGAGCCTACTGCTAGGGCACTCTCCACACTGCTTAAATCTGGCTGTGGGCTCATCCTTCATTTCAGAGCAAGTGCTCCAATCTCTGGCCTGAGATTAAAATGCCTGTTATGGCAGCCACTGCCAGGCCATCAAATAATGTGTCTAAACTTTCAAAATGGTGTCAGCTATGGGCTTGTGACCAGAAAGGCTGGGGCCCTCTGAACCAGCATGGGCAAGAAGCTGTGAGGAGTGTGTTCCACTCATGTCTTGGTCTCACCACGGTCCATAGCACGGCAGTGGGCATTATTCTAGGTATGTCCACTAGAGCCTGGCTTCTCCTTCTCTCCTTGGCTAGGTGGCAGTTGCAGCTGCATTAGGCCAAACTCAGGTGGAAGATGGGGCACAGCTCAGCATTAAACTCTGTGGCTTTTACCTCACCTACTCTTCCCATCCTCTTCAAGTATTTGGTCTTTCAATTATACTCTGTCTTTTCTTTTTTAACCATTTGTCCTACTGATGTTGTTTTCAATAAAGTAGGCTGAAAAAAGGGAAAAGGGCAATGGAAGACAATGCAGTATTATAATAATTACTTTATTTTCAAATGAGAAAGTCATGGACATGTATGCCTATGTATGTGTGTATATACACAAACATAACCAGCATGTATGAATGTATCCATTATATTTATATATATAATTGTGTATGATATATACATATATAGGTATAAATATATATGTATACATCCACATACTTATCCATGACTTCCCCATTTGAAAATAAATACTGCATTTTCTTCCAGTTGTCTTTTCCCTTTGTTCAGGCTACTTCTAGGAAAAAATAACACACAGGCAAATACACACACACTCACACAGAAACACAGTAAATGTTAAAATAATGAAAATGAAAAATTTGAGATCACTACATATATTCTAACATATTTATGTGTGTGTATATATATACACAATCATCTTTAATTTTTTATTTTCACTATTTTTACATGTTACAGTTTCAATTTCTTTGCTTCCTCTCTGTTATCCAATCCAACTTCTTCATATTCCTCTGCATACTGCTTCTTAAAATAATTGTTTTGTTGTCTGTAGTCTCTTTTTCTGCAACTCCAATGCACATTTCTTAGACCACTTAATTTTGTCTCACAGGTCTCTAAGACTGTATTCCTTTATTTGTTATTACTGTAGGTCTATTTTTTCTTGTTCTTCATATTGAGTGACTTCTATAGATACAGTTTTATCAACAACTCTTTCATATGTTTTTTATTTCTAAAATGTTTTTTAGCCAATCTAGTAAATTTTGTATTTTCAGCACTAGAAGTTTTGGCATCATAAATTTCAGGTCAGTTATTATGTATTATCTATGCTATTTTTTTATCTGTCCCTATACTACATAGTTCAGAGGTCGGTCTGAGGACCAAGAAGAGTTTGTATTTAGAATGTTGGAGAAAGTCAGGGAGAGGGAGAGAAAGAAGATAAACCAGGAAGCTCTCCAGGTGTATTTTCCTACATGCAATTTTCTATTGCAGCTTCTGCCTGCTTTTCTACATTCTCTAGTGCTTTTAGATATTTGAATGTTATAATGTTTTAGAGTATTATATTAAAATTGTACTAAATTTTATAACAATTGCATTAAATTGTATTCAATGTTAATACACATTAAAAAGTACAACAGAATATACAGCTTGATGAATTCTTCAAATTAAAAACAACATCGAATTAAGAAACAAAATATAAACTTCCCAAAATTCCCATGTGTCTTCTTACAGATTCACCACAATCTCTGTTAATTAGTCTTCTAAAACTTTTTAAAAATCCAATATATTTTACTCTTTTTATACTTTATATAAATAAAATTGTATAGTATATCGTTTCATTTCTGACCACTTTGGCATATGTTTATGTTTGTGAGATTCATCTATAATGTTGCATATGATTGTAGATTATTCATTCTTGCCATAATATTTCATTTCCTTATATGAATATCCCAAAATGTGGATTTTTCTGGTATTTTTTAAATTTTAGGATACTATGAAATATTCTGCTTAAAATATTCCTATACAAATTATTTAGTAAATGTACATCAGAATTTGGGGATAATGTATATCTGGATGTGGAATTGCTGATCCAAGGTTATGTATACAACTTTATGTGATAATATAAAGCAGTTTTTAAAAGTAGTTTTACCAATTAGTATGCCCATTAGCAATATGTTAGTTGTTCTACATTTACCACAACTTGGTGCTAATAGTCTTTTAAAACCCAGCTGGAAGTAGGTTATTATTGGCTTTTGGTGTAATTTGCATTTCTCTGATGACTAATAAAATTGAATACTTTTTAATATGTATATTGGTCATATGGATATTTTTTCTTGTCAAACTCCATTCAAGCTTTTTGATAATTATTTTGTGAAGATACTATCTGGTTGGCTTCTATGATGTAGGAGGAAGAACTTTGAAGATGTCCTCTAATGATTCTTGTTTACTGATTGTTCAATCAAACAAATATTGGTGCTTAAGTGAAGGGACTGTGAGGTTGTAATTGATACTAGTGGTGGCCTTTAAATTACTGAGACTACCCTGGATTATCCAGGTGGGCCCAATTAAATATTTAAGAGCAGAAGAGGAAGGCAGATGGGTCAGAAATATGTTATGGAAGAAGAAAGACAGAAGAGAGTTGGCACAAAGGAAGTTCAGAGAGATTACAAACATAGAATTTGATGCACCATTACTGACTCTGATGTGTCAGGGCCCACAGGCAAGGATGAGAGAGAGGCCTCCTAGCAAATAAGGGCACGCCTAAGCTTACAGAGTGACATGAATTTAAGACCTCAGTCCTACAACTGAAAGGAACTTGATTCTGCCACAACTTGAATGAACTTGATTCTTGCCAGACTCTACTAATACCAGTACAGCATTTGACACTGATTTCAGTTCTGGGAAACACTTGACAAAGAAACCAGATGAACCAACCTGGACTTCTTACCTTCGGAACTGTGATATAATACATTTGTGTTGCTTTAAAGCACTAGGTATATGGTAATTTACTATGGTAACAAGAGAAAACTAATACACATGGTTTCTGTTTGGAAATTAGCTGTCAATTTTATTGATGCTCAATTGAGGGTACTTTATCATTTTATCTAACTGGGTCTAAGATTTTCTTTTCATTTTTTTCAACCACTTTACTGTAGTGGACCTGGATGTGGTTTTTTTATTTATCTGGTTTACTATTTGCAATATTTTGTTGAAAAACAAACATTGTTTATCATAGGATGCTGTTAGGAAAATAAAAAAAAAATATATATATATGGCATAGATTGGGAGAAGTAGTTGAAAAATATATTTCTGTCAAAAAATTATATCTAGAGTATGTAAATAATTCTCACATTTGAATGAATTGCTCACAAAAGAAAATATACTAATTGCTAACAACACATTGACAGTTAACCAACTTTATTGATCATGAAATCAAAACCATAATGAGATATTACTTCACACCCACTTGAATGGCTAAAATAAAAAAGATTTAAACATGATAAGTGTTAGCAAGGCTGTGCAGCAACTACAACTCTTACACATTGCTTCTGGTAATGTACAATAGTATAGCCACTTTGCAAAGACTTTGGCTAGTTCTCATAAAATTAAACATGGAATTGCCATATGAACCAGCAATCTCTCTCATGTATTTCCCCAAGAGAAGTGAAAATCATATGTCCATAAAAAGTGGCATATAAATATTTATAACAACTTTTTAGATAATAGTCCTAAAAAAAAGCAACCCAAAGGCCCATTAACTGCTGAACAGATAACAAATCACCATCTATTCTTATAAAGGAATATTATTTAAAAATAAATATATACAAATGACTGAAGCATGCAACAATATGCATAAATCTGAAAGCATAATACTAGGTTTATTAGTCTGTTCTCATGCTACTATGAAGAAACACCTGAGACTAGGTAATTTATAAAGAAAAGAAGTTTAATTGACTTACAGTTCCACAGGGCTGGGGAAGCCTCTGGAAACTTACAATTATGGTGGAAGGCACCTCTTCACAGGGCAGCAGGAGAGACAGTAAGTGCAAGCTGGGGAAACACCTGATGCTCACAAAACCATCAGCTATCATGAAACTCACTCACTATCACAGGAACAGCATGGGAGAAACCAACTCCATGATCCAGTCACTTCTCACTGGCTCCCTCCCTTGACACGTTGGAATTACGGGAACTACAATTTGTGTGAGGGCACAGCCAAACCATATCACTATGTGACAGAAGTCAAGCAAAGATAATTAAAATGTGTGAGTACATTTAGATGATATTTTGGAAAAGGCAGAAGTATAGTGACAGAAACCATATATATGATTGAGTTGGAGGAGGAGAACAGCTCTGAGGAGAGCAGCCCAAAGGAGTTAAAAGGTATTTTGGGGTTGTATCTGTCCTATATTTTGATTATGGTGCTGGTTATATTCTTGTACTTAATACATTTTATACTTACAAAGGGTGATTTTTATCATATATAAAGTATACCTCAGTAAAATTATTTTCAATTATGCAACAATCTATAATGCTTAAAAGAATGAGATGTTGATTAACAAGTGAAATAGATGAGTCAAAAAATATATAAAATACAAGTCAGCAAAAGTTTCTAGTATATATTAAGTCTTTGGTATAAGGGCAATGTAAGCATTCACAGAACAAGGATTCAATGACTTGAGTTAGGCAAACTGATTGCTAGTAACCAGAAAAATATTCAATTCATATAATCACCAAACATAATACCTAAAAGCAAATTAAATGTGGATTAAGTAAATGTAAATGGAATCAAAATTTGAAAATTAAAAAAAGTAGTAAACATATATTTAATTTTTTGATTTGATTTATTTGAAATGAAAATATTTTATGCAAAGAATATTAGAACAGGCTGGGCATGATGGCTCACGCCTATAATCCCAGTACTTTGGGGGGCCAAGTTGGGAGGATTAGTTGAGTCCAGGAGTTTGAGACCAGGCTGGGCAACACCGTGAAAATGTATCTCTACAAAAATACAAAAAACATTAGCTGGTGTGGTGGCACGCACCTGTAGTCCCAACTACATGGGAGGCTGAAGTGGAAGGATCACTTGAGTCTGAGAGGCAGAGGCTGCAGTGAGCTGGGATCATGCCACTGCACTCCAGCCTGGGTGATAGAGGAAAGAATGAGACTATGTCTCAAATATATATATATATATATATGAACAAATATATATATGAACAAATGTTACAATATGTAATTAATGCTGTACATATTTACTGAGTTAAGACAGAATACCTGGGAATATATTTTCACAAAACTTAACAGGATTCTTAATCACAATAGTTAAAGGCTATTGCAAACTGAATAGCAGCATGAAACTATTGCTAAGAAATCTAAGTAGAGAAAATTAATTAAAAATTTACAAAGAACAAATGTTTAAACCATGGAAATAATTAAGAATTGCAAATAAATATAGTCAGGGAATCCAACTTTACTTCAATAAAATTATTAATATGATCAAATATTGAATGAAAAAGTTGTGTCATCAATATTATGTCTGCTATGTAAAACAATAATTATTCATAAATTTAACATTCAATTTGATTTGTTACCTTTTTATTATATTTTAAAAACATCTGTGTTGAAGTTTACTGCAATATTAATGTACTGTTTTTTAATCAGTAAATCTATATACGTAGCTAAATGTTATAACTTTTTCATTTTATTCCTGGGTTAAACGAAATTAAAAAAATCTATTTAAAAAGTTACAGGCTTGTCTATAACTTTCAGTGAGTAAATAAATTAATATATTATTTAGTGAGAATGAGATCAGCTGAGCAGACTTTCTGTTCTTGGCTGAGCTCACTCATTTATTTGTGATCATCTGTAAGTGAATTAGGCGGGCAAATGTGATGATTTTGGCTGGGCTGTCTCATATGTTGAGGATGCTGTTGTTTTTGGGCTGATTTAGAATGACTTCAGCTTGGACAGCTGGGTTTGCCTCCATCTGTTTTCTCATTCTCCAACTGGCTAGTGCAGGCTTGTTTTTTGGTGATAGCAAGATTTTGAAAGAGAAAACAAGAGCATGAAAAGACTCTTAAGGCATAGTCTATAACATTATGACTTCTACCACATAGATAGAAAAGAGAGTCCATATAAAATTCTTTAATCTGAGGATTACATTAAGATCCTATAGGCATAATTGAATTACGAGTAGAATCTGAGATTAATCAACTTACCATTAATCTATATTTGTATTCTGTTTCAATAGCAATATTCTATTTATATTGTACTGGCCAGAGTAAATCACATGGATCTCATAGTTTCAAGGGAGGGGTAATACATGTCACAACTTGATATAAAGAGCTAAGCTACAAACTTAGCTCACAAAGTGCAGCAGGTGTGGATATAGGTAGAAAATTAGAAACAGATTTTAAAATCTAGCTAACAAAAATTTTAGTGTCTCCAGGAAAGTTGCTATTAGGTCTTTGGGAGGGTAATATATGCACTAAGCCCAATATGTGTACTAGGCAAACATAATAACTATTGAAGTGGAATAAGGTAGTGAGTTCTAGTGTTAAACTGTTTAGATCCCAGTCCTGGTTCTACCAGTTACTAAGTAAGTACTTTTGACAAAGTTATGTATTCTATCTATCCTGCATTGGTCAATCTTTTAAATGGGGCTAATTTTAAAACATACCACAGAACTTCACCTTGTTCAAACAAGCAAAGCACGTAGGACACTACTGGGAACATAATAGCCTTCTAGTATATTTTAGCTATTATTGATCAATAAACAGGATCACAAATATTAGGTCAATGGTAATTTGATTAAATTCGGATAATGCCTGGAATTTATCGTGCCAATAAGGCTCTTAATGTAACACCTCAAATTAAAGAATGGTATCTGGACCTTATTTTCTCCCTTTATTAATATACTCTTTCTTGAGGATCTCAACCAGCGCTGTGGCTTTATACTGAATGATGCCAGTGATTCCAATATTGTGCATCCAACCTCAACAATGGCAGTGTATATAACAAGTGTATTAATGTTAATGGCTGCAAGATTAATTCTCCAACCACCTCCACCTTTCAGCCCATCATGTTTCCTTTTTAATCTCTTTCAAAAGCATTGAATTATTCAAGTTAAAACCCTAGCAATTATATTTGTTTCTTTTTTTTACTCTCACTTTTTAAGTCCAATCCTAGGTAAGTCTTATTTACTTGAACACCAGAGTGTAGTCCTTGATTTTCCTTCCTCTCTCTATCCCCACTGAAATAATTTTATAATAAACCAATATTTTATCTAAAGTCTTTACTTCTGTAATAGTTTCTCTTGTGTGTATGCATTCATCTTGCACTTCTATACTTTCTTTTCCTGCAGCTAAAATAATCTTTTATAATATGAACCAGATCATCTTACTTCCCTACACATAATCTTCCAGTAACTTCTCACAGAGCTTGGAATTAAATTCAAATACTTACCATGGCCTCTGAATATGTGTCCCAAAAAGAAAATACTTTAGTACACAAAAATCTCCAGCCTCACCTGTTGCCTTCTTTCCCTGGCCCACTGAGCTTCACCTAGCCTCCTCCTCTATGAACTCCCACTCTTCCAAGCTACCCCTAATTAAGTGTTTTCAAATATTATTCCCTT
This sequence comes from Homo sapiens, assembly GCF_000001405.40. NCBI lineage: Eukaryota > Metazoa > Chordata > Mammalia > Primates > Hominidae > Homo > Homo sapiens. The sequence goes on from NC_000001.11 coordinate 102,474,432, forward strand.
TATCTGGAATAATTTTTGCCCAGATTATTTAATGGATAGTTTCTTCCTGTTATTCTGTTCTCTCCTCAATGTTATTTTTTCAGAAGATTTTTTTACCTAACTGTCCATCTAAAGCAACCTTACCTCATCCCAAACTACTTTCTATCATATCACCGTTTTATGTGTGGCTTTTATTTCCATCTGAATTTACTTTATGTACATAATTGCTTGTTTTCTGCCTACTCCCCACATTTTGGAGGTATTTTGTTTAACAACTGTACTTCCAGAACTTTGGTAGTGTCTAGAACATAGATGTTTTACAAATGATGCCTGAGCCAGATCTATCAGAAAACAATGTCAAATCTTTCGGACACTGAAGCTAAAATGTCTCCAAAGTGTAAAAATCACAGTTCAAAAAAATCTATAATTATTTGCATTTGGAAAATAATATCCTAATAAACTGATATAAACTGATTTCATTAGTTGTTTAAACATATCTCATAATTGTAACATATACAAAATGATATCTAAAGTCCATTAACATAGCATAAAAAAACAAGTACTGTTTTGACAGTGTGAAAAATAAATACAAAATGATTAAGTATAATATATTTACACGTTTGATTGATGCTGTATTTCCTAAAACGTCTAATCTTTAAAGGCCATAGAGAAATGACAAAAAATGCCCTAAGAACAAATTTATATTAAGTGATTTCAATAGATGTGTTTGCAGCTGTAATAACTGATCACAGAAGACAATTTGATTTCAACATTTTTTTCAGATAAATCAGCCATAAATCTGCATTAAAATGAGCATATTTATTTCAAAATGACCTGGTAAATATTTTCTTCAGGTGTTTCAACAAACATTATGAATTAATCTTTTCAAACTAATTAATATTGAGAGAAATTTTAAAATGTTGACTGGTAGAAAATGAAAATTTGATCTTTCAAAGGGGCTATTTTACTTCTTCCATGAGAAAATTATGTTTTAAAAATAAGCTTTCAAACTTTTATTCATTTAACATTATACTTAAACTTAATAAGTTTAAGATAAAAAGCATGTATTTAAGTATTAATAATTGGAATATGTGACTAAAATTGATTAATATTTTCAATCTATGTCACCCAAATGAATTTTGTTTAAAGTTTCTTGACATTCTTATTTCTATTTATACAAATATATTTCCTTATACAGTTAAAATAAGAGCGAGCCTATAAATAAATGAACACATGATTAATTGCTTTTTAATAAAAGTGCTAAAACAATTTAATGGGGAAATATTTTTTTTTACAAGAAATGGAGCTGAAACAACTGGATATTCACCTGTCGAATAAATGAATTTGAACCTTGCCTCACATTACACACACACACACACACACACACACACACACACACACACACATATACTTCTGTTAAAATGAGACAGACCTAAAAGCAAGCTGAAACTATAAACATATTTTAGGGAAATGGCATAAGATACATATTCACCATCTTGTGGTAAGGAAAAGACTTTTAGTATATAAAAATCAGTAGTCATAAAAGTAAAAGTGAAATAAAAGTTAATAATAATTCTTGGCAGCTTGTATAAATTATAAAGGATTTATTTAAAGGCATTGACTTGATATCTCAGACCTCATTTTGTGTAAGTAAAAACTTCTCAGTCAATGGCTTTTCTAATTTGGTATTTAACTTTTGCTCTGCGGTATTAAAGAAAAACTGTGATTAAGGTATCTTTGTAGAATAATTTTTGTAAAACTATATCTTTTGTGCTGTATAAAAATTATGTAATACTTTTGGTTATATAAATCCTAGAAACTGTGGGTAGATTATATAAATTTGAGATATATAATTGGTATCAGGAATTTTGGGAACTCATGTGCATTTGGAAATTTAACTGTATAAATTGATAGTTTCATAAACCTAAGAAAAAAGAATCCTCTGCAAAATGATTATTGAATATATGTCAGATCATGTCACTCTTTGCACAAAACCTACCAATGGCTTTCTCTTTTACTCAGGGTAAAAGTCGAAGTCCTTACAATGATCTATATACAGCCTGTCTGATTGCTCCCTGCCTCACTCACCACTCTCATCTTGCTCCCTCTTCTCTCTCTTTCTCACTACTTCTCATGTTTATTAAACTTGCTGAGCTCGGACAAGTGAGCTTATACTCAGGTTTATATTCAAGTGTCACTTTTTAAAAGAAGATTTCCTTGCCTATCCTAAAATTGAAGCAAATACAGTGAAATATTTCAGCAACTACCTGTGATTTTTTTAGGATACACATGTGAACATATCCTTCAAATAACTTTCATAAGTCTGCAATTTTTCAAGATTATTTGCCAGACTTTAGGAATGTGTTGATTTTATTTAAAAATCCCAATAATTTTTAATGTTCTACCTTGTTTGCCATAAAATAAATGCCTTTAAATTCAAATTATATAACCATAATTCACTTTCCACGTAATGCTTTGCCAATGCAGTTTTCAGGATAAAATTTATTTATCTGTGGAATTGTTTTCAGTCAACATTCATTCATATGCCCATTTCTCCTTAAAATGGCACACTAGTGAAATATAGAGTTGTCCTGATATACCCAACTGTGTCTCCTGTCCTATGACATTGTGCACAATTCCATATTAATTCATTATTCATTACTTTAGAGAATCAGATAAATCTATGCTGCAGGTGACTGTCTCAATCTTATTTCTTAATTTTATGTTAAAGTAGTACAATTTTTTAATATTTCTCAGTAACTGACACATATTGAAGACATTTTATAAGATAATTTGTTATAATTATTTGACATCTTTGAAATTACAATAAAGACAGATTTTCTTGGAAAAAAATCATCTCATTCCACTTGGAATTAAAAAGGTGACATACTGATTTCATCTGCAAAGGCTTCATTGCTATTAGTGAAGCAAGTGATGTTTAAAGTAAAAGTCACAGAGAATGCCACTGGAGTGCTAACAGGTTAGTATTAAAAATAAATCACCTTACACCTGAAAGCAATGAGCTGTTAAAATGATAAAGAATATTAAGCAACATAGTCTAATTATAACTTTCAGATGGCAAAATCTTAATTAAAGTTTTAGAATACATAAATGAATAAGTTAAATGACAATGAACAATATTGTACACATTAAGGGACAGTGCCAAAATTAATAATGAAAATCACATTATCTCTATATATTCAGTACTTGTTACTTTGTTCCATACATATACCATACATTTTGATGAAATTAATTAATCAATTAAGCATCTGTGCTTCATAATCCCTAGAGCAATCATCCTCATCAGAAAAATCACTATTTTTTTCTTCTTTTAAAGCCATATCTTTATTTTCTGACTTTTTATAAATATAAGTAAAATAGACATGGCCATTCTTTTTTATAGTAGTATTTGTTCCTGGTTTCTCTTTTAACATCAAATCAAAACAAAATAAGCTGTATGAAGGAAGGTTTACTAAGATTTAGTTATTTTAAGTTACATAATTCTATATTAGTATTTCTATTTATACCTGCAGATTTACCTTCTAGCACTTGAAGCTTCATCTAGAGTAGAAAATGAAGAATGACAATGTGCCAAAAACTTTTAGACATTCTTTTTTATTTTAATTTTTTATTTATGTTATTATTATTATTATTATTATTATTTTTTTTTTTTTTTTTTTTTTGAGACAGAGTTTCCCTCTTGTTGTCCAGGCTGGAGTGCAGTGGTGTTATCTTGGCTCACTGCAACCTCTGCCTCCCCGGTTCAAGCAATTCCCCTGCCTCAGCCTTCCGAATAGCTGAGATTACAGGCATGTGCCACCATGCCCAGCTATTTTGTATTTTTAGTAGAGACAGGGTTTCTCCATGTTGGTCAGGCTGGTCTCGAACTCCTGACCTCAGGTGATCCATCTGTCTCAGCATCCCAAAGTGTTGGGATTACAGGCATGAGCCACCTCGCCCGGCCTAGACATTCTTATAACATGCTGTCCAAATTTAACTAAATTACTAAGCAATCACTTGACAAAGGAAAACTGACTGCAAATTTAGACAATATTTCCCCCCATATAAACAGTTTTTCAACCACTACCACTACCAAAAGCATAGACTCAGAAAAAAAATAGATGAGACTAATGTCAAAATAAGGGGCATTCAATAAGTGGTAAAGCGAATGCCATCGATACCTGCCTCATTGCTTGCACACTCTGCAAATGCCTGCTGACACAATCCCATTCTCTCTATTCTTCATTCATACAGCATGCCAGGAGTAATCAGGGATGTGTCACCAAAGATTATAAATTTGAGATAGCTCTTTCTAAAGTAATATTATGTAATCTTTAAAAGAATCTATTTCAATAATTAATATTAAATACATTAAATACAGAAGAAAGCAGTAATTTAAAAAATTGATTCAATAGAATTTTATTGACAAAGCATAGAGAGGTAAAAAAAAGATGTGCAAAAAGATAAAATATACAAAGAAGAAAGCCAGCAAAACTCAGCTATTTATAAGAATGATTAAATGAAAAAAACATGAAAGCCTACAAGAAGTAATTACTTAAAGAATTGGAGAAGAAAATTTTTCTAACCTAAAAACTGTCCAAAATTACCACATATTGTCAACCAACATTTATAAACACAGCTATATTACAGTTTATTTTTTCAGATTGAAAGTGAAACTTCTATAACCAGACAATAGAAGCCAAAAATAACATGCAATTTTCCCTCCCTGCACACACCAAAACTTTAGGTTGGCATCCAATTTCTCCTACATAAGCAAAAGTAACAGAATAAATAACCTATGACTATTACTTTTCTTGTCCCCAAACACCAAAGAGGGGTCATATGTAAAAATTCTGGGAAAGTTTACTAGTCTCAACCCTCTGGTGATTTCTAATGAACTTCCCTTTACTTACAAATGCTAACATTACAACACCATCATCACTTTGTTATCACTGTTACTATTGCAAAGTAAATATATCCTTCAGGAGAGCAGAAAATCAGTATAACAGATGACGATTAGGGCCTATCCCAGAACTATATATCTGCAGTAATTGCAAAAAATATATATATGTATAATATATAGTAGTATATATATAATAACTGGATAAATAACTGTATATATATACAGTTATGCTAATATAAATTTGTGAAAGAAACAGATACAATGGTCTAGAAAGTATTATATTTCTGGAAAATAAAAATGTCAAATATTCTAGCATTCTGATAAATAAATCACATAAAGAACTCAGGTATGAGGAATGCTAAGTATAAAAGAAACGGTGGTGAATATCAAAACCAGTAAAATGTAGAGTTAATATTTAAACCCTTCATTGTAGTGTGATAATTAATGCATATGTTAAGTTACGTAGTTTATTTAAAGTAACATACATAACTTTTAAAAGCAAATTAATTATGGAAATATGCATCTAAAATTACACAGTTTTCCAAAAATATGTATGGTGTTAAAGACAAAAAGTAACATATGCTTTTATATTGTTATTTTATTCTAGACAATGAAGAAAACATTTGGTTTCAAAGACACACTTAATTCTAGAATGGGCCAGGCGCGGTGGCTCACGCCTGTAATCCCAGCACTTTGGGAGGCCGAGGCGGGCGGATCACGAGGTCAGGAGATCGAGACCATCCTGCCTAACACGGTGAAACCCCGTCTCTACTAAAAATACAAAAAATTAGCCGGGCGAGGTGGCGGGCGCCTGTAGTCCCAGCTACTCGGGAGGCTGAGGCAGGAGAATGGCGTGAACCCCAGGGGGCGGAGCCTGCAGTGAGCCGAGATTGCGCCACTGCACTCCAGCCTGGGCGACAGCGAGACTCCGTCTCAAAAAAAAAAAAAAAAAAAAAAAAAAATACTAGAATGAAGAAATTATAAAATATCCAAACCACATTTAAAAGAACAAGTAGAAAAATGAAAATCTAAACAATATAGCAAAATATATAACAAATCTAGTAAGAAAGTAGCAAAAATAGTATGAAACGAGATGAGCAAATTAAAATCAAAGTATGTCCTCCAGCTCTAAAACTCACTACCATGGTTAAATAGAGCAATTTTCATAAAGACATAAATATTTTAATATTAAAATTTTAACACAATTTGATATTAAGTCAAAGGAAAAATTCATACACTCTACTGGATACCAAAATATGCATTTCTAACAATTTCTCAATTAGCAAAAAAAGATAATTTTTAAATATCATGTATTACTTCATTTTCACACCTCTATAAAGAACTGCCCAAGACCCTTCCTTTATAAAAGAAAAAGGTTTAATTGACTCACAGTTCAGCATGGCTGGGAAGGCCTCAGGAAACCTGTAATCATGGCAGAAGGTGAAGGAAAAGCAGGCAGTTTCTTCAAAGGCAACAGGAAGGAGAAGTGCTGAGCAAAGGGAAAAGAATACCTTAAAATAATATCAGATTTTGTTCACTCTGATGGTAGTTTCTTTTGCTGTGCAGAAGCTGTTTAGTTTAATTAGATCCAATTTGTCAATTTTGGCTTTTGTTGCCATTGCTTTTGGTGTTTTAGACATGAAGTCCTTGCCCATGCCTATGTCTTGAATGGTATTGCCTAGGTTTTCTTCTAGGGATTTTATGGTTTTAGGTCTAACATTTAAGTCTTTAATCCATCTTGAATTAATTTTTGTATAAGGTGTTAGGAAGGGATCCAGTTTCAGCTTTCTACATACGGCTAGCGAGTTTTCCCAGCACCATTTGTTAAATAGGGAATCATTTCCCCATTTCTTGTTGTTGTCAGGTTTGTCAAAGATCAGATAGTTGTAGATATGTGGTATTATTACTGAGGGCTCTGTTCTGTTCCATTGGTCTATATCTCTGTTTTGGTACCAGTACCATGCTGTTTTGGTTACTGTAGCCTTGTAGTATAGTTTGAAGTCAGGTAACGTGATGCCTCCAACTTTGTTCTTTTGGCTTAGGATCGTCTTGGCAATGTGGGCTCTTTTTTGTTTCCATATGAACTTTAAAGTAGTTTTTTCCAATTCTGTGAAGAAAGTCATTGGTAGCTTGATGGGGATGGCATTGAATCTATAAATTACCTTGGGCAGTATGGCCATTTTCATGATATTGATTCTTCCTATCCATGAGTATGGAAAGTTCTTCCATTTGTTCGTGTCCTCTTTTATTTCATTGAGCAATGGTTTGTAGTTGTCCTTGAAGAGGTCCTGCACATCCCTTGTAAGTTGGATTCCTAGGTATTTTATTCTCTTTGAAGCAATCGTGAATGGGAGTTCACTCATGATTTGGCTCTCTGTTTGTCTGTTATTGGTGTATAAGAATGCTTGAATGAGAGAAAATTTTTGCAATCTACTCATCTGACAAAGGGCTAATATCCAGAATCCACAAAGAACTCAAACAAATTTACAAGAAAAAAAAATCCCATCAAAAAGTGGGTGAAGGATATGAACAGACACTTCTCAAAAGAAGACATTTATGCAGCCAACAGACACATGAAAAAATACTCGTCATCACTGGCCATCAGAGAAATGCAAATCAAAACCACAATGGCATACCATCTCACACCAGTTAGAATGGCGATCATTAAAAAGTCAGGAAACAACAGGTGCTGGAGAGGATGTGGAGAAATAGGAACACTTTTACACTGTTGCTGGGACTGTAAACTAGTTCAACCATTGTGGAAGACAGTGTGGTGATTCCTCAAGGATCTAGAACTAGAAATACCATTTGACTCAGCCATCCCATTACTGGGTATATACCCAAAGGAATATAAATCATGCTGCTATAAATACACATGCACACATAAGTTTATTGTGGCACTACTCACAATAGCAAAGACTTGGAACCAACTCAAATTTCCAACAATGATAGACTGGATTAAGAAAATGTGGCACATATACACCATGGAATACTATGTAGCCATAAAAAAGGATGAGTTCATGTCCTCTTTAGGGACATGGATGAAGCTGGAAACCATCACTCTGAGCAAACTATCGCAAGGACAAAAACCTAAACACCGCATGTTCTCACTCATAGGTGGGAATTGAACAATGAGAACACTTGGACACAGGAAGGGGAACATCACACACCAGGGCCTGTTGTGCGGTGGGGGCAGGGGGGAGGGATAGCATTAGGAGATATACCTAATGTAAATGACAAGTTAACGCGTGCAGCACACCAACATGGCACATGTATACATATGTAACAAACCTGCATGTTGTGCACATGTACCCTAGAACTTAAAGTATAATAATAAAATATATATATATATATATATATATATATATATATATATATATATATATAAAAATCAGATTTTGTGACAACTCACTCACCATCATGAGAAATGCATGTGGTAAGCTGCTCCCATGATCCAATTACCTCTGGTCTCTCCCTTGACAGGTGAGGATTACCAGGATTATAATTCATGATGAAATTTGGGGTGGGGACACAAAGCCTAACCATATTATATGATTAAAACAACTATTTTGAAATCATTAGCATTGATATGTTTGAATAAATCAAATTGAAACTAAATCCCATCTATAGCTATATAGTATAGGAAGAAGTATTCCTTTCTACACATCAAAAAATAATCATTGATTGGCTTAAACCAATCCAAATACACTTATATTACTGTTGAAAAATTGTGGAATTAGAGACCATGCAAAGGACCAAAGGTTAAAATGCAGTAAATCAAATAAATGGCTATGTTTTTCTTTCTACACATATAAGGGGATCTTACAGTTTTACTGGCTAGTTTGATTTTGTTAAATATTAATAATATCTACTTTTACTCTCAAAGCATTACAATTTAAAAAATAAAATACGTGAATTCCCTTTTTAACTATACCAAATTATCATAAATCAACAGTTGAAAGGTATAAATTCATACAGGCAAGGAAAATGGAGAGAAGAAAACAGATGACAAGTTTAGAAAGACGGAAAGTAAAAATAGCAAGTAAATTACTTAGCAGAACAGAAAATGCAAATATGTAAATGCCCTCAGACGGAAATATGAGTGAAAACTAGGTAAGTTTCCCTATAGGACACAAAAGCCCAAGGGATGTAAAGTACCAGGTACCAGGGAAACAGGAGGGAATTAGGGTTGACAAATGGAAAATTAGATTAGAATTTGGTATAACGTAAAGTTAGACCAACAAATTCCCTCCTCCCTTTCACTTGAGAAGTGACTATTTCTCCTCCTTACAAAATACAGGAGTGTTATTCTCTGGAAAACTTCAGAGCCTCTGGACCAGCACACCTGAAAAACAGGAGGAAACGCCTAAGGTATCTGGCCAAAAATGTTGGGATTAAGAAAAATTATTGAACAGTTACACACCTCTTTCTATCTTACTTCTCTCGTCTTACTCCCTGTATAATGCATTGAGACTAGGTTTGAAGGATTCTTCTCTGAAGAAATTGAGAAAACTTAATATGGGGAACAAAGAAAACCGCTAAACATGCTATTATTTATATGCTTATAGAAATAGGAGAAGAAATAATAGAATACAAGCAGTAATAATCAAGAACAAATGTTTTTGAAAATATATGTATAAATACATATACATACATAAATTAAATATAATTATATGAATTAATGTATATGATTAACATGAGATTTGAAATATTAGTTGCAGACAATTAGAAAAGAGAATAAATTAAAGACAATAATGAGAGAAAAAAGATAACTTTATAAAAGAAAAGAAATAATCCAAGAGTTAATAATAAGGTAATAGAGAACATTAAGAGAGCCTCCTTTAAGAAATAATCCAAAAACAAAAATTTGTAACTGAATTTTATAAAAATTAAGAAGAAATAAAAAATGTTTACATTAAAAAATATAAATAGAAAGGAAAGAACACAAAAAGTCATTATGATGAAATATATAAGACCAGAAATAATAACAAATTACATATTGAAGAGTTTGAGGGAAGTCTCCAGAACCACTCTCACTTCTGACACCAATTACAAATCTGGGAGTCCGCAAGATGAGCCTTGGGTTTGCTTAATCTATGGATGTACTCATATAACTCACAGAATGCTGATATAGTAATGGTTAGTTTATAACGTGGAATGAATACAGATAAAAATTAGACAAGTGAAGCAGATACATGGACCAGAGTCCAAAGTGTTCACAAAGAGCCTTTGCCTCTCAGTGGAGTTGTGGACAGTGCTAACTCCTTTAAGGCAACAATGTGGGAATATATCCATGAAGTATTGTTAACCAGGGAAGCTCACCCAACTTTTGGTATGCAGAACTTTTGTAGGGGTTTGGTTATGAAGAAATGGTTCAGGTCACCTGCCTGGCTGACATTAGTTTCCAACCCTTCTGGACGTCGAGTTAATATCGCATGAGGGTAAGATCTCACTGAAAATCACAATGCTAGGATAGACCATCTGATGTGGCCCAAGTCCCCAGGCCTACAATGACATCTTGTCAGGCAGAACATTCCAAGGGCTTAGAGATTACTTCCCAGAAGCTGATGGCAAAGGCCAGACCTCTCTTTGGTCAAAGTTAATTCTGTATTGTACATATATCAACAGCTTTTTAAGAAAATAACAGGCCATAGAGAAAGAAGCAAAAATAAAAAAAGACATTTGAATATTAAATTCAGTACAACAATGTCTTCAAAATAAGAGAAAATAATTATTTTTTAGACAACAATTTCAGCATAATACCAACAATTTGTGAGGATAGATTGAAGATGTGTAGAGTTATAAAACTTCAAATATTTTTTATCACGCAGTTTTTTTTGGGAAGCTACTCAAAATTGTTACAAGAATAAAACAGATAATTAAATGAAGGAAGAGGAACAGTATAATTTCCAGGAATTAGGATATGGGACATGGGAGAGCATCAAAGATAAATGCTAAGGAGGTAGAACAAGATGGCAGAATAGAAGGCTCCACTGACAGTCCCGCAACCCCCATGAGGACACCAATTTAACAACTACCAACACAGAAAAAAAAAAAAAAAACCTTCACAAGAACCAAAAATCAGGTGAGCACCATAGTATCTAGTGTTAACTTTGTATCACTGAAAAAGGCACGGAAAAGATGGAAAAAACAGTCTTGAATCACCTATGCCATCCTTCTCCCACCACCTGTCAGGGGCAATATGGTACAGAGAGAATCTCTGAGCAATGGATGAGAACAGAAACGATGTGAAGCAATGATGTCAGCACTGTCCTGACAGAGCCATCAGACCAAACTCAGCTGGCACTTACACACAGAGGAAGTGTTTAAACCAGCGCTAGCCAGAGGGTAATTGCCAGTCCCAGCACTTGGAACTTGAGTTTCTGCAAAACTTATCGCCGAAGGTAATGGGTAATGGAGCCCTGGGTCTCTAAGAAAACATGAAAGGCAGCCTAGGTCATTAGGATCGCAACTCTTAGGTGAGTCCTAGTGCTAAACCGGGCCAGAGACAGTGGACTTGTGGGGCACCATGACCTACTGAGAAACCAGCTGGGTGGCTAAGGGTGTACTTGCATCAACCCTCCCGTAACCTCAGGCTGCACAACTCCTGGATACAAAAAGAGACCACTTTATTCTGATTGAGAAGAAGAAAGGAAAGAGTGGGGAGGACTTTATCTGGCATCTTGATTATCAGCTCAGCCACAGCAGGATAGGGTACTAGTCAGAGCCATAAGGCCTCCATTCCAGGCCCTATCTCCCAGATGACATTTCTAGATGTACCCTCTGCCAGAAGGGAACCAGCTTTCTAGAATGGAAGGACCTAGTCTGGAAACATTCATCACCTACTAACTGAGGAGACCTTGGTCCTTGAATAACTAGCAGTGATGCCCAAGTACTACATTGAGGGCCTTGGATAAGCCTCTGAAACTTGCTGGCATCGAGTGAGACTCAGCACATTACTGGCTGTGCTGGCTATGGGGTGAAACTTCTGCTTGAGAAAAGAAGAGGGAAAAGTAAAGGGGCTTTGTCTTTCACTTTAGGTACCAGGACATCTACAGGGGGGTAGAACACCAAGTGGGCTCTTGGGGTCCCTGATTCCAGGACTTGACACTTGGATATCTTCTCTGGACCAGCACTGGGCCAGAAGAAAGCCTGCTTCCCTGGATGGTGAGTCCTGGCCAGGCAGTATTCACCACAAGCTGACTTAAGAGCCCTTGGACACTAAGAGAACAGTAGTGGTACTCTGGCAGTACTCCTCATGGCCTGTATGGTGGTTGCTATGGGGTGAGGCTCCTCTGCCTTTGTAAAGGGTAGGAGAGAGTGGGAAAGACTGCATCTTGTGGTTTGAGTGCCAGCTCAGTCACACTACAATAGAACACCAGGTAGACAGACTTACAAGATCTTGACCCTAGTCTCTGACTCCTAGAAAGCATCTCTGGACCCACTTAGGGGTTAGGGAAAGTCACTGCCCTGCAGGGAAGGACACAGGACTGGCTAGCTTTGCTACCTTCTGATAAATGACCAGGGACCAATCCTGTAGAAACAGAAACATGTGACTTTTCAAACAGAGAATTCAAAATAGCTGTGTTAAGGAAACTCAAAGAAATTCAAGGTAACACATAAAAGGAATTCAGAATTCTATCAGATAAATTTAACAAAAAGACTAATATCATTAAAAAGCATCAAGCAGAAATTCTGGAGATAAAAAATACAATTGGCATGCTGAAGAATACATCAGCATGTTTTAATAACAGAACTGACCAATCAGAAGAAATAATTAGAGAGCTTGAAGACAGGCTATTTGAAAATACAAAGTCAGAGAAGAGAAAAGAAAAAAAGAATAAGAAACTAAAGAAAGCCTATAGGATCTAGGCTCTACCCTCGAAAGGACAAATCTAAGAATTATTGACCTTAAAAAGGAGGTAAAGAAAAAGATATAAAAAGTTTATTCAAAGGGAAAATAACAGAAAACTTCCCAAACCTAGAGAAAGATATCAATATTAAAGTACAAGATAGTTATAGATCACCAATCATATTTAACCAGAAGAATACTACATCAAGGCATCTAAAAATTAAACTCTCAAAGATCAAGGATTAAAAAAAAGGATCCTAGAAGCAGTAAGAGGGGAAAAAAAAAGAAAAACTAATAACACAATGGAGCTCCAATATCTCTGGGAGCAGACTTTTCAGTGGAAACCATACAGACCAGAAGATATTGCCATGACATATTTAAAGTGCTGAAAAACAAAACAAAATGAAACAAAGGAACACTTTTACCCTTGAATAGTATATCCAGCAATAATAATCTTCAAACATAAAAGAGAAATGAAAACTTTCCCAGACAAAAAACAAACAAACAAACAAACAAAAAATACTGAGGGACTTCATCAACACCAGACTTACCTTACAAGATATTCTAAAGGGAGTACTTCAATCATAAAGAATATAATATTAATGAATAAAAAGCAATCACATGAGGGTACAAAACTCATTGCATGCCTGTATCAAAATATCTCATATACTTTATAAACCTATAGACCTACTATGTACCCACAAAAATTAAAAATTTTTAAAAAGATAAATATCAGTATATTGTCAGTGTGTCTTAGTAATTTATGCAGATGACACTTATAGGATAAATTGCTTTGTAATTTTTTTCAGGAATATAAATAATAAAGCTAGGCAAGGCTGAAGACATACTTAAATGTTTTGTAAGACAATCTGTAAGCATCCACAAACTTGTTAAAGAATCTCTAAATAACAATAAAAGGTATCATTTTAATGCCTTTATTAAAAGTGCATCGGCATTAAAGAAAGCACTAAAGTCCAAAAGCATTAAAGAAAATAAGCTTTCCAAACATTGATGCTTACAAAAACTATTTATTTATTTATCTATCACTTGTGTTAGAAAATGAAAATAAATGCGGAAGGGATTTTGCTTTTAGGCGAGTGGAAGTAGCTTACAGGAGGCCAATGAACCTACTGAGAAAACTAAAAAAAATAAGGAAATATAGAAATTATCTCTTCAAAGGCATTGGAGAGATTATATGACATAAAAAATAGATGGGCCATGAATCTGAAGAGGGAAGAGCCATGCAGAGGTGAACTGACAGTAGACAATTTCCCCTGGGGAACTTTTTTCTCTAGGTACAAAACAGGAGAATGAGAACCCAGGTATCTTCAATGCAGAATTTACCAAAACAAAGGTTATTCCCAGAATTACAAAGAAAACAGCAAAGGCTTTAATAGTCTCCAGCAGAGTTTGGACATACAAAACTGTAAACTTGGGAGAATTAAAACCTATGTGTTTTTTTTTCTATTGGTATGTTTTCTAATTTTGATGTTAAATAGAGTAGATGCCTAACACGGAGCAGAAAACATCTTAAAGCAGAATGGAGTTCCCAGTTGGCTTGTGGTGCTAAAACGATAAAAATTGATGTTAAAGTCCTCACAGGGGAAGGACTTTGGGTGACCACTGAGACCATAATTCTTTCTAAAGCCATGGAGAGCCAAATCTTGGGAGCAGAATCTTCTAAAAGGTAGAATGGGTTTACTACTATTCTGAGCTTGACTCAGCTCAGACCATGTTTAAATTAAAGTAATTCACTCCTGTGTCTCTCTCTGCTTAGTAGAAAAATGATTAACTCTGTCTAGGAAATAATAAAATCATCTGGAGCCTATGCAATGGGAATAATATTTCATGTTTTAAAAGAGATTAGTCCACATTCCAAGATACTGGACTATATGACATAAAATCCAAGAAAAGAGTAAATATAAAAAGATTATAAACAACCCAGATATGAGATTTATCCAACAATAACTTTTAAATAATTGTGACTAATGTGTTCAAAAAACAGAAAAAGAGATACATAAAATAAGCCAATAATAAATAATTATGGCAATTTAGCTTTTGTTTCAGGCTGCTTGGTTATCAGAGGTTGTTGACAAAATTCATGTCCTTGCAGTTGCTGGACTGAGGGCTTCTGCTTTGCTTTTTCTCAAGTCATCATAAGGTCCTAGAGGCTGCTTTCTGTTCTTACCACATGAACACTTAAAGATGGAAAATTTATTACATCTCATCTCTTTAAAGCCAACAAAAAACCAACTCCTGGATTCATCGATCTTTTGAGTGGTTTGTTATGTCTTGATTTCCTTCAATTCAGCTCTTTTTTTGGTTATTTCTTGTCTCCTACTAGCTTTGGGACTTGTTTGCTCTTGGTTCTCTAGTTCTTTTAGTTGTGATTTTAGGTTGTTAAATAAATTAAATGAGTTCTACAAAGGAATGAAGGAGTGTTTCAAAACAAAATTTTGATAAATTTATTTTAAAGGTCAAATTGACATTTGTTTTTGATTTATGAATTGGTCAGCATCCCATTTATAAAAGTTTTGGGGGCCATGGTAGTGCAGTAGAGTTTTTAAGGTTGTTTGAGCAGAAACAAGAAAACAGCATAATGCAAAAAGACAGATTGGTTAATATCAGCTTACTTCAGGTCACTCTCTTTATAAAGGTTATAACAGGGGGGACTTTCTTATGATACTAGCTCAGGTTTACTGGGCCCTGTTTGGTTGCTGTGAAGCTTCTGGTTTTTGAAAAAACTGGCATGTTTTGGGGTTTTTTCTGTAATTTTAAATTACAGTTTGATTACATGGCACTTAACATGTATGACTCAATTTTGGTTTGGTCTGTTATGCCTAATGCAGAAGCTCAGTCCAAAACAATGGCCTCTTATAAATTTTAGATCACAGAAGAGAATGGGAGTTGCCAGGAAGATAGATTACACATACAGAAATGTGATACTGAGAGTGACAACCCATCACCTTTGCCATATGCCATATTCTAGTTAAGAGCAAGACACTGGTTTAGCCATCACACAAGGGGGGATTACACACACATCAGGAGACAAAAATTAGACTTTAGAGTCTATCTTCCACACATAGAAGTAATGTAATTATACATAATGTACCTTTAATAATGTCTTTTTGTAAAAAATAACACTATCATATAAATACACACACACACACATACACACGCAAACCTTATGGGTGATCTATCTTTCTTTTTTACAACATAAAAAGGTGGCATACATAAATAGTACATTGTATGAGAAAGATAGACTTGATGGGTTATCAAAAGTCAGCAAAGGCAGCAATAATAATTTCTGCAAAACTCTTGATAATTTACTCTGCTCCAACAAACTTTTCAGCATATTTCTATTCAATAACAAGAAATACTTACACTGATGCTTCACTCATTGCTTTATGTGAATTTCTATGTTATGACCCTTGACGTGAAAGAAATACTTCACAACTTAAAACTACAATGTAGAAACACAAGAGCCTGCTTGATTTTTCTACTTGTTGCTCACTCTAAATCAGGAATTTAGAAAATTTTAAAGAAATCTTGTTCACTGAACCAAATGTTCACTTTCACATCAAGAAAAGTGAGAGTTTCTTATGAGTTAGCGTATTTATTCATGTACAATGTTCTCAGATGCCAGTTTTAAATAGATGTCTTGCCATGTAACATAGTATTTTTGAATAAGTACTTTAGAGTGTACTTAAGCAAATTCCACTGAAGGAAGCTCATCATTTAGTTATTTATTTTATCTAAGCTCAACTACTTCACAAAGAAGCCCTGACATGAAATAAACAGTGTTCTAATTGTTAAAATATATATACACATTTGTCCTTCAAAAACTCAATATTACTTTCTGGCTTTCTTACTCTCATTACTCTATTTAGAAAAATTTGACAATGTTGATATTAATCTCACAAACTTTCTATTCGTTTAAGATCATGGATCACCAGCTTTACTTGTTTTATTTTACAAATGTATTTGCAGCTTCAAACAAGCAGAAACATCCTTGAACATTCTATTGCTTCTAACCCTAAACTATAATTCTAGCAAAAGTTCTAATTGTAGTAAAGTAAGAGTAAATAATGAACGCTTGAAGGTATTAAGTTTGTGGTCATTTTTCTTGTTTTATCAAGTAGCAAAGCTTTGGTTATGACCTGAATTTAATAGAGATTTATTCTGGATTTCTTAGAGTCAAAGCTAGAAGAAAGCGCCTATAGCTCAGGATAAAGAAAATCAACATTTGACCTAATATATTGATATTTTGAGTCTACAAAATCAGTCTTGTTTTGAAAGAGAATAACTCTGTTTTCTAGAAAACTAACCAAATAGGAATAAAAATAAATAAATATTTTTTCTACTTGATAAGATAATTATGGCAAAGTTTATTCATGCAATGAATAAACATTTCTACTTTAAAACCTATGCATTTTGCAATTCTGAGTTGTATATTGTTCTTCGAAGATTTGAGAAAATTTTTAGGGGGCTAAGAAACCTAAGTATGATGATTTCTTTGTGGAGTGAGATTGGGAGGTCCCAAGATTCTATTACAAGGTTGAACAGTAGGTAAATTACCTTTCTGCTGTACATTGTTACTGCATACGTTTGTGTTTATAGAAATACCTGTTTCTATTATTCATCTTTCCACTTTTGCTTGTGTATCTGACTCTTGAAATATATCATTGTGTCTGCTTTATTACTTTCAGAAGCAACACAAATAGTCATTCATCAAATACCATTTAGCAAGTGATATGCTTTTGTGCTGTGCTTAACCTGAATTGACTTTAAAGGTTAATTTTTAATTCCAGTCAGAATAGACGGCATAGACTTATTCCTCTTTGATTCTCTTCACTAGACACAACTATAAACCTCAGAAATAACTCAAGAGAAAACTAATAAAGAATGCTGAAATGCTATAAAAGCACTTCAGCGATAGATCTGGAAGACTGGGAAAGACAAGATGCCTAGAGCTTACCAGGCAGAACCACAGAGAGAAGAGTATTTTACATTCAGAGGACTCAGTTTAGTACTAACTATCACATGCTACTGATCCGTTGAGTACTAATCAGGGGGAAATAGTTAAAATACTTTGAAAGTGCTGCTTATCTCAACAGAGTAAACAGACAGCTTACAGAATGAGAGAAAATACTTACAAACTATGCATCCAACAAAGGTCTAATATCCAGAATCTATAAGAAACTTTACAAAATCATCAGAAAACCCCAAAAAATCCTATTAATAAGTAGGCAAAATATATAAACAGATGCTCCTCAAATAAGACATACAAGCATCCAACAAACATATGAAAAATGTTCCATATTGATATTATCAGAGATATATAAATCAAAACACAATGAGATATTTCCTATCAGCCAAAATGGCAATTATTAAAATGTCAATAAACTATGTATGCTTGTAAAGCTGTGGAAAAAAAGGAACACTTATATACAGTGGTGGGAATGTAAATTTGTTTTCATTGTGGAAAGCAGTTTGGAGATTCCTCAAATAAGTTAGAACTACCATTCCACCCAGCATCCCATTACTGGGTATATATCCAAAGGAAAGCAAATCATTCTAACAAAAAGATACATGCACTTGCATATTAATTGCAGCACTATTCACAATAGCAAAGACATGGAATCAACTAGGTGCCCATCAACAGGGGATTGGAGAAAGAAAATGTGATACATATATACCAATGAATACTACGCAGCCATATAAAAGAATAAAATGATGTCCCTTGCAACAACATGGAAGCAGCTGGAGGCCATTATCCTAAGAAAATTAACACAGGAATAGAAAACCAAATACCACATGTTCTAACTTATAAGTGGGAGCTGAACATCGGATAGTCATGGACATAAAGATATCAACAATAGAAACTGGAGACTACTAGAGGGGGATGAGAAGGAGAGGTCAGGGGTTCAAAACTAACCATTGGGTACTATACTCAGTACCTGGGTGATAGGATTATTTGTACCCCAAAATTCAGCATCACACAATATATCCAGATAACAAACTTGCATATGTAACCCCTGAGTCTAAAATAAAAGTTGAAAATAAGAAAGAAAGAAAGGAAGAAGAAAGGAAGGAAGGAAGGAAGGAAATAAGGAATGCTGTTTAGTTGTAAGGGAAAAAAACCCTAGAGTAAATACAATTCAATTTTGCTTAACAAAAGAAAGAAATAAACAAATTAAACTTTTTTCCAAATAACCATATCTCAGAACAAATGTAAAAAACCTAAAAATATCCAGCATTCTGGTGGTAAAATTCACGATGTCTAGTAGTCAATCAAAAACTAACTAGGCATGAAAATAAGTGGAAAAATGCAACCTGTAATGATGGGGAAAGGAATAATAATTCAATCAAAACTTACCCAGAAATTGGGTAGATGATAACAAGGATATTAATTAAAACTATGATTATAACTGTGTCTTATAACTATGACTGCTTAGGCCATCATAATAAAATTCCATAGACTGGGTGGCTTAAATAGCAAAAAAATATTTTCTCACAGTTCTTGAAGCTGGTACTCCAATAACAGGGTGACAGCACACTTGGTGTGTCTGGTGTTCTGGTGAAGGCTCTCTTTCTGGGTTGCAGACGGCTGCCTTCTTGCTATGTCCTCATATGTCATTTCCTCATTGTGTGTGTGTGTGTGTGTGTGTGTGTGTGTATGTGTGTTTGTAGAAAGAGCTCTCGTCTTTTTTCCTCCTCCTAAAAGGACAAAAATCCTGTGAAATCATGACTGTGTCCTTGAAACCTTATTTAATCTTAATTACTTCCAAAATAACTCTATCTTCAAATATAGTCACATTAGGGGTTAGGCCTATAAAATATGTATTTTGGAGTGACACATTTCAGTTCTTAGCTGATTATCTTTCAAATATCCAAGAAGCTATAATAAAGAGTTAACCTGTTACATTAAGACATGAAAGATATCAAAAAAGAACCTAAATTAAACTTTAAGAGAGAAAAACACATAATGCCTAAGATGAAAAATATACCAGACAGGACTGACATCAGATTAGGTATTGCGGAAGGAAAACTTAGCAACTTCAAGACATCAGAATAGAAATTGTAAAATGAAACACAGAAAGAAAATGATAGAAAAAAATAAACAGGGTATCAATGGACTGTTAATAGTAACCAAATACACACACACGTACGTGTGTGTGTATATATATATCATACATAAGATATATTATATATGTGTATATATATGTGTGTATATACGTATATATACACACACATTATACATATTATATATCATATATACACACTTTATATATCATCTATTATATACACACACATATGTGTGTATATATACACATATATATTGTGTGTGTATATACATATGCACACATGTACATATATATCATGTGTGTGCATATATCATGTGTGTTTGTGTATATATATATATACACACACAGACACACACACAAACATATAGTCCATGAAAGTACAGGGAGGTACAAAAACATTTGAAGAAATATGCTGAAAGTTTTCACCATTTGATAAAAATTACAGATTCACAGACCTAAGAAGGTCAATTAAATTGAAATACAAAAAAACATAAGGGAAACTACAATAAGGCACATTCTACTTAAACTGCTCAAAGTTAATGATTTAAAAAGAAAATATATAGATGAGACAGATAAAATGTAAATTAATTACAGGTAAATAGAGATAAGGATAACAGCAGATTTCTCATAGAAAACAATGTCATCTAACAGAGAGTAGAACAAAATCTTTAAGGCACTGTGAGAAGAAAAAGTGGAATAAAAAAAGTTTTCAGATGCGCAGGCTTACAGAGTTCATGACCATCAGACCTACAGTATAAGAAATGTTAACTAAAACTTTTCAATAAGAAGAAAATTATACCAGATCAAACTGAGAGAGAAGAAAATAAAAAACTTATCAGGTAGGTGGTTAGGGTAGGTCCTTGGCAAAATTCCTCCAAACAAAGAACAGGCTGAAAATCAAAATGCAGGCCCCAAATAAGAAAGAGCCCATGTCCTTGAATGGAAACACTTAGTATTTGAACCCAGATGAACAAATTCCACCCTTTCTTGGATACATTTATCTCTCCTTGGCACACCTTAATCTTTTACCTTTCACCTACTGATCTTTTACTTTTCAAATTTTAACATATGCGTATCTTTCTATAATCGGTGCTGGCTAAGGCTTCATTTACATACGGTGAATTATTACTTCAGCCCCTGATTGGTCCTGGGCCAAGTTCCCAGGCCTAGCATTCACCTCGGCCTCCAATTGGTTCTTCACATTCTCATACCTCTTTCTTAGTGGTGGTTTGTCCAAAATGGCCTGCAGACCAGTCAGCACATTCCTCCTTTTTTCAGTCCATAAAAACCCCTGATTCAGCCTCATAGTTGACACCCTTCTTTTGGGCCCCCTTTCCGCTGTGGAGAGATTTCCTCTTTTGCTTATTAAACTTTTGCTCCAAACTCACCCTTGGTGTCATTCTCCTTATTTTCCTTGATCGTGAGACAATGAACTCTAGATAATACTTCAGACAATGAGGCTGCTTCAAAACTGTGTTTACACGAACTAATAAAGAGGACTGAAAATGTCTAATGACTTGGTTATATATGAGAGTATGATTTTTTTTTAAATAGTGGCATCTCTTCAATATGATTTTAAAGCAAAAATAAATAGGGTGATGTATATGTTCATTATCTTGACAATGGTGATGGTTTCACAGGTTTATACATAACTCTAAATTTATCAAATTATACAATTTAATAATGTGTCATGTACTCTGTTAATTGTTGATCAATAAATTTATTTAAAATGGCAAAACTATATTTTCAACAAATGAATAGATATTATTTCCTTTATCATTAAATGTTTAAAAATTATAGCATAACATATTAATTACTTATAGTATGGCTCTAGTTATTGCTAACAAAAAGCTGTTAATTGACATTTTTAAGTTTAAGTGATTTGTTTAGAAGAAAATATATGACATAAATATTTTAAATTCACTTTTAGCAAGTGAATTAAATCTTCAGAATAAAATACCATCAACACAGAACAGATGAGTTCTATTACTTTCTTTGGTACTAATACAAAACAAATATGATTTTTCTCAAGCAATGCTATTTAATTAAGTTCTGTAACCATAGTTCCCTTTTGTTATTAAATTCATTCCTTTGCTCATTAGTTCTGAACTTCATTTTTTTAAATGATTTTAATAAAGAAGTCAGTACATCTTAAAATTACATAGAATTCTCTGTAAGATTAACATTTCTAACCTAATCATACTTTAAAAACTTACATTTAGGCCAGTCACGGTGGCTCACACCTGTAATTCCAGCACTTTGGGAGGCCGAGGCAGGTAGATCACCTGAGGTCAGCAGTTTGAGACCAGCCTGACCAACATGGTGAAACCCCATCTTTACTAAAAATACAAAAACTAGCTGAGCATGGCGGCAGGTGCTTGTAATCCCAGCTACTCGGAAGGCTGAGGAAGGAGAATTGCTTGAACCTGGGAGGCAGAGGTTTCAGTGAGCTGAGACTGCACCATTGCACTCCAGCCTGGGCAACAAGAGTGAAACTCCTTCTCAAAACAAGCAAACAAACAAACAAATCCTTACATTTACTATTGTTTGTTAAAAATTTATACTATAAATTAATCAACCAGCCATTAAATATATTGAAGATAAGCTATGCTGTTTGAAATATTACTGGGACTAATATTTGATGGATATAAAATATCAGTGCTATAATATAAATAATATTTAGGAAATGCTCACAATTTACAACATTTATGCACTTGGATTTCTAAAGATAAAATTTCATTAAAATTCTGAATTTTTGAAATAGATATGTAAATATGTAACTAAAGTCACTATACTTTAATTTAAAATGTATTTTTTGTAAATAAACTCTACCTCAATAAAGACCAAAAAGCTTTAGAAACAAAGTACTAGATCAAACTATACTAAAGACTTTTGAGAAGTTCAATAAACTAACAAAATATAAAAAAAGCTAAGACAAAAAAGAGGTAAAAATAAAACAAAACATTAAATAATACATTATAAATGAGAAAGACCATAGTCTTACTCATAATTTATATATATATAATTATATATAAAATAATTAAAAATACATTTTCAGTATTTTACTTTTAATTATTTTAATTAAAAATGTACAATAATATATTTCTAATTAAAATAATGTATACATATATGTTGCGGGAAGTCAGGGACCCCAAACTGAGGGACCGGCTGAAGCCGCAGCAGAAGAACATAAATTGTGAAGATTTCATGGACATGTATTAGTTCCCCAAATTAATACTTTTATAATTTCTTACGCCTGTCTTTACTGCAATATCTCACCATAAATTGTGAAGATTTCATGGATATTCATCACTTTCCCAATCAATACTCTTATAATTTCCTATGCATCTTTACTTTAATCTCTTAATCCCATCATCTTCGTAAACTGAGGATGTATGTTGCCTCAGAACCCTGTAATGATTGCGTTAACTGCACAAATTGTAAAACAGGTGTGTTTGAACAATATGAAATCTGGGCATCCTAAAAAGGAACAGGGTAACAGCAATTTGCAGGGAACAAGGGAGATAACCATAAAGTCTGACTGCCTGCGGGGCTGGGCAGAACAGAGTCATATTTCTCTTCTGTTCTCTTCTGCAAGTAGGAGAAATATCGCTGAATTCTTTTCCCAGCAAGGAATAACCCTGGGAAAGGAATGCATTCCCAGGGGGAGGTCTCCAAATGGCCACTCTGGGAGTGTCTGTCTTATGCAGTTGAAAATAAGGGATGAAATATTCCCTGGTCTCCTGCAGCACCCTCAGGCTTGCTAGGATTAGGAAATTCCAGCCTGGCCAATTCTAGTCAAACCGGTTGTCTACTCTCAAACCCTGTTTCCTATTAAGATGTTTATCAATGACAATGCGTGCCCAGTGGGACATGGAACCTCCTCAGTAATTCTAATTTCACCCTGGCCTTGTGATCTTGTTCTGCCTCTCTGCCCTTGTAATCTTTTATTGCCCTTTCAAGCATGTGATCTTTGTGACTTACTCCCTGTTTGTACCCTCCTCCCCTTTTCAAATCCCTAATAAAAACTTGCTTGTTTTGCAGCTCAAGGGGCATCACAGAACCTGCCAATATGTGTTGTCACACCTGGAGGCCCAGCTGTAAAATTTCTCTCTTTGTACTCTTTCTCTTTATTTCTCAGACCAGCCAACACTTAGGGAAAATAGAAAGGAACCTACATTGACATATTGGGGGCTGGTTCCCCTGATACATATATGTATGTATTATATATGTATTATTTTAATTTAAAAATTATCTAAAATTCTTCCTAAAATATATTAATGTCTTTGCTAATTTTATAATGTTCTGAGAAAACTGTTTGAAGAGGATGTGAAAAACGCAAATAGACTAATAAAATACTAGCAATTTGACCCCATCTTCACATTAGAAGACATTGCTCTGCAACTAAGATTTAGTAAATAGATGGCAAATCTGGATTAGTTTGCTGGGACTGCTGTAACAAAGTAACAGAAACCGGATGGTTTAACCCAACAGAAATTTATTATCTCACAGTTTTGGAAGCTTAGAAGTCCAAACTCAAGGTGTTGGCAAGGCCAAGCTCCTTCTAAATCCTCTAGGTTAGGATCACTCTTTTCTTCATTTAGCTTCCAGTAGTGAAAACATCCTCATAAAGTTAATATAATCCATTGCCAGGTGTTTTTGACAAAAGTATAAGTGTAGAATAGAGTTATGGCTTGGCATTAACTTTTAACCAGCCTGCCCTTTGGTTCACTTCCTTACAGTTGCTTTTTGCCCATAAGTCAAGTAGACCAGGTCACAAGGCACTAACTTCCCTTAATTGTTCCCACAGAAAACATCTTTTACGTTGAGAAATCTCAAGTTTTCCATTTAAGATGCTTCTCAGATCTCACATTCCAGCAAAACTACCATTGCCAACTAGTCTGAGAGCTCCCACTGAGGAAATGACTCAAGTGAAGAATGCAGTTTCCACATTACCCCAATAAGAGTGTAACTTTACCCCCTTATTCTGAGCAATCAGTGAACCCAATCTTCCAGCCCTTTGCCTGCCACAATTCCCTTATAGGCTCTAGCCTAGAACCCCTCAGGGAGACGGGTTTAAGAGTACTTCTTACCTCTTCGTCCATTAGGCTGCCTGATGATTATTAAACTCTTTTCCTGTTGTAACTCCTGCTGTTTCAGTACCTTGGTCTGTTACCACACAGCAGGTAAATGAGACTAGTGATCCAGTAATAGTAGCTCCAGGCTGGGCGTGGTGGCTCACACCTGTAATCCCAGCACTTTGGGAGGCTGAGGAGGGTGGATCACGATGTCAGGAGATCGAGACCATCCTGACTAACATGGTGAAACCCCATCTCTACTAAAAATACAAAAAAAAAAAAATTAGCCGGGCACAGTTGTGGGTGCCTGTAGTCCCAGCTCCTAGGGAGGCTGAGGCAGGAGAATGGCATGAACCCGGGAGGTGGAGCTTGCAGTGAGCCAGTGAGCTGAGATCACGACACTGCACTCTAGCCTGGGCAACAGAGCCAGACTCCATCTCAAAAAAAAAAAAAAAATAGTAGCTCCAGACATTTCTTGGGTAGTAGCAACACAACTTTAGTTTCAGCTTCATCTTCATATTCCTATCTTTCCTATGTGTCTCTTCTCTTCTTGTAAGAACACCAGTCATATTGACTTAAGGGCCACCCTACTCCTATATGACCTCATCTTAATTAATAACATCTAAAAATATCCTATTTCCAAATATGGTTAAATTCTGAGATACTAGGGTTTAGGACTTCAACATATTCTGTTGGGGGAAAACTCAACCCAAAACACCTTCCCATACACAAAATGCATGGGTCCGTTGATCAGCAGTGGAAAATGATTGGTTACTACTATCACATGAAATAACCCACTGAAGTTACTTTTGCTTCCCATTTGTTATGTTTGATGGATTGTGTATGTTTTATGGCAAAGGAAGAAAACAATTTAATACTGTCAATAGCTCCATGATGTAGGTGCAGATATTATTCCTAGTTTAAAGAGGGTAAAACAGAGGCACAGAAAACTTCAGTAAATTGTTCAAGGCCACATAGTTAGAAGGTGTTAGGACCAGGATTGTAACCAAATAGTTTCTTTATAAATCAATGTACAGGTCCCAGAAATTAATAATTCTCAGACCTCTGTGTAAAACTTATGCTAGTTAAAATATTTCAAACTGGATTTACTGACAACCTTATTCAGGATATCAGTAAACAGACTGTTATAGAACAGAAGGTCACCATGATCTGGGCTGGAATAACAATATATATTTTCTTTGCATCCCCTAGGGATGGTGTTCTGTGTTGCATGCACACCTTAGGCTGCCTGTATCTTTTGAACTATTATTACTAAGTCTGTGAGACCATTTTCCTTGTTTGTATATAAACTTAGAAATTAGCTCAGTGATCACAGGTGAATAGAAACGTGCTAAGCAAAAGAAGAATAAAATATGATATAAGGAATTAGCTTTGTTGGTAAACTTTGTTGCTTAAATATTCACCTCTGCTTGAAGCTATTTTTTAGACAGTCTGTGATTTTTTTTTTTTCAAGTGTGAATTTTAAATCTCGGTTTGACACATATTTGCATACACACACATGCACATACCTCACACACTTTATAGCTCTGATCTGGTAACCAAACTGAGGCTTCTTTGAAAACCATATTTCTTTCTGAATCACACTGAGACAGGTTAATGCCTCTGTTCCATGACTGCGGCTGTGCCAGGATGATGGATGATATAATGTGCAGGCGTCCAACTGCAAAGAGCCACTGAGCCTTGGTGTGAATTTAGGTGTTGATGAAAGATGAACTCTTGCTTAAAAGAACATATGTTGTTCATGCAACCTCCAGAGAAACTATTAAAAATGCACTATTCATTTTAAGAGAGGTTTAATTACTGGTTAGACAGCATAAAGCAGTATTCCTGTAATCTTCCTGTTGCAGTAATGCTGTGAATGATTGGAGTGTGAAATATTCTGTATATGACTTCAGAAAACTGGGAGTTAGTAGGAATAACGATAACAGCCTCATCAATGTGTCATTAGAAAAAACTCAATTGGGAGGCCTGGCATAATGTGAAGGCTACTTTATTTAATATTGCTATTTGACATTTAAGAAAGTCACAAATATCATGTTGGGCACCTAACATTATTTTTTAGAATGCAAAGACCGTGTAAATACATAGTAATTGGGAACAGTGAAACATTTTAACTTCTTATTGCTACCTTGAGATTAAACGTGAGGTGAGCAGTATAGGTAAGATTTGCTGGTGCTAGTTATAGAATTAGCTTTTGTGTTCAATCGAATGCCAGTCAGCTGGAAAAAAATGTACTAGGTTCCATTGAAATAGAGTAGTCCAATTGGTGGAAATTATGCTGGAGGAGTTATTTAACTTTAGTGAAACAACCCAAGAATTGACAGACAATTAACAAAAAAGGAGAATTCCCATGTTTCTTTTCCTCTATATCATAATCTGATTTGAGAAATATCATTAATTTAATTACAAATTGCAAAGAAAATTAATTCAACATATTCATATTTACAAAGTTTTTGTGATTAACAATGACATACATTTATCTTTGCATTATCATGTTTTTATTGCTTTAGGGTTTGAATCTAACCATTCTGTGAATTTAGATGATAAAGATTATCTTACATCACCAATAGCCATTTGAACTTGGGTGTAGTATCACACTGTCATGTTGCTTTGTATCATCCATGCTTACAATTTTGACCTCTACATCTTTAGACTTTATAGAATAATTTTTAAAATATTTAACATTCTTAAAGTTTAGTTTTCATTTGGTATTGAAATGGACTACTTTAGTCACTATTTTTTGTTATGTTTCCTTACATAAATATGGTAGAATTGTGTATTGTATTATATTGTATTGTTAATAGAAAGACAATTCCAGATAGTTACCCGTATTAAAATTGGATTCCTTAATGAACATAAAAATGAAAAAAAAAACCCTATTAATATATTCCTTGAGTATTCAGTTTAGTTATCATTTTGGTGAGGTTATTTCACATTTATTTTTGAATTAGCTACATGTTTTGGATTTGACATACTTTCAGTCTAGCTGACATGTTTTTATCAGAATGTTGATGTACCCGAAGGAGTAACCCAGTTTTAATTGTTGTTTTAATTTAGGCAGAAAATCTGATTACTTTTTTGAATTGTGTCAGTTCTGGACTGTCTGAGGGGACTGCTGTTACTCAACCTGAAGCATTTTTTCTATTCAAAGCTTGATGAGTGATTCCCCTACAAAGTCATTGTCTTGTGGCTTCGAAGTTTTTTTTTAAATGTAAATATTTCCTGCAAATTTAAGACTACAAGCTTATATCGGTCATTTGTATTGTCTGATATTGATTTTCAGCTCTTGAATTGAGGATATGGTTGGGCAAAAAAAGAAGAGTAAAAATTAAACCACAGTGCTTGGGGTAGAGCAAGTATCAGTTATGGATAGGTAAGGGGGGAGTAAATAAGGAGCTAGGGACTTATAAAAAACTTTTAATTAATTAATTTGCCAGTTTAGATTCTGTAAAGCTGGCTCATAGGAACACCTGAAGCAGAATCACAGATTCTTAAGTAAAGAAAACAAAGGTAAATTGCATTGTTTTTGGTATTACGGAGATTTACTAGTACATCCTAAGCTGCTCTTATATAAAAAATAGAAAGTGGATTTGGAAATGAGTTTTAAATTTCATTTTTGTCATTTTTTGTGACTGAATGAGTAATTTAAGCTTTGATTTTCATCTCTATAAAATGAAGAGGATAATATTAGATGTGCAATAGAATAGTTTTGAGGGTTTAATGATAGAATCTATTATAAAGAGACTAGAATGTTGCCTTGCAGAGAACAAGCCTAGAGGAAAGTGGAAGCAAGTGGAAAGAAAAAGTATAGATGCTGTATTCCAACCTTGAAGTTTCATATAGTAAAGATCAAGTGCAGGTAAGGATCATGGTTGGGTGAGTGACTGCATCATGTTGCTTATTCATATAGCAGAGAACCTACTACGTGTGTCACCAGCTTGAGGGAATAGATTCTTCTGCCATATACAGGTTTAAGAACAAGATTCCTGCCTCTTCTCCTTACTTTATTCTCAGATGTAGACTCATTAGATGTAGACTCCAGACTTGCTTTTATATCAACATTTTTTCTCATTTAATTTCTTTTTTATGTTTGTATTTTTAAGAGTGTTTAGAACATCAACTTTGCTGCTCAAAATATCAATTAATAAATTCAAGTGTTTCCTGCAGACGTAAAAAACAAGCTTAAAACACTACATAAAATTCTATTAGCATCATTTTCAAAATCTAAGTTGGATTCACTTGCAACTTTTATTTAAGATATATATATATATGACACATTTAAAGTTTTAACATAAAAATATACACTGTAATAATTATTTAAGTATGATTCTAGAACTCAATTTACAAAATAACTTCAATCTTGAAAAATAACTACTTTTTAAAATCTTTTCCCTACTGTTTACTTATGTAATTGGTTTTAGTTCTATCACTAATCTCCATTAGGATAATATTCAAGTTCTCTGTTTATCATTTTTGAATTCCAAGTGTTATAAATATGCATGCATGCACACAGAATTACTACATAATATTAAAAATAACTAGGTGTAATCCAAGGACATGTTACCAAAATCCTTAAGTAATCACATTTTCAGAAGGTTTAAAAGAGTGTTTTTTTTTTGTAAATTAACAGTATTGATAATACTCATGTTTTTTCTTTGCTAGTATTTTTTTTATTTTTATTTTGTAAATATGTTGTCTAAACCCAAAAGAAAACAGCATGGTTTCAGCTCACATGTTTCTACAGTAGGGTAACTCACTTTGCTAGCCCTAAATTCTGCTGATTCACTCTTATTACAAAACTACCAATAAACCTGAAAATCCACTTTTTTTATTATAATTTAAGTTTTAGGGTACATGTGCACAACGTGCAGGTTTGTTACATATATATAGATGTGCCATGTTGATGGGCTGCATCTGTTAACTCGACATTTACATTAGCTGTATTTCCTAATGCTATCCATCCCCCCACCCCCTACCCCCATCCCATGACAGGGCCTGGTGTGGGATGTTCCCCACCCTGTGTCCAAGTGTTCTCATTGTTCAATTCCCACCTATGAGTGAGAACACATGGTGTTTGGTTATCTGTCCTTGCGATAGTTTGCTGAGAATGATGGTTGCCAGCTTCATCCATGTCCCTACAAAGGACATGACCTCATCATTTTTTATGGCTGCATAGTATTCCATGGTGTATATGTGCCACATTTTCTTAATCCAGTCTATCACTGATGGACATTTGGGTTGCTTCCAAGTC
Organism: Homo sapiens; assembly: GCF_000001405.40. Classification (NCBI taxonomy): domain Eukaryota; kingdom Metazoa; phylum Chordata; class Mammalia; order Primates; family Hominidae; genus Homo; species Homo sapiens. The sequence continues at coordinate 102,504,604 of NC_000001.11, forward strand.
TTTGCTATTGTGAATAGTGCCACAACAAACATACGTGTGCACGTGTCTTTATAGCAGCATGATTTATATTCCTTTGGGTATATACCCAGTAATGGGATGGCTGGGTCAAATGGCATTTCTAGTTCTAGATCCTTGAGGATCTAGAGTGCCACACTGACTTTCACAATGGTTGAACTAGTTTACAGTCCCACCAACAGTGTAAAAGTGTTCCTATTTCTCCACATCCTCTCCAGCACCTGTTGTTTCCTGACTTTTTAATGACTGCCATTCTAACTGGTGTGAGATGGTATGTTATTGTGGTTTTGATTTGCATTTCTCTGATGGCCAGTGATGATGAGCATTTTTTAATGTGTCTGTTGGCTGCATAAATGTCTTCTTTTGAGAAGTGTCTGTTCATATACTTCGCCCACTTTTTGATGGGGTGGTTTGATTTTTTCTTGTAAATTTGTTTAAGTTCTTTGTAGATTCTGGATATTAGCCCTTTGTCAGATGGGTAGATTGTAAAAATTTCCTCCTATTCTATAGGTTGCCTGTTCACTCTGATAGTAGTTTCTTTTGCTGTGCAGAAGCTCTTTAGTTTAATTAGATCCCATTTGTCAATTTTGGCTTTTGTTACCGTCCTTTTGGTGTTTTAGTCATGAAGTCCTTGCCCATGCCTATGTCCTGGATGGTATTGCCTAGGTTTTCTTCTAGGGTTTTTATGGTTTTAGGTCTAACATGTAAGTCTTTAATCCATCTTGAATTAATTTTTGTCTAAGGTGTAAGGAAGGGAATCTAGTTTCAGCTTTCTACATATGGCTAGCCAGTTTTCCCAGCACCGTTTATTAAATAGGGAATCCTTTCCCCATTTATTGTTTTTGTCAGGTTTGTCAAAGATCAGATGGTCGTAGATGTGTGGTATTATTTCTGAGGGCTCTGTTCTGTTCCATTGGTCTATATCTCTGTTTTGGCATCAGTACCAAGTGCTTTGGTTACTGTAGCCTTGTAGTATAGTTTGAAGTCAGGTAGTGTGATGCCTCCAGCTTTGTTCTTTTGGCTTAAGATTATCTTGGCAATGTGGGCTTTTTTCGTTCCATATGAACTTTAAAGTAGTTTTTCCAATTCTGTGAAGAAAGTCATTGGTAGCTTGATGGGGATGGCATTGAATCTATAAATTACCTTGGGCAGTATGGCCATTTTCACGATGTTGATTCTTCCTACCCATGAGCATGGAATGTTCTTCCACTTGTTTGTGTCCTCTTATTTCGTTGAGCAGTGGTTTGTAGTTGTCCTTGAAGAGGTCCTTCACATCCCTTGTAAGTTGGATTCCTAGGTGTTTTATTCTCTTTGAAGCAATTCTGAGTGGGAGTTCACTCCTGATTTGGCTCTCTGTTTGTCTGTTATTGGTGTATAGGAATTCTTGTGATTTTTGCACATTGATTTTGTATCCTGAGACTTTGCTGAAGTTGCCTATCAGCTTAAGGAGATTTTGGGCTGAGACAATGGGGTTTTCTAAATATGGAATCATGTCATCTGCAAACAGGGACAATTTGACTTCCTCTTTTCATAACTGAATACCCTTTATTTCTTTCTCCTACTTGATTGTCCTGGCCAGAACTTCCAACACTATGTTGAATAGGAGTGGTGAGAGAGGGCATCCCTGTCTTGTGCCAGTTTTCCAAGGTAATGCTTCCAGTTTTTGCCCATTCAGTATGATATTGGCTGTGGGTTTGTCATAAATAGCTCTTATTATTTTGAGATACATCCCATCAATACCTAGTTTATTGAGTTTTTAGGATGAAGGGCTGTTGAATTTTGTTGAAGGCCTTTTCTGTGTCTACTGAGATAATCATGTGGTTTTTGTCTTTGGTTCTGTTTATATGATGGATTACATTTATTTGTTTGCATATGTTTAACCAGCCTTGCATCCCAGGGATGAAGCCAACTTGATCATGGTGGATAAGCTTTTTTTTGATGTGCTGCTGGATTCGGTTTGCCAGTATTTTATTGAGGATTTTTGCATCGATGTTCATTAGGGATATTGGCCTAAAATTCTCTTTTTTTGTTGTGTCTCTGCCAGGCTATGGTATCAGGATGATTCTGGCCTCATAAAGTGAGTTAGGGTGGATTCCCTCTTTTTCTATTGATTGGAATAGTTTCAGAAGGAATGGTACCAGTTCCTCTTTGTACCTCTGGTAGAATTCGGCTGTGAATCCATCTGGTCCTGGACTTTTTTTAGTTACTAGGCTATTAATTATTGCCCCAATTTCAGAGCCTGTTATTGGTCCATTCAGAGATTCAACTTCTTCCTGGTTTAGTCTTGGGAGGGTGTATGTGTCCAGGAATGTATCCATTTCTTCTAGATTTTCTAGTTTATTTGCAGAGAGGTGTTTATAGTATTCTCTGATGGTAGTTTGTATTTCTGTAGGATCCGTGGTGATATCCCCTTTATCATTTTCTTTTGCATCTATTTGATTTTTCTCTGTTTTCTTCTTTATTAGTCTTGCTAGCAGTCTATCAATTTTGTTGATCTTTTCAAAAAACCAGCTCCTGGATTCATTTGTTTTTTGAAGGGTTTTTTGTGTTTCTATCTCCTTCAATTCTGCTCTGATCTAAGAGCAGAACTTCTTGCCTTCTGCTAGCTTTTGAATGTGTTTGCTCTTGTTTCTCTAGTTCTTTTAATTGTGATGTTAGGGTGTCGATTTTAGATCTTTCCTGCTTTCTCTTTTGGGCATTTAAAGAGTCAAGACCCATCAGTGTGCTGTATTCAGGAGACCCATATCACATGCAGAGACACACATAGGCTCAAAATAAAGGGATGGAGGAAGATCTACCAACCAAATGGAAAACAAAAAAAAAGCAGGGGTTGCAATCCTAGTCTCTGATAAAACAGACTTTAAACCAACAAAGATCAAAAGAGACAAAGAAGGCCATTACATAATGATAAAGGGATCAATTTAACAAGAAGAGCTAACTATCCTAAATATACATGCACCCAATACAGGAGCACCCAGATTCATAAAGCAAGTCCTTAGAGACCTAGAAAGAGACTTAGACTCCCAAACAATAATAATGGGAGACTTTAACACCCCACTGTCTACATCAGACAGATCAACGAAACAGAAAGTTAACAAGGATATCCAGGAATTGAACTCAGCTCTGCACCAAGTGGATCTAATAGACATCTACAGAACTCTCCACCCCAAATCAACAGCATATACATTCTTCTCAGCACCACGTTGCACTTATTCTAAAATTGACCACATAGTTGGAAGTAAAGCACTCCTCAGCAAATGTAAAAATGGAAATTATAACAAACTGTCTCTCAGACTACAGTGCAATCAAACTAGAACTCAGGATTAAGAAACTCACTCAAAACCACTCAACTACATGGAAACTGAACAACTTGCTCCTGAATGACAACTGGGTACATAACGAAATGAAGGCAGAAATAAGGGTGTTCTTTGAAACCAATGAGAAAAAAGACACCACATACCAGAATCTCTGGGACACATTTAAAGCAGTGTGTAGAGGAAAATTTATAGAAAATCCACTTTTAAACCTGTGGAAATTAATTGGCATGTTGCACTTGGTAAGAGTCAACTTTATTCAAAGCTTGTTCTCTTCAACTTGCCTCTTCTGCCAATTTGTTTTGCTTTAGAAAATTTCCTGTGCTTCTCTTCCAGATAGGGCAGAAGGTAAAGTCCATACCATTATACAAGAAGGTTTTAAATTTATGGGAGTTTCAATTTACTTCTACATAAAATGTAAACTTAATTCTGATTTCTCAAGATTACTGTAAAATTGTTTAAATAAAAAGCATTTATGAGAAAGCATAATATAAAATATTGTATTAGTTTGCTCAGGCTGCCAAAAAAAAAATACTGCAGACTAGGTGCTAAAACAACAGAAATTTATTTTCTCCCAGTTCTAGAGGCTAGAAAACCATGACTCAGCTTCTGGCCAATTTGGTTTCTGGAAAAGGCTCTTCTCCTGGCTTGCAAATGGCTATCTTGCTGTGTCCTCACATGGTCTTTCCTCGGTGTATGTTTGTGGAGAGAGAGAAAAACAGGCTTTTTTTTTTCTCTTATAGAGATGAATCAGATTGGGTCAGGGGCCCTATCCTTCTACCCCATTTACTTTCTTAGAGATCTCATCTCCGACTATGGCCACACTGGAGGTCAGGGCTTCAATACATTATTTTGGAGGTAATAAAGAGTCAGTTCTTAACATTTTACCCTAACCTCACAAATTTATGTTCTTCTGACTTGCAAGATATATATATTCTATCTTAACATCCCAAACATCTTATCTCATGACAGCATCAACTCTAAAGTTCAAAGTCTAATCTGACTAGTATGGAAATCAGATATGAGTGAGACTAAAGGTAAGATTTATCCTGAGGTAAAATTACTCTCCAGATGTGAACCTGTAAAACCAGAAAAGTTGTGTGCTTCAAAAATATAATGGTGGGACAAGCATAGGATAGACATTTGTATCCTCAAAAGAAGAAGTTAGAAGAAAGGACTGACAGATTCCAAGAAGTTCAAAAAAATAGCAAGGCAAATATCATTAGAATTTAAAGCTTGAGAATAGTCTTTGGTTCAATGATCTGCCCACGTGGCCCTCTGGGGTGGCAGAGAACTACAGTTCTGTGGGGTAAGCCCTGCCCTAACAGCTCTCTGTGGTGGTCCCACTCATGCAGCACTCTTCAGTGTCCTTCAGGCCTGTGGAAGCCAAAGAGATGGCTTCATCCTCCAAAGGTAAAGAGGAAGAAGTTTTGCTTCTTGGGCCTGTAGTGGGAGTGGTAACCCTGATGGCCTCTGCATCACCTTTAGGGGTAATTCCTCTTGTCTTTAATGATAATGCATATCTGCAGCCTGTCTTCATTCTATCTCATTTTCTCTGTTTTATTTAGTGCCAGCTGGAAGTGTTTCTGCTGGTATAATCACATATTTATTCCTGGCTTTTGTTGAGATGGGAGTAGTACGTGCATGGTTAAAAAACATACTCATCTTTTTATCAATGATTATTTAGCTACATTCTTAGAAATCAGGCTGGTTCTCTTTATGCTGCCTACAAGAGACTCACTTCACCTGTAAAAAACACAAAGACTAAAAATGAAAGGGTTGAAAAGGGTATTGGATGAAAACAAACCAAAAGCAAACAGGAGTACCTATACTTATGTGAAAACAAACCAAAAGAAAACAGGAGTACCTATACTTATGTTAGATAACATAGACATTAAGTCAAAAACTGTAAAGAATGTCATTATGTAATGATAAAAGGATCTGTTCATCATGAAGATACAGCAATTGTAAATATATATGCATCCAATGCCAAAGCACTCAAATATATAAAACAAGTATTATTAGGTCTAAAATACAAGATACTGCAATATGCTAGTATCTTCTAATACTTAATAATAGTAGGAGACTTTAGTACTTCACTTTCAGAAATGGACAGGTCATCCAGAAAGAAAATCAACAACAAAAAATGCAGAAATACACTACACTCTAGACCAAGTGGACCTAAATGATACACAATAACTTTTCATCCAAAAACTACAGAATACACATTTTTCTCAACTACAAATGAAACATTCTCCAGGTCATATCATCTGTAGGGCACAAAAAAATTTAACAAATTTATGAAGATTAAGATTATATCAAGTTTATAATTTTTACCACAATAGTACAAAACCAGAAATCAATGACAGCAGAAACTTCAGAAACTTTAAAAATAAATGGAAATTAAAAAACATGCTCCCAAATAACCAATGGGTCAAAGACAAAATTTAAAAAATCAATAATATTGTTCAGACAAATGAAAATTTAAAATAAAACATGAAAACTTACAAGATACAGCAAAAATGTTTCCAATAGAAGTTTATACCAACAAATACTTACATCAAAAAAGTAGAAAAATCTCAAATAAACCAACTAACATTGCACTTCAGGAACTAGAATAACAAAAACTAATTAATCCAAAATTAGTGGAAGAAAAAATAATAAATATCAGAGAAAAAGTAAACAAAATAGAGAATAAAAATATCCAAATCATCAACAAAGCAGAGTTGGTTTTTTGAAACGTTAAACAAATTCGACAATCTTTTAGCTAAACTTTAAAAAATTAACTCAAATAAATAAAGCCAAGGATGACAAAAGAGATGTTATCACTGACACTAAAGAAATAGAATCACAAGACACTATTATGACCAATTATATGCTGAGAAATTAGATAATCTAGAAGGAATGGATAAATTCCTAGACATATACAAGTTACAGAGATTGACCTATGAAGAAATAGATAATCTAAACAGATCATTAATCAATTATGACATTGCATCAGTAATAAAAAAATTTCCCATGAAAGAAAGATCCAGGAACTGATAGTTTCACAACTGAATTCTACCAATCATTTATTTATTTATTTATTTATTTATTTTTATTTTTTTAATTATACTTTAAGTTTTAGGGTACATGTGCACATTGTGCAGGTTAGTTACATATGTATACATGTGCCATGCTGGTGCGTTGCACCCACTAACTCGTCATCTAGCATTAGGTATATCTCCCAATACTATCCCTCCCACCTCCCCCCCCCACAACAGTCCCCAGAGTGTGATATTCCCCTTCCTGTGTCCATGTGATCTCATTGTTCAATTCCCACCTATGAGTGAGAATATGTGGTGTTTGGTTTTTTGTTCTTGCGATAGTTTACTGCGAATGATGATTTCCAATTTCATCCATGTCCCTACAAAGGACATGAACTCATCATTTTTTATGGCTGCATAGTATTCCATGGTGTATATGTGCCACATTTTCTTAATCCAGTCTATCATTGTTGGACATTTGGGTTGGTTCCAAGTCTTTGCTATTGTGAATAATGCCGCAATAAACATACGTGTGCATGTGTCTTTATAGTAGAATGATTTAGAGCCCTTTGGGTATATACCCAGTAATGGGATGGCTGGGTCAAATGGTATTTCTAGTTCTAGATCCCTGAGGAATCGCCACACTGACTTCCACAATGGTTGAACTAGTTTACAGTCCCACCAACAGTGTAAAAGTGTTCCTATTTCTCCACATCCTCTCCAGCACCTGTTGTTTCCTGACTTTTTAATGATTGCCATTCTAACTGGTGTGAGATGGTATCTCATTGTGGTTTTGATTTGCATTTCTCTGATGGCCAGTGATGATGAGCATTTTTTCATGTGTCTTTTGGCTCCATAAATGTCTTCTTTTGAGAAGTGTCTTTGCATGTCCTTCGCCCACTTTTTGATGGGGTTGTTTGTTTTTTTCTTGTAAATTTGTTTGAGTTCATTGTAGATTCTGGATATTAGCCCTTTATCAGATGAGTAGGTTGCAAAAATTTTCTCCCATTTTGTAGGTTGCCTGTTCACTCTGATGGTAGTTTCTTTTGCTGTGCAGAAGCTCTTTAGTTTAATTAGATCCCATTTCCCAAGGTAATTTACAGATTCAATGCCATCCCCATCAAGCTACCAATGACTTTCTTCACAGAATTGGAAAAAACTACTTTAAAGTTCATATGGAACCAAAAAAGAGCCCGCATTGCCAAGTCAATCCTAAGCCAAAAGAACAAAGCTGGACGCATCACACTACCTGACTTCAAACTATACTACAAGGCTACAGTAACCAAAACAGCATGGTACTGGTACCAAAACAGAGATATAGATCAATGGAACAGAACAGAGCCCTCAGAAAAAACGCCACATATCTACAACTATCTGATCTTTGACAAACCTGAGAAAAACAAGCAATGGGGAAAGGATTCCCTATTTAATAAATGGTGCTGGGAAAACTGGCTAGCCCTATGTAGAAAGCTGAAACTGGATCCCTTCCTTACACCTTATACAAAAATCAATTCAAGATGGATTAAAGACTTAAACGTTAGACCTAAAACCATAAACACCCTAGAAGAAAACCTAGGCATTACCATTCAGGACATAGGCATGGGCAAGGACTTCATTTCTAAAACACCAAAAGCAATGGCAACAAAAGACAAAATCTACCAATCATTTAAAGAATAACTAACACAAATTCTTTTGAAACTATTCCAGAAAGTCAAAGAAAAAATAATTCCAATCTTATTTTATGAAGATAGCATTATCCTGATATCAAAACCCTACAAAGACACACACACACACACACACACACGCACACACACACACACACGACCATTATTCTTGATAAACACAGATGCAAAATTCCTCAACAAAATACAAGCAAACCAAATTCAAAAGCACATTAAAAAAATCATTCACCATAATCAAGTGAGATTGATGCCAAGGATACAAGGATGGTTTAGTATAAGCAAATCAATAAATATGGTACATCCCATTAGCAGAAAGAAAACTAAAAAACATATAATCATTTCAATAGACATGGAAAAGTTATTTGACAGTATTCATCATCTTTTCATGATAAATAAAAGTCTCATCAAATTAGGTATAGAAAGTATGTTCAACACACAAAAAAGATTACAAATGATAAATCCACAGCTAACATCATTCTAAATGGGGTAAAATTAAAAGTTTTTTCTCTATGATCTGAAACAAAACAGGAATATTTACTTTTACCACTTCTATTCATCACAGTACTGGAAGTCCTAGCTAGAGCAATGAGTCAAGAGAAGGAAATAAAAAGCAGTCAAATTGAAAAAGAGGAAATCAAATTGTCCCTGTTTGCAAATGACATGAATTTATATATAGCCAAGTCTATAGACCTACCGAAAAACTATTCAAACTAGTAAAAAAACTTAGTAAAGTTGCAGGATACAAAATGAATATACAAAAATCAGTAGCATTTCTATATGTTAATAATGTACTCTCTGGATAGGCATGGTGCCTCACACCTGTAATCCAAGCACTTTGGGATGCCAAGACAGGCAGATCACCTGAGGTCAGGAGTTCGAGACCAGCCTGGCCACCATAGTGAAACCATGTCCCTACTAAAAATACAGAAATCAGCTGGGCATGGTGGCGTGCACCTGTAATTCCAGCTACTTGGGAGGCTGAGGCAGGAGAATTGCTTGAACTCAGGAGGTGGAGGTTGCAGTGAGTCAAAACCATGCCACTGCACTCCAGCCTGGGCAACAGAGAGAAACGCTGTCTCAAAAAAAAAAAAAAAAAGTACTATTTGAAAAAGAAATCAAGAAATCAATTCCATTTACAAAGGATAGAATAATAAAACACCCAGGAATACATTTAACCAAGGAAGTAAAAAATCTCTAAAATAAAATCTATGAAAGAAATGGATGAAGACTCAAATAAATGGAAAGATATTTTATTTTTGTGGATTGGAGGAAATAATATTGTTAAAATATCCATACTAGCCAAAGCAATCCAGTCAAAGACATTCTTCACAGACATTTAAAAAATCCTGAAATTTATATGTAACCACAAAATATCCTAATATCCAAAGCAATCATAAGACAAAATAAAAAAAAAAAAAGAAAGGCTGGAGGCCTCACACTAACTCACTTTGAAATATACTACAAAGATATAATAACCAAAAATAGCTCGGTACTGGCATGAAAACAAACACATAGACAAATAAAAGAAAATAGAGAGTGCAGAAATAAATCTACACATCTATAGTATACTGATTTTTGACAAAGATGCCAGAAACACATATTGGGGAAAGGGCAGTCTCTTTAATAAATGATGCTAGAAAAATTGAATATTCACATGTAGAAGAAGAAAGCTAGGCCCCTATTACTCATCATATACAAAAGTAAAGTCAAAATAGATTAAAGAAAGTAAATTAAAGTAAGACTAGAAACTATGAAACTACTAGAAGAAAACATAGTGGAAATGCTTCATGACATTGGACTGGGGAAAAACAGACGTTGAAAGCACAGGCAATGTAAGCAAAAATAGATAAATGTGATGACATCAAACTAAAAAGCTTCTGCATAGAAAGGGCAACAGTCAACACAGTGAAGAGATAACGTACAGGATGGGAGAAAATATTTGCAAACTATATGTTTAACAAGTAGTTAACATCTAGAATATATAAGAAATGTAAACAACTCAATAACAAATAACAAATTGTACCATTAAAAATTGAGCAAAAGACCTGAATAGACATTTATCAAAAGAAGACATATAAAAGGACAACAGTTATATGGAAAAATGCTCAATATTTCTAATCATGATAGAAATGCACATAGAAATAACAATGAGATATTACTTTACTCCAGTTAGAATGGCTATTATCAAAAAGACAAATGATAGCAATTGTTGGCAAGGATGCAGAGAAAAGGAAACACTTATACACTGTTGGTAGGAATACAAATTATTATATCCACTATAAAAAACAGTATGGAGGATCCTCATAAACTAAGAATAGAACTATCATACAATCCAGTAATTCCAATACTGTTTCCAGAGGAAATAATATTGGTATGTCCCCTCCCTGTGTCCATGTGTTCTCATTGTTCAATTCCCACTAACGAGTGAGAACATGCGGTGTTTGGTTTTCTGTTCCTGTGCTAGTTTGCTGAGGATGATGGTTTCCAGCTTCATCCATGTCCCTGCAAAGGGGGCCTGTCGGAGGGGTGTACGGGGAAAGGGAAGGGAGAGCATTAGGACAAATGCCTAATGCATATGGGGCTTAAAACCTAGTTGATGGGTTGATAGGTGCAGCAAACCACCATGGCACGTGTATGTCTATGTAACAAACCTGCACATACAGCACATGTATCCCAGAACTTAAAGTAAATTTAAAAAAAAATTGGTATGTCAAAGAGATATCTTCACTCCCATATTCATCACAGCATATTCACAATATCCAAGATATTGAATTAACCTAGGTGTTTAACAACTAAAGAATAAAGAAAATGTGACATATATACAAAATGGAATATTATACAGCCATAAAAGGGAATAAAATCCTGCCATTTGTGACAACATGGATGAGCCTAGAGGACTTTTTTTTAAATGAAATAAGTCAGACACAGAAAGACAAATACTGCATATTCTCATTCATATTCAGAATCTAAAAAATTTGATCTCGTAGGAAGAGTGATTACAATAGTGGTTACTAAGGACTGGGGAAGAGAAGATGCGGTGACTATGGGCAATGGGTACAAAGTTACAATTAAAAAGGAAGAATCAGTTCTGGTTCCCTACTGTACAGTAAGGTAACTGTAATCAACAATAACATTGTATATCTCAGAATAGCTAGAAAAGAGGGTTTTGTTTGTTTCTACTATAAAGAAGTAATGGATATCCAAAGTACCTTGACTGGATAATTACACAGTGTATACATGTATCACAACACCACATTATCTTCATAAATATGCACGAATATGTCTCAATTAAAAATAAACATAATAAAAATATACAACAAAATAACACATGCTTTGATTAACACATCATAGAGTACAATAAAAACACAAAGGAATCATTGGTCATTTCTTTTTATTGGGAAAAGTTTTTAGGGAAATCTGAATAGATATAGTGATTGGGGAAGGAAAGGGAAGAGATTCCATGCACAAGGAGCAGATTAGCAATTCATTCAGGTATGAAACAGCAGTCTGCTTTTAATAGAATCCTGTGTAGTTTATTATGACTTGGGGGATTCGAGTGCAGTTGCGCTAAGAAATAAATGTAGTCAGATAGTACAGGCTTTTGTCAGAAAGATTCCTTGAGCAAAACTAGTTTAACTTGGATTATTACAATTATCTTCTAAAAAAATCTTTGTATACCTACACACTGTAAATAACTAAAGCATGAAAAAAAAACCTAAACTAGTACTTTCAAGTGAAAATAATTCCTTACAAATGAAAATAAACATATATATTTAGGTATCTAGACTTTAAAGAAAGTCAGGATCTAGTCTTATACCACAAAATTGTATTTTTGATCTGATGTAAGCTAATTTACAAACTTCACTTTCATTCTTAGGATGCAAATAAATAAAAGTTGAATTGTCTTAATCATCACATTAGTGGCCTTATTTTGATTCCTTTACTTGCTCATATGTGAACGTGACAATCTTTGCTTTTGCCAGACCCATCCAATTGCTAGGGTTTAGACCTATTAAATTATTCTTTTCTTCCCATTTCCTCTACATTAGAAGCACACTTGCATATGGCTAATTCTCCAAGTATGAAACATTCAAAGCAGGGATTGATCTGTTAACTATTATTTACTGTTAAAACACTATTGAAGGTTTAGAAAAATATTAGAAAAGTTAAGAGATTAAAGCATTCTCCTCACAAGCTTATATTGACCAATACAAAGTTCTTTTGATTCATGACCCTGAGCAAAAATAGTATCGTTATATAAACCCTAAATGTTAATATGGGTCAGTTTTGAATAGCCTACCAAAAAACTGATTTCACCAATAACAGATATGTTCAAGCAAGTTCAAGCTTTCCGGTCTTTAATGTGAGAATAATTTAATATACTTATTTAATAAAGGACTCTTATCCAGAATACATAAACAACTGGTATAGTGATAAGAAGAAGACGGTTAACCCAGTACAAACATAAATCAAAAATTAAACACATCACCAGAAAGGATGATAAAATTAAACCAGTTTGCCATAGAGATATCTATATGCCCTTGTTCATTGCACCATTATTCACAATATCTAAGAAATGAAAGCAATATAGGTGTCCATCATCAGATGAATGGCAACAAAAAAATGTTTATATACAATGAAATACATTCAGCCTTAAAAAGAGAAATCCTGACAATTGCAACAACATGGATGAACGTGTAGGACATTATGCTAAGTGAAATAAACTAGGTAGAGAAAGAAAGCACAGCATGATCTCACTTATATGTGGAATCTAAAAAACTGGAATTCATAAAAGTAGGGAGTAGATGGTGGTTACCAGAAGCTCTGGTATGGGAGAACAGGAGACATTGGTCAAAGGATGCAGTTTCAGTTAGATAGCAGAAATAAGTTCTGGAGAGCTATTGTACAGCATGTTAACTATTGTTAATAATAATACATTGTATATTCGAAAATTGCTAAAAGAGTAGATTTTAAAGTTTACACCACGTAGAAAATAATAAGTATGTAAGGTGATAAGCAGCTTGATAGAATCATTCTACAATGTATGTAGCTACATATTTCAATACATCATATTATACCAAAATATGTACAAAAATATAATTTAAAAATTAAGACAAATTATTTATTTTATTTTATTATTTATTTTATTTCATTTTGAGATGGAGTCTCACTCTTGTTGCCCAGGCTGTAGTGCAATATCGCGACCTCAGCTCACTGTAACATTTGCCTCCCGAGTTCAAGAGATTCTCCTGACTCAGCCTCCCAAGTAGCTGGGATTACAGGCACCCACCACCAGGCCTGGCTACTTTTTGCATTTTCAGTAGAGACGGGGTTTCACCATGTTAGCCAGTCTGGTCTTGAACTCCGACCTCAGGTGATTAACCCATCTCGGCCTCCCAAAGTGCTGGGATTAGAAGCATGAGCCACTGCACACATCCTAATACAAATAATTTGAAAGATTATTTGATATTTCAAAACTGATTTAATATTAAAAGTAAGTTGATATATCTAATAGGTCCTTGATATGAAATTAAATCCCCTCTAAATAAAAGACTATTTTTCTGTGCCTCAATAATTACATAAGCTTCTCATGCTTTTATATGAAATATCTTCTGTCATTATTGTGTCATCCTGGTGGTGGACTAGCATGTTGAATTCTAAAGTGGTGAAAAAATTAGAGTCCCTGTAGACCCAATTTTTTTACAGGACCAGCACATTGGCTCAATTATGTGAAAAGACTGTAACGGTATATTGTTGTTGCTTAGTGGAACAAAGTACTAGCCTTCTCTGTTTATTGATTTTCAGAAAAATAGCACGTACCAATTCAATAGTTGCATTCCTAACGCCAGGAGATGTGCTGATTTGCTTTTCCAAAGAAAACTAAACCTAGAATAGCAGCTGTAATGGGAGTCACCACCTGATTAAGGCTTTAATAATTCATTGTCATTGTGCTGAATCAATCAATCTTCAGTAATTGTAAAACTGGCAAGTAAATGAAGATTTGATAAGACTCACCCACTGTTAATATTTCATCTTGGTGATGGTATTTAACTTTATAATTATTTCAGGTATGTTTATTGTTTTGTTTTTTTCTTTGACAGAGAAAGATAATTTCATGAGCTTTTCTTGAACAGTATAGCCCTTCCTTTGGGAGTCAAGTTACAAATGTAATTGATTTTCCTGCCATTAAACTCTGGAACTGAGGAAAGTTCTGTTCTCACCGACCTACCATGAAGCAAATTTGATAAAAATAAATACTGCATTTATGTCTTGGCACTCTACTTATCATTTTGATGCGTAGAAGTGATGTTATGTTTCTCCAGGAAAATATATAAACTTAGATCCAGAGCATAATAACTTCCAGATTGTCTGAGACTCTCCGTTTTCTATCGCATAGTTACTTTGGTGAATGATACAAAGGAGACACATTTAGGAAGAGCTAGAACAGCAATTTACATGATGAACTTATAATGTTTGCAGGGGTTTTCCTCAAGAGAAAAGCCTCTATTTCTTTGAAGGATCTTTGACGTGAATTGACTATGGCCTGGTTGTATGACTGACATTGGCTCTGTATCCTGGGGCTCAGATCTTGCTTCTATTTGCCTTGAGAACCTCTTTTTTTTTTTTTTTTTTTAACTTTGCTGGCCTCCTTATCTATTTTGGTCCTTAAAAATGTCGTGAATATATAGCTACTATCAGGATTCCTGTTGGTGAACCCATTTTGATTGTCATTTCCTTCCAATATAATAATACAAAACTTGCCTTTAAAATTGTGCTGCTCCTTTCCCTCTGCAACAAACTACATGTGGATATATGCTTTGGAATCTTGGGATCCATTTCAATTGCAACACCCTATTAAACATTTTCAGACTTCCAAAAACATCCAAACTACATAGCATTTTAAAGACACAGGTCCTCACTTTAGTGTTTATTTCTTAGTGCCTTAATAAAAGAAGTATCTCCTGTTTTTTTTTTTAATTCTGGGATAATATTTAAGGGGTATGAATGATATCTCATAATATCAATCTATGTTTCTATCTCCCTACTTTTGATTTATTCTCATACATTATAAGAAATTATTTCTTATATCTCACTTTCATTTATCACAGGACACAATTGACTATGGATTTCAGCTAACCAACTAAGCAAACAATTACAAATACCCCAGCTGCTCAACCTGGTAAATTGAATCCGGAAACTCTAGTAACTAGCATCTATATTATAACTTCAACTGAGTTAAACTTTTGTTCTTCTCTTATTAATCTAGCAAATATATGTGTTTCCCATGTATATTCACAACATTTTTGTGAATATAAATTGCCCCTTACATAACTTTAAGAAAGTTTTTGCTCCTAGCGTTTACATTGTAATTTCACAATTGGTCAGGTTTGTACTGGAGAAAAGGAAAAGTGTTTGAAGTTGGGAAGTAGGGTGGCGTAGTTTTTCTTGCAAAGTAACTCTCACCAATAAGTAATTATGGAGTCTTCAAGCAATTTGAAATAGGCTTATCACACATAATAGGGGAATCTGCTTCAATCTTCAAGAGAGGTCCAGTGATTGGGAATTCAGTAAAAAGTGACTCACCTTTTACATTTTCTCATAAGTAACCAAGTTTTCAGGGTTCAACTTTTCCAATTGTTGTCTTTAACATTCACATTAAAGACATGGCAGGGGAATGAATTCAACAGACTTCATAATTTAGCCACTTAAAAGAATACAGTTTCACTTGATTTTGTAAGCAATGAGGGACTGTTGTACCTTAGTAACCAAAAGACATTGGATTTCAGTCCATCCTTTGAATGTATCAAGCCATTCACCTTCTGCACTTCATGCTTTCTAGAGTACTTGTTATTTATTTCTTTCATTCTCTCCCATAGCAATGACTAGTTCACACATCAACCACTTAGCTTCAACAGATACTTCACTCCAGTGAGCCAGGTAATAATTTGAATACTAATATATTAATAACTTTTATATAGCATTATTTCTGTGTTTGATATTGTTCTAAGTTCTTGACATATATTAACTCATATGAGCTTTACAATTGCCATTGAATTGGTTATTCTTCCCATTTTACACTGAAGAAATTGAAGTGCTGATCAGTAAATTAACTTGTTCATGGTGCACAGCTAGTAAGTGGATCCAAAACCTGTGTTTTTAATCCACAGAATCTGTCACCCAAGCCTTGAGTAATGCTTTATATTGATTTCAAATTTCTGGGTTAGGTTTATCTTAGGTTGTGTGTATTTATTCCATTGCAAGTGAGGGAAGATAAATAAATACCTGGGGATCTCAGCTTCTCTAGTGTTTCTATCTTCCACTAAGACCCATAAAGTGAGTTAATTTCTCAATATGGTACAGGAATTCAAATGCTAGGTAGCTCCCCAAATCGCTAATTATTTCTATGATGACTGACATTAACATCCATAATGTATTCAAATATTATTATTTGAAAAAGGTACCTTAGAACAATTTTTGACAAAAATTTTTAAACAAGTATTTTGGATGCAGACTAATTAAACATAGCCAAATCTTTGACATTATATCTAAGAAATTCATGATTACCAGAACACTTACACTAAATATTCAGATTCATTCAAATACTTGATCACATTTGCATAAAATTATCTGAAAAATTGGCAAACATTAATGTTTAATTAGAACATCTCTTAAATTATTGTATATTATATAATTTCTTCATAGACAAATATTCATTTTCTGTTTTTAATATAGCCATGATATTGTTAAATTGCTAATGGTTAGAATATAAAGTTCTTAGGAAGTTAGAAAACATGAGTGTAAAGTTTTGAATAACTTTAAGGTCAATCCTAGAAAATAATGCATTGAGATAATTATTTTGTTATTGTCAGATATGCAAAACAATTTTATGTGTAATTTCTTTTGGGGACTACTATACTTCTGTGCATTAAAAATATGATTGTATTTTGGAAATTGTATTGAATAATCTTTCTATACCTCTATCTGTCTGAAGAATATATTATTTCAATTTTATAAAGTAATCATGTAATTTTAGTCATCATTATCTAAAGTAAGCTATGAATAAGCATTTATTTTGAGGCATATACTTTAACATTTTCAAAAATAGAGACATGTACAAGTTAGTTTTATTCAAAGTTTTCAGCTTTGAAACACCACAGCTTATTTCCAGGAATATTGCATATGGCATGCTAATATCATTCTTCACCCACGTTATACATAAGAGACCAGAATGTGATATTGTCATCTCACATGGAAAAATCTGCTGTGATCAGTTCCTGAAGCTTGCTGTGATCCTCCCTTAGGAAAGTAGAAAAATCTTTTTGAAACACTTTATTCTACAATCAATGAAAATTAGGTGAAGCTACAGAAGCCAGAAATTACTCTAAGATTAGACAATTATTTAAGAGGACCAATTGTCTTTGGTCTTCTTCTGAAGGGTCTGACTACCCTCCTCCAAAGAATTCATCTACTAATTTGTGGAGCCCTGAAACAAACTTACATTAATGCAAAACCTACTACTCCAAATGGTGTTATCACTTAATCATCATGTATATGGAGTAGATAGTATTGATCAGAGCGAATACATGATATAGAAAAATGGTAAATGAATAAGATCTAATAGAAACCAGAGGTTAAAATTAGTACATTTCAGAGATATTGTGAAAGAATAAGAGAGAGGTCTTTCAGATAGAAAGAAGCAAAGCAAGATTAAGCATACCTGTGGATTTGTTTGAATAACATAAACCTCAAGAGCAATAATAGCCAAGATTACAGAAGGTCAAAGCCAGTTACTCAAATAATCTTCTCCAATTTGGCTTAGTAATAATGCACTTATATTGAGATAACATCATAATAACAAATATTACATGCAAACAAACTATAGTAATTATGTAGTCTAATTAGGTCTATTATGGAAGTGTCTGTGGAGGTGTTTGACAGATTTATGCTACAGACAGAAAACGAGGTCACGACAAGAAATATGATACGTACAAAGGGCTGAAGAGGTTTTAAGAACTTCTGGTTTGTGTATCTCTCAAACATTTGGTTGAATTCAGTATTAAACAACAAGGTAGGTATCACAATAGCTATATTGAATTGCCTGTTCTTACAATATTACTGCTGTTAGGAACAAAACACCACACACTGAGATAACTGATTTAGGAGGGAAAAATGTTAATCTTCCTAATGTCCTGTAAAGAATGTAGAATTTATAATAATCTAGGCACCCTGCTGTTAACATTACATTCAAAATGCCTTTTCCACAGGCAGTTTGAAAGAATAGAAGAGAAAGTCAATATTATGTTATAAATAGCAATAATTTTATAGTGGCACAACTTCGTATCTACCTGACATTGGATTCATAAAGTTTTCCATTCTGTAGGAGGATAAAATGCCTATATTCAGATTTTTTAAAAATAAAGAGGGTACTCTAGAAGGATGCTGTGGAAACAGCATTATTTAAGTCTCTCCAAATTCTCAAATGAAAATGGACAGAACAACTAGAAAAAAAAACATGAAACACATTTACAACAAAACTAAGAAACAATGTTGTAAGGCAGATACACCTGACAGCGATAACTGAAGTATACCCCGTGAATGACTCTCTATGGTAGATGCACTTGAGTGTATGTTTGGAGTTAGCAGCTAAGGAATCTGATAGTAGCCAACTTGGAGATTCATTCCTCAACTATGAGGAACATCTAAACCCCTGTCCCTTCTGGTGTAATGTGGACCATACAGGCTATCTAAGTTCTTTGCGGGGGGTAGATGAAGGTTGCCAGGTGTAGGTTGTTAGGGTGAGGGTGCTAAGTGAACATACCAAATAAACTGTACGTATTTTGAAAGCAGTTGCTGTTCTCCTACCCAGCCCACCACCACTGGGCTATAAGTTTCTCCTGTCCATCCTGCCACTCCTGGACCATCTCTGTATGTAATGTTCTGGCTAATAAAATCCTATGTCTTGTTTGCTGGCTCCAGACCTCCTCTTTAGCCTCTTGAACCTGGTACCATCCCTGTTGAGGTTAATAGGGGTCAAGCACAACAAATGTATCCACACAAACCTTCCAAAATAAGCAGATGGATATAAACCTCCCACAGCCACATAATTACATGATATCAGTATAATGTGGGAGGAAGAAAGAAGCAAATGGCAGCAAGTGTTGGATCTGAAGAAAGAAAGTTTTCAAAGTAGCCAACAGGGGTTCACTGGAAAGCACAGAAGGCTAATTCGAAAATGGAAGCTAAAATTGGGAGCAGTTCCCTCCTTAATATGGACAAGGTAAGAGGACTGCAACAAGAAGGATGAGAACTTCATGTTCTCAAGGAAATAGCTTGATTGCCATTTAAATATATGATACAGGCATGAAGCAATGGTCTCTATCATTAATTTAATTAACTATTCATGAGAATAGATCAAATAATTTCCATTATCCTAATTGGGTTGGTTGAATTATATAGGTAGAGTACAGATAGTGAACATTACGTTAGATAGTTACTTAAAAGTACTAGTCTGTCAAGATGGTTTCTAATTTAATTCTAGACTAAAAACCAATAAGAAAATCCTTAAATGGTATCTTCAAGTTAACACATCCAAAATATTGTCAAATATGTCCATCAAAATAAGTTGTATGAATAAATCATGCTATATTGTTAGAACATAATTTAGCTGTATAACAGCAGAGTTAAGAAATGCCAATTCTATAACATTCCAAGATACAGCAACAATTCAGTGACCAATTTGCTATTTTTCTGTTTATATTTGGCCTAAATGGATCAGCCAAGCATCAGAATGTATTAAGCAGCATGCCAAAAGAAAAAAAACCCACAAAAACAAAAAACAAACAAAAAACAGACTTACACATGCACTTGGAAATCACAGAACTGAATATGTTCTCATGTTTTGATAATTTTTATGGAAGATTATAACAACAAAAAAATAGTCATACTAGCACATAATGTGCCTCTATTTATTTATTCTCACATACCAACCTACACCATTTTTTGGATTGATGCGAGTACTAAAGAAGTCATGATCTGGATACAACAAAACATTTGTCGTATCTTCCACACTTTTCTAAAAAATGTAATACAAATTTTGGCCGGGCACAGTGGCTCACACCTGTAATCCCAGCACTTTGAAAGGCTGAGGTGGGTGGATGACTTGAAGTCAGAATTTGGAGACTAGCCTGACCAACATGGAGAAACCCCTTCTCTACCTAAAATACAAAAATTAGCTGGGCATGGTGGCACATGCCTGTAGTCCTAGCTACTCGGAAGGCTGAGGCAGGAGGATTGCTTGAGCTAGGAAGTCGGAGGTTGTAGTAAGCCAGGAGCATGCCACTGAACTCCAGCCTAGGCAACAGGAGAGAAACCCTGCCAAAAAAATAAATAAATAAAAAAGTTATGAAAATTTTGACTTAATTTTGGCCAAGAGTAGCCATTATTATATTACCTCCTGAAATGGTTTTCCTCAAGTCATATGCATTAAAGCATCTATAATCTTTATAAGCTATAAAGAACTTTGCTGAATAAATAAAAGTATTAGGTAGACGTTACTGTTGATAAGAAATTGGAACATATTCAATAAAATAGCTAATGCAATGGTCAATCAGGAATATATATTAAATGTAAACCAGATAGAGATATTAAAAAGGAAATACTGCAAGTACAGTGGTAAACAAAGAAATCTTTACCTTTTTGAGCTTACGTTTAGCTGGATGAGATAGAGAAAATAAAAATACACAAGTTGGCCAGAGAAGATTACCCTGAAAGGTGACATTTGACCGGAGTTCTGAGTAAAGCAGTCTCACAAAAATAGTCGATGGAAGAGAACTTAAGGCAAAAGAATCATAAGAACAAATTACCAAAGTCAGGTTCATGACCGGGATTTTCCAGGTTTTGGAAAGAGGCCAGTGTGGCTGCAGCATGATGAGCAAAGGAAAACTGATTGGTAGCAGAAGCCAAATCACATAGGGCTTGGTAAGCTTTGGTAAATACTTTGGATTATACTCTTCAAAGCCATTAAACAGGGAACACTGAACATTTCAGCAGGAAATAATACAACTTGGTTTATATTTTTAAATGTCTCTTTGTTTTGTAAAAAATTAATTTCAAGAGAAGGGCCAAGCTTAGAAACAAAGGGACAGATTAACAAACTACTGCAGGGGTGTCCTATCTTTTGGCTTCCCTGGGCCACATTAGAAGAGGAAGAATTGTGTTTGGCCACACATAAAATACACTAACACTAACAATGGATGATGAGCTAAAAAATTGCAAAAAAAAAAAATCTCATAATGTTTTAAAAAACTTTACATATTTGTGTTGGGCCGCATTTAAAGCCATCCTGGGCTGCATGCAGCCCGCGGGCCACAGGTTCGACACGCTTGAACTACTGAAATGGTCTGGATGAGAGGATATGATGGCTTAAACTAGGCTGATAAGACAGAGGTAATAAAAGGTGGTTGAATTCTGGGTTTATTTTGAAAGTATAGTCTAAAGCATTTGCTGTTTAAGTGGCAGTGCAGTGTGAGAAAAAAACTGAAGATCACTCTAAAGACTTTTGCCCTGAGTAACTCTGTAAATGGGAGTATTATTGATTGAGTTGAAAAACATTAGGGTAAGATCATGGTTTGGGGGAAGAAAGAAAAAATTCAGCTTAGGACAGATATTCTTTGAGGTGTCTATTTGACATTCAAGTAGCATATGTAAAGGGATTATTTCGGTTTTTAACACTGAGGTTCAGAAATAAATGATTGCTGAAGATATACTTGGAGGAGTCATCAGTATATATTGGTGCTCAAAACCATAAGACAAGATTATGCTATCCAAGTATTTAGAGAAGTTGAAATTATGGAGGGAACTGGTGGAAATATGCATGTCCAGAGGAAGAATGGCCAGGAAAAGAGACTGAACACATTTTTAAGAATGAAAGATACTCGAAATGTGTACTATCCAGAAAGTGTATCAAGAAAAAAATGATTTATGGTTTCAAGTATAGTTAGGAAACCAGCAAGATAATGATTAAGAACTAGTCATTGGGTTTTGAAGCCTGGAGGTTTTCAGTGGAGGTTATCAGTTCTATTTTGGTGGAGTATTAGGAATGAAAGATGAATTGGCATAGGTTTGAAAGACAGTGGGAGATGAGGAATAGAGTGGTATAAAAGTTCTCTTTAAGAAGGTATCTGAAAGGTACCATGACAAAGGATACTTTTTGAAGAAGCAAGATCATGTAACATGATTTATGCTAATGTGAAAGATCCCACAGAAAGGAGAAAAATTGTGTGTCTAGAGTGAAAGCAATTGCATGGGCAAAGCCCTTTATTAGGTGATAGTAGATGGCTTGTTATAGCTATTTTGTTACATCTCTAAAAGGTCATTTATCTACTCAGACAAATAACCTCATTTTTCTCCTTTTTCTTTATATCATTTTAAGTGCCTTTACTGCTCCTTTCCATTTCTTTGATCTCTAAATATTAGAAGGCTTCAGAATTGTGTCTCTTGATGTCTCTAATTCACACCCTTAATGAATTTATGTAATCTCATAAACCAAACAAGAGATTTATATATTTAAGTAGCTCTCCAAGATTTACACTTCTATATTTAATATGCATCTATAAAGTTAACGTCTTAATACTAACTTATGATCTGCTCATAAGCCTGTTGTTTCACAAAATTTCCCACCTCAGAGTAGGATGAGTCCATCCTTCCAGAATCTCCTACATAAAGAATTTACACTTTTCTTTCGTTCACACTTAGATTCTGTTTCTTCTACACATTTTATTGATTTTAACATTAAAATATTTTCAGAATCTATGTTTGGGCAATTTTACTGCAGTTAATTCTCAATATTTGCAATCCTTATGTTTATGAAGTCACTGTGAAACTGAATCACCAAGAACACTGAACCATTGCTCCTAGAAGGAGGAGAGGGTGAGGTTCCTGCAAATTTCTAGTCATGAAATTTTCATCATCTGATCAATACATAATTTTGTTTTATGTGTGTTTCTGTTAGAAGAAAACTCACCTAATGGATAATATTGATCATTCACCCTGAACTCATAGTCAGCAGTATTACAAGTCATGTTTTCTCTGTGAGGCACATCTCAGTCTACTTGTGCTTAGCAACACCAGACATCACATCAGCACTATTTCTGGGACCATTTTTAATAGTGAAATCACTACCAAAAAAAGCATAACAAAGTAAAAACCATGGCACAAAATAGATTGTGAAAAAACATTTGTGTGCTGTATGTTAGCTGTCAAGCAGTGCCTTATTTGACTTTGAGAAAGTGTGTGTGACAGATGACCCAAGATTTTTGTCACTCTGCACCTGCCATGAATGACTGACAACACACTGTATTGATTTTGGAGTTACAAATAAATTTTAGGAAGTAGGCAAATTTGTAAACAGAGAATCTACAAATAATGACGATCAATTGTACTAATATTTTCTATAATTTTTTTCTACTTTGTTTTTCCTTGTAGCAATCACTACTAGGTATACTATAGGTTTCCTTATTTTTTTCTTTTTGTTTATAATTTGTCTCAACATGAGAACACAGAGTTTTAAAGGTTTGCATAGGCTGAATCCTCATCCTCTAGAGTAGAAACTGGCACATGAGAAGAACCTAATAAATGTTTATAAAATAAAAAGGAATTTGAGACATATATCTATAAATAAATGGTTATACAAATGAGTCAATGATATAAAAATTATTGAAAATTATCTTTTAAGAGTTTGTTTATATGGTTTAAAATTCAAGAAGTACAAAGTAATACACCACGAAAAGCCTCCCTGTGCTACGAATGAAATGCCAACTTTATCATATTTTACAATTTCACATAAAAGTGAGTCTAAACAAAGCAAATTAAGAAAATATTCCAGAAAGGAAGAGATTCAATGAAATTATAGGCATTTGAACATAATAAAGTTCTTTGTGAAAAAAATGACCCCAACAAAAGATGAAAATACCGAAAAGATTAGAACTAAGAGTGTCTTTGCAGTACTCAGGAGAGGCGTGAAAAAGTAAAATAGAATAATTACATAAAATAAAAGCAGTGCTCTTCTGGTAGCAGCTTGTATTGTCTAGGGAGAACTAATGGTTAGATTTTTAGTAATTATGTGAGCTGGTTTTCAAACACAGTCATTATTGCAAATTAAACTATGTATTTGCAACTGAATAAACTGTGTTAAAATTACATTAAAACAGATTTTATTGTTTCTTTCTGGTGAGAAGATGATTTGTGTACTGTACAATGAAGCTTGTTAAGGCAAAAAGACTCAATCAGATAATCCAGCTATTACCTCTTTACTCTTCTTCCTTCACCTGCCTCACATCAGAGTTTCCTACCAGGAAAAAGCATGCTATATAATAAAAGAGTATATGATTTATTAAACTCTTGAGAAGGGAAGGGCTAACTCAGCAGGTCTTGGTTGCTCAAACTTTGCACATTCCAAAGAAATGTTTGTCTTCAGTGTTGTCCCTTGGATAATCTCCAGGACAAGTATCAGAACTTTTGATATATTTTGCCTGATATGACTGTTTTTGTATGCCTGAAGTCTTGAACTGCTGAGTTATATTTCTTCAAACCAAGGAACCCATTTAACAGCTTATAGTGTCTAACAATGAGCAAAAAGACATTACATTAAATGGACATATCATGATTCATATTAGCCTCACAGTAACATGTTTTGTGTAAAATGGGGGAAGATAAAAGAATGAAGGACTGGCTTACACGCTTTCATGAGTGTGAGGGGCAGCAGGGGGGAGTTCCTCTCTAGATAGATCCCTCTGCTTTTGTTGGGGAGGTAACTGGCTAAGAAGGTGTGATAGATAAATAGATGTGTCAGCTTGGCTAGGCCATAGTACCCACATCTTAATCTGTTCAGGCTCCTCTAACAAAATACTGTAGACTAGGTAGCTTGCAACAGAAATGTATTTATCACTGTTCTGGGGGCTGGGAAGTCGAAGATCAACACACCAGCAGACTCAGTGCCTGGTGGAGGATCATTTCCTGATTCATAGAGAGTGCCTTTTCCCTGTGTCATCACATAGCAGAAGGAGAAAATGAGCTCCCCTGGGCTTATTTTATAAAGGCACTAATCCCACTATTGAGGGCTCTATCTTCATAACCTAATCACCTCCCCAAAGACCATACCTTCTAATATCATCACCTTGGAGGTTAAGGTTTTGACCTATAAATTTAGGGGAAACACAAGTCTTCTCACCATAGTAGCAGATATTTTGTCAAACATTATTCTATATATTTCTGTGAAAATATTTTTTTGGATGAGATTGTCATTCAAATCAGTAGACAGTGAGTAAAGCAGATTGAGCTCCATAATGTGGGTGGGCTTCATCCAATTCACTGAATACTTTATTTTAAAAAAAGACTGACCTTCCCCTAGGAAGAGGGGATTCTGCCAGCAGATGACCTTCCGTTCAAGCACAAACTGAATCTCTTCCCTGGGCCTCCATCCTGCTGCCCTCCCTGACAGATTTTGAACTTGCCAGTGTTCACAATCATGAACCAGTTTCTTACTAATAAATCTCTCCTTTCGTAAAAAAATATATATGTATAGATGTGTGTGCACACATATATAAATATATACAGATGTATATGTATACCCGTGTGTGTGTGTGTGTGTGTGTGTGTGTGTGTGTGTGTATCCTATTGGTTCTGTTTCTTTGGAGTACTCTGAACAGTACACCAGGGATAAGAGATAATACAGGTATAAATATACAATTCTTCCCTACATCCTGTTTATTTTTTCCAATATGATGCCATAGGCCTACGACCAGGGCTACAGCTGTGGGTGTCAGAAGTAGGGATAATTTCGAAATAAGTAACTGTATCATTTTAATTCTTTGTACCAGAATTACAAAGAGCCTGGTTTTATGGAATATGCCTTCATCTGTCTGGCAAAATTTAGGTTGACAGTGAATAGTGAATGCAGCTGTATTGCCTGGTGGTTGGGATAGACCACTAGTTTTATGCCTATATAACATGACTCTACATGAATGGGAATATATTGTAGAAGAAACTTTGGATAGACTGGTATTGCTGCCAGCATTTTGAACCAGCTTAGTGACTTACCATAACATCCTTTCCAAATTTGGAAAACGTGGAGTTAAAATCAATGACAAATTGTGAAAAAGAGAGATAATAGCTGAGGGTAAAGGAAGAAATATATCAGTTATAAAACAAGGGAGACTGATGCACCAAGAGAGAGTCAGAATAAAAGAATGATGTTATCTTTTAATACAATTATACCATATAACCTAAAGGATGAAGCCATATGTTTACTAAGTACAATCCTGCTTTTGGAACCTGACAAAGTCAAACAGAAGCCTATAAACCTGATTTACCTTGAACTCTGAGATACTTTAGTCACATAATATGATGATGAGTTGCACCAATTATTAATAACTGAGTGTAACTCTAGAAATGTTCTAGTATCTTTTCTCTCTTACTTTTCAGATTGTATCTACTGAAAAAGGCATCATTTGGGAAGAAATTTCCAGGAACTACTCTCTACTGGTCTGTTGAATCATGAAGTGCACAGCTCTCATCAGAATGATTACCGTGTAGCTATAAACCTCAATGACCAAATGCTTAGAAACGTCCCTGGTCATAATGAATGAAATATGCCAGTGGCATTCCCAACATGCCACAATGTGCTATGCACACGTATACATCACTCTTATTTTTAGTCTTAAACAGAATAGAAAAAAAAACACAATGAATTTCTCATGGGAATAAAGCAATAGGTATCGCATAGTGAATTCAAATTTTCCTGGAGAATATCCCTAGCCTGAGAGGTAAAAGGCTGTGTAGAGTAGTATAGCATACTCAGACTATATTAAATGTAGGTGTGACACATCTAACTCTATTATATGGAACCCAACATTTTTGGATACAAAATATGTCTTTTAACTGCATTCAAGCCACTAGTACATAATGGCAACAGTACTCATGGTGGATTAAACATTATCCCACAAGACAGAAAACGGTTTCAGGGGAAATAAATACTAGTCTAGATATTATGGCACAAGCTCAATTTGCTTTTAATTAGAAATGACATTCAGAGGGAATAAAAATATTTGTTAACTGGAATTAACAGATTAGACTAAATTATCTTCTAGAAGGAAGGCAAGGCACAAAGATGGGAATTGGCCTGGAAAGATGATGGGACTTCAGTGAAGTGGATCAGGCTGATTCAACCAATACTGATGGATGATGCTAGGTTGTACCTTTGGGAAAGGGCTTGTACCCTAAGCCCCTAAGCAGGGCTTCTTGACTACTGTGATACCAAAAAAGCCATGGGGCAATGGCTCTTCATCTTAGCTGCTGAGAATCAAAGGTCATATTTTTTAGGAATCATGCATCTCCAAATTTATGGAAGTTCTCTGAAGACACTTGTTATTCACATTAATGCACTATGACTGTCATTGCCTGGAGAATAGGTCAAAATAAGACGTATTCTATAACTATAATATGGTAAACAAGGATAGCAACTGTTCTGAACACCCATGTTCTCTCATAAGTGGAGATGGGCCCTGCTATATAGCAGTGCACAATGGAAACTAGTTTCAGTACAAGCCTTTGAACTAAGACAGGGAGGGTGGCTTTATCCCCAACTGACTTGGAATCTAGAAATAACCAAATCAGGGTCAACTGTAATAACTACTACTCATAAAAATATATGGTATTTGGACAAAGGCTCATTCTGTGGGAAGGCATAGCAAAAATTTATATGATCCTTACTGATTTGTTCTATAATAAAATTAAATTGTGCTATGATCATACTACAGTATGGTATAACACTGGCATTGTTGATAAGATTCAACTACCTATGTAAATAAGATATGCTACTACTGATACTATTGATCAAATGGTGTTGTGAAGCATGTTCCCTTGCAACTCCTCTGGAAGGGGACACCTGAAAGAATGAGCCTGGTTTCTCCTTGATTTCATTCACACAATGTGCTGTTTTATTTTACTAATTTTAATCTGTAACAAGAAACTATAATAAATTTCAAGTTTGAGTATAACAGCTTTTTTGAGCCCTGTGAGTTCTAGCAAACTATTGAGCCTCAGCGTGATCTTAGGGATCCCAGACACAGATCCCTTTCCTGCCTTTTTAACCTCTGCAAGTGGGTTTCTCAAATGATGGTTTAACAATGCTTTCCAGGTGTGGTCCTACTCTCTAGATATCTGCAATTAAAAGGTAGTCCTTGAGGACTATTAAAACTACCTGTATAGAAGTCCTTATCCTCTAGTTTTGAAGTGATAGCTCTATGTCTATGTCTATCTCTATCTCTATGTCTATCTCTATCTCTGTCTATCTCTATCTCATCTCTATCTATCTCTATCTCAAATCTATTATCTCTAACTCTATCCCTAGCTCTACCTCTACCTCTATCTCTAGCTGTAACTCTAACCCCTTTATCTGTATCTCTATCTATTTCTGTCTCTATCATATCTCTCTCAGTACATCCATCTACACTCTTATAAAGGGAAAAAATGAATGTATACAGATAGATATATAATTATAGACAAAGATCCATTGCAGTTTCTCCCTCTTTGGCCCAGATTTTGCTTTACTTTTTTTTTAAGTGATGGCTAACTTCTGTTTTCTGATTTTAGCCCTTGTTTTGTTGAAAACTAATTTTTTTCCTGTTTTCTATTTCATCTATTTTTTATTTTTGTTATGTTCATTGTACATCAAAGGGTAGATACGTTTATTTCTTGATTTTTACTAGATATTCCTATTTTTTTCTAACATACAAGAGTATAAAATGCTTTAGATTGAACCATTTTCAAGGAACAATACCAGACACCAATCAGTCTTTAGTAAATTTCTGCTATTACTACTTTTTTCATTTATTTTATTCAGCTACACACACATATATATAACTTTATATGAAATAATTCTCAATTCTTTTGAAAAGATAATGAATAGATCCAGTTTCAGCTTTCTACTTAGGGCTAGCCAGTTTTCCCAGCACCATTGATTAAATAGGGAATCCTTTCCCCATTGCTTGTTTTTCTCAGGTTTGTCAAAGATCAGACAGTTGTAGATATGCGGCATTATTTCTGAGGGCTCTGTTCTGTTCCATTAGTCTATATCTCTGTTTTGGTACCAGTACCATGCTGTTTGGGTTACTGTAGCCTTGTAGTATAGTTTGAAGTCAGGTAGCGTGATGCCTCCAGCTTTGTTCTTTTGGCTTAGGATTGACTTGGCAATGCAGGCTCTTTCTCAGTTCCATATGAAATTTAAAGTAGTTTTTTCCAATTCTGTGAAGAAAGTCATTGGTAGCTTGATGGGGATGGCATTGAATCTATAAATTACCTTGGGCAGTATGGCCATTTTCACGATATTGATTCTTCCTACCCATAAGCATGCAAAGCTGAAACTGGATCCCTTTCTTACACCTTACACAAAAATTAATTCAAGATGGATTAAAGACTTAACATGTTAGACCTAAAACCATAAAAACCACAGAAGAAAACCTAGGCAATACCATTCAGGACATAGGCATGGGCAAGGACTTCATGTCTAAAACACCAAAAGCAATGGCAACAAAAGGCAAAATTGACAAATGGGATCTAATTAAACTAAACAGCTTCTGCACAGCAAAAGAAACTACCATCAGAGTGAACAAGCAACCTACAGAATGGGAGAAAATTTTTGCAACCTACTCATCTGACAAAGGGCTAATATCCAGAATCTACAATGAACTCAAACAAATTTACAAGAGAAAAACAAACAACCCCATCAAAAAGTCGGCAAAGGATATGAACAGACACTTCTCAAAAGAAGACATTTATGCAGCCAAAAAACACATGAAAAAATGCTCACCATTTTTTGGCCATCAGAGAAATGCAAATCAAAACCACAATGAGATACCATCTCATACCAGTTAGAATGGCGATCATTAAAAAGTCAGGAAACAACAGGTGCTGGAGAGGATGTGGAGAAATAGGAACACTTTTACACTGTTGGTGGGACTGTAAACTAGTTCAACCATTGTGAAAGTCAGTGTGGCGATTCCTCAGGTATCTAGAACTAGAAATACCATTTGACCCAGCCATCCCATTACTGGGTATATACCCAAAGGATTGTAAATCATGCTGCTATAAAGACACATGCACATGTATGTTTATTGCGGCACTATTCACAATAGCAAAGACTTGGAACCAACCTAAATGTCCATCAATGATAGACTGGATTAAGAAAATGTGGCACATATACACCATGAAATACTATGCAGCCATAAAAATGATGAGTTCATGTCCTCTGCAGGGACATGGATGAAGCTGGAAACCATCATTCTGAGCATACTATCACAAGGAGAAAAAACCAAACACTGCATGTTCTCACTCATAGGTGGGAATTGAACAATGAGAACGCATGGACACAGGAAGGGGACCATCACACACTGGGGCCTGTTGTGGGGTGGGGACAGGGGGGAGAGATAGCATTGGGAGATATACCTAATTCTAAATGAGGAGTTGATGGGTGCAGCACACCAACATGGCACATGTATACATATGCAACAAACCTGCACGTTGTACACATGTACCCTAAAACTTAAAATATAATAATAATAAATAAATAAATAAATAAATAAAAGATAATGAATAATTTACATAAAAAGAATGTGAATAATTATTTGCATGATTTCATAAAAGACATCTTACAGCAGTTACTGTACTAGTCTGCTCTCATTCTGCTATGAAGACATATCTGAGACTGGGTAATTTATAAAGAAAAGAGATTTATTGAGAGGTCAAGGTGGGCAGATCACGAGGTCAAGAGATCGAGACCATCCTGGCCAACATGGTGAAACCCCGTCTCTACTAAAAATACAAAAATTAGCCAGGCATGGTGGTGGGTGCCTGTAATACCAGCTACTCGGGAGCCTGAGGCAGGAGAATCACTTGAACCTAGGAGGCAGAAGTTGCAGTGAACTGAGATCGCGCCACTGTACTTCAGCCTGGTCAACAGAGCGAGACTCCCTCTCAAAAAGAAAAAAAAAAAGAGGTTTAATTGACCCACAGTTCCACATGGCTGGGGAGGCCTTAGGAAACTTACAATCATAATGGAAGGCCCCTTTTCACAGGGTGGCAGGACAGAGAAAGAAAGCTGAGTGAAGTGGGAAACTCCTTATAAAATCGTCAGGTCTCATGAGAACTTACTATCATGAGAACTGTATAGGGGAAACCTCCCCCATGATTATATTATCTCCACCTGGTCCCACCTTTGACATGGGATTATTACAATTAAAGGCGAGATTTGGGTGGGGACACAGAGCCAAACCATATCAGTTACTAAAAAGCACATCATGAAATGGTGTTCTATAATAAATTATTAAATTGATTAGTAAGCATAATCATTATATATTTTATAGTGTTGCAAGCTTTAAAACATGTTTGTCATATTTCATACAATTTTAGGATAATGATAAAATAGTGACACTATCTGACATATGCTGGTTGTATTAGTCCATTCTCACACTGCTATAAAGAACTACGTGAGACTGGGTAATTTATGAAGAAAAGTGGTTTAATTGACTCACAGTTCCACATGGCTGGAAGGCCTCAGGAAACGTATAATCCTGGCAGAAGGTGAAAGGAAAGTGTGTATGTCATCACATGTCACAGCAGGAGGAAGACAGAGAGAAGGGTAAAGTGCCACATACTTATCAAACAACCAGATATCTGAAAACTTACTCACTATCATGAGAACAGAGGGAAGGGGGAAGTCCACCTCCATGATTCAATCGCCTTCCACCGGGCCCCTCCTCCAACACATGGGGATTGCACTTTGAGATGAGATTTGAGTGAGGACAAAGAATTAAACCATATCACTCCACGTCTGGTTCCTCCCATATCTCATGTCCTTTTCACATTTTGAGACAAATCATGCCTTCCCAACAGTCCCCCAAAGTCTTAACTTATTCTAGCATTAACTCAAAAGTCTGCATTCAATATCTCATTATAGACAAGGCTAGTCCCTTCTGCCTATCAGTCTGCAAATTAAAAATAAGTTATTTCCAAGATACAATGGAGGAACAGGAATGAAGGAAATGCTTTTATTCCAAAAGAGATAAATTGACAAAAACTAAGGGGCTCCAGGACAAATACAAGTACAAAATCCAGAAGGGCAGTCGTTAAATCTTAAAGCTCCAAAATAATATCTTTTGACTCCAAGTCTCACATCCAGGGAATGCTGATGCAAAGGGTGGGCCCCCAACGCCTTGGGCAGCTCCTCCCCTGTGGCTCTTCAGGGTACAGCTCCTGTGGCTACTTTCATGGGCTGGTTGAATGCCTGTGGCTTTTCCAGGTGCATAGTACAATCTGTTGGTGGATCTACCATGCTGGTGTCTGGAGGATGGTGGCCCTCTTATCACAGCTCCACTAGGCAGTGCCCCAGTGGGAACTCTGTGTAGAAGCTCCAACCTCATATTTCCCCTTTGCACTGCCCCAGTAGAGGTTCTCCATGAGCGCTCTACCCCTGCAGCAGACTTTTGCCTGGGCATCCAGGTGTTTTCCATATATCCTCTGAAATTTAGGCAGAGGTTCCCAAATTCTTGCCTTCTGCACACCAACAGGCTCAACACCATGTGGAAGCCACTAAGGCTTGGGTCTTGAACCCTCTGAAGCAATGGCCCAAGATATACTTCAACCCCTTTTACCCATGGCTAGAGCTGGAGGTGCTGGGACATAGGATGCCATGTCCCAAGGCCACACAGAACATTTTTCCCCTCTAGGCCTCTGGGCTTGTGATGAGTGGGGCTGCTTTGAAGATCTCTGAAATGCCCTGGAGACATTTTCACCATTGTCTTGAATATTAACATCTGCTCCTCTTCACTTAAGCAAATTTACACAACAGGCTTGAATTCCTCTCCAGCTAATGGGATATTCTTTTCTACCACATGGTCAGGCTGCAAATTTTCCAAAATTTTATGCTCTCTCTTTTAAACATAAATTTTGATTTCAGACCATCTTTTTCTTCACATATATGAGCATACACTATTAGAAAAAGCCAGGTTACATCTTGAATGATTTGCTTCTTAGACATTTCTTCCACAAAATACTCTAAATCATATCTCTCAAGTTCAAAGTTTGACAGATCTCTAGAGCAGGGGCAAAATGCTGTCAGTCTCTTTGCTAAAGTATAGCAAAAGTAATCATTACTCCAGTTCCCAGTAAGTTCCTCATCTCCACTTGAGACCACCTCAGCCTGGAGTTTATTGTTCATATCACTATCAGTACTTTGGTCACAAGCATTCAACAAGTTCTAGAAAGTTTCAAACTTTCACTAGTCTTCCTGTATTCTTCTGAACTTCCAAACTGTTCTGACCTCTGACCATTACCCAGTTTCAAGGTCACTTCCACATTTTCAGGTATCTTTATAGCAATGCCCCACTTTCTCAATACTAATTTTCTGTATTACTCCATTCTCACATTGCTGTAAAGAACTAACTGAGACTGGATAACTTATGAAGAAAAGAAGTTTAATTGACTCACAGTTGTGCATGGTTGGTCAGGCTTCAGGATACTTATAATCAACGGTGGGAGGTGAAAGGAAAGCAAGCATATCTTCACATGTCAAAGCAGGAGGAAGACAGAGAAGAAGGAAGCACCACATACTTATCAAACAACCAGACCTTGTGGGAACTCACTCACTATCACAGAACAGCAAGAGGAAAGTCTATCTTCATGATTCAATACCTCCCACAAGGCCCCTCCTCTGACATATGGAGATTAAAATTTGAGATGAGATTTGGGTGGGGACACAGAGCCAAACCATATGATTATTTGTTCAAAAAGTATTATTGAATTCAGATATTTTAAATGATAGCTCACAAAAGTACTGAAGAACAGATGAATACTGAATTATTAGATTTTGTGTCAATTTGAAGCAAATCAATTTTATTTTGAAGAGATGTAATATACATTAAACAAAAATGTACAGATTATCTTAAATATATTAAGAAAATCAGAAATATTATGTGCAAGTTTCTTAGGTAAAATTATTATACACTAAAAAGTCATTTCCCCTAAAGATAAAATGAAAATTCAAATAACTAATTCTCAGGCATGTTTGCTGAAATGTATTTAATGCAAGTACAAAGCATAAAAGTGGGTAATTTTCTTTCTAAATATTTTGATTCAAATTAGAGCAAGTTTCAGTCAGTTGAACAACTGGTAACTTTGGTCCTCCTGCTCTAAACTGCTAATGTCCCTATTCTCTGCATATTAGGAGTAAAAAAAGTAAATAAGATAAACATAAGTCATATTTCTAGGGACTGAAATATAGCAATAAAAATTTCTCTATTAAAATTCATGCAAATATGTTATGAAATGGAAATTTTAAAATGGTTTGAGAAAACTCATTATATATAATTAATTAGCTTGAGGAAAACAGCATGTTTTCTCACTGCCCTATTAAGTTGGATTCCCCAGCAAGCAGACTCTGAGTTAGAGATTAGTATGTAAGAAATTAATTAGTGAGTGCCTTGCAGATCAACACCTATGAGAAAAAAAAGGAGGGATTAACATGTGTGCTACTGGAAAGGAAGGAAATAGAATAGGACATTGGAAAAATTAAACTGTGATGCAGCTTCAATGGTTGTTCCAGTCAACCCTACAGGGGTTCTGAAGTTAGGATAACTTGGGTAAAGGGACTAGGCTTTTAAATCCCCTTATCAATGAGTCATTGGATTTGAGCTATGAAAAATTATTTAAAGAACTGGCATCTTACAAAAATTAGCCAGGCATGGTGGTACATGCCTGTAATCCCAGCTACCTGGGAGACCGAGGCATGAGAATCACTTGAACCTGAAAGATGGAGGTTTCAGTGAGCTGCAATCACATTACTGCACTCCAGCCTGGGTGACAGAGCAAGACTCTGTCTCAAAACAAACAAGCAAATTTACAAACAAAATGACTGGCTTCTCATTGATACCCCGACAATGCTGAACTTCACCTGAGGCCTGTGTGCCTGTCAAATAGCTACAGTTAAGAAATCTTCACACACCTTGTGTTCCCAGAAGGGGCTTAATGCAATAAAACAGTCTTTCACATGTGACTTGGGTAAGACTTATAGATGTTATTCTTGTTTACTATGATTAGCCTAGACACAGTCCTTCTAAATTTATATTTCTTGTCTTATAAATGATCAACTGAGCTTTTTCTCTCCACCAATCAATCTGAATAAAATATGTGCTAACTTGACCTATCCAAATTTTAGTCAGGGTTTTCCCCTTTCCCAAGTCTCCTGAAATTGAAACCACCCTTTAGCATGCAGAACCATCCTTCCTTAATGCTCTCCCAAGAAATGGCCAACCTCAGATAAATAAAACATTCTCTGATTTATTGTCTGATCATATGATCATATGATCACTCCACATACCCAGTTCTTTTTAGCTTTGTTTACTCTTCCTACAATAGAAAGGTCATTTCTGCCTTACTTTCGAGACATTTACAGATCTTATGCTTGAAGCATTCTCTTTTGTGAAGTAGTTCTAGTTTCCCTATTCCAACAGGGTTCTTCTATACCTCTCTTTTTTTGGAAATAGTCTTTTAGAACAAAGTCTACCTTTACTTATGTCTGAGTTTATTATCTGACTTCTGTTAGCAGCACCAAAACTCACAACAACTGGGAAAATCTTTTGCTTCTGAAAAGAATCTGAGTGGCATATCTTAGCATCCACCATATCTACTCAATTATATTACTTTCAAAGGAAATAAAATTATTTTTTAAAGTAGATGTTTTGAAAAGTCAAGTGAAGTTTTGTGTTGGCCAAATCATTATGAATTCCCTTTAAAATTGGAGAAAATGTGCATTGAAAAAAAAGAAAATGAGAAAAGTTATGGACAGTGGACAAAAAATTGAGAAAATTATAAATAAGAGAAAAAGAATTTTCAGTTAAGCATCAGAGATTAACCACAGTTGATTGTCTCTACCTTTTACAAAATTTAAAATAAAAATATTTTCAAACAGAAAATTTATAAAGAAAAATTTTTTTCTTCACTTCAAATTTTCTGTGTCTAGGCTGAGGAATGAGAGATAACACTAAATCAATTAAATTAAAAATTTGATTAATATTTTGGACTTGATGGTCTAATTACTGATGCAAGTTTGGGTTTGAAAAATCATGTGGGCATGCAAAAGTAGATTGAAAAAGCATGTTCCTAGTAGAGTGAATCCAGGAATAAAGGGAGTTTGCTTATGTTACACAAAGTTTAAAGGAATTGTTTAGAGGAACATAAAGTTACATTTTGAGGATGAGTTTTGAGGCTTTTTTACATTTTTTATTTGTAATTAAAAAAATTAAAAATTGCAAACAAGTCAAATGTATGATGAATAAGTTGCAGCACATTGATGCAATTGTAATACTATTGTCTTAGTCCATTTTTTGTTGCTATAACATATATAAGTCCATTCTTGCATTGCTATAAGAAAATACCTGAGACTGGGTAATTTTTTTATATATATATATATATAAAGAGGTTTAATTGGCTCATGGTTCTGCAGCCTGTACAGAAAACATAGCAGCTTCTGCTTCTAGGGAGGCCTCAGGAAACGTATAATCATGGCAGAAGGGGAAGCAGGCATGTCTTACAGGGCAGGAGCAGGAGGAAGGTAGGAGGAGGTGCCACACACTTTTAAACAACCAGGTATCATGAAAACTCTATTATGAAAACTGCACCAAAGCAGGGAAATCTGTCCCCATGAACAAGTCACCTCCCACAAGCCCCAACTCCAACATCGTGGATTACAGTTGAACATTACATTTGGGTGGGGATACACAAATCCAAACCATATCAACATAATACTTGAAATTAGGTGATTTGTAAAGAACAGAAATTTATTTCTTGTAGTTCTGTGGGCTAAGTCCCATAGAACCCACATCTGGTGAGCACCTTCTTGCAGCATCATCCAACGGCAAAAGAAGAAGGGCAAGGGAGAATGCACATGAGAGAATAAATGGAATTGAACTCATCCTTTTACCAGAAACCCACTCCTGTGATAACTAACAAACTCCTGTGATAATAATATTAATTAACTTATGAGGGCAGAGCCCTCATTATCTAATTACCTCTTAGCAGTCTCACTTCTCCACACTGTTGCATTGGAGATTAAGTTACCATCACATGAAGTCTGGGGAACATATTCAAACTATAGCAATTATATAGCAATGAATATAAATGAATCATAAATACACATATAAACATCATAGCATTTAGGAGAAAACTGTAATAGCAGAAGAATACATTCATATTGTACAATTTATAAAATATTTAATTCTATGTAAAATTAAACAATATGATGTTTGGAAGTATATAATATACATACAGTAAACCTATAAAAGAATTAGGTGAAATTTCTAGATAGTGGTTACATATGAATTGACTAATGGTTGATACAAAGACGAAATGCAGGGTTTTCAAGTGTTGGTAATAGACTCTTAAACTGGTGATTTGTATATTTGTGTTCATTAGTTTTTTTTTGTTTTTTTTTTTTTTTTTTTTTTGAGACGGAGTCTCGCTCTGTCGCCCAGGCTGGAGTGCAGTGGCGGGATCTCGGCTCACTGCAAGCTCCGCCTCCCAGGTTCACGCCATTCTCCTGCCTCAGCCTCCCAAGTAGCTGGGACTACAGGCGCCCGCCACTACGCCCGGCTAATTTTTTGTATTTTTAGTAGAGACGGGGTTTCACCGTTTTAGCCGGGATGGTCTCGATCTCCTGACCTCGTGATCCGCCCGCCTCGGCCTCCCAAAGTGCTGGGATTACAGGCGTGAGCCACCGCGCCCGGCCTGTTCATTAGTTTTTAACCTATTAAAATTATTTATATTTTATAATATATAAATATTCCACTAAAAAAATAGAAAGAAGTAAAATAAAGAATTTAGCTGTGAAGTCAATGTACTGGTTTTTATCAGGTCCAACACATTTACTCATACAAATAAAATGGGTAAAGAAGAATCTCATTTGTTCCTGACTGTAACTATCATTCATTTGATGACATAATATAATTAATACTTAATAGCACATTTAATGCTTTTTAAATTTAAGAATATATTTACTTTTCATGGAAAAGCTTACATATATATTTAAAAAATGAATTCGGTTAAAAAATCTTATTCTTTAAAGATAACATTTTATGATTGAAAACTCATATTACACTAATCTTCTGTTAATATAAGTTGTAGAATACTTAGTTATGTTGCATTTCATTGTATCCTAACGTGTTGCTATTTTCTTCTTCCATTGCTCACTTAATTATTCCCAGGAAGATGTGGAAAAGAAGGTAAAACTCAGAATTCATTAAATTTAAAAAGTAATAATAAATCTATCATTAGTGTTTAATCCCAAACCAGAAAATAATTTGGACATTTCTCTTATTTGGAAAGGGAAAAATATATTTCTGAATTGTTACCAGGCTTCTATTTGGAACTACTTAACACTTGCAATGATTTCTATGCCACTGCAGTTTTGAAAATCATTCCCACAGATGTTGATCCCTACTTTTACAGTCATTTAAACCAAACTATATCTTTCTAATTTTCATATGCTGTCAACAAGCTGTGCTTTAGTGTAAATCCTTGCCAGAGCTTTTCCACCAGTAAATGGGGCAATTGGGATGGGGTTTTATTTTGAATGACAGTGTAACCCAAGAGCTTCACTAATTACACTGTAATATAAAGTAAATCTTTAATATACTGTCTTAAAGAATTAATATAGTATAAAGGAAAATGACTTTAAGGAAGACAACTTCATTTCATTCTGTGAGGCTCTGAAATCTGATGTGCAATAAGCAGGCAGACAAACCATTAGAGAGCAAGTAGGAATGACATTCAAGCAAGCACTTCCACAGCCTCATCAAAAATGTGCTGAAACGACAATAGTGAATGTGTATCAGAAGTTTAATTTAGTCTCCTAAGTGACCTTGATTATTTGATTGTGTGGTATCTGACAGAGT
Organism: Homo sapiens; assembly: GCF_000001405.40. Taxonomy (NCBI): domain Eukaryota; kingdom Metazoa; phylum Chordata; class Mammalia; order Primates; family Hominidae; genus Homo; species Homo sapiens. Next base: position 102,543,639 of record NC_000001.11, read on the forward strand.
GTTTTTAAGTATATTTATGAATGCCTAAAGCAGAATATAGAAAAAGGAATACTCTTCAAACAGCTACCCTGAAGATTTCTTGGATTAGAAAGGAAAATAAAAAAGATCAGTTCAGATCATTAATAATTCAACATCGTTATGATTTTAAAATCCCCTACAGTCAAAATCTTGACTTTTTTTTTTTTAGAAAATTATTATTAGGGAAAGCCCTAAGGCATTAGTGAAATGTTTATAAGGACTGTTTATTTCATTTGTATTAAAATTGTACCCTTCCAGTACGCTCCACCTAATTTGCCTGGCAAATCCAGACTGTCCAGTACCTGCATGTAGTAGATACATCTGTTACCGGTTTTTTTCTTACTTGCTGCCACACTGCTGGTTTTCTGATGCACACTAAGTGATGAGATAAAAACTAACTGTATATAACATACACAAAAATCTTTTAATTTTTGAAATATTTTTTCTATTAATAAAACCATATCACCTAAATATTTTAATAATTTATTTTCAACATTTTTAATAAGAATAAACCTCATGTAAAAAAACTCACAATTCCACAGATTTTTCATATTAAAAATTACGAGTACATCTCTTTCATTTATACCTCGAGTCTCTGAAAACAGGTGTTATCCTTTTTAATATACATATAATGGATATCATATAATAGAGTCTGCACTAATGTTTGAATATTCAGTTGTTTGTGTGCATTCTACATATGTACACATAGAAAATTGGAAAAATATCCTTAAATTGATATCCATGAACTTAGCTATGGATTAAAGTATCTTTGATAAACAGAAAAGATTCTATACCTAGATGAAGCACACTATCTAGTGACGGCTCAGACAAATAAATTTAAAACTATGGATAGAGTGTGTTAAGTATTGTAATATGAACAAACATAGGGTGTTATGTGAAATAAGTGGGAATTTAACCCAGTCTTGAGGAATGAGTATAGATATCCCACAAGATAAACTGTTTACACTGAGCTCTGCAAAGATAATTATAATTAAATCCAGGAGTATTATATGACTGTGGGCTTGACAGCAGGGTATGTTTATTATGGGAATGAACTTCTGGAAAGAGAGAATGTGTATGTTTAAGGATGCTAAAGTCATAAGAAATAATTTTGTATGTGAGAACCCTACTAACATTTAATAATATGTAATTTTATTTATGGGTAAATTTATAAATTGTCTTAGTCTTCTCTGTGCTGCTATAACAGAATATCTGAGACTGGGTAATTTATAATTAATATAAATTTTTTGGCTCATTTTGGAGAACGGGAAGTCCAAGATCAAGAAGGGCCTTCTTGTTATATCATCCCATGTGAAATGGCAAACAGAGGGCAAGAGACAGCAAGAGATCCAAATTGCAGCCTCAGGCCCATTTACAATAGCCATTAATACATTCATGAGAGTTCCACCCTTATGACCTAAACACTTCCCATCAGGGTCCACCTCCCAACATTGTTGCATTGGGGATTTAGTTTCCAACACATGCTTTTTGGGAGACACATCCAAACTATGGCATTCTGTCTCTGGCCTCAAAATTCATGTAGTTCTCAAATGTAAAATGCATTCATTTCATCTCGAGACACTCAAAGTCTTAACTGTGATGGTTCCAGCACTACCTCAAAAGTCAAAAGTTTGAAGTCTCATCTTAAATCAGATATGGGTGAAACTCAAGGCATGGGTGAAACTCAAGGCTCACATCACAGTGAAGAAAATTCCTCTCCAGCTGTAAGCCTATGAAATTAAACAAGTTAGCTATTTAGAAAATAACTATGGTGGACCAGGTGTAGAATAGACATTTTCATTTCAAAAGGGAAAAAAAGAAAGAGGTAACAGTTTCTCAGTAACTACAAAACCCAACAGGAAAAGCAAAACTAACTCTTAAAGCTCCAGAATAATCTTCCTTGACTCCATGTCTGGCCTTCTGGGCATACTGGAGTTGGGGCTAGGCCCCCAAAGACTCAGGCAGCCCCACCCCTACGCTTTGCTGAAGTCAGCCCATGCAGTAGCTCTGAAAGGTTGAAATATTGTGCCTGCAACGCTGGTAGCTCTACAATTCTGAGGTCTTGGAGGAGGCCTCACTCCCATAGCTTCACTAAGTATAACCCTAGTGAGGAGTCGCTGACATGGCTCTGCCACTGTGATAATTCTCTGTCTGAGACAACCTTGAAAATCTAGTTGGGGAAAGTTATGCCTCCACAGGAACATTCTTCCGTCTTTCAGAATTAGCCCCATGTCAACACTGTTAAGGTTTACTGCTTAAATCTTCTGGAATGGTGGCCCCAGCCATATTGGGCTGGCTTGAGTCATCGCTGTGGTGGCCAAAGAGCACAAAATGCTCAAAGCATTGACTTGAGGTAGCACAGAGCAGCCAATGCTGGGATGCTGTGGGCACCTCTCTGGAAAACTTTCTGTCAAGATCCTAGCTTGCCTTAAACATCTCTGAAATGCTTTTGACGTAATTCTCCCTTTGGTTGGTTGAATAGAACATAGCTTTCATCATATTATCCATATTAATCTCTTTAACAAATGGTCTCTTGGAAACACATTTTGCATTTTCTCCTGAGTATGTATTTTTAATCTTTACTTGACCAGTCTGAGAGTTTTCCCAACATTTTCACTTTGTTTTCTTTTTACTTATAAAGTCTGTCTTTAAGTAATTTCTCTCCTCTTGAATGTTACTAAACATGCCTAAACAAAGCCGCACAGTACCCTGAGCACTTTACTGATTAGAAATTTCTTTCTCCAGAAATCCTAGTTTATTCCTCCTAAAATCTGTCTTTCATAAAGTCCTGGAGCATTTACACAATTCAGCCAAGCCCTCTGCAACAAAAAAGGCCTTTATTATAGGTTCCAGAAATATATTTCTGTTTTCCATCTGAGGTCTCATTTTCTACCAGCATTCTGATTATGACAACTTACGTAATTTATAAGAAGTTTCAGACTTTCCCTAAAGCTCTTCTTCTGAGCTCTCACCAGAATTGCCCTTAATGCTTTGTTTACAACAATTTAGACATTTTTCTAGCCTGCTCCTCCAATTATTCCAGGCACTACCCATTACCCACTTCCAAAGCCACTTCTGCATTTTCAGGTATTTGTTGTAAAAATAGCCCAACTTTTTGGTACCAATTTTCTGTCTTTGTCCATTTTTTGTTGCTATAGCAGAATATCTGAGATTGTATAATTTATAATACACAGAAATTTATTGGCTCATGATTTTGGTGGCTTGTGAGTTCAAGATCAAAAGGCTGGCATCTGGTAAGGGCCTTCTTGATATGTCATTCTATGGCGGAAGGTCAAAAGGAGAGTGAAATAAAGCAAGAGATCAAACTGGAAACCTCAGGTTATTTTATAATTGACATTAATCCATTCATGAGGACTCCACTCTCATGATTTAAATATGTCCCATTAGGTTTCTCCTCCCAACAATATTGCATTAAGAGTTGTTTCCAACACACGTTTTATGGAGGGCACAGTCAAATGACAGCACACACCTAAAAAAAGTATAGTGCCTTACTCAAATTCAGTAATTAAATATGGATGTAAATTAGTATACAGTAAGGGAGGAGAGGCTAAGGAGGTGACTTTTAACCTGAAGCTCATACAGATATAAAAGGCTTTAGGTCGTGTTTCTTCATCTAAAACTTGCTGGTAGCTCTCTTCACTTTTATCCTGTGCTGTGCTACTTTGTATAACTGTAGTTTTTCCTCCCAGATGATAAGCATTCTGAGGGTACAACCTGTATTTACTTCTTTTTTTCTGGCCTTTCTGCCCAGCTCAATGCAGCATAAGGATACATTTGAATAAGTAGGTGATTGCTTATAGGCAACTGCTTAGGGCATGTTTTTAATGAGATATTTCATATTTTAAAATAAAGCTTATTATAAAATACATTTTCAAATAAAGCAGTTCCATTTTAAATTTCTAAATGTTTTGATAATAAATATTAGAAAGCTACTATTCTATGCTTTTTCCTCATTGTTTTTGTCACTTAATCCCAAGTTCTGCCTAATTCAAAAGGATGAAGCATAGATCAACAGCACATCAGTGATAAATACTTCCAATACAATTTGCTTCCACATTAGATATTAGAATCTCTTTTACAGACACTTAATTTGGTACAATCCTCAGGCAAGTCTGGGCTCACAGCAATGACAGAGGTTCCGATTTGTTTTCCTGAGTCATCTACCCTTCCATCTCTGTATATTTTAGGACATAGGGCTTATAGCTGAGAGGAAGTAATCTAAATCTTTTGAAATACTCCTCTTATCTGTCAACATTCAGGGTATACACACAAATGAAAAACCACAAATAATCACATATATCACAAAGTAATGCATAAAATGACAGTTTTGTAAAAATTGGTATTTAAGCAACCTTCAAATGAGGATCATGATGATTTCATTATATCCCTAGATCAGTATACACTCTTGATCTCCATGAGTAGGTGATGCATTTTTTATTTGCCTTATAAACACTTCATTATGTAAAATAAAATTAGAATTCTTGTTAAGTGTAAGCTATATGAATCCTTTAAAAATACATTAATGTATTTTGAAAATTTTTAATAAATAATTGGAATTTTCCAAATTAAAAGCTATTGAAAAACAATTTAAAAGCTTTCGAAAGCAAAAGCAATTCTGGATTGTCTTTAAAAACACAGAAGTGATGTTTTTAAAGTTAGAATATCTTCAAATGCTTTTATTGTATACAACTGACTGCAATTTTAAGTTACCTCAAGTTTTTCCACATTTTACTTAGCTTTTTAAATCACAAATAAAATATAAAAAAGCTGGCAGTAGAATGTTACAGAAAACAAACTTCCAGGAATTGCCCAGGAAATAGTAAAGATTCAGTCTAATTTCTCACAACTCATTATAATAAATATTGATGTTATGGATGCTAACATGAGATTACCAAACTTCAGTCAATAAATATCTATTGCTCTTCAGTGCACTGTACATACTAAAGAGAATATTTTTATTTCCAGCAGTAAGCAACTCCTGAACTTAACTGGCTTAGGGACCTCTTCTATAAACATTGCAGAAACCTGCAAACATGTCTATCATAATACCTACTATACTGCATTTGATTATGTTTTTCTCTATTCATTTCCTTCTTGCCTGAAAGCTCCTTGAAGTGATAATAGAGTTTTATTACTTTTTTTTTAATATATAGTGCCCAGATAGTTTTAATCTATAGTGCCTAGACAATGAGAGCTCAGGAAATGTTTGCTGCTGACATACAGGAATGAATTTTAAAAATCACATTTAGACATATACACTAAGAAAATTTGATTTATAGAATATTCCTGTGCTTCAAAGAAAAAGGCATTTTATTAATCTCTTATTTATCTGGCAATGTAATGTCATACTTTATTTCCCATCTTTGTATTAAGACTTTATCAACATAAAACCCTTAACAAAGATTTTGTTGCAACTGGAAATTTACTTGGTATTTTCTAAAATTTAAGTCAATGTATCACACCTTGAAGTCATACAATATCATAAGAAAATTTTAATGATGGATAATGCTTTTAATTACTATAGTCACTTTCAACATGACATTGATGATATTTTTATTTGCTTGTCTTCTGAATCTAATGTATGACCTAATAGTATGCCTCTGGATAGTTAAAAATATAACAAAGAGAAAATAAATGACTGAAAGTGATAATAATATTTTTAGTTATGTATTATTATTTTAAGGAATGCATTTGATATTTATATATACCTGTTCATTACTGAATAAATAAACTATAATTTATTATTTATTATTACCAAGGTAATACACCTTTGTTATAAAAAATGCTGAGCAATAAGAAGAAGAAAAAGTTTACTTAGAGTCCCCTGAAAAAAAGATACCCAGTGGCAAACATGGTAATTTTTCTTTCCCTCCTTTATCCATGTAAAGTTTTACATGGTTAAAGTCATAACACATGTATTTTAAAATAAAGCAAATATGTTCTGGTAATAATTTGTTTCTTCAGCAAATATTTTTTGGCACCTACTATGTGCTATGTACTCTTCTGGGTACTTGGGATATATCAATGAACAAAATAGAAAATATTATTGCCCATGTGCATCTAAAGCTCTGGGACCTACAAATATAAATAAAAATAAATAAGGAAATTGCATAGTATGTTAGAATATTCTATCAAAAACGAAAGCAGGGAAAGAGAATAGGAGATCAAGGAAGGAGTCTAAGATATAAATATAGTCAGATAAAACATGACTGAGAAGGCTAGTTTTGAAAATGGCTCCGAAGTAAGTAATAGAATGAATCCCAGAGAAATTTAGAGTAGAAGACCAATGACTGTGATGAAACAAAAACAGAAAGTTATTGTGGTTGAAGCAGAGGAAACATGGGAGATTATACTGAAAATAAAATACAGTGAGACTGTATTAATCCATTCTCATGCTGCTAATGAAGACATATCTGAGAACACCTAATTTATAAAGAGGAGGCGGTTTAATAGACTCACAGTTTCACATGGCTGGGAAAGCCTCACAATCACAGGGGAAGGTGAAGGAGGAGCAAAGGCATATTTGACAAGGCAGCAAGGAAGAGAGCATGAGCAAAAGGGAAAAAGTCCCTTATAAAACCATCAGATCTTGTGAGAACTCACTCACTATCATGAGAACAGTATGATGGTAACTGCCTCCATGATGAAATTACTTCCCACTGGATCCCTCCCATGACACATGGAGATCATGGGAACTACAGATAAAGATGAGATTTGGGTGGGGACATAACCAAATTATATCCTTCTACCTCTGGCCCCTCCCAAATCTTATGTCCTCACATATTAAAACAAAATCATGCCCTTCCAACAGTCCCCCAAAGTTTTGCCTCATTTTAGCATTACCTCATAAGTACAAGTCCAAAGTCTCACCTGAGACAAGGCAAGTCCTTTTTGCCAATGAGCCTGTAAAGTTAAAAAAAAAAAAAAAGTTAGTTACTTCCTAGATACAATGGAGGTACAACCATTGGGTAAATACACCCATTAACAATGGGAGAAATTGGCCAAAACAAAGGGTCTACAGGACCCATGCAAATTCAAAATCTAACAAGGCAGTAATTAAATTTTAAAGCTCCAAAACAATCTCCTTTGACTCCCTGTCTCACATCCAGGTCATGTGATACAAGAAGTGGGCTCTCACAGGCTTGAGCAGCTCTGCCCCCTGTGGCTTTGCAAGGCACAGCCCCTCTCCCAGCTGCTTTCACAGGCTAGCATTGAGTGTCTGCGGCTTTCTGAGGCACATGGGGCAAGCTGTTGGTGGATCTACCATTCTGGGATCTGGAGGACGGTGGCCCTCTCATAGCTCCACTAGGTGGCACCCCAGTAGGGACTCTGTGTGAGGGCTCCAACCAAGTCCCCAAACTGCAAAAAGCAGCAAGTCTCTGGGCACAGGCCATGAAACCATATTTTTCCTCCTGGGCCTCCTGGCTTGTGATGGGAGAGACTACCTTGAAGACCTATGAGATGCTCTGGAGACATTTTCCCCATTGTCTTAATAATTAACATTTGGATCCTCATTACTTATGCAAATGTTTGCAGCCAGCTTGAATTTCTCATCAGAAAAAAGACTGTTCTTTTCTATCATATCATCAGGCTGCAAATGTTCTGAACTTTTATGCTTTGCTTCCTTTGTTTTTAAATTATACTTTAAGTTCTGGGACACATGTGCAGAACATGCAGGTTTGTTACATAGGTATACATGTGCCATGGTGGTTTGTTTCACCCATCAACCCATCATCTACGTTAGGTATTTCTTCTAATGCTATCCCTCTACATGCTCCCTGCCCCCGGACAGGCCCCAGTATGTGATGTTCCCATCCCTGTGTCCATATGTTCTTATTGTTCAACTCCCATTTATGACTGAGAACATGTGGTGTTTGTTTTTCTGTTCCTGTGTTAGTTTGCTGAGAATGATGGTTTCCAGCTTCATCCATGTTCCTGAAAAGGACATGAACTCATTCTTTTTTTATGGCTGCATACTATTCCATGGTGTATATGGGCCACATTTTCTGTATCCAGTCTAACATTGACGGGCATTTGGGTTGGTTCCAAGTCTTTGCTATTGTGAATAGTGCAGCAATAAACATATGTGTTTATGTGTCTTTATAGTAGAATTATTTATAATCCTTTGGGTATATACCCAGTAATGGGATTGCTGGGTCAAATTGTATTTTTGTTTCTAGATCCTTGAGGTATTGCCACACTGTCTTCCACAATGGTTGAACTAATTTATGCTTTCACCAACAGTGTAAAAGCATTTCTATTTCTCCACATCCTCTCCAGCATCTGTGGTTTCCTGACTTTTTAATGATCACCATTCTAACTGGTGTGAAACGGTATCTCATTGTGGTTTTTATTTGCATTTCTCTAATGACTAGTGATGATGAGCTTTTTTCATATGTTTCTTGGCTGCATAAATGTCTTCTTTTGAAAAGTATCTGTTCATATCCATTGCCCACTTTCTGATGGGGTTGTTTTTTGCTCGCAAATTTGTTTAAGTTCCTTGTAGATTCTAGATATTAGCCCTTCGTCAGATGGATAGATGGCAAAAATTTTCTCCCATTCTCTAAGTTGCCTGTTCACTCTGATGGTAGTTTCTTTTGCTGTGCAGAAACTCTTTAGTTTCATTAGATCCCATTTGTCAATTTTGGCTTTTGTTGCCATTGCTTTTGGTGTTTTAGTCATGAAGTCTTTGCCCATGCCTACCTGACTTTATACTACAAGGCTACAGTAACCAAAACAGCATGGTACTGGAACCAAAACAGAGATATAGACCAATGGAACAGAACAGAGGCCTCAGAAATAATACCACACATCTACAGCCATTTGATCTTTGACAAACCTGAAAAAAAACAAGCACTGGGGAAAGGATTCCCTATTTAATAAATGGTGTTGGGAAAACTGCTTAGCCATATGCAGAAAACTGAAACTAGACCCCTTCCTTACACCTTATACAAAATTAACTCAAGATGGATTAAAGATTTAAACATAAGTCCTAAAACCATAAAAGCCATAGAAGAAAACCTAGGCAATACCATTCTGCCTCCCTTTTAAAGATAAGTTCCAATTTCAAACCATATATTTGTGAATGAATAAAACTGAATGTTTTTAGGAGCACCTAAGTCACCTCTTGAAGGTTTTGCTGCTTAGAATTTTTTTCTGCCAGACACCCTAAATCATCTCTCCCAAGTTCAAATTTCCACAGATCTCTAGGGCAGGGGCAAAATACTGCCAGTCTCTTTGCTAAGCCATAGCAAGAATCACCTATACTCCAGTTTCCAATAACTTCCTTATTTGCAAGACCACCTCAGCCTGAACTTCACTGTCCATATCACCGTCAGCATTTTGGTCAAAGCCATTCAACAAGTTTCTAGGAAGTTCCAAACTTCCCAGATCTTCCTATCTTGCTGTCTTCTTCTGAGCTCCCCAGATTGTTTCAATCTCTGCCTGTTACCCAGTTCCAAAGTTGCTTTCACATTTGCGGGGTGTCTTTACAGCTGTTCTTCACTACCTGGTACCAAGTATCTGTATTAGTCTGTTCTCATGCTGCTAATAAAAACATACTCAAGACTGGCTAATTTATAACGAAAAAGAGGTCTGATGGACCTACAGTTGCACATGGCTGGGGAGGCCTCACAATCATGGTAGAAGGCAAATGAGGAGCAAAGGCAGTTCTTACATAACAGCAGGCAAGAAAGCATGATAAAATAGAAAAAGTCTGTTATAAAACCATCAGATCTTGTGAGAACTCACACACTATCATGAGAACAGCATGAGGATAGCTGCCCCCATGATGAAATTACCTTCCACTGGGTCCCTCCCATAACATGTGGGGATTATGGGAACTACAATTAAAGATGAGATTTGTGTGGGGATACAACCAAATCATATCAGACAAGAATGGTAGCAAAAAGTTCAGGTAGGTGGCCATAAAAATAATCCAGGTGAGAAATTATTGATGGGGACAGGAGGCAGAAAAATTCTGGGCAGAATAATGCAGGTACCCAGCAAGGGTCCCACCCTCAAGCCTAGAACCATGGCCCAAAGTGAGAACATGCATTCCTGTTTTCCTGTTCAAATGTTGCCTTTTCTAAAACCACCCTTAACCCACCCCACTGTTGCAGGAAGTCAGGGACCCCAAACGGAGGGCCCGGCTGGAGCTGCGGCAGAGGAATATAAATTGTGAAGATTTCATTTTAATATGGACACATATCCATTCCCAAAATTAATACTTTTATAATTTCTTACACCTGTCTTTACTGCAATCTCTGAACATAAATTGTGAAGATCTCATGGACATTTATCACTTCTCTAATAATACTCTTATTATTATGGACATGCAAGTAGGAGAGAGATCACTGAATTCTTTTCCCAGCAGGGAATATTAATAATTAATACCCTGGGGAAGGAGCATTCCTCAGGGGAAGTCTATAAATGGCTGCTCTGGGAGTGTCTGCCTTATATGGTTGAGATAAGGACTGAAATACGCCCTGGTCTCCTGCAGTACCCTCAGGCTTCTTAGGGTGGGGAAAAGATCCCACCCTGGTAAATCTGAGGTCAGACCGGTTCTCTGCTCTCGAACCCTGTTTTCTGTTGTTTAAGATGTTTATCAATACAATACGTTCACAGCTGAACATAGACCCTCATCAGTAATTCTAATTTTGCCCTTTGCCTTGTGATCTTTATTGCCCTTTAAAGCATGTGATCTTTGTGACCTACTCCCTGTTCATACACCCCCTCCCCTTTTAAAGTCCTTCATAAAAATCTGCTGGTTTTGCGGCTCAGGTGGACGTCACGGACCTACTGATATGTGATGTCACCCCCGGAGGCCCAGCTGTAAAATTCCTTTCTTTGTACCCTTTCTCTTTATTTCTCAGACGGGCCAACACTTTGGGAAAATAAAAAGAACCTATGTTGAAATATTGGGGGTGGGTTCCCCTAATACCCCACCCCCATTCTGTGCTCACACAAACCCCAAGCTTTGCCAGCAGAGCAGGAGAGGAGGAGAAGAGGAGAAGCAGCTAGACATCGGAGACTATGATTTGACATTGGACAGAAGCAGCTTGATGTTAGAGGAATGGTTTGATGGTATTGCTTCAGAGAGGAGTTCGTCCAGACTCCAGGGGAAGATCACCTGCCTATTCCACATTTTTTCCAGCACCCCTTCTGGCTGAGAGCCACTTCTATCAGCAATAAAATCCTCTGCATTCATTAACTTTTCCTGGATGCCAAACAAGACCTCAGGTGCCATGGGTACAGATCCTAAAGGCTGCCACACTAACCCTCTGCTCCTGCTGATGGCAAGCAACCACCTCATGCAAAAAGGCAGAGGGCCCAATGAACTGTTTAATACTTAAGCTGTCCACAGATGGGAAAGTTAAAGAGCACTGTAAAACACTCTTTGGGGCTTCAAGGGTCATGGGTACTCCCTGCTTGATGCTGCCATGGGGCCCGCACAGAGTTTTGCTTCTGTCAGCATCCAAAAGCACTTGCCCTGGCTCCTGCACCCACGCACCTGTGTGCTCTCTCTCTCATGAGAGGTTGAGGGCAATGGGTTGTAATCGGTGGAGTTTTGCTCTTTTGCAGGTGCCTAAGCAACCAGCTAGCTCCATCACCCACACTCCAGTTCCCCACTCACAAAGGGGTCGGATAAATTTCCCACTTTATTATGTTTGTTTAAGTCAGAGGGGAAGCTGTGACAGTGGAAAGAACTAGTTGAATTCTGGATATATTTTGAAGATATAACTAGTAGAAAGCATTCACATTAAAAATAAGGTATGATCATGATAACCATATAGGATCACACTAAGATTTTGTCCCAAGTAACTAGAAAGATGAATTTGTCCTCACTGTAATGGGAATGATAAGAGGGATCATCAATTTGGGAAAAAAGTTCAGGTCACCAGTTCAAATATATTAATATAAGTTGTTTAATAGGAATTCACACATATCTTTATGTACTCAGGTGAACATATAAATTGGGAACTGTGGAGAGAGGTTAAGACTTCAGACTGAAACGTAGGAGTCCTTCACATGGGTGAGACTGGAAGAATTCTCCCAAGGAAGTAGTGCAGATAGGGAAGAGGTGTCCAGAGACTGAGCATAAAAGCTCACCCATGTTAGGAGACAGTAGTATACAAAAAAGAAGGCTAAACAAAAGTATCAAGGAAAAGTGGAATAAAATCTAGCTCTTTTGAAAGCCAAGTGAAGAAAGAGAACAGAGTGATCAACTATATCAAGCACTACTGAAGGGTCAGATTGGATGAGGCCTGAGAAATGAGCCTAGGTTTTAGAAACATGGATGTATCGGTTAGCAATAATAATTGTGGTTATGTTTAAGTAATAGGGATTAAAACCTAATTATAAGAAGTTTAAGGGAATATATAGGAAAAATAATAGGAGATAATATGAGATATTTATTTAATTTTAGTAGATAAAGTTTTGTTGTCAAGGGAAGCAAAGGAATGAATGAAAAGTGGTGAAAAATGTGAGTGTAAGCCTTTCTCTTTGTATATTTAAATAAAACTGTTGAATAGAAAAAAGTTAGCTTCTCTTTTTTTTTTTTTTTTTTTTTGATATGGAGTCTCACACTGTCACCCAGGCTGGAGTGCAGTGGCATGATCTCAGCTCACTGCATCTTCCACCTCCTGGGTTCAAGCAATTCTCCTGCCTCAGCCTCCCCAGTAGCTGGGACTACAGGTACATGCCACCATGCCCTGCTAATGTTTTGTATTTTTAGCGGAGATGGGGTTTCATTGTGTTAGCCATGATGGTCTTGATCTCCTGACCTCATGATCTGCCTCCATCTCCGAAAGTGCTGGGATTACAGGCATTAGCCACCGTGCCAGGCCAAAAGTTAGCCTCTTAGATCCTGATGGAAACGATCCAGTAGAGGGAAAAGTTATGATCCAGGAAAGTAAAATGATAATGACAGAGGAACTGACCTTGAATAAATAAGTAAGCACTTAGTACACAAGGAGAGAGCTTGGCCTTTAACAACAGCAAAGACAGTTCATCTTTGCTAACAGAAGTGAATATAGAAGGATACAACCATTGGTAAGTGTGCTGATATGGTGAGTGGAGCTTGAGATTTTCTCCTGATTGCTATTTCTTTTTTAGATGAAGTTGATATAATATAAAAGAAATCATCTTAAACAATTCAGTGGCATTTAGTAAATTTAATTTGGTGCAATAATCACCTCTACTTGGGAACCCTAACTAATACAACACCTAATACTATGGATATGATAAAAAAAAAGAACAAATGTTGGCACAGTAGGCTGTCTACAAGCTTGAGGAGCAAGGAGAGCCAGTCCAAGTCTCAAACATCGGACTTGAAGTCCGATGTTTGAGGGGAGGAAGTATCCAGCACGGGAGAAAGATGTAGGCTGAGAGGCTAAGCCAGTCTTGCATTTTCATGTTTTTCTGCCTTCTTTATATTTGTTGGCAGCTGATTAGATTGTGCTCACCAGATTAAGGGTGAGTCTGCTTCCCCAAGCTCATTGATTCAAATGTTACTCTCCTTTGGCAACACTCTCACAGACACACCCAGGAACAATACTTTGCATCCTTCAACCCAATCAAGTTGACACTCAGTATTAACCATCACAAGTCCAGCCCTTGTCAACTTGAACCCATGCACATCTCCGAGATCATACATGATGTTCAAGTAAAGACAATAATAAGGTCATAATTATGCATAACATAATACAACTATCCTTTGTACAACCGGAAACATACCAATCCCCAACCCAAATACTATTACATAAAGTTAACAATGCTTAAATGCTGATATGAAGTCAATAAATCTATGTCACATGATAAAGGAAAATAGAAGATATTTTCTTAGTACAAGGGTATACATGCATAAACATGTTTTTAATAAAAGAAGGAGGAAATACCCATTACAGTTACAGTCCTCTTTCTGCAGCTGGTCATGTAGTTGTAGCTGGTATCGATGATTACCTTCTTCTACTACCCATTCTGTATTCCCTTCACCTTCAGCAAGCATCTCAGCAGGTCCTGCTGGCGGAGCAACCCAAGCCTTCATTCGTGAGGGGTCTGGGCCATTTGTAGTCCTGCCTGGATGGGGCTGTTGTACTTTCCCATTGACCTTAATAACAGAGCATGGTAATACTAAGAAATGCCCTAATGGATCTCCTGTATTTCATGCATACTCTTCCTTAACTCCATATGGAGTAATAGACTGATTTCATCTTGATAGTCTGGGTCAATCACCCCAGACAACACTGTAACTCTCTCCGTGGCTTGTTGACTTAAAGGTAGGGGGAGCCCAAAGTGTCCAGGTGGCAATCTGGTGGCAATTGCTGGCCATTAATCCACTTTGAATTAACTTTTGTATATAGTGTGAGGTAGAGGTCAAAGTACATTGTTTTGCCTTTGGACATCCAATATTCCCAGAACCATATGTTGAAGATACAATTATTTCCGTATTGAATGGTCTTGCAACATTTGTTCAAAATCAGTTGGCAACAGATGTATAGTTTAACTTCTGACTCTTAATTTCTTTCTACTCTTCTAATATATTTATTCTTATGCCAGTATCACATTGTTTTGATAACTATAGTTTTGTAGTAAGTTTTAAGATCCAGAAATTTGAGTCCTTCAGATTTACCATTTTTTGAAGTAATTTTGACTATTTGGATTCCAACTGGAATTACAGATTACCTTTTCCATTTCTGCACAAAATGTCATGGATATGTTAATTAAGATTACACTGAATGTGTAGATCATTTTGGACAATATTGCTACTTAACATTAAGTCTTCCAATTTATGAACAAGAGATGCCTTTCAATTTATTTAAATCTTCTCCAATTTCTGTCAGCAATGTTTTATAATTTCTAGTCTACAACTCTTTCAATTTCTTTATTAAATTTATTCTTTTGTATGCTATTACTTAGAATTGCTGGACTTGAATTTATTTTCTTAATTGCCTTTTTAGATAGCTCATTGTTAGTATATGAAAATATAACTGATTTTTGAGTTGTCTGCAATTTTGCTAAATTTCTTTAACTTGTAATATTTTTGTGGATTGTTTGAGGTTTTCTATGTACAAGATCATGTCTTCTGTGAATATAGCTTGAATTCTATTTATCCGATCTGGATGTCTTTTATTTCTTATTCTTGCCTAATTAGGCTCACAGAATTTTCAGTACAATAAATAACAGTGAGAAAATAGTGTCTTATTCGTGATTCCACGGGGAAAAATGTTGTCTTTTACCCATGAATATGATGCTACCTGTGAATTTTTCATAAATATTCTTTATTATATTGCAAAAGTTTCCTTCTACAGGGTTTCTATACATCTTATATACATATACTTGTATGTAACTACATATATACACATATATAGAAACTTATACATACATGTTTCTACATACTTCTATACATACACATAGAGTATATAAGTATATATACATGTATACATATAGATACACACATATATATACATACATTTGTATGTATATGGGTGTATATATGTACATACGTAGGGTTGTGTGTGTATATATATACCCCTGTACTTATATTAATGTCTCTGTCTATATCTATACAGTATTCTATATAATTTTGCTTACCATAGAATTCTTGGTTGACAGTTGATATTTTTCCCCCATCACTTTAAAAAATGTTTTTCTACTTCCTCTAACCTCTGTCATTTCTGATAAGAAATTTGTTGTTAATCTTACTGTGCATCTTTTGTATATTGTAAGTTGCCTCTCTCACTACTTTCAAGATTTTTTGTCCTTGGCTTTTGAACATTATATTACAATGTATGTTGGTGCAGGTCTCCTTTTGTTTATCCTCCTGGGTTTCACTGAACTCTTGAATTTGTGGATTTGTGTGTTTTATTAAATTTGGAAGCTTTTGATTATTATTGATTTAAACATTCTCTCTTCTTTTTTTTTCTTTGGGGATTCTTACTGGTACATTGATAATATTACACAGGTCTCAGGCTCTGTTAATTTTTTCTTCCTTCTTTTTTTTCTCTGTTCCTCTGACTGGATCATTTTAACTGGTATATCTTCAAGTTTACTGATTCTTTCTTCTACCTGCTTAAAAATACTATTAAAATTCTGCAGTTGGTTTTTCATTTTAGTTACTTTACTTCTCAGCTCTCAATTTTTTGCCTGGTTAGTTTTATAATTTCAATCTCTTTATTGATATTCTCTATTGGATTCATATGTCAATCTCCTGGCTTCTTTTAGCTGTTTGACAATCATTTCTCTTTAGTTCTTTGAGCATATTTAAGATAGTTCATTTGAAGTCTTTGTCTAGGAAGTCCAAAAGTTGTGCTTTCTCAGGGATAGTTTTTCTTCTGAAAATAGCCTGCACTCTCTTTTCCCTTTGCATGCTTCATAATTTTCTTGTTCTTGTTGAAAACGAACTATTTTGAATGTCATAATTGGTAACTCTGGAAATCGAATGCTTGCCTCTCCTCAGATTTGTCTTCATCAATTGCTAATAGGCTGTAGTTGTTTGTTTAGTCAGACTTGTAAACTATTTCTTATAATAAAGTCTGAGTTCTTTATAATTTGTGTTATCTGAAGTCTCTGGTTCTGTAGTTATGTTCAGCTAGTGTTTTGACATTTTCTTGAATGCCTGAAGCCAAAAGAGAAGAGAGAAAGGAAATAGAAAAAGAGAGAAGCCTGCTTATGCATAGCTTTGCCTTAGTCTTCTTTTTCCCCCTTACACTGAGCCTAGAGATCAGCCAGAGGTAAAAGCTAGGAAGTTCTTAGGTCTTTTCTGCATATGTCCTGTCCTGGGTACATGTGTGGTTTTTTAAATTCCCCAGTATACATGAATGCTTTCTAATGCCCTAATTTTTCCAAGAAACTGTATCCTTGGCCTGTCTTCCTAGGCTTTTGATGCTCTGTTTTATTACTTGATGACAATCCTTTGTTCCTGGTTACTGAATTTTTTTTTTCACTTTAAGTTTTTGAGTAATGTTCTCTGCTTTTCTCTGCCATAACTGAGTTCTGAGTTAGATGAAACAAAGACAAGTATGTGTCAGAACTTCAGGGAGCCCACAGACAAATACTCTTCTTTGCAAATAAGATATGTTCTTGTTCCTCCAGACTAGGATCGAGGGTGTCCTACTTGGAACACAAGCTGCTCTCTTTAACACCACCGATGAGTGGGGAAAGAGCAAGTCAAAATGCCACAAAGCTTTCTTACTCTTTCTTAGGTTGTCTTTTCCTTGATACAACATACGCTTGATTTTTCCCTATTTCTGTGGAGAGATGGGCCCATGGAGATGCCTACTTGCCATTTTCTCAGCCATTCACCTGTTTCTATATTTTCAGTTAGAGTAAGATGAAGTGATGAAGATTTAAAGCTAGGATCTGAAATGTGTAAAATGGAAACCTGGAAGAATTAAAGAGTCAATATATGAGAAAACAGTATAATTGTCTGAAGCCATTGAAAACTTCTTAGGCTTATTGTCACACTTTTAGAGTAAAATCAGTCAGTATGATAGTATTATACTGTGCTGTTTTACAGTCACTTGCATTATGCATGGGGTGGGCAGAGAGAGATTTGAAAAGGGCCTGGGGTTCTGATAAAATGAGTACAATTAAGCAAGTGAGAGTTAAGGAGTTTAATGTTGCATCCAACATCCACAGTTTAATGGTGACTGTAATGAATGAAGTTTCACTAACTTTAAGTTAGGTGAAGAAGGGAGTACATGAGAGGTCAGTGACAGAGTAAAACCGTTCAGGACGGTCAATACTATGACCCCACAGGACGTCCAGTGGGGTCATAGTATTGTTGGATTCAGGCTTCAAGTCAGAGAAACCTGGAAAGATTGAGGGCAACTGGTGAGTGTGATGTTTGAAACAGAGATTATGGAGGGGGTAAAGTCATTAATAACATCATTTTGTTACTTGAACAATAGGCTACAGACTCTAAACTGCCTATACACATATTTTTAACGTCATAATATACCACCTTTCCTCCCATCTGTTTCCAATGATTCAGTCTTATGGCTATTTTTTACTTCCTTGAATACATCAAATTTATTTCAGTTTCATACACCCTTACCCTTACCTTATCTTCAACATAGAGCACCCTGTGGTCAAATCATTAAGTGGTTAGCTCAAAGGTGATCACAAACAAGTTTTCTCTGACCATCCAATTTAAAGGTGTCTCTGCCACTTAATTATTCTTCTTACACAGATAAACACATACATACACACACACACATCTCTATGTCTCTCTGATTTACAGACATAACCTGATTTGATTGTTTTTCACTTTATTTCAATTTGAGGATACAGTATTCTTTAAATTGAAAGATTATGGCAACTCTGTGTCCAGCAATTCTATTGGACCATTATTCCAAAAGCATGTCCTCATTTTATTTTTCTGTGTCACATTTCGGTAATTATCACAATATTTCAACCTTTTTAGTTATTATCTGTCATAGTGATCTATGATCAGTGATCATTGATGTTACTGTTATGATTGTTTTGGAGAAACACAAACTGTGCCATATAAGATGGTGAACTTAATTGATAAATGTTGTGTGTGTTCTGACTCTTCCACTAACTGGCTATTTCCCCATTTCTCTCTCTCACATCAGATCTCTCTATACCCTGAGACAAAACAATTTTGAAATTAGGTCACCTAATCACCTTATGATGGTCTCTAAGTGCTTAAGAGAAAGAAATAGTCATACATAACTCACTTTAAATAAAAGTTAGAAATGATTAAGCTTACTGAGGAAGATATGTTAAAAGTCAAAGTAGGCTGAAAGCTAGTTCTATTGTGCCTAAGACATAGCCAAGTTATGAATGCAAAGGAAACATAAGAAATATTCTTGAAGGAAAGTAAAGTGCTACTTCAGTGAAAACACAAATGATAATACATCAAAACAGCTTTATTGCTGATATGGACATTTTTCATGATCTGGATAGAAGATCAAACTAACACATTATCTTAAACCAAAATCAAATCTAGAGGAAGATCCTCTCTTCAATTCTATAAAAGCCAAAAGAAGTCAGGAAGCTACAGAAGAAAAGTCTGAAGCTTCCAGGGGTTGGTTCATGTGTTTTGGGGAAAGAAGCCATCTCCATCACGTAAAAGTGCAAGGTGGAGCAGCAAGTCCTCAACCAGAAAAAAGATGATGTCTCATCGAAGGCTCAGATGAGTATTAGTATTTTTTAGCAATACAAAATAGCCAGTGAGGAAAAGTCAATGCCAGGTTTAAATCTTCCAGGGACAAGCTGACTCTCTTCTGAGGGGCTAATTCAACTGGTGACTTTAAGGTGAAGCCAATGCTTTGTACTATTATGAAAATCTTAAGGCCCTTGTGAATTACTAAAACTACTCTGCCTGTGTTCTGTAAATGCAACAAGAAATCTGAATGACAGCATGTCTGTTTACAGTGTGCTTTATGTTCTCACTCATAGGTGGGAATTGAACAATGAGAACACATGGACAAAGGAAGGGGAACATCACACACCGAGGCCTGTTGTGGGGTGGAGGGAGGGGGAGAGATAGCATTAGGAGATATACCTAATGTTAAATGATGAGTTAATGGGTGCAGCACACCAACACAGCACATGTATACATATGTAACTAACCTGCACGTTGTGCACATGTACCCTAAAACTTAAAGTATAATAATAAAAAATAATAATAAATATGTTAAGCCCACTGTTCAGAACTACTAGCCAGAAAAAAAAAAAAGATTTCTTTCATTTCATTCCTTGATCATTGACATTGCACCTGGTCACTTGAAAGCTCTGAGGAAGATGTACAAAGAGATTGATATTGTTTTCATGCCTGCTAACATAACAGCCATTCTTCAGCCCATGGTTAAAAAAATATAAATTTTATGCTTTTTATTTAGGAAATACATTTTGTAAGTCTGTAGCTGCCCTAGATAGCAATTCCTTTGATGGATTTAGGCAAAGTAAATTGAAAATCTCTTGAAAAGATTTACCACTGTAGATGCCTTTAACAGTATCTGTGACTTGGCCAGGCATGGTGGCTCATGCCTGTAATCCCAGCACTTATGCGGGTGGATCACCTGAGGCCAGGAGTTTGTGAGCAGCCTGACCAATATACAGTGAAACACAGTCTCTACTAAAAATACAAAAATTATCTGGGTGTAGTGGCACACACCTGTAGTCCTAGCTACTTCGGAAGCTGAGGAGGAGAATCGTTTGAACCCAGGAGGTAGAAGTTGTAGTGAGCCGAGATCATTCCACTGAACTTCAGCCTGGGTGACAGAGCGAGACTCTGTCAAAAAAAAAAAAAAAAAAAGCGACTTATGGGAGAATGTCAAAATAGTAACATTAACAGCAGTTGGGAGGAAGTTGATACCAACCGTCATGGACGACTTCAAGGGGTTTAAGACTTCAGTAAACACAATAACTGCAGATATGGAGGAAATAGCAAGAGAACTAGAATTAGAAGTGGAGGTGAAGATGTGAGATGTGACTGAATTGCTGAAATCTCATGGTAAAACTTGAACAGATGAGGAGTTGCTTTTTATGGATAAGGAAAGACAGTGTATTTTTGAAATCTGCACTTGGTGAAGATGCTATGAAAATTGTTGAAGTGAAAGTAAAGGATTTAGAATATTTCATAACTTATTTGATGAAGCAGCCACAGGTTTTAAAAAGATGAACTTCAATTTTAAAAGTTCTACTGTGAGTAAAATCTTATCAAACAGCATCATGTGCTACAGAAAAATCTTTCATGAAAGGAAGTGTCAGACAATGTAGCAAACTTCATTGCTGTCTTATTCTAAGAAATCTCCACAGCCACCTCAACTTTCAGCAAACACCTCCCTGATCAGTCAGCAGCCATCGGCACTGAGGTATGAGCCTCCCCCAGCCAAAAGACTGTCTCTCCCTGAAGGCTCAGATGATTGTTAGCACTTTTTAGCAAAAATGTACTTTCAATTAAAGTATGTAAGTTTTTTTAAGACATAATGCTATTGCATATTTAATAAACTACTAGTAAAGTGTAAACATAACTTTCATATGCACTGGGAAATTAAAAAAATTGTTGTGACTCACTTTATTGTAATATTTGTTTTACTGTGGTGGTCTGGAACTGAACCTACATTATCTTTGAGTTATGTGTATACTTTCTTTGAAGCACTTACAATGATCAAACTTTATCTAGAACATTTGTTTATTAACAATTTTCTGTATTTCTTTCTGTATACTTTCCTAAAATAATGTTCATTTCAATTAGCAAAAGTCCTGAGTTCTCTATGCATAGCAAATAAAGCAGTAAGAATAAATGGAAAAATAAAAGAATGCAAATGTTTGAATACATATTAATTATTTTGTACTATTGGTAGAATTGCTGCCTTTTAAATGTGCTCAAGTTTTCGTAATTGAGCTGATAGCTAGGATAAATTTGTAGCTTTTTTTTTTAAATAAAAGTGTTTAAATACCAGAAATCTTTTAGAATTCATATACTTATTTTTCCTTCTAAAAAGAAAACATTTATTATTTTAAAATATTACCCTGATCATTGCCTTTTGATATGTTTGTTTTAGGAAAAAAAGAGAAAGTCTTTTATAGACATTATTCACAGAGATAGATGAGTTTGAAAGTACATTTTTATTGCCCACTTTAACTTAATGGGTTCTAGCACACAGAATAAAATAGAGTTTACACTGTGTCATTTACATTAGCATTAAATTGGTAAGGCTCACAGGACTCTCATCTGATGAGTTTGCTTGCCAATATAAAAAATGATCTTTGGATTATGTTTGACCCCTTACTGATCGTGCCTAGATGAAAATTCACCCTTTCAAACTAATAAAATCTCATGGTATTGACATTAATGTCTGATATGAAATGATAATGAGGGCTACAAAATATCTTCTAAAAAATCTTTAGTTTTCATTCAAACTTGGTAAATGTTGGATCACATTGCCCACTACTCAATTTATTATAGTTGCTTTCTAATGCAGATTCTTATTTTGTCTGAATTCAAGCCACGTTTGCATTAACTACGGCTGTATGACAAACCCCCTTATTAAAAAGTTTCTAGTTTATTATTCTATATCTCATTTAAAAATATTACAATTATCAATACCAGTCTATAACTACAATCCATATAAATATGTAAAAAAAAGTTTAGCCAATAAAACTTACAGAATCATAAAATCTCAGAATTAGAAGAATATTTTGGTTAAGATTTTTAAAATTATATCAAGTGAGTGAAGTGATAAAACACTGTAGAGCAAACCAACTCAATTTATGACCATAAACTTCTTTTGCAAATTTGTTGAATACATTTGAAATGTGATCCTTGCGTTATTGCTTTTATGTTAGATCTTTGTGTTATGATTTTTTAAATACATACTGACTTATATAAATAGACTATTTCAAGAGGAAATGTTATATGTAGTCCATGAGAGCTTTTTAAAAAACTATGAATTCATGTGAAAAATGATAACGATAGGTTCTGACTGCATTTAAGAAGCTATAAGAGACTGAGTGGAAGAAGCCATGTCTGTCAAATGAATGGGTTGAAAAAAGGGGCTAGTGCACAGTACTTTAAATAAAATAATCAGAATTCAATAAAGTCATAGGTGTTGAGCAGGCACTGTTAATACAAAGATAGATATGTTGTTTTTCATAATTCAGTCTAGTTGGAGAGAAAGGAATATGAATAGAAAATTAAAATGCAGTGTTAGACTTCTGGTACAAGATGGCAGACTGGTTACATGAAAGTACTTATTCTAGCTCCTGAGACCATATTCAAATGAGAGCAAATGTACTGTGTTTTAAAATACAAAGTCTTTATTCTGAGACAATGAGGGGGCAGCATCACAGGATAAAATGTTTCCATGCAATTTGACAGAATTAAAAAGAAAACACTGTAACTCTATTACAAAGATTTTCTTGAATTTAACATATACATTCCTGTTATTATTATGAAAATATTAGTCACATCTGATTCACATACTTTATATATTCATT
Organism: Homo sapiens; assembly: GCF_000001405.40. Taxonomy (NCBI): domain Eukaryota; kingdom Metazoa; phylum Chordata; class Mammalia; order Primates; family Hominidae; genus Homo; species Homo sapiens. The sequence goes on from NC_000001.11 coordinate 102,566,652, forward strand.
GAGAGTAATTTAATTGCTCCAAAAGATCTGTCTATGAAGAACAACTATCTTTTTAAATACCCAAAACTAATTTAGCAATTCTCTTTTAGATTTTTCTCATGATGAGCCTCCAGCTCCCATTGCCTGATCTACCCACTTCCAGTTGGGAAAAGCAGTTCCCAAGGCTTAGCCTAAACATAAAAATAGTATAACTGTAAGCCTGAAAAAGTCACTATAAGAAGCTAAGGTAAATATATGAATGCTATAATTAATATCCTAGATAAATGAGTATGTTGCATCTATGTAAAAGAATGGGATACCTTGGGGAAAAATAAAGTATAATAAAGAACTTTCATATATATATATATACACACACATAAATATACATATATATATACATATATATACACACACATATATATGTGTGTGTGTGTGTGTGTGTGTATATATATATCCCAAAGCAGATAGTATACAGGTTAGAAAAAAGTTAAAGTTGTCATTCAGAAAGTTGAACAAAACACAAAGATATGAAAATGTGATAGGAAGAAAAGGTTAAACATCAATCCCCAAAGTAAAATACTAAATAGAGTTATACATAAAAGAGGGATAGAGATAAAAGAGGGAATGGGTAGGGAAAAGTTAGCAGAGGTATTACAAAAAAAATCCAGAAATGAAAATGCTCATCATGCATTCACTTTGTGAAAAATAATGCATATTTAGACACATTATTGTAAAATTTCAAAATATCAAAAATAAGAGAACATCCTAAAAACTTTCAGAGGAGAAACAAAACAGATCAGCTACAACCAAGAATCAGATCACCATCAGACTTATTAACAGTAATAATTAGTAGTAGGAAGCAAAGATGAAAGGCCATCAAATGACATGGAAAAAATTATTTCATAGTTTTATTCTGAGCCGAGCTAGAAAATTGAATGAGTCTTTTATGAGAACAAAATAAATGTATTTCAGATAATCTAAACTCGAAAATTTTAATTCTTCTCTATCCTTTTTTTTAAAGTCACTTAAACATACACACTAGCAAAAAATGTAAATAAAATGAACAGAAAGAAGTGACATCTGGAAAACATCCAGATTCATCCATGAATCTATCTAGTTGAGGAATAACATTCTGTACAAGCATGACATTTTTGTAGAGGCTCAAGATCCAATCAATTAGGATTGTAAAACAGAAGGAAAGGACACTCAGAAAGGAAATCTCTTGTAAGTATTAAGTATAAATGGTAAAATTCCTTCAAAAAATGAGGACACGGTAAAGAAAAGTGGTGAAATAAATAAAAAGAATATGTTCTGCTATGATTATAGTAACATTCTGTTTGAGATATACAGGGTTCTGATATTTTCTCTATAAAGAAGGAAATATAAAAATGGTATACTACTTTTTATTGAAAAATACGTAGACTAAAACAATTTATATATGAATTATAAGAATTTACGAATAGGTAAATAATGAAATATAAATGTAACCACCATTGACAAAATCAAGTTGCAGATAACTAAAGCGGCTGAGAGACACATTGATTAAGGAGATGGCGAGGCATTTGAGTGACTAATGGTCTCCTCTTATAAAATTAGAAGATTAGAGGTATGGTCTATGGTTGATGGATTAAAGAACAATTCCAGCATGCCATGTGAAACTTCAGGGGAAATCAGCGGAGTTATCAAGAGTAATGTTACAAATTGGTTTTCCCAAAACAGTACCATCCAGTTAGCACACTCTTTTACTCTCAGATGTATACAAGTTTAGAAAATAAATAATGTGATACTTTAGTTATAAATAAACTGAGAAAAATAGGAAAGTAAATGGCATGATTTGGTATAAAAATTATTAGTCATAAAAGAAATTTAAGTAGACACTAGGAAACAGAAAACAGAGAGTTATATGTGGAGAATAACAGTGTGGCTAATTTGTTGGAATGGGGTACTTTTTATTTCATTATAAACCTTTTTTTCCTATTTTATTTTTAATTGGTGTAATTTTTACTTTAAAAAAATAAAAATATATTATGGTAATTGTCAAGGATATATAACAAATGGAACTCTTAAACACTATCAGTAGAAGTGTGAAATGGTAAAACCACTTTGGAAAATGCTTGTTTAATTTCTACTAAAGCTGAATAAAAATATATCTTATTTCCCAGAAATTTCACCCTTAAATATGGAACACAGCAAAAATCATTATGGAAAAATGAGAAGTATATTTATAGGAGCATTTTTGCAATGTCCCAAAACTCAGGACAACCAAAATCCATTAATTTCAGATTAGAAAATATATTAAGACGTATTCATTTTATCAAACACTATACAGCAAGAGAAGGACCATTCTAGAACTACAGGTAATAGCATCGATTAATATCAAAAAAATATTGAGTAAAAAATATGTAAAAACAAAAGATTAGGTAATCTATTATGCCCTTTCATAGTTCAAACAGGCAAAACAAATCTATAGTGTTAGGCATCAGAATACTGTTACTTTCATAGAGAATGCAATAGTGATCAGAAAGAGAAAAAAGGCATGTTTTTGCAGTGCTATTAATATTTTATTTGTATAAGATTTACCTAGATGTTTTCATGATGTGATGATCATGTAATGATTTGCATATTTTTTGTACATATGTTAAATGCCAATAAAATATGTCTAAAATATAGTAATTTTTACATAAAAGAATGAACAGAGTTTCTGAGTCAGATAATAACTATCTGCCTAGAATAATGTTTGGTGAATAACAAGTAAAAGTGTTACAGGAGGAAAATAAAGGAAAGAATGCGAATCTAAATAGTGAATCATATTCAATGACAGATCATTGAGAATAAACTACCCTTAAGGCTTCAGTAGCTAAATTCTGATTATAAGACAGATGACTTGAAAAAAAAAGTAAAAGCACTTTAACTGGGAGTTTGTCCAGAAAATATTTAATTTGATATATTTATTATTTACTTACTTTTATTAATTTTGGGGATATAGAGTAAAACCAGAGATTTGGGACTTCAAACTCTTCGGAAGTGTATCATATCTAGCCTGGAATGTATTACTGTCAATTCAGAGTGAGTGTTCGCTATTAGCCCTTCAATGGGTCAGAAGTCTGTGGGGAATGAAGTTCAGACAGTCTTTGCTCCATTTTCCACTAGCCTAATGAAGTGAGTGATAGGCTCTGAAAAGGAGATCAGTTGATTGATTTCTTGGCAAGTAGCCACAATGAACTCCTCATTAAAGAGTCTTGATCTTTCCTAAAGTGAAGTGATCTGAATTTTTAGACTGACCACTTACAAGTACTCTGATCATGGGTTTCCCACAACTGATGTGTCTCTGTTTTCTCCCTTGGTGGCTTATCATAATTACGAGATGCATATGTTTGAGTTTCCTAAAAGGGGCAGTTTTCTCCCAAATAAGTTTAACATGCAATATTGTATTAGCATAGTAATCACTCCAGAATATTCTATGCACAGATCATTCATGAATTTTAGGATGTTAGAAAGGAAATCCAGTGATGGATGAACCATGTGAATTTAAAAAAAATAGCAAAGTATAATTCTTAACTTTTCTTAACCAATTCTTAAACAATTAGTGGTGTTTTGATTATTTATCCCCTACACTGTACTACAGTCAAATTCCATCTAAGTGACATCTGAAGGAACACAAAGGACTGTAAATGAGCATTTCTTAAGACTTTTATAAGCCATATGGCCAATGCCTTCTTATGTGTGGTTTAATCTGGTAACCATAAATACTTTCAATCTCATGTTCTAACAACAGTAAAATTATTTTTCTATAATGTCTTATTTTCTGATAGTATAGTCCCCTTTTCCCAACTCCTCTCCTTCTGCTAATAGATAACACTTGTGAAGGAGAAGAGAGGTCAAGATGCATTTATATAAGTTGTAGATGTTTGCATTTTACCGATTCCTACATATCTACTTCCTTGTCACTGAGAGAATTGAATGATTTATTCTTTTTCAACACAATCTCCTCTACCAAATAATGCAGTTTCACTGTGGTTGGAACCAATTCTTCCCCAAGATTCACTAGCCCTATGGAAACTTCTCCTATAAGTTTTAATGAAGCTTGACCTTCTCTTTTATCTTCTGTACTAAACTATTTTGTAGTACTGCCAGAGTCAGTTTAATAACAGGTGAGTTTCACCCCTAGGCTGATTGTATTTCAGCAGAGGTTGAAGTGATTTCTGTATGTCAGGTTGTTAAATCTGTAAAAAGCTATGTGATCTTTCAAAATGAAAGTCAGTACATCAAGGCAATATAGTTCTCTTTTGTCTTTTTATGAACCCCTTTACATCTTTTTCTGGACAGCTCTGAAATACAAAAATGACTGCTTTCCCTATCCCCACACACTCATGAATGGCCAACAAATATTCAAATACAAAAATTGTCAAAATAAAATATTCTTGTCTTAAGCTTTGCAACCTTTCCAAGGAACTTCATAGTTTAGTGCTTCCATATGAACCTATGGGGGATTATTAAACTGCTATTTCAATGCTTTAAAATAAATTCACAGTTAGCATTGTTCTTGAGGTCTCATTCTAACTTGTTTCTACAACATCCACCAAAATTCAAGATACTTTTATTATGTTAGCAGATATATAAATTTTATTTAGAATATTTTCTTATATCTGAAGAATTTATAATTCCTATTTCCAGAAATCTACTTAATATAAAGTAGCACTTCAAAAATGTTTGTAGTGCTATTTAAAAAAACCCTTTTTCTATAATATTTTATATTTAAATTTATAATACAGTTTCACTCATTTATTTTATATTTATTAAATACAAGCTATGTGCCTACTATATAATATGTTAAAGGGTTGAAAAAATAAACTATTAAGGTACCTTGGAGTGATAATACTTTCTGGTTTTGTTTAATTATTTTTTCAGATTGCACTATTCTTAAAATGAATAAGAGATCGATGTGCAATATATGTGTATGTGATAAAATATTTCAATCTTTAAAGCCAAATCTATGAATATTGATTGATTGTCTGACTTTCTAGGTTATGAATCTGTACTTCAGAATAGCTTAATAACCTTCCATATTATTAAAAGTTACATTTGGTTTCCAGAATGCATTGCTCTTCTTTCCTATGAAACTTGAGTTGTTTGTCATCTTTATAACTGAATTATTGCAGTAGTTCCCTAAAATATTTTCCTAACTCTTTTCTTTGAACCCTGGTCTAATGGACAACATTAGAGTTGGTAAACCAGATGTTTTTCTCAAACATCTACCTTTCTTGCTCACAGTGCTGAACTCAAAGTGGCCAAACTTCTGCTAAATAGTCCTTTCCATAGTTGATCTTGTGAACAAATAGCAAAAAGTTGGCCTACCAGATTCTCTTTTCCCAGTATATTGAATTTTGAATGTAAAGACTTGGAAGTTAAATTACTTGAATGACAGTGTTAATATAGAAAGTCATATCTATTAACTCTCACAGTTGAGTTCTTCACAAATATCCTTAATGTCTTACTTCTCAAGGCTTAGTTTTTCAGATCACCCTTGGATACTCCAATATTTAGCCAGTGTATCATTTTGCTTGATATAGAGGGAGTTGATTTAGTAGATCCAAAAATAAAATAAAAAATAAAACCCATTTACTCAGATGTAGTCTCCTAATATTGCCATTAGAGTGATCTGATGCTAGTATTTCTCAACCAAGTATTTCTCATATACTTTAAATATGCTTGGATGACTGTTTTCAAAATACACATTTCTTGATTCTATCTTCGGAGATTCTGGTTCAGCAAATGAGGAGAGAGACATTATTCTAATGCGCACACTCTAAAATATAATTTTGATCATGTCACTCATTGCTTGTGGTTGATTTCAATAATAGCCACAAATCTTTGCAGTCCCTCTCTTTAAGAGGTAGATCTTTCTCCCCCTAAGCTATATCTTGCCTGGCATTGGAACTTGCTTTGACCAATAGATGACAATGTGACAATTCTGAACCTAGGTTTCAAGAAGTCTTGTAATATCAAATCTCTCTGTTCTGGGAAACTTACCAGCACCATGAGAATCAATCAGGCTAGTGTGCTAGGTAATTGGCTCCCTGACCTGATTATCCCAGACAACCAACACCACAAACAGAGCGACTTGGTAGACCAGCAGTCAATGCAGACATAAATAAGCTCTTCTGAGACTAGATGAAGAATCCACAAAACTGAACTCAAACTGCTGACTCATAGAATCTAGGCTAACAGAAAACAAATAAAAATGGTTGTGGTTTTAAGACATTATGGTTTGGGATATTTTATTACACAGTAGTTATTAAATACCAATTGTTAAACTACTTAAATAATTTTTTATCATTATATACAGTGATAAAAATTAAGCTCTTTAACACAAAGTCTCCTCATTAATTTTTTCTTTAATTCCTTTTTATTTTTTCTAACTCCATTTCCCCAAATATTGACTGGTGCTTCCTTTATTCTCTAGTAATATCAGGTTGCTCATAATATGGAATGACATTTATACCTGATGTTTTTCATTTCCAACATTAAGTGGCTGAATTTTAAACATTATTTAGGCTCATTGTTTTTTCATCCAGAATGCCTTCCTTAAAATATGAAGTTAAATTGCATGGCCATGATCAATTCTCTCTTATCATCTTTTCATGTGACCACTTACTGCATTAAATTATAATTACTTTTATGGATTAGAATCACCAATTAGACTGTAGCTACTTAAGGACAGTAGTCATATTTATTAATCTTTGTGCTTGGAACAAAACGAATCATGATAAATATTTGTTAAGTAAAACTGTTAATGAATTTGGTAATCTATAATCTAAGATCGGTAATTTAGGGGAACTAAAGGAATACATTTTGTACTTTTTGCGCCACTACCGTAGTCTAGGAAGTGTCATAGTAAATTTGCATGACACTTTTAGTGATGCGCTACAAGTCCAACTACATAAAAATACAAAAAAAAATTGTGAAAAAATATAGCATACAGCTGATGGAAAGGGATCGAGGGAAGCAGTATGAAAGAATAGGAAAAGAAGAGATGATAAATAGAATGAGAAAGAAAATATGTAAACTATTGAAATATTTGTAAAATGTATATAAATGCAAAAGAATTATATTTATAGAATAAACTCCACTTTCTCCAAGTTATTCCTTATTGCAACCTATTTGCATCCTGAGAACCAGTGAGGCTACAATGGACATGACAAATAAATGAACTATATTTTAGTTTATTCTATGAATTAGGTGAAAAAAAATACAAACCATTATTGGAATTACTGATTTCCTATTCTCATCACTTGAAAGCCCTAATATAAAACTGGCCTAGTTTAACTGATGACTTTTTTCAACTACAAATGGAGCAAATCTATTAACAACTAATGCTTTACTTTTATACATGCACCATAAGGTTTGTGACTAAATATTGTTGAAATAATGAAAAACAGCCACTTGATGTAATCAAAAAATAGTAGTTCACAGAGTGATACGTAAATTCACCTTCTAGTGTTCTACCTAGTAATCATTATATTTTGGCAGAGTCTCTTAAAATCAGTACTGTTTTGAAGTTGATGCTGCTTCATCCTCAGTAGTTTCGCATCTTTTGTTCTTTATGTGGTGGGAGACATGACCATGGCTCTGATTGTAAATATTGCTATACATTTAGATAAGGTACAGATTCATCAAAATCTTCTGGGAAATGTAAACGTATTGCCTAGAGTTTTTTTTAGCTCATTGTTGAAAGGACTTACTGAAAAATAAAAGTGTTATCAATACAAAATTTGAGTATATACCTACACAACGTAACAAGCAGCAAAGCCATGTCACATAAAATACTCAAGCAGTTCTCCGCATATTGTATGGCAGGACTACTTATTTTCTTTTTCTCCTACGTGTTTCACATGCATGTATACTGTTATTTCTGACAACCATGACATATCAGCTTAATGCATCTCATGGGTCAAGGTGTGCTAAAGTATCACCAATTAATGTACCAAGAGGCTAGCAGGAGCAGCAACATTGAATATTTCTCCACCGTAGTAGAGTCCTGAAGGACTTAGCTCTCCCTAGCTAGGTAAGTCCCAGGAAACTTCCCAGGGAGCCTACATGCTAACCTTAAAAGTGATGTAAGTTAACTTGAATCTGGAAAGGGTGAATAAAAGACAGTTTATTGATTATCAATGTTCAGCCATGTTAAAGTGAGAATTATATTTTCTTCATATTTATCATACACACAGATAGATGAGATCATGGTAAAAGCTGAAAGCACCAAATAGAAGTCTACTCAGCCCTTTTTGGCTAATTTTATTGCTGCTCCTATTACTATGACTACCACCACTATTACTCATAATTAATGATAAAGCTAGAATAGAAGCTGAATAGAAAGACATGTTGGGCCAATATCTCTATTCTAAGGCTACTTCCGAAATATTGTTATATATGGTCATAGTGTACATAGGTTAAACCATTTTTAAGCATCAATTTCTAACAATAATATTGGTAAAATATAGGAATGAAGTATAACATTTATTGATTTATTTTTTAAATCTATTTCCTGTATACTCTATTATGAATTCTGAAAGTATAAAAATTCCCTAGAAAAGGCAATTCAAATAAACACATTGGCACTAAATTACTTTAAATATTCTTTCATTCTCTGGCGCTGAGGTATGAACAAGACATCAGACCAGTTGAAGTGCTGATTTTAAGACTAATTTCATATATATGTTCTACTATAAATTGTAATTATATAAAATTATAATAAATTTTCATCCTTAAATTAATATTGTTCCAATAGTTCACAAATTATTTTTTCACTCAGTGACTAAGAGTTACAATGAGAAAAGTAAGTTACAGAATCTTATGTTTTTCAAGGGATGAGAATTTAAGAATATTTTTCCTAAGGTATAGAATGTGAATTTGCCATTTAAACAATACGTAATTTCGGAATGGTTATTTTACTTATAATCGTTGAAGTTTTTAATAGTCTTTTCTCTTGAATTAAATGCTGTTATTGTATGTTTGGCATCTAAATGTTCCAGATTTTTTTTAGCTCATATAAACCAGTTTTCCCTACAAGCAGTGTCTTCAAACCGACATCATCATTTTGTTCCTGGCCAGTCACTGAGTATATAATACTGTATATTTTACTGAATCTTGTTTTATTAATCTCTGAAATTAAAATAGAAATGAATGGAAGTACTTTTTAATCCTGCTGTTATGTAGATTAGGCATATTTCTCCAGTAATTTAACACCTAAAGTGCACATTTAATGACAATTCAAATATATGTATTTACCAAACTATAGCTGATAGTGTGAACTCTGTTTACATACATCAATAAATATTTAAATTGAGATATATATAACCTTTGGTGTTTTGAATTGAAATACCACTAATTCTAACAATGATTTAAAGTAAGTTTAAATTTTTTCTTATGAGGATAATCTTTTAATGTAGTGTTTATGGAAAAGTTTCAATTATGTGAGGAGTGCAGTATGTTACAGTAGGACCATTAGTATATTAATTTGCACCATAAACAGATAATTTGTTTTCAAATGCAAATCTTTTCAATGCTTTTATAAGTCATAAAGGCCTAACTAAATATGCATCCATCCTTTGGAGACAGCCTACGTGAGAATGCATGAACTATCTTTGTCAATTGACCTCCCTACCTCTCTTCCCGCTCTTCTTGAGGACAGAATGTCATGGGTTGTGTTTTTTAAACTGAAAAGCAATAATGATAAAAGTAACTATCTAATGATCACTAAGTTTGGAAATATATAACCCTTTTTAAAAATTATTTATTTATTTATTTATTTATTTATTTATTTTTTTTTTTTTGAGACAGAGTCTCACTCCCGTGGCCCAGGCTGGAGAGCAGTGGTGTGATCATGGCCCACTGCAGCCTCAATTTCCTGGGGTCAGGTGATCCTTCCACCACCCTCAGCCTCCCAAGTAGTTGAGACTATAGGCGCGTACTACACAACAGTTTAATTTTTTGTATTTTTTGTAGAGGCGGGTTTTCACGTCCTGGCCTCAAACACCGGGGCTCAAGTAATCTGCTCTCCCAGCCTCCCAAAGTGCTAGGATTACCGGCATGAGCCACCTTACTCTGACAGCCATTTCTTCTTAAAAGAAAATATTTACAACATGCCTGCAAATAATACTACTACTTAAATTGCCTTTAAAATCTGTATATGAAATTTAACTAATCAGCTTCCTGTTCTACAGCATGAACTTGCTCATAAATGTATTTACAAGGCACTAGAAAAGGGTCCTACAAAAGTTTAACCAATTTCCAAAAAACCTGGATGGGAAGCTTATTATTAGTCAGGAAACTAAATTCTAGGTAGATTTTGGGGGCAAAGTGAGGAGAGGGACTGGGGAATGTATTTTGAAGAGGATAAGAAAGAATGTTGAATTAGTCGCAGTATTTTCTAATAAAAATAGACCTATGTGGGAAAATGCAAGCAAATGATAAAGGAGATAAGATTCAAATAATGGCTCTACAACTAATTGGCTGTGTGACTTTAAATATGAATTTCATGGCTCCAGAAGTCAGTTCCCTAGTATTTTCTCTGTAAAGAAATGGCACTTGATTTACATCTAAACTCCTTGCTAGCCCAATATTCTCAGATTCTGTGAAGCAAACAACTGTTCTTACTGCATAATCTTTAACACTTCTACATTTTGAGATTTATCAACTGCTCTTTTTGTTAATTTTTCTGAATAAATTCATAATGTTACCAAATATCTAAGGCTTAGATTAGATCTATAGCCCCAAAAACACTATGAGAAAATTTTAATTCTCTGCCTGGAGTTTTATAATAAAGATACCATCAAATTATCATACCAATAAGTCTTTTGTTACATAAAAAATGTTTTGATATCTCTGTAAAAAGCCTTCTCATGTTTTAGGTTTTCTAGTACGGCAATCTCTCTTTAGATTTCGGACCCAAGACTGCTTGTTCGTGTTGTGGTCTCAGCAATGCATCAAGATGTAACAGTTTCCTGTCTGAGATAAAACCTGGAGTTCTTTGTCCCACCTCTAAGAGGATTAAGGAGTGCAGACACCAAGTTGAGGTTAGCGCGAAAGTTTAATAAGCGAAAGAAGAAAGCTCTCTGCCAACAGAGCGGGGTGCCCAAATGGGGTGCCCCCTATGAGTCTGGGGTCCAGGATTTTTGTGGACTGCAAAGGGGAAGGAATGGGCTTAGTCCACGAGCTGTCTGGGAGAACGTGTGACTCAGCTTGGCCTCGGACCAATCAAAGGCTGAAGTGATGCTTCCTAGAGGCCCGACTTACAGTCCAAAACAAGGAAAGTAGACTGCCCACCAGAACCCACCAGAGCCCTCTGCGCCCATGCCCACCAAAGGAGAAGAAACTTTTTCCTGGGAGCCCGCTGATTATTCAAAGGACAAAAGCATTTCTATGCAAGGTCTTGTTCCTTTATCTGAGTGAGCTGGAGGTTTGTGCAAGTTTTTATCCAAATAGGCTGAAGGTTTTTCTATCTGTGCAGCCCTGGGCACGTCTCCGGGCACAAAACCCTGTGCTAGCTCCCTTTGACATTTTCAAAAATAAATTGACTCGTGAAAACTTTAATGTAGTTGATTGAGCACAGATCTGAAGACTAAAATAAAATTGCCTAGTTTTATAGTGTCAACTACTCTTTTTCTCTATTTCTTCATATGAAAAACAGGAAGAATAGTGAGACCTACTTTGTATTGTCGGTAATGTTGCTATGGAGTAGCAATAATGTTTATAAAATTTTACACACAACTACTAATGAAGAAAGTAATAAATAAGTTATCTTTGTAAGTCATCTTTGTAATCCAAGAATAATCTTGGATATAAAAATTAGGTTACAGAGCTCAAATTTTTTGATATTACAATTCTGGGTAAGCAGTGAAAAAATGGTCAGAAATTAAAATCAAGAAGTCTAGTATATTTATTTTATTTTATTGTTTCTTTTTTTTTCAAGATGGAGTCTCACTCTGTCACCCAGGCTGGAGCGAAGTGGTGTGACCTCAGCTCACTGCAACCTTCACCTCCCAGGTTCTAGTGATTCTCCTGCCTCAGCCTCCCGAGTAGCTGGGACTACAGGCGTGGGCCACCATGCCTGGTTCATTTTTGTATTTTTAATAGAGGCGGGGTTTCACTATGTTAGCATATTTTATTTTTTTTATGGTATATACTAAGATGTTATGTCCAAGAACCTCAAATCTATAGTGCCTCAAACAAAAGAAAATTTTACATCTCTTAAATATCAAATTTTAATAGTGAGCGACCTGGGGCTGGTAGACATCTCATGAGGACATCCAGGGAATGCTGCTTTCTATGTTGAAAATGATTCCTCATCTCTGAGGGCTTATCCTCCTCCACGTGGTTGAAGCTGACTCACCAGCACTACATCTGCATTTCTTCCTACTTAGTGGAGAAATTAAGGCATGAGAGGGCAAATTCATTCCTCTTTAAGATTGTAATGTAGCAGCTGAAGCTATTATTTCCACTAATATAGCAATGGCTAGAGTTTAGGGAAAGCTTGGATAGATTACTTCTAGCCAGGCAATCCAATAGCAGAGTAATAGATGCTGCTGCTAAAATGAGCAAGGGGAAATCAGATATAGAAGGACAATTAGAAATATCTGTTAAAATGATTATTTCTCAGTAATGTTCACCCTAATGGTAAATGATATAAGCAGGATCCGAGACCCGTTTGTTCTTAGGATATTTTTGGAGAAAAGGGCATATGTTGATTCACAGTTCCTACTAATGGCTAAGGCATGTTTTCACATTAGTTCACTCTAAGTAAATATATATATATATATAAAAAATTAAACAGGCTGCTGACCAAGCCTTGTGCCAAGTTATGGATACTCAAGAATAATCACATGTAATCAATGTTTTTGAGTATGGTGACTTTGCGTAGCTAAACTTATTTTGTGGGAGACATGAATAGAAACAAATACTGCAATTATAATACAAAATTATAAGTGCTCTAAGGGGTGTGAGTGAGAAGAGGGTGAGAGAAGAAAAGCCTTCACCATAGGGTAGTTATTTGAACTAAGTGTCAAATCATGGTATTATAATGTGTTCATTAGAAGAAAACATACCAAAAAAAAAAAAAGGAAATGGAAATAGAAATACTAAAGGTATAATGGTATCAAAGAGTGTGATGCTTTTTAGGACACTGTTGCTTTAGCTATGTTTGAAACAGTGAATATACAAAACCAAGTGATAAATATAGCTGGGATAAGAATATGAACGGACTAAATTATCACTGTAAATAATTTGGACTTGATGCAGACATTTTAAAACTATTGGATATCTTTAAGCAGAGTTTCCTCATAATTCAGGCTTCACTTTAGAAATAAAACTCTGATAGAATTGAAGATAGACTGATAATAAAAGATAAGAGAAGAATCTGGCCAACTAAAATGTGGCGGCAACAATACCAGGTCAGACGTGGTGATCGTCTCAGTGGAGTGAAGAGGAGAAAAATAAAAAAGGACATTCTAAGAACTAGAATTTAGGGACTAATTCAATTCAGTGCTGGGAAGTTGGGGGTTTTCATCATTTACTATTACCTAAAATGTTGAGCTTTGCTATATGATAAAGGGATGCCATTGCATAGGATCAAAAAAAGAAAAAAAAAAAGGGGGACAGTCAACACTCTACTCAAGGTTTTTACATAGTATATCCATAATGAAGGTAAAAAGGTGTTATTTAAGCTAGCAAATAATTCTATTTTTATTATTGAACTGTAGCTGTAGCTTTAATTCTTTTACTAATGTATAGTGATTTTTTTTCTGTTCTCCAATATAACCTATCCTTATAGTCACACATATAATAAATAAGATCAGCATGCTAGCCTATGTCAAGTGGTAGGGAAGGAGGAGATAGGCTTCTATGTTTTATTATGGTGAGTTTAGGTAAGTTAAGACTTGTATTCTTTATCCTTAATATCTCAGAGTAGCAGTTACATAAAAAGCATTTGTCTAGTCCTATTAAGCATTATTAGAGAATAAAAACTATATATTTGAGGAAAAAATGTTTTCTTTGTTTATCATAATGTTCTTTGAATGTCACAACGCATTAACGGAAGCTCTAAATGTCTGGAATGGGAGAAACTTGGTTTATATTTTTTAGCTATGTGCTCTGCTAAGCACCCAGATAATTTTCAGAAATGTTCCCCAAAGCCAAGAAAAGTCAGGGAAAAAAAATAGAAGAGAAAAGAGTGAGGGAGGGCAGGAGAAAAGAAACAAAGAATTGCTGGGGTGAGAGGAAATAGAAGGGACTCGTAATTTGGACAAGTTAGCCCACGGTAATGAAGAGTAATTGCTGAACAGGGTACTTTCTCCGTAATTTGATTTGCTCGTACCTTATTATAAGCTATACTTTTGTGTCTGGCTGCATTTGAGTATTTACTTTAACTCAGTAATATTTTAGGAGTAAGCTTAATTCAATAGATTTTGAGAGCATTCACTTATTAATGTCTTCAAATCTTATTAAAGAGTTTTACTTCATGCCAATTTCAAATTTAAATCCTTTTATAGGAAGAGATTCAAAAAGTAATTATCTATTTCAATTATTTCCTTGGGATATAATTGTTAAAATAGTGAAATATAACAAATTTTCTTATGGGAGTTGGTTAAGCTGTATTGAAACAAAGCTAAATGGTCATTATGATTTTTCAATTCTGGTTAATTCTCATTGTTAAGAAAATGCACAGTTTTCATTGACTTCAGGGAGGAAATTTTGACTAAATTTTCTCTGTACTAAATTGAAGACTCCTGAAAGGCAATCTGGCAGAGTAAGTGTATTAGTCTGTTCTCACTCTGTTATGAAGAAATACCCGAGAATGGGTAATTTATAAAGGAAAGAAGTTTAATTGACTCACAGTTCCGCATTGCTAGGGTGGCCTCGGGAAACTTATAATCATGGTGGAAGGCAAAGCAGAAGCAGGCACTTCCTTCACAGGGCGGCAAGACGGAGAGAGTTCCGGTAGGGGAAATGCCAGACACTTATAAAACCATCAGATCTCGTGAGAACTCACTCAACATCACGAGAACATAAAGGGGGAAACCGTTCCCATGATCCAATTGCTTCCACCTGGTCCCACCCTTGACACCTGGAGATTATTTCAATTCAAGGTGGGATTTTGATGGTGAAACTGAGCCAAACCACGTCTGTGAGCCAAGATATCTACATTCATCATCAAAATGGGACCTTCGGAATTTCCTCAGTGAGGTTACTAACCCTAGCCATGCATATCCACGCCATACCACACTGACTAGATTCACTAAGGTCTGTCATAAGGAAGGCATCCAAATTGAATAGCATTTTATAACTGAGGAGCACTAGAGAGAAAAGGTGTGATCATAGCATAAGATTTGTTCTGCTTCACCCCAGAAGTCCACAAATGGGAAAAATGAGGGCAGCTTTAATTTGCTAGAAAAAAGCAACACCTGTATTTTGAGTATATATCAAACCCTGAGGATTAAAGTTCTTGTTTCGGCCGGGCGCGGTGGCTCACGCCTGTAATCCCAGCACTTTGGGAGGCCGAGGCGGGCGGATCACGAGGTCAGGAGATCGAGACCATCCTGGCTAACACGGTGAAACCCCGTCTCTACTAAAAATACAAAAAATTAGCCGGGCGTAGTAGCGGGCGCCTGTAGTCCCAGCTACTCGGGAGGCTGAGGCAGGAGAATGGCGTGAACCCGGGAGGCGGAGCTTGCAGTGAGCCGAGATCGCGCCACTGCACTCCAGCCTGGGCGACAGAGCGAGACTCCGTCTCAAAAAAAAAAAAAAAAAAAAAAAAAAAAAAAAAAAAAAGTTCTTGTTTCAGCTCTCCATCTAATGGATTATAGTATACAAAGTTCAGCTTTTTCGGTTACTGCTTTTAAAGTTTTCTAATATGATTAATAGCTTTAACAAAAAGGTATCTCTTAAGTGTGCAATATAGTTGCTTTCTCTCACATAGACAGTCTTGTTTGGAAACAATTTCTTTTGATGTAGTTCTAAAGAAATATTTACCTTTAACAGGAACACTAGATATTTTTTCAATGCAGAAGCTTTTTTTCTGTTATAAAGAGAGCAATAATCTGTAGTATAAAGAATTAAAATTTAAAACTAACTACTGTATTGAATGAAGACTTTGATTTATACCTAATAAATTTTAGAAAGTTTTAAAAGCTAATTTTATAAATTATTTTAGTCAATTTAAGGGATATTCATTATGATAAAATGGTTTCTATGCACCTTCCCTGGTCTTGTATAAATATTAGAAGTGTTTGCAAGATAGAAAAATTATTTATCCCTTACAGACATATACATAATATAACTGTGTGTATATGTATGTCTCTCTATATCTATATCTATATATAGATATAGAGATTTTATATCTATTTTATATATTATATATATTTTATATCTACATAGATTTCATATAGATATTTATATAGATATTTTATATAGATATATATATATAGAGAGAGAAAGAAATAATTGCTGAGGGGATTATTATGTTTAACATTTAAGCATAATACACTTAGTAATACTCCCTTATCTGCAGTTTTGCTTTCTGCAGTTTTCATTACTTACAGTCAACTGTGGTCTGAAAATACATGTAATATGATATTTTGATAAAGAAAGAGTGATCACATTCACATTATACTATATTGTTATATTGTTCTATTTTATTATTAGTTACTGTTTTTATCTCTTACTGTACCTAATTTATAAGTTTAACTTTATCATAGGTATGTATGTAGATATATATGTATATATATATATATCTATATATATGTGTATATATGTATATATGTATATATATGTGTATATATACATATATATGTGTATATATATATACATATATATGTGTATATATATATACATATATATGTGTATATATATACATATATATATATGTATATATAGGATTTGGTACTACCTGTGGTTTCTGCCATCCACTGCAGTTCTTGGAATGTATCCCCCATGGATATATATATATATATATATATATATATATATACATATATATATATGGCAACATTGTATACATATGTGTATCTGTGTGTGTGTGTGTGTGTGTGTGTGTGTGTGTGTGTGTAGAACTACATAATGTATACAGCTAAGACCCCATTTCCCTAATACTTTCTGGATATACTTTTGCTGAGCTGAGGATCTTTCATATTCACTATCCTTGTATCTCTTGAATGTGGCTTTTAACGTCGTGCAGTATCTTTTCCTAATATTGTGTGGGCTAGCTTTAAGAACTAAGTCCTGGTCTTCTTTACCTTTGCAGCCCCAGAGCCCCCTCACAGTGCTTGCTATTTACTAAGTCCTAAATTACAGCTACTTTAATATATGAATATATAAAGAATGCATGGATAGGTATATAAATGCCATTTGAATAGTTTTATTTTGTGTGTGCATCTAATGAAACATTTTTGTACCACCTAGGCTAAAATACATAGATATATATGAATAAAGGAGAAATAAACATAAGTATACAAATAGTTTAATTTTGTTTTTATTTTTTAGAGATGGGGTCTCACTTCGTCACCTAGACTTGAGTTCAGTGGCACAATCATAGCTCACTGCAGCCTCAAACTCCTGGGCTCAAGGGATCTTTTTGCGTCAGCATCCCAAGTAGCTGGGACTACAGGAATGCACAACCATGCCTATTTTAGAAATTTTTGTAGAGTTAGAGTCATGCAATATTGCCCAGGCTGGTCTGGAACTCAATGGCTTCAAGAAATCCTCCCCACTCTGCCTTCAGAGTCTTTGGAATTACAGGTGCGACCACTCTACCCAGCCCTTACATTGGCTTATAAAATGTCTATAATCAGAAAGTAGACTTTTTTTTTCTTTTTTTTTTGGCAGAGACACACTCTGTCACCCAGGTTGGAGTTCAGTGGCGCAATCTTAGCTCACTGCAACCTCTGCCGCCCGGGTTCAAGCAATTCTCTGCCTCAGCCTCTCGAGTAGCTGGGATTACAGGTGACAGTCACCATGCCCGGCTAATTTTTGTATTTTTAGTAGAGATAGGGTTTCACCACCTTGGCCAGGCTTGTCTTGAACTCCTGACCTTGTGATCCACCCACCTCGCTTCCCAAAGTGCTGGGATTACAGGCGTGAGCACCACGCCAAGACAGTAAAATATTTTATTAAGTTATTTTTTTAGTTATCAAGTTTTTAAGAATGCATTAAGAGTTGTAAGAAAATCTTTTTATATTTAATCTTACATATACCGATCACTCTATTCTGCGTTAATATTTCAGCTTTCTAAAAAGGCTATCCTGTGGTAGAATAATTTTAGGTAAGCGTGCCAAGACCATTCGATAAGGAAAGGACAGTCTTTTCATCAAACGGTCTCAAAAGAAATATGAGTCTCAAAAATATATATGTACATTTATGTTCATAGAAACTTCATTTGTAATAGCTAAAAGGTGGAAGCAACCCAGTGTCCATAGACAGATGAATAGATAAGCAAAATATGATTTATACATGCAATGGAATAGTATTAAGCCTTAAAACATAAGATTACAACATAGGTGACCTTTGAGAACATTATACTAAGTGAAATAAACCAGTCACAAAAGGCAAATTCTGTACGATTCCACTTATATAAGACACCTAAAATAGACAAATTCATAAAGACAAAAAATGTAATGGTAGTTGTCAGGGGCTGGAGGGAGGGAAAAATCAGGGTTTATTATTTAATAAGTCTAGAGTTTCAGTTTTGCAAGTATAAAGGAGATCTGGAGAAGGATGTTGGTGAAGGTCACACAATATGAATATATTTCATACCACTAAGCTCCATACATAAAATGGCAATTTTTTTTTTTTTTTGAGATGGAGTCTCCCTCTGTCGCCCAGGCTGGAGTGCAGTGGCGCGATCTCGGCTCACTGCAAGCTCCGCCTCCCGGGTTCACACCATTCTCCTGCCTCAGCCTCCCAAGCAGCTGTGACTGCAGGCGCCAGCCACCACGACTGGCTAATTTTTTGTATTTTTAGTAGAGACGTGGTTTCACCATGTTAGCCAGGATGGTCTCAATCTCCTGACCTCGTGATCCGCCTGCCTCAGCCTCCCAAAGGTAATTTTTATATTATGAGTATTTTATCACAATAAAAATTGGAGAGAAAGGACTACACTATGTTTTTGGAAAATATTGTTAGAGGTTTGAGATCTACTTTTTGTTTTTGGAATAAATTTGCTTGTTAGTCAAATTTTGGCATGATACTGTCCAATCCTTTTCTTCATTGATATATAATGAAGAATATAGCATGCTGAGAATAGCATTGCATGATAAAAATGTACTGGCTTAGAAGGCAGAAAATGTGTGTGTTCTGTCTGAATGACTCAAGCAGGTCATTTAGGATCTCTGACTCTACTAGTTGAATAGTGATAGATTTGAACTTGAATTAACTTTAGCACTTCCTTTCTGATGTATGTTACTAGATTGTTTCTAAATAGTTGACTAGAATGCTAAATCTGAGATAGTTAAGAGATATATTCAGAAAAGAATAAATTAACAGGAAGCAGTGAGTAGACCTGTCACTTCCTTATGCAAATTTGCAACTCAATTTATTTCCAGCTTACACAGAAACCAATACACAGGAAATGTTCTCATGTGTGAAAGGCTAGATCCAATAAAAGGAAAAGAGGAGACATGAATTCTCTCTGTACTTTTTAGCCTAGTCCTTTTTGCCCTTAACTGTAATGCCTGTACATCTTAAATGTTATTCTGCCCCAGGGCTTATACCACTGAGTTGAAATTCACTGGACAGAGAAAGTTGTTACGTTGAGTTCTAACTAAAACAAGATTTTACTGGTTTACTTGGCAGATCTATTCATCCTTTGCTTACTTTAAAATTTGAGGAAAAAAAAGGAAAGATTGCTTAGTTTAACAATGTAATATGTTAATCTGTGATTCAGTGTACACCCAATCATTGTGCATTTTCTTTCACTTATTTAAACATTAAATTATCTTTTCAGTAAATTAGCTTTTAATTTCTCAAATTCACACATGAATCTCCTTAAAGAAGGTTTGTTACGTTGGCTCATTGACTCTTTGATTCTGGTAATCACTGCAAATGAAGGCTTTGCAACATCTCTCTTTCTGACACTACCTTTCTTCCTGCAGCTAAAGACAGAAACATGGTATAATCCACATGCATTTTTGGACCTTTATATTTTTTTAGAATATTAACCATTTTCCCAGTTCCTTCTCTAGCTTAAACTTTTGTAACTGGGCATTTATCTAGAATTTGAAAGTAAGTAATGTGTATGTACAAACACATGTATGTACAATATATCTAGATATATTATAAAACACACACGTGTAGAGATTCTTTACGTATACACATACCATCCATACGTATGATAAATGATGGCTTGTAATTTGATAGTGAGAGATAAAAGATTTTTTTATTTTATTTTATAGTATTTTAATCAATTGATTGTACAAGACATTCGCCAAAGCTCTTGACTCCATCCATTCTGCCCCATCTTAGTTTGCCTATTTTCCATATACATCTATATGATTTTACGTGGTACACTGTTGTGTGTTTACTTTATACTTTAATATTCAGTAGAAGTTTGTCAGAATATGGTATGGTACCATCAAGAGCTGTATTTATTTTATCAAATCCATTTTTTCTTTAATCTTTGAACAGTATTTAATTCAATAAGAGCTCACTAATGCTATGAACAGAGCTAAGAACTGAGACAATTACATTGAAAAGGGAAGTCAATTATGTAAATACAGTAGTCCACCCTTATCTGCAGGGAATACATTCCCAGTGGAAGCCTGAAACTGTGGATACTGAATGCTATTTACACTATGTATTTTCCTATACAAACATACCTATGATAACATTTAATTTATAAATTAGGCACAGTAAGAGATTAATAATAATAAGTAATAAAAGTAAACAATTATAGCAATGTAGTGTAATAAAATTTATGTGAATATGGTCTCTCTTTCTCCCTCTCTCAGAATATCCTGTACTGTATTCAACTATTTTCAGACTTCTGTTGATGACAGGTAATTGAAATCACAAAAAGAAAATGCAAATAAGGGGGCCTACCATATTTTCAGAATGGGTCTAATGGTACAGAAGTCATTATCTGAGGTATTCATAGAAAAGATACAATGTCAAACTCTGTTCAGCCAAATAAAAAAAACTGTTTTACTTTGAAAAATTTTAGAAAATGTAACACATAAGATATTTCACTAAAACAAAACAATGAATTCCTTGAGGTATTTCTCAGGAGGCAGAGAGAGAGAATGAACAGAAGAAAAATTGTACAGTCTCTAATACACCAACAGTTGTATACATTGTTTTATACAAAGTTAGTAATTACATAAAATTAAAATTTTTATTTATAGAGTCTTCGTTATCAATAAAGATAAAATTAATGAAAATAATCCATATATTGTGCCTATTGTGATGCTATCATATATAGGTTTATCTCTGACATATTTAATAAGAATAAAATATTTCAGTTAATATTGTTTATTAAAAGTTTGAGCAATGTACATTGCATTTTTCTTATATAATAGTAAATAAAATTTACCATTTTTAGTGCTAAACTATTCCTTTATAGTTGATTATTTTAATGCTGTACTTCAGACTCGATATTTAAGAATAAAGAATCTAAACTCATTTTATGTTATATTCTGTCAGGTGGAATGGTCTTGGATAGCATTTTTGTATTTCTAAAATACAGTAATAGTAATTCATCCTAATAATAATAATTTGAGATATTGCAGTGTCTAAAATTTCTTCTAAACCATCACAAACAGATTAATGTTTGGTATGACTTTAGTATTAAACACATTTTATTATCTTGTAATTCTTGAGAACTTGTGATTACATATATAAAAAATTATTATTAGTGCATTTGTTTAGTAGGACTGCCAAAACAAAATACCGCAGACTGAGTGGGTTAAGCAACATAAATTTATTTCTTAGAGTTCTAAAAGCATAAATTCCAAGACCAAGGTGTCAGGAAGCTGCTTTACTTCTGAGGTCCGTCTCTCTTTTGGCTAGCAGATGGCAGCCTTCCAGCTGCATTGCCACATGGTCTCTGCTCTGGGTGTTTATACCACTAGTGTCTCTGTTTCTTTGTCTGTCCTCTTCCTCTAAGAAAACCAGTCAGTCTGGATTAGAGCCTATGCTAAAGGTCTCATTCTAATATATTTACCTTGGAGATATCAAAAGTTCATTTCAGACTACCACAGTAAAGTGAATATCACAATAAAGTGAGTCACAAAAATTTTGGTTCTTACATGCATACAAAAGTTATGTCTACACAATACTGTAGTCGATTGTGTGCAATAGCATTATGTCTTTAAAAAGTATATACCTTAATTTAAAAATATGTTATCATTTAAAAAATGCCAACAATTATCTGAGCTTCCAGAGAGCTGTAATCTTTTTGCTGGTGGAGGGTCTTACTGCATGTTGATCAGGGGGATAGTTGCTGAAGGGTAAGGTGGCTATGACAATTTCTTAAAATAAGACAATAATGAAATTGGCTGCATCAATTTGGTTCTTTCTTTTGCAAGATTTCTCTGTAACATGTCATGCTGTTTGATAGCATTTTACACACAGCAGAGCTTCTTTCAAAATTAGAGTTAATCCTCTCAAACCCTGCTACTTTATCAACTAAGTTTATGTAATACTATAAATTTTTGTTGTCCTTTCAACAGTGTACTCATCATCTTCATCACGAGGAGATTCCATCTCAGAAATCACTTTATTTGCTCACACATAAGAAGCAACTCTCACCCATTAAAATTTTATCATGAAATTGCAGCAACTCAGTCACAGTTCAGGCTCCACTATTAATTCTAGTTATCTTGCTATTCTGACAACATCTGCAGTTACTTCTTCCACTGAAATTTTGAACCCCTCAAAGTCATCAATGACAGTTGGAATCAACTTCCTCCAAATTTCTGTTAATACTGATATTTTGACTTCTTCCTATGAACCAAAAATATTCTTAATTTCATCTATAATGGTGAATCTTTTCCAGGTTTTCAGTTTACTGTGCACAGATACAGCAGAGGAATGATTATGGCAGCTTTAGCTTTAAAATATGTATTTAAATAATCAGACTTGAAAGTGAAAATGATTCTTGATCCATGGGCTGCTGAATGCATGTTGTGTTGGTAAGCATGAAAACAACATTAATCTCCTTGCACAATTCCACCAGAGCCTTTGGGTGACTAGCTGCAGTGTCAATAAGCAGTAATATTTTGAAGTGAATCTTTTTTTATGAGCAATAGGTCTCAACACTGGGCTTAAAATCTTCAGTAAGCCTTAAAATATTCAGTAAACCTTGCTGTAAAAAGATGTGCTGTCATCCAGGCTTTGTTGTGCCATCTTTAGAGGACAGGCAGAATAGGACAGGCAGAATAGGTTTCGCATAGTTTTTTTTTTTTGGAGACAGAGTCTCACTCTGTCACCCAGGCTACAGTGCAGTGGCACGATCTTGGCTTACTGCAAGCTCCGCCTCCTGGGTTCACACCATTGTCCTGCCTCAGCCTCCCAAGTAGCCTCCCAAGTAGCTGGAACTACAGGCCCCTGCCATCACGGCTAACTTTTTCTATTTTTTAGTAGAGACGGGGTTTCACCGTGTTAGCCAGGATAGTCTGGATCTCCTGATCTCGTGATCCGCCCACCTGGGCCTCCCAAAGTGCTGGGATTACAGGTGTGAGCCACTACGCCCGGTAATTGGTCTAATTTTAATGCTGTTGTGCTTCAGGGAATAGAAAAGAGAGACCCATGGAGAGAGATCTTAGGAAAGCCTGATCAGTAGAGCAATCAGAACACACACAACAATTATGGATTAAGTTGGTGTTTTATACGGGTACGGATTATGGTACCCCAAGACAATTACTATAGTAACACCAAAGATCACTGATCACACATCACTATAACAAATATAATAAGCATGAACAAAACTTAAACTATTATGAGAACTACCGAAATGTCACACAGAGACATGCAGTGAGCACATGTTGTTGGAAAAATGGCACCAATAGACGTACTTGACTTATGTTTGCTACAAACCTTCAATTTGTAAAAAAAATGCAATTATCTGTGGAATGCAATAAAGTGAAATGCAATAAAACAAAACAAAGTATGCCTAAATCTCCTTAAAGGCCCTATTCTGAAGACAGTCACATTCTGAGGTACTGTGGATTAGGGCTTCAACAAAATATAACTTCAGAAAAACATAATTCAGCTCATAACATGTAGGTAGAATATTTTACATTATATAATTTATATATTTATATTATATATTATATATAAATTTATATATACTATGCAGATACATAAATTATATTATTTATTTATATAATGATAATTTATAAAAATACATTTATAAATGTTATATATATGAATCATTTAATATATATGAACTTATAGGTAGTTGGAATAAAATATATGACCTACCTATAGATGACCTATATACTAGGTCATTTCATTTTATTATTAAGATAAATAAAATTATTTTCTTGTTGTATATTGCCATAATTTAAGGAATTTAAGAGATATGTTACTATCATTAGACACTACGCCTATATTTTTATGATTCAAAATAGCAGAACTACCTGATTTCGAGTATGCTTGCTTAAATCTTAATTTCATTTCTAAAAATTATATGGACACAGAATAAAATAGAAAATCTGATTATATCATATTGTTGCTTTTTCTAATGTCAATATTTATATATCATCTCAGAAGCTTAAGGTGTAACAGTTTTAAGCCAAATAAAAGACATTTTTAGTGACTATTTTTGAATATTGTTGCATGACTGCACATACCGTCCACACAATGCTGAGGGTAAACATGTTTTCTCTGGTCTTGCTGATACTAGCAATTACGTACTACCTTGAACAAGTTCCAAATAAGATGTTTGGCTTAACGAACTCCATACTTCAGCAAATCTTTTTATTATTATGTATCACCATACACTTGAATATTCTAGTTAATCTTTCCATGGACTTTTAGATGAGAAAAAATAATTCGGCAGTACTTAAGGACCTACTTTTTAAAAACTATATGTAAGAACAAGAGATTTAGAACACCTTATTCCTACAGTCTGCCAAAGTAATATTTTAAATGGAAAAATTTACTTTAAAAAAAGCATTTCATTTTTAGTTTTAGTCTATTTGTCCAGTCTTTTCTGTTTATTGAGTACTAGTGAATAAAGTGGAAAGTTATCATACTGAAAAATATAAACATTACTAATATTTATATTTGTATCACAAAACAATGGAGATCCCATAGCCACCACATACCAGGACTTTTTTCCACATTTGTTTTGTTATGATAAAAAATAACAGTTGAAATTCCTAATTTCCTGGACCAGGCAATGAAACAATGGAGATATACATAAAACCTACAGAGAAACACAATATTCTGAGTATTCTATAAATATGTATTTGTGGTTTGGGATAACATTTTTAGTTATAAAATTATAAATATGCAAAAATTACTAGGACTGAATCAACCTGAGAAAAAATAAAGATGATGGGTTTTTTCATGTCACTTCACCACATAGACGTGAGTGTTTTAGGGGCTTTTTCACTCCTTTATTTTCTCACTCCTTTGATGATCTCTGTAAACCTCATGTTTATAAAGATTACCTGTATTTTGATGACTCCATACTTATATCTCCATCCTGGACCTTCATTTCAAACTCCGTTTACCTATACACAGTTGCCCACCTAACATCCATGCCTAATAGATAGATTAAATTTGACTTACTTAACTTGTCTCCTTATCTTTTATCCCAAACCTTTCTTTCCCCTATTCTTTCTTAACTCAGAAAATTTCACTGCCATTCACCCAATGACCCATATCCAAAATCTAACCACATCTTCCAAAAAGATCAATGAATAAAGCCAAATAGTAAACTATTTTAAGCAACATTATCATTGTATGTTTAGCTTTATTAAATAATTTTGTGGATTAATAAAAAAGAATAATTCATTACTTTTTGTCTGTAAACTACCTTATATTGTTAATTTCAAGACATACAAATCTGAACTGTTTTGTCTCCTACAGCATGGCAACCATATTGATTTTCAATAATTTAGTGATACAATGCAGAAATGAAATTGATGTCATATTTTGTGGGTTTAGTTGTGCCCTCAAGAAAGACATACTGAAGTCTTAATTACTAGTACCCATGAATATGAACTTATCTGGAAATAGGATCTTTGTAGATGTAGTCAAGATGAGGTCATACTGGATTAAAATGGATCTTACTCAAATAACTGGTATTCTTATAAGAAAATAAGAACGGTCATTTATAAAATTTAGAGTGGAAAGAACTAAAGCATATGAAAACATAGACAGAGATGGGAATTATATGTCTACAATGCCAAGAACTGTTGGAAGAACTATATGGGAATTACATGTCTACAATGCCAGGAACTGTCCCCTAGAAGGAACCAACAATTGCAAAGACCTTGATTTTGGACTTGTAGCTTCTAGAACTTTGAGACAATACATTTTCATTATATAAAACCACTCAGTCTATGGTACTTTGTTACAACAGCTCCAGGACACTAATACAGATTATAAAGTGTAGAAAACTTGGGCTAATTATGTTCTACCATTGAGTAAAAGTAGAACTTGGAGCAATGAACTTGGATATTTAGCTAAATAGATTTTGAGGCAATATATAGAAGGTGCAATCTTGTTCCTTCTTGCATCTTATAGTAGAATACTTAAAAAGGAGGTAAGCTTGGAAAAAAACTGCCAAACAAAAATGAATCAGCACTTGATGATTTGGAAAATTCTGAGCATGCCTAGAGCCAAGAGTGTGGCTAGACAACCTTTTGGTGAAAAGGTCAGGTATGTGACTCATCTATCCAATCAACCATGTCATCTAAAGCCAGGATTAGAGATAGGGTTATCCAGGTAGGCTTCATGGAAAATGTTCACATCTAATGTTCATATCTAATTGGGTGCCCCCTTAGCATCCAGGGAAAACCAACAAGGTTTTTAGTACTTTTATTCCAACAGAAATTCTAACAGCCTGGACCAAAACAGACAGAGTTAGGAAGAAACGAAGGAAGAGTGATTCCAAGAGCAGCACCAAAGGGTTAGAGGTCAAAGAAGCTGGGGTGCTACTGTTGCCACAGAGGGTAGAAAGGGCAGGTCACTGAGCAACAGAGGATTGCTCTCAGGCCTTAAAACCTTGTTGAACTGCTCTGCTTTATTAAAAACTTGCTTTTGACTATCAATCTATTCTTTATTTTTTCTCTTTTTCTTAATTGAAATGTGCTATGGTCTAATGTTTGTGTTTCCCCAAAATTCATATGTTGAAATCCTAATCCTCAAGATGATGGGAATAGGAGGCAGGGTCTTGGGAAGTGATTAGATTATGATAACAGAGCCATGAATGGAATTAGTGACCCCAAAGAGCTCTTCCATCATTTGAGAACACAGTGAGAAGGTACCAACTATACACCAGAAAATGGGCCCTCACTAGACTCTGAATCTGTTATCACCTTGATCTTAACCTTTCCAGCCCCCACAACTGTGAGAATAAACTTAGAAACTATTGTTTATAAGTTACCAAGGTTATAGCATTTTATTACAGCAGCCCAAAGAGACTGAAACAGAATATCTATCCTATGTTAGCCCCACGATTTTATTTTGGAAGGAGAAACTGTGTTGTTTGGTTTCATAGGTCTATAGATGGAGGAGAATTTTGATCCAAAATTGTCTATACTTAGAATCTTATTTATATTTGATTTAGATTATTTAGATCATGAGATTGAGACTTTCTGAATTGACAGCTAGATAAGATTTGGGACTTAAGAGTTAGTGGTAGAATAAACTGATACTTTTGAGGATGTTCTGATGGGGTGAATGAATTTTTCACATATGATAGACAAGAGTTATTATAAGGCAGACAATGGACTGTTGTGGATTAAATATTATTGCTCTACATATAGACTTGGAATGTAACAGTTATGGGTTAAATTGCATCCCCCAAAATGATATGTTCAAGTCCTAACCCTGGGTATTTATGAATGTGACCTTATTTGGAAATAAGATCATTGGAGAACTAACCAAATTAAGATGAGGTCATACTTGATAAGCATGGGGATTAATCTAATGACTGGTGCCCTTATAAGAAGAGGTAAAGAGATACAGAGAGAAAGACCCAGGGAAGTCACCATATGATGACAGAGGCAGAGATTGGAGTGGTGTATTGACAAGCCAAAGAACAGAAAGAATTGCCAGCAACACCAGAAGCTAAGAGACATGGAAGAGATTCTTTTCAAGAGTCGTTTGAAAGAGCATGGACCTATTGACACCTTGATTTTGCACCTCTATCTTCCAGAACTGTGACAGAATAAATTTCTGTTGCATTAAGACACCCAGTTTGTGGTCATTTGTTACAACAGGCCTAGGAAATTAATACAATGAGTTTATTTGGAAATAGGATCTTTGCAGATATAAATAGTTAAGAGGTTATACTGGATTAGGGTGGGCACTAATCTAATGATTGGTGCTCTTATAAGCAGAGAAAACCCATACAGAGATATAGACAAAGGGAAGACAGTCACATGAAAATAGAGGCTGAGGCTGGAGTTATGCTGCTGTTAACCAAGGAATGTCAAAAATTGCCCACAAATACCACAAGATAGGAGGAGGATCAGAGAAAGCAAGGCCCCGATAACACCTCAAGTTGAGATTTTTTAGACTCCAGAACTGTGAAACAATCAATTTTTTTTGTCTTATTTTAAGGCTCGCTGATTGTGGTAGTTTGTGATGGAAGCCCTAGGAAACTGTTACACCATATTACTTACCTGAATTTACCTCACATTGTCCTCCGTATCATTCGTATTGCTACAACTACACTGGTCTCCTTGCTGCTCCAAGGACAGATAAATCATGTTTCTGCCTTAGAGTGTTTGCATTTGCTATGCCTTCCTCTGTACCATTCCTTCCAAAGATATATAAATGCTCACTTCCTCACTATTCCAGGTCTTTTTCAAATAGCCCATTCTTAATGAGTTCTTACCTGAGCGCCCAAAAGCAAGCTGTTTCTAAACTTTTATCTCCCTTTCAACATTTTCTAAACTATTTATAACTATCTAATATACTATGTATTTTACCGCTTTATCTTGTAATGCCATTTTCTACAACTACAGTGTAATCTGCTTCCACGCAAGGAATTTTTTCTCCTGTTTTGTTAAAATCCTTACTATATAATGTTTTCTAAATGGAGATTTATTGAATAAATAAATAAATTGTTCAATAAAACTGTATTAGATGACTTAAAATATGGCTTTTCTGATACAAAGACACTAATATTGAAGATGTATATAAGAAGTTTTAACTATCTCATTGAGTTATTGAGCAGGCTAAATGACATAGTATGTGTAAAGTCTATAATAATCACTCAAAATATGATGGCTATTTTCATTAGAATGCAAGCTTGAAGATAGTAAGTTTTATAAATGTGTGGGCCACTCAGCAATGCTTAGAACTTGACCTGCTTTATAGCAGATTCTTCATAAATATTTGTTGAATTAATATTGGCTCTTACATAAATGAAAACAAGTATTAACATGCCAAAGTGAACAGCTTTTAGAAGTATTTCAAAATCATTAAAAACTTTTAAGAAGAGAAATGGCATAATACACCCCAAGTGTTGGCAATAAGTTTTTATGATCATTGTGTGACTGTGGATTGTAGGAGCCATGAATGAAACAGGAAGATCCATTAGGAAATTGATAGAGTAGTCCAAGTGAAAATTATGGGATTCAATTGAGGAAGCATATATGGAGAGAAATGGAAAAAAAAAGTTTTAATATTTAGGGATAATAGACAAAGAATTATATATGGAGTAAAAGAGAGAAATATTTCTCCATAAAAAGAAATCCCATTTTTATGGCTTGAGAAACTGGGGTCATTATTTGCAAAAGACTGGGATATGGAGAAATTAGATGTGGCAAACCGATTTGAATTTTTGATATCTCAAGTTTGAGATACGTGTGGGGCATCTCATTGAACATATCAAGAAAGAAGCTGGATAGGAAGGCCTAGATCTCATGCTTGTAATCCCAGCACTTTGGGAGGCTGAGGTGGGCAGATCATTTGAGGTCAGGAGTTCCAGACCAGCCTGGCCAACATGGTAAAACCCCATCTCTACTAAAAATACAAAAATTAGCCAGGCATGGTGGCAGGTGCCTGTAATTCCAGCTACTCTGGAAATTGAGGTGAGAGAATTGCTTGAACCTGTGAGGTGGAGGTTGCAGTGAGCCGAGATCACACCACTACACTCCAGACTGTATGACAGAGTGAGATTTCATCTCAAGAAAAGGGAAGGAAGGAAGGAAGGGAAGGAGGGAGGGAGGGAGGAAGGGGAGGGGAGGGGAGGGGAGGGAGGAAGGAAGGAAGGAGATAGGAAGGTCTAGAGCTCAGAAGCGAGTCTTGAAGTGGGGATCAAATTTGTGAGACT
Source organism: Homo sapiens (assembly GCF_000001405.40). NCBI lineage: Eukaryota > Metazoa > Chordata > Mammalia > Primates > Hominidae > Homo > Homo sapiens. Next base: position 102,597,139 of record NC_000001.11, read on the forward strand.
GTGACATATATATAATTTCTAAAGCCAAGACAATGAAGAAAGAGTAGTGAAAGTTTAGGAACTCAAGGTGTCAGAAAGGCATGGAATTAGAGTCAAAAGTAATGCACGAGAGAAAGCTAGAATTGTGGGGGAAACCAGAAGCATACTCTTGTGGAAGTCAAAAGTCTGAAAAGAACAGTGTCAGGAGCCAACTAACTTTTTAACTCCTCTTTTATTATGAGAATGAGCAATGGGAATCACCATAAAGCCACACCTAATTGCTCGTTGCATATTTGTTACCTGCTTGTCACTTTTTGCCCAGAAATACTGTCTTTCCTTGGCCATCAACCTTGAGTCCACATTCTCAATGCAGCCATGACAATTCAAGAGCCCTGCCTGGTCTTAACAACACATTCTGTTTAATTTAATTTTCTGTCTCCCACTACAATTCCTTCAAACTTTTCAGTTGTCCCCTACAAACTCTTTAATTTATATTCTAATTCTCCTGATGTTTCTTTGTGCTGTATACATTTGAACTTAAAAAAAAAAAGAGGAAATGAGTACAAAAAAGAGAGAAGATCGGTTCAAATGATAAAATAAAGCTGTTTGATTTATCTCATGAGGCATTTAATTGTGTTTTTGGTCATTGTACATGGCAATTCACATCCTAATACACAGCTTGAAACAACTATATTAGATGTGTTATTTTAAGTGTTTTTATAGAAAGTAAAGAATAGCTTTTGATTCACATGATAAATTGTGCACATAAATGCCTTCCAGTTGTTAATATGTAGACCATTGGTTTTGTAGAAGAACTGCAAATAAATTAATAAACATATTTTGAAAACTTTTTACAGAAGTAAACTGCAGCATAATGGTTTTTATTCATGGGACTTTGGCTAATTTAGTTGATTGACTGATGGAAATTCTGTAAGGAATAACAAAGTTCTGCCTTACAGACAGCCCTAGAGATTTTTTTTTTGTAATATATTTCAGAGAAACATTGTGTTTTAACCAGTTTTGAACTCTGCTTTTTCTCTTGTAAGCAATGAATGTGTTAAAGGATGAATTTCCTTAGAAATTATTTGCAATGAAATGTTTTGTGACTTCAGGTAAAGGCCAATTCTAACAATGATTTTAGCTCCTCTGGCAGAGTTTATCAAAACTCTCTCTTCAAGTGCCCAAGGGCAAAGAAATAAGAATTCACATGCCTAGAGATTCTGGAAACATTGACATTCACAAAAATTCTTTGGAGGTTGTGTTTTATCAGAAAATGTAAGCAGTTTAAAATTTTTATTATATAATGTATGTTTTGCTTTATTATGGTGTGGTACTCTTCTTTTTCTACACAATTTCAGTAAAATCTGTGCTTAAAAATGTGCAGTATTTGTAACAGAGGGGCCTCTGTACTCCTGGAACATCCTCATATAGGCCCTGAAACATCCATTTGTGAAAATTAAAGAAACATTTGATAAAGAATAATTAACAAAGTAGAGAAAAAACAGAAAATCAGAAAGAAGATTATTCCAAAAGAGATTACAACAGGAAAACTGGACACTGTCATCTGATTTAAGACCTCTTGAATTTTTGGGTATATTCCTATGATTTCCTTTAAGCCTTTATTCCTCAGTTTTTTACTGTCTTTTACATTTATGTATGATGTAAAAGTGCCCTTGTGTTTGACTTTTATTGGATTAAAATATACATATATCCAATATAAGGTTAAGTTTTTTGAATGCATGTCCCATGGAATTCCATTCAAATTAAAGGATTTTTTTAAATGTTATAAGATTCCATGATGCAGAACACAACAGAGGACCAAAATGTGTGTGGGGAAGATCAAAGCTAAGTGCATGTGGAGGGAGATGTTGAGAAGAAAACCAATTTCGTTGCAGAATCCTTTCTTGCATTCTAGGAACTGATGAGGAACAAATGCTCAAAGTCTCACTCCTGAGAAGGTAGAATTTCTCATTTCCCAGACATTTGAATAGGCCTGATGTAAAAAAAAAAAAAAAAAAAAAAAAAGAAAGAAAAAAAATTCTAGAACCTTCCTGGCTTCATTTCTTCAGAGAATAAAACCTCCATCTTCTAATATTGTGAGAATATTTTGTCTTCTGTTACGCTCTGCATCATAAAATCTTATACCATTAAAAAATTTCTTTAATAAGATTTCAAGGGACAAGTTCTCAAAAACCTTAAACTTATATTGGACATTTGTGTATTTTAAGCCAATAAAAGTCAAACACAAGGTCACTTTTACATTATACATAAATTTAAAATAGAGTGAAAAACTGAGGAATTACCAATATGCATCAGAGGGTGTTGGTAACCTGCTGGAGAGGTCTAAGATGTATTTTATTGTTGTTGTTGTTGTTTTGTTTTTTTTTTTTATTTGTTTGGTTTTGGTTTTGGGATAAACTCTCTCTCTCTCTCTTTTCTATTATTCACTCTCAGTCTAATTTCAGTGACTTTCCAAGATTTTTCAGGAGTAAACTGATAAACTAAAATTTTGCAGGAGGTTTTACATTTGTTTAGTAGGAATTTTAAAAAGAGAGAGAAAACAATACACGGGAGACAAAATTGCCAAAAAAAAATTAACAAAATCTCCCAGTGTTGCAGGACATGAAATATTCCAAACCACTGGAAAAAAAAAATTCCACATCAGGGTACACCATGGGAAAATTTTAAAATATCAGGGTTAAAGAAAATAAACTAAAAGCTTTCACAGAAGGAAAACAATAGATAATACAAATAATTGAGAAAAAAGATGGAACTAGAGTTGACAAAAGTAACATGAGAAGCAATAGAAACATTTAACAGTGTCATAACAAATTTCTGAGAAAAAAACTATTTATAACAATCCTGCAATCAGCCAAATTTTCAAACAAGTATGAGGATAAAACAGACATTTCACAGACACAGTCTCTCAAGATTTACCTCCCATGTATTTCTTTGCAGAAATATATTGAAACTTGGGTCCTAGAAATAAAGAATGAAGTAAGCCACTGAAGAAGAGGACGCAGGATTGAGAAAACATATTCTACAAAGAACATCAATAGAAAGACATCCTGGATGCTATTAAAAAAGATTTCCAGAGTGAGAGACAATCAGCAGCCTTGATAACTGGGTGTTCAGATTGAAGGAGAACAGAGGGACAATGGGGAAAGTCTTCAAAGGAATAGAGAAATGGAAAATTCCTTAATATCTTTGCCCATGGGGGAAATCAAGTAAAAAGGGGTTCTATGAGTCTTGCAGATCACGTATCTTTTAATTACATACATGTATTACTTCGATAAAAGTAAATATTATTTTCAGTATGATATTACTTTTAAAAAGTCAGATATAAAGTGAGAAAGTTATATTTGCCTTTTTTAAATGAAATTTTTGTTTTAGAATAGTTTTAGATTTATAGAATAAATCATCAGATAGTACAGAGAGTTCACATAAACTCCTTACTCAGATTCTCCTGTTAACTTCTTACAATAATGTGGTGCCTTTATCACAGTTAAGGAAACCATGTGGATACATAAGTTCCATACTTTATTCAGATTTCTTTAGTTTTTACCTATCTTCTTTTCTCTACTAGGATTTCATCTAGGATACCTCATTAAGTTGATTCACAATGTCTCCTTAGGCTTCTCTTGGCTGTGACAGTTTTCTCAGACTTTCCTTGCTTTAAATGATTTTGACAATTTTGAGGAATAGGTTGTAGAATGCCCCTTAATTTGGATTTGTCTCATGTTTATTATGATTATGCTGGGGTTATCCAGAGGAAGGCTGCAGAGGTAAAGTACCATTCTCATCAAGTGGTATCAAGGTTACATACTATCAATGTGACTTATCACTGTTACTGTTTATCTTGATCACCTGACTGAGGTAATGTTTTTCACATTTCTCCAATGTAAAATTACTCATTTGTCCCCTTTTGCATTCTCTGTAAGGAAGTCACTATATGCATCACATACATCAAGCACATAAAGTTATGCTCCATTTCCTTGATGGCAAAGCAACTCCATGAATTATTTGGAAATCTTCTGCACAGGAAATTTGTCTATTCTCTCCCATTTATTTATTTATTTATTTATTTAATCATGTATTTATATCATATGGAATCATGGATATTTATATTTTGGCTAAGACACAAATTGTTCCAGTTTTATATTTTGGCTCAAATTGTTCCACCTTTGGCCACTGAAAGATCTTTTAGTTTACTCCTGTGTCTCTTTGGTATACTCCCATCAATGTGTTTTGTTTTGAGTTTTCTGAAGCACTTTTTTTTATCATCTGGCATGAAAAAAGTGTTCCAATCTCATGGTATGTATTTCTTGCCCCAGCCCTAAAATCAAGCATTTCTTTAAGAAGGTCTGGAGAATGGTATTAGAAGCCAAGCCAGGATGCCAGGTACATGTTTGCATTTTCATTGTACTTTCCCATCAAATGGAAATGAAGAAAGATAACGTCAAAAAAATCGAGAAAAAAACGTCAGTACAAATAAGACTTTATAGAATCTTACAATTATTATATTTGACTTTCTGAAATGTTGCAGAGAGGAATATTTGTTAAGTTTTAATTATTAAACATTAATTCACTGAAAGTTAGGTTGTGCTCTGTAGCAGCACCTCCCCACTATCTTGCATGTTTTTGGATCTTAAAACAATTATTTTAATGTTGCAGTTTTGAAAATATATGTAATTAATCAATAGGACATTGCTAGTTTTTCCCCTTTACAGGTTTATAGTTGAGTCATTAAATTCATTACTTTATAACTGTTTTCTTCTTCTGCCTTTCCGGAAATATAATGAAGTAACTCCCATTGGAGTTAGAACTTGCCTGGATATTTGTCTTTGCTGAGCTAATTGACCACCCACCACAAATGCTCTGTAGAAGATCTTCTCTCTTTTCTTGTCCTTCAGTCTTTCTATAAATATATTTGTTTCTTAGAGTACAGAAGTTTTATTCATAGAGGATATTTTGAGAAAATAAAACTCTCTTGATTTAAGATCCCAAAATCATGTTTACTTGTACACAAAGCCACATAATAAATAACTGTAAAAATAGGTAGAGAATACTATTGCTTTTAATTACACATTATGATTTTTTACCCTTTCTAACATTCACATTACTTCAATTGCATCTTTACTCTAGTCCATGCTTCTTTTAAATATTCTTTAGTTCATTCCTCTCCATTCCTCAAGTAATGGATCTCTAATACTTCACTTTTTTCAATTTCACTCTTTCATCTTGCCTGTTTCTTAGAAAAGTCAGACACTAAATAGGATATGATATTCTTAAAAGTTCTTCTTCCCTTCCAAATTTTTCTAAGTACAAGTCTATTCTCACTCAGGAATGTGTATTATAAGCCGAGTACTGTGCCAAGCTCTTGCAATATGAGATAAATAAGACAAACCCCGCCTTCTAGGAGATCACCATCTAAAGTGTTCATGAAACTAAATCTTTCAGGATATTATTAATGCAAAAGCACCTTATATTTCTGAGGATTATTCCTCATTAATAATTTCTCTCTCTGTTACATATTCAAAAATCTCTCTCCACTGGACTCTTCTCCTTGGCTTATGACCATAGTAAGGACCGTTTAAGGACTTAAGGATAAAGTGCCTAGTAAAAGAGCACAGTTTTTTAAGAGAATGTTAGATAGTTTAAATGATTGAAAGCTACAGTGCTTATAGGAAGATAGTAGACATTAATTTTGGAAATATAGGTGGAATTAGAACATAAAAAGTCATCCATGCCTTGTAAGATATCCAGGAATGGACAGGAGGAAGAAATTGAAACACATGACTAGCTTAATGTTTTTCAGTGATTAGGCGCTGAATTTTCCTACTGGCTTTTTGTCTCGAAGCCCTGTCAGGTACAACTAAGAATAGATTCTGACTTTATATTTACAGCTGAAACACGGTTCATTAATAATAGGTAAAGCTGAAGAACTGCAAAATTATTTGAGTAGGGAAGCATGTGAGTTATTTTTTGCCTCTAATGTCCTTGTACATTGCTTAAAATCTGGTGATTATGGATAAAGACAAGTTGATTTTAATGCAGAGACTGAGTCAATATGAAAGAAGCTTCAAGTACTAGTTTTAATTAGAAGGGCTTGTCCTGTTCCGGTGCCATTTGATATTACCATGTGCTTTTGGTTCTTCTCTACAAATGAGAGTCTGTAATACTCATTTCCAATTTTAGTTGCTGTTAACAGATGGGTCTTTCCACACTATCTGTTGATTTTCTGTTGAGAATGTAGAGGCTTCTCTCATTCATAAAACTTCCAGAAGCCCTGTTGCCTTGCTTTTACACAGGTTTGATCCTTCATGGTCTGGTAAAGGAGGTGATTTTGTCCACTTGCTCATATTTTGGAGTTTATGAAACAGCCTGTCATTTGCTTTGTTTGTCTGTGCTATCGGTTTATTTTTAATTTTTCTATTATAGTTATTCTGCTTCTGTGCATAGACTTGGCTACCATAAAATCTATCTACTGCTACTGTAGTTTTCCCAAATTTTTGTAATTTTATTTAACAAAAATTATAATACTAAATCATTTTAACTTGTGGTCACAAAATATAAAACATTTTCAATTGATATTAAAGAAACTGGATTTTTTGCTTGAATATTTGTAATGACATGCACTTATTATTGTACTAAAGAGATAAACAGATAATAATATTCCAAATGTTTATTATAAAATTTTTATAATAGTATTAAAATGTTACCTCAGTCTACTCTGAAGTAGAATGAATCAGTATCACTCTGAATGTTTTAACTTTGGAAGACTTAATCTTAACTCTATCATTAATATTCCTGCTAGGAAGTGTAATACATAGTAGTGGGTTGAACCGTGTCCCTCCCCCGACAAAAGGAACTTTCATTCAGAAACCGTGACTATGGCATTGTCTTGGAATAGTTTATTTGCAGATGTAAGTAAGAATCTGAAAATGACATTAACCTGAATTAGCTTGGACCTTAAATCCAGTGATAAGAGGTCTTATAAGAGAAGAAAAGAGGAAATCTCACAGAAGGAAAGTCAATGAAAAGATAAAGGCAGTGATTAGAGTAATGCATCTGTGAATTAAGAAAGGCCAAGGGCTATGGGAAGCTACTGAAAGCTAGGAGACAGGCATAAAATGCATTGTCCCTCAGAGAAATAACCACCCTTATCTACACTGTGATCTTATACTTCTGGCCTACAGAACTATATGATAATAAATTTTGTTGTTTTAAGCCACTTCATTTATGGTAATTTATTATGGTAGCCCTAGAAAATTAATACATGCCCTATCAAATGTCAGATATTTTTGTTTCTAAATATATTTAAATTAATTAAAATATACTTTTAGCAAATGAATTGAACAAGGATACTCTTCATGAGACATCTATATATTTTTTTGTTATAATTTAAGTTATTTTTCCTCTTTAAATTTCTACTCATTTTCTTTCTTTCTTCTCAAAATTCTTTAGCCCTTAAGTTTTTATTTGGAGTGCTGTATTTTCCAAGTAGATATACATCTAACATTTATTTCTTTTAAATTAATATGTGCACAACGTGCAGGTTTTTTACATATGTATACATGTGCCATGTTGGTTTGCTGCACCCATTACACTTGGACACAGGGCGGGGAACATCACACACTGGGGACATCCATATACATTTTTTAAAAATATACCTTAGAAACATATCTCATTTCTTAGATAACATTTTATTCATTATAACATTATAGCTAATGTTATAATGTTGTCATATTTATGAATAGACAAGTAATATTAATGAAGAAGAAAGACCAATGCAATCATTTAAAAAAAATTAATGCCTATATGTCAATGTTCTTCTCCATCCCAAATACTGCCCACATGCCAAATAGAAAGAATACTAAGCAAAAACAGAATATATAGGAAAAGGCAATTTTAGATTCTATTTATACATAAAAATACCGGCTAGGTAAATAATCTAGGTGGGCTGGGCACGGTGGCTCACGCCTGTAATCCCAGCTCTTTGAGAGGCCGAGGCAGGCAGATCACCTGAGGTCAGAAGTTCGAGACCAGCCTGACCAACATGGAGAAACCCTGTCTCTACTAAAAATACAAAATTAGCTTGACATGGTGGCGCATGCCTGTAATCCCAGCTACTCAAGAAGGCTGAGGCAGGAGAATCGCTTGAACCCTGGAGGCAGAGGTTGTGGTGAGCCGAGATCATGCCATTGCACTCCAGCCTGGGCAACAAGAGAGAAACTCTGTCCCAAAATAAACAAATAAATAAATAAATAAATAAATAAATAAATAAAATCTAGGTAATCATCTAGGTAAAGCTATTTACCTCTCTTAACATTAGTTTATTTGTCTATAAAATTAGAATAAAAATTATTTTCAAACTACCTGAAATTATTTATTTATATAAAAGTGTTTGGTCACTTTTTTTTGGGGGGGGGTCATAAATTCTAGATAATTTACTTAAAATTGGACATTCCAAATAATATAAATTTGTTACTACTAAGTAGATTTTGTCATTTCTGTACTAAAATAGTCAGTACTTTGTGGAATATTACCCACAAGTTTTTTTCTAATTAACTATATACACATAATACATAGATACTAGAGGAATACAAAATGTGCAAGCATGTATTCTAGTAGTTTAGAGTGTTTGAACAGTCATAATTAAAGTTACATGAAAATTACATATCAAGGCAAAGTATGTAGTTTCTGAAAAATATAGGTACTTGTGACTTAAAGAACTCTTTTGAAGATGGCATAAGATAATGTGTATGAAATTCCAACAGTTATATCTATTTCTTTGCAGAATATCAGGGTATTGGTTCTCTACTTTCATGCTAAAAATGCAAATTACCTACAACTAGTTGGGACTCATCGTGCGCCTTCTAACTACATAAATTATTAGGTGCTTGATAGACTTTCATGAGAGAAGAAAGGTGAAATCTAAAAATAAATTGCTATATAAAAAAGCCTAGGTATAGCAAAAGCAAAGACTTGGAATTTCTGATTTAGATTGTCACTGCTGAATGATACTGTTCTTTGGAACAATGATCTCAGCACATCCACTGGCATTGTCTTGGAATAGTTTATTTGCAGATGTAATTAAGAATCTGAAAATGACATTAACCTGAATTAGTTTGGACCTTACATCCAATGACAAGATTTCTCATAAGAGAAGAAAAGAGGAATTCTCACAGAAGGAAAGGCAATGAGAAGATAAAGCTTGCAGCTGGAGCAGCGTTTGCCGCATTTATTTTCCTTCTTTAAATTTCTACTCATTTTCTTTCTTTCTTTCTTCTCAAAATTCTTTAGCCCTTAAGTTTTTATTTGGAGTGTTGTATTTTCCAAGTAGATATACATCTAACATTTATTTCTCTTAACTTAATATTTTTCCCAGCTTTATTGTAATTCATTTATTTCAGTATCTCCTTGAAAACATCCACTTGTATACATTACTGAGTATTTGACAGCACCTGTTTCTCTGTTTGTAAATGTCAAATCTTTGTTTCTTTTATACATAAGTTAAATCAAATTTTAAAGTCACAGATACAGCTTAGTTTTAGCAGAACAGTATGCTGTAATGTAATTATTTCTTTAGTATTTATCAATTATTTATCTATTGGTATTGAATTGTCAGTCTCTATTGTCTCCTAATTCTTAATTTATTTGTAATGAAATAAGGCTTTAGTTTGTTCTTTTTGAAATAATTTAATTGGTCCAATTAAAGATTATATATATATGTAGTAGTAAGGAGAAAGAGAGAGTAAAAGAGAGATAGGAGAGACATATTAAACACAAACCAAACATAATGGCATTTTCATTTCTCTTACCCTAAATATTAGCAGTGCTTTATCTGAGCACAAAAAGCATTTGTGATTCAGATGAAAACATATGCTTTGTGAGCAAAATATATACATTGATTATATAAACATAATTTGCTAAAATTATAAAAACACACAGATATGCTTCTCTTTGAAGCATATCTCTGGTTTTCTCCTTCATGCTGAAAAAGATCATGATTTAATGACACATGAAATGCGCAACAATGTTATGTCATTAAGAAGGCAACAACACAATTTTGTTGTTAAGAAAGAGGCTTGCTAATAGTGGGAATGCAGCCATATAATTCTAATGAAAAAACAGTGTAAGAAGGAAAAGCTTCTAATGCCTAAGAAGTTTTGGGAAAGTACAAAACAGAATACAACTACTTTAAATGGAAATGGAAATAAAATCTTTCAGAGACTTAAAGAATAGACTTTGGATTGACTGTGATCTGGTAAGTTAGCATTGAAGATGGTTCTTAGAAATTGGGTAAGGCTCTGCTGAATAGAGAAATGGAGAAAAATTCTTCATGGTAGTTTCACCAAGAAAGACAGAAAAGTTGCAGACATATTGTATGAATAGTAATTACAACAAATATTTAAGCTGTACTTAGTGTGTTCTAAGTACTGCTTTTACACATATTAACTAATTTAATTCTTACAACAACCTTCTCCAATTGATACAAGTATTACCGTCATTTTTCAGATGATGACCATGAGGCAGAGAGCTTGAATAACTGAGACTAAATTCAATAAAACTAGCAAGGGATGGATCTAGAATTTGGACTTAGAAAGCCTGGCTCCAAATCCTAACCATTATGCTATTCCACCTCCTTAAGGCAGAACTGTAATGTGACTAGATTCTAGGGTAAGAATGGAAACATGTATTTTGAATGCTGTCATTGTGTCACTGGGCACTGGATAGTATTGGCAAACTTTGGCAATAAATATTAACATACCTTCCCACTCAACCATTGTTTGCTTAACACAGCATACAACAAAACCACTCCCAATAAATCAGAACTGTCTGGAGGTGGAAAATTATGTTATATGCCTGCTAGAACACTAATTATCTCTCAGTATAAGAATAAAATGGAAGGATTAAGAGCTGCAGAGTGAAAGAATAACAATATATTTTTGTGATAATCTAAACTAAGAAGAACAAAACAAAACAAAATGGGACCAAATTAAGGCAATTTCTGTGAATTAGAAAAATAAATAATGGAGGAATTTCACAATTAGATTAGAACCTCTTAGTAGGCAGGAACTGAACCTTGAACCTGCACTATATGCCTTTCTCACAGATAAATATCTGTATTCTTATTGGAATCTCAATATTCCTCTGAGATTAATTTGGTCCAAGCATGATAGTCTATCCCAAGAAAAAAAAGGAGCCTTAGTATTTTATACAGATGGAAAACATGATATGGAATATGTGAGAAAGGGTGGAAATTGACGAGAAGAAAAATGACTCTGTCTTTTAAAAACAGTTGGTTTAAATAGTCTGCCCTGCACATAACCTATCCAGTATTTTCAGAGAAGAACAGAGATAAGGAAACTCAAACTCCATATAGAGTTAGAGCAACAGTTTTACCAGCTAAACCATCTGTTCTATTTCATTTATCCACAAATGCTGTGACTGGAGATGCTTGGGGTAGATGAAATAGGAGGGTGTAAGCTAGGAACTTTGGATCAGGGGAGAAAACATTTTTGCCTTGTCCCTTCTAGTTCTTCACATTACACAGAATCTTTGCACAGAAGCTGTACAATTCTCTCAGTGCTATAATTTCAAGTCCTCTAATAAGTACACAATAGGTGTTTTTAACAATATGGCTAAATTTTGAAACTGCTTTGTATATTTCTAGTTGCTTCATTTGATTTCACAATTTGAGTCTTAAATGTTTGGTGAAGACATATTCTAGATGCTTTTTTAGTTGAATGTGATATGATTTTCTATACCCATACACATATCTTTAATTTTTTTTTACATTTGAATTAGTGTCTAATGAACTCTGTGAGTCAATAGTGCAAGATAAAGTAATGTAGTTCAGTGTTTAAGAATTTGAAAAAAAAAAAGAAAAAAGAATTTGGATTATGGAGTAAGAAAAAGCAAGAATTGTATCAAGATTTACCTCCTTATGAGGGAAGCCTCATTGGGAAACAAAATTCAACATAGTTGTTTCACATAAAAGGACGTGAAAAAAGATATCACTTGTAGAGTGTGGGCAGGTTTAAAGAGCACAAACAGTAAGGGATGTCGAAGCATCCAAGACTGGCAACTGCAGTAAGCCATTCATTTCTATGGGAGCTGGAGAACAGAAGGAGGAGGAAAAAGAGAAGAAGCTCTAGAAGGAGAAGGAGGATGTGGAGGAGAGGCCAATTGGAAAAAACTGTAGAATCTGGAGGAGAGTCCAACTGGTAAAAACTCTAATTTACCAGTTGCTTCCACTGATGAAACTTAACCAAAGGGAAGCAGTAAGTGAGATGCATTCCATGGGAGTCAATTCTTAAGGCAAAGAACAGACTAGAAAAAGTTTCGAACTGGTATGGGTAGAGAAAAGCAAACTGATAATAATCATTCCACAATCCTGTACTCCCTGAATGAGCCTCAGATATCACATCTACAAAACAGGTGCAATATAATTCCTATATACCAGACTTATGATGATTAAATACAATTAACATAACGGATACAGAGACTATTCATGTTAACCATTCAATAGAGCTGATCGGAAGCTTCTAACTGAAGATAGCAACTTGACTTTCCTATTTTTTCTTTCTCATACCTAGGATCCTACTAAAATTATTGCAAGAAATAAAAATGCTATTAAGTCATAAGCACAAAGAGAAAAGGTCAGGGTTCATTACTTGACTACAGATTTTAACAAATTTTTGCAACATAGGTTGACAAGTGGTAACTGATTTAGCTGAGACAAATCTTTAATGAGTTGATAGAGTCATATGTTAAGTATAGGTCTCAAAATAGGGGGGTCTTTTGAAAGACTGGAACCATCAAACCAGAACATTCTTGCTCTCAAAATGACACTGAGTACATGCATGTCTCTGAGACAAGACAAGGAACAAGAGGTTTATTCTCAGGAGAATTGAATGGGATACACTTAGAACTAACAATAGCAGATAAGATAATTTGAGCGATTGGAAAGAAGGAATTCTTTTTTTAAATGCCAGCAGTTCACATGACTCTATCCTGTAGTTTGGATAAGCAAGAGAGAGGAGTACTCATCTCAAAACCAAATAAAACAAAAAACAAAACAAACAAAAAACATGCCAGAGAAAATAACTATAAACTGATACTTAACTTCCTTTAATGATTTACTTCCATACTGAAACTTTAATGAAATGATTTTCTCCCAATCATCCAATCATCCTAACATGTAGTTTAAGAAACAACAAAGAGATATATGAACACTTTGTAATATGTTTTTCCCTACCCAAAAGTGGCCAGACTGGTGAAAGGAAAATAAATAAATAAATAAATAAATACATCCAAAAGTTAGCAACTCCCGTGAAATCAACACAAGAATGCTGAAAACTCAAAATGCCAGAGTACCTGTTTTCTGTCAAATTGAGAGGTGAAGCTGGCTGGGATTCTGGTTAGGGTGGGGAATTGGACAACTTTTCTGTCTAGCTAAAGGGTTGTAAATGCACCAATCAGTGCTCTGTGTCTAGCTAAAGGTTTGTAAATGCACCAATCAGCACTCTGTAAAAATGGACCAATCAGCATTCTGCAAAATGGACCAATCAGCACTCTGTAAAATGGACCAATCAGTGCTCTGTAAAATGGACCACTCTGCTGGATGTGGGAGGGGCAAATAAGGGAATAAAAGCAGGCCACTCAAGCCAGCAGCAGCAATGCTGTAGGGGCAACTTGCCCTGTGTGGAGGCTTTGTTCTTTTGGTCTTCCCGATAAATCTTGCTGCTGGTCACTCTTTGGGTCTGCAATACCTTTATGAGCTGTAACACTCAGGGCGAGGGTGTGCAGCTTCATTCCTGAAGTCAGCGAGACCACGAACCCACCAGGAGGAACAAACAACTCTGGATGTGCCACTTTTAAGAGGTGTAACATTCACTGTGAAGGTCTGTGGCTTCACTTCTGAAGTCAGCAAGACCATGACCCCACCGGAAGGAATAAACTCTGGACACATCTGAACTTCTGAAGGAACGAACTCGGGACACACCATTTTAAGAACTGTAACACTCACCGTGAGAGTCCTCAGCTTCATTCTTGAAGTCAGCTAGACCAAGAACCCACCGGAAAGCACCAATTCCAGACATAAAATGACCACATCACCTCTCCAGCAATGATCCAAAACCAGGCTGAGCCAAAGATAGCTTAAATGACAGAAGTAGATTTCAGAGTGTGGAAACGAACTTCACTGTGCAAAATGAGTGTGTTGTAACCCAATGCAAGGAAGCTAAAATTTATGATAAAACATTGCAAGTGCTGGCAGACAAAATAGCCAGTATAGAGAAAAACGTTATCAACCTGATAGAGCTGAAAAACACACTACAAGAATTTCATAATTCAGTCATAAGTATTAATAGCAGAATAGACTAAGAGGATTAGATAATTTCAGAGCTTGAAGGCTGGTTTTCTGAAATAAAAAAGGCAGACAAGAGTAGAGAAAAAAGGAATGAAGAAAACCTCTGAGAAATATAAAATTATGTAAAGAGATGGAATCTATGATTAGGGTACCTGAAAGAGATGGGAAGAATGGAGCCAATTTGAAAACCATATTTTGGGATATCATCCAGGAGAATTTCCACAACCTAGCTACAGGGGCCAACCTTCAAATTCGGGAAATGCAGAGAACCCCAGTAAGATACTCCATGAAAAGATCATCCCCAGCACATAATCATCAGATTCCCCAAGGTCAAAATGAAATGAGATTCTCTTCAAGGCAGCTTGAGAGAAAGACCAGGTTACCTACAAAGAAAGCCCATCAGACTAACAGCATTCTCAGTGGAAATCCTATGAGCCAAAAGAGATTGGGGGCCAATATTCAACATTCTTAAAGAAAAGAAATTCCAGCTCAGAATTTCATATCCATCCGTACAAAGCTTCATAATTGACAAAGGAATAAGATCCTATTTAGAGAAGCAAATGCTGAGGGAATTCATTAACACCAGATGTGCCTTACAAGAGTTCCCAAAGAAAGCACTAAATATGAAAAGAAAAAACTAACAGCCACTATAAAACACACTGAAGTACACAGACCCGTGACACTGTAGAATTGTGACACTATAGAGCAACCAACAAAATAACTAGCTAACATCATGATGACAGAAAAAAAAATATACATACTGCTACTAATCTTAAATGTAAACAGGCTAAATGCCCTGAGTAAAAGACACAGAGTGGCAAGTTGGATGAAAAACAAGACCCACTGGTATGCTGTATTCAAGTCAGCCATCTCACATGCAGTGACACACATAGGCTCAAAATAAAGGAATGTAGAAAAATTTACCAAGCAAACAGAAAAGAAAAAAAGCAGGGGTTGCAATCCTAGTTTCTGACAAAACAGAATTTAAATAAACAAAGGTCAAAAAAGACAAAGAAGGGCCTTACCTAATGGTAAAGGGTTCAATTCAACAAGAAGAGCTAACTATCCTAAATATATATGCACCCAATATAGGAGCACCCAGATTTATAAAGCAAGTTCTTGAAGACTTTCAAAGAGACATAGACACACACAATAGTGGGAGACTTTAACACCCACTGACAATATTAAACAGATCTAAACTAAGCCCTAGATCAAGTGGCCCTGATAGAAATCTGTAGATCTCTCCACCCAAAACCAACAGAATATACATTCTTCTGATAGCCACGTGGCACTTACTCTAAAACTAATCATGTAATTGAAAGTAAAACACTGCTCATCAAATGCAAAATAACTGAAATCATAATAGTCTCTTGGACCACAGCACAATTAAATTAGAAATCAGGATTAAGAAACTCACTCAAAACCATAAAATTACATGAAAATTGAATAATCTGGTTCTAAATAACTTTTGGATAAATAATGAAATTAAAGCATAAATCAACAAGTTATTTGACACTAATGAGAACAAAAATACACCATACCAGAATCTCTGGGATATACCTAAGGCAGTGTTAAGAGGGAAATTTATAGTTCTAAATACCCACCTAAAAAATTAGAAAAATCTCAAGTTAACAACCTAACATCAAAACTAAAAGAACAAGAGAACCAAGAGCAAACAAATACCAAAGCTAGCAGAAGACAAGAAATAACCAAAATCAGAGCTGAACTGAAAAAGATAGAGATACAAAAAACCATTCAAAATATCAATGAATTCAGGAGCTTTTTTTTTTGAAAAAAATAATAAAATAGGCTGCCAGCTAAACTAATAAAGAAGAAAAGAGATAAGATTCAAATAAACACAATCAGAAATGATAAGGCGGATATCACCACTGATCCACAGAAATCTAAACAAGCATTAGATTATTTTATGAACACCTTTGTACATATAAACTAGACAAACATTCTATGCAGAAAAATTCCAAGTAATTTATGTAGACAAATGTATATAAATATTTATATGTATCTCATCACTCCTGAAGTAATCCTTCTGTGTTTTTTTTTCATAACATGAATCAACCCCTTTCATATTATACATTTCTTTGTTTGCTACCTGTTTCTCTGTTTAAAATGCAAGCTCAATGTCTGGCATGTAGAAAAAGACTGACAAGTATTAATTTAATTTATGAGTTATTTATCTTGTAACAATGCTCAAATTTTTTTCAAAAGAGTTTATAGTAGAGTTTACCATTCAGTAAAAGTATGTACAGTCATAAATGGCTCTATATATAGAAAACTTATGCAGAGAGAGTATGGATAGATGTTTTATGTTTATTTACTTTTTTATGAGAAGGCATTGAAATCCTCAGATTGGGCCAAAGTTTGAGCTGTTTTTTTTTTTTCCAGTATGTTAAAAAAGTGCTATTGGCAGTAAAAGTAGTCTGGTTAGGTAATGTATTAACAGTATCCTAGAGTCCCAAGATGGGTCTAAAAGAAATTGTGAAATTATATTCTCTTGCAATTGAAGAAGTAAATAGCGTTTCTAAAATTATTTGAGGAAAGGAAGAGCCAAGATGGCTTTATAGACACAGCCAAAAAGAGTTTTTCCTACCAAGAGAGGCCACACCATCAAGCAGACTGGCACATTCCAAACAGATTTTCA
The DNA here is from genome assembly GCF_000001405.40 of Homo sapiens. Classification (NCBI taxonomy): domain Eukaryota; kingdom Metazoa; phylum Chordata; class Mammalia; order Primates; family Hominidae; genus Homo; species Homo sapiens. The sequence continues at coordinate 102,614,157 of NC_000001.11, forward strand.
GAAAAAAAGGCATTGAGTAAACACAGGGAGAACACAGACCCTGAGGCTGAAAGGGGAGAAAGCTGGGAACCCTGTGCAGGATTGCCAAGCACCAGGATTTGTTTCTGGCCCTGAGTGGCCCCTAGGGAAAGGGTTAGTGAAATAAGCATGCATCAGCCCATTCTCACCCCACACTTCTGGGATCCTAGCTATGGGAGACCCTACAAACCCTATGGATGTTTGAATTTACAGAGAGAAGTACCTGGAGAATTGGTAGAAAGATAACTCCAGTCTTTGTGGATTTCAGAGGGTATGTCATGGGAATGGCTGCAGTGGAACACGGCCATGGGTGCCCATTCCCCAAAGTTCTCCATGCCTTTCTAAATGGCTTTAGACTTTGTTAGCTGCCAAACCTGGAGAGAGAAGGGTTGTCTTGCTGAGAGAAAGGTACAGTTTGATTTGAATGTCTTCCTGTCCACCAGCTTCTTCCAGGGTGCCATCTGAATGCACGCACTTGCTGCACAACTTCAGCTGCCCCAGAGAAATGCTTGCCAGTGGCCACCACAATGGCTGTTTTTCTGGTAGCCATCATATTCCCATTGAAGCTCTTCTGCCGATGGACCCCCACTGGTGTGCACTCACCTATAGCTTACCCATGTTGCCCCATTGGTGTGCATGCATGCAGGTACCCACTGGTGTGTATGCATGCAGGAACCCATTGGTGTGCATCCATGCAGGAACCCACCACCACTCAACTGGTACACACTTGCCAATGAACCTCTCACCATTTCACTAGTGTGCACTAACCTGCAGCAACCATTCAAAAATATAAAAGCAAAAAGCCCCATTAAAAGGACAGTAACTTCAAAGATTAAAGGAACATCAGCCCACACAGATCAGAAAGAATCAGCACAATAATTCTGGCAACTCTAAAAGCCAGAGTATCTTCTTAATTCCAAATGACAACACAAGCCCAGCAATTTTTATTCACAAGATTAAAATGGCCAAAATGATAGACATAAAATTCATAATTTTGATGGCAAGGAAGCTCAATGAGTTACAGGAGAATTGCTTGGATTGAAACCCAATCCGAGAAAAGCAATAAAACAACCTAAGAGTTGAAAGATTAAATACCTATTGTAAGAAAGAACCAAATTGAACTTGTAGAAATGAAAAATTCACTACAAGATTTTTATAATGCAATTGGAAGCATTATTAACAGAATAGACAAAGTTGAGAAAAAAAATCTCATAACTTGATGAATTCACCTTCAAATCAACAGAAAAAGACAAGAAAAGAATTTTTAAGAATGAACAAAACAACCATGAAATAGGGGACTATGTAAAGAAATTAAACCTATGATGCATTTGCATACCTGAAAGAGATGGAGAGACAACAAGCAACTTGGAAGACATATTTGAGGATATATTGTTCACAAACATTTTCCCAACCTACCTAAAGAGGTCAACATGCAAATTCAGAAAATTCAGACAACATCTGCAAGATACTATACAAAACAATCATTCCCAAGACACACAGTCATCAGACTTGCCAAGGTCAACATAAAAAAAAAATCTTAAAGGCAGCTAGATAGAAAGGGCAGGTTATGTACATAGGGAACCCCATCAGGCTAATAGCAGACTTTCAACAGAAACCTTACAAGCCAGAAGAGATTGGGAGCTTATCTAGAGCATCTTTAAAGAAAGAAAATTCCAAGCAAGAGTTTCATATCCAAGCCAACTAAGCTTTATAAACAAAGGAGAAATAAAATCTTTTTCAGACAAGCAAATGCTAAGGGAATTCATTACCACCAGATCTATTCTACAGGAGATCCTTAAGGAAGTGCTAAACGTGAAAATGAAAGACTGATACCTGCCACCACAGTACACAGCCCACTGTCAATATAAAGCAACTATCTAATCAAGTCTACATAACAACCAGCTAACAACATGATGAAAGGATCAAATCTTCACCTATCAATATTGACTCTGAATGTAAACAGGCTAAAAGCCCCACTTAAAGACACTGAGTGGCAAGTTGGATAAAGAAAGATTCGATTGTATGCTGTCTTCAAGAGACCCATTTCACATGCAATGACAACTATAAGCTCAAAGTAAAGGGATGGAGAAAGATCTGTTCAGAAAAAAAAAAAAAAAATTTAAAGGAAAAATGTGCCGGGCATGGTGGCTCACGCCTATAATCCCAGCACTTTTGGAGGCCAAGGTGGGCAGATCATGAGATCAGGAGATCGAGACCATCCTGGCTAACACGGTGAAACCCCATCTCTACTAAAAAAATACAAAAAAAAAATTAGCCTGCCGTGGTGGCAGGTGCCTGTAGTCCCAGCTACTCAGGAGGCTGAGGCAGGAGAACGGCATGAACCCAGAAGGCGGAGCTTGCAGTGAGCAGAGATGATGCCACTACACTCCAGCCTTGGCGACAGAGTGAGACTCCGTCTCAAAAAAAAAAAAAAAAAAAAAGGAAAAATGAGCAGAAGTTTCTATTCTTATTCCAGACAAAACCGATTTTAAACCAACAATGGTTAAAAAGTTCAAAGAAGGGCATTACATAATGATAATGGGTTCAATTCAACAAGAAGACTTAACTATTCTAAATATATATACACCCTTGTGGAGCGACCAGAATCATAAAACAAGTTCTTAGAGACCTACCTACAAAGAGACTTAGATAACCACATAATAATACTGGGAGACTTCAACACCTTACTCATAATGTTAGATCATTGAGGCAGAAAACCAACAAAGATATTCAGGACCTAAATTTGACACTTGACCAAACAGAACTAACAGATATCTAAAGAATACTCTACCCAGCAAAAACAGGATATACATTCTTCTCATTTGCACAAGGCACATGCTCTAAGATCGACCACATGCTCAGCCATAAAGCAATTCTCAACCAATTTAAAAAAGCCCAAATCATACCAACAACACTCTTTGACCACATAACATTGAAAATAAAAATCAATACCAAGAAGAGCACTCAAAGCCATATGATAGAATGGAAATTAAACATTTGCTTGGGAATGACTTTTGGGTAAAGAACGAAATTAAGGCAGAAATAAAAAAAAAATATTTGAAACTGATGAAAACAAAGAAACAACATCCCAGTATCTATGGGATACAGGTAAAGTAGGCTTGTATTTAAAAAAGCAACTTTTAAGTTCAGGGGTACATGTGCAAGAATGCACAGCTGTTACATAGGTAAACATGTGGCATGGGGGTTTGTTGTAAAGATTATTTTATTACCCAGTTAGTAAGCCTCTTAGTATCCACTAGTTATTTTTCCTGATCTTCTTTCTCCTCCAACCCTCGGCTCTCCAGTAGACCTCAGTGTGGGTTGTTCCCCTCTATGTATCCATGTGTTGTTATCATCATTTACCTCCCACTTATAACAGAGAAAATGCTGTATTCAATTTTCTGTTTTGGTATTAGTTTGATGAGGATAATTGTCTCCAGCTTCATCCATGTCACTGCAAAGAACACAATCTTATTCTTTTATATTACTGCATACTATTTCATGGTGTATATGTACCACTTTTTTTTTTTTTTTTTTTTGAAACAGTCTCGCTCTGTCACCCAGGCTGGAGTGCAGTGGCATGATTTCGGCTCACTGCAACCTCCACCTCCTGGGTTCACACCATTCTCCTCCCTCAGCCTCTCGAGTAGCTGGGACTACAGGCACCCGCCATCAAACCTGGCTATTTTTTTTGTATTTTTAATAGAGACGGGGTTTCACCATGTTAGCCAGATGTTCTCGATCTCCTGATCTCGTGATCCATCCACCTCGGCCTCCCAAAGTGCTGGGATTACAGGCGTGAGCCACCACGCCCGGCTGTACCACATTTTTTAAATCAAGTCTATCTTTGATGAGCAAATAGGTTGATTCCATGTCTTTGCTATAATGAATAGTGCTGCAATGAACATATTCATGTGTGTTTCTTTATAATAGAATGATTTCTATTCCTTTGGGTGTATACCCAGTAAAGGGATTGCTGGGTTGAATTGTATTTCTGTCTCTAGATCTTTGAGAAATCACCACACTGTCTTCTAACATGGCTGAACTAATTTGCACTCCCATTAACATTGTCAAAATGTTCCTTTTTTTTTTGTTGTTCACAACCTTGCTTGCATCTGGTATTTTTTGACTTTTTAATAATACCCATTCTGACTGGTGTGGGATGGTACCCAATTGTGGTTTTGATTTGCTTTTTTAACAGTAATATTGAGAGTTTATTTTTATATGATTCCTAGCCACATGTATGTCCTCTTTAAAAAGTGTCTGTTCGTGTCCTTTGCCCACTTTTTAATGGAGTTGTTTTTCTTGTTCTTGTAAATTTGTTTAAATCCCATATAGATGCTGGACATTAGACCTTTGTCAGATGCACAGTTTGCAAAATTTTTCTCCCATTCTGTAGGTTGTGTGTTTACTCAGTTGATAGTTTATTTTGCTGTGCAGAAGCTGTTTAGTTTAATTACATCTGATTCATCAATTTTTACTTTCATTGCAATTGCTTCTGACATCTTTGTCATGAAATCTTTGCCCTTGCCTATGTCCTGAATGGTATTGCCTAGATTTTCTTCTAGCATTTTTAAAGTTTTGGGTTTTATATTTAAGTCTTTAATTTCATCTTGAGTAGATTTTTGTATGTAATGTAAGGAAGGGTTCCAGTTTCAATTTTCTGATTATGGTTAGCCTGTTATCCCAGCACAATTTATTGAGTGGAGAATCCTTTCCCTATTGCTTATTTTTGTCAGATTTGTTGGAGATTCGATAGTTGTAGGTGTGTGTTCTTATTTCAGGTTCTCCATTCTGGTTCATTGGTTTATGTGTCAGTTCTTCTACCAGTGATCATGCTGTTTTGGTTACTGCAGACCTGTAGCATAGTTTGAAGTTAGGTAGCATGATGCCTCCAAATTTGTTCTTTTTGCTTAGGATTGCCTAGGCTATTCAGGTTCTCTTTTGATTCCATATGAATTTCAAAATAGTTTTTCTAGTTCTGTGAAGAATGTCAGTGGTAGTTTAATGGGAATAGGATTGAATCTGTAAATTGCTTTGGGCAGTATGGCCATTTTCACAATATTGATTTCTCCTGTCCACGAGTATGAAATTTCTTTGAGCAGGGGTTTGTAGTTCTCCTTGTAGAGGTGCTTCACTTCCCTTGTTAGTTGTATTCCTTAATATTTTATTCTTTTTGTGGCAATTGTGAATGGATGCTCATTTGTAATTTGACTCTCAGCTGGACTGTTGTTTGTGTACAGGAATGCTAGCATTTTTGCACTTTGATTTTTCATCCTAAGACTTTACTGAAGTTGCGTTTGCTTATCAGCTTAAGAAGCTTTTGGGCTGAGATGATGAGGTTTTCTAGACATAGGCTTATGTCATCTGCAAACAGGGATAATTTGACTTCCTCTCTTTCTATTTGAATGCCCTTTGTTTCCTTCTCTTGCCTGATTGACATGGCCACAACTTCCAATACTATGTTGAATAGTTGAGAAAGGGTATCCTTGCCTTGTGCCAGTTATCAAGGGAAATGCTTCCAACTTTTGCCTATTTAATAGGGATATTGACTGTGTGTTTGTCATAGATGGCTCATTATTTTCAGGTATGTTTCTTCAATACCTAGTTGAGAGTTTTTAACATGAAGTGATGTTGAATTTTATTGAAAGCCTTTTCTGCATCTACTAAGATAATCATGTATTTTTGCCTTTTTGCCTTTAGTTCTGTTTATGTGATGAATCACATTTATTGATTTGTGTATGTTGAACCAACCTTGCATCTCAGGGATGAAGCCTACTTGGTCATGGTGGATAAGCTTTTTGATGTGCTGCTGAATTTGGTTTTCCAGTATTTTGTTGCAGATTTTTGCATTGATTATGAAAGATATTGGCCTGAAATTTTTGTTACCTCTTACAGGTTTTGGTATGATGATGCTGGCTTGATAGAATGAGTTAAGTAAGAGTCCCTCTTTTTTAATTTTTTGAAATAGTTTCAGTGGGAATGGTACCAGCTCTTCTTTGTGCATGTGGTAGAATTTAGCTGTGCATCTGTCTGGTCCTGGGCATTTTGGTTGGTAGGATATTTATTACTGCCTCAATTTCAGAACTCATTATTGATCTGTTCAGGTATTCAATTACTTCCTGTTTTTGTGTTGGGAGGATGTGTGTCCAGGAATTTATGCGTTTCTTATAGAGTTACCAGTTTACATCTATAGAAGTGTTCATAATATTCTGTGATTGTTATTTGTATTTCTATGGGGTCAGTGGTAATAGCCACCTTTTCATTTTTTATTGTGTTTATTAGAATCGACAGTTTTTAAAATTAGTCTGGCTAGTGTTCTATTTTATTATTATTTTTAAAAAAACAGCTTCTGGATTCAATGATCTTTTGAATGGCTTTTCATGTCCCTATCTTCTTTAGTTCCATTTTGATCTTGTCTATTTCTTGTCTTCTACTGCCTTTGAGGTTTGTTTGTTCTTGGTTCTCTAGTTCTTTTAGTGGGACTGTTAGGTTGTTAACTTGATTTCTTCCAAGCTTTTTGATGTGGGCATTTAGTGTTATAAATTTCCCTCTTAACACTGCCTTAGATGTGTGCCAGAGATTCTGATATATTGTATCTGTTCTCGTTAGTTTCAAAAAACTTCTGGATTTCTGCTTTAATTTCATTATTTACCCAAAAGTCATTCAAGAGCAGGGTATTCAATTTCCATGTAGTTTTATGGTTTTCAGTGAGTTTCTTCATCTCGAGTTTTAATTTGATTGTGCTGTGGTCTGAGACTGCTATTATTTCAGTTCTTTTGCATTTGTTGAGGAGCATTTTACTCTCAATTATGCAATCAATTTTAGAGTAAGTGCCTTGTGGTTATATGAAGAACATACAGTCTTTTGTTTTGAGGTGGAGAGCTCTGTAGATATTTATCAGGTTCATTTGATCCAAGGCTTAGTTCAGGTCCTGAATATTTTTGTTAAATTTCTTTCTTGATGATCTGTTTAATATTGTCAGTGGGGTGTTAAAGTCTCCCACTATTAATATGTGGCAGGCAAAGTCTCTATTAAGGTCTCTAAAAACTTGCTTTATGAACCTGGGTGCTTCTATATTGGGTGCATATATTTATTTAGGATAGTTATTCTTGTTGAATTGAATCCTTTACTGTTATGTAATTCCCTTCTTTGTCTTTTTTGATCTTTATTGGTTTAATATCTGTTTTGTCAGAAGTTAGGATTGCAACCCCTGCTTTTTTCTGTTTTATGTTTTCTCAGTAAATTTTCCTTCATCTGTCTATTTTGAATCTATGTGTATCTTTGTAGTTAGATGGGTCTCTTGAAGAGAGCATACCAATGAGTCTTGGTTCTTGGTTCTTTGTCCAGCTTGCCACTTTGTGTCTTTTAGTTGGGGCATTTACCTCATTCACATTTACAGTTAGTATTGTTATGTGTGGATTTGATCCTGTCATCATGATGCTAGTTGGTTATTTTGCAGACTTGTTTACGTGGTTGCTTTATAGTGTCATTGGTCTGTGTAGTTTCCTGTGTTTTTGTAGTGACTGGTAACAGCTTTTCCTTTTCATAGTTAGTTTTTCCTTCAAGAGCTCTTGTAAGGCACATCTGGTGGTCATGAATTTCCTCAACATTTGCTTTCCTAAAAAGGATTTTACTTCTCCTTTGCTTATGAAGCTTAGTATGACCAGATAAGAAATTCTGGATTGGATTTGTTTTTTCTTTAATAATATTGAATATTGGCCCCCAATATATTCTGCTATACAGGGTTTCCCCTGAGAGGTCTGCTGTTAGTCTAATTGGTTTCCTTAGGTAGGTGACCTGGCCTTTCTCTCTGGCTGCCCTTAACATTTTTCTGCCTTTGAAAATCTGATGTTTATGTGTCTTGGGGAAGATCTTCTCATGGAGTATCTTGTGGGGGTTTTCTGCATTTCTGAATTTGAATGTTGGCATCTCTAGCTCGGCTGGGAAAGTTTTCCTGCATCGTATATTGAAATATGTTTCCCAAATTGGTTCCATTCTCCGTATCTTTTTCAGGTACCCCAATCAGCTGTAGATTCAGTCTTTTTACATAATCCCATATTTCTCAGAGGTTTTGTTCCTATTTTATTCTTTTTTCTCTGTTCTTGTTTGTCTGTCTTACTTCAGAAAGCTGGTCTTCAAGCTCTGAAATTCCTTTCTCCACCTAGTCTATTCTACTATGAATACTTGCGATTCACTGTGAAGTTCTTGTAGTGTGTTTTTCGGCTCTATAAGGTCAGCTATGCTCTTCTCTATACTGGCTATTTTATCTTCAGCTCCTGCATTGTTTTATCATGATTTTTAGCTTCCTTGCATTGGGTTACAACATGCTTATTTAGCTCTGCAAAATTTGTTTTATACACATTATAAAGTTTACTTCTGTCATTTCAGCCATCTCAACCTAAGCCTAGTTCTAAACCTTTGCTGGTAGGTGTTGTCATTTGGAGGAAAGAGCACACTCTGCCTTTTGAGTTTTCAGAATTTTTGTGCTGATCCTTTTTCATCTGTGTGGGCTTATCTACTTTTGGTCTTTGAGGTTGCTGACCTTTGGATGTGATTTGGGTTTTTTATTTTCCCTATTAATAGTCTGGTCACTGTTCCATAGTGCTGCTTCAATTTGCCAGGGGTCCATTCCAGACCCTAGTCACCTCAGATTTTCCAGTACACAGAATTATCACCAGTGAAGGCTGTGAGACAGCACAGATGGCAGACTACCCCTTCCTCTGGGAGCTTCATCCCAGGGGGATACAAACCTGTTGCCAGCCTGAATACACCTGTAGGAGGTAGCTGGGGGCCCCACGTGGGAGGTCTCACCCAGTGAGAAGGAATTGATCAGGGTCCCACTTAAAGAAGCAGTCTGGTCACGTTTTGCTAGAGCAGCTGTGCTGTGCTGGTGGATCCCTTCCACGCCTGGTTTGTTTAAACTATCCTAAGCCTGCAGGCTTGTAAGTGAGAACATTGAGTGCCAAACCACTTCTTACAATTACTACACGTGCATCTCTTCAACTAAAGTATTGTGGAAAGCATATACATAAGATTCCCAGAAGTAAGGGAAAGAAACAAAAACTATTAATATTCTTTCTTCTTTATTCTTCTTCTCTGTAGAAAACTGTTTCCTCATAAAACTGAATTACTTATCTTTTGGGAAAGACACAATAAAGTTACCTCTCAGAAGTCTTAAATATTCATGGAGTAATTCATATGACTAATGTAATAATTTATAATTATTTTTAGCAATGATTTTTTCTGAATAGTAAATTTATTCAACAATCTCAAGCCCTGTTTATATACATATGAAGTGAAATTGTCTTCTAAATATTCCCAAAGGAATGGTTTGGACAGATGCATGAAAATAAGAAAGACATATGGGAGATGTGTGGAGAGGAGGGGGGGTAAGCCTTTCTATATGAGTAACCTGTTACCTATACATTTAACCTCAGGGCTGCATGTGTAGGTTTTAAAATCACATAAAAACTTGTCAATTCAATTAGATTATACAAATATTCATTGTGGTAAAACAATGTCCTAGTAATATGTTTAAATAAATATGATATAGCTCTTATATTCAATTAGCTTATGATTTTAATTGGGACCGCTATGAATGTACCAGTGGTATATTATTAGGAAAAATAAGTTAAGCACCATTAAATATGATGGATGTATCATGGTGGTTCAAAGCAGTGTGAGATCATATATGGCTGATTATATATGGTTGATGGTTAGAAAGTTTTAAGATATTTTATATGTTGCCATTCTGAAGATCAGTTCCATCTCTGTTGGGACTAACTATATATATTGAAGTACAGTTGACTCTTGAACAACATGGGTTCGAATGACACTGGTCCACTTGTATGTGAATTTTATTCTGTCTCTACCACCCCTGAAAGAGCAAAGCAACTGCTCTTCTTCCTCTTCCTCTTCAGCTTACTCAATGTGAAGATGAGGATAAAAACCTTTATGATGATCCACTTCCACTTAATGAATAGTAAATATATTTACTCTTCCTTGTGATTTTCTTAATAACCTTTTTTCTTTATTGTAAAAATACTGTATACTGTAAGAATACTGTATATGATACATAATACATATACAAAATATGTGTTAATCAACTCTTTGTGTTATTGGTAAGGCTTCATGTCAACCATATGCTATTAGTAGTGAAGTTTTGGGGGAGTCAAAAATAATAGATTTTTCTTTTTTTAATTTATTATTATTATACTTTAAGTTTTAGGGTACATGTGCACAATGTGCAGGTTAGTTACATATGTATACATGTGCCATGCTGGTGCGCTGCACCCACTGACTCGTCATCTAGCATTAGGTATATCTCCCAATGCTATCCCTCCCCCCTCCCCCCACCCCACAACAGTCCCCAGAGTGTGATGTTCCCCTTCCTGTGTCCATGTGTCCTCATTGTTCAATTCCCAACTATGAATGAGAATATGCGGTGTTTGGTTTTTTGTTCTTGCGATAGTTTACTGAGAATGATGATTTCCAATTTCATCCATGTCCCTACAAAAGATATGAACTCATCATTTTTTATGGCTGCATAGTATTCCATGGTGTATATGTGCCACATTTTCTTAATCCAGTCTATCATTGTTGGACATTTGGGTTGGTTCCAAGTCTTTGCTATTTAAAGTTTTTTTTTTTTTTTTTTTTTTAATCAATGTTGACCAGGTTGGCCTCGAACATGTAGCCTTGCCTCCCCGAGTGCCAGGGCAACCAGTCTGAGCCGCAGAGGCTCCCGATACTTAGATTTTTCAACTCCACAGGAGGTTGGCATTTCTAAGCTTCACGTTGTTTAAAGGTCAACTGTGCTGCCAAAAACAACAAATGTTATGGAAATTGGTAAGTTTTAATATGTAAATTTATTCATATTTTTCTAAATATTGTTTCTTACAGTGATCAGTGCATTGGTTGCCCTTGCCTTAGTCTTTCCTTCTTCTGGCTTGATCCCATGAAAGCCAGATGTACATCTCTGTGCTTACGCCTCTGCATCACAGGAGAGGAATCCCAAAATATGAATACGGCAGCTGATATATGTTGCCCCTTTCCTCTCCTGAGAGAGGGACATATCTCCATACTACAAATTCTCCCTGGAAGGAGAAGAGAAAAACCCCTGGCTTCCTACCATTGAAATGTAAACAGATAAATGTCCAAAAGAGGATGATAAGTGTCTCTGGCTTTACATATTCTGGACCGTCTTCAAGGTTCCTAGTTTTATTCTCCTTTTAGAGACAAACTCATAATTCCAGAAATACAAATCTCTTCAGAGTTGTCAATACCTCTTCAGTCATCTTTTAATTTCCAGGGTTTGTCCATTAACCAAAGTTCCAGTGAAATTTACTAATAAAGCCTTAACCATGCAGAGACATAAAAAAGATTTCCTGTAAAATCATCAAGCTCTGAGATGAAAGAAAACAGCATAAATTTTTTCCTTAGTGATTAAATGATAGTTGAGTAGTATCAGATATCTTCAGGCCACTCATTTTATAAATAAATCTGGGACAAAAGAGAAAAAAATAATCCCATCACATTCTCCCAGTCTTTATCATGGGATCATTCAGTCTTCTCTACTTACCATTAATAGTTGGAAATTCTTAAAGTGAATTTTAGTTTCTTTTTTGAACAATTATTTTTACTTTATAATTAATAAATAATAATTTTATATATTCATAGGGTGCAGTGTGATGTTTTGATATAATGCTTGCAATGTAGAATGATTAAATCAGGCTAATCAACAAATTCATCACTTCACATACTTATTTTTTTTGTTGTAGTGAAATAAATGTAAAATCTACTCTTTTAGAAATTTTGAAACATACAAGGCATTATTATTTATTGCAGTCACCATTTTGTACCATAGATTACTGAAGCTTATTCCTCTTTGTCATTTTTTTTTTTTTTGACAATATCACTCTGTTGCCCAGGCTGGAGTACAGTGGCACAATCATGGCTCACCGCCGCCTGGACCTCCTGAGCTCAAGTCATCTTCCCACCTCAGCATCTCACATAGCTAGGACTACAGGTGTGCACCACCAGACCCAAACAATGTATTTTTGTTTTTGCAGAGATGGGGTCTCACTATATTGCCCAGGCTAGTCTCAAACTCCTGGGTTCCCAGCTCAGCCTCCCAAAGTGCTGGGATTACAAGTCTGAGCCACTGTGCCTGGTCTTATTCCTCTTTGTCTAATTGAAACTTTGTATGCTCTGATTAACATTTTCTTCCCCTCTCCTCCAGGATCTTGTTACCATCATTCTACTCTTGACTTCTATGCGTTCAATTGCTTTAGATTGCACATATAAGTGAGAACATGCAGTATTTGCCTTCCTGTGTCCGGCTTATTTCACATAGCAGAATGTACTCTAGGTTTATCCATTTTGTCCTAAATGACAGAATTTCCTTCCTTTTGAAGGCTGAACAGTATTCCACTGTATATAAGTATAACATGTTTTTTAAATCCATTAATCTGAAGATGGACACCTAGGCTGTATTCATTTCTTAGCTATTGTAAATAATGCTGCAATGAAAGTGAGAGTACAGGCTCTCTGCATACTACATACAGTCTCTTCTGCATACTAGTTTCAATTCCTGTGGATATACATCCAGAAATAAGATTACTGGATCATACAGCAATCCTATGTTTAGTTCTCTGAAGAATATTCATACTGTTTTCCATAGTGGCTGTATTAATTACATTGCCACCAATAGCACACAAGGGTTCTCTTTCCTATATATCCTGGCCAGCACTTGCTATCTTAGCCTCTTTTGTTTTCTCATTCAAAATTATTTCCCTAGGCTGCCTCACACACACTTATTTCTTAAATTAGACCCATACAATTGATAAAATTGTATCTTCAAACTAGAGCTCTTTTTGACAACCAGATTAATAAATACAACTACTTATTTGATAAACTTGGAATACCTATAAGATCCTGAAACTCAACAAGCCCATTACTAAAATAATGATCATTAACCAAAAAGTGGTGTTTTCCATGACTGTTCTTTCAGTGATTAACATCACTACGAACAAACAAGTGCATACTTCTGTGTTCAGTTGAATTCAGATGACTTGCTACCCTAGGTAAGCCAGAAACAAACAAGCGATCTGAATATGTCCCTCCTCTTTATCTTCACATCTAAGCCAGAACCAAATTCTCTAAATGCTTTTCTTCTAAATTTATCTCAAATCTTTCTGTTTCTTTCTAATGCCAAAAGAATTAGGTTAGTGCAAAAGTAATTCCAGTTTTTGCCATGACTTTCAATGTATAACTTGAGCTGCTATCAACTCTTGCCTGAATTAGAGGAAAGTGATTACTTTGGCCAAAATATCTTGCACCAAATCCACTGGCTCCTGAATACAGTGCACACTTATTTCTCTAGTCTCACTCTGTAAATCACTATGATCTGTAGACAGTGCCCTGTCAATGGAGTACCATTATCTTGCCTTCTTTTGGCTAATGATAGAACCATTAGATTTCCAGTCAGTTGTCAAAATCTCAGAAAGGCCTGCCCTCACATCCTTGATCAGGTCAAATCTTCCTGCTTTAAGTAATCATGTATAATGTGCCTCTTCTTCTAAAGAGTTATTATAGCTGTAATTTTACATTTATATGTATGATATTTGATTAAAGAAGGCAGAGATGATATCTGTTTTTGCTCAATTATGGTGATTGGCTCAGAGAAGCTGCTTATATATTTTGGTTGAATGAATTAAAGCCTCCTTCTGACTTCACTCTAGTAGCTGTTTTATAATGAGTGATTTGACTACCATCAAAGCCTTAGGCAAGTTAAGGTCCTTGGTTGTGTCAAAACTAAAATCAGATCAAAGTTAGAAAAATGTTATAGTTTATTATGCATGCAAAAAAACAGTTCACAAACTGGAAGATTTCAAACCAGAAATGCGAAACAGCTCTTCTCTCAGCAGTTTTAGTGCAGCTTATAAAGCATAAATGAAGAAGTACATGGATCTTCACTGTGACTGGCTATTATAAACATATATTCCTTTTAGGGAAAGTACAGCTGTCTATGCTGATTTGTCTGTAGCTGACTGGTTTAATTTCACTGAATTATGCTGACAAAGACAAAAAGCTTACATTTCATGTTTTGTTTATTGTAAAAGCTAGTGTTTCAGGGAAATCAGGATAACAATTTTTGGCTACAAGGCTATGGACCATTGGACTCGAGGTAGCTAAAGTGTAGCCTCAATTTTTATATACTTATTTGCTTGTTTGTATGTTAACATTTGGAGAAAATGAAACTGATTCCATCTGAAAGACAGGAAAGGGAGCGGCAACCAGCTAATAAAACAATCAGTGTCTTGTCTTGTCATGCACACGGTGCTGCCACCAGCCCTGCTAACATTGAACTACCGCTACTGCGGGCACCACTGGACTCTTAACTGCACTGCCTGCTGAGTAAATAATCTTCAAATGTATGGCTTTTTATTCCTGGTGAGAGCATCATACTGAGAGAAACAGTGCTTCAGCTGCCAGAGAGGAGAAAGGAGGAATATATAGAAACATCCAAACTTCATAGTAGGTCTCCTGCAAAGACCCACACACTGGGCACTCCTCTCAAGAGGAAAAAAGTCTGGGGGCTGAGCAGCTCAACGTGTCAGCAAAAGTCTATGATGAGGCTTTAACTCGAAATTCTCCTGTATTTTCTCAAACCTCCCAAATGCTCCAAAATACAACTATTTTGAAACAGTACGTGAAGGTAGTTTTGTGTTTCTATTGTTTGTTTCATCAGTTTGTTCACTACCATATTGTGAGAACTTAAAACGGTACCTAAAAGATATGCACTCAATAAATATTTGTTGAATGGATATTACTTATTAAATATTTTTAAGTGACTACCTTTTTACCAGTGATTACTATATGTAAGACACAGTTATAAATGTATTTTATAAGACATATTATAAATGTCTTAAATATATTAAATCAATTAATTGTCACCATTGTCATAAGAGGCAGGTGTAATAACTATCCCCATCTTAAAAATGATAAAACCTGAGAGCAGGGAGATAAAGTAACTTTCCCGAGGTCACACAATAGTGATCAGCGGAGCCTGAATTTTAATTCAGACAGATTGTCAAAATTTCTGTGTAACTACTATGCCAGGTAGAGTAAAACAATGATTCTAAATTTGGCAAGATTTTTTTATTCCTGTTAAAAACGGATTGGTTGGTTGATTGATTGGAGACCCAAATATAGTATGCCAACACAACAACATAATGTTTCTAAAACTCACTTCTCTTCAGAACATTTCAACAGCTCAACATTTCCTAGTAATATCTTAAACCCTTAGTCTAGCTTGCAGGATTTTCAATGATCTTATACTAGTTTCCAGTGTCTGGCACACTATTTACCATGGATGGTAACTTCTCCTTTCATCCCTGTTATTACTTTTATTGTGCACTCCACCTTCATATGCACCCTTATATTCAGTCATTCTTTGAACTTACGTATTTCTAGGAAATCCCAAGAAGTTTGAATGCCACATATTGTGTTTGGCAGCAGAAACAGCAAATACATTTTATAGGGTCCTAGTGATTCAGCTGCTTTTAGGAATGTGGCTCTCACACTGACCACATGGTGACACTTTTCCCATATATAAGTGAGCACCTGATGAACCCACATGTTGCATAGTACATCATTCTTTCTCCTGAGTGCTGTACAGAATAGAGTCCAATAACTGGTTTAGATACGCATCTAATACTCACAGAATAAACATCATTCATTGAGGCTAGTGTCAGGTATTCCTTATGCTGGAATGAGAACACACAATTCAATGTGAGACATAAAGATAAGTAGAGGCAGATACAGACAACACAGGACCACTTTAAGAAGGGCCCAAATCACATATCCCTATCCCTACACACCAATTATTGAAACTCCTGACTTTGATCAGTTAAATCTGTAACAGAGAATTGTTAAGACTCAGCATATGCAGCACAAAGCAGCACAAGGGAATAGTGCTCAAAGTGCAAGCCCAACATGAGCTGATGAGCATCATAGCCAGCCAGCAGCAGTTCAAGGTGTGTGCTCTCAAGAAGGCAGCAGAACCAGTTAGCAGGCCAAAGCAAGAGAAGAAAGTAGTAGTCATCACCTAGACATCTTGCTGACAGCAACAATTGCTAGGGTTCATCCCATTTTTGTGGCAGATTGCACACCACGCTTTTTTTCTTGAAGTTCCCTACTATCCCTCATATATGCCCATCAAAATCCAAGTTTCAATTAGCATTTCATGGAATCTTTGCTGGTTCCAATTGGTGAATAATGTTCATTTCACTGGAGTAGCACAATACTTTGTTTATAGCACTAATAGAACAGTAATAATGTTTTTTTTTTTTTTTTTTTTTTTTTTTTGAGACCGAGTCTCGCTCTGTCGCCCAGGCTGGAGTGCAGTGGCGGGATCTCGGCTCACTGCAAGCTCCGCCTCCCGGGTTCACGCCATTCTCCCGCCTCAGCCTCCCAAGTAGCTGGGACTACAGGCGCCCGCCACTACGCCCGGCTAATTTTTTGTATTTTTAGTAGAGACGGGGTTTCACCGTTTTAGCCGGGATGGTCTCGATCTCCTGACCTCGTAATCCGCCCGCCTCGGCCTCCCAAAGTGCTGGGATTACAGGCGTGAGCCACCGCGCCCGGCCAGTAATAATGTTTTATAAAAAGGTAGTTATTGCCCTGATTGTGCTGGATGTTCCTTTTAAGTAGACTAGGCAGCTATACATATTTTATAAATATCATTATGACTCTTGATGGATATCCCACTCTTACTAAATAGATCTCAATAACATTTGCAAAATTAAACTCATGGCCATTTTACAGATTGGATTAGCAAGTTTGTTTGTTTTGGTATTTTTAAATGAATAATGACTAGGGTAATGCCATGTAGACTCTATTAAAAATATTGACACTGATATATTAGAAATAAAAAGAAGAGTCTAGTTCCATGATTTGCCAAGACTTTCTTATAGTTTCTGGATTCATTTTAAAAAAAGAAAAAATATTAAAGCCTATTTTTTGAACCACGAGAAAGCTAACCTTTGTAAAGGTAGCAAGATTTTGACATAGGCAATCTTTTATTTTTACCTTTCTGCCACTGGGAATGACAAAAAGCACAAACTTCTTCCAGTGAAGCAAGGTTTTGAAACTTGCTCCTTGGAAAAAGTCAGAAGGCTGAGTTCTATTCTCAGCTCTGCTGCTAAGTGGTTGACTTACCTGAGGCAATGAGGCTAACCTGACTGTGCCTTACTTTTAGTCTCTGGGAGAAAAGAGAGTGGTTAGCAGTCTCTTAAATTTTCATTACAGTTGTATGAACACATGAGAAAGATATATGAAGGACTTTGAATTGCTAAGAGAAGGATTATTTATAAACATAAACCACTGTCATTATGTTTGAGCATGGCTTCAAGCTGGTAATGTTCAACTTCTATACTGCATCGTGTGATGGTGACAAATCATGGGACCCTTGAGCGGATGGCCTACTACACATAAACACTAAGTTCTTACTCTAATTTCATAACAAAAGAAAACAGTTTGATGTATACTCGTCACACATAGTTAGGACCACTTTATTATACAATTTTTCATTTCATTGAACAAATAAGGAATGAAATATGCTACATTTCAATCCTGAAGCTTTACACAGTAATCCCTCTATAAGAACCCTGGTGCTTTATAGCTTTCACATATCTTTCTAAAACACGTTAAGTGGATATTCATGAGTCTGGAGTATTTTATCACTTGAACATGGAATCAGACTGGAATCAAGGGGAACTTTGAAAGCATTTAAGCTATGATTATAATAAAACCGCCTCCACTAAACCTATAACATAGCAGGCAATAATGCATAAAACAGAAATAAAGCAGCTTCCAACATAAGCAGGCAACATTTTAAGTCAGTATCTTCAAATTTCCACACAAATTCATCTTTACAGAAAATCTTCACTTAATTATCTTATTAAAAATAGTAACAGCTTCATCTTCTCCATCTCTCTGTACCTGTTTTACCTCACTTCATTTTTCCTTTGTCGCCCTAACTACCCCTGATATCATGTGTGTTGTGCTTGTTTTCTCCTCCAAAATGCAAAATCCCTGAGACTAAAGACTGGGATATTTTGTTCTCTTTACTGCTGTATTCCAGAGCCTATAAAGCATGTAGAAGGTGCTTAATAAATGTTGGTAGGATTGATGATTTTCTGTTTCTAATCCCCCTGATTATCCAAAACATATCTTAAAATATAGTTGAAATACAGTTGTTATGCATTATAAGTGGTAAATCATAAATACTAATCATAGGAAATACTTTATATGGTTATTTCAATTCTAAAATACTTAATAAGCCATTATATGAATTTAATAAGACTACATATTATAGAAAAAACATTTTGAAACTCAATACACATCTCAGGCCAGCTGACTGAAAGCAAGAGACATTTGTATGACTTTGCTACCCTTAACCCATTTCAACTGGAGCAGTTATGCTTATAATTGTCCTGTTTAAAGGTAAGTTTCATTTGATCAAAGGGTTTTCTGGCTTTAGAAAGTTTGAAACTACACATATGAAGCTAGTATAATACAGAAAAGTATTTTTTATGACTGTAATTAAGTTAAACATAAAAATGCTTATTTTTCAAAAGATACATTCAGTATTGTTCCAAGATTTAAAAATAGAGTACCTATTAAATAATGAAAGATATTACTTTTGCCTTTAAGAGTTTATTATGTGGTTGTATGTTGAAAAGTCAAAATTAATATACATAAAATACCAAAAGCAATGCAAAACATAATTGTATTGAATACAAAATTTAATGAGCTGCATATATTATATGACTTTGAGGATGAGAAATATTAAAGATGGTAGACAAAGAGAAATGAACAAGGAAAATTATACATGATGTTTTAGTCATTTATGGTCTGAATTAAATGATGATAATGAGGTTGAAGGTGATGGAAAAATAGATGTTTCAAATGAAGAAAACCTGAAAAGCTTAAACTATGTTTGAAATACTTTCTTTAATAAATGTTAAAAAATCAACTAATTTTTAAAATAATAATTGATATGGATATGTTAAGATTATTTTGTACTGAAAATAAATTATATTGTCTGGAAAAATATGTAAAATTCATAATTTTTTCTATGATACTGAACAAGTAAGATCCCTTTATATTTTCTGATCCATTAGACTGCCAAATTTGACATTTTACAGTTATGCACTATAAGATTTTTTTATTTTTCATTTGTAAATTATAAATAAAATTATGACCAAAAATGTGTGACCAAGATTAATTTCTGGACTTTAAATGTGCTTCAGTATGATGAACATAATCAAAGTATCATGAAGGAGAAAAAATGCAATGCTAATTATATATATGATTTTAAGCTGACAAAACCTTTACTAGATCTAACATAAATGCATGCAAATAATATTTAAAATAGATTATTACGTAGACTAAAGACTGCAGGTGAACATGCCTAAAGAAATATAAACATAGTACACATTTTTAAAAGTTAGGAAAATGTCTATCACTCTCAATTTCCTATTCCTAAATTAAAATTTTATGTATTGGATCAGATTTCTTATACATTTCTAGGGGCATAAATTCTTCTGATTTTATTTTTAAACCTTTTCCTCTAAACCAGTAGCTAAAAGCTTTGTGTGTGTGTGTGTGTGTGTGTGTGCGAGAGAGACAGAGAACAAGTACACATACATATACACATACCTATATAAAAATATATGTGCACATATACACATACCTTTAATTAATAAATAATATTTGAATCACCAAATAAATGTTAAGCTTAAGACACTAAAAACATAAATTGTTAGTTTTCTCTATGTTCATTCAACTGGTGGCTTGGCAAAATGTTATCGTATTAGGGTGTTACCTTGTCTGTAAGAGTAGAAACTAAGAACAGGGCTCCTTTTCAAAAAGTTTCCTTGAGAAGATAACTCAGGGAATAGGAATGAAGAACAGAGGGAATGAAGCAGAGAAAGTAAAGCCAATAGAGAAATGAGTTACTGAGTTTGCCACCCATACTTAATTGGCTATTTTATCTCCAGGAACTTCTGAGAAGCATTAGTGTGTGTGTGCACGCGTGTGTGTGTGTGTGTGTATATATATATATAAAATAACTCTCTGCCAATGGGAAGAAAGGAGAAAGCACTTGTCCCTCAGCTTCCGTAGTTATTGGTCAAGGGTTGCCCTATAGGAGTAACCATTCCACACAAGCTACACATGAAGGAATGGCAAAATGGTTCCCATGGGTAACTCAAAGGTTAGCCCCAAGGTAAGAAGCCAGACATCATTGAAGCTATATTTAGCAAAGCACATAGATTGCACCTGAGCAAAAGTGGCAGAAGTCTGTTTAAAATTATTTGTTATAGCAGTGACTAAAATAACAACAAAGGAAAAGAATCTGAAGAAAGCAGCACACACACAACAGGTATCCAATACAGTTTACTTTTTGCATCATTCAGATTTACTCATGCCTTCTGTGAAATCCAATATATCACCAGGGGTGGCAAGGCACATTATTTGTTTACAAAGATACAAGACAGTTTGCAAAACAAGCAACATTCTATGCTCCAGTCACTCACCTTGAGGACATAACTGCTATTCATCACCTCTCTCCTTTATCACTAATTCTAGATTTCATTTGTGCTTTGTTAGAATTTTGGCTAGTCAAGGCTGACTGCTTTGTGACATGACCCATGTCACTCTCCCCAAAGAGTTTGAGACTTTGGTTAACTTGCTCTTGTTGCAATGTGGTTGCTAAAATTGTCCGGTTGCCGCTATCATCAGTCAGGGAAGTACTCCAGGGAACAGGCCAAGTGAACTCCACACACATACCCAGTCTCATTTTATAGTCACAAGAGTAACTTTTCATGCTTATCACGACAATTATCAATTACTTATACACATAAAATAATTGTTTTGGTTTGGTTTTATTTTTCCACTGAGCCACTGGACCAAGATTTTTAATCAAATGGAGCCTATAGTTTTGAAGCAAAAATCTGCACATGGGTTAGCAGGAATGATAGAGAAAAGGCCTAATCATACATTTCCCTTTGGCTCTTGGCTCAATGTCCTATAGATTTTGGTAATATATGACCATATATTAGCTATTGATTCAGCTCATATATCTCCATCCTAGAGGTCAGCACCCCTGCCTATAGGTTATTAAGTTTTAGCTGAACACTACCAGTCTATACCACCATGTTTTTAAGTCCAGTTCCTGATTCTTCTGGATTCCATCATCATTCATCTATATTGAACCTTCTTCGCTGAAATATGAAGTTTAACCTGAGGCAATTTTATATGGTATATCACAGCAATACACAGGGCATGTGTAAGCCCTTAAATAAAAGTGCCAACACCAGTACTGTGGCAATGGAGGGCAAACTCACAACTGTATTAGCTATAAAGGAAAAATCTCTAGAAGGAGTCAGATATAATCTCCTTACCTTAAAGAAGCAGGATAGTCATTCTGAATGATGGTGCTTCTCAGAATCAGTCTCTGCTGCTCAGTGGCTGGACACTGAGTAGTTGGAGTAGTTTGACAGTCTAGATGAGACTACTGGGCCCATGTAAAGCCTCCATCACTGCGGCCATGGCCACAACTTTCATAGGCCCATCATGCAATCACTGGTGTGACCAAAGAAGGAGGGTGCATCACCCTTTCCACTTTTCTCTTGAGTGCTGCCTTTGTGGTTTGATGGATGCAAAGGATTTATGGGTAAAAATATTGAAACTCTGCAATACCTATAGATGCCTCTTTCCAGATGTCTCTTTCCCAGAATTTGCTTGCCCTCATTCATCGTTTTTTTTTTTTTGCCCCTGAAAAACCCAGTCAATGTATTCAGCATTAGCCATACTCCAGAGCAGTTCTTAATCCCTATGAATTTAGTAATAAATATATTGTTCACAGTTGTGCTGGGAGCAGTTTCTTTTCACACTGTCCTTTAGGACCACTCCTAACTAAAGTTCAGCAGACATCTGTTTTTAGCTAGCCATAGAATATGGCCATCTAGGAAGCTGGCCAGGTGGAGAAAAGTTCCAATAAATCATAGGTATGAGTTGGAGAGATGTTAATACAGCATGAATAAACATCACAAAAGTTCAGGCCACCTAATCATGTAATTTTACACACACCGTCTTGAACTACTCAAGTCCAATTCTCATCATGCCATTTCCACTGAACAACGAATTCCTTCTTTGTTCTTGTGGCTTTTTGCAGTAGATAAAGTAATACCCTACTCAACATGGTAAATGCAGGTCCCATGTTTAGGAACTCAGTCTACTAATACCCACTAGCACACCAGGGGTCTGTCACAGATGGCATTGCCTTTCTCTATAACCTTCCTGGAACTCTGCTATTGGGATTACCAGAGACATATGTACACAGCATCTTTTACAATTGTGATATCTCTGACACCATCAGTTTCCTGGAAGGTATGGCACAGAGAGAAGACATCTTGTACTGAAACCTAAACTTTCTACAGAGGCCTCTTTTACTCTGGGTCCCACTTTTTAGTTACATGATAAGTAGGTTGAAAGAGTATCCCTTAGTTTGGCGTAACCTATCTCCAAAATCTAAGGCTCACCAAAAGCTTTCTTATGATAGAGAGTGCAACGCATGGCGACTTTGTTCTTACCACATGCCCCAGACTGTTTTACTTCAAACAATCCACACTTTGGTCCATATATAGGCATCTAATCTGTCTACTAATTTCTGTTTACCAAGTCCAATTAACATGTTTTCATTACTTGAATGTACCAAAGTGATGAAGAATCCTGTGAGAGCTGAACATATATATCTCCAGGGCAATAAAGTGAATTTACATTCCTGTTCTTCCCATATCAAAAGCAAAACATTTTTTGATCATCTTTAACAGTTAGTAACATGTTTAAGTAAGTTGATTTTTAGTAAAGTACCCTATGAAATCCCTCCCCTTCAAGAATGTGTTAGCTATTTTGAGGTCTTTTCTACATATATAAATATTACAATAAACTTGAAAAGTGTCTCACAAAATACTTTGGATTTTTGTTTGGAAATGCTTTCATCTTGTACTATATTTGAATAGAATTGATATATTTTTAGTATTTCCTCTTCACATTCGTGAATATTTAGGTTTCCATAAACGTCTTTCAAAAATGTTTCTAATTATGTGCAGTAGGTCTGGCAAATATGTTAGGCTTATTCCTGCATACCTTAAATTTTATTATTTATTATAAATAATATTTTAAGATGTATTTAAATTTCTAACTGCATATATTGATACATATATTTGGAGTTGAATATGTAATACTGACTTTAAATCTGTATCACCTGTGAATCAGTTTGTTTCTCTGCAATCCTTATGCACCTTTAATTTTTTTTTGTCGTACTCTACTGGCTACTATCTATTGTACAATGTTGAATAAAAGCAGTGGCACCCTATACTGTTGACTCGTTTATTTTAAAGAATCACATATATTTTTCTTTTTCTCAAATAACTCTGAGCCATGAAAATTTAGGGTAGAATTTGTAGCTTCAAGCCACATGACAAAAGACAGTTACCAAGGAAAATAATTCTATACTGTTAATTATATGCCAAGAAGTGTAAAAGTGCCTTTTACATATATTTTCATTAATCTTTATTAAAATATAAGGTAGAAATATTTATTAGGTTCATTTTATAGAATGGTAAAGAGAATATTGTCTAAATTATATAGCTAGTAAGTAGTTGAGCAGGGCTTAATAATTGGGTAGTTTGTCTTTCGAATTCATATTTTTAACTTCATTATGTTGCACTAGAAATTTATCAGGAGGCCCGGTGTGGTGGCTCATGCCTGTAATCCCAGCACTTCGGGAGGCCGAGGTAGGCGGATCACGAGGTCAGGAGATCAAGACCATCCTGGCTAACACGGTGAAACCCCGTCTCTACTAAAAATACAAAAAAAATTAGCCGGGCAGGGTGGCGGGCGCCTGTAGTCCCAGCTACCAGGGAGGCTGAGGCAAGAGAATGGCGTGAACCCGGGAGGCGGAGCTTGCAGTGAGGCGAGATCACGCCACTGCCCTCCAGCCTGGGCAACAGAGCGAGACTCCGTCTCAAAAAAAAGAAAGAAAGAAAGAAAGAAAGAAAGAAAGTAATCAGGAATTCAGTTCTTCTTTATCTGTGAAAATCCAAATTATATTTTCCCTGATTTTATTTTTCGGACATCTAGCTATGACTTCTCTTTCTCTCTTTTTTTTTTCCTTCCTTCCTTCCTTCCTTCCTTCCTTCCTTCCTTCCTTCATTTGTCGCTCCCTCTCTCCCTCTCTCTCTTTTTCTCTTTCTCTCTTTTTCTCTCTTTCTCTCTTTCTTTCTCTTTCTTCTTATTTTAATAAAGTGAAACAGCACAGTATTTTCAGAAGAAAATTAGCACATATATAAATGCACATATTTCACTTGTACAAATTTCATATATATCAAGGCATTTGCTTAAGATTTTAAAGAACCAGATGTTTTATGACCTGTAAATAGTGAGTTTTGCCTCTAAAGCTATTTTTTAATGTGTTTGGTTCCAACTTGGCCTCTAATATATCTACATGTGCTTTTTGGAAAAAAAATCAATCTACTAGCACTAAATTTTTCAAACTTCAATCTGATAAGCACAAATTCAATCATCAAATGTTCTCTGGGAGCTCTTACCCAAGATTCATAGTTGCACATGGTTGCACACTGTGATAGAAGAATGCACCACTGGCTAGAACTGGCTCAAATTGATATTTAATCATTCTTTTTATGCTCTGAGTGGCATACAATTTTACAAATAAATAAATAAAACACCAAGTTGGAAGCAAATTCTAAAATGTTCAAGATTCATATACTTAGCACAAAAGTGTTCATAATAAAAAACACATTATCAACAACTTCTCAAGGACTTACCTTTAGGTAGAGATTGGTTCTCACTACTAAACACGTAATATGATATCTGCACCTGCAGAATGCATCAGCATTATCTTAAAGTGAAATTGGAGTAAAGGTGAGGAAATATAGCATAATTTTTAAATTGCTATGTATGTAATACATTCTGGACCACACCTTTATGGTGGAGGGAAGAGAGAGGATGATATAAAGGAGATGATTACTCCTGGAATTTATATTTGATTATTACAGTTATGTTTTTCCTTGAGCAAGTTCTGAGAGCACTGATGAACAATGAAAATCTTTAATGGAGTATCTTTTAAAAAGGATAAAAACTTGGATAATTTTGAGATACAGTGCAAAGACTGAAACCAGTTTCACAAATACTCAGTTCAAATCTCAGCAATCCCACTTAATATATTGTCTGCATGATTTCAGAAAATGTTCTAAACACTCTGAGACTCAGGCTTCTTATTTATAAAGTGGAGAAAATTCTATTTGCCTTCAGAATATTCTGAATATGGTTTATAATATTGCAAATACCTCAAATATCTGCAAGGTTGTATGGCTATTAGCCGTAGATTTTAATACTCTGGAGCAACAGCACATTAAGTAGCAATAGTAGACATTCAAAATCACATTATTATTTTAGAGTGAATAAAGCAATGTAGTAGTAAGAA
This sequence comes from Homo sapiens, assembly GCF_000001405.40. Taxonomy (NCBI): domain Eukaryota; kingdom Metazoa; phylum Chordata; class Mammalia; order Primates; family Hominidae; genus Homo; species Homo sapiens. Next base: position 102,639,757 of record NC_000001.11, read on the forward strand.
TTAAAAGATGTCATTTATATGAAATTATTGTATAAATTTCTAAATAATAATAGAAATGTTTGCAATCGATATGTTTGTTATAGGGAGATAGTTTGGAAGAGTGGATTAAAACCATACATTCTCAAATTTGGCTCCTAAGACATAACTAGTGTTCAGTAACTGCATGACTGAGCAAGTTATTCTAATTCTCTATGCCTCCATTTACTCCATTTAATCATCTGTGTAGCAGGGAAAAAATAGTGTCTACATCACAGGGTTGTTGTAAATATTAAATACTTATAATGGCTCCTGGTACAAAGCAAGTATGGTATAAAGTTTTACTAACTTTGGTTGAAGACTCACATTTGCAAAGGATTTATTAAATTCAAGAGAACTTGTATATAATTTACTTTACTTACCCTTTTAAGTAAAAGTACATTCTTTGGGGATAATACTCAAACAATACATAATATATGATATATATATGTGTGTGTGTGTGTGTGTGTGTGTGTGTGTGTGTCTGTATTTGACTTTATTTTTAATGGATATATCATAGTTGTACATATTTGGGTGTTACACGTACTATTTTGATATGTGTATACAATGTATAATGATGAAATAAGGGTAATTAGGATATGCATCACCTCAAACATTTATCTTTTCTTTGTGTTGGGAACATTACAATTCTTCTAGCTGCTTTTAAATATACAATAAATTTTTACTAACTTTAATTTTCCTACTGTAGTGTTGAATACTAGAACATATTTATGCCATCTAAGCATATTTTTGTACCCAGTAACCAACTTCTCTTTATCCTCCCTTCCTCTCACAGCCTCTGGTAGCCACCATTCTACTCTCTGCCTCCATGATATCTACTTTTTTTAGCTCCCACATATGAGTGACAGCATGAGATATTTGTCTTTCTGAGCTTATCTTATTTCACTTAACATGATGTCCTCCAGTTCCATCAATGTTGCTGCAAAGGACAGAATTTTATTATTTTTTATAGCTGAATAAAATTAAATTTTGTATATATACTGTGTGTTCTTTATCCATTCATTTATTGATGGACACTTAGTTCAATTCCATATTTTGACTATTGTGAATAGTGCTGCAATACACATGGGAGAGCAACTGTCTATAATATATTGATTTCCTTTCTTTTGGATATATACCCAGGAATGGGATTTCTGGATCATATGGTAGTTCTATTTTTAGTCTTTTGAGAAACCTCTATACTGTTTTCCATAGTATCTCTTTTACTTACATTCCCACCAAGAGTGTAAGAGCATTGCTATTTCTTCTTCACATCCTTGCCAGCATTTGTCATTTAAAAAAAATCTTTTTGACAATAGCCATTCTAACTGAGATAAGATGATATCACATTGTGGTTTAGATTTGCATTTCCCTGATGATAAATAATGTTGAGCATTTTTCCATTTACTTGTTGGCTATTCGTATGCATTCATTTGAGAAATGTCTGTTTATGTCCCTTGCCTGTTTTTTAACTGGGTTATTTGGTTGTTTTGCTATTGAGTTGCCTGAGTTCCTTTTATATTCTGTTTATTAATCTCTTTTCAAATAGGTAGTTTCTAATATTTTCTCCTATCCTCTAGGTTGTCTCTTCACTTTGCTAATTGTTTCATTTTTGTTCAGAAGCTTTTCAACTTGATGAAACCCTGTTTGTCTATTTTTGCTTTTTTCGTTTGTGCTTTTGAGAACTTACCCCAAAAATCTTTGCCCAGATCAATGTCCTGTAGTGTTTTCTCAATGTTTACTTCTAGTAGTTTTCTAGGATTATGCCTTTTTTTTTTTTTTTTTTTTTTTTTTTTTGAGACGGAGTCTCGGTCTGTCGCCCAGGCTGGAGTGCAGTGGCGCCATCTCGGCTCACTGCAAGCTTTGCCTCCCGGGTTCACGCATTCTCCTGCCTCAGCCTCCCTAGTAGCTGGGACTACAGGCGCCCACCACCACGCCCAGCTAATTTTTTTTGTATTTTTAGTAGAGACGGGGTTTCACCGTGTTAGCCAGGATGGTCTTAATCGCCTGACCTCATGATCCGCCTACCTCGGCCTCCCAAAGTGCTGGGATTACAGGCGTGAGCCACCGCACCCGGCCTAGGATTATGTCTTACATTAAAATCTTTAATTGATTTTAGTTGATTTTTAATACAGTGAAAAATATGGATCTAGTTTCATTCTTTTCCATAGGAGTATCCAGTTGTCCTATCACCATTTATTAAAGATGCTGTCCTTTCTCCAAGGTATGTTGTTGGCACCTTTGTCAAAAATGAGTTTACTGTAAGAGCATAGATATATTTCTGGGTTCTCTATTCTATTTCATTAGTTTATTTTTTTTTCTTATTCCAGTACCATGTGATTTTAACTACTACAGCTTTGTAGTGTAATTTCAAATCAGATGGTGTGATACCTCCAGCTTTGTTCTTTTTGCTCAGGATTACTTTAGCTGTGTGAGATCTTATGTGGTTCTTTAAACAAATCTGGAGGTAGCTTTGGGGAGTATAAACATTTTAAAAGTATTAATTCTTTAAATCGTTGAACATAGGATATTTTTCCATTTTGTGTGTGTCCTCTTAAATTATTTTCATCAGTGTTTTCTAGTTTTTTCTTATAAATATATTTTACTTCTTTAGCCATACTTATTTCTAAGTATTTTTGTAACTATTGTAATTGGGATTTCTTTCTTGATTCTTTTTCATATAGATTGCTGTTAGTATATAGGACTGGTACTTATTTTTGTTTGTTGATTTTGTATCCTGTAACTTTACTAAATTTATCAGTTTTAATAATTTTTTGTGTATTAGTTTTTTATATATGGTATATTTTTAAGTTAATAAGGTGTGATTACTTCAAATTTTGTATCTCTCTGAATTTTTCAATCGTAAAAGAAACGTTTGTTTATTATAAAATGAAACAGAGAGCCAAATCATGAGTGAACTCCCATTCACAATTGCTTCAAAGAGAATAAAATACCTAGGAATCCAACTTATAAGGGACATCAAGGACCTCTTCAAGGAGAACTACAAACCACTGCTCAATGAAATAAAAGAGGATACAAACAAATGGAAGAACAGTCCATGCTCATGGGTAGGAAGAATCAATATGAAAATGGCCATACTGCCCAAGGTAATTTATAGATTCAATGCCATCCCCATCAAGCTACCAATGACTTTCTTCACAGAATTGGAAAAAACTACTTTAAAGTTCATATGGAACCAAAAAAGGGCCCGCATTGCCAAGACAATCCTAAGCCAAAAGAACAAACCTGGAGGCATCATGCTACCTGACTTCAAACTATACTACAAGGCTACAGTAACCAAAACAGCATGCTACTGGTACCAAAACAGACATATAGATCAATGGAACAGAACAGAGCCCTCAGAAATAACGCCGCATATCTACAACTATCTGATCTTTGACAAACCTGAGAAAAACAAGCAATGGGGAAAGGATTCCCTATTTAATACATGGTGCTGGGAAAACTGGCTAGCCATATGTAGAAAGCTGAAACTGGATCCCTTCCTTACACCTTATACAAAAATTAATTCAAGATGGATTAAAGACTTAAACGTTAGACTTAAAACCATAAAAACCCTAGAAGAAAACCTAGGCATTACCATTCAGGACATAGGCATGGGCAAGGACTTCATGTCTAAAACACCAAAAGCAATGGCAACAAAAGCCAAAATTGACTAATGGATTTAATTAAACTAAAGAGCTTCTGCACAGCAAAATAAACTACCATCAGAATCAACAGGCAACCTACAAAATGGGAGAAAATTTTCACAACCTACTTATCTGACAAAGGGCTAATATCCAGAAACTACAATGAACTCAAACAAATTTACAAGAAAAAAAACAAACAACCCCATCAAAAAGTCGGCGAAGGATATGAACAGACACTTCTCAAAAGAAGACATTTATGCAGCCAAAAGACACATGAAAAAATGCTCATCATCACTGGCCATCAGAGAAATGCAAATCAAAACCACAATGAGATACCATCTCACACCAGTTAGAATGGTGATCATTAAAAAGTCAGGAAACAACAGGTGCTGGAGAGGATGTGGAGAAATAGGAACACTTTTACACTGTTGGTGGGACTGTAAACTAGTTCAACCACTGTGGAAGTCAGTGTGGCGATTCCTCAGGGATCTAGAACTAGAAATACCATTTGACCCAGCCATCCCATTACTGGGTATATACCCAAGGGACTCTAAATCATGCTGCTATAAAGACACATGCACACGTATGTTTATTGCGGCACTATTCACAATAGCAAAGACTTGGAACCAACCCAAATGTCCAACAATGAGAGACTGGATTAAGAAAATGTGGCACATATACACCATGGAATACTATGCAGCCATAAAAAAGGATGAGTTCATGTCCTTTGTAGGGACATGGATGAAATTGGAAATCATCATTCGCAGTAAACTATCGCAAGGACAAAAAACCAAACACCATGTGTTCTCACTCATAGATGGGAATTGAACAATGAGAACACATGGACACAGGAAGGGGTACATCACACTCTGGGGACTGTTGTGGGGTGGGGGGAGGGGGAGGGATAGCATTAAGATATATATCTAATGCTAAATGACGAGTTAATGGGTGCAGCACACCAGCATGGCACATGTATACATGTGTAACTAACCTGCACATTGTGCACATGTACCCTAAAACTTAAAGTATAATAATAATAAAAACATAAAATAAAATAAAATGATAAGGTATTACAAACATAAGAAGAAAAGGCCAAAGAAAGCACTATAGTGCCAACATTTTAAGGAAATCAATAAATTGGAGATAATAATCACATTCTTTTTCAGTGTGTGTTATTTACAATTGCTTATTTTTTAATTATTAACTAATGACATAATTCAAAGTTTGATATAAATTGTTTGCAAATTGCTAGAGTCACTGTTGTAGGGAATTTTTAAGGTAATTTGATTAAACTACTATAAAAAAAATTAATCTTTCTACAATTTCCTGACAAACTTCCTACAAGGAAATCTTATTATTATATGTTAATCACTATTGTTACTGGAATGTTATTTCATATATTTATCCAATTTCATCAACATTTCATTTTCTTGGTGTTCTTACCTCTGCTTTTTGTAGTAATTCAAACTGCCCACTGTGTATTTTGTTTCATGGGTTCCTAATTTGGCAGGCAACAGGCACTTATGAGCCTGAATAGAAAAGGAGGAATACACGCCTCTGGACAAATGGTGGGACATCTTAGACACAGTAACAAGGTACGTCAGGAGGTGCTCCTTTGGCTAGGCTGGCAATTTGCTGAATTTGGCTGAAATGAGAGGAGTCCTTTCCTTGGGGACTACAATGGCAGGTAAATGAACCTACAAGGCATAGATGACAGACAAGGGTTGGCTTCTTAAGTGCAGCTGGAGTGGCACACATTTGTAAGCAGATAGCATGCCGATGCTGCTGTCTTACTTGGATCTACTACTGGAGATGGTGTCATTCTAGTTGATTTCTGGGGAGTATATTGAGACCCAAAGCCTTGGACTGAGCTGAGAAATGCATTATTTAAAAGATGAAATTAAGGAAGTTTATATTCCTCCTTTTCTCAATACTTCAAAGGAAGTGGCTATCCTACTGAAGGAATGCTACAAACCAAGAGATGTGTGCTGGGCCCTGCTCACAGAAGCTTTTCACCAGGATGCCAACCAGACAGAAGAAAAGAACCCAAACTCCTAGAGAAGATGAAGTGGAGGGGAGGACCCAGGATGCCAACCAGACAGAAGAAAAGAACCCAAACTCCTAGAGAAGATGAAGTGGAGGGGAGGACCCTGGAGAAGAGGACTGTTGCCCTCTAGAGAAAAGAGCAACATGGTGTCACCACAATTGGGACTGGGAAAATTTACCCTCTTTTTGCCTGTCGTCCACCACAAGGCAATAAGAACAAAACAGACAAAATGATTAAGAAGGAGAAACCAACTCTCCCTTGGAGGAGAAAACATGCATCTTCTCTCTCACCCTGAGGCCCAGTCTGTCCTTAAGGATCTAGCCCAAGAACAAAATGAGAAAGGATCTGGGTACTTGTTAACACATCTTGCTGCATGTGAGTAAAACAACAATCACCAAGTTTTATAGGTAGCTAATGACATGCACCAGAACTATCATATCAGTCTGCTGACTAAACAGATGGAACAAATCAAAAAGTCATTTCTGTTTCTAATCTATTCTACCTCCATTAGGTGAATAGACTGGCTGTGAATACTTTCGAAATCCTAGTTTGTGCCCCATCTTGTATGGAATTCTGGGTTATGAAAATGCTTTGTCACTGGCTCCATCTAAGCCCTACAAAACAAAATACAATTTAGATTATAAAACAACATAGAACCAGGGATGGATTGTTATATAAATGTGGCAAAATAATGGCCTCTGAACATTGGCCACTAGGTTGTTTATTTCTTCGCTGCAGGCTGCAACCCATTAGCTCAAGAGCCTGCCAGTGCCAAACACAAATATTTACACATCCAGTTATTTTTAAAACAGCCCAAACAAGCTAATTTTTAGCTATTTAGAGCCTGCTTATTTTGAATACTTTGTAAAACGTCATGCCACATCTGCCAGCAATAGATAAGCCCTATGCCATAAAGACCCCCAAACCACTGCTGCCCTCTGGATGTGGCTGAGTCACATCATCTGGATACATAAGTCCCATCTTTGATACCCCTTCCCCCTAGGAAAATTCCCAGCCCTCCTCCCTTTCTGTAGCAACCCCACTTAAGCCTCTGGATAGACTTATGTTCTGTCATAAGAGATCCCCCCTCCCATCCCACATAAAATACAAACCTGTCAAAGAGTGATGAAATAAACTGCCATGTCATGGTCATATCTTTTCCTTGATCAAGCCCCAAATTTCTCAAACCTCTCATGAATATGCCATGCACATACTAATTTAAAGAAAGCTAGAGTGCCCCTATTAATATAAGATGATGTAGACTTCAGAACATGGAATTTTATTAATAATATAGAGGGACATTACATTATAAAAAAAAGTAGTTTTCCAAGAATAACTTAAAAATCCTAAAAACATATGTACTTAAATGCTGAGCTTCAAAAATACATGAAGCAAATCTAATAGAATACAAAGGAAAAAGGAAATCTCCATAATCAAGTTGAGACTTCAACCTTCATCTTTCAGTAATTGATCAAATGAATAGACAGAAAATTGCTAAGATATGAAAAGTCTGTCTACCTATCTAACTACCAGACCTGAAAAACCTATCTATAAACTTGACTCTAATTCCTACATCACCCCACTTAACAACAGAATAAGATTTCTTATCAAGTATACATGAAATATGCACCAAAATTGACCATATTCTGGGCCACAAAACAAATCTTAAACAATTTAAAGGAATAGATATCATACAAAGGGCATCCCCAGATAACTATAGATTAAACCAAAATCAATGACATAAAGGCATCTGTCATATCCCCTTAGACATTTAGCAATTAATCAACAAAACCCTATGTAGTGCCTACACCTAAGAAAAAGTCTCAAAGGATACTGCTTTTGTGATTATACTAAATGAAAAACAAACATATCAAGGTTTATGGGATGCAACTAAAGTGGAGTTCAGAAAGAAAATTATAACAGTAAGTGCTTATATTAGAATACCATAATGGTCTTTAAATTGTTCATGCACCTGCCTACATTTAATTATCAACACAGGACTCATGATTTTCTAAATAGGATTAGATTGTATTATATCTCTGCCTTTCTGTCTTATGCAGAATAAAATCCTAAAAGTTTATCACAGCCTTCAAGGCTCAATATGATATGGCCACACGGTACTTTTCTGACCTCACTTTCTCCCACCTGTGTCTACTGTTCCAGTAATGTTAGCCTCCTTGTGCTTTCTCAAAAATACTCCTGCCTCCACTTCTTTGCAATAATTTCTCCCTCTGACAGTTAACACTCTGCTTTTTATAGACACATAAGTGAGTCTCTCCCTTCATTAAGTTCTCTCAGCCTCTCTTTATTAGAGAGGCTTCTTTAACCACCCTGTATAAAATACCACTCCCTCTACCTTGGGTAACTGCAATGATACATCAAACATACTTGATATGTAAGTGCCTCAAACACAGCAGACATTTATATTTTGTTCACTCTATGATGACCATGCCAGTTTAACACTCCTCCACATCTTTGCTCAGAGTATTAGGCTGAGTGGAACCATGACACCATTTTCAATATGTGGTTTCCAAGCTTACTGGGGTCCTCTCCATCCTTGCTAGTGAAAAGATAAAAAGAGGATGAAAACAACAAGAGTATGGTAGGCTTTAGTTTTGTTCACTTTTTTAAGGGCTAGATTAGAAGATTGCATACATAATTTCTGCTCACTCTTTAGTGAATGAAACCGAGTCACATGATTATATTTTACTTCATAAAAGGTTGATTTTGAGAGCCTCAAATCTATGTTCTCAAGCAAAAGATTATAATGTAATTTTGGAGAGAATTTAAGTCTTTGAGCTCCCATTAAATTGTGCCTTAAATTTTTTAGTCTGGAGCTTACTAGATCCTTCTGTTAGTAAGTGCATTTTTTTCTTTCTTGTTTCTCTAGCCTGAATAGAGTGCAAGCATCATGAGAACAGGTACTCTGGGTATTTTTCTCTTCGGTTGAACAAATAGTCGTAAATGCCTGTAGTTTTACATTTAGATACCGAAATAGACTTATAAATGGAACTTTCACAATAAAATTATGAATATATTGAATGGAAGTGAAGATAATTTGTAACATTAAAGATTTATTAAAATTGTCTTGAAAACATAAGGTAGATAAAGAAATTATTTTTAATTCTGGGCAATTTACCCCCCCCACACACACACATATATATGCATATAATTTTTACTGATTATTACTAAGCATTTAAAAAAGAGTCATAGTTCTTTATCCAACATGAGGATTCTACACATACTTCCTGCTATTTACTCTGAAATACCCACAACCATTAGAAATAATTCTGAAGTATTTAAACCATAATTAAAGTCATTACAATGCCTTCTGTAGTAAAATTTGGCTTTTGAAAAGTGAAAATCGTTCTGCAAAACTCTCCATATTGCAGTAGAAAAACTAAGTATCACTTACATTTGACAGCAACTAAATGTAACACGGGCATGCAAAAAAAATGGAGAAATATAAATTATAAGAAGTCAATTGCATAGAGAATTTTTAAAAATATATTTGGTATTATTTGTATCATAGGGAATATGGTAGTTGCCTTCACAAGTCTAACCAGATAGAAAAAGAAAATTCCAAGTTTCAGAAAGCCCAGCCATTGGCAGGTACCCAAAATATGTAACATCAAGAGGTTGGTATGGAATGGACACTATGAATAAAGGACAGTAGGGCCCCAAACTGAGAAACTTCAGTAATGTCTAGCTGCTGTCTTTCCTAGTGGCATTAAAAATAAATATATTTCTTGTTGGAAAGTGTCCTGATTGTGTAGGAAAGTAATGATTACATATTTATTTTACTGCTGTTATCACTAAAATCATATCCTCTCTTATATAATATATTTATCTGATTTAGGAAATAGGCTCCAAAGAAAATTGAGGTCTCCTTACAGGCAAAGAGAACATAGAGTTGAAATAGAATTGCATTTAAGATGTGCATATTGGCCAGGGGCGGTGGCTCACGCCTGTAATCTCAGCACTTTGGGAGACCGAGGCGGGTGGATCACGAGGTCAGGAGATTGAGACCATCCTGGCTAACATGGTGAAAACCCGTCTACTAAAAATACAAAAAAATGAGCCACGCGTGGTGGCGGGCGCCTGTAGTCCCAGCTACTCGGGAGGCTGAGGCAGGAGAATGCCGTGAACCCAGGAGGCGGAGCTTGCAGTGAGCCGAGATCGCACCACAGCACTCCAGCCTGGGCAACAAGAGCAAGACTTCGTCTCAAAAAAAAAAAAAAAAAAAAGTGCATATAATGTTTTTTCTTGTCAAAAGAAGGAACTTACAGGAACATATACAATTATCAAACTTTTGTGTATGTTCAAAATTATTAAATTTTAAATTATTAAACATATACAATTATTAAACTTTAAATTTTAAAGTTTAAATTTTATATTTATATTTTATTTCATAACATCCTAACAACAAAACATTTTTCCTCAAATTTATGTCATGTATTTAGACTTAAAATGGATCTGTATTCATATCACCTGTTGTTTATGATTACAGACTTAGTCTTCCTGTTCCAGTTGATTCCACACTGAAATCTACTGTTTCAGGCACTTTTTAAAATATATCTATTTAATTTCTGGGATACATGCACAGAATGTGCAGGTTTGTTACATAAGTATACACATGCCATGGTGGTTTGCTGCACCCATCATCCCGTCATCTACATTAGGCATTTCTCCTAATGCTATCCCTCCCCTAGATCCCCTCCACCCCCTGACAGACCCCAGTGTGTGATGTTCCCCTTCCTGTGTCCATGTGTTGTCATTGTTCAACACCCACTTATGAGTGAGAACATGCAGTGTTTGGTTTTCTGTTCTTATGATAGTTTGCTAAGAATAATGGTTTCCGGCTTCATCCATGTCCCTGCAAAGGACATGAACTCAGCCTTTTTTATGGCTGCATAAGTATTCCACGATATATATGTGCCACATTTTCTCTATCCAGCTTATCATTGGTGGACATTTGGATTGGTTCCAAGTCTGTTATTGTGAACAGTGCGGCAAAAAAAACATATGTGTGCATGTGTCTTTATAGTAGAATGATTTATAATCCTTTGTGTATATACCCAGTAATGGGATTGCTGTGTCAAATGGTATTTCTGGTTTAGATCCTTGAGGACTTGCCACGCTGTCTTCCACAATGGTTGAACTAATTTATACTCCAACCAACAGTGTAAAAGCATTTCTATTTCTCTGCATCTGTTGTTTCCTGACTTTTTAATGATCACCATTCTAACTGGCATGAGATGGTATCTCATTGTGGTTTTGATCTGCATTTCTCTAATGACCAGTGATGATGAGCATTTTTTCGTATGTTTGTTGACTGCATAAATGTCTTCTTTTGAGAAGTGTCTGTTCACATCCTTTGCCCACTTCTTGATGGGGTGGTTTGTTTTTCTCTTGTAAATTTGTTTAAGTTATTTGTAGATTCTGGATATTAGCCCTTTGTCAAATGGATAGACGGCAAAATTTTTCTCCCATTCTGTAGGTTGCCTGTTCACTCTGATGATAGTTTCTTTTGCCGTGCAGAAGCTCTTTAGTTTAATTAGATCCCATTTGTCAATTTTGGCTTTTGTTGCCATTGCTTTTGGTGTTTTAGTCATGAAGTCTTTGCCTTTACCTACATCCTGAATGGTATTGCCTAGGTTTTCTTCTAGAGATTTTATGGTTTTAGGTCTTACATTTAAGTTTTTAATCCATCTTGAGTTAATTTTTGTATAAGGTGTAAGGAAGGGGTATAGTTTCAGTTTTCTGTATAAGGCTAGCCACTTTTCCCAACACCGTTTATTAAATAGGGAGTCCTTTCCTCATTGCTTGCTTTTGTCAGGTATGTCAAAGATCAGATGGTTGTAGATGTGTGGTGTTATTTATGAGGCCTCCGTTCTGTTCCATTGGCCTGTATATCCATTTTGATACTAGTACCAAGTGGTTTTGGTTACTGTAGCCTTGTAGTATAGTTTGAAGTCAGGTAGCATGATGCCTCCAGCTTTGTTCTTTTTGTTTAGGATTCTCTTGGCTATGTGGGCTCTTTTTTGGTTCCATATGAAATTTAAAGTAGTTTTGTCTAATTCTGTGAAGAAACTCAATGGCAGCTTGATGAGCATAGCATTGAATCTATAAATTACTTTGGGCAGTATGGCCATTTTTATGATATTGATTCTTCCTATCCATGAGCATGGAATGTTTTTCCATTTATTTGTGTCCTCTCTTATTTCCTTGAGCAGTGGTTTGTAGTTCTCCTTGAAGAGGTCCTTCACAACCCTTGCAAGTTGTATTCCTAGGTATTTTATTCCCTTTGTAGAAATTATGAATGGGAGTTCACTTATGATTTGGCTCTCTATTATTGGTGTATATGAATGCTTGTGATTTTTGCACATTGATTTTGTGTCCTGAGACTTTGCTGAAGTCGCCTATCAGCTTAAGAATTTTTTGGGCTGAGAAGATGGGGTTTTCTAAATATACAATCATGTCATCTGCAAACAGAGACAATTTGACTTCCTCTCTTCCTATTTGAATGCCTTTTATATCTTCCTCTTGTGTTTCAGGCACTTTTTTTGCATTAGTTACCTAAGGGGTTCTGTAACAAATTTCCACAAATGTGGTGGCTTAAAACTACACACATTCGTTCTCTTATACTCTAGAGATAAGAAACCTGAAATCAGTTGCATTGAGCTAAAATCAAAGTGTCAGCAGGGCCGCACTCTCTCCAGAGGCTCTCGGGAAGTGTGCTTCCTTCTCATTTTCAGATTCTGAAGTTGCATCACTTGCATTCCTTGGCTCATGACTTCTCGCACCTAGCCAGCAGAGTCTCACCTCTCTCTGACTCTGCTCCCCTCTGCCTCATCTGCTTCTCTCTACTTCAGCCATGTGACCATCTTATCTGTTTCAAATCTGTCTTTGCCTTTGTCTTATAAGGACATCTGTGACTGCATTCAATGTCTACCTGAATGATACAGAAAAATCTACCCATCTCAAGATCCTTAGCTTAATCATATCTGGTTAAGTCTCTCTTTGCCATTTAAGGTAACATTCACAGGTTCCAGAGACTAGGACCTGGAGACCTTTGAGCGTTATTATTTAGCCTCCCACATGGTTAAGGATACTTTAAGAATTATTAGTCAATGATCAACAGAACTGTAAGTTAAATTTGACCCAATTCTTCAATTCTTGTAGCAATATTAATTTATTTAGTCTGAGATTACCAAAATTAAATTTTTCTTGAAACTCAGAGAAAATTATAAATTTGATTTGTCTATTTTCCAAAGATGTCTATTTATCTCAAATGATACTTAAGTATCCTGAACTTGATGTCTTGAAATTTTAATACCTAGAACTAATCCACCTTATGGGGAAAAAAGTGTGTTAATATTTTGTTTTTACAGTATAGAAATCAATTTGTCATCTTAGCTACATTTAGTAACCAAGGAGTAAAATGAGACTTGATAAAAACACTACCAGCTTTCCCTTCTATATGATTAAGAGAACATATTTTTTGGAGTCTGTTTATATTGCCTTTTAAAATTAAATAGCATTTTCAATTTGTGCAGGAAGAAACTGCTGCCAGAAAGATGAACATCTGCAAAAGTTTTAGAAACTGTATATGATTTTTTTCACATTCTATAAAGGTTTTTAGGACTGATAAGAAAATAATAAATTTGGTGGTACCTGAGTCACCTAGGTTAGCACAAATGAATATTTTGAGTTTCCAAAGAAATATTTGACCACCTCATGCTGACTTAATATCTTTCAGGGTAATCACTGGCATGTTTTAATTAGCAATCAGGAGAGAAATTTACAAAATTAATATGAAATTATGTTAAACCTAAATCAAAACACTACCAGCTGTATAATTACACATAGATACACCACATAATAGGTGAAAATATGAAGCAGAAATTGACATGCATGGGATCAAAAACATTAAACCTCCTGGTTTACTGTGCCTTGTATCATCTGGGTATTATATCTGTAATAGTGGTTTGTATTGTGGTGAACATTGTGTAACAAAGTGAATTGCTGCAGCAGAGTACCTTGCTGTAGAACATAGACAAATAGCACTCTTTTTAATTTAAAACCAAACTTTCTTTCCTTCCAAGAGCTTATTAAAATCTCAATAGGGCAATAATAGCAAATCATATTACCTAGGAAAGAACATACATAAATTTTATTTCACAAAATTGTCTCTGCTTTTCTAAAGTAATCTAAGAATACATGGTATTATTTCATCTCATTATCCATTCCTTTTATAGAAAATTGGAGATCTGGAGTCACAAGTTTTCTTGTTCAGTCTCTCTACTCTATTTATAATAAATGTGTATGTGGTAGTAACATTTTGATAAAAGTCCAACATACAGAAAATTCTGGAGAAAATACATTTTCACAGTTAATCATCAAATGAAATAAAATCGTTCCTAAGGCAAAATAGTAGGGAAAAGAACTATAGATTTTACATATATTATTGGGATTTTAGTACAAACTCTTTCATTTAGGAGTTACTTCAACCTTGGAAAACAGAAAGGCACAACTGTGTTCGTGTTATGGCTACCTGTGCCACAAGCAACAGTTATTGGAGGCAATTTGTTTTTGTTCATTCATTCATTTAACACATTTTAAAAATATTCATTAAGTTACTTCTATGAACCAAGACTTGTTCTAGAAACTGAAAATACCTCAGTGGAAAAAAAAAAAAAAATATATATATATATATATACAAGGGGACCTAGAACTCATATTCTATCCTGTGTGTGAGAGTGTAGAAAACAAAGAATAACTAATAAAGAAAATAAATATGTAAGATATGTAGCATTTTAGAAAGTAATAACTTTTATTTTGTTATTAACTTTAATGGAGGAAAATACAGCAGAACAAGGAGATGGAGATAATAGAAAACTCGAGAAGGAAGGAGTACTGCCTTACTTAAACAGTGGAATAAGAAGATCTTATGGAAATAACATTTTATAAAGTCTTATAGAAACAAAAGAGCAATGCTTATAGATATCCAATGGAAGAGCATTCTAAGACTCTCAGGCAGAGGATGAATAAAATTTGCAAGGTGAGAATAAAATTTAATCAAGTTGAAGTTACAAGAAAGTGAGAAAGGTGAGAAAGAATTAAAGATACGTGTTAGGGAGTGGTTACAATGTTGGACTATGGAACTTTTCTCAATAAGGAGGGAGTTAAGTCAATGATGAGGCTTTAAGATTATTGGATTGGAAGTCCATTGTGGTTGAAAGACTGTTGGAGTCTTGTACCTGAAAGGGTTAGCTATAAGAAAGAATGTGCTGAACTGGTAAGGGGATCATTGAAATTGAGTACATGGAAGGGTTAAAGATATTGATAACAGCAGGATCTAGGGATATGTTCAGTGGGTAACTGGCTAAAATAGGTATGAAGACAAGAATAAGGACAAGAATAGGACATGAATATTGGAGGAAAGAAGTTCAAAGAAACATGAGCCAAGATGTTGGTGTGGCCCTCATTATGAATACAGGAATCTCAGAAATTAAGATTGCTGTAATGTTATAGAATATGATACTAAGACAGGAGATAAAACTGTGGATAGAAAAGAGAGATGACCTGGATGTGCACAGATCACTAAAAAGAATTGGCAGTAGTTACATAGTTTTATGAGCAAAATTTCAGTGCTTCGAGTATTTGCGGAAGAGGAAGAGAGGACAGTTTGGAAGTGGAAATGTAAGAGACGTTTGAACCAGAGCTACTCCATCTTGAATAGGTGGTGATTAAAATAAGGCTGAGATATACTGGGCTGCATTCCCAGAAGGATAGGCATTCTAAATCACAGGATAAGACAGGAGATCAGCACAAGACATAGGTCACAAAGACCTTGCTGATAAAACAGCATGTGGTAAATAAGTGGCCAAATCGCACTAAAACTAAGATGGCGACGGAAGTGACTTGTCGTGGTCTTCGCTACTCATTATACATGAATTATAATACATTACCATGTGAAAAGACATTCTGACCAGTGCCATGACAGTTTACAGATGCCATGACATCTGGAAGTTACCCTATTCGGTCTAAAAAAGGGGAGGAACCCTCAGTTCCTTGAATTGTCCACCCCTTTCCTGGAAAACTCACGAGTAATCCACCCCTTGTTAAGCATATAATCCAGAAATAATCATAAAAATAGCCAGCAAGCAGCCCTTGGGTCTGCTCTGCCTATGGAGTAGCCATTCTTTATTTCTTTCCTTTCTTAATAAACTTACTTTCACTTTACTCTATGGACTCGCCCTGAATTCCTTCTTGTGCAAGAGCCAAGAGTCCTCTCTTGGGGTCTGGATCACCCTTTCTGGTATCAGAACTGTGAAGCAAGAAAGACCCCTTGCTTGCATCTAGGTTCATGATTACAGGATAAAAAATTACCCACTCTTTAAAAAGGACAAGAAAATTAGTATCTCAAGAAGATATTAAAGTTTTGGCTGGTTCAAGAAAGTAAATGCTTAGAGAAGGGGATGAGGATATGGGGCTTTCTGCTGTTGTCCAGTTGTTTTTTTCTTAAAATAATTGTTTTTCAAAGGGGGAAGGGAAATTTCCATAAATGAGGAGTATGTAAGATGGGGACAGAAGAAAGGATGGAAGGAGACAAGTGGAAATTGAAAGGCAAGATATGAGACAGTACCGTAGGAATGTGTGGATTCTTCTGGTGAGTGATAGAATTAGGAATGAAGGAGATCATAAGATCATTTATGCTAGTTTTTAAAATAGATAGTATTGGCCTGGCTCTGAGTGTTATAGGTAGAAAGGGATAGGTGTCTAAGGCTTTTTACTTCTTTTAGAAGGGCTGTGAGAATAACACTGTAACAGTATATGTGGGGCTCCATCTAGTCCACTAGAGATAGATGTTTGTAGATCTGAAAAAAAAAATTATAGTCTAGTATGAGTACACAGACACTCTTCTCATTGGTAAATACTTCTTACTGGTGGAGGCACTTCCTAAAGTAGTAAACAATCACAGCAATGAGACAGACATGTGCATAATAACATGAGTAAGTACTAAAATTAGAGAAGCTCATGAAAATAGTAATAAATAAATAATACATTTCTATAAATTAAAAATATATACCTACAAAACAACAATAGAGAGAAATAAATATAGGAGAAATTTGTTCATGACTTTGAAGTGAAGGAGTGCAAGAAATGCTGCACCAAACTGTGCCTTTTTGGTATGCTGATTAATTCAAACTGAAAGCACTCCGAGAACAGCAAATTTGGGAAAAGGGAGGGAGCCTTCTCTGAATTTTCCTTATTTGCCTAAAGATAGATTCTCCAAAAGGACCACAATTGTCATAAGTCCCCTCCCTGGGAGTCTCATCAACCAGGGAAGATTAATTCCTATCACAGAAGCAGAGTCTGGAGGTCAGCAGCAGGACCAGAAAGACTGTCATAGATCATTACTTGATCTTCTGAGGGCTCATTCATCTTTCCAAAACATCTTTTTCTCTCCTCTAAGTTGCCTGCTTCTACTATCCCTTTCCTATAAAGTGGGTGTACAGGTTTCAAGATCTTACTGGGTTTTGGGGGTATTTACCTTTCTTTCCTGAGATTCCTTCATGCACATAATATATTTTTATACTTTTTCTCCTGTTAATTTGCCTGATGACTGTTTATTTCATCCTCAGTTATCAAACCCTCAGAAAGAGTCTTCCCTTTCCTATAGAAGTCAACAAAGAGAGGTTAAACATGACATAAAAGGCAAAAAGCATAAAAGAAAATAATAAAGTGGACTTTATCAAAATGGAAATCTCTACTTTTAAAAAAATATTGACAGGAAAATAAAAAATCAAGCCAATTTATTGGCAATACACACACGTGAAATAGGACTTGCATACAGGAAAAATAAAGAGCTACTACATCTCGATAAGAAGTAATTAATTTAAAAATGGACAAAAAACTTGAATGAAAATGTTACATAAGAAGATATATGAATAACCAGTAAGTACATAAAAGATGAGCAACATTAAAGTCATTGTGTAAATGCAAATTAAAAACAAGTAAGATATCACTACATACCTATTTAAATGTCTAAAATTAACCTCCCAAAGAGTCTGACATATCAATGTGTAATATGGTTCAACTATTTTAGAAACTGTTGATACTTTCCTAGAAAATTAAAATATACTTACTATATGACACATGAATAATACCCTTAGATACTTACCTGGAAGAAATGAAAACACATGCCCACATTACAACTTTACATAAATGTTCATGTAAAGAGCTTTATTCATATTACTTACAATCTGGGGAACACTCAGCATGTGAATGGATAAACACACTTGGCATACACAGAACGAAACAATACTTGGTAATAAAAAGTGAAAACAAAAATAAAAATAAAAACAAAAGTCTACTAATATATACAAGGCAAATGAATCTTAAAAGCATTATGTTGATCAAAAGGAGCCATACATAAAAATGTATATACAATATTATTCCATTTATAGGATATTCTAGAACAGATAAAACTAATATATAGTGAGTGAAAACAGATCCATGTTGCCCCGAATAAGAGGCAGAAATATTTTCTGGAAAGGGCAGAAGGAACTTTCTGTATTAAATAAAATATTCTATATCTTGATTATTGTGGCAATTATTCATTTTATAAAAATTCATTTAACTGTACACTTAGTTACTTCATTTTTACTGTAACTAAATTACACCATGATGTAGTTTATTTTTAAAACCTGAAAACCTCAGAACAGAAAAACAAACAAAATATAGACTTAAAAATGAGAAAAATGTAACATATCGAAAACGACTAATTTTTTTAATGTATAAAATCTCACTAAAAATTGTAAAGAGAAAATCTAACAAGGAGAAAATGTGAGTCAAGGACAGCGAATGGATAATTCACACACACATACGTGTGGGGGTAAATTAGGATGGTATTTACACATTTTAAAATCGTTCATCTTCACTCATAATTAGAAAAATGTATGCTGAGGACTTTTTCTTAGAGATATACCTACATACAGGCAAAATAATATGTACAAAATGATTATTCTTAAAATTAATCACAATACAGCCAGGCGCAGTGCCTCACACCTGTAATCCCAGCACTTTGGGAGGCTGAAGCAGGCGGCTCACTTGAGGCCAGGAGTTCGAGACCAGCCTGGCCAACATGGTAAAACCCTGTCTCTAGTAAAAACAGAAAAATTAGCCTGGTGTGGTGGTGTGCACCTCTAGTCCCACCTACTTGGGAGGCCGACGCATGAGAATCACTTAAACCCAGGAGGTGGAGGTTGCCGTGAGCTGAGATTGTGCCACTGCACTCCAGCCTGAGCAACAGAGTGAGACTCTGTCTCAAAAAAATAAAACAAATAAATAAAATAAATCAGAATACAATATAGGAAATTAAAATTCATCAATAAAGCATTAGCTATATAAATTTTGGAACATCCACAAAACATTCAAACAAAATCAGGAACCCCCATGCTAAACTGAAAAGATTTCTAAAAGGTACAAGACATGAATAAAAGAAAGGTGATAGTATGTCCAGAATTGGTGGGTTCTTGGTCTCACTGACTTCAAGAATGAAGCCGCCCACCCTCCCTGTGAGTGTTACAGCTCCTAAGGTGGCGCCTCTGGAGTTTGTTCCTTCTGATGTTAGGATGTGCTCGGAGTTTCTTCCTTCTGGTGGGTTCGTGGTCTCCCTGGCTCAGGAGTGAAGCTGCAGACCTTGGCGGTGAGTGTTACAGCTCTTAAGGCGGCGCGTCTGGAGTTGTTCGTTCCTCCCGGTGGGTTCGTGGTCTCGCTGGCCTCAGCAGTGAAGCTGCAGACCTTCGGGGTGAGTTTAACAGCTCATAAAGGCAGTGTGGACCCAAACAGTGAGCAGCAGCAGGATTTATTGCAAAGAACGAAAGAACAAAGCTTCCACAGTAGGGAAGGATACCCTAGCGGGTTGCCACTGCTAGCTCGGGCAGCCTGCTTTTATTCTCTTATCTGGCCCCACCCACATCCTGCTGATTGGTAGAGCCCAGTGGTCTGTTTTGACAGAGCGCTGATTGGTGCGTTTACAATCCCGGAGCTAGACACAAAGGTTCTCCACGTCCCCACCAGATTAGCTAGATAGAGAGTGTGGACACAAAGGTTCTCCAAGGCCCCACCAGAGTAGCTAGATACAGAGTGTCGATTGGTGCATTCACAAACCCTGAGCTAGACACAGGGTGCTGATTGGTGTGTTTACAAACCTTGAGCTAGATACAGAGTGCCAATTGGTGTATTTACAATCCTTGAGCTAGACATAAAGTTTCTCCAAGGCCCCACCAGAGTAGCTAGATACAGTATCGACTGGTGCATTCACAAACCCAGAGCTAGACACACGGTAGTGACTGCTATGTTTACAAACCTTGAGCTAGATACAGAATGCCAATTGGTGTATTTACAATCCCTGAGCTAGACGTAAAGGTTCTCCACATCCTCACCAGACTCAGGAGCCCAGCTGGCTTCACCCAGTGGGTTCCGCGCCCGGTCTGCAGGTGGAGCTACCTGCCAGTCCCGCGCCATGTGCTGGCACTCCTCAGCCCCTTTGGATGGTGGATGGGACTGGGCGCCCTGGAGCAGGGGGCGGCGCTCGTCGGGGAGGCTCGGGCCGCACAAGAGCCCACGGAGGGGGTGGGAGGCTCAGGCATGGCGGGCTGCGGATCCTCAGCCGTGCCCCGCGGGAAGGCAGCTAAGGCCCGGCGAGAAATCGAGCGCAGCGCCGGTGGGCCGGCACTGCTGGGGCACCCAGTACACCCTCCGCAGCCGCTGGCCCGGGTGCTAAGCCCCTCATTGCCTGGGGCCGGCAGGGCCGGCCGGCTGCTCCGAGTGCAGGACCCGCCAAGCCAACGCCCACCCGGAACTCCAGCTGGCTCGCAAGCGCCGCGTGCAGCCCCGGTTCCCGCTGGCGCCTCTCCCTCCACACCTCCCCGCAAGCTGAGGGAGCCGGCTCCGGCCTTGGCCAGCCCATAAAGGGGCTCCCACAGTGCAGCGGTGGGCTGAAGGGCTCCTCAAGTGCCGCCAAAGTGGGAGCCCAGGCAGAGGAGGCACCGAGAGCGAGCGAGGGCTCTGAGGACTGCCAGCACGCTGTCACCTCTCAATAGCAAGAGGGGACAGATAAATTCCTTGGTAGAACGGGACAGTGCCGGGTAAAACCCAAACTTCAAGCCACAGACAGTCTGAAACCTGAAAACTGACC
Source organism: Homo sapiens (assembly GCF_000001405.40). Classification (NCBI taxonomy): domain Eukaryota; kingdom Metazoa; phylum Chordata; class Mammalia; order Primates; family Hominidae; genus Homo; species Homo sapiens. The sequence goes on from NC_000001.11 coordinate 102,660,677, forward strand.
TACCAGTTTTGGGTGGAGCCCGTCACCGGAGTAAGAACTTCTTTACTTCCTGGATGCCTTTTAGCCAATCAAATGGTGCTTTTTCCAGACCTGCCCAAGGACCAATCAGCATGCACTCCTCCATTCTGAGCACATATAAACCCTGGACTCAGCCTCACAGGTGGCTGCTACCTGCTTTCCGGCCTCCTCTCCCACGGAGGGCTGCCCACTTTGGGTCCCCTCTTCTTGTCCAGAGATTTTCTGTTACTCAATAGAATTATTCTTGGCCAGGCGTGGTGGCTCACGACTGTAATCTCAGTATTTTGGGAGGCCGAGGTGGGCGGATCACTTCAGGTCAGGAGTTCGAGACCAGCCTGACCAACATGGCGAAACCCCGCCTCTGCTAAAAATAATAATAATAAAAAACAAACAAACAAAAATCTAGCAGGTCGTGATGGCGGCAGCCTGTAGTCCCAGCTATTCGGGATGTTGAGAAAGGAGAATGACTTGAACCTGGAAGGCGGAGGTTGCAGTGAGCCGAGATAGCACCACCACACTCCAGCCTGGGCGACAGAGTGGGACTCCGTCTCAAAAAAAAAAAAAAAAAAAAAAAAAAAAAAAAAAAAATCCTCTTGGTCGCAGGACAAGAACCTGGCACCTGGAACTGCGGATATGAAAAGAACTGTAACCTGTGTTCCTCCTCGCAGAGCTATGGGAGAAAAGATCACTGGGCACCACACACCCCTATTCACAGAGAAGGCAGCAAGACCTGAGCTGTGGCATGCCCTTGTTCACCAAGTTGCAGGCGAGAGAACGAACGAGAGCTGTAACATTTTACGGGGGCTCAGACCTCCAGACTCCCTGAACGAAAACTGTAACACTCCTTGGGGCTCCGCAGTTTCTGCCATCTCCAAGTTTTCAGGCATTGCAGGCTCCCTATAGTCCAGACACTGACGCCGGAGGTGGAAGCCTATCGCGGCATATCCCGTACCAGCCATGGGATGAGCACAGAGCCTTGGCGGTTGCAGGATCCTGGTGAGTAGCATGAGCCCAGAGCAGCCTGCTGGGCCCAGTGGGAGAAGCGAGCCCAGCAGGCCCAAGTGAAGCTCAGACAGAGTCACTGCCAGCCATGGAGATTTCTGGCTGGCAAAGCGGCACCGAAAGACTCCTATGTAAATGATACACTATAGTGTGCATATAGCCCTATCGTGTTCAGATGAAAAGACTGGGGACATGATAAATACAGATAAACTGTTCACAGTGTAACTGTTTTACACTTTTCATTTTTGAGTTACGTCTTTGTTTAACCACTTTTTAGAATTATATATATATATATAAATTTAAATTTTTAATTGTCACTATGACAAAATTTTTCTATTTGAATTTATTTACTTGTACAAGTAGACACAATTACTTGTACTGCATCTCACATCTTATTTTACTAAAGGATTTACACTATATATTTGACATTTAATAAAGATTTTCTCACCTCCTCCATTTAACTAAGATGTTGCATTCATGAATCTAATTTATATATGTATGTTGGTTTTTCATAGACTGTAGGAGTATTTTTAACACAGATTGTTGGTAATGTGTGCAGCCAATTTAACAACAATATCATAAGAGTGAGTATAACACAAAGTTGTGGAAAATCATAATTTTATTCCATTATTAAGTAATTGAAAAATAAAAACAAGATCAACAAATATTGGGTACAAATACCATCCAAGACAATAAAATATGTTAAATAAACACTATTTTATTAATAGTATGAAGACTTCTCTGCCTATATTGTTACTGATCATTTCCTCTGTTTACAAATGATCTTATTATTCTAAAATATTGTGGAAACCACATGCTAAGACTCCAATAATCAACTAAAAAGATAAATGGATATTTTCTCATTGTTATCAATCTACATTTGGAAGCCAGTGTTCTTTATTCATAGCAAATACTTCCCTTTCAGTCCAGCATTTTAGTATTTGGGGTTTTAAATCCATCTTATGTGGTACATTTTGGACAGGCCATTTGTAACAATTAAAGATTATTGAGGAGTTGTCAACAAGCATGACTATATTTATATGTGTATTTTTTAAAAAAAAATTATATATATATATCTCCTTAAAAATATTAACCAAGTTAATATTCATCAATCATCTTTGCTAAAGATATGTTTGTGTCACATAAGAAAAGTCATTAAAATTTACAAATTAATTACCCATAACATAAATTTACATTGTGTCCCAGCTGGCATGATAAACAGCATTTTCAACTAATCTCTTACTAATTTTTTTTTTTTTTTAGTATCTGTAATGGTAAGATTTACTAAGTGTTACTGACTTAAAACAGGTCAGTGTTGCCTGCTACTGTATATTTTCTATCACAGTGAGGAAGAATGATCTACAACATAGCAGTCTCCAGAAATCAACGCAGAAGCCTATACATTTCTTCATTGGCTTCTAAAACACAATTAATTTGTTCATATTTTCCTAGCAGCAATTAGCAGCAGGCAAGAGTTTTAATGAAATAAAGTTGTGATTCCCACAGGGACTATTTATAATGCACATTACAAACCAACAAGAGCTTCAAACTATTTACATTAAGAATTGATTAATAACAAAGATATTAAGCTACGTATGAGATTACATATTGTGCCTATTTAAGGGATACTGCTAATTAATTAATCATAATCATTTGCATGTGCCATATCTAATTAACTTTTTATAACTCTTTAAGTTTTTCCTTTAGGACCAATAGCATTCAAGTAGCATTAGCAAAAGGAACATTTAAGCCATTTCTTAGAATATTGTTTTCCAATAAAGTTGATTTCTTTGAAAACACTTAAGGAGTATAATCAGAGTAAGAGGCTTTTCATGCCAATTACCATGAGCTGCACCGCGTTTGCTATTGGGGGAATGAAGTAACATTACATTAGGGTTAAGTAGGACTTTAAAATGTTTTTATGTAAATTAAGTTTAGAAAGTAGCCTTAAAACTTCTGAAAAAGTTTGACACTAGAGTTTCAATGCCCCAAAATATTATACTGATCTGTTTTTTTTTAATCTGTATAATTTAGAGGATGCTTTATTTGCATCCAGGAACATACCTAAAAATTTTTTTATCTTGGATGTAAGTGAAGGTTTAATGAACTTATCTTCTTCAATATCTGCCTTATAAAAAATAGCTTCAAAATAGTTCCAGCTTTACAAATTAATTTGAAAGAGTTATTTCATCACCAAAGAATAGCTTCTAAAATTCACTTAGTTTTTAGCAGCTTTAAAATTTCATAAGTTATTAGTTCTTAAATGTATTAATTATATAATATTTTACACTGAATTACATAATCAGCATAATTTTCACCATAAATTAGTGTTTTGTTCTCTTATAACTGCACTCCTGGATTGAATTGCCTGTAATTTTACTAACAATATACCAAAAATTCAATTATAATACCTGTGACAAGCCATTAAATGTTAACTATGCTCCAAGTACTACGTTATGCCTTATCACAGATCATTATGACTAATGCAAATATTATGTAAAATAAGTTTTGCTGCCATAATTTTGCAGACAAAAAAATCGAGAGTAAAATGTAAGGTAATCAAGTCAAAGTACTAGCAAATGGCAAAGCCAGGATACCAACCGAGATTTGTATAGATCCAAAGGAAATCTTACCATCTACATCAAACGTGGTTAATCGGAGGCTTCTTAGCAGCCATCATTTTCCTATTTATTGAAAAGACTGAAGATTCTTTTGAATACCTTCCTATTAATACCAGATCTTATTATATGAATGTTGTGGCCTACTAAAAATGTCCGTAAAACTGTTTGGCACTCATTTCAAACCTGGCTGGGCTTTATTTTGACCAAGAGAAATAGCAGAAGTCATGCTGTACTAGTTCCTAGCACCATAGCTTATCTTTTGGAATATATCTTTGGAAGTTGAGGGCTGATATACAACAATTCTGGGTACCTCAAGACCAGCATACTGGAAAGGTCATAAGCAGATATGCCATCTGATAGAAGAAAAACAAGCCCATTTACATTTTTAAAAGTTTTGTTGAGCATTCAGTGATTTATTAAGTGATTGGATCAGCATCTGACCAAAAGGGGCTAACACTCTGCTGAGACAGGCAAGAGAGGAAACATTGATACAGTATATTCAGAAGCAAGACAGAAAACAATTTTTATTGGTTAGAGTGGAAAGTGTCTGGTTAGAGGTTCATTGGTCTCTGATTGGTGCAGTTTCTAGTTTCAATTCCGTTTTACATTGGGCTTTGTCTCGTTCATGTAGGAATTTTTTTTTTTTTTTTCGAGACGGAGTCTCTCTCTGTCGCCCAGGCTGGAGTGCAGTGGCGCGATCTCGGCTCACTGCAAGCTCTGCCTCCCGGGTTCACGCCATTCTCCTGCCTCAGCCTCCCAAGTAGCTGGGACTACAGGCGCCTGCCGCCACGCCCTGCTAATTTTTTCTTATTTTTTAGTACAGACGGGGTGTCACCGTGTTAGCCAGGGTGGTCTCGATCTCCTGACCTCGTGATGTGCCCGCCTCGGCCTCCCAAGGTGCTGGGATTACAGGGGTGAGCCACCGCGCCCGGCGTCATGTAGGAATTTAATGTGCCATTGCCACTCCAGTCTAATGGCCTCACAGTTAGAATTTTGTTTTAACACGTATAAAAGTTCCAACTGAGCCCAGGCTTTCCACTAGTAATGCTTCAGAAAATGACTGAAGCTATTTTGGATCCTCTAGACTAGCTCATCTGCATGTTGAATTCCAGCAATTAGTTTCGATCCGAATCAAATGGAGATGAAAAACCACCTTGGCTAAGCTCTGTCCAAATTCTTGACTTACACAATTGTGAGATATGAACTGCACTTGATTTAGCTAAGGAAGGAGATCCTGGACCTGAAGTTTGAGCTGACGCTATAGTAGCATGATACTTTTGAAGGAATCTGACTGGAGCGAGTTTACTTTGTAGGGGAGAGGAGAACTGATTACTCAAAAAATCTAATAAAGGATCTTATTAGGAATTCTTGTTTTTGTCATTCCAGAATGACTCAGCTTTGATATTAGAGCTGTCACCATAGTCCCACAACAACAAAGGGTGAATAAAGATCCACTAGGAAACTTATTTTTATTTTTCATTTCTGTCGATGTGTGTTTGTAATACATCCAAACTCACGGCAAATGCTCACATTTGTGGACTTCAGTTGCAAAATACTCTGAGTTTTGCTGGAGGGTATAGTAAGACAAAAAGAATACAGAGGAAAAAAAATTAAACAAAAATATTTTATCTCATATACAGAGATATATTTTCCACATTTTGTGATGAGCTTCTGCATTTATTTTTAATAATAAGGCAATTTTCATTAAATTATGTCATTCATGCCCAAAATATAGTCACAGACACAGTTTTGAGAAGTAAGTATCTAGAAATAGCTTGTTCTTCATAATTTTGCAGTTCTATTTACATAAGACCTTCAACAAAGAAAATTAATATTTATCATTTGATTTTAATTTCTATATGGAAAACACATTCAGTAATATGCAAGTCCTATTCATTTTAGAACAAAATTAATATTGAATACTTGATATAAAAATATTTTCAGCATTGGAAGTATTTATTCATTTTTAAAGAATATAAAATTTTTTATTGGCATTGCTTTTGCAGACTTACTTTTTAAATTTTATAAGTATAAAATGTGCAAAAAATTAAAAATAAATCTAGGGAAGCTATGAATATTAGAATTTCTATGTGTACTAAAATATATAGAATGTCAGTTGTAATGAGTCAAAGTCAAAGTGATTAAGTACAAATGGTACAAACCATAAAACTGCTCATTATCACTATGCTACTTCCAACCCAAACTTTTCATATCTTTTGATCTGCTTTAAATTTTCTATTTCTATGTAATTTGTGAAATTGTGATTTCTGATTGCTGAATTTCCATTAGATACATATTCAGCACATAATTATTTAATTTTGAAATAATTCTACAAAATATACTAAAATAAGTGGAGACATAATTATCTATGTGTTGAGGGTTGAAAGTCATATTTTCATCAAGTCAAAAGTAAACTGCCTTTGGTAAAACACCTACAGTTACAATAGGTTAGGTGAGTAGGTTTGGCAATTAATTTTTTAAACTTTCTCCTGATATGATGACAGACCATGTTCCTATACAAACTCCAGAAAGAAGAGCTAAACTTAGGGGAAAAAATCTGTTAGAAAATATAATTCTGTAGAAAACAGTAACTGATGAGATTATGTAGATTATCTATGGCAAGCTTTAAGAATTTGTTTTACTACATTTTCTAGAAATACCCAATAATAATTCCCTAGTAGAGAAGCAGATTCGAGGAGACCTATGTTGTCTGTCATTGTTGAAAAATATTTCAGAGGTCATATTGCTATTGTGATGGTGGTTGGTTTTGTTTTGTATAGCATACAATAATTTAAAGATATGTACTTTACACAGGCATTTTGTTTTTAAATAAATTACAAGTGTGTCTTATTTATGGAATAAGTACACTTCTTGAAATTTTCATACTAAACAATTGGATTTTTTCATTTGAAACTTATTTTGGATATTCCAGAAAATATTACTGTTTACATAAATTTTGTTTTATAGATTGGTAATATTTATACACTTATTTTTTACTGAATGTTGTGCTAATGATTCCTTCATTTCCTCTATGCCTTAAATTTCTAGTTTCAGGAACATTTTTAGAGTATTAATCTCCATCTCATTTTATGTCATTCTTTTGATGTGCCTTAAGCTCTGGAAGCTAAAGCAATACATTTTTAGTGAGTTGATCCATAGCCTAGTTATCAACTTGTGAATAATAAGTTAGGCACTTGTATCACTCTCCATTATTTTCCTTAGGTATTTCAATCAGCCCTACATGCTGATGACTCCCAAATCAGATTTCCAACTCCTATTTCCCTCCTGATATTCAGACTTTTATTTACAACTGGCTCCTATACATCTTCACTGGAATGTCTTAAAGCAACCTCAAATTTAACATACTCAATATCAAACTCATTTTGTCACCCACATACTACGTCTTGCTCTACTTTTACATGTTCTCTTTCTCTCCATGCCCACCAAGAGTGATTTAGTTTATTTTATAAGCATTTCTTCCTGACTAGCTGACAGCCTTTTATCTTACTGCCCCAGTTGATTCTTAATTGCCATTAAAGTTGTATACTTGTACACCACACCCTTTAGTCACCATTGAATAACTGTTGTTCCTAAGCAAGCTTGTGTCTCTAAGGATACATAACTCTTTGGAATGTCTAGTCATTTTTCCTTCCAGGGAATGCCTAAGCATCATTTAATATTCAACTTATGTTTAATATCAGTGCAGCATCCCTAAAAGAGGGCAAAATTACTTACTTATTCCATGGTATTCTTAGAAGATTTAATAAATGTCATCTGTAAAATGCATTTCACATTTAGACAGTTTCAAAAGCAAAGCTTATTTTCACTATAGCTATTACAAATATGGACTTTCAAATCAAACAAATTTGGGTGTAAATCATGACTGTCTCATGTGCTTGCCCTTTGGAAAGGTATTTAACATTTCTGAACACTTTAGTTTTCTGCTGTTCTATACTAATGGTATCTATCTAAAAGACTATTTTTAGAATTAAATAAGATAAAATGTATAAACAGCAAAGATAGTGTCCATCAGCAAGTAAGGGCTCAAAATTGATTCCATGAATTGTATTATAATTATTTTTGTTTTATATAAACCTTCTAAAGAAATACACTATTTTCTGCTATTGACTATGTCACAATTTGAAGCACATTGCTTGACATGTAATATGAGACACTATAAATCTATGTTCAATGAGTAACCATCATGGAGCTTGGACTATAAATTTAAAAGTGTTAGTTGCAACTCATCGATAGAAACACACTTTTTCATAATAACTTGAAAACATTGAGTGGTGTGTTTTAATGTTATTCCTACTACAAATAGGAAAAATGAAATTTTGAAAGCCTTCTTAAGTCATGATTGAATGTATGAATTTTATATCTATACAGAGTGCTATTAATAAAAATATTTTGGAAAGCAAGAATTCTCACGTAAAGTAGAAGAAAAATTCCCCATCTCTGAGTTGAATATGGTAAAATATTTTTCAAGAATTAGTCATTTTTCTTCTAGAAATGCCTACAATATTATATTTTGGCATTTCAACAAATTTGCTGTCCACAAAATACACCTATAACTTCTGTAGAAGAAATAGAACAAAACATTTTTAGAAGATTGTTATTGCATTGACTTTGGTTACATGTTTTATCTAAAATAGCTGTTTTTAAACTGTAGCACTGTGGCTGAACTGTAAATTACCTTGTTCTTCTATGAGAAAATCCCACCATTTTATTCATAATTCATTTCTTTATGCAAGCTAAAGGGAAACCTTGGGATATAATAGAATTGCCTTAGAGAAAATTTATAGTATATGTGTGTAGTTGATCAATATCCTACAGGTACAGCACTGTGAAAGACATCATTTTAGTTCTTCAGGTGTGAATAGTGTCCCATGGGTGGGGCAATACACATAAAAATGAGAGATATTTTTATTAATGGTATGATTTTTTTACACTTTGAAGTAACAATATAAAATAGTATTTGTTTAGATGCTGGCATATGTTGGACAGAACAACTTACTGTGAAAGTATAGGGAATCAGAAAGTACCAGTTTCAAGAAACAGTTTAAATTCTATTATTTCAGATGATCCACTCTACAGTTTGTCTGAGTCAACAGGGGATGGCTTTTATAACACTGTGGAGTGAAGGAGAAGTTTTAAGGTAGCCTTTTTGCATTATATGAGGATGTCATACCTATTATTAGAGAACATATCAATTCATTGTTAGAAAATTATAATCATTGTCACCATAGTCATCATCATCATCATCATAATGGGAGCACTTATATTCCACTTTACTCCTCTGGGCATTGTATAATTAGGTTAAAAGTTAAACATTATTGGCGAATGTACATTCTAGACTTTAATCTCTACATTGAAAGATATTCAATGGTGATCTACTTATCTATCCATCTATCTGTATTTTTATTTTTTAATTGAGCAATCTATGTTCAGGTATTTTATGATAAAAAGAATTATATCAATCTAAGGGACAAACACATAAAAAATTTTAATCAGATGTTCTGGAGGTAATACAATGAACTTATTACTATGTAAGTGATAAGATTTACAATCCCACTTTTATGATGTCTGTGTCTGATTTACATAATAGACTATTAAAGAGGTTTGGGCCACACTGAACAATACGAAAGCCATTAGTCCACAAGTGGCTATTGAGCATTTGAAATTGCATGGTCTGATTTATAATGTGCAGTAAGTGTATGCACACTGGATTTTGTAACCTAGTGCAAAAAATAGAATGTAAATATGCTCCTAATAATTGCATATTGATTACTTATTAAAATGATAAGACTTGGCTAAATGATTAAAATAAACATACTAAAAGTAATTAGGCTGAGGTGGGTGGATCACGAGGCCAGGAGATAGAGACCATCCTGAGTAACACGGTGAAACCCGGTCTCTACTAAAAATACAAAAAATTAGCCGGGCGTGGTGGCGGGCTCCTGTAGTACCAGCTACTCGGGAGGCTGAGGCAGGAGAATGGCGTGAACCTGGGAGGTGGAGCTTGCAGTGAGCCGAGATCGCGCCACTGCACTCCGGCCTGGGCGACAGAGAAAGACGCTGTCTCAAAAAAAAAAAAAGTAATTTTACATTTTTTAAAACTTAGTTTGACTGCTGGAAAATTTAGGTCTGTACGTTACTCACATTACATTTATACTGAGCAACTTTAAGTTAAAATGTTTGAAATTCACGTAGATAGGGGCAGGTAAATTTCAAAGAAAATGGAGGAGAATTGGTAAAAGACATATTAAATTAAATCTATGCCTTTAAATGATATCCACTGTGTGAAAGCTACCTTAAGATTAGACCTAATGGAGTTATTTGATACTGTTATTTGCGATAAAGTAGAAATGACAGGCACATTTAACAGGAGAAACTGTTTCAAATAAAGCCATGTATCCAGGCTGTGGAATTCTCCCTTGTGCTAACATACTGCTTTTGTGTACAAGTTTCCAAACTTATTTGGAAAACCGAGCTTCTAAAATAAATAAGCATTCTTTATGGCCAAATTATGTTGATAAATTGATTGTAGAATTCATTAATATTCTGCCTCTATAAAGTGTCAGGAAATGAGATACAGATTAAGAACAGATGAATAGTGAGAACTGTTATCTTTGTTTTTCACAAATTCTTTATTTCCAGGCTATTTTCCCGTATCTGTTTATATATGTGGTTGTAATGAGAATTTATGACATATTGAGTGTTCTGTTTCTAATTTTCAAGCTATATCACATATTTTCATATGCAGACTTAAGACATATATTGCATATTGCATTGTCAGTTGTTTGTAGCAGGATGAAATTAGCCATATTAATTCATTTTGTTGGCCCCAAGTAAAATTGTATATGTTCTTATTTCTGTACTTTTCATTTCTTACTTAAAAATTTTAAACTAAATAATAAAAACCTAAAATTTTTCATAATACAGAATTCTAAAAATACTTCTTTAAAAATTATTGTATTTTATCAGATTGAACACAATAGCATTTACAATGTAACATACTATACAGTCATTAAAGATTATAAACCGTGCAAATATTTATTATTCAATTATCAAGAATATGATTGTTATCAGTAGAACAACAAGTTATGAATTAAGAGTTTTAAAAAATAATTTGTTGGCATATCTAGAATTTATCAAATTAGCTACTTCAACTATTAGAGCATATCACATGCCTGTCTTTTTTTTTTTTTCTTTTGAGACAGGGTCTGACTCTGTCACTAAGGCTGAGGTGCAGTGGCATGATCTCGGCTCATTGCAACCTCTACCTCCCAGGCTAAAGTGATGCTCCCACCTCGGCCTCTCAAGTAGCTGGGACTACAGGTGTGCACCACCACATGGGGCTAATTTTTGTATTTTTTGTAGAGACCGGGTTTTGTCATTTTGCCGAGGCTGATCTTTAACTGCTGAGCTCAAATAATTGGCCCACCTTGGCCTCCCAAATTGCTGGGATTACAGGCGTGAGCCACCACACTTGCTCCCACATGCCAATCTTAAGTCACACGATCACTGTTTTATCCAGCTAAGTAGGTGAAAAAAAGAAACATTGTAAGGCATTTTAAGGGAAACAAATTGCAGTGAACTTTCTCATCTAAGGCATATCCTAGATAAAAATTGTAAAATAAACAAACGTGTTTTCTTTAAACCTCTTTTGATCTCTTGTAGAAAATCTTCATCTAAAAGGATTCTCAGCTTTGGTTGCACATTGCAACCTACTGGGAAGGACTAACACAGAAAGCCCCCTTGAGATGAGGCTTTACCTGAGATGAATTCAGTTAACATCTGATAAGGAAGGGGAGCAAACATCTGTATTGTTCAAAAGTCCCCTAGGTGGTTTTAATGCGGAACCAGCTAGAGAATCCCTAATAAAGTCAACCAGAAGTCTCATATGCCCTCTCATTTTCTCGCTATCCTGTTACTGAAACCTAAATTCTCTTCATTTGGAACACGACATAATCTGCACTTTGCCTTACTGATTTCTCACTGCTAAATGTCACTCCTAATTTGTTCTATATTTTCAAAGCCTCATTAAATTATTGGCCTGCTAATTACATATCTCAATTCATGATAAAGCGCTAATGGTTGAAAGTGATTTAATGTGTGATTAATGTGTGCTAATTAGAATTAGCAAATTCTAATTAATGAATTTGCTTTATAACCTACTATTTAACACACCTAAAGCATGAATGGTGAATAAAATAGGAATTTTAGTTCTAATAGACCTATATAGAAATACCTTAACTCTGCTGGGGCATTGAGCATTCCTTAAGTAGTTCTACATAAGAATGGTTTTAATAGGAGCTAGCTATCCTGTTTCCATTATTAACACAAAACCATGAAGAAATGGAAGATGGCAATGCTAGAAAAGTCAGACATACTACATGATAATAGGTTAAATAAATGCTATTCAGTTCATTAAGTTGATAGAATTATGCATTCACAAAAAAAAGACCCCTGAATTTGGATAAATGTATAGAAAATGTCACTCCCATGAAAGAAAAATTAATTATAAAAATAAATGAAATGAATGTTTTTTACAGAATTTTCTTAAAGGTATTCCATTATACAAAGTAGAATTTTATGATGCCAATTTAACTGTCATTAGAAAGACTATATTTTAAAAGTTAACTAATACATGTCAGGAAGAATGATTGTCTCTTTTCAGGGGAATTGTTGATAAATGATATAATGACAGAGGTTTTTGCTCACAGCTAAGAATGATTAGAAAAGGAGGTTTGGATATAATTAACTTAATAGTATGTTTCTCCTAGTGCTAAGGAGAGGTTGGCCATTAACTGTATTCTAATATATATATAGAAATTACATACTTGAAATAGAGAAGCACACAGCAGGGTTTTATATATTTAAGGCAATTTTATGTAAGATAAGACCATTTTTTTTTCTGCCAATTCCTAATTCATCAAATTGCTTTCACCAAGAAAAATGTTCTGTTGTATAAAACAATACGTCTCCAATATCTGTTAGGTATCACACATTTTGCATTCTTTTATGTATCACATAACTGTGGATACTGTTTTTTTCATATATACAAATAATGAGACTTGATCAGACTAACAAGTACACTTATATTGTTCAGCTTATGTAGAACTTGATCTTGTTTTTTTCTTTTCCCCTAATAGACAGCTATTCATTGAAGTAAAATAGACAAAGTCAATCTCTTTCAGACCACACATTTAGTACCAAGATATATTATGAGGAGTAACTAGATTTAAGTCCACATTTTAAAAACAATATTTTATCAGTCTTCTTAATATAGAACCCAACAACAAAAGTAACTGCATGAGAATAAAGTTAATATGAACTGAGTTTAGAGATACTGATATGCAAAATTTTCTTGAGAAGTGAAATAGTGATTTAATCAAGAAAGTGGGCCCAAGGTTAAAGTTGCTAGTTTCAAATACTGGCTCAGTCAACTTATCTGTGCCTCGATTTCTTTCTCTTTTTTTTTGAGACAGAGTCTTCCCCTGTCGCCTGGGTTGGAATGCAATGGCACTATCTCTGCTCACTGCAACCTCCACCTCCCAGGTTCAAGCAATTCTCCTGCCTCAGCATCCCGAGTTGCTGGGATTACAGGCACACGCCACCACGCCCGGCTAATTTTTTGTATCTTTGGTAGAGATGAGGTTTCAGCATGTTGGCCAGGCTGCTCTTGATCTGTCCGCCTCGACCTCCCAAAGTGTTGGGATTACAGGTGTCAGCCACCACACCTGGCCCTGTGCCTCAATTTCTTCAGCCATAAAATGGGAATTTTATCATATTTACCTCACTAGTTTGTTAGAAGGGAAAGAGTTGATTAGATAAGCCAATGTAAATATAATCCTCAAGAACTGCCCTAGGGCACAGTAAGCAAAAAATAGATACTAACAATTATTATTACCTAATGAATATGTGAACCTACATATGTTTTTATTTTATCTGGAGCTATACATAAACATATGCAGTTATAGTTTCAATTGACAATCTTCTTTTCACAAGGATTTACAAAGAGTTTAACGTTTAGAATTCCCAGGATTTTTGTCATGGCCTGTAATAAGACAGTCACACAATTTTGTTAGCTCAATTTGAATCACTTTACCTTATCCTACTCTATTGATCTGATATTGTCTGTTGCTTTGTGTCATAATGTCTCTGTCTCTCCAGATAAACTGGCTGTTAGCCTTTGACAGTCATGTTACTACAACTTATGTGATGTCTAATCCATGAACCTAAATGTTTATTGGCTGATATTATCACATCTACTCTGTGCTAATCCTTACACATACCCAGTTGGATATGAATATGCTCATTTTGTAGATGGGAGAACTGGACCTTTAATGTTAAATGACTCCATATCACACAGTTCTTTACATGTCCAAGTAAGTCAGAATTCAAACTTAGACAGACATATACAACCCCAAAGGCTTTGCCCTGTTGCCTTCATCATCCCAGGATTTCTCTTGATGCCTTAATTCCCAACCTCACTGTTCTTAGTTTGTTCTCTTTCCCAATGGATGGTGACTGGCAAAAAGAGAGCTTGTGCAGGGCAACTCCCATTTTTAAAACCCCCAAATTTTGTGAGACCTATTCACTATCATGAGAACAGCACTGGAAAGACCCACCCCATAATTCAATAATCTCCCACCAGGTCCCTCCCACAACACGTGTTAATTATGGAAGCTACAAGAGGAGATTTGGGTGGGGACACAGAGCCAAACCATATCATTCTGCCCCTGGCCCCTCCCAAATCTCGTATCTTCACATTTCAAAACCAGTCATGCCTTCCCAACAGTCCACCAAAGTCTCAACTCATTTCAGAATTAACCCGAAAGTCCACAGTCCAAAGTCTCATCTGAGACAAGGCAAGTCCCTTCTGCCTATGACCATGTAAAATCAAAAGCAGGTTAGTTACTTCCTAGATATATTGTGGGTACAGGCATTGGGTAAATACAGCCATTCCAAATGGGAGAAATTCGCCAAAACAAAGGGGCTACAGGCCCTATGCAAGTCCAAAATCCAGCAGGGCCGTCAAATCTTAAAGTTCCAAAATGATCTCCTTTGACACCATGTCTTGCATCTGGATCACATCGATGCAAGGATTGGGTTCCCATGGTCTTGGGCAGCTCCACCCCTGTGGCTTTGCAGGGTAAACCCCCCCTCTCGGCTGTTTTCACGGGTTGGCATTGAGTGTCTGTGGCTTTCCCAGGCTCACGGTGCAAGCTGTTGGTGGATCTACCATTCTGGGTTCTGGAGTACAGTGGCCTTCTTCTCACAGCTCCACTAGGTGGTGCCCCAGTAGGGACTGCGTGGGGGGGCTGTGACCCCACATTTCCATTCTGCACTGCCCTAGCAGAGGTTCTCCGTGAGGGCCTTGCCCTTGCAGCAAATGCGTGGGCATCCAGGCATTTCCATACATCTTCTGAAATCTAGGGGGAGGCTCCCAAACCTCAGTTATTGACTTCTGTGTGCCTGCAAGCTCAACACCATGTGGAAGCTGCCAAGTCTTGGGGCTTCTACCCTCTGAAGCAACAGCTAGGGCTGTACCTTGGCCCCTTTTGGTCATAGGTGGAGCAGTTGAGATATAGGGCACTAAGTCCCTAGACTGCACACAAGATGGGAACACAGGGCCTGGCCCACGAAACCGTTTTTCTTCCTCAGCCTCTGGGTCTGTGATGGGAGGGGTGGCTCTGAAGCCTCTGACATGTCCTGGATACATGTTCCCCATTGGGGAAAATGGGGCTTACGAATGGTAATCCCCAAAATGGGGATTTACCATTTGGGTCCTGATTACCTATGCAAATCTCTGGAAATTTTCTGAACGTTTATGCACTGCTTCCCTTTTAAAACTGAATGTTTGTAACAGCACTGAAGTCACATCTTGAATGCTTTGCTGGTTAGAAATTTCTTCCACCAGATACCCTTAATCATCTCTCTCAAGTTCAAAGTTCCATAAATATCTAGGTCAAGGGCAAAATGTTGCCATTCAACAAGTCTCTAGGGAGTTCCAAACTTTCCCACATTTTCTTGTCTTCTTCTAAGCCCTGTAAACTGTTCCAACCTCTGCCTGTTATCCAGTTCCAAAGTAGCTTCCACAATTTCTGGTATCTTTTCAGCAGCGCCCCACTACCAGTACCAATTTACTGTATTAGTCCATTTTAATGATGCTGACAAAGACATACCCAAGACTGGGCAATTTACAAAAAAAAATAATAATAAGTTTAATTGGATTTACAGTTCTACGTGGCTGGGGAAGCCTCAGGATCATGGTGGAATGCAAAGAGGAGCAAGTCACATCATACAAGGATGGCAGCAGGCAAAAAGAGAGCTTATGCTGGGCAACTTCTGTTTTTAAAATCATCAGATCCCCGAGATCCATTCACTGTCATGAGAAAAGGATGGGAAAGACTTGCCCCCATAATTCAGTAATCTCTCACCAGGTCCATCCCACAACACTTGGGAATTGTGGGAGCTGCAAGAGATTTGATGGGGGACAAAGAACCAAACCATATCAAGGTGTGAGTATAATTTTTAATGTGAATATAACAATATTATAAAGTCCAAGTAACTTAATTTAAAATAAACTGTTGAGTTCAGGGGAACAAATGCTTCATCATGTCTATTAAATGTTTACCTTAATGTAACCTCCAGATATGGCATGTTCATAGTTGTATTCCCTCTCAACAACTAAGACATTGTCTTTCTCAATAAATGAAACTTCAGTAAAAATTGTCAGAGCAGGTCTGCCCCTCCCACAGTAAAAGAATGCTACTGTGCATACTTGCACTCAAATTATTTTTTTATCTATTGGTATGACTTAAGACTAGTGACTTTCACAATAGCTGCTTCTCTCATTAGGGAAAATGTCGGCAATTGTGAAGCCATATCCTTAGCCCACAGTAACGAGATGTTAAGCCTGAAAGAACTGCAACTCATTTACTTGTCTAGACCTTCTAAATTTTAAATTTCAGTTGAGCAAGATCACTAAATATTTAAAATTGAGATGTTTTATTTCTTTGTGAAATTGATTTTACAGAACCATTTACAAATCTTTAGGCTACACAGAAATTATTTAAAATATTTTTATATTTATTCTAATTAAGTAAATAACATGTAAATAAATGTGTATTCATTGAATAACTTCTTTTGGACAGATAATAATGCTACTCACCACCTTATATAATTCCATATTGTAAGAAGCTTCAGAGACGTGGATTTTTCTGTTTTCAGGACCTGAAATATATTCCTACATAGAGTAAATGGTAAGTTTAATCAGAAGATTATGTGATTAATATAGCTAATTTTGTTTTATCTTTTGGATGATGTAACCTATCCCTGGCAAGTGTGAAAAATGACAGTATATATTGTACAGTGGTATTTCCCTGAAGCTTTATCTTTTTCTACTCATTTTTCTTTAATCATAATTTTCTTCATTGAGTCAGAGCCTAAGGCAGCAGTAAATTCTCCAGTAATTGTGCTATTCTACCACTTCAAAGCCATGAGAGTAAAGCTCTGAGATGTCAATATAGAATTTATCAAACATTTGATAAATAGCAAAAGTTGCATCAGGAGTCTAAAGAGTAAATAAATAATAGGGGGATTGGCAAACACTATGATGCCGACTCTCACGAGCACGCAGAAACACTCAGGCTTCTTTTAGCCAGAGAGTACGGGGAATGCTGGCCCTGCATTCTGCTGGCATAGCTGAAGAAAAATTTACCATATTTTTACCATTTTTCTGTCAATGTTTTAATACAAGCTGGTATGGCCTGAGGAAAGGGTCTCCCACAGAAAGTGTGTACTTCTAACCTAAAAATCGAATGACTTCATTTATTATACCATCAAACATAAACTCTTTAGAAAACCTCTTAGTACCCTTAACAATGTAATTAGATGTTTCTTAAGTATTTGTTCACCTTTATTTTTAGCTACCTTGTAAATACATCTTGCTCATTTAATCCATAAATCAGTATTTTATCTATTCATCTATTTATTTAATCAATAATTATTAAATTTATAAGATAATGAGTATAAAGAGTTGCCCATATCTATATATAAAGGTATGTTCTGCTAACATTATATATAGCATCCAGCTATATGTAATATATAGCATCTATATATAAAGGTTTGCAGCAGCATTCCTCTTCTCTGTTGTTATTTAGAAAGAAACAGAGGACTGACTGATAGTAATCTCAAAGCCCAAATTAAATTAATTTTACTTTTGTGCTAATGAGCTGTAATAAAGGAAGAGTCCAGGAAATGCCAATGTGTTTAAGTCATAAAGATTTTATAGTGTTGTGACTAACAATGCATTTTAATGTAAACAACTTAAGAAAAATTGAAGTGAAAAGTCATTAAAATGTTATTCTGGGAAGACACTAATAACAAAATATTATCTATGTTACATTGAACTACAGTGTTAACCAGAACTCACCTTTCCACCAAGTTAGGCAATACTGTTCCATTATATGAATATGTAAAAATCTTCATGTTGAGATATTTAAAACAAATTCAGAAAAATGGAAAACATCAATTGGCCTCAAGGTAATAGGCCAGATTAGTTCAAAGTAAGAAAGGACCAACTGAGTGGAGTAATCACTCATAGGAACAGCTAGGAAATTTTAAGAAATAGCATAGTGCTTTGCAACTCATGATGAGCTGCATTACAATGACATCATTTGGAAGCATGCAAAATATTAACACTTCTCCCCACTAAATCAGAACGAATTTTTATCAGGATTCACAAGCAACTTGCATGCACATTACAGTTTGAGAAACACTGTTATTAAGACGGAGATTGTTAGTCAACATCCCAGCAAGAACAGGTGGAACACTCACAAAAAGTAATTGGGGAAACATTATTAAAGGGACTTGTTACAAGCTGAATTGTGTGACATCCCTCTTCCAGATTCAGATTAGTCAATGCTAGAGCATCAGATTAGTTGATGCTCTAATTCCCAGGACCTCAGAATGTAGCTGTATTTGCAATAGGGTCTTTAAAAGGTAATTAAATTAAAATGAGGTTATCAGGGTGGGTCTTATTCCAATATGACTGGAAACCATACAGGAAGAGGAAATCTGAACACCAGTGGTTACAGAGGGAAGATCATGTAAAGACAAAGACATAGGGAGAAGACAGCCATCTGCAAGCCAAGGAGAGGCTTCAGAATAAACCAACCAACACTGCTACCACCTTAATCTCAGACTTCTAGCCTCTCAAATTGTGAGAAAATAAATTTCTCTTCTTTGAGCCACTCAGTCTGTGGTGCAGAGAGCTATGATCAATTCTAGGCCTGAAGGCAGTTGTAACTATAGGAAAAGTGTCCCTGTAGAAGCTGTCATCTGAAAAAGTTGTATGCAGTTACCAATAAATAGCAGGCTGGCAGGAAGGGAGCATGGAGAATAAATACCTGGACCACTTACTACTTTCTACTTCCGTCTTTCAATTTTCTAGTTTCTCCTGCTGGCTAAATCTAATTGGCAACCAGAGGGTAAGTATGTGCTCATGATTCAGTTTGTGTAAGTCAGTCTTCCAGGGGGACACAAAAAATAGAATGAACGGTGATGGGGAGTAGATTGGAATGACAAATAGAAATTGTTCAGCAGAGTTACTTATCTTTCTTTCCTTCTTTTCCCTTTTGGTAACTGTTCCTCATTTTTAGAGTATCAATACCAGCAGCTACAAGACTGTTTTCCTAATGCCTCTTGCATCTTTATCTATCTGTAAGTGACAGCACGTTAACTTCTTTTTTTCAATATGAATTGAAATTGTTGAGTGAGACTTCAAGACATGCTCCCTAAAAGAGGTATAGCTAGCTGAAAAGGGTCTTTTGCTCACTCTCCCTCCCTTCTTGCTGATGACTGTAATGCAGGTGTGAAGTTTGACATTCTGAGAGGCATCTTGGATCCTGGAGTGCCCTTGCAGTTGGAAGTCAGTGCTAAGGGCAGATGCATGGAAAGGATTGGGTCTTTGAAATGTGAAACACCATAAAATCCAAGCAGTAACTATATAATGAATTTTATGTATTTAAGTCACTGTGACTTTGTTTTATATTATATTGAAGAAGTCCATAGTATGCCACCTCCAAATATGTTACCTTAGCAGAAAGATTATTTTGAGCTGAAAGCAACTGAGAACCAACAGATGCAAAAAGAACTGCTTGCCTTCTTCTCTGCATAAAGGCAGAGCGTAATTTGCTGTTGAGGAAGGTGCTTTCTCAATACCAGGAAGAGAAGAATAACTCTAATCATCAAAAACAAGGAATCAACATCACAATGAGTTTGCATGAAACCATCAGGTTGGTACAAAAGTAATTGTGGGTTTTGCCATTAAAAATAATGGCTATTATTAAAAGTAATGGTGAAAACTGCAATTACTTTTGCTCCAACCTAAGATAAACCAGCCCTTATCTTCCATTAGTTCCCTCATATGTTTCCTTATCACTTCCTCAAAATTTACTGTACCTTCTTTCCTTTGTTGAAAAGGTAGATAAGGCCCCCCAGTGTAACCACTTCTTTGAGTTTTACTTCTTTTCTGTGAACTCCCATGCATGCAAATATTAATAAAAATTGTGTGGCTTTTCTTCTGTTAACCTGTCTTTTGTCAGTTTAGTTCCCTGGAAGCCTAGGAGGGGAAAGGAAGAGTTTTCCTTCTTTAGCAAATTAAAGATGGACCTACTTCAAACTGATACAGAAAGATGAGGTACAAGTACTAAAGAAGCCTCAGCAAAAATAAATATGTTAATTTATTTATTTTTATTTTTATTTTTTTTTTTAGAGATAGGGTCTCACTCTGTTGCCCAGGCTGGAGTGCAGTGGCATGATTATAGCTCACTGCAGCCTTAAACTCCTGGGCTTGAGCAGTCCTCCTGCCTCTGCCTCTTGAATACCTGGCACACACCACCATGCCTGGCTAGTTTTTAGTACCGACAAGGTCTCGCTGTGTCACCCAGGTTAGTCTCAAACTTCTGACCTCAAGCAGTCCTCCCACTTCAGTCTCTCAAAGGGAGCTACTGAACTCAGCCTGAATATGTTAAGTTTCATGAAACAGATATGTCTTAGAAGATTTTCTGAGGTAAATCCCCATAATCAGTGCCTTCTGTGTGATCCTGCTAAAATCACAGGGTTGTTCTAAGTCTCAAGTTTCCCTTGGTAAAATTAGTTTAATAATAGCATACTGGTACACTCAGAGAATTATCCTGAAAATATATATGAAAGCACTTGACAAGTAAAATTTAAAGAATATGAGACTAAGAATCAGAATTTAGGGATCTAGACCTATCTCCTCAACTAACTGGAATTAGTCTTTTGTTTTGTTTTTAACTTTTTGTTGTGGAAATATTCAAATATACACAAATGTAAAGAGAATAGTATAAAGAACTCCCATATACTCATCAATCAGCTCCAAAAATTGTCAGTATTTTAGAGTACTTTTCTCCCCTACACTTCATTACAAAAATTTCAAGCATCAGAAAACTTGGAAGATTGTACAGTAGAAACCCATATACTATACACACCTCCTATATTCTCCCATTAATGTTTACTCTGCCTGACTTAATCTGTATCTGACCATCCATTCATCCCTCTCTCCATCCATCGATTTGCTTTGTATTAATATATCCATTTCAAAGTAAATTGCAGACAGCAGTACACTTCCCCTTAAGTACTCCTGCATGCATATGAATGACTAGAGTTCAATATTTGTTTACAGTTCTCTTTGTGTTTTTGAGGTGAAATTTATATACAATGAAATGCACAAATTTAAAGTATATGTTCTATGAATTCTGACAAATGTATAGGTTTGCATGACTCAAAGCCATTATTCTAACATCTTTAAAAATATTTTTAGTTGGTTGGAGACCTTCAAAACAAATTCTTTTCATGGATTTATTGTATTTTAGAGTTGGAGTTTTTTGGTAAGGTTTTCTCTTTTTCAATTTGTATCTTTGAAGGGCAGAAATACCAATTATATATTATAGGCTACCCATCTATACACATCCTCAGCCTTCTTAGTCTTTTGAATGAAAGCTAATTTTTTTTTTTTTTTTTGAGTCGCAGTTTCACTCTGTCACCCAGGCTGGAATGCAGTGGCGTGATCTCTGCTCACTGCAACCTCTGCCTCCTGGGTTCCAGCGATTCTCTCTTCTCAGCCTCCAAAGTATCTGAGATTACAGGCACGAGCCACGATGCCCAGATAATTTTTGTATTTTTTGGTAGAGATGGGGTTTGAGCATGTTGGCCAGGCTGGTCTCGAACCCCTGACCTCAAGTGATTCACTCGCCTTGGCCTCCCAAAGTATTGGGATTACAGGCATGCACCACTGTACCTGGCCATCTTTTTGGTTGGTGGTGTTCTCTATCATAGCCTAAGCTAGATTACTTTAAATTAATAAATAATTTAAAAATATTTTGGGTCTTAAGAAATTTTGGAAATTATATGTTATTATTTTTCCATCATTAAAGATAATGGCAAAGATTTAAATTCAATCTATAAACTTTAATATCCATATATTAATAAAATCTAGCTACATTAAAGAATAGTGAATATTTTGTGATGTTAAATTTACATTAAATAAGCTGTTTTGAAATTGGTTTCTACTATATCTGCATCTGGTTCTCAATGCCTACTAAAAACAAGTTTCTTTTTATATATTATTGATATCCCTTATAGGCCACTAAGTTTTCGGGAGTTGTAACATGATTCTGAGGAGGTATAGATGGAAGTTAGAGAATACTGACCATGTGAGAATAGAACAACAACCTCCTCTTTGAGGATAACTTTTTTTTTTCACGAGCTGTCATTCAGAATATTTTTTGTCATGATAAAAAATCATTATTAAAATGGCATTTTATTCTATGTTATGCACTGTGCTAGATATATGAAATATATTTTGATTGACTATAAAAACTCAAGTGTGTTATCTCCTTAAAATGTGTGTTGGGAGGGTTGTATAGTATTAAAAATAGAGAAGGAAGTACTGAGAACACAGTTCAGTGAACTATAATGAAAGGATGGGGCAGCAAATCAACACTGATTTCTAGAAGAAAAAATTCCCAATTATGCCTCAGTGGAAGAAATAGTTGTCAGGAATAATATGATGCCTCTAATTATAAAAAGTCATTAAGAAGGGAGATTACATCAATATCTGTTTACATTAAAAAGTGTTGGTATGATACAAAAACAATCACAAGATTAGATGATAAGTGACAATTCATCATTGTGTTTAGGAATCATAAGAGTGAAGCTTCTGATAATGCTCTACTGAATTATATTTTGTTCACAATTGAGTTAAATATTTTAAACTCAATTTATAAATCAAATTCACTTATCAAATATTTCTTATTCAGATAATTGGTTAATTTGTTGAGGATAAAAATGTCAAACCTAAATTGGTTATTCTAATAATTTCATTGATATTTTACCATGTATTACCATGTATTCATAGCTTTTTGTTTATTATAACATTGAAAATAAGATAAGTGAATCAAACGATAAGCAGTAACTCCAGGGTAAAAGAAATGTGTTATTGTTATACTCTTCTCCCAGTAAAAAGGTGGTTTTTGCAAACTTCTCCCAGGAAATAGGGCACTAAAATGCTTAAATTTTGTTTCTCCTTTCTTCTTTCCTAGTTCACATAATATTTTTGAACCAAAATAAAAGGAAGGATTCTCAAAAAATTAACAAATTGAATTACCATATGATCTGACAATCTTACTTCTGGGTATTTAAAATAATTAAAATCAGTATCTCAAGGAGATAGTAGCACTCCCATGTACATTGCAACACTATTAACCATAGCTAAAATGTGGAAACAACCTAAATGTTCATTGACAGGTAAATGAATAAAGAAAATGTGGTACCATGCAGTGGAATATTATCTGAGCTTATTTTTATTCTCTGTTTTCTTCCGTGATTTTCTATCTGCTGTGTTTCCTCTCCACTGGAGAGGATTTGATAAACCAGCAGCATGTATTCATTTCTTTACTTCGATTGAAAGATTTTAAAATCTTGAAACTTGAGTGTGGAAGAGACTCACATTATCCAGTACAATTTCCAGGAGCATTTTCAAATCCCCTCTTACAATATATATGATAATTTATCGTCCAACCATTAGTTATACTCTATTTACGTGGTACTTTAATTTTCAATATTTTTTGTTCTTTCAAGATTAATTTTTAAAGCAGTTTTAGATTTAAAGTAAAATTGAGCAAAAGGTACAAATATTTCCCATTTAGTCCCTCTTCCTACACATGCATAGCTTCCTGCAATCTACTGAATCTTTGTGTCTAACCCCTGAACTCATATGTTAAAATGGTAACCCCCCAAGGGGATGGTATTAGGAGGTTGGGCCTTTGAAAGATGGTTAGGTTGCGAGAGCCAAGCTCTCATTAATGAAATTAGTGCCCTTATAAAAGAAACCACAGAGAGGTCCCCTGCTTCTTCCACCATGTGAGCAAAATGATAGTCATCTATGAATCAAGAAGTGAGAAATACATTTCTGTTTATAAGTCACCTAGTATATGACACTGTCTTTCAGCAATTGAAATGGACTAAGACACCCACTTCATTAGAAACATTCCCCACAAGAGTGGTCCATTTTTTGCAATTGCTAAACCTACATTGGTACACTGGAATCACCCAAAGTTCATAGTTTACATAAGGGCTCATTGTTAATGTTGTACATTTCATGGATTTGAACAAATGT
Source organism: Homo sapiens (assembly GCF_000001405.40). Lineage (NCBI taxonomy): Eukaryota > Metazoa > Chordata > Mammalia > Primates > Hominidae > Homo > Homo sapiens. The sequence continues at coordinate 102,685,034 of NC_000001.11, forward strand.
GTAATGACATGTATCCATAAGTACAGTGTTATACAAAGTATTTTCACTGCCCCCAAAATCCTCTGTGCTCTGCCTACTCAACACTCTTCCATCTCAAAATCCTTGGCAACCACTGTACTTTTTACTGTTTATATAGTTTTGTCTTTTCCAGAATGCCATATAGCTGGACTCATACAAAATTTAACTGCTTTGGTTAGAATGTCCCCTCCAAAGCTCATCTAAAAATGTAATTGCCATTGTGACTATTATGAGGTGATAATTTTAAAAGGTGAGAAGGTCATTCGAATTCTGCCTGCATGCCTTCATTAATGCCTTCATGGAAAGAGTGGGTTAGTTATCACAGGAGTGAGTTTTGGATGAAAAAAAAGTTTGTCCATTATCCTCTCTTGTTCTCACACATGCTCTCTTGCTCTTTTCACCATGGGGTAATACAGCATGAAGGCCCTTGCCAAATGCTAGCACCTTGATATTGGACTTCCCAACCTTTAGAACCAGAAGAAATACATTTATTTATACATTACCCTGCCTGTAGTATTCTGTTAGAACAGAAGAAAGTGGAATATGATAAAAAATTGGTAACAAGGAGTGGGGCTGTTGCTATAACAAATACCTGAAAATGCGGAAGCAGCTTTGGAACTGGGTAGTGGGTAGAGACTGGAAGAATTTGGAGGAGCAGGCTAGAGAAAGCCTAGATTGCCATGAATGGAGCATTAGGGCCACTTCTGGTTGAGGGTTCAGAAAAAGAGAAGAAATACAGGAAAAGTCTAGAACTTCTTAGAGATTACTTAAGTAGTGACCAGAATGTTGGTAGAAATATGGATGGTAAAGATCATCCTGATTAGTTCTCAGACAGAAATGAAGAACAAGACTTTGGAAACTGGAATAAAGGCCATCCTTGTTATAAAGTGGCAAAGAACTTGGCTGAATTGTGTTCTTGCCCAAGGACTTTATGGACTGCAGAACGTAAGAGCAATGAACTACGATATCTAGCAGAAGAAATGTCTAAGGAACAAAGCATTTAGGCAGTTGTATGGCTACTTTTAACTACATATGGTAATATATTAGAAGGAATAAATGACTTAACGGTGGAATTTATAGTTAAAAAAGAAATAGTAGAGGTTTGGAAAATTTACATCATGACCATGTAAAATGTAAAACAGTGAGTTTTGGAGAGCAAACCAAGGGTGTGGCCAAGCGCCCATTTGCTAAGGAGATTAGTAGAGACAGAAAGGATCAAAACAATAGTAGAATAATCCTAGAGGTGTTTCAGAGATCTTTAAGGCTACCTCTCCATCACAGGCCCTTAGCTCTAGCAGGGCAGAATGGTTTCCGGGGCCAGGCCCAGGGCATGGATTCACTGTCCACAGCTGGCTCAGGGCTCTCCTCACCACATTACAGCACAGGGCTGTTTGGCCACCTCATTACATTTCAAGCAGACTCAAGTGCAACTGGACATGTTACTCTGGAAGACATAAGCTGTAAGTCTTGGTGGCATTCATGTGGAGATAATTCTGCAGGATTACAGAATGCAAAATGTTTGGATGCATAGCTTCCTCCTAAATCCTGTGGAATTTCCTTGGTGATTGGAACATCTTATGTTTTAATGGAAGGACTCTTAACAGGCTTCTGGATGGAAGCTGGTCACCAAAAAACAATTAGACGCTTAGAATTTATATTTCCACACCCTATCCTTTGGGGACGGGAGAGGAGCTGGAGATTGTGCTATGAATCAATTATTTCTATGTTATAAAGCCTACAAAAATTTCCAAAGCATGGGATTCAGAGGGCTTCTGGGTCAGTGAACAGATCCACATGGTGGAAGGTTAAAGCACCCCAACTCCACATAACAGAAATTCCTGTGCTGGGAACTCTTCAGGCCAAATTCTATGTGTCCTTTCCCCTCGTTGTTTGTTTGCATTCCTTATATTCTTTAATATGTTGGTAAGCGTAAGTAAATATTTCTCTGAGTTTTGTGAACTATTATAGCAAATTGTGAGCCTAAGGAGTGAATTATGGGAATTCCTGATTTGTAGCCAAGTTGGACAGAATATTAGTAACTTGGAGACCCACTATTTACAACTGACACCTGAAGGTGTGCTGGGAGGCAATCTTGATGAACTGAGTTCTTAACCTGTGGGATCTCTGCTAACTCCAGGAGGTTAGTGTTAGAATTGCATAAAATTGGAGAACAGCCAGTTGGTGTTTTCAGAGACCTGGAGAATTGCTTGGTGTGTAAAATACACACATTTGGTATCAGAAACGTGTAAGTGTAGAAAAAATGTTCGTTTTCCTTTTTTAGCAAGAATCTTGCTAAGTCATTTTTAGAAAAAAGCCTCTTGCCCTTTACATTGGATCAACCTGCACTGCCTTCCACAAGAGTACTGGTAAGTCATTTTAAAATAATTTCTCTACCTTTGATGTCTTTTTAAAGTAATTTTCCACTGACAACCCTCCCCCACCAATCACCACTGTCAATCTGCTCCTTGTCTATAAATATCCCCTTTTCCTTTCTGTTTTTGGAGTTGAGCCGTGTCACTCTCCCCCACTGCGATAGTCTTGACACCTGTTGCAATAATCCCAAATAGTCTTTCTTACCATTTAACAAACATTGAATTTTTTTAACTGTAAGCACTGATAATTTATTTCTATAGTTTTGCCTGTTACAGAGAGTTCTATAAATTGAATTATACAATATTCAGTCTTTTAAATCTGAATTTAAAAGATTTTTAAAATTAAAAGTTTAAAATTAAAAGTTTAAAACAATATTTTAACTAGCAAATGCAATATTCATTCACGTTATTGCTTGTATGAACAGTTCAGTACTTGTATTGCTGAGTACTATTCCATTGAACGGATATACTAGTTATTGTTTGTTCATTCTCCAGTAGAAGGACATATGACTTAATTGTTGGTTTTGGTAGTTATTAGCAAAGCTGCTATAAATATTGGCATTCTAGGTTTTATCCATCTAAAATAGCCTTTGCAAAATGCTTGGTAATGAGAGAAATGTAACACGATTGACTCCATCTTGCTTCCCACCTCACAGGCTACATTATTCTTTGTTTTGTTTTGTTTTGTTTTGTTTTGTTTCTTATTCTAGTCCACAGGCCAAGATAACTATGAAAGGAGTTTAGTTTATAGTTAAAACTTGAGGCAAAGAAAACTGACTCCCGTCCTTGCTTGGAGATTGGAGCCTCATTCATAAAACAAGGTTAGAATTATGACAGGGATCTGGACTTTGCTGAAAACAGGCATAAACAATAAATTGCCTTTACTTGCTTAGCTTGCTTTTCTCTAGTGCCTACTACTTGAGCGTCATGTGATGAAAGATCACAAGATTTATAACTTCCCCAACCGCTCCTATAGATAACATCACTATAGTGAAATGTAAAGAACTGGTCTTTAAGATTTTTTCAGATTTAGCATTTCAGCAGACCAAGAGATACCACTTGGACTTGTGACTTCCCTCCCCTAGGAAGTGACTCAGTTGTGTGAAGACAGTTCTGATACCCCCGTGATTTTATCCCTGACCCAACCAACCTGCATTTCTCATTCCCTAGCCCCTTGCCCACCAAATCACTCTTAAAAAACCTAGCCTTCAAATTCTTGGAGAGGAGGATTTGAGAACCATCTCCTGTTCTTGCTTACCTGACCCTGTAAACTCTTTCCCTGCTGCAACACCTGCTATTCTCAGTGTATAGGACTTTTTCAGGGTAGCAGGCAAGAGGAGCCTGGTTGAACAATTACACATCTTGGGTAAATACCTAGGGGCACAATGTTTTGTCATATAGTAACTGTATATCTAACTTTTTAGAAAATTACCAAAATGTCTTCAGAGTAGTTGTACCATGTTATATTCCCACCAGAAATCTATGGTAGGCTTAGTTGCTTCACATCCTCCCCTGAATCTGGTGTTGACAGTTTACTATTCCAATAGATGTGGAATACAGCTTATTGTGTTTTTAATTTCCATTTTCCTAGCAACAAATAGTGCTGAGTACCTTTTTCTGTGCTTACTTACGACCAGCATATATTCTTTGATAAAGTGTCTGTTTAAAATTTTTCTGTATTTTTTAAACTGGTGTTTTAATTTTAAAAAAATTGATTTTTAAGATGTCTTTATATAATCTCGATAAAAATTCACACAAAATATGTTTTTTTGACAATATTTTACCCCAGTCTGTTGCATGTATTTTTATTCTTTTAAACCAACTTTTTTGATGACAGGATTTCTTTTAATATTGGGAAAATTTGATTTAACTTTTATAATGAACAATGCTTTTGATGTAATATATGTAGGAATCCTTTCCTAACCTAAGGTCATAAGGATTTTCTTCTATGTTTTCTGCTAGAAATTTTCAAGTTCTCTGTTTTACATGGAGATCTATGGCACATCTTTTTTTTTTATTTTATTTTATTTTATTTTTGAGATGGAGTCTTGCTCTGTCACCCAGCCTGGAGTGCAGTGGCACGATCTTGGCTCACTGCAACCTCCACCTCCCAAGTTTAAGCAATTCTCCTGTCTCAGCCTCCCGAGTAGCTGGGACGACAGGCACCCACCACCATGCTCGGCTAATTTTTGTATTTTTACCAGAGATGGGGTTTCACCATATTGGTCAGGCTGCTCTCTAACTCCTGACCTCAGGCCCACCTTGGCCTACCAAAGTGCTGGGATTATAGGCGTGAGCCACTGTGCTCCGTTTATGGCATATCTTAAGTGAATTTTTGTATATAGTGCAAGTTATGGATTAAGGTTCATTTCTGAAAGCACTTGTAGGGGAGGGGAAAACTTTTTCTCTACCCTCTTAGATTCTGTAGCTCAGTCCTACTAATTAAACTGATAAAACATAGATTAACAGTAGAAAAAGCATACAAATTTTATTTGATTTAATATTTTTACATGCATGGGGAGTTCATAGAAAAGAAGTGAAAACCCAAAAGGGGGATAAATTGGTGATCAATGAAAAGAGCTATCAAAGGAAGAGCAGTTGTATATGGAGACATGACTAGACAATGAAAAGGGCCTTGGCTCCTCAGGTTAGTAAACTGTGTAAAGATGACTAGGAAACATATGATACATAAAGGTTGTTTAACAAGGTTGCTACTTTCCTATTAACGAAGAGGGTAACACATTTACAAATGGAAATTCAACTCAACTTCACCAAGCGAAAATTATTCCACATTTTTAGGCAAAAAGAGGAAGGGCAGTGAGTTCTTCCTGTGTCTAATGCTTCTCAATTGCCTTTGGCTCAAAATAATCCTTAAGCCAAAGTGGCATATTTTAGGGTGGGCATTTTCTAATCTTCTTCACATCCTTAAACACAACCTTGGAACTGTTTTTCTTTAGTGCTGAATGTATGAGTCTACTTTTTTTAAAATATGGGATTTATGAATTTTTTAATAAAGTTATATATACATATACACAAATAAAAATATACATTCTAGGCAATTACAAATACACATAACAAGAAATAAGATAACAATAATCCATTATTTGATTTGAGAATAACCATTGTGAGCATTTTGTTTTGGGCTCTCATGAAATTTTTTTTTTAAATACTGAGTCATATATTAATTCTTTATAAATATTATGTTCTGCATCCCATACACTGTTTTAACCTGCCTTTTCACCCAACAATATATTATGAATGTGTTTCAATAACTAATGTTCTTACTACCTTCATTATTAATTATTTACAAAATACCTAGCAAAAGTATTCACTCTTTTATGATTCCATATCATATGGAATATACTTATTTTTCTTACTTAATTTCATTTTAGCCAGTAATATAATTATTCACATATTTGATTCTAAGATTATATCTAAGCTCTTTGAAAACAAAGACTGCAAATTTTCAACTTTATATCTCACAATGCTCAGCTGAAAAAATTAATTGTGACTTTAACTTAAAGGTGGAATTAAAGATAATCTTCTTTTAACCCTGTACTAAAGTCTCACTAGAACCTTATTCTTAAAGAATAAAGATCACAAGGAAGTTTGTTATTAAAACGCCAAAGAAAAGTGGGTTTTTGTCCTGCATTCCAAATTAGACTTTCTTAATCTAGTCCAGTGTTTATAGAAAACTGAACTAACCTCAGAAAATTTAAATAATTTATCCAGGCTATTTGAGTGGTTATTAATCTAACATTCATTGGAATTAATGAAGAATAGCAATAATTGTGTGCAAATTCTTTTCTTAATGTACATATTTTTCTAATGAAGTTCTACACACACACACAGACACACACACAAACACACAATCTAAAAACTCAAAATGCTTAAAGAACCACTAATCTGTGTTGTCCTTAAAATTTTATAATTAAGAGGTTAGACTATTGATTAAGAGATTCTGTGCTGTAGAGATATTTGTTGTTTTTGTTTCCTTGTTTCTTTTTTTTCCTCAAATGTTTCATGTTGATAAAGAATGTCTCTGGATAGAAGCAAATAATGTCAAATCTTGCCATTTTTATTTTCAGTTTGATAATATTTTCTGAACTGCTTATTCCACGGAACTGTTTGTTTAATGTACAAATTGTGTGTATATACTTATATTTCTTACTTAATTTTATTTTACCCAGTAATATAATTATTCATTCACAAGTTTGATTAGAAGATTAAATTGTAAGCTCTTTGAAAACAAAGACTATACTTATTTGTGGTGGAATAAGCAGTTTAGATAATTTTAAGTAATTGGGTTAAAAACATACTTAAGGGTTCAATGTTACATGCAAATATCTAATTATGTCTCTATGCTCCTCTGAAAAGAAATATGTCTTCCTGTGCTTGCACGAGTTCTCAAATTATTCCTGTATCCTACTGATGCAAAAGAATTTGTCTGGCATCTCTTGTGACTAAGATTACATCAGGTTATCTGTGGCACAAAGGACTGGATCCTGCAAAAATTCCTTTCTGTCTTATCATTTTAAAGCACTTTGGTCTGTGCAGAAATATATATTATGTAACAATGATTTCATTAAAGATAGAATATAAATATACATTTTAAAATTCAATGTTTCCAGAGACTTTGAACTAGGCTACCTGAATACTTAAATTTTGAATTACTTAAAGTTATCTTGTTACTTCACTTATATAATAGAGAAATATAGCACTTGTGGTTAATCATGTTATTATGAAAGTCCTCAGAAATTATCTAGGTCAATACTCCTTAACCACCAGAAGAGTCATAAATTTCTTTGAGTATCTGAAGAATGATGAAACATAATATTTATATTAAGTAACCATAAAAATTTTTTATTATATGCCAACAAGCTAGTTACTTAGGTAAAGGCTTGATCTCTGCACCTCCAATTCCTCATCAATAAAATGAGATAATTGAATTAAATAAAATTTAGTGTCCTATTCCTTTGAATAATTCATGCTTATAAATAATATAGTTTATAAATTGATAAAATATCAGAAAATCTAAAAATGTAATATGAATGAAGCAAATTTTCAAAAAATAAATATATAAGAACTAGAAAATAAATACGTTCCCAATTTACAATTGTCAAATCACTATATTGACCTTTGAAAAAGAGTTAAAAAGAAACCCTTGTATTCAAGGAATTTCAAACCTAATAAGCAAAGCATTGCACAAACATATAAAAATTAATATAAAGATGCAAGAATTAAAGATATTTAAGAACAATTACACAACTAACAACAAGCATTCCTTACCTGATAATGAACTAAAATTTTGTTGGTGCTATGGTTTGGGATAAAGACAGTTTTACCATGGGTTAAAGACAAAGAAGAATGTTTAGGGGAATGCTAGGTGGTATGAAAGACATAAATAGAAATAATATTTTATGGAAATTTAAGCATTTGAAGATGGATGCTGTCAGAAGTGATCTTAAAGGCTCCACCTCGCATTATAATTCAGTTTTCCTATCCCTATCAGGTCCCGTAGCTGCTTTTAAGGTAGAGGAAAATTTGAAAATTGTTTGGAATTCAGAGCCTCACTTAAACTAGATCAATGCAATTCCACCTCCAAATGTTCTAGGACTTAGACATGTTTAGGTTCCAATACAGGTATTGTTCTTTGGAAGGAGTCCTAATGATCATTTTTTTTTAGTTTCTCCAAGGTTGTAGTATTAGAAGTAGGAATTATATTTATTGGTTTATTTACTTTTAACATGTATGGAGGCGGGATAATTTTTTATAGATTTAATTTTCTTGATTAATTTGTGAATTCAAATACCAAATGGCAAATTTTATTATATTCTTATGGCTAGGACTTTAATATTAAAATGCTGAAATTTATCTGAGCCTGTGCCCCTGGAAAACAACTATGGTTGAGAAACCTTGTGACATGGTTTGGCTGTGTCCCCACCCAAATCTCATCTTGAATTGTAGTTCCCATAATCCCCGTGTGTTATGGGAGGGGCCTGGTTGCAGATAATTGAATCATGGGGCAGGTTTCCCCCATGGTATTCTCCTGATAGTAAGCTCTCCTGAGGTCTGATGGTTTTATCAGTGGCTTCCCCTTTTGCTTGACTCACATTCTTCTCCTTCCTGTTGCCATGTGACAAAGGACATGTTTGCTTCCCCTTCTGCCATAATTGTAAGTTTCCTGAGGCCTCCCCACTCCTGTGAAACTGTGAGTCAATTAAACCTTTCCTTTATAAGGTATTTCTTCATACCAGCATGAGAATGGCCTAATGCACCTTGCCACCATTTTGTGTCCTAAGAAATAAGTTATTGCAAAGAACCAATTTTCCCTATTTGATTTAGATAATACTTGCAAATGACTGGCTTATTTACCTATAAAAAGGCCATACATAGACACTTGATATTCTTGTTCTGTGTCATATATTATTGGCTGAATTCTTTGTTCATCCTGATAAATCTGGACAAAATGTCCTCTAACTGTAACTAGTGCAAGTTTCATGCAGATTTCTCTCCTTCCTCCACACTGAACTTTAGCTACTTTGGTTGTTGTTGTTGTTTTTAATTGCATATATTTAAGGTTTACAGTATGACATTTTGATATACATATACATAAAAGAAACCAAGTAGCTTAAATAATCTTGAGAAAGAAAAAAATTGGAGGCATCACACTTCCTGACTTCAAATTATATTACAAAGCTACATTAATCAAAACAATACCGAATTAGGATAAAAATAGACACACAGAAAAGTGGAACAGGATACAGAGCCCAGAAATACATCCAAGCACATATGGTCAACTAATATTCAACAGAGCCACTAACAACACACAATAGAGTAAAGATAATCTCTTCAATAAATGGTGTTGGAAAAACTGAATGTCCACATTTAAAGAATGAAAAGTGTCCACTCTTAATTTTAAGGAGGCATCGGGAGCTTCAGTAGCCTTTGGAGTGTAGAACAAACCCCATTTTTTGCTGGCCATCCTATTACACCATCTCCTCATCCTATTCCCCTATACCCTGTTTTTCCAGCATTACTTTCTTTACCTTTTCTGTCTACCCCTCGAGATACTTGTAAATCTTGCTATCAGAGCATTCTCACCATTACAATTGTTCATCTTTATTGTAATCATCTTTTGGAATAAATTTATCCTGACCTAAATCCAGACTCATTTTTAAAAATGCATATAAGGTTTTCTGTCCATTTTACTAGATTTTCTAAATCAAATGAATTTTATGTTTAACAGGTAAAGATATTTATTATGGCTTTTACATTTTGAAGAAGAAACACCATAATAGTATTTTGGTGTCATGAACAAGGTGACTTAATCTGAACTTAGAAGCAAGGGTAAGATTGAGGTGACCAAAATAGATTTAATGTTAACTCACCTTGACTAAACTTTAGATAGGTTCCTTTCTGACTCTACACCCTGACCTCCCTTTTTATAGAGCATTTTCTTTAGAAAACTTGGTTTGTAAATTCTGTTTCTGCCCCTTTGAAATAATATAAATTTATTTTAAAAGTCTTTTGCCCATATTAAAACCCAGGAATGTCTTCCTCAAGGACCCAGAGGCCATCTCTTATATATTTCTTCCCTCTTAGGGGACATACCAGTATGTTATTGAATAGCTCAGTTTCAGATATGTGACTTTTTCTTTCTTTCTTTTCTTTTTTTTTTTTTTTTAGATGGATTCTCACACTTTTGCCCAGGCTGGAATGCTGTGGCACAATCTCGGCTCACTGCAAGCTCCGCCTCCCGGGTTCACGCCATTCTCCTGCCTCAGCCTCTCTGAGTAGCTGGGACTACAGGCGCCCGCCACCAGGCCCAGCTAAACTTTTGTATTTTTAGTAGAGACGAGGGTGAATTTTTAAGACTGTATGTCTGCTTTGTTGTGAAATAAAATGTGCTCCACTAACCATCTTCAATACCAAATAAGGCTACTTTCGAATTATTCTCAACCATTATAATATCACAAAGGGTATAACAAAAAGCAGGTCTAGATTATCTATTTCAGTGATACAATGACCCTTTTGCCCCAAATTTATATTCCTACCATTTATTTTATAAGTGCTCTCAGATTCAGTGCATTCAAATACATTTATATTTTCCCTGACAATACAGGTGACCCCAAATGACTCTATCTGTATTTCTGAGAGGGTTTTTCAATCTTCACTAGCTTTTATATTATCTTCAGGGAGACTTTTTATTGATATGTGCAGCTACAGTAATACAAATGGGATTGCTCTTTTCTAAACCTTTGAAACTTGTAGCCAACAAGTATACATAATAGCAAAATTGCAGGCATGGCTGCATCTTACAGAAACACACATTTTTTCAAATAAACTACACTGCTATATACGGTTGCTCCTATGGGTTATAGTCTCCTTGAATGATCATCATTTATACATTGAAATATTTGCTCTGAGCTTATATTTGTTGAAGAATGAATTTCTGCAGTTACTTTTGTCTCTTTAAGAAGTAGTAGAGCTGTCCAGACAAATAGAAATGTAGAGTTACATCTGTTAAAAATCAGTGTGATATAATTGAAAGAACATCGTGGGTTGTACAATTCTAGGTACAAAATTCAACTCTGACAATAGCTATGTGACTTTCAGCAAAACAGCCTGATGTTCAGTTTCTTTATCTTTAAAATAGCTTTTATTTTATTTGAGTTACTGAGGAATATCTCAGAGTTTCTACAGGAGATAAGTGATATGACCTTTAGAGAACTAACTACAGAGTCTGCTCCCAAAGAACCTCTTTTCTTCTCCCTCCATATTTCTTTAAAAGAAACTTTTAACTCTGATGCTAAGGAATCCGGATTTGCAAACAGAATTAGACTGGTGTTTTCTCAATGACTGGGTCTGAGGATATCTTTAATACAAGAAGACTGAACTTAAGGGCCTAAGCTAGGTACAGACTGTGGTTCAGAATGCTCTGTTGTATTATATAAGTTAAAATAGCCAAATAGCTTCTCTAACAAGTTGATCATGAAATGTCAGTAGTTAAAGAAAATGGAAATTTATTTATCACCCTGGAAAAGTAAATGGAAGCTCTGCTCTGTGCAGCCATCCATGACTCAGGCTAATGGAGTCTCTCGTCATATTCAGTCTGTGGCTTCTAAGCTCACCCAAGTGATCAATATCCAGCCAGTAGATGGGAAAGATAAAGTGTGTGAATGACAGAATTAAAGGTTTATTCAGCCTGGAAGTGTTCATCATAACATATGCCCATACACCTCTGCCCCACTCAGAAGCAAAAGTGGATGGGAAATGTAGTCACATCATGGAAGCCATTGCCAACCAACAACTTTACTCCATGGAAAAGGAACATAAATCATGGATAGAGCACTACATACTTATTACCCACCTAAAACTATTGAAAATTGTTGCAGAAAACCTGAGTGTACCCTATTATGTAGGAGTGACTGAATAGTATCTTTGATTGAAACTCATCCTAGTCCAAGAGAACAGTGAGGAGCATTGTATTGGTCAAGGAGGAATTATTATTATTAAAAGAAAGAGTGATTTTGAGTCTAGCTTGTTACAAACTGTTTGTTAAATTTTACCTCCATCATTCAAACCTGAAAAAATTAAAACCCATGGACGGGTTCATTTAAAAGAGAGCCATAATTGCAGCAGTAAATGAATAAATCAAATACACAGATGTATAAATACATGCAACATCATGAAATATTCATGTGAGTCCAAGAGCACCAAACAAACCTACTTTATAAAACAAAATGGCCAATTAAATGGATGTTTGCTAATCTAATTTATAAGTAGGTACTTTTGTCCCTTTCATAATTTTGATTTATTTAATATGAAACTAAATAGCTTAAGTAACTGAATTGCCCAAGGCAAATGACTATTTGTAGGTATGCTTTTATAATATACTGTCCTTATATTTACAATTTTTATTGTTTATATTTTGTCTGTAGAAAACAGCAATTCCTTGATCTCAACAAGAGAGCTAGAAGCCATATGTTAATTATTGGTCCTTCTAAAATCCTAGCTCTGATCTCTGACTTGACCTTGAACACATATATCTGTCTCTTTACTAGATATCTTCATTAGATGTTTTACTGGTATCCCAAACTCAACATATGCTATATCCAGCACAGTGAAACTCCAAACTGTGCCATGCTGCACTCCACACAGTCTCTCAACCCTCAATCCCAATAATCCATTCATCTTCTTTAAGGTCTCAGCAAACTGTGGAAGGATAGAATATGTACCTTAAAGTCTGCCACTTTGGCATAAGAATTATTTTGTGTTAAAGGCAGCTGACAAACAGCAGACTCAAGAAAGGTGCTCTGACTACACCCTTTCTTCCTGAAAGCAAGAAATAAAACTCCCCTTTGAAAGACGCCCTCCCTCTCCCAAGAGGAAAATAATATTACCACCAGAATGGGAAAATCAAGGCTGAGAGAAATCTGTACAAACAAATATTGTTAAAATAACCTTTATCTTCCTTTAGCCTCCCCGTATATTTTAGGTACTTTTACAATTATTCATCTTTGTTCATCCTAGTACATAAGCACATAGGCCAAAGTGCTTTTTAGATCTTCTTTTTTTCCTGTGAAGGCTCTCATTTACATGTAAATATTAAAATTGTGTGTTATTTCCTGTTAGCTTGTTTTATGTTGATTTAATTCTCAAGCCCAGCCAGAGACCCTAAGAGGCTAGAAGAAAAGTTTTACCTTTCCAACACTGTTTCTCCCTCTTTACTCATACTGTTGTTATCCCATATCAAAATATTATTATCTTTAAAATTAACTAGTATGTATGGTGTTTTTTTCTGCTGTCCACTCTCGCCCTCTCTAAATCAGTGTTCATCTTTGCCCAAATCGTGTCAAAGATATGTGAACCAATTGGATTAATACAACTGTATTAATATGATTATGTCATATTCTGCTGTTTTCGTTAAACCTGTTCATTGATCTTCAGTGTTTATAGTATGAAGTTCAACCTTTTTAGCAAGCCAAACAATGATTTACATTTTCAAGCCTCTGTTTATCTTTTCAAACTTATCTTCAGGTAATTAGCAATATGAACAATTATAATAGGTATTGTCTACCAAAATCACATTTTCCTCAGTCCGTATTTCAAGCAGTGAACTTGGAAATGTTACATGATCTTTTATGGGAGAAAATTTTATAGTGTAATTATTCATATCAGTAAAATTGAGAAGATGATATTTATTCAAGAAAGTATATCACATAGGCAATCATAGTCTAAGAGAATGGTTCAATGAAAGAATAGACACTAGTGAAAATTATGGATATAATTTGATTTCATTTATATTTTGAACAGAGGATAGGAAAAAATACGAGAAAAATATTATGAGTAAGCAAATTTGATGTACAAAAGAGTGTATATTAATGAATAGCACCCAAAATGGCAAACTCTGAAATTCAGGAATTAATAACTGTGTGCCTTCATTAATTTAAATGATGCCCCTATTTCCAATAGAAACATAAGCAGTGGTCTTCCTGCATTTGTAGGAAAAAAGTGGCCTTAGTTTCTTATGAAGTTTCTCCCTGAAATGACCTCATTGCTACATCTACATGCAAGCAAGTGAAGCCAGGTGTTATCAAATTGACTTTTAATAGATATGCAATGATCTGAGCTTCTTCACCAGTCATTGGCCATATGCATCTATATTTGTGATGCTGAACTTCCATGTGTGTATCTTTAATTTTAAAGATGAGATTTACAAAAAAAAATTTGGCAAGATTGCTGGACAAACCTAGTAAAATAATATTTGTCAAAACTTTGAAATGTTTTACAGCATGGTAGATGTTAGTATCATCAGTATGATGAAGTCATTATTCCTATCACAAAAGTATTTAATTGCCTCTTAAAGTAGAGAAATACAATATGTTATGTTTTGACATTATGGAAAAATTTAAAATAATGTTACTGCCAGTCTTTTCTCACTGTGGCATGGCAGCCATTTGCCATGGTAGACATTGCAGTATAAAAAGTAGAGTCATTTCTTTGAGTACACTAGCATAGTGATTTTTCCAAAATATTTCCAGATAGACTTTGCCAACTATAGATAACATATTTTAAGAGAAAAATTGTAAAACAAATATAGAGATAATACATTACAGACATAATTTTAATTGAGAAATAAAGAGTAGGACATCTTGGCTATCTGTAACAATTGGCAGGTTGTTATTGCTTGACTTGGAAATTATTGAATCAATTTACAACTCAGGTTGTATTTCCAAGGACAGTAGAAATCTGTAGGGATTTTTTAAAAAAATCTGCAATAAATTATGCTTATTCTACAAAAACTTAGTTAGAGGTTTTTATCTAAAATCTATTGTTTTGCCAGTTTGTCATTAGGTTTTATCTCGATTTAAAAGCTAAATGAAATTACATTTTAGCATCCTAAAATGTAATTCTACCATCCCCTGTAAGACACAGAGTAGCACCCTAAATCTAGAAAATTAAGGCAAATAACAAAGATTTCAAGACTATTTTTCAAATTTTATCAACTTTGTAAATTTCTTTAAATAGTTAACAAACTGGTATTGAAAACACTATTAATTAGTTCATTTTTTATTACAACCCACTCTCGAGATTCATCCTACTCCAAACAAAATATCATTATACATTGCTGATACATGTCTCATCTATATTTTGCATTTTGCATGTAACTCTTTGTATGACTGCCATTACAGTATGAACTTGTGATGGTGTGCAATACATCCTAGGTACCAGGCCATCTATTTCTTGTCTAAGAAAACAGGAAACTTTTTCTAAGTTTGTTGCAATAATTATGAAACTCCAGCATGGAACATCACAATACTTCAGGATGGGCCCAAGAATCTGCAGTTCAGCTAGTTTTCTCTGAACGTTTCTACATCCGCATGGAGATTTAATCTTTCTTTATTCCATATTTCCCCTACCTTTATGTATGCAGTGTCAACTCTACTGCACTTATCTATATGAATATGGCTTCTCTAGTGGACTATGAGATATTTGAGGGAAAAAGCCATTTTATTCATATGGACTATTTGAAGAATAGCCAACACAGACTATGATACAAAGAATGTTTGGTGAAAGGTAGAATAAACTTACACAAATATAAATGTGTAAAGAATGACTAGAAATTTGAGGGTAACAGTACCAAAATATTGCAGAAATTGTAATGAGAATAGTATATTTATGATATTATAAGCAAAACACACTATATTCTATTAGAAAATCTACATTGGGAAAATAGTGGAAAATATGCTTGGAATGATAAGCAGTGTTAGATAAGATTGGGAAGAGCTTTGAATGCAAATCTGAAGAATTTTAACTTCAACTTATGCAGAAAGAAACTATTAATATTCATTGAAGGGAAAATAATAGCTGGAAAATAATATTATAAAAATATCTAATATGGCAAAATATATGTAGCATGATAGTGGGAGTTTAATTGAATAGTAAAGAAAACTGTTAGAAGCCATTGTCATACCCAGGAATAAAGGGAAGATAGAATAGTGATATCATCAACTCTGGTGTTGTTTATTCCATATGTACAGTTATATTTAGAGATAAAGTATGTCTGTAAACTTTACATGTACATTTTGAAGAGGTAAATCAGTTGCAGAAGCAATTTAAAATTATTTTTCTAGGGTTTTTATGGTTGTAGGTCTAACGTTTAAGTCTTTAATCCATCTTGAATTAATTTTTGTATAAGGTGTAAGGAAGGGATCCAGTTTCAGCTTTCTACATATTGCTAGCCAGTTTTCGCAGCACCATTTATTAAATAGGGAATCCTTTCCCCATTGCTTATTTTTCTCAGGTTTGTCAAATATCAGATAGCTGTAGATATGTGGCGTTATTTCTGAGGGCTCTGTTCTGTTCCATTGATCTATATGTCTGTTTTGGTACCAGTACCATGCTGTTTTGGTTACTGTAGCCTTGTAGTATAGTTTGAAGTCAGGTAGTGTGATGCCTCCAGCTTTGTTATTTTGGCTTAGGATTGACTTGGCGACGCGGGCTCTTTTTTGGTTCCATATGAACTTTCAAGTAGTTTTTTCCAATTCTGTGAAGAAAGTCATTGGTAGCTTGATGGGGATGGCATTGAATCTATAAATTACCTTGGGCAGTATGGCCATTTTCACGATATCGATTCTTCCTACCCATGAGCATGGAATGTTCTTCCATTTGTTTGTATACTCTTTCATTTCATTGAGCAGTGGTTTGTAGTTCTCCTTGAAAAGGTCCTTCACCTCACTTGTAAGTTGGATTCCTAGGTATTTTATTCTCTTTGAAGCAATTGTGAATGGGAGTTCACTCATGATTTGGCTCTCTATTTGTCTGTTATTGGTGTATAAGAATGCTTGTGATTTTTGTACATTGATTTTGTATCCTGAGACTTTGATGAAGTTGCTTATCAGCTTAAGGAGATTTGGGGCTGGGACAATGGGGTTTTCTAGATATACAGTCATGTCATCTGCAAACAGGGACAATTTGACTTCCTCTTTTCCTAATTGAATACCTTTATTTCCTTCTCTTCCCTAATTACCCTGCATTACCATTCAGGACATAGGCATGGGCAAGGACTTCATTTCTAAAACATCAAAAGCAATGGCAACAAAAGCCAAAATTGACAAATGGGATCTAATTAAACTAAAGAGCTTCTGCACAGCAAAAGAAACTACCATCAGAGTGAACAGGCAACCTACAAAATGGGAGAAAACTTTCACAACCTACTCATCTGACAAAGGGCTAATATCCAGAATCTACAATGAACTCAAACAAATTTACAAGAAAAAAAACAAACAACCCCATCAAAAAGTGGGCGAAGGACATGAGCAGACACTTCTCAGAAGAAGACATTTATGCAGCCAAAAAACACATGAAAAAATGCTCACCATCATTGGCCATCAGAGAAATGCAAATCAAAACCACAATGAGATACAATCTCACACCAGTTAGAATGGCGATCATTAAAGAGTCAGGAAACAACAGGTGCTGGAGAGGATGTGGAGAAATAGAAACACTTTTACACTGTTGGTGGGACTGTAAACTAGTTCAACCATTGTGGAAGTCAGCGTGGTGATTCCTCAGGGATCTAGAACTAGAAATACCATTTGACCCAGCCATCCCATTACTGGGTATATACCCAAAGGACTATAAATGTTGCTGCTATAAAGAAACATGCACACGTATGTTTATTGCGGCACTATTCCCAATATCAAGGACTTGGAACCAACCCAAATGTCCATCAGTGATAGACTGGATTAAGAAAATGTGGCACATATACACCATGGAATACTATGCAGCCATAAAAAATGATGAGTTCATGTCCTTTGTAGGGACATGGATGAAATTGGAAATCATCATTCTCAGTAAACTATCGCAAGAACAAAAAACCAAACACTGCATATTCTCACTCATAGGTGGGAATTGAACAATGAGAACAGATGGGCACAGGAAGGGTAACATCACATTCTGGGAACTGTTGTGGGGTGCGCGGAGCGGGGAGGGATAGCATTAGGAGATATACCTAATGCTAAATGACGAGTTAATGGGTGCAGCACACCAGCATGGCACATGTATACTTATGTAACTAACCTGCACATTGTGCACATGTACCTTAAAACATAAAGTATAATAATAATAAAATAAAAATAAAAAAATAAAATAAAATAAAATTATTTTTAAATTAATCATCTTTTCTGTTTGAAAACTTACTTTAACATAAGATAGTGACATTTAGATCATGGCTACAAAATTTTATTCTAATATATTTTCTAAACTTTTGGGGCCAAAGTATATATATCATAAGAGCACATGAAATAAAATACTATCAACTTTTAAAGAATGAAAAGATGAAAAATTCTGGTTAATTTGCAAATTTAAAATACTTGAAGGCTCTTGAAGGATTGGAAATATTAAACAGTAACATTAGGATTATTTTCACTATTTACCTTATGTACAATAATTATGAAAACATGAAAAAAAATTGTTAAAGTATGTTATTTAAGGAGAAAAAAGATAATAATCACTCATAGATTTGAGAAGTTGACAGTAAAGTAAAAAATAAAGTTTTCATTTATTTTTTTAAGTTGATGGATTTGAATATCATGCAATTGTTTATTTTAGAAAGAATGTGAGTACTTTCAGAGTGGTTAGAGGGGCTGTCTGCTTTGTTCATATCCCAAGAGTTATAAAGTGTATAGATAAATGTGTGAAAGAACTTACAGTTCAAAAGAGACTAAAGATGTAAATCAAAAATAAGGTAGGTAAGTTCTATGACACCCCTCCACTCTAGAGGAGATGAGAGCAGATAGTTGCAGAAACAAATGAATGAGTTTTAATAAGGGAAATAAATTTTTCTTTCTTTTATATAAAAGGAATTGAGGCTTTTATTTTTTTTTTATTTTTATTTTTTGTCAGAGTTTCACTCTTGCCGTCCAGGCTGTATTGGAATGGCGAGATCTCAGCTCACTGCAACCTCCGCCTGCTGGGTTCAAGCGATTCTCCTGCCTCACTTCCGGAGTAGCTGGGATTACAGGCGACCGCTACCATGCCCAGCTAATTTTTGTATTTTTAGTAGGGACAGGGTTTCACCATGTTGGCCAGGCTGTTCTCAAACTCCTGACCTCAGGTGATCCACCAGCCTCAGGCTCCCAAAGTGCTAGGATTACAGGTGTGCGCCACTGCAACCAGCCTAAGGCACACTTAATAGCATTGGGTGTGTTATGTTGAGATAATTAAATAAGTAATTGTACTCATGCATTGCTTAATGATGATCACTATATTCAGAGAAATACGTTTTTATGCAATTTTGTCACTGTGCAAATATCATGGATTGTACTTAACATCTAGATAGTGTAGCCTACTACACACCTGGGCTGTATGGTATTACTGTTCCTAGGCTACAAACTTGTATAGCATGTTACTGTACTAAATAATGTAGGCAATTGTAATACAATGGCAAGTGTTTGTATATCTAAACATATCTAAACATTAAAAAAGCTACATCTCAAGGTATCCAGAGAGATGCAACCAATAGAATATATGTATATATAAAAGTGCATTTATTAGGGAGAATTGGCTCATAAAATTACAAGTCAAATTCCTGTGATAGGTCATCTGCAAGCTAGGGAAAGAGAAAAGCCTGGAGTGGCTCAGTCTGAGTCCAAAAGCCTCCAAACCAAGGAAGCAAACGATGTAGCCCTCAGTCTGAAGCTGAAGGCCTGAGAGCCCTCGGGAGGCTGCTGGTGCAAGTCCCAGAGTCCAAAGGCCGAAGAACCTGGAGTCTGATGTTCAAGGGCAGGAGAAACAGAAGCAAAGTGTCCAGCAAGAGAAGAGAGAGAATGAGTGGGAAGACTCAGTAAGCTGCTTCTCCCACTTCTGCCTGCTTTTTTCTACCCATGCTGGCAACTGATTGGATGGTGCCCACCAATCTTGGGGGTGAGTCTTCTTCCTGTCCCAGTCCGCTGAATCAAATGCCAATCTCCTCGGGCAGCACCCTCATAGACAATCTCAGAAACAATGTTTCACCAGCCACCTAGGTATCCCTCAATCCAGTCAAGTTGACACGGAATATTATCCATGACAATCAGGAATTGAGTGGGGAATGAATGCGAAGGCCTGGGACATCACTTTGCACTACTATAGACTTTATAAACACTGTACATTTAGGCTTCACTAAATTTATTAAAAAATTAAATAATTTTGCTGCATCTTATAATGGCTACAATGTCACTAAACAATGGAAAGTTTTCAGTTCCATTATAATATAGGACCACTGTCAATAATGTACGGCGTCTGACTGTATATGACAACAAAATATGTGACAGACCAAGAGAAAAGATAAGAGTTACACAGAAGTACTTGTTTGAAAACATTTCAGACATGGAGAAAGTATCCTGATTTGAAACTTTGGGTGTGGAACAGATTCGTATGTGTTGTAATATTAACTGACTTAATTGGAAGGAATCTGGAATTGAGGTCAAAGAGTTAAGAGGCCAAGAAATTAATGGTATGGCATCATATATCAAATTACGGAAAATTATAATTCCTGTGAGCAACTATTCTTTTACCTTTTTAAGCTATTTTGGTAAATAAGATATTTTATCAGAGCTAAAAATTACTTTAAATATTACTTGGCCATACATACAAATCAGATTGGCCTCTTATAGACTTTTTCGGAGGTCAGGGGTACAAATTTCCTGCCAAGATGGGCATAACTCATGGATCTAAGGATATAGAATTCCCTGACTGAAGAAGGACAGAGACAACCTCCTAAGAGTTTAAGTCTTTAATGGTAGAACAGATATGCAGATTGAGTGGTATACAGCACTAAAAAATCTGACAACATACTCGAGAGAGAAAGGCTTTGAATACCTGCTGATAAAGTCAGTTTTGTCATCCAGATTTGGCCTCTTCGTTGGGATTTTTATCCCAACTGGAATAATTATTATTCATTGAACCAGAATATCCATAATTAATATTTAATAAATATTTATAGTAAAAATTTTATATTACCATTCCTTTTACCAAAGGAATTGAGATTATAATACTTAAATAATCAAATAGAAACTGAAGAAAGAGAAAACATGCAAAGGTTTATGTAGAAGAAAACTAGCATTTATTAGTACATTTTAACAGTATCTGATTTTAAGGCTCTTCATTTTTTTGCACATTACTTAAAAAGATTCTGGAAGTTTATTTATCATCATTTAAAAAAGATTTTTATTGGTTTTAAAATGACAGATATCATTCATTGAAAGCAATGTGTATCCTTAGGTTGCACTGTACGATGGTTACCTTTAAAATAATGTATTTCTTGAAAAGTATGTATATATGAGAAACGTAGATAGAGATGTACGTGTACATATATTTGTTAGTTTTTCTGTTTATCTATCTAGAAATTCATGCCATAATATTTCACTACAATAAGAAGAGTAGAAATAAAATCAATTTTTGAAGCTTTCAACACGGAAGTGGGTTCATTAGGTGGAAGTATACCATACTGAATGAGAGACTATTGACACACAGATTCCTGGTTCATAATGACACACGAGAACATTTATGAATGGTTGGAACAGAAGTTCCTTCAGGTGAACACACTGAACTAAATTTTCAACTAGAAAAGTATTTACCTGTGCAGAAGCTCTTTAATTTAATTAGATCTCACTTGTCAATTTTTGCTTTTGTTGCAATTGCTTTTGGCAGCTTTGCCATGAAATTTTTACCAGTGCCTTTGTCCTAAATAGTATTGCCTAGGTTGTCTTTGAGGGTTCATATAGTTGTGAGTTCTACATTTAACTCTTTAATCCATCGTGAATTAATTTTTGGACATAGTGTAAGGAGGGGGTCCAAGTTGTAATCTTCTGCATATGGCTAGCCAGTTATCCCACATCATTTATTGAATAGGGAGTCCTTTCCCTGTTGCTTTTTTTTTTTGTCAATTTTGTCAAAGACCAGATAATTGTAGATGTGTGATCTTATTTCTGCATTCTCTCTTCTGTCCTTTGGCCTATGTGTCTGTTTTTGTACCACTACCATGCTGTTTTGGTTACTTTAGCCCTGTAGTATAGTTTGAAGTTGGGTAGTGTAATGCCTCCAGCTTTGTTCTGTTTGCTTAGGATTGCCTTGGCTATTTGGGCTCTTTTTAGGGTCCTCATGAATTTTAAAATAGGATTTTCTAGTTCTGTGAAGAATCTCAGTGGTAGTTTAATAGGAACAGCAATAAATCTATAAGTTGCTTTGGGCATTATGGCCATTTTAATAATATTGAATCTTCCTATCCATGAGCATGGAATGTGTTCTCATTTGTTTTGTAGTTCTCTTTGTATAGGTCATTTACCTCCCTAACTGTATTCCTTGATATTTTATTCTTTGTGAAGCAAGTGTGAATTGTATTTCATTCCTGATGTGACTCTGAGCTTGCTTGTTCTTGGTGTATAGGAATGTCAGCTAGCTATTTTTGCACATTGATTTCATATCCTGAGACTGCTTAAGTTGTTTATCAGCTTAAGAAGCTTTTGGACTAAACCTATGGGGTTTTCTATATACAAGATCATGTCATCTGCAAACAGGGATATTTTGACTTTCTCTCTTCCTAGTTGGATGCCCTTTATTTGTTCAGAGTAAACAACATGCAGAATGGGAGAAATTTTCTGCAAACTATGTATCAAACAAAGGTATAAGGTCCAGCATCTATAAAGAACTTAAACAAAGTTACAGGAGTAAAAGCAAACGACCTTGTTAAAAAGTGGGCAAAGGAGATGAAGAGACACTTTTTAAAAAAGACATACATGAGGCCAACAATCATATGAAAAAAAGCTCAACAACATCACTGATCATTAAAGAAACACAAGTCAAAACCACAATGAGACACCATCTCACACCAGTCACAATGGCTACTTCTAAAATATCAAAAAATAACAGATGCTGGTGAGGTCGTAGAGAAAAGGGAACACTTCTTTTGGTGAGAATGTAGATCAGCTCAGCTATTGTGGAAGACAGTGTGGTGATTCCTCAAAGACCTAGAGACAGAAATACCATTTGACCCAGCAATCCCATTACTGGCTATATACTCAAAGGAATAGAAATCATTCTATTATTAAGATACATGCACACGTATGTTCATTACAGTATTATTCACAATAGTAAAGACATGGAATCAACCTAAATGCTCACCAATGATAGATTGTATAAAGAAAATGTGGTATATATACACCATAGAATACTATGGATCCATGAAAAGAATGAGATCAAGTTCTTTGCAGGGACATAGAGGGAGGTGGAGGCCATTATTCTTAACAAACTAACACAGGAACAGAAAACCAAATACATGTTCTCACTTATAAGTGGGAGCTAAATGATGAGAACACATAGACACATAGAGGGGAACAATACACACTGGGGCCTACTGGAGGGTCAAAGGTCGGGGGAGGGAGAGAATCCGGAAAAATAACTAATGGGTACTAAGCATAATACTTGGGTAATGAAATAATCTGTACAATAAATCCCCATTGTACAAGTTTATCTATGTAACAAACTGCACATGTAACCCTTAACTTAAAATAAAAGTTAAAAAAAAGAAGGAAAATATTGAGCCTGGGTCATGCAATCTGGAGAATACAAGTTATGAGTGAAAGATCTGCAACTATAAGAGACAGAATTATCCAGGAGTCAGAATTTGGGGCATACAAAATGAGTACTAAATGAAACTCTCCAAGACATAGAGGAGTGGTTAAATGATAGGATAAAGAAAATAAAAGCCCCAAATCAGGAAGTCAAATAGACGAAGAAAATGTTAGTTATTTAGAGACATGATGTAAGTTTTGGTCTTTGAGACAAGGGTCAAGAGCATCTCTATCTGAAGTACGGATTAGTGATTGAAACAATAGGTTCTGAAGTGAGACATTCAGAGTTTGAATTCTGACTCCTGGGTGACTTAATTAACTTCTCTGTCATGCCTCAAGGGGTTGCTGAGAGAATTAAATAAAATAATTTGTGCATATTAAATATTTTAAAATATCTATTATTACTATTATTGTTAACTGCCTCATCTTGTTTTTAATAGGAAATCTCTTGGTGGAGCTCAGATAAAGAGTAAGACTTTTAATTGTAACCTTTCTCAAAGTAACTGACTTCATAATATTTCTCCCTATTTCTTTTCACACAATTTTCTTCCTGAAGAAATGGAAAGAGCACTGGACTAGAAAACTAAATGAAAGCTTGCCCTCTAAACTATCTGAATGACTAACCTTGAACTTGAAGGCTGTGATTCTTTGATTACATTTAAGACAGACAAAATTGACCCAAGTCTCAGATTCTTATAGGTTAACCTCTTCTGGAAAGTTTCTCAAATAAATAAGACAGAGAATTGCTTTTCAAAGATCTCTGCTAGATTTTTCCTGCCTGTAACATTTAAAATACATATTGCTGGCGGCAGCTAAATGAGAAAAACATTGAAAATATATGGTATTAAGATAGTCATTATTCTAAGAACCTCATTTATCTGAAACCACATTATCTGAAAACCTCTGCAAAAATGAATTATGCATTTATCTTAAAACAACAACAGAAAAGGTTTTTGTCACACTATGGCGTACAATTTTTAAGATAATCTTCCGTAGTATTTTTTTCTGTGTGACTATGGAGATCAATAACATAAGAAAATAGAAGAGTTTGGCATGCAAATTAATTTTTAAAACTAATATGGATGAAATAATTATATGAGTATAATTATATGATGTTGCATTCTTTCTTCATGGAGTGACATTTGATGAAATGAGTGCTACAGTAATTAAATTTGTCAGCACTGTCAAAAACAAGAGTAAATAACTCTGAATTTGGCAGTGTTTGGCTGTATTTTTTTGGATAGCCACCTTTAAGCTTACTTTATTTTTTTCTTTTTCCTTTCTTCTTCTCTCTCCTTCCTCTCTCTCTCTCTTTCTTTTTATTGATTTTCAACCATAAATCTCACTTTCAATTTCTAGTTAAATTAGATCTAATGTACAATTACATTAATTGTCCTAGTTTACATGGATTGGATTGGAGTCTTTTGGAAATAATATGTTATGCTCAAAAGAAGCTATAAAAATTTAAATTCCTGTGAAGAAAAATCAAACCAGGTTTTCTTTATTAACATCCTTCAATATGCAACATATTGATAGCTGTCTATCTTTGTATCTCTGTAGCATTGTTTGTACCTATCATTTTGGAATATATTGTAAAGCCTTCTAAAATGACCACAGATGCCACAAGTTGTAAGATGATTATTTTACTTGGATCTATAAGTTCTAAACACTGAGTATGTAATCTCATAATTTTTGCTTATTTAATGAAAATATAGTCAGCTAACAGATTTGTGAATTTCCAGTACAACTCAAAATTTGGGAAAAGCTATTTCAAACTGTTCAGTAAAATACGTAATTAATAGTAGTTCTTATTTATTGGCAAATTATATGAGCAAGAAATAGCAGAATAATGAATACGAAAGCATATTTGATAAGCTAACCACAGCTACTGACCTCCCAGCTGGCACTGATTTTTATAGCGCCTATTCCTGGGAAAATGAAATGAGATTTGGGTCAATAAGCTTCCTGAATTCTTTGGAGGCATATATGATAAAGGGACACATGTGCCTTCTCTTTAAAATAGTTTTTTAATTTAATTTTATTTTATTTTATTATTATTATACTTTAAGTTTTAGGGTACATGTGCACAATGTGCAGGTTAGTTACATATGTATACATGTGCCATGCTGGTGTGCTGCACCCATTAACTCGTCATTTAGCATTAGGTATATCTCCTAAAGCTATCACTCCCCCCTCCCCCCACCCCACAACAGTCCCCAGAGTGTGATGTTTCCCTTCCTGTGTCCATGTGTTCTCATTGTTCAATTCCCACCTATGAGTGAGAATATGCGTTGTTTGGTTTTTTGTTCTTGCGATAGTTTACTGAGAATGATGATTTCCAATTTCATCCATGTCCCTACAAAGCATTTATTACAAAATATTTTCCAACGTGTGAGTTTTAGAAATGAAGTAATGAGATGCTAGTATGGGATCATAATTTTGCCTGCTGAAATAGAGATGGAAATTACTGCTAAGAGCAAGGAAAAGCAAGGAAATTGCTACTTCTGAAGTTACCTTTTGCCTTATGTTTTTCTAGAAGCAAAATTAATGTAAAGGTGAAGAAGAAAATAGATATGACTTAAAAAGCCATTGTCCTCGCTCTGAGCAAGCTTAACCTGTTCATCGCAGTTCTTCCAATCTCCAGTCTTTTACCAGAAGGGATGCTACAATTTGAAATATTACAGTTGCCACTGAGAAAGGATTCTATATAAAAAAGTCATTGATTAAATCCACAAATTGGCTGGGTGTGGTGGCTTATGCCTGTAATTCCAGCATTTTGGGATGCCAAGGCGGATGGATCATATTAAGTCAGAAGTCTGAGACTAGTCTGGCTAACATGGTGAAACTCATCTCTACTAAAAATACAAAAATTAGCCAGGCGTCATGGTGCACACCTGTAGTTCCAGCCACTTGGGAGGCTGAGGCACAAGAATCACTTGAACTCATGAGGCAGAGGTTGCAGATAGCTGAGATTGTGCCACTGCACTCCAGCTTGGGGGAGAGTGAGATCCTGTCTCAAAAAAAAAAAAAAAATCCACAAATCTACTTATATAGCCAAGGATCTCTCTCACACACGCCATTGGTAAGTCATGCCTCCTGAGGTTCACACTCATTTGGTCTTTCTCTTTTAAATAATTTTATCCCTTCCCTTGTGGGTTCAATGATACCCTCTGGAGCCCAGATGTCCCTATTTCTCAGTGGTTTTTACATAAGAATCAATGAATTGAGATAGGTTGATTCTCTAGTGCAATAGCATCATTGTTGTTCCTTTGCATCTATCAGGATCACCACAGAAAATAACAGACACAATAGAGGAAAAGTAGTCCTGTAGTAAAGCTAACCAAGATTTGCCATAATATAGCTTTAAAATACTAAAAGAGGCCAGGAGCAGTGGCTCACAATTGTAATCCTAGCACTTTGGTAGGCCTAGGCATGAGGATCGCTTGATTCCAGGAGTTTGAGACCAGCCTGGGCAACACTGTGAAACCCCACTTCCCCAAAAATGAAAAAAATTAGCTGGGCATAGTGGTGCACACCTGTTGTCCCAGTGACTAGAGAGGCTGAGGTAGGAGGATTGCTTGAGCCTGGGAAATCGAGGCTGCAATGAGCCATAATTGCACCACTTCACTTCAGCCTGGGTGGCAAAGTGAGGCTATCACAAATAAATAAATAAATACTAAAAGATCCAGCTGATGCACAAGCAACTGAATTGCCTTCTGAAACAGAATTCTGCACTTTTTAAAAGGAAGAATTGACATTTAGATCATCAGCAATTTAATATATATAAGGTCCAGTATTCAATAAAAGTACTAGATATCCAAAGAAATAAAATAATGTAAATCATAACTGCAAGAAAAATCAGTCAATAAAAATTGGCACATAAATGATTATGATGAAATCAGTAGAAATTGCTTATGCTAGAGAATGTAAAAGTAAACATAGACAAAATGAGCCGAGTTAAAAATAGGGTAAAAAGAATAAATGAAATTCCAAGAGCTGAAAGGAACCTTATCATAACAACAAACTAAAGATGAGTGAAAATGAAGACATAGCGATAGAAACTATCCAAAATAGAGATAAAAATAATCTTAAAACAAGAAATACGCTCTCATTGACCTGTAAAACTATATCAAGTGCAGTAATATATATGTAATGGAACAGCAAAATAAGAGTATTATAGAAATATTTGAGGAAATAATTATCAAATGTTTTCCAGTTTTTTTAATCAGAATTACACATTCACAGTTCCAAGAAACAAACTAAAAAAAAAAAAAGAAAAGAAAAAGAAAAGGAAAAAAAACTTGGAGCAAGAGAAACAAAATCAAAGCCCTAACAAGTATATCAAAATCAAATTATTCAAAACCAATAATAGACAACATTTAAAACAATAAGAATTTTTAAAGAGAAGAAATGTAAGGCATAATGTAATACAGATACAGACTTCTTAGAAACAATACAAACAAGACAACAATAGAATGAAATTTTAAAATTGAGGAAAGAAAAAAAATCATCAGCCTAGAGTTCTATATATAGATAAAATATTTTTTTTTAAAAAAAGAAAAATTTTTTTTTGAAAAGCAAAAGTTATGGGAATTTACCCCACTGCAAACTATAAAAAAATTAAAGCAATTTTGAAAAAACTGAAACAAAGAATAAATCAAATGGAAACATGAATTTACATTTAAAAAGGACAACAAATGATAAAAATGAAAAATATATATTATTCAAATTATTTAAACAATTGAATGTTTAAAACAAAAGTAATAATGAAGTATTGTGAAAAATATAGCACAAA
Source organism: Homo sapiens (assembly GCF_000001405.40). Classification (NCBI taxonomy): domain Eukaryota; kingdom Metazoa; phylum Chordata; class Mammalia; order Primates; family Hominidae; genus Homo; species Homo sapiens. Next base: position 102,713,338 of record NC_000001.11, read on the forward strand.
TAGTAGTAAAGTGTATGACAACAACAAGACAAAAGATGAGAGAAGGTAAGTGAATGTGTACTTTTGTATATTTTTCACAGTATAGATAAAGTGCTACATCATTGTGAAAAAGTCAATTTTGATAGGCTAGACATAAATATTTTAAACCTAGGTTAAATACACACACACACACACACACACACACACAAATAAGGTCTAACTAATAATTAAATAGAGGACATGAAATATAGTTAGATTCAATTAAAAATGTTCAATTTATCTATATATAGAAGGTAGTAAATGGGAATAAAACAGGAGAAATAAAATATGGGAGAAAGGGAAAATAAATAGCAATATTGTAGATGTATCCAAAATACATTGATAATAGAGTAAATATACATGATTACTCCAAATAAAACACATATCGTCAGAATGAATAAAAGCGTAAGACAAAACCAAATGCTTCCTATAAGAAATACTCTTTAAATAAAAAGACTCAGGTAGATGGAAAGTGAAAGGATGAAAAATATGTATTAGTCAAATACTAATCATAAGAAAGCTGGAGTGGTAATTATGATAGCAGACAGAATAGATTTCAGAACAAAAAATATTATCAGAAATAAAGATGGACTTTTTAATGAAAAAAATAGCCTATGTATAAATAAAACATAAAAATACTAAATGTTTATGTACCAACAAATTCAAAATACATGAAACAAAAAGTGATAGAACTCACAAATTACAGTTTGGTTTGAATTTCAACACTCTTCTCAGAAAATGAGATCATGGGTAGACAAAAAATCAGTATGATACAGAAGAATTGAACACTGCAGTCAACAAACAACCTATTCGACATATATATAAGACTCGACTCCACAGTGACACTTCTATGTCATTTTCAAGTCCATGTGGCACATTCACAAAGATGGGACATAAAACGACTCTCAATAAAGTTTAAAACATTAACATCATATAGAATATATGTTCTAACTGAAATGGAACTAAATTATAAATAAGCAAAATAAAACAATTGGAAAATCCCCAAATATTTGAAAATTAGCAATACATTAATGGGACATTATCTCTATTCTCTCTAAATTGATTTAGACATTCAACACAAGCCCAATCAAAAGCTGGTTGGAATTTTGTTTTTGGTAGAAATTGGCAAGTCGATTTTAAAATTTATTTGGAAATGGAAATGATCTAGAACAGCCAAAAACAATTTTAAACACTATTTAATAGTTAATTTTCAGCTACTTTAAATTGTACAGTGTGGTACTGGTGTAAAGGTAAACATGTAAAGAAATGTACAAATCAATGAAATAAACTAGAGCATCAAAAAATAATGTGTGTTTGTGCATGTATGTGTGTGTGCGTGTGTGTGTATGTGGTTTTCACAGTGCCAAAGAAATTCAAATAAAATCATGATATTTTCTTTAAATGATGATAACAAAACTGGATATCCATATGAGAAAAATGAACCTCAAAATGATCAACTTCACACCATATACAAAGATTATTTTGAAAAGAATATTATACCTAAATAAAAAGTTCAAGCTGTAGGCTTTCTAGAAGAAAATATAAAGGCAAATTATTGCCATATTGGTTTTATCAGGAATTTTTCAGATCAGAATTAAGCAAAATTCAAAATAAAAAATGAACGAGAATATCAATACTGAAAAATTTCTAATCACCAAAGATAACATTAAAATGTGTAGACAATCACAGACTGGAAGAAAATGTTTTCCGTTTTAATATTTTCATTTTCATTTTCTATTTGACTAATACTTAGTATCCAAAATATGCAAAGACCTTATAATTTAATAATAAGAGAAATTGACCATTAAAAGTTTGGCAAAAGGTTTGAACAGACATTTAAAAAAAGAAGATAGCCAAAAGTAGGTGAAAAACAGTCAGCATCATGAGTTTTCAGGAAAACAAAACTGAAAATCGCAATTAGATACTGTTAAACATCCACAATACTGAGTTCTGGGAAGTATGTGCAGGAACTGAAACTCGCATACATTGTTGATGAAACCGCAAAATGGTAAACCATTTGGGAATACAATTTGGCAGTTCTTATAAGGTTAAAAATACATTTAATATATGACTCAGGAGACATTTACCGCATACATTTACTATATTTATTTAATAAAAAAAGTCAGACAAAATATTTGTGTAAGTCTTATAGTAGCTATATTCATAAAAACCCTAGGCTAGAAACAATTTGGATATTCATCAACAAATGAATGCATAAACAGATTGTGTCTTATCTGTGAAATAAAATACTAAAAGGAGCCAATTATGTATACACAGAAAAATAGATGAATTTCTGATATATTCTGCTGAACAAAAGAAAGCCAGACCCAAAAGAGTCCTGTGTCTGTTAAAACATGCCTGCAAAAGCTTTGACACTCCTATCACAAGGTTAGAGTCAAATTTTAGCCATCTGCCAGCCTCAACTACCAGACAAGAGAGGAAGAGAACATTCTGATGATTCCAGATTCCAGAGGATCTTCAAGTCTTCCCAGATGTGGTCAAATAGAGCTCTGCCCAAATTCGTTAGTGATATAAATAATTGTTATTGTTGTATGTTATTGACATTTGAGATGGCTTGTTATGCAAAAATAGATATCAGAATGTATGTTTTCACTTACATGAATTCTAGAAAAGTTTGCAAGGACTGTTGTGAGCAAACTTAAGGAATTATCTTGAGATGTTAGAAATATTCTATATCTTGATTATGATTGTGGTTATATAGTTCTATAGATTTGTCCAAATACTAATTTTAAAAATATCTCTGATCTTAAATTCAGATATATATTTTTTACTAGTTTCTGGCTTTTCAATCTGGTGTCTCACTCAGTTTTTTCTCACTTGCTTACCCTTCTCTTGAATGTTCATGAGACATTCATTCCTATGCCTTCTTAATCTTTGGAATATAAATGAATGAATGAACAAGTAAATAAGCTCTTGCACAAACAAGTACTTCTATTCACAACTGGAATCAATTTCAGTCCCAATTTCTGGCATAATTTCTTTTACAGAGGAAATATTTCTATCACTGGCACTTTTGTACCAGATGTTCTTTGGCTTTGGCCAGGGCATGCCTTTGTCTTTATGCTACCATACATGTTTCTGTATTGTCTATTAGTCATAATTTTAGGATGACCAATCAACATAGTTTGTTTGAGCCTGAAGGCTTTTCCTGGACATAGGACTTCTAATTCTAAAACCTGAAATTTCTAGGAAGACCGGGGCATTTGTTCACTTTAATTTGTTCAAATTGGAAGTTGACCATTCATAGCCGTGGTTCTGGATTCCTTGCCTCAGGTCTTTCCAGAAATTGTATCTGATTATATTTTATTTCCTATTCCTGACTAATGATTGTAGTTCTCATTCTTAAAGTTACACTTTCTCCCACATAGTTTGTAGTTACCATTTTATGCTACTTACTATTTTCTAAGCACTTGTCTTGCCACCCCTCCTCACTCATTCATTTCCAACTCTGACTTAGGAAACATCACATCCTGTTCAAATTGGCTATGAGACTCTTAAACCTTGTACCACCATTGAAGCTGGTCATCCTATACTGAATGAAAACTGAGCCATTTCAAACTCTGGATCCATTTGTCTGCCTCTATGTCAGTTCCTGCTATCACAAATATCAATATTCTGTCCACACCTTGTTACTTGGTCCTGTTCTGCCTTCCCAACCACCTTCACCCTAATATCTCTCAGATCTGCTTGACAACTCTATGACTGGTTTCACTTGGCTCTCATCTTCCTTACCACATTTTTTTTTAGCGTACCTTAAATGTAATAAAACAATGTTACCCTTGTTCTTTCCACTCCAGTACACATCCTTCAAGAGCATATGTTTCTGGACTGTACTGCCCAGTGTATCTGGACTCTTTTGGGGGTGAGATGCTGCTTTTTTTTTCTTCAAATATCTCTGTTGTTCCTGATGCTACTGACACACAGACTGCTACCCAGAATGTATGTCCTCTTTTGCTTCCCTCCCTCAATGCAGCTTATCATATGCATATCAAATCAGTACATATATATGTTTCAATGTAAAAATGACATCTTTCAGAATAGCTTCTGAATTTAAAAAGTTAGCTATTTTATAGCAAAGTCAATTTATAAATCAGGGTATAATTAAAATTTAAAGATATATCAGTAGTTATTTACTGAATACTTATTATGTGGCAGGCATAGTTGTTAATGTATACACATATGTATGTGTATGCATACACACACATATATATACACATATATACATACATATATACATATATATACACATATATATATGAGGCCACTTGAGTCCTACAAATGTTAAGTACATTTCTAATGTTACACAGCAGTTAGTGAAATAAAGTAAATTTAAAATCAATGCAATCTTACTCGAAAGTCCCTGCTATCAAATATTTTTAAATATTACACTTTTCTACCTCATAGATAATTTACACAAATGGAGATTTCGAGTAAAGAAAACTGGCACAGGTTTTGACTAAAGTAACTTACTGAAAGGAAGGAAAAAGTAAATTTTATCCAAAGTTTAAATTTTCCACAAGCTGGTAGTGGAGCCAGAATGCAAACTCAAATTCCATGTCCTTTTCATGCTTTATTTACCTCAAATATAAAAAGGAGATTATACTAGAATTTTCCTAATAAGGTAATGTTGAAATCTATGAGAGAAAATGTGTGTATGTGCCTATATATATATACACATACATATACATACACATATATATGTATGTATATATAATATATATGAGAGATAATGTGCGTATGTGCATACATATACACATACGTATGTATATATACACATATATGTATGTGTATATATGTATATATGTATGTGTATATATGTATATATGTATGTGTATATGTGTGTGTGTGTGTATATATATGTATGAGGTAAATAAAGTATAAGGATCGAATAGAAAAGACATGGAATTTGAGTTTGCGTTCTGGCTCTACTACCAACTTGTGAAAATTAAACTTTGGATAAGATTTACTTTTTCCTTCCTTTCAGTAACTTACTTTAGTCAAAACCTGTGCCAGTTTTCTTTGCTCGAAACCTCCATTTGTGTAAATTATCTATGAGGTGGAAAGTGTAATATTTAAAAATATTTGATAGCAGGGACTTTAGAGTTAGATTGCATTGATTTTAAATTCACGTTATTTCACTAACTGCTATGAAACATTAGGAAAGTACTTAACATTTGTACGGTTCAAATGGTCTCATCAATTAAACAGAATTGAATTGAGAAATTCTTGTGAGGACTAAATATTTACACACACACACACACATATATATACACACACATAATATATGTATATATGCATGTGGTGTGTGTCTGTGTGTGTGTGTGTGTGTGTGAATACCACTATTCTTCCAGACTCCCAACCAGTGCATAAGAACTAGTAGAATTTTAATAATAAGCTATATGTAGCTTGGCCAATTGACTGTACACTACTTATTTTGAAGTATTTTTGAAAAGCATTTAAATTGCTCACTATAAACAAAAAATCTTACAAGTAAACCAAATTATTAGTTTTAGAAAATATTTCTTACAGAACTTATTTTAATTTTTGTTTTGAAATTATATTAAACTTATTATGTGTAAGAAACAGTAAGCGACATGACAACTGTACAAATGATTCATACATAATCCCTAAATTCTATTAACCTAAATATTCCTTATTTAGGTTAATAGGACATTCCTTTATCATTCCTTATCATCTTTATCATTCCTTATCATTAGAACATTCCTTATCATCTTACTTTTTACCAGGTATAGACCTTAAAATTAATAATACTTTAAATTGAAATACAGAGAGGTTAAGTAATTTTCACAAGTTCACGTGACAATTAGGGATAAAATGACTTCAAATTCAGGCAATTTAATTTCAGAGTTCACTGCTTCCCAGCCCACCTTCAAGTATCTCAAGGTCTAATTTTGATTTGCACTGTTCTATATATAATATTTTATAATATTCATTTTTAAAATAGACACGGTCTCATGGCATTGACAATCCAAGGTCATGGGATTTATTCACGTTGTGTTCTAATGAACAAACAACTGATATTCTAAAATGAAAGGCCTTTATTTTGTTGTTGTTAAAGAAAATTCAGAAATCATTTCAGAGTCTTAATTTGCCAGCTTTGATATAATCCACTAAGGGTGATTCAATGTGTTGGATCTAAAGGATATCCCAAGAACCATGGAGACATGGTTAAAATCTCACATTGGGATTTCCCAGTGATGAAAGGGGACAGTCTTATCTGACTTAAATCTCTTGTGTCTTGGCAGCCTATAGGCTTGTCCTTGGGAATTTAAAAATATAACATTAAATTAATTTTCTATCTCTTCCCCAGTAGTCACTCATACATGTTTAATGTTTTCTTGTATACTTAAGACATTTTATTAAAATTAAATTTAGTAGAAGTAAATTTATTTTATAATTCACCTTTCTCCTATAATACCACTGACAGTGTTTCAATTATAAGCATCATCTTTGTTTGCAGAGAATTTATTGAAACTTCAAAAAAATTGAAAATTAAGATTATTACAAAGATTTAAAATTCTAAGTATTGTTTCTTCATTGTCTATTTCTCTAATTCTGAAATTTAGTCACATTTTAATGATACTATAGAATCATTTAAGGTGGCAGAAATAATTTAATCATAATCTAGAATCTACAGGACACATGTGGACATAACCTTAGTCCTGAAATCAAAATCTTATGTGGCTTCAATCACAAGAATGTAAATAAATCTGCCTGTATTGTAGATTGGAAGGAAGGAATAATATTCACAATTAGGTGAGTAAAGAAGCAACTTTTCAAATGATGCTTTTGAGCTTTGAAAAAAATAAATCTCAAAGCATCACACTGTAAAAAGAAGAATATGGCCAGGCGTGGTGGCTCACGCCTGTAATCCCAACACTCTGGGAGGCCGAGGTGGGTGGATCACCTGAGGTCAAGAGTTTGAGACCAGCCTGGCCAACATGTCAAAACTCCGTCTCTACTAAAAAATACAAAAATTAGCTGGGCATGGTGGCAGGTGCCTGTAAACCCACTACTCGGGAGGCTGAGGCAGGAGAATTGCTTGAACCCGGGAGGTGGAGGTTGCAGTGAGCCGAGATTGTGCCATTGCACTCTAGCCTGGGAGACAGAGCAAGACTCCACCTCAAAAAAAAAAGTATATATTTCAATGTGCTGCATTTTATCTGTTAATAATGAAAAAGAATGCTGAGGTTCCTTAGTGTATTATTTCAATAGTATAGTTACAGGTTTGGGACAAAGAAGACTTTATTTATATATAAGAAAGGTAGCATGAACTCATTTAGATACTCTGTTTAGAGGAAATGTTAAGTTATTTTAGCAAAGGTCATGGTAATATTGAGAGCCTTAAAAAGAAAAAAAGAAAAATGTGTTGAATTTGTGAAATTATTAAGTATGGTATTTTATATTCTGACTTAAAGCCAGGTAAAAAGATGTGGCTGTGGTAGTACAGGAGTATATTTTAAAACCAGTCAGGAGTCTAGGGAATGATAAAATTTGCTTTGCTAAGAGATCCGACTTAAGAGAAATAGAGGTCACTGTCAGGCAGATGTTTTAATTAATTAACAACCATTTTATATAAGAAAGGACTCCAGACTTTAGAATATATGTGCTTAGACTTCTTTCGGGAATTCCACACTTTCCCTATTGCACAGCAAATTAGTCACAAAATTCTAATAACACTATCTTTGCAATATAGTTTGAGTTTTATCTTTAAATCCTATTAGCTTCTTTAAGTCCTTCTAAAGTATTCTGAACCACAGAAAGTAATATGAGGAATATTAAATACTTAAGATAGGTGAGTAACTTTATTAGAGACTATTTACCTTGTCATATCAGTACACAATGCTTCAACAATCTTCTTATAATGAAAGCTAACCTCCCTACAGTAGGAGTTTAACCCAATTTCAACAGTGTTTTTTTTCCAATCAAGGGTTTGTACAGTTTCTTTTCAAGAAAAAAGTGAAGTAATATGATCCACTAGCTCTTTCTCATAATATAATTCTGGAGATGTCATAGAAAGTTTGGCGATATTTGGGGAAGAATTTTATACTGGTGATGCATTTATCTTTCTTGCACTGCCATTGGCAAATCATTACCTAACCACCTACCAATAAAAGGTGGTGGGGGGAAGTGGGGGGGAGAGAGAGAGAGAGAGAGAGAGAGAGAGAGAGAGAGAGAGAGAGAGAGACTGTTCTGGGCAAGCAGGACAGCAGCACTAATCAGCTGGAACCAGAGATCAGACAACAAGTAGATTCCGTAACAAGTCTGTCCCTTAGCTCTCCATTCACAGTTTGTCTGCTTGGTGATTACAAGCACACATTATCATTCTTACATAAAAGCAATATCCAATGAGGAGTATGAAGATTTCTAAACTCGATGTGAAAGATACAATCCAATCGTGACCTAAGGTTTACCACCACCCCTTCCTCTTCCCCTACAAATTGCAAACACCATCCTAGAAGACTATGGGTTCACAGAAAACATAAGAAAATATCCAAGGAGCACATAAAAGGCTATATTATGAATCTGACAAAAATTCTGTAACAGACAAAGTAGAATGCATAGTCCATATACTAAGTAGTAAAGTTATATCAAGTTGCTCAATTTTTTTTAACTTTTTTCTAATTATTTTTTTTCTTGTCAGGTTTTATTAAGAAATAACTTATATAAGTTAAAATTTATCAATTTTATATTTACAAATTGATAAGTTTTGGCAAATGTACACAGTGAGGAGCCACTAACATAATCAAATAGAAAACATTTCCATCAACCTGAAAATATTCCTTCTTGTTACTTTGTAGTGAATCTCCTTTCCTCACCCAGCCCTTGTCAGCCACTGATCTGATTCTGTCCCTGTAGTTTTGCTTTTCTAGATATCATATTTTAAAATAAACTCTATTCATCTTCTTCTGACCTCTATCATCACGTAGCATAATGCTATTATTATATTCATTGATATTGTTGCATAAATCAGTTGCATGGCTTGCTGAATACTATCTCACCATATGAATATACCACAATTTTTCTGTTCATCATTTGATATACATTTAGTTCTAACTTAAATTTCTAACTGTTCATTGCTAGCCTATAACAAAACATTTAATTTTAATATATTCACCTTTTATTCTGAGACCTCGCTAAACTCATATAATTGTTCTGGTGACTTTTTGGGTTAGTATTTTAGGATTTTCTACAGACAATTCATGTAGTCAATACATGAAAACAACTTTGTTTCTTTTTTTCCTTTCAATTCTATAAAAAATCTATTGTTCTTTTCTTTGCTATATTGCACTTTCTAGTATAATAGTGTCATATAAACTATGTATTGGCCCTATTACACTGCCATATCATACTTGTTTAGTAAAAGTTGAATGAAAGTGGCAAGTTGTATACGTTCTTGAATTGTTTGTGATTTTATAAAGAAATCATTGTCATTTACAGTAAAGAATAATGTTAAACGCAGGTTTCCGATATTCCCTTTACCAGTTTCAAGTTCCCTTCTATTCCCAGTGTAATGAGGATTATCCACAATGAATGTTAATTTAGTCAAATGGCTTTTTTTCATCTGTTGAGGTACTTATTGATTTTTTTTTTTTTAGTCTGTGACTATGGTGAATTACATTAATTGTTTTCTGAAGTTTGAACCTTTCTAATCCCTTTACTATGCAGCAGTTAGTTATGAAGTAGCACCCACTTTATACATACACGTGATTAATTTCCTAATATTTTATTAAACACTTTTGGTCTGTTTATGAAGACTACTGGTCTGCAATTTTCTTTTACTTTTAATATAGCAGATTGCTGTTTTGCTTTGTTTTGTTTCTTTTCTTTTTTCAAAAATGTGATATCACTATGTTGTCCAGCCTGGCCTCAAGAGATTCCCCCGCCTCAGCCTCCCCAGTAGCTAGGAGTAGAGGCATAAGCCACTGTGTGCCCAGCTCAGATCTTGTTAGTAAGGCAATGCTGTCCTCATAAGTATAGGTTGAGGTGTATTTCTTCCTTAGAGATCTCTCTCTCTCTCTCTCTATATATATATATATACACACACACACATATATATGTATGAGGAGTTATATATATATGTATGAGGAGATATATATATGTATGAGGAGTTATATATATATGTATGAGGAGATATATATATGTATGAGGAGTTATATATATATAGTATGAATATATATATAGTATGAATATATATATATAGTATGAATATATATATATATATATATATATATATATATATATATCAGGAGGCTTTATGTAACCCTTTTCTAAAGATTGATAGATATTGAGCTGCTTACCCAACAAGATTTACTAAGAGTGTTTTTAAGCTGCTTTATCTGCGAAAAACTGTCAAGTTGAATGATTTCCTTGCTGTCAGTGAATCTCTTCTTCTTTACATTGATCATTAAGCTTTTATTCTTTACTGTCTCTGTAAAGTACTTCATGGTCAACTGCACATCTTTTGTCAACCCATAGCAAAAGCATTGGTTATGGTTTTGGGTCTCTGTCTCCAAGACATATATTGACATACATAAATATTAGGTTGAAAGAATTTTCTTTATATTTATAATTTCATATTTTTATATGAGATTTTTTCATCATTCAGAATAATGACAAAGAATTGATTGACAAATACTGCATGAATTACAAAAATTTGTTTCACAGCATTTCTATGTCATTAATTTTAATGTTTTGCCACTATAGATTAGCATAGCACAGTATCTTAAAATATCCAAACTTGGTTAATTACAAGCATGTTCAAAGAATATTATGTAGTGAAAAATTCCTTCTACATTTTTATTCTTTTTCCCAAGGGTAAGCCCTGAAGCCTTTGCTGTAAACTTTTCCAGCTTTGGGTAAGGTAATTTTTTTTTATGAGTCATGTGGCATCTTAATGTGTGGAACAATTTTCTCCAGAAAGTAGGATTTCTACAGAATAGTGCTAAGAAAAAACAAATAGAACATTTAAAAATATGTTGAAACTGCTATAAGTCTACATTTTAAGAAAGGTAGAAATCTAGTTCAATTCTCAAGTTAATGTTTTAAACAACTAACAAAGATTAATTTAGGATAGTAATCAAGAATCTGTCATCATGACTAAAAGTAGAAATAAACTGGCAAAGTAAAAAGCCTATTATTGCACCTTTAATAATTCGGATATCCATTTCCATATACCTTGGTTCTTTCCATAATTCTAATACCCCAAAAGAATTTTGTAGAGTGCCTTATATTTTATCAGACTAGCAAATATCCTTAGCAAAAATCACAGATAAATAGCAATGTCCGTTCTTATTCAACAAAGACGATTTACTTCCATAAAATTACTTGAAATGTATTGTTCAGTAAGTCAACTACATTCACAGCATGCAAAAAAGGTAGACTTTAATACTGATAAATTAGCAGAATGTATTGCTCTTAATCCTAATAAACCAAGGTAAAAGTAAGAGTGATCGTCCTATATTCTATTTCATTGCCAGGCAGCAGTTAAAGCTTTAGTACTCCAGAATCCTCATAAACAGGCTGGGACATTTGAAAAAAAAAAAAAAAGCAAACAAACAGCCAAACAATGTAAAGATGTAAAGATATGAACAATATGTACATTCATATGTATTTACTCAATGACAGGCAAAGTCAAGCCAACAAAGTAACAAAATGTATCATAGTTACCTTTACAGATAATAATACAATATGTAGAATTTATTTTTAAAACTTCACAAGGATTGAGGAAAGTGTCTGTTTTTCATTAACTATAAAAATAATGGATACAATTCTCCATTTGAACTACCTAAAACTACCAACCAACTGAATATATGAGCTTTCCTCTACATTAATATTACATAGCTGTGAAGGCATTCCTCTCTATACATATTTAAGCAATATAGTACCTCTTTTAACAATATAGCATACTTGAATCATTGGAGTTCTTGAAAGAAGTATATTCATTTTTAATGGATATGATATATAAAATACATAGATCATTGCATTATTTCCACTTTAAAGAGAGTTCACCATTGTAAGTTGTTTCTCTACCATATTATAGAGAGTGACAGTGATACAGTGTGGATTTGACTCTAGTTTTTTTAACTCTCAGTCTAATATTTTTACCATTATACCTCCATTTTCAGAGGAAAATAAGTCATGAAAACATTTCCATGAGCCATTTGCCAAAATGCACACACTGAGTAAAAAGTTCATAGTGTGACATAAACTTACTTTAGGAATCCATGCTCTCACATCCAAATGAGTTGCTTAATATTTAACTGTGGCAGAAATAAACTTTAAATACAGCTAAATGCTTCTTCTTAAATGATGTATTGACACAGAACACTCGCAACATATCCTCAAGGCTCTCCAGTGTACGGTAAAGGGACTTCAAAAATTATGTAGCAAAGCCAGGCTTGGTGGCTCATGCCTTTAATATCAGCACTTTGAGAAGCCAAGGTGGGATGATTGCTTGAGACCAAGAGTTAGAGATTAGCCTGAGCAACATAGCAAGTCCTCCTCTCTACAAAAAGTTAAAAAGATTAGCCAGGTGTGGTGACACGTGCCTGTGGTCCTGGCTACTTGTGAGGCTGAGCTGGGAGGATCTCCTGAGCCCAGGAGGTGGAGAATGAAGTGAGCTGTGACTGTGCCACTGCACTCCAGCCTGGATGACAGAGGGAGGCCTTGTCTCTAAAAAAATAAGTGAATGAATGAAAGAATAAGTAAATATCTTTAAAAATTATTTAACAGGGGAAAAAATCACAATTCAAGGAAATAATTCTTGTAGGTTACATGCTCTATGAGTTTGCTTTCAAATACATTAATAGACTTTGTAAACTAAGTAGAACTTTCTTTATTTAAAATTCTTTTTCAAGTATTATTTAGGATAGATATAAAGGTTCTTTTAAACTTAACACAGTTTCAGGATGGCTTATTTTATACATTCTTTCTAAATTCTGAATTAAATTCAAAAATGACACCATGGAAATATGAATATGTCTATTGGATTATGCCTTACTGTAGAATCATATAATTAATTATCTGGGATGGACTTGAGTATGTTTGTTCATGCCCTCTGTATTTGTGCAAAAGTATAGAATCTTTAATTGCATTATTCTCTCCTATTTTTTTCTCTACCGTTACATCCTCTGTTTCCTTTTCTGATTCTTCCTTCTCTATCTTTCCCACATTTTTGCAAGGCTCCTCCTCAACTCTCCTTATCATACCTTGGCATTCTCATCCAGTGACATAATTTTCACTACTATTTATTTGTTGGTTATTGCAAAACTATGTATTCCAGCCTAGAACATTATCCCTGAATGTTAGACTCACATCAACTGTAAAACATATTTGCCAGATGCCTCACAAATATCTCAAACTTTATTTGTCTCAAATTATTTTATTTCTTTTCTAACCAAACCACTTCTTTGTATTTTCTTTCAAGCTTGAAGTCCAACTTCCAAATCAATTCCTCCCTTATACGTTCACAAACAACATACATGCTGCTGATTTTATCACCTTAATACCTCAAGTCATTTTACCTTTCTCTCTGAAAAATCTTTATTTTTCTGTTTTCATTGTTTTCTCTTCTTTTTTGGTCATTTATTTAGTTTAAGCCTGCTTTGCAAATTCTGATTGCTTTCAGAAATTGAGAATTAACAAACATAACTCCGGTGGATATTGTATTCCTCCTAAGGGATAAAGAGAAGAGAGAGGACAGTCATGTTACATTAATTGAATTCTCTTCATAGGGAAGGGATATCAAAAAATGAAAAGAATTGTTCTTTCATAAGTTCTGAATTGTAAGTTTCAGAACTTATCATTATGATACAGGAGGAGTAATGTTATGATGTATATATAAATCTTCATTTTAGTGATTTTAGTGTGAACTGAATTCTTTTTATAGCACTGTCAGATGTTCATCAACCTTATACCACCAAGAGCGGCCTAAATGTCAAAATTAAACATTTTTTATCAGAATTATTAACTTGGAAAATAAAGATTTTTTTTCAAAATTTGTTATGTTTCAAAGAAAGCTTGCATTATAAACAAAAAGTGTGCTTTTGATATAATTGGGAGAGTAATAGAACATTTTATTTTATTCAGTCCATGAGTCGCTGAAATAAAGAAAAGGGAAATGTTTGCCAAGTACATTTGCTTTGTGAAAACTACAGTAATGTTACTTTTCCTGAGTAATTTGATATTATAAAAAATGTATCATCAGAAATGATATAAAAATCAGTACTTTAGTGGTAACTGTGGATGTGTTACACTCAGCAAGAGAGCAATTTCCATTGTCAAAAATAAATATAAAAATAAAGTTGTTTTGTGAGAATAAAAAATTATCTGAATAACTGCTTAAAATTGGTTTTTTTTTTGTTCATTCAATCAATGTTTATTGAGCCCATCTTTTATGACAGGTACTAAGACTGATGCTTGGGATTGCAAAATAAGTAATCATTGTTTCTTATCTGTGAAAAATTCTGTTTATATTATGTAGTCTATTAAGTATATTGTGACATTTTAATTAATTTAGGAAATGTTAAAATGCAATTGCATTAGAATTTGTAATTGTGATAATGGTAAGAGTAAGTTAAAGACAAGTACTTTATGGAGGTAGAAATAATTATAAATAATATTGTGTAAAGGCAAAAAGTTGAGATAATATGAAGGGTAAATGTTCAGACATTCATCAGAAGACAAATCTACCTAGAGAAATAACTACTGGACTGTCAACATTATTCTAAAGTCAGATTTCATGTCTATGTATCCACTAGAATATGGAATTTCTAACCAAAGACATATTGGAGTCTAACTAATAGATACATTTTATAAAGATCAGATAAAGAGATTGCCATGTTTTTGAATGTCTGTGTCCCCTACCAAATTCATATTGAAACTGAATCTCCAGTGCAATAGTAATAAGAGTTAGGGCCTTGAGGAGGTCATAAGGGCTCCTTCCTCATCAATGAGATTAAGGTCCTTACAAAAGAGGCTTCATACAGTGACTCTTTTCTCCCTTTTGCACTTCTACCATGTGAAGACACAGTGTTCTCCCCTCAAATCCCCTGCAGATGACACAGCAACAAGGTGCCACCTTGGAAGTACAGACCAGGCCTTCACCAGACACTGAACCTGATAGTACATTGACCTTGAACTTTTCAGCCTCCAGAACTGCGAGAAATAAATTTCTCTTTTTTATAAACTACCCAGTCCATGGTATTTTTTATTATAGCAGCACAAACAAAACTAAGACAGATATAAGAGGACATAGAACAGAAAACCAACCAAAGATAATAATTGAGAAGCCGTTTTTTAAAATCCCATTTTCATGGCTTTTACTTGTATAATGATAATAAGTGCAAAATATTTAAGGCATCCTTGAGCTCTATTATAATCCTCAGCTGTTTCAGATTAAGGACGTTGTATCATATTCCTATTTTACTCCATGGTGGGGAGAGTCATCTTGAGCTTAGACACCAAACATAAATAATTTTATTGCCTTCTGTATTTCCATAGTGTCTTGAAATGCACAGAACATAGCACTCAGATGAACGAGACGTGATTAGTAAGTAAAATGACAGAAAGCATTTTATAGAATAAATAGAAGGTAAAAAATCTCTGTAGAAATGAGTTGACAAAGATTTGTTGCAATTACATAGAGCTTGATGCTTACAGCAGCTATTGACAAACGTCAAATTCAAACACTTAGCATCATGTAAATATAGTCATTAAAATGTCCTGTTATTCAAAAATGTAGTCTTAGAGGGAGCAATCAATAATAAGACACAGACAAGAGGATTGGTAAAACCAAGGAGAAATAGCTAAGGAAGTTTTGAGATAAAGAAAACTATGGAAGTGCATAGTTGAATAGTGTATTTTAGTTTTGTCCTTGTAATTTGTTTTACTTATTAATTCAAAAAATATTTATTAATGACAATTATGTTGAAATTGGAAGCTAAGCAAAATACCATCTTGAAGAAAATGTCAGTAGAGTAGAAACCAAATATAATCACATTCAAAGACTTGTAAATAAATCAAATAATTATACAAATACATAATAACAAACTATGATTGAACTATGAAACAAAAGTACAGGTATTATGAGAGAAGATTATAGAGGATCTAATTTTTGGAGGGTCCTCAAAAAATGCCAATAAGAGGAAACAATGAGGCAAAGATAAGTATTATTTGGTGGGAGTGTATAGGGGACTATATTGAAACTTGGGAAATAGAGTGCCAGTTTAAAAAAATCTTAATAGTCATGTAAATTATTGGATACTTCTGTTTCTCAAATATAATAAGTATCCCCTTAGACATTTTTAGCAGAAAACTGCCATGTTCAAATTCATGTCTTACATTAGTTATTACTTCTAGTTGGAGAATGAATTAGATGGAAGCAAGAGTGAAAGTAGATAGAGCAATTCAAGACTGCACATATATGAGATGATGGTAACTTTTAAAATTTAATGGCAGTGGTGTAGAACCAAAGTGGATGAAGTAAGATTTTTCTCTAGTAGAGTAACAAGGATTTGTGATGGATTTGTGAGGGAAGAGAAGAAAAACTTGAGAATGACTCCTGGCTCTCTAGATTGAGCAAGCAATGATGTTTTTGACAGTTATGGCAGTTAGGAACAAAGAAAAAGCATTTTGGAGTAGGGAGAGTTGTTGAAGATTGATCACAATGGTCTGACACTTTATTTAAATTACAAGAAAAACAATCAATATAGTAATATTCAGTAGGTGGTAAGGTGCACATGCTTGACAAGATGTGCCAAGGTATAAAGAATTGTAGGAATTGATGATGTATAGTAAGGAGACTCAAGACTAAACACAGAGAAAGTTCCATAAACTTGCGTAAGAAAGAGACCAAAGAAGATTTCAGTAAGGCCCAATATAAGAATCAGGATGAAAACTAGGAAAGTATGATTTCACAGAAAGAAACATTTCTTATATATTTTCTTAAATGTATCAGCAACATTTGACGCAGTTACCTATTCTTTCCTGAAAGGACCTTTACAAAGGTAGGAGGAGATGGGATTAAGCCTACATGTTGGAGGTGCTGGTCTTTAAGAGAATGAAGCACTAATTGATTGATAGTAGGCAAAATGAATGTGTGCTAATGGATGTGTCAGTGTAGACTCAGAAGTGAGAAGATAAATCATGGAATAGCATCTGTTTTGCCTGTCAGACATCAATCCAGCAATGAAACTCCTTTGAGGAGTGACTTGTTTCCCAAGGGGAAATAAAATAGGGCTGTACACCTTCTCTCTGACATTAGGGACATGTAACTATATTTTGTATGGTAATTTCATTACCATACACCCCTGGCTATATTCATGATCCACATCTATAAAAGCCATGATATTTTACTGGTTTTAAAGAAAAATGTACAATTCACCCACCAAGTTTGGCAGCAATCCATGGCCAGTCAAACTTTCTGTTCCAATATCCAGTCACTGTTACTTCCCATTTGCTTTCTTGCCTTCCCTTCTGATTTGCTAAAGTAGCTACAGTAGCTCCTTCATGCTACAGTAGCTCAAAGTCTGGACACAATGTCCTTTTGTCTTGGGCATCTCTAATCTTCTTCCATGGGGAAGGAGATCAGGATTTGACAAATCTCACCTATCACCCTAGACTATGAGGTCTCAGGAGGCCAGCATCTTCAAAAATCTAACAATAAATCAATCCAGAGGAAAATAACTGTAGACCTATTCATCAAAGTTTTAACTATGTTAATTGCAGTTTTCAAAAGCCATAATCAGAGTCTAAGATTCAAGGTCTGTGACTGTTCATTAGTGGAGAAATGCATTAAACATGTATCTGATATAAACAACCTAGAATTACTTTCTCTTCTATTCACTTGCTACTTAATACAAACAAGCATGGTGATTTGAATTCAGTGCTGTCAATATATAGAAATTAATAAATACGTCCTTTTCTATAAATCCATCATTTAATTTCCACAAAAATCTATGAGAAAAGTTTTGCTTATCATCCTCTTTTATAGATTAGCAAATTGAGGAACTGAAGAGTTAAGTCAGTTGGCCAAAGAGTGGTTTTAAACTTGATGCACCCCAAGGCAGCAACCTGATACATCAACATATGTTCAGATACTAGAATACTAGCAGTAAGTTCTTGTATGTTGAGGATAAAATAATGAGGTAGCTGAATTTAGTAAATCATCAGTTTTTACCAGATAATAGTCCTTCACCAGGTGCAATTTGAAAAAAAAGACCTTTATCTCTGCATCATCAATTATTGATGGCCACCAGGAGGGTGCTTATATTTGAATTATAGCATGTCAGATTTATTTTCTAAGTGGTAGAAAACTGTACATTTTAATTAAGTTTAAAGTGCCCACCAGGAACTATAATATTATATGAGACATGACCAATAGCGTGTTAAGAAATATGGCATTCGGCCACAGTGGCCACTTTTATAGCTACTTGAGAAAAAAAGGTTGAACAGCATTATGTTGTAATATATTTCTCATTGGGTTATAGATTAATCTCATTTTTGCATATGCCTTTTAAAAATTATAACGGGCAATAGGATGGATGTGTCTACTACAAACATATTTAGATTAAGTGAATAAGAATATTACATAATTAGTGATAATGAATCTCACCAATGATGATTTTATTTGAAGCTAATATTTTAACAGAACAAATTTTGCATAATTTTATTTGTTTGCTTAGTTCAATTTTCTAACTCAAATATGTGTATGTTCTGAGTTCCATTCACACGTTAAGGAAATAAATGTTGAAAATGTATTATGCACACGTTATAATATCAAGGTTTAAGAATTTAGGTTCACCTGACTCCAGAAGATCAAAATACTTTCCTTTTCTAAGTAAATTTTGTGGGACATTTGAAACACTCTTAGTATTTTGGACAGAGAAATCAGACCATTTGAAACAATGAATTTTGAATTATTCAGTTATCACTTAGTGCCCTTTTCATTTAATCATTTGTTTCTGGTTATTTGTTTATTGATTCAATCAATAAATCATCACTGAAACAAACAGAAACTAGGTACGCTGCCTTTGCCCTGAATAAAGTTAGCTGATTTTTTGTTTTGTTTTGTTTTGTTTTGAGAGGGTGGTGTAAACCAGATATCTAAATTAAATATTTTCAATCAAATAAGATAAGTACTTATATATGTAAATACGAAAAAAGGGATGCTTCAAAGAAAGAAAAATCAACTCCATCTTGAACCTTGGAAGTTCAAAGGAGGTATCATAGAGTCAATACTTGATCTGAGTATTAAATAATGAACAGGAGTTCAGCATTCAGTCGAGTATGAGTGTACAATAGCATGCAAATAATTGTAGGAAATCTCACAAATAGTTCAATTTAGTTTAAAAAATATGTATTGAATTATTTAATTTATACATGTTTATTGAATTATAATTATCAGAGAATTCAGAGAAAAAAAGTTCTTACCTTTAACAAATTCAATCTAGAAAGTTGACCAAATAAGTAAACACATAATTTAAAATAATGTGGAAAATTTATAGCCTTAGGAGTATGTGTAACATAAAGATATAATACTGAAGAAAGAATAATAAATTATTCATATGGCAGGGGCAACAGAAGGTTACTGAAGGATGAAGACGGATCTCCCCTATAGCAAGGAGAGAGTGTTCCAGAAAAGTAAGAAGGAAAATTACCCAGAATAGAAACAGATGGGCATGTACAGACCATGAATCATCCCAAATTGCTGGAACACAATGTTTAAGGGAAAGGTAGAGAAAGACAAAGAGAATATGGTATGAAGATATAAGTGCTTACTAAGGAACTTTGAATCACTAGCAATCAGGAGTCTCTAAATTTGAATGTGACCAACAAGGATTATGCAAGATTATTCACTGGAATGCCCATAGAACAATGGATTCTGATTATTTTTATCTCATCTTATTTTCTATTTTGTATATGTTTTATAACTTCTACAACATAGTAAGCCATGTATATAATTTATAAAAAAGTGAATACGAATACCTTGAGAGGAGGTGAAGACCATGGTTATAGATGGTGGAGAGCCACACAAAAGCAGAAGGTGATAAAGTCAGATATTTGCTTCAGAAAGATGATAAACAATTAAGGACAGCGAAAGATAGATTGGTTAGCAGACTAGTAGAATAATGCAGGAGATCTAGTAAGGGCTTAAAATAATTTGTTTTTAATAGAGTTAGAAACAAAGCATCAGAACCAAGACACAAATAAAAGAAAAATGTAACACTCCTTGGTTGATTGGATAACTAACTCATTTGTTGACCAAATATTAGGGGTTAGATATCATGCTGCATGCTTCAAATGCCTTACTTAATCCTCATAGCAATGATTGGGTTGTCATTCTTATTTTACTTATGAGAGAAAAACAAAGCTTAGGGAAGTTAAAAAATTAATAAAAAGGTACATGTGGGAAGAAAGTAAAGTTAGTAAGCCTCAGGAAGACACTGATAACCACTTGCCTCTGAAGAAAAAATTAGGATGGGGGATGGGGTGGAGAAGCAGAAAATTGGATGAGAGGACAGGAGTTAGACAGAAATGATGATTTATCCAAAGATTTTAATTTGATATTTCAAAGATGACATTTGTAGTAATGATGTACATTCTCCAATTGATAAAAATTTTCACCTATGACGTAGTGATTTCAAATGCACTGAACAATCCAGAATGCTTTAAAAATTCTATTAAGTGTACCTTACCAACAATTATAAATTCTATACTGATTATGTCATATAGAACTGTAAAAGAATCAAGATCTTCATCAGACATCAATAATTTTTCAGCAACAGTTGAAGAGTCTGAATGAAAAATCTACATTGTGAAGCGCAATACCAATTCAAGCAAATATTTAGAACACAAAACTGCAATAATATAATAAATTCAAATTTGAGGGGAGCTTTAAGAATTAATTATAAATTTAAATTAATGAAAATATACCATAGTCTTCCAAACTAATCCGATGTTATTTTCCAGAAGAATGCTTCAGCTTTTCTAATTGTTAAACAAGATTTGGCAGAATAATGGAGTTATTTATATTTACTCATTATCCTAGATTTGTTCCTTTAGCATTCGTGAAAAATTATTTGAAAGTATTCTGAGGTTAAGAAGACCACCCTAATAAATTCAGCAATCACTGTCTTTTTTTTTCTTCCTCAAGTAGGTATAATTTTCAAGTTAGGTAAGGCTCTAGAGATGCTACCTGTGGCATTTCTTAGAGAAGTGAGTTAATGCTATTTAGAGACCTAAAAATCACCTTCCTCCTGATTATTTTGGAGCTTTTGGGCTCTTTGATGTTTCTATCTTCTTTGAAGGGGATGGCTGCTGCCGGACAGAGATATGCAGATGTGGCAAGCCTGAAGGACTCAAATCACACTCAAGGGAAGCTGAACAAGATAGCTTTCCTTCAAAATGTTTTGTGGTTTTTGATGAGATTTTAGGAAACACCCACAGTATTGATTGAGGCAAAGGTATAGAACTGCAGAACCCTATAGTTGCTGTATATGTGCTCTGAAAAAGAAAAAAAAAAGCCTATTTAGTTTTTTAGAGATCACTAGCAGTTAGGGTAAACTCTGACAAATAAATGCAACCACAAATACACACACACACACACACACAAACACACACACACTTCCTACATGTGTATGCACCTCACTGCTCAGTCATTCTATACCTAAGGGCAGAAGAAATTTAATGAACCCTATATTTCACCCAATGATATGTTTATCCCAGAGGATGAAGATTACAGAGGATAAGAAAGGTCACTATCTTTTTGTTTCATACATATTAAAGGTAAAATTGAATTCCATTAAGCATAGTGTGGGCATAGTTTATCATAACAGCAACAATGTTCATATTTATAATTCTCTATTTCTTCTCAGTTAATGCTTCCTAGTTAGAATGACATAGTAGAGGCCAGGTGTGGAGCCTCACACTTGTAATGCCAGCACTTTAGGAGGCAAATGCCGGCTGATACCTGAGGTCAGGAGTTCGAGACCAGCCTAGCCAATATGGTCAAAAACTGTCTGTGCTAAAAATATAAAAATTAGCCAGGTGGGGTGGTGTGCTCCTACAGTCCCAGCTACTAGGTAGGCTGATGCAGGAGAATTGCTTGAACCTGGAAGGTGGAGGTTACAATGAGCCGAGATCTTGCCACTGCACTCTAGCCTGGGTGACAGAGCGAAACTCTGTCTCAAAAAAACAAACAAACAAAACACAAAACAAAACAAAACAAAACAAAAATATAGTCCAATTTTTTTCTTTAAACTAATAGGTTATGCTTATTCCTTGGAAATTATCAATTTGCATTCTTCTTTACACTTTTTTAGAATATTATTTTACTTGATTAAATATTCAGTAATTTGAAAATTGTCCTGAACTCACCAATAGTAATTCCTATTAGTGTAGTAAAATTATAAATAAACATTTGCTTTTTAACCCATATATAAAATAGTTTATGTTATTTGTAAATTAGAATTATCTTTAAAGTTTTGGTGTTTGTTGTATTATGATTAGTGGTTGAAATATTGTTAATACTGAGAATAAATAGGTCAAAATGGTCCAATTCAATTAGTTCAGATATATTTCTAAATGTTTATTTTATTATAATAATAAAACACAGTTTCTTGTTTATCTTATTATAGGTAAATATTCATTGTATAAATCACATCAACTGTGATTAGACAGATTTTTTCCAATTTTTTCTTGGGATAATTTCTAAATACAGTAAATGATTTCAGTTATTTACTAAGTCAGGATAAATAAATGAAGAGAACTATTCCCCAGTAATGAAATGCCTGTAAACAAGACAATTTTCTTTCACTTCTATGTTCAATCTCCACTGTAAATAATATTTTGTGTTGACTGTGGTTAAGTTTAAAACAGAAACTTGTAAAATTCACTGCATAGAATGTACATAAAAGGCTATGAAGTGCAGCAATCTGGATCTGTATGCTCTTCTTAGTTTTCTACACAATCCTATTCACTTATTCACTTTTCACCTCTCTGTCTTTTCTAACCATCTACGAAATTCTAAATGACTAATTAGGTATTAACACTTTGCCTTAAACCAGAGCCTACAAAGTTGAATGTAGAAGGGTACGTAGTAGATTTTTGGGCATATTTTAGCCTTATCTTTTGCTTTGCTTTCTTTTAAAGGAGTCTCTGGTGAGAACGGCATGAAACAAGTATTTGCAAGTCTTATAAACCGCTTTAATATATGTCTTCTGCGTTTGTAAAAACATTTGTAAGGAAAACAAGACAGTGTCATACTTCTGTGTTTGTGCACAAACATTGTGACTGTATCCTTTAGTCCTCCTGTTAGCAGCATTAGATTTAAACAATTTTATTGAATCAAATTCAAAAGACACTTTGTGGGGCTGATAAAAACAGTAGAGAAGTTGTAAAATAAGCAAGATAAGGCAAAAATCTTTATGGGATGGCGATCATAATGTTGTGCAAGCCTGCATCACAGGCATTATACCCATTTCTCCTCTGGCACATTCAGTGAGCTCTGATCTGCCTTGTTGCTTCTAAATGCTATTTTCTTAGTGAGGCTATAGCACTAGATTGGCCACTAAATTTGACAGAAAACAGTCCTCAACAGGCCCTGTCTCTCACACTTGTTTTTTCAGAATATATTCTGTAGCATATCCAGTCAGAAATTATGCAAAATCTTGCAAAGTATAGAGTGGTTGGTTTGGTTTTTGATGCCTTAGACAGAAAAATATTGATTGAAATAGTAGTAGCATCAACCCAATCCAGAAATCTACCTCCACCAGTATTTATGAGGATTTCTCAAGTTTTTATGAAAAGATCAGAGTCATTGTTGTGAATTATCAAATCAATATAACAGTAGGAAGGGGTTTTATATGTAAAGGATGTTTTCAGTGCAACTTTATACACTTGTCTAAGAATAACTGTAAGATGTACATAGCACAATTCTAATTTAAATATTTAGTTTCTTCTCTCAGAACAGCTTCTAATCTGATCTGTTCTGGATGTCTCTCATCCTATGCTCTCTTTCTTATTCCACTTCGGTTTGAACTGGCAAAACCCTGATAACATTTTATTTAAGTCTTGATGATTTTTGAGAGATTTTAACATGTTTCTGTGGAGGCATTTCCCCCTCAAACAATCTCTAAAAAGCTGGCTACCTCCCTCTTTTATTGTTACATGCTATCAGTCTAGGGTTCTTGGGATAAAAGACACAGAAAACAGCTTTAGCAAGCTTAAGGAGTTGCTCCCAGAGACAATAGAAACTGTGAAAGGCATTTTATTGCTCTCATTTTCTGACTTGGCTTGAAGAAAAACCAGATCCCGATTAGACTCAAAGAAACAAACAAAAAACATAAACCAGAATTTTTGTGGAGACGATTATACTCTGACCTACCTATGAATGAAACTCTCATCTTAACTATTTAGCCTACTAGATGCAGGACTGTTTCTAGCTTGCCTGGATTGTGGATGCTCTTGAGATTTTCACTGCCCCATCCAGTGGCAATAGAAGTAAGAAAGACAAACATGAATTTCACGTCAGGCCTTGCAGAGAAGAAAGTTGATTGTTTAAATATACATTTTGCATTTTAAAACTTCAGTTTTGTGGGTGTTTTGCTGAGTAACTGTGGAGAAGCTGTGCTCATTTAAACAGTGTCATGGCTGTCTATGCAATAGGCTGCATATAAGACCCCTTTTCCTCCAAGTATAACTTTGTTTGTTCAAATGCTCTCAGATGTAAAGCTGTCTTCATCAACTTTAACCCCTGTGAAATGATTTCAGCTAGCTTCCTTTCTCCATTTCCAATCATACATATCTTTATTTACTGAACGTGTCTGGCAACCTGTTAATGCCACAAGCATGAAAAAAAATAAGTGATGATACCTAGCTACAATGAAATCAGAATTTAATTATGTAAATAAACATAAAAATAATTTCATGTCACTGTGGCTATCTCAGTGATAAGGGTCTCATCTTATTTATGTTTAGCCAATTCACAGAAGCGCTTTGTATTCCATTCGTTATTAAATAAATATATTTAATTAAAAATACAGCTTCATGACTACTGAAATAGAAATACATATTCAGCATTATTGGAGCATTGAAGAGGAACCAATGAGTTGCCTATGAGTTTCAGGATAGTTTTCACATTTAAATTGAGAGATGAAGAGACATGTAAAATAATAATTCTACACATGGGGAAATAATGAAACACTGGGTTGAGAGCACAGTTGTGTCCTAAGTTACTAGATCAAATGACACTTCAAGGTAGCAATTTTGACATTATGCCATAAATATGTTACCTATCAGAAAACATGAGAAGAATCTTGGCCAGCTGGTAAGCCAATTCTTAATTAATGAAAGACTAGTGATCTCTGATACTCAACAATTGATTAGATTTTTGATATGATACTGCAGTGGGTGAGAGAAAATTGAGTGGAGATGCTTAGAATAAAACACTATAGTTGTTATTTTGTAGCAAGTTGAGTAGAAAATTAACCACTTTATCTGTGATTTGACATTTTTAAAAGTTTAGATTTTGAAAATATTTAATACGTACTTGTTCTTATCCACAGTTTATAATAATACACATAAACCCTTAATAAATTCATGTTAATTTATAATGTTTCAGCCCCTTTCTTGAATATGACTTCTAAAAGTTAAGGAGAATGTTAAGGAAAAATGATGATTTTTTAAAAAAATTAAGCCTTATAAACATGGATTATGGTTTGGAGGTCACAATTTTTTATTAATAAGCAAAGAAAGGTTTCTATTTATCTAAGTCATACATCCTAAATCTCAGGGTAAAAATTTGCCTTAGTAACAAAAAATACTACTAACAAAATGTTATTAATTTATAATAGTTAATATATAATTAATAACAATAATAATAATTTGAAGGTTTATAAAATCCTTAAAATACCTGATTTTTAGGGTTTAGTTTACCAGCTCTAGCTAGCAAAAGGAGATTGCATAAAAAAAGGCATTATTATCCATAAGGGAAAACATTAAACGGAAGAGGACAGTAGAAAAATAAGGATTTAACCAATTTGTGTCTAAAATTGTTTAGAGGTGCCCATTACATTCAATTTTAACTACAAGTAAAATTTACAGTAGCTATTTCTTGAATAGATAAATATCCCACTCAAAACAATATAAGACTAGGTGTGTATCAAAAACCAATGAGAAGTCAGGCCTCACTCGTCTTACTGGATGTAATTTTAATTCAACCACCTTGTTGGAATGACAGTTATATAGCTCACAATAGGTTTGAAATTATGTAAATTATGTAACTGGTAGGCACATTTATGAGATTCTCACTTCCTTAGCAATTTTAGAATTATGCAGACTGATTCGTGGTAATTGTTATATTGCACGGGGTTGCACAAAATCCCCTGGTTAATTTGTAGGACAACACTGGGAGTGCATGGGATGAACAGTGGGCCTGGCAGCACTAATACCTGCTTATGATGGGAGAGCACAGGCAGTTGCTGGGGAAATGCTAGATGAAACAATACTCTTTTACATTTATTTTATTTGTTTAGTGCCATTCTACTTTTTTTTCAGAAAACACTTAAAATAGTGTAAACACATGCATTTACATCAGAAGGCTTTTTAAAAATAAATGAATAATCCTAGAATTTAGGATCAGGAAAATTAATATGTTAGTCCATGGCCATGTTATGGCATAAATTTGGCTCTGAGTTTTTGGCATTCAGTGCAAAAAAGACTATGTTTACTTATGTGTTGCAACATTTTCATAATATTTTAATGCTATTTTTATCAGGAGTAGTAAAAACATTCCTTACACTAGTACTTGATATGCATATTTCTCGTACGAGAAAAACACTGTGAAATGTTGTGAAGATTCTCAAAATCCTTACAGTTTCAACAAAAGAGGTTAATCAATAAAGGTATATCAGTAGATTGCTTATATAGGTGGTCTGATACTAGTGTTTAAGAAAGCACCATCTAAAATAGTAGACAATTCAATAGCACATAGTTTAGAGAATATGCCCAATTCACTACAAAGTTTTACTAGGCATATAGTCACTAAAGGGAAATATGCTTTGTCACTCTATTTTTGCCTTAATTTTAAAAATAGCAGCTATGGAAAATGAACTGAGTTATGATTCGATTTCCATCATAAAAATATTGTATGGGACTCAAATAAATGCATATGCAAATATTGTTGATCTTACTCTAATAGATTAGCAACATTAATTTTTCTATGCACTGTGCAAACCCACATATCTTCCATCCAAGAGGCCAAAATTTTTCCATGTAAGTGTTTAGATCATTATTTGTG
This sequence comes from Homo sapiens, assembly GCF_000001405.40. Taxonomy (NCBI): domain Eukaryota; kingdom Metazoa; phylum Chordata; class Mammalia; order Primates; family Hominidae; genus Homo; species Homo sapiens. Next base: position 102,740,699 of record NC_000001.11, read on the forward strand.
CATTCATTCATTCATTCATTTTATAAATATTTCTGAGTGTTTGCTAAGTGACAGTCATTGTTCTTAGTGCTTGGAATATAACCATGGACAAAACAGATAAATTTCTCGACCCCCATGGATCTTACATTCTAGCAAGGGGAAATAGTCAATAAACAATAAGTAAAATTATAAGCATGAGAACATTTTTTATGAATACTATGAGAAAAAAACAGAAAAAGTATGTCAGGCCATTCTTGCATTGCTCTAAAGAAATACCTGAAACTGAGTAATTTATAAAGAAAAGTTTAATTGGCTCATGGTTCTGCAGGCTTTATAGGAAGCATGTTGCTTGCATTTATTGGGCTTCTAGCGAGATCTCAGGAAGCTTGCAATTATGGCAGAAGGCGAAAGAGGAGCCGGCACGTCACATGGCTGAGAGTTGGGGAGGAGTTACCACACACTTTTAAAGGACCAGATATTGCAAGAACTCACTATCTCAAAGACAGCATGAAACCATGAGGGATTAGCCCCCATGATTCAAACAACTCCCACCATGCCCCACATCCAACTTTGGGGATTACAATTCAACATGTTATTTGGGCATGGACAAATACTCAAATTATATCATAGAGCAAGGTCAGAGGGGAGTTGCAATTTCAAATAGAGTGGTCAGAGCGGGTCTCACACTGAGGACTAGAAGGTAAAGGAGTGCATTCTGGTGAAGAACATTCAATGTAGAGAAAACAGAAAGTGACAAGGCCCTAATGTAAATATGCCTGTGGTATTTAAAGAACAGCTATAGGACTGTGTGTGGAATTGAGAAGATCTCAGAGTAGTATGTCTCAACACTGCACAGGACATACTTATGCTTCAAAAAGTTTATCTGATATTCAAACTTTATTGAAACTAAGCATATGTCTTTAAATTTACTGGGATGTAAAACCTCTATCTAGGGTATGTCAAGGGGAATGAAAGTTTAAAGAATACTACTCTAGGCCGGTCGCGGTGGCTCATGCCTGTAATCCCAGCACTTTGGGAGGCCGAGGCAGCTGGATCATGAGGTCAAGAGATCAAGACCATCCTGGCCAACATGATGAGACTCCGCCTCTACTACAAATACAAAAATTAGATGGGCGTGGTGGCAGGCAACTGTAGTCCCAGCTACTTGGGAGGCTGAGGCAAGAGAATCGCTTGAACCCAGGAGGTGGAGGTTGCAGTGAGAGAGATAGCACCACTGCACTTCAGCCTGGCAACAGAGCGAGACTCTGTCTCGAAAACAAACAAACAAAAAAAGAATATTACTCTAAATATATGAGTACCTACTTTTATTTAGGTAAATATTTTATAAATTATGTTATTAATTGTAGCATACAACATGACAGTACATACAGAAATAAAAATATACAACCTCTCAGGTTGCATATTTCCTTTAAACTAATAGGTTATGTTTATTCCTAGAAAATTATCAATTTGCATTCTTCTTTACACTCTTTTAGAATATTAGAATTAGAATTAGAATATTATTTTACTTGACTAAATATTCAGTAATTTGAAAATTGAATATCAGGCTTTTAATACTTCTGTAAGATGCCTTGCCTAGTTTTATTTTTCTGAAATAGCTAATTAGTCCGTAGGAAAAAATACATTTTAGCCAGAATGTGTAAGCTAGGTGGCAAAAAAAATTCTTGCGTGATTTAGTCATAACATTAAATAAAATAAGCAATACAAATTAATTTTAAAATTTCTGTTGCAAAGGAAAAATACCCTAAATTACAATAAAAACCTATCAAGGTTTAAAAAAGGGAAAGTGATTTTATAAGAAGTGTAATTAGTATTGAAAGGAATTATAATTTTGAAGTAGGCTCATATTTATATAAAATAGTAAAATATAATATTTAAAGTATCATATTTTTAATATGAGTCACTAGGTCATTAAGTTGAGCATTTGACCACAAGTACATTTTTAACACGTGTCATAAGACATGGGTTTATATAACAGTATATAAATTTCTATTTATGAAAAATGGTATCAATCCAAATGCCATTACTCCCTGAAGTTGTAACTATAACTGGGTCAAATTTCCATTAATTAGTTAGTAGTTTAAAAACGCAAAACTTTCTTGTTAATATGCTTTTTCATTCTGCCTTCTTTGTTCCTGTTACCAGGCATACTTTCCTTTCATTTTATCCTGCAATTTGATTTGTAAAACTCCATTTATTCAAGAGCATTTAAAATAAAAAGAAAACAAAAAAAATTATCCCCAAATGCATTTCAGAGCAAAGCACATTCAAGAGGAATTTACAGCATCATAAACTTTGTAAGGGTTACCTTTCTAGAAATAGCCATTTGCCACTAGGTACATTTTAGAGTTGCTCACTGTATAATTGCACCTCATGAATGGAGTTAAACAGAGGATAAAATTCACCCCACATTCAATAACTGACCTGTGAACTAGTAGTTACAAAGTATATATCTGTTAAAAAAAACTTATACCCAGAATATATAAAGAACTCTTACAACTCAACAATAAAACTGAAAACAACTCAATAAATCATCAAAGTGTCTTTGATGTGTTACTTTATCGAAGAAGAGACATAGATGGCAACTAAGCACAAGAAGCAATGTTCAACATCCTGTTTACAGAAAAGAAAATCAAAATTACAACTAGGTATCCTACGCCCTTGTAAAAATGGTTAAAAATTATAAACAAAACAACTAAAAGACTACAACATTCTGGCAAGGAAGCAGAGCAATTGAAAGAGTACCTTATATATGCTGATGAAATGCAAAATAGTACACCCACTTCAAACAATTTCTTGGCAGTTTCTCATAAATTTAAACATATGCTTTACCATATGACCTACTATCTCAAGGCAAAAGGAACTGTATGTCCACACAAATGTTTATATAGCAGCTTTACATAGAAGAGCCAAAAACTGAAAATAAGTCAAATGTTTATTAACTGACAAATGGCAAATTGTTATATTTTAGCACAATAAAATACTATTCAGCAATAAAAGGGAACGAATTTCTAATACAAGCATCATGCTTGGTGAACGAATCCAGACACGAAAGATTACATCCTGTATGAGCACCTTATATGACATTCTGGAAAACGCAAATCTATAAAAATAAGAATCAGCTGAATAAATATTGTGGACTGGGAGTGGGGAGAGAGATTTTGTGTCCAGAAGTTATTCATTCTGGTGAGTTCTTGGTCTTGCTGACTTCAAGAATGAAGCCGCGGACCTTTGTGGTGAGTGTTACAACTATTAAAGATGGTGTGTCCGGAGTTGCTTCCTTCAGATATTCAGATGTGTCCAGAGTTTCTTCCTTCTGTTGGGTTCGTGGTCTCGCTGACTTCAGGAGTGAAGCCGCACACCCTCACGGTGAGTGTTACAGCTCAAAAAGGTAGTGCGGACCCAAAGAGTGAGCAGCAGCAAGATTTATTGTGAAGAGCAAAAGAACAATGCTTCCACAGCATGGAAGGGGAACCAAGTGGGTTGCTGCTGCTGGCTTGGGTAGCCAGCTTTTATTCCCTTATTTGTCCCCACCCATGTCCTGCTGATTGGTCCATTTTACAGAGTGCTGATTGCTGCGTTTACAACCCTTTAGCTAGACACAGAGCACTGATTGGTGCATTTTTACAGAATGCTGATTGATGTATTTACAATCCTTTAGCTAGACACAGAGTGCTGATTAGTGGGTTTTTACAGAGTGCTGATTGGTGCATTTACAATCCTTTAGCTAGACACAGAGCACTGATTGGTGCATTTACAATCCTTTAGCTAGACACAGAGCACTGATTGGTGCATTTACAATCCTTTAGCTAGACACAGAGCGCTGATTGGTGCATTTACAGTCCTCTATCTAGACAGAAAAGTTCTCCAAGTCCTCGCTCAACCCAGGAAGTCCAGCTGGCTTCATCTCTCAATCTCCCCTCTAAACAGGACACCACAACTGCTGTTGGGAATTGGGCGATGAGCACTCTAGCTACTTCCTGCTGAATAGGGGTGAAAAGGGGGCCCTGCAGTTGTAGTGTCCTCCAGATGGGAATTCTTCAGGCCAGTCAAAGAGCCAGCAGGTCAGTCCAGGGGTCCTCGGTAGAATTGTTTGTTGAGCTCATTTAGGGTTCCATTTGTAAGACCATCTGTAGCTTGATGGCCTCAATCCTAGAGGAAACACATTTTACAAGGGGGTTAAAAATACAGGGCCCGAAGGCGAGTAATAGCAAAATGGCTATCACAGGACCTAGAAAGGGGAGAAGCCATGTTGGCCAACTCCAGAGGTTGGTATAAGAATTTGAAAGGCATTGTCTGATTTCAGAAGACTTTTCCTGTAAATGCTGGGCAGTGTCTCGTACTATCCTTTACTGGTTAGCGTAAAAGCAACACTCTTCCCCTAAGAAAATGCAAAGTCCTCCTTTCTCAGCAGTGAGGATATCTAGGCCTTGGTTTTGGAGAGTCACTGCTGCAAAAGAATCTATTTGGGATTGTAGAGCAAGGACAGATTTCGTTATTTCTTGCAAACTGTCTGAGAGGCAGATATAGGTTGAAGTTCCACATAAGAAGAATAAGCCTTGGCTGGGTAGACAGACATTTACCCTGGCTTTTAAAGGAATAGGGTACATTGTTTTTTCTTTATTACTTCTATCGCTCTCTTTTTTCCTCTCTGACTCCCTCTTTGTCTCTTCCTCTCTTTACTTCTCTCTTTGACTTTCTGTCTCTCTGTCTCTTCCTCAGTCTCTCTCTTTGACTCCTTTGTCTGTCTCTTTCTCTCTGACTTTTTGTCTCTTTCTCTCTTTCTGTCTCTCTCTTTTACTTTGTCTTTTTGTCTCTTTCTCTCTGACTCCCTCTTTGTCTCTATCTCTTCCTCTCTCTCTCTCTCTCTCTGACTTCCTGTCTCTTTCTCTCTTTCCTTTCTGCTGGTCTTTCCCTGCTTCTGCCAGCTGCTTATGCTGCTGTTCTCCCCTCTCCTTCTCCTTTTGATGGCTTTGGTAGTGTAAGACTGTCACCTCTTTGGGTTTTTGCACTGCATGCAATAACTTCATGGTTTCCTTGTAACATATAATGGGGGTTTCCCCAGAGGTTAGGAACTCCCTTTCTTTCCATATTGCAGCATGGGCATGTAGGATTAGATAAGCATACTTGCTATCTGTATACACATTTATTCTTCTTCTCTTTCCCAGTTCTAAGGCTCAGGTAAGTGCTACTAGTTCTGCTAACTGGGAGCTGGTCCCTGGGGAAGAGGCTTGCTTCCAAGTACTGTTACTAACTATGGCATAACCTGCCCTTCGTATCCCATTCTCCACAAATGAACTTTCATCAGTATATAGGTTAAGGTCAGGATTAGCTAAGGGGACTTCTAAGAGATCCTCTCAGGCCGCATAAGTCTGGACTATAATTTGTTGGCAGTCATGCTCGATTGGTTCCCCATCCTCTGGGAGAAAAATGGCAGGGCTGAGGGCCACACATGTGCGTATTTGAAGTACTAGTCCCTCAAGGAGTAGCACCTGGTATCTAAGCAGGTGGCTGTCTGATAGCCATAAACTTCCTTTGGTGCCTAGTATGCCATTTACGTCATGAGTAGTTCAGACGGTGAGATCCTTTCCTTGTATTATTTTGATAGCCTCTGACACTAAGAAAGCCACTGCTGCAACTACCTGTAAACAGTGAGGCCAGCCTTTTGCTACTATATCAATGTCCTTACTTAGGTATGCCACTGGTTGTGGGGTTGTCCCATGAATCTGAGTAAGGACCCCAAGAGCTATTCCTGCTCTCTCTGTGATATATAAAGAGAAATTTTGTCCTGTGGGAAGGCTTAAGGCTGGAGCTTGAGTCTGTTCCCTTCAATGTCCAGACTTCAGGGTTGATTCCCTCCTCAAGCACGGGACAACGAATGGGTAATTTGTTCCCCATATTCATGTAGTTAATAGCTCCAGCTTTGGCTAATATGTCCCTCCCTAATAATGGTATGGGACTTTCAGTCATAACAAGAAAGGCATGTGAAAAGAGCAAAGTCTCCCAATTACAACTGAGGAGGTGGGAGAAATACCTGGTTACAGGCTGTCCCAGGATTCCTCTGATGGTAACAGACCTTGAGGACAGCTGTCAGGGACAGGAGATTAACACTGAGAAAGCCACGCCAGTGTCCAGGAGGAAGTCAATTTCCTGGCCTTCAATGGTTAAACGTACCCAGGGCTCAGTGAGGGTGATGACATGAGCTGGTGCTTGCCCTGGGCACCCTCAATCCTATTGTTGGATAATCTGCTTGGGGGCTTCTGGCCCAGAGAAGCTTTGTCCTCTGGGGCAATGCATCTTCCGGTGATTGCCTTGGCATAGTGGACATGGGCAAGGGAGCAGCTTGTTTCTCATTGGACAATCTTTTTTAAAGTGTCCTTGCAAACCACACTGATAACAAGCCCTACCAGGTGATTGGCCTCCTCCTTTTTCTGTCCTTTCTGACCTACCAAGGTTTGTTTGTCTGAGGGCCATGACTAAGGCTGCAGCCTTTCTCTGCTCTCATTTTTCCTTTCCAGCCTGTTACTCTTGGTCCCTATTATAGAACACCGAGGTTTCCAGGTTTAATAATGCCTCCAGATTTTTTTCAGGGCCCAGGGCTCACTTTTGGAGCTTTTTCCTGATATCTGCGGCTGATTGGGTAATAAACTTATCTTTTAGAATCAATTGACCCTCCAGGGAGTCAGGTGACAGGGGAGTATATTTTCTTAAGGTCTCCTATAGCCACTCTAGGAAGGCAGAAGGAGTTTCTTCCTTTCCCTGGGTTATGGTGGACATCATTGAATAATTCATGGGCTTTTTCCTAATTCTCCTTAGTCTTTCTAGAACACACGTCAACAGATGTTTGTGACTCCAGTCCCCATGATCTGAGTTGAGGTCCCAGTGGGGATCCCTAGTGGGGATGGCTTGCTGACCAGTAGGGAATTTGTCCCTTTCTTTGGCTGTCATTCTGTCATTCACTTGACTAAGATATCAGGTCTCTCCAACTCCTGGGCTGCAGCTAAAGCTGCATTCTTTTCATTAAAGGCCAGGGTTTGATCTAACAATAGCATGACATCTCTCCAAGTGAGATAGAAGGTTTACCCTAGATCCTGTAGGGCATCTATATACCTATCAGGATCATCAGAAAGCTTCCCCAGGTCTGCCTTGATCTGCTTTAAATCAGAGAGGGAGAAGGGGACATGTACCCAGGTTGGGCCAAATTCTCCTCCCCCTAGAGCTTGAAGTGGACATAACTGATAGCCCGGGGGGTAGGGAGGGTTGTGGTCCTTTGGAGATTTCTTTGTTTCCTTCTGGGCAGGGGAGATTAGAGGAGGCTTATCATTAATAGGAAGGGGAGCTATAGGGAGGCTAGGATATGGAGGTAAGCTGAGATGTCCTCCTGTGGGATGTAAATTGCAAGCTTTGCATAGTTGTGGGTTCTCCTTCAATGAAAAGAAAGCTTGGACATAAGGTATTTCACTCCATTTGCCTTCCTTCTTACAGAAAAGGTCAAGCTGCAGGATAGTATTGTAATTTATACTTCCCTCAGGTGACCATTTTTCCCCATCAGAGAGAGATTATTGGGGCCAAGCCATAGTGCAGAAAAAAAATAAGCCACTTCTTTTTCAGGGTTTGTGGGTCAAATTGGTCCCAATGGCTTAGGATGCATTTCAAGGGTGAGTCTGTTGATGCCTGAGTGTTTGCCATCTGAAAGACAAAACCACCCACGATTTTGGTTTGCTTGTCCCCCCACCACCACCCAAGAACTCGCAACAGTCCTTGGACCCTGCTGATCTGAATAGTTGTGCTCTCTGATGTAGCAGCATGAACACCTCTTGCCCAAGAACCTGCAGCATTCCCTGGACCCTGTTGATCGGAATAGTTGCACTCACTGATGCAGCAGCAGAAACTCTAGTTTTCCTCCTAGACCACAAGGAGGACCAAGGAAGGTCAGATTTAGTAGCCCTTACCGATGCATTCTTGAAAACCTGCACCCTTGCCTGTCCTCCTAGATCACAAAGAGGACTGAGAAAAATCGGATTTAGTAGCCCTTACCGACACATTCTCGATAACCTGTTAGAGTCCTAAGCATGCTCCTGTTAGTATTGGGACTTTACCCTGTCCTATAAAGATGTTATGCCCCAAAAATGAAGTGGAATGCCATATCCTGAGGGAGGGAAGGGATCTCCAGGGTCGGAAGAGTGACACCTTTTGTCTTCACTTGAATAGGGAGGATAACATTTCTGAAGCTCCCCATATCCTAGCTTCAGGAATAGGCTTTGTTAGTCCTGCTTGTCTGAGGAGGGATACTAAAAGGATAGTTGGTCTTCCCACCGGACAGGGCTTTGGGCAAAAATTAAGTCTTTCTGATGAGTGAGGCAAGGTGCCTAAAGAAGGGAATAAAGTCCTGAAGTTTATACTAGGAATCATTCTTATTGGATAAACTAAAAAAGCACCAGAGGCAGGGAATGGTTTTTAGAAGTGGGACTAGCCTCAGAGAAGAGAGGCAAGAGGAAGTTTTCTGACAGGCATTAGGACCCAGGAAGCAAGGGTCAGGATAGATAGGATAGATGGGTGAGTCTCGCTTGGGTGACATGACTTTGAGAGCTCCGATCATGGCCTCAGGGACAACCAACTTGTTGTCAGGACCCCGGAGCTGAATGGCTTTCCTCTCTGTTGATCCTCGGCTCAGCCTAGAAGTACAGGAAAAGCGGAAGCTGGTTCTAGGCAAACCAATGGTCCCAACTCCAAAGAGTCGGGGGTTGTTAGAGAGCCCTTTCCCAGTAAGCCTGACACCCGTGTCTTTAGTCCAGTGGCCGTACTAGTCGCTTTTAACTGGCTGACAGGTGCTGGTATTTAGCCCCCAAATTCTAAGGAAAAGTAGGACAGAATAGCAAGCGAAAGGGGTCTGATGGTACTCACCGCTTGGCCATAGGTGATAGTCCCTTAGTGGTCACCAAGATGTGCCCAGTTCTTGGTCTCAATGACTTCAAAAGGAAGCCATGGACCTTCACGGTGAGTGTTACAGCTCTTAAAGATGGTGTGTCAGGAGTTTGTTCCTTCAGATGTTCAGATGTGTCCAGAGTTTCTTCCTTCTGGTGGGTTCGTGGTCTCGCTGACTTCAGGAGTGAAGCCGCAGACCTTCATGGTGAGTGTTACAGCTCATAAAGGTAGTGCAGACCCTAAAAGATGTGACAGAAAGGAAATTAAGGAAAACCTAATGAAAATTTCCATGGTTTACAGGTAATAAATTGTTAATTCTTCTCAAACTGATCTCGATCCAGTATAATCCCTGTTAAAATCCCAGCAAGTTGTTTTTTGTTTTGTTTTTCTGTGTGTGTGGGAAAATGGTAGGTGGATTCACAAGGTGATTCTAAAATTTATAAGAAAATGAGAAATTTAAGAAGTGTAGAAATTTCTGAAGACAATAAAGGACAACTCAGGGGAAACTGCATTTGCAAATATTAAGAATTATTATATATCTGCAGTAAATCACAGTATTCTCTTCAAGCTAGTACAGAATACTTTTTAAAAAATTGGGAATCAAGGAAATGTCCATACATATACAGTCAACTGACTATAAAATAGATGTAAGTATAATGTATTTGGGAAATTATGGTTCTGTCAGCAAACAAATACTGGCTCAATGGGTATGTGTATATATGTATGAAAAAAAATCCATCTTGACCATTACCTCACACAATACAACAAATAATTTCAAGATGGTTTAGAGATCTAATGAGAAAGTTAAAACCAAGTGCCTACATAAGAAAACACTGGAAAATATCTATCTTTATATATATATATATATATATATATATATATATATATATATATATATATATACACAGATTCTTCAACATGCTGTAATAAGCACAAACAGCAAACACATTGACAAACAACACAAAAAGTATGATGCTCTATTCATTAAAAGGCAGCATTAAGAAAGTAAAAAGGCAAGACACTGAAGATTTGTATAGATAAATTCCATAAATAAATGAGAAAAATAAAAACAAATCAACTGATAATGGAAAATCCAAATAAGGGTGAAAATGATACAACATATTGCTGAGCATGATTAATGGTTTACAAAATGCAAATTATAATCCAAAAGTGATGAAAGAAATTTACCAACCTGGATTAAATTAGAAACACTGCACCAAGCATTAGCAATAATATAGAGCAACTAGAATTCTTATAACTTGCTGGTGGGTGTGTAAATTGGTGCACACAATTTGTATCTCTTGTTGCTATTAACAACAAGAAGACTCAAATACCAAAGGAAGTCAAAAATGGGACAACTCTATTTTAATTTAGCAGAAAAAGATCTTAGGGTAAGTATTCCTTAAAGTGTCTAATACCTTTATCTGACTACAACAACTCATGTAAGTAAGAGTAACTAAAATATATATCTAGAAGTTATATACACACTGATTTGGCCAAAAACCCTAAAAAGTATTAAATATACATATATTTAGTTAGTAAAAACAAACCCCTGTGTATTGCTAACTACTTCTGTAAAATTTACTCTTCAGTAGAAATTCATGTTCAAGAGTCTTCAATCATGTAACGAAACTGAAAGCTATTAAAATTATTCTGCCAATGGCTCTTCTGGCAATAACTTAAAATACCTTGGCTGACACTGCAGAGTTAGAGACAGCCATGTGTTATCCATATATAAAACGAAGAAATTGTCTCAACAGTTTGTGAATCATATGGAGGTTTTACTAGGCTCTTTCCTAAGGCCACAAATAGTAATCAGTTTGGCTTTGTGTAATATATTCTCCAAGCATGCCTAGAGGCAAGTTAGTACTTTATTTTTATGAGGCTCCAAAGGTTATACATCAAATGATTGGTAGGCAGGTTCTTCAATTCTGATAAACAGATCTCAGGAGAAAACCAAAAACATGATTAGAGAAAATACCAGGCTAGGTGGGCATAATCGTGAGAACTAGGAAATGATCCTTCATCACAATGACCTTCACTTCATTGAAGTAAAGGCAAAAAAAAATGTATTTGCTATGATTTCATTAACTTTCTTTTATAAAGTGTATCTCTAAAATTATGATCGCATAGTCGAGGACTTGCATGTTGGCGGAGGAAAAAACTCTTTGAACTGAGTACCTAAAAATAATAAAAGTTTCACTCTTTATACACCTCACGTAGCAACCAATAGATATCTTTTACTATTTAAAGAAGTCTATTAAATACAATAGTGGTAAACTCATCTCATCCTATTTACCCTCACTAAAATACAAGGCAAGAAATCAACATTATATATAAATCACTGTGAAGCAAGCCCCTGGGACCATTCCTAAAATATTTTTCTAAATTGGATGGAGTTATAAATTATTAACTTTATTCTGCTGCATCTTGGTGGAGGCAGATAGAGGATAACATTGTACTTAAGAAATCATATTTAACACAAAATGCAAAATAATACATGGATATTATCTGTGGTTAGAGACCAATGAAAGATAAATTTGTGTATTCAGCATTTCTGTTGTGAAATCAGCTATGAAGTAATAGCAGAAGTGACCAGAAAATTGAGAATAATAAAAGGACTAAATTGAAGCATTTCATGACAGAAGGACGAGACTGACTATTGTAAATGATGTAAACAATTCATTATTATTAATAGAAATTCAAAGAATACATCACTCAAAAGTCTTTCATATAAAATCTTAAAAGTACTCCGTAACAAGTAAGAGACTATACCTTCAGGTATTTTGGGATTTGACATGTGTATATTAAACATAATTTTATGATGTAATTCTATTTGCAGGTAAGTTAAGATGGAAAAGCAATTTTGCTTATGTAATTTACATATTATATAATTGTTTACAAAAAATTATTCATTATTTGGAATTATACTGAAAGTATTTGGTGCTTAGAAGCTTTTTATAGTGAGGTCATCACCCCTACTAGGTTAAGACAATAAGCTGTTCTATCTCCTATTTTATTGATATATTACTTTCATAAACCAAGCTTTAATATTAATAGACCTGGGAATAATAGTTGTATATCTATATTTTTTCCAATTAAAAAGTCTATTGTAAAATAAAAATTAAAATGAGATACCAATTTCATATAGCAGGCTGAAACAGTATTTTTAAATGCAATAACTAGTGAAAGGGAGAAAAAATAGGTGCTGTCAGACACTTCTGGTTGAAAGGTAAGTGATATAGTTTAGATGCTTGTCCCCTCCAAATCCCACATTGAAAACTGATCCTTGGTGTTGAAGGTGGGGCCTGTTGGGAGTTGTTTGGGTGATGGGGGAGGATACCTCATGGATGGCTTGGTATCATCCCTAGAGTAAAGAGTTCTCACTCTATTAGTTCACATGAGAGCTGGTTGTTAAAAAGAGTGTGGCACCTCCCATTTCTCTCTTGCTACCCCTCTTACCATGTGACATGCTGGCTCCCCTTGCCTCCCACCAGGAGTAAGTGCTTCCTGAGGCCCTCCCCAGGGGCAGATGCTGGCACCATGCTTCTTGTACAGCCTGCAGAACTGAGAGTAAAATAAACCTCTTTTCTTTATAAATTACGCAGTCTCAAATATTTATTTATAGTAACGTAGACTAATACATTAAGCTCATATAATTATTATAAAGAAAAATTTGGTAATACGTACCTAAAGAATTAAGAATAAATATGTTAAGATTGAATATATCAAAAAATTATTTGAAGAGAAACTTTAAGTTGAACAAAACTATATAAGACAGGATACTGATAGAGGTGTTTTCTTGTGTGTGTTATTTAAAAAAAGAAGTCAATCTAAACTTCAAAAAGCTAAACAAGAAATGCCATATTTATATACTAGGATAAAAAAATGACATATAATATTGTAAGATAATATTTAGCATTATGAAAGTCTTTTGAAAATAAAAGATAAGTAAGAGTGCAATTAGAATAAAGAAGAAAAATTGATTTATCTTCAAGAGATTCTCATTAAAAAATTAATAAAACTTAATAGCTGTGACCGTTGTCATCATCATCATCAATGTAATAAAACTCAGCAACCTAGGAAAAAAAACATTGTTCTTAACCTGATGAAGGGTATTTAAAAAATAACACCTACAGGAAAAATCATAATTAATGGTGAAATGTTGGAAGCTTTCCTCTGTCTTAAGGAAATAATACAATAATGACAACTTTTGCACTTCTTTTTATTATTACATTGATCATTCTAGCCAGGAAAAGAAGAAAAAAAAGTGGGTAATTTGAGGAAGAACATCAAAAGGACCTAAATTAAATGAGAGATACACAATATTAATGAATTGAAGTGATTGGTATTTTAAAGACAACACTCTCTAAATTGACCAATAGATTTGTTTCACTACAGCTCAAAATTCCAACTTTTTTTTCAGGGAAAATTACTATATATATATGTTTATATGTGTATATATATATGTGTATATATGTGTATATATATGTGTATATATATATGTGTATATATGTATATATATGTGTGTATATATATGTGTATATATGTATATACGTGTGTGTGTGTGTGTGTGTATATATATATATATATAGTGTCAAAAGTAGGAAAAATAATCCGGAATAAGGGCAAATTAGGAATTTTTTTCAACCACATATCAAGACTATCATAATATAGTAATTAATACAGCATAATATTATTTAAAATAGTGGCAAATAGAACACACTAGAGAGTCCAGAAAAGGGTCCCGCATACATGGATAATTGCTTATACCTAAGGTACAACTCTAGAATTAGAAAGGACATACTTTTAAAACATGAGGAAACAATTGAATAAAATGGGAAAAAGGCATCTTAATCCCTCCCTCACATCTGTTTAAATGATTACCAAAATAAGCTTCTAAACAAGAATATGAAATAATATGTTTATGATATGGTAAAAAAGGTTTCCTCTACAAGTAATTAAAAACATGCATTATAAAGTAAATAAAGGTTAAACTACATTATATTAAAACTATAGACTTCCCACCAATAATAGAAACAATTAAGAGAATAAAAGAGAAAGGAGGAGATATTGGTAATGCATATAACTACCAAGCTCTCAAATCTAGAACATAAAGCAAACTCTAAGACATAATAAACAACCAAATAGAAAAATGCACAATGGACTTTAAGAAGCACTCTACACAAAAGAGGATAACCTAGTATGTTTTAAGAATGCACGAAGACTTTTAAAAATTTATTTGCATATTTAAAGTTTACACACGTCATGATTTCAATGTAATAAAAAATAATAATAAGCCATTCACAGCTCTGAGACACATGGTCTCTTCTATATCCCAAGCAAGTCCCTAAATGGAGGTAGAGCATGTGTTCCTATTTTACACACTCTCATATGAGAGATAAGTGGTTAAGGAGGATTAGAAACCCAACCAGGCCTACCGGGGTGCTGGATAGACACAGAACATTTCTAAGGGAATGCCACGAGAGAAAAATTACAAGTCTATACAAAAATTTTTATTTTAACACTTAGAATCAATATTCATTCCAACAGCTTTACCAGGCTTGGCCAACCCAATAAGTTACACACTCAGGTACTTGGAAGGTTGTTGCACAGCTCCTTAACTGAGCAAGTCAGGGCAAAGTTGTCCAGCAAGGAGTAAATTAAAATAAAAATGTGATCAACCCTACTCACCAAAGAATTGCTAAAATTCAAAAGAATAAAAACACCAAGTGTCAAGGATACCATTAAGCAACTGGAAATCTCATTGCTACTGTTGTGAATTTAAAATTGTAAAAGCACTTTCAAATAATATTTGGCATTATTTCATAAAGTAAATAAATGCAAATCGTATGACCTAGAAATGCTAATTCTAAAAACATACTCGATAGAAATTTAAATATATATGGTGATATGGTTTGGCTATGTCCCCACCCAAATCTCATATTAAATTCCACGTGTTGTGGGAGGGACCCAGTGGGAGGTAATTGAATCATAGGGGCAGGTTTTCTCAGCTGTTCTCGTGATTGTGAATAAGTCTCACAAGATCTGATGGTTTTACAAAGAAGAGTTACCCTGCACAGGTTCTCTCTCTGTGCCTGCCGCCATCCACAAGATGTGACTTGTTCTTCCTTGCCTTCTGCCATGATTGTGAGGCTTCCCCAGCCATGTGGAACTCTAAGTCCAATTAAACCTCTTTATTTTGTAAATTGCCCAGTCTTGACTATGTCTTTATCAGCAGTGTGGAAACAGACTAATACTTATGGACCAAGATATATGTATAGAATCCTCATAGCAGCTTTAGTTTAATTGCTAAAAATCTACAAACAACCAAATAATTCACGTATGCTATAACATATAAACTGTTTTATTTATATAATGAAATATTCTGAAGCAATGAAAATATACAAACTTCTGCTGCATGAAACAATGTGGATGAATCTTACAAACATAATGTTAAGCAAAAGACAGAAACACAAAATACTACATGCCATGCGATTCTATTTATGTAAAGTTTAAAAATAGGCAAAATTAATCTGATATATTAGCAATTTGAATGGGTTAGGTTTCAGGAAAGGGAGAGAAGTGATTAGGACAGCTCCTAGGGGAGTTTTCTGGCATTAATTTCATGTTTATTGCTCTGGATGCAGATGAACAGTTGTGTTAATTTAGTAATAATTAATCAAACTTTTATATTTTAATTTGTATGATTTTCTGTATTAATACTTTAATAAAAATATTTATTTATAAAACAAAATTCAAAGTTGTTTTCCATGTCTCAGACTACATTCATGCTTAAAATCACAAGGTATGAAAATTTGCAGAAAATAAATATTCAGCAACAGGTGAAATGTTTTGTTTGCCTGTTAACTTACTTGAAATGCTGGTAGACAGTTGTTTTTATTTAAATAGCAACAACAAAAAAAAATGAAAAAAAGTGTTTTTAACCATTAAACCCTAACAAAGCATTTACAGATACAATATGCACTCCTTCACGTAAATCTTGCCCTGATTTAAGATAAACAGGGAATACCAATAGTTGATAAAACCCATTTGTTTTTCATGAGGAGGAACATCCTTTTATCTACCTATGAAAACATATGTATTATTAAAATTACATTTATATATTCAGAGAATTGGGGAAATAATCTTAAAATGTATTCTTAAAGGCATCTTTGTACTGGATTTACGGTCTGTTTGCAGACATGGCCACTATGCATGGTAGGGGGATAACGACTGGCCAATAGAAAAGTAAGACTTTTTTACATTCCATGTGTAATTGAGGTCATGCAGTATTTTTCTTTCTGTGTTTGGCTTATTGCACTTAGCTAACGTTCTCTAAGTTCATTCATATTGTTGCAAATGGCAATATATTCTTTTAAGACTGAATAATATTCCAATGTGTATATGTACCACATTTTTTAAAATTCATTTATCCTTTGGTGGACACCTAATGTTTCTATATCTTGACTACTGTGAATAATGCTGCAATAAACATTGGAGTGCACATACCTCTCAAAGGTGCTGATTATATTTTCTTTGGGTATAGACTCATTAGAGAGATTGCTGGGTCATATGGTAGTTCTATTTATAATTTTTTGTTAAACCTTCATATTGTTTTCCATGATGGCTGCAACATTCGCATATACGTATACACACACACACACACACATTATATACATATATACATATACATATACATATACATCAGAATATCATATTGTACAACTTAAATACAATTAAAATTAATAAATATGTTTACAAATAAAAGTAAGGCAACCAAGAACTGTGTCTGAAGCTAGAAATAAAATTAGCTTTCAGAGGAGTGAACTAAATTTAGATTTTACTGAGGCAGTCTTAGGTCTTTGAGAATCAGCTCCTGTGGGAATTCGTGACAAGAACCAGACAATGATCAGTATCTCTACCCTTGATGTGTATCACCGTGAGCCTTTTACAAGAACAGAGTATGCCAGAGAATCAGGAAAACAATGCAAAAAGACAGTAGGGAAATTAAGAAGCTGCAGATCTGTAGATAATGAGGATAGACATTTTGTGTTAATCATATCAATCTACAGATTTAAGAAAGTATGTCTACTGTTGCTGCTTTCTTTAGTCAAGTGAACCAAGGATTGGGAGTATCTGAAATATTAGGTTAAAGGCTTTCAAATCCTGGAGACAAGTTGGGCATTTAGTCAAGTATTAATCTAATCTTTGTGATTAAGGCCTTAAGCATATTAATTTTTAGAAAAATTATTTATTTTATTTTACTTTTCTTAAGTTCTTGAAGCATAAATAAATTGAGAGTAAGAACATGTTCTTTGCAATTCTTGCAATGTTTCTTTGGTTAAATAAATAGTTCCCAGAATGTGAAAAAAGGGGTTTTATTTTTCTAATAGAACTTGAAGTGAGAATATAATCATCCAACTTTTACAAAATCTATGGTTGTGGTAGTTCCCATTGGGACGTTGAGTTTTAAAAATACGGATTATATTAGATTTTCTAATTGATTATTAATGATAAAAGCAAGCTGACTGAAAAGTAAATGCCACAGTGCCTTCATTTAAATTCTCCTAGAGTCAGAAATTTATCACTGATAATTTGGATTCCTTTTTATTATAGGTGGAAATAGAATTATATCCACAAATTATGGGTTTCTACCACTTATATGTTTTTCCAACACAGTAAAATATATTTGGATATATTGGCTTGCTTTATTTTGTGTCTCATTAAACAAGTCACTTTTTTCTTAGCAAAGATTTATCATTTCTGAAAGTCACCCAGGTACTTAAGTCATAAGCTCAAAGCAGTTTTAAAAATGTAGCTAAACATAGACTATGACCTTTTAGATGGTGAAAAGACTTATTTTTGAGCCATATGGTCAGCCTCAGGCTTAAGACATTAAAATTGAGGCTGGAGGGAGTTCAAACGATGACATTGATTAGTGCATATGTCCCCACACTGGATGAACTGAAGACATCAGGAAAATCTTTTATGACAACTTGTCAGTTGTCATTAATACAATCCATGGAAAAGAAAAGGAATCATTCTTGGAGATGTCAATGCCTGAGTTTGTTAGAACTACATTAATTTGCATGAAGTTATTTGAGACACAATTTTCAGCAAGATTTAGAGAACTGAAGAACTGAACAATCCATAGTTTTAGGGGTGTTTCTGAATGGTTTATCACAAATATTCCTGAATTATTGCATTGCTCTCCCTTGATATTAAGTTTCAATTTCTGGGATGTTTTCATAAGGCAAAAATGAACAGAACTACTCAATCCTTGTCATGGTATACATAATAAATTTCTAGATAGTAATTTACCGAACTTATTCAATTGATCAATTTTTAGAAAGGTACATTTTCCCCAGATGTAAGACCATTTAATAATAGTCATTTTACCCTCTGATTCTCATATCGTAAGGCAGAGTTCATCAAATTTTTCCTCAAAATACTGTTTGCTTTTTTCAAGCGAAAAGCATGCTTATATGGATAGAGAATGGCCAATCGATGTGACAGCTTGTAAAATTTAGTATTCACCATTTATTTTTCCATGATTTAGAGTTAGAATCATGATGCAAATTTCCTAACACTATTGCTTCCTGTATTACCCCCCAGGCTTGAAGCACCAGAACAGTCTCGAAGACAAACTGGCAGGAAGAAGAATATCAAATATACATCATATTTTCTGGTTGTAGTATGAAAACAAATATCCTTAGGAAGTCTTCTATAGTTTCCTTATTTTAAAGATCATATCACAGTAATAAAATATTTTTCAGGATACCATGTACTTTTTGTTTTATCCATTATTATGTTTGTCAACATCCATCTTCAAAAGCAAGATAACATGATTTTTTCCAGATTATAAAAGAATTTTTGAAATGCACTTTGAAAACCTACTTTGTACAGGATGATTGCTTAATGTTAGGGAAGGCCTAGCCTTCCTCTTTACTGGTACAAGCCTGCTCTACAGGCAATGCAGTTGGGTATGCTAACAATATCATGTCCAAAAGGGTATTATGACACTACAAATTAGCATTGATAATGTAATATTATGTTATATTGACGATGAATACCAATTAAGAAAATGGAATATAAAAAATATACAGAGTAGGCTTTTTTAAAGGGAAGAAATAAATCATAAAAGATGCACATTAACTTTTCAGAAGCATTGAATAATAGAAGGAAATGGATTAATTTTGGTGGATGAGAAGTAAAGTACATTAGATCAGTGATCTCGGGCAACATTGTAAAAATGCAAATGAGATAATGAGTACTGCTCAAAATTTGTCTTCTTCCAATGACAATAGTTGGGTGAGCCAAGGCACAGTTTGAAGCTAGCTATGAGTTAGCTGAGAACATGTACTACTGCTGGTTTCTCAATTTAGGAGCTACTTATACAATTTTAAAGTGAAAAGCTATATATAAATAGTAATTAGAGGCAGAGCTAAAGATAGTATAGCTAGTTTTATCTTGGGTAAAAGACCTAAGGAACTTTTGAAAGGGCGTATGTAGCAGACAAAGAGTGAGATCTTGGTTTTTACAGAAAAAGATTTAACTGAGCCTGCATATCAAGATAGTTTTGAATATTTTACAGCTTTCATGTTTTCCAATGAGTTAGTGATTGTCATTGTAAAATGATAAATTTATGATAATCCATATTGCCTCACTTCTATCTCAGACCTACACAACATACAAGGAAATCTTAAGGGTACAGTATTAAGTTGATATACACTAATGCTAATCTGCCCTCACTTTTTCCTAATATCCAAATCTATTTACTGGCCTCCCTCAGGTTATTCCAACCTCATAGAGTTCCTTTTGAGCTCACAATAAATTAGCCTTAAATCCAGTCATGCTAAATTAATCAATATTTTTATAATAACCCAGAGTAGATATAGTTGTACTAAGTGACTCTGCCTTCTGAACTAGAGAAAGACACTTGACCTAAATGATACATCAAGAGATGCCTGTGACTTTGCAGTTTAAATTTTCAGGTCTCAGGTTAAACTAGTCTCTTGAATGGAGGAGGTATAAAACCCAGAAGCCATGGCATAGGAATCATCTGTATTTCCAGAAGGCCAGTGAATAATCCCCCTGCTTCCTCTGCTCAGCTTCTAACCAGTTGAGAGATGGATAAAAGAGACAGTTAAGTGGAAATCAAAATATAAATTGTTATACTTATAAAACTCTAGATTAGAGAACAAGACCTTGTCTTGGCACAACTATAGTATTTTCAATATGACACACTGCTGCAAGAGGTTTTCTAATGCTTAACAGTACAGCACTGAAAACCAAAGGTCTCTCCATGAAAACACAGTCCTTTTACTTTACATAGGCATATCCTCATGCCTCTGATCAAAACTTTCAAACTCATCAAGGAGTTGTTGTCCCACACTTCTGTACCTACTACGGGTAAGTAATAAGAAAAAGTGCAAGAATATTACTCTAATCAGGCGTACTTCACAAGGAGGTATATGTCAGGAGTAGAGTACAGGCTGGTTCATAGAAAAGAATGAATAAAGAGAATATTCATAAAATTAGTTGGTACCCAGATTCCTCAATGAAAACTGAATTAGTCTCCTTTTCCGCCTGCCTCATCTAATCAAGCAGCCATCATTTTTTAAATTTCATTTCCTCTTTATTTAAATTCAAAATTGTGGATCTATTTTTAATATTGTTTTATCTTGTCCTTTCTAAACAAATTGGTAATCCTACCATACCTACTTTTACCAAAAGAAACATTTCTAATTTCTTTTCTCTCCCCATTGCTACTTTCTCCATCACTTATAATCAAGTCAGCATTTTCAGAAGTATTCTGAGGAACACTGCACTTTTAGAGTCTCTTCAAAGAAATGAGGGCTTCCTATGATTAAATATATTTTAGAAATGCCACACGCCTTGCCCCATTTTAGAGATTTAACATACTCATTAGCAGAGATATCTTCCAATAAAGAAACCTCTTTGACTTGTTTAATCCAAAATTCCCAGTCTTATCTCAACATAGCAACTTAAAAAAAAACCTCTTATAACCTCTAGAAACTAGTGTTTTGTGAAATACACTTTGAGAAACGCTTTTCCAAGATATTTTAATCAGTTTTTAACTATCATGGCCTCAAAGGCAGTCATGCCAAATTAATCAATACCTTTTGTGACATAAGTGCTATGTTTAAAAACATTCCATGCATCTTCACTGCCTCTTGGACAAAAATCAGTTCAAACTACTCAGGGCAATATTTAAAGTCAAGTGCTATCTTTACCAGCCTTTTTTTTCTAGAGAAAAAATTCTACTGTTTCCCCAAAGAAAGTCTTCTTCATATTAAACCAAAGTTAAATATGTTCTCTCACTCCTACAAAGGACAATTAATCTAAGTTCTCTAAGCCTCAGTTTCCTTAAATCCTACTTCATAACTGAAATGACATAGCAAGCATTTCCTGACTCATACTCCCTTATCTGAGCTCTGAAGTGCATTAACTGCTGTGAATTTATTCTACCCTGTCTTTATGTTTTGTTTTGTTCATTAGGCTCAGAGTAAATATAATGTAGTGATTAAGAACCTGGGGTCCATATCTAAGCCAAGATCACTTAATAGACATGTGATTTAAAGCTAATTACTTATTCTCTATGTTCCTCTTTCCCTCATATGTAAAATTCAAATAAATAACTGGTTGGCAGGATTTTTACAAGTACTAAGTGAGAGTATATATGGTAATAGAGGTTTTTAATATGTAGCTATTATGATTAATATTAGAGTGCAAATTCCTTTATATCAGTATCCAGTTATTATGTTTATTTGTAGTGTCCCCATTTTACATACAAGAATTTTGCCTATGGGAAGTATTGATGAAATAATTTATGAAATCAAAATAGACTTTCAAGGGGCCATAGGGGCCATAGAACTTAGAATGTTTATTTTATAAATTGAACTTGTAATTTACTTACCTAGTATCACATAACTGGTCGGTAGTACATCCAGGAGTATGCATCTGGGTCAAGACCTATAAGATCCAGCTTTTAATTGATTTTACACAGAAAAAAAAAAAACTGGCAAGCTACAGCTGCCTGAATAGTTTATTTCAAAGAAAGCACCATTCATGAAGTATATGATGAAATGCAACAATGGTCCCCAAATTTTTCTCCTTCTGGTGTCCACATTCCTTTACTGTATAACATTGTGTGGTCTCCCGTACTCACCTATGCCTTGACCATACGACTTGCTTTTAACACTTGTGAATGGCATTTTTCCTCTTTTCAAGCTCTTGCAACTCCCTGAGAAACATGTAAAAATGTTCAGACTAGGCTTTTGAGATATGAGAGACTGCAAAAAGCAGACATGAGATGCCTCAGACCCTCAGACCAACCAGCCCCAAGCCAACATGTCAACTGACCACAGGCTGGCGAGTGAGTCAAGTCAAGTTTAGCAGAAGTCTTCATCATCTGAGTCCAGCCCAAATTTCAGAACCACAGAATCGTGAGGTAAATAAAAGGTGGTTTTAAGCTACTAAGTTTTTGGGTGGTGTATTACACAGAAAAAAAAATGAACCAATAAAATTAATTTGTAGATTCATTATTAATTAAATGTTATATGAAAAAAGGCAGATATTAAGCCCCCTCACTTCATGTGTCCCCTCATGCACAAGAAGACAGTACTTACTTTCCTCTAAACAAAACAATTATTCAATTAATAAGAAGTATCATAGACTCTGAAAGCATAAAAATTTTAATATGTTTGTCCTTAACACTTGTCAGTTCTGTAGCTGTTATGTCAGAATGACTTTTCTCTTTTGGAGGCTGGGTTTCTTTGTTGGTGTTCTTTGGTCACTGCTAGCTTTTCAGCTTAGCAATTGATCCTGGCACATCCTATTCTTCGAAGGATGTATTCTGTGACATAAAATACACTTTTGACAATGCTCATGAACAAATAAAAGTGGTAATCAAAAGGCAACTAGAATATTTAAATAAGATGATTATATGTTGTAACACTGTAGCTAGATGTCAAAGAAAAAAGTTAGCATTTTTCCCTCCCTATAAGTGATGTAAAATTTCTTACACCCACGTTATTGCCTAAAGTAATAGGTTGGTGCAAAAGTAAATGCGGTTTTTGTCACTACTTTCAATGGCAAAACACAATTACTTTTGCATCAACAGAATAGCAGAAAACCATCACTAGTTTACACAGACATTAGATACACTTTCATAGTGTTCTTGGTAGCAGAGGCAAAGAAATTTGATATGGAACATATGGGTGATTATTTGATTTTTCCATTTTACTAAGATGTCCATGAAATGCTGAGAAACACTTCATTGAAATTGGTGTGGTGTTGATAAATGTTTACCAGTATTTCTTAATTTCAGTATTTAAATTATTCTTAAAGTACATATGTCACAAGTGGTGTGTAATCCATATTTTGTATGTTGTTACAAACGCATATATATTTGGAAGATAAATATTTCTTTTTTTATTAACTTTAGACATTTTATTCTTTCTCCATAATATTCGTTAAACTATACATAAACATGTACAGTGATACTTTTCTAAGTAAACTTTTGTCTTATTATACTATGGATCCAATGAAAGTACATCATTTATCTTTGATGGTGGGTGGAGTTTGTGAAGCCATGCTAAGAAGCTCTGTCAGCCCCGCAGCAGCTATAGCATTGGATAATAGAGATTGATGCACCAAGATAGACAGAAAAATAAATAGGCAAAAATTTAAAGAGGGAGTAATTTTTAGCTTATAAGTAAGCAGTTGAAAACAAAATATATGCATATACCAGAGATAAACTATACAACAGATTTCAATTATACAAGCAGTCATGATGTAGAAAGGTACAGTAACCAAAGCAAATGGGTAAACAAACTTCAGAGAAGCATGGTGGGACCAAGCAATTCTCCAGTGAAGAACACTCAGGCCAGGTCAACAAATGAATATGTATGACATACTAGTGGCAAGATGGTGTTGATTCAGAGGCAACTGTTTGTCTATTTTAAAACTTGTATTTGATATTGCTTTAAATTATACGTTTCTTCAGGAATAGAACCTAATCTTCAAGTTGCAGCTATTATAGAATAATTATTGGATATGATCTTGTAAATTTGAGCTATATTTGGGCTTATGGAACAGAATATGAAATAGAAATAGAGAAGTAAATTAACAAAAATATTTTGTCAGCCAGTCAATACTTCTTTGTGAAGAGCCTATTACGTACAGGGTCATAACCTCATTGACTGTGGCAGAAGTCTATTGTAGACAATCTATAACAGGACATGAATAAGTTAGACATAGTAATAAACTTTTAAACTTTTTTTTAGCTTTCACAGCTTATGTAGTTATTTTACATACTTAGCTCATTATTTCCCCATATATAATTATACACATTATATTGCTATTAATAAATTAATTTTTCTAGTTTTGTAGACCTATTCAATATTGACCACTAAACATTTTAATTAGTATTTCTTTGTTCATAAATTGCATATGAACAACTATTAACCTTGTAACATTTTTTCACCATTTGTGGAAACCAAGAACCTAAATGCTAATAGATTCATTCTACTCTCACAAGCTGAGAAAGGATTCTGAATGTAAAGTTGAGTATTTAAATTATTTTTGAAGTACATACGTCAGAAGTGGTTCATAATCCATAATGGACTAAGCATGTAAAATAACTACTATACAACATTATTTTACACCTCCCCTCTCAATCTCTCTCTCTGTTTCTATATATAAGCAATAAGCGTTCTTGGATAAACTTTAAAAAAATATATTTAGTCTTTGACCCTCGTTCTTGACACAGAGCTTCTAAGAACTTGTAATTTCCTAAATGATAGGAACATCTGACACAGCGCTGCTAAATCTACTGGAATTTATTGGGCAATAGAAGCATCCTTTGTTCTAATGAAACAACTCATAGTGGGCTCCTGGATGGGGACTGGTCATCAGAAAGACCAACCCAGGATTAGAAGCTTGGAAATTTTAGCCCCATTCCCCATTCTCTGAAGAGGGGAGAGGGGCTAGAAATCGAGTCAATTAATTATGTTTATGCAATTAAGCCTCTATACAAATTCCTGAACTGTAAGGTTTGGGGAGCTTCCAGGTTGGCAAATGCCAGGAGAGGGACATACTCCAACTCCACGAAGACAGAAGCTCCTACACTCAGGCTCCTTCCAGACCTCCTACTATGCCTCTATTCATTTGGCTGTTCAACTATAGTATTTATCATACCCTGTTAATACAATAAACATTAACATATGTGTTTTCTGAATTCTGTGAGCCATTCTGCCAAATTAATAGAACCTGAGGAGAGGGTCATGGGAACCGTGATTTATAGCTGGCAGTTAGAAGAATAGATAGCCACCTACTACTTATGATTGGCATCTGAAGTGGGGGGCAATCTTGTAGAACTGAGCTTAACCTGTGGGATTGATCTGAATCTAATTTCAAGTAGTAGTGTCAGAATTGATTTGAATTATAGGATACCCAGTTAGCGTCTTCTGAAGAATTGCTTAGTGTGTGGCAAAAACTCCCTACCCATCTGCTATGAGAAGTGAAATGTTCTTTCTTGTACTGAATGTTGAGTGGTGTGTGAAAGCAAAAATATAAAAGTAAAAAATAAATCTCATACAGTTATAAAGCCAAAAGAAGACAAGGGAAAGAAATTAAATCAAATTGATTCAATATTTGCTTCCCTATATTGACTGTAAGTCTTAAAAAAAGATATTTGGTTATGTCATCAGGATAGTACACTGGCAAACACAAAGTTAAATAAAACCATATCAGATGGTAGAGAATGTAGTCAGCATGGTGATTGGTTAACCAGAACACTCTAATTCAAGGAAAATAATGAATCCCCACCTAGTATAAAAATTAATTTGAGGGGTACAGAATACATCAGAGCTATTTTAGTTTAGACTCATCTAAGTTCACTCACCTGAAATTTGAATGTCCTTATTTTTCCACTACAAAACTGAAGAGTTCTAATTGTAGGTCAAGGTTGATTGGTGGAAGACACTTGGCAGCTGTTGATGTAACTATAAAATCGAATTAAGCTTAGTTTTTTCATCTTGCTAATGATATATGTATGTGATGCCAAGTATTTAGCAATATTAGTTAATCAGGGAATCCATTGTGAATGATTAGAGATACATTACATATGTAATTGTAATGCACGCTCAAGGCTACCATTCCTTTTTTTTCTAATGAGTTAATGTGTTTAAAGGGATGATGATGTTAAGCTACAGTTGTTTTAACTTTCAGAGAAAAGGGCTTTTAATTAATATAATCACAGACTCTCCTTGAAAATCTCATTATCTTTTATGGGGAACGAAGGAACTATGTTTTGCCCTGCAATTAAATTTTCAGTATAGTAATGACAAATGTGGTATAAGAAATAACCAGGTGGTCATGGAAAAAGGCTTTGTTTTATTATAGCTGATTCAAAATTTGTTCACATGGGAGGAACAGGAGATGCAGTAGAAAAACAAACTTCCTTATACATTATGGACAAGCTAGAATATGACATTCAAAAGAGTGATAATTTGACTGTTTTACCCAAATAAACTACCATGAATGCCTAGAGAAAAAAAGAGAATATTTTAGCTTCTTGTGCTCAATTCAAATAGGTAAAGACTGCATTACTCTGTAAATTGAATTGCATCTGAGATATAAAGCTGGGGTTTTGGTTTTGTTTCATTTTGTTTGTTTGTTTTAGAGGCAGAGTCTTACTCTGTCACCCAGGCTGGAAGGCGGTGGTGCCATCATTAGTTCACTGCAGCCTTGAACTCCTGGGCTTAAGTGATCCTTCCTACCTCAGCCTCCTGAGTAGCTGGGACTACAGGTGTGTGCCACCATGACCGGCTGACTTTTCATTTGTTTTTTTGTAGAGACGAGATCTCACCTTGTTGCCTAGGCTGGTCACCAACTCCCGGGGTCAAGCGATCCTCCTGCTTTGGCCTCCCAGAGCGCTGGTATCACAGGCATAAGCCACAGTGCCTGGCCTATAAAACTGTTTTAGCAAAATAACTAAGCTTTTTAAAATTTTCTATATCGTCAGTAAATCAGGTCATAGATATCTGTCAAGGTCTGACTTGCATTTATTCTAGTCTGCTAATGTCAAACTTGTGAGATTTTTTTTTATCTTTGTGATTACCTTTCAACGATCCTTTGCTGTAGAAAAGCTATCTGAAAAAAATAGAAATAAACATTATCTATCTTGTCTGAACAAGTGATTATTAATTAAGCAAAATGATATTTAAAGCTGCTTTATAAATGATATGTCAAAGCCTTTGTATGGAAGGTAGATCTTATTTTCACAATGACCTTTCATTGAATTTTGATGCTACTTTTGTCAGAAAAGGACGCACCAGGAGAATATTTTATCTTCATTACTTGTCTTCATTACCATCATCATGACAATCATCTAAAGCATTTTTCATCATCATGGTCTAAAAGCATTTATACTCATTGCTCATCAGTATATATGGTTTAAGCATTGTTATAAAAACATAATAAAGTTGTTATTTCACTATCATCCATTCTAAGAGCTGAAATTCACATTTGGCTTCAAAGCGTAGTAAATTCAGATAATAATCTTGAAAGGAAGCTGGAGAACAAAATATTAGATATTAATATATACAAAATATGTTTTCACTCAGGCAATTTACCTGTTCATATAGGTATGAATAAAATCAGTATTTCTACATTTTAATAATAAAAGTCAGAGGAAACAATGTATTCTATCAAAGTTTTAACATTTCTGGAAGTATGATTCATGTAATTGATAATTGTATCTAATCTAATTTCTGCCTGAAAAGTTATGTAGAAAATCATTGGTGATTTTATTTTTATAATTGTTTTATATTTTACAAGGTATACAATAATTATATATATTGCATAATATATGTATAATGTATTTTCCATTATCTATATATATGTATATATTTTTTAAAACAGTGTCTCCTCTGACAACTAGGCTAGAGCACAGTGGCACAATCAAAACTCACTGCAGCCTCAACCTCCCAGGTTCAAGCTATCCTCCCACCTCGGCCTCTCAAGTACCTGGAACCATAGACGTGTGCCACAAAGCCTGGCTAAATTTTTATTTTTTGCAGAGAAAGGGGTCTCACTATGTTGCCCAGGCTGATTTATTATAGTTTAACTGAAAATTCCAATAAAGTGATAAAATTTAGGACTTCTATACCTGAGAAAGCAAATATATTTGGCTTAATATGGTAATTATAGATGTATTACTCATATGCCTAAATGATATAAACAAGCCAGGCAAATATGGGTTATATAGGGATACCAAGTTCTTTTTCTTTTTCCGTAAAGGCAATGATGCCAAAGGATAGCAAATATTATTCACTGTATCTATTAACTGGAGCCCAGAGTGGACTTAGAAAACCATGAATTCCCAGGGATGCAAAAAAGCAGGATGGTCATTCTCTGTCATATTGAGCTCACTTCCTGGGAAGTATTTACATGATTGGAGGGATTTTTCATCATTCCTATAAGTGATAAAATCCTGCCTCACAATAGGAAGCCAGGATCTCAGAAACTATGGGAATTTGAAAGGTTAAGATCCACTCAGTTAATAAGCAAACAGAATGCCTCAATTATTTTTACTTTAGAAATTCAAGTTGGACAAGTTTTATAACAGCAACAAATTGTTAAATATTACTATATAGTTTGAAATTAAGAAGAAAAAATTGTGAGCTGAATAAGAGTTCTCAGAGGCATGAAGAGCCGACTCAGTGAAGCATTGAACAATGAGATACTAATTAACATAGCTAGATAAACATTTAAAATTTAAAATTTAAAATTGTTTTCTGATACAATATTTAATAAAATACATTATTCTTATAGCATTAGTCATCTTGAAAGGCACTTGGGTATTCTTATTTTTTATTCTAACATGAATATATTATTAGATAGCTAGACATGAGCAGGAGGGAAAGCACCTGAAAAAAGGAGGTCTGTAAATCTCACACCCCACAGACCATCCAAAACGTGCATGCTAGATATGACCAGAGAAAGGGGGACGTACCTATGCAGAAAGAAACGCCCCGTAAGATGCGCTAGTAACTATTCACTTGGTAGTCAAACTAACAGAATGTAGCCAGCTCACGCTGATAAGAAGAGAAGAGGACAAAGGAGAAATTCCTAAGAGATACACAGGTGCAGTAAGTATAGATTTGAGCACTATTCAACCTTCCTGTGGTGGCAGTAATTAGCAATGTAGCCATTAGACAGAATTCATATCCATTAGAATTCATATCCATTAGACAGAATTCATATCCAGTTTCATTCTCCTACATGTGGCTAGCCAATTACCTCAGCAACATTTGTTGAAAAGGGTGTCCTTTCCCCATTTTATGTTTTTGTTTGCTTTGTCGAAGATCAGCTGGGTGTAAGCATTTGGGTTTATTTCTGGGTTCTCTGTTACATTACATTGGTCTATGTGCCTATTCTTATACCAGTACAATGCTACTTTGGTGACTATGGCCTTATAGTTTGAAATCAAGTAATGTGATACCTCCAGATTTGTTATTTTTGCTTAGTCTTGCTTTGGCTATATAGGCTCTTTTTTGGTTCCATATGAATTTTAGAAATTTTTTTTTAATTCTGTGAAGAATGATGGTGGTATTTTGATGGGTATTGCATTGAATTTGTAGATTGCTTTTGGCAGTATGGTCATTTTCACAATATTGATTTTATCCATCTATGAGTATGGGATGTGTTTCCACTTGTTTGTGTCGTCTATGATTTCTTTCAGCAGTCTTTTGTGAAGCTGAATCCTCATCTCTCACCTTATGCAACAGACAACTCAATGGATCAAGGATTTAAATCTAAGACCTGAAACTATAAATATTCTGGAAGATAACATTGGAAAAACCCTTCTAAACATTGGCATAGGCAAGGATTTCATGACCAAGAACCCAAAAGCAAATGCAATTAAAACAAAGATAAATAGCTGGGACTTAATTCAGCTAAACAGCTTTTGCATGGCAAAAGGAACAGTCAGCAGAGTAAATAGATAATCAACAGAGTGGGAGAAAATCTTCACAATCTATACATCCAACAAAGGACTAATATCTAGAATCTACAACGAACTCAAGCAAATCAGTAAGAAGGAAACAAACAATTCCATCAAAAAGTGGGCTAAGGACATGAATAGACAATTCTCAAAAGAAGATACACAAATGGCCAACAAACATATGAAAAAATGCTCAACATCACTGATGTCAGGGAAATGCAAATCAAAACCACAATGGGATACCACCTTACTCCTGCCAGAATGGCTATAATCAAAAAAATAAAAAAATAATAGATGTTGGCATGGATGTGGTGATCAGGGAACACTTCCACACTACTGGTGAGAATGTAAATTAGTACAGACACTATGGAAAACAGTGTGGTTATTCTGCACAACAGTGTGGAGATTCCTTAAAGATCTAAAAGTAAAACTACCATTTGACCCAGCAATCCCACTACTGGGTATCTTCCCAGAGGAAAAGAAGTCATTATACAGAAAAACATATTTACACATGCATGTTTATAGCAGCACAGTTTGCAAATGCAAAATCATGGAACCAACCCAAATGCTCATCAATCAATGAGTGGATAAGAAATATGCAATATATATACATATATATCATATATATCATATATGTATATATATCACAGGTTTCTTATATATATCATATATATCACATACATATGATATATATGATATATCATATATGTCACATATATATTATATATATATCATATATATGATATATATGTATCATATACACACACACACAATGGAATATTATTCAGCCTTAAAAAGGAATGAATTAACAGCATTTGCAGCGACCTGGATTAGATTGGAGACTATTATTCTTAGTGAAGTAACTCAGGAATGGAAAGCCAAACACTGTATGTTCTCACTCATATGTGGGAGCTAAGCTATGAGGATGCAAAGGCCTAAGAATGATACAGTGGAATTCGGGGACTTGGGGGAAAGGTCGGGGGGATAAAAGACTACAAGTAGTGTGCAGTGTATACTGCTCGGGTGATGGGTGCACCAAATCTCACAAAGCACCACTAAAGAACTTACTCATATAACCAATACCACCTGTACCCCAATAGCCTATGGAAAAAAAAGATAGAATTCATATTCAACACTGTACCCACACGTGCACATCAACTGACTTTAAGGGAGAATCTCAGAACCCTAGGGTAGGAACTAGGTAAGGGAAAAGGTGGAGACTTAAGGCAGGAGAGGGAAAACTAGACAAATAAAAAAGGCAGTCATTTAAGACAGAGGCGGAAACTTCAAGAAAAAATCTGACATCATAAAAACCCAATGCAGAACTCTCAGAGCTGCTGCTGGCTCATTTCAGCAGCCCACCCTGCCTCATCTCTCAGAATGTACTATCTCTCCAAATAAGCTTTTTACTCCTTATTTCTTTTCAATAAAACTCTCTCTCAGAGCTGTTGCTGGCTCATGTCAGCAGCCCACCCTGCCTCATTTCAGCAGCCCACCCTGTCTCATCCTTGCCTTTCCATCCAAATAAGCTTTTTAATCTTATTTTCTTTTCAATAAGCCTCTCTATTTCATATTTATTCATAGTTGTTTTAAATTCCTGGTCTGATAATTCCAACATCCCTGCCATATCTGATTCTGTTTTTGATGTTTGCTCTGTTTTCAAACTGTTTTTTATTTTGATTTTGCTTTTTAGTATTGCTTGTAAATTTTTTTAACAGTTTGACATGATTTATTGGGTTAAAGGAATTGCTATCAGTAGAT
Source organism: Homo sapiens (assembly GCF_000001405.40). NCBI lineage: Eukaryota > Metazoa > Chordata > Mammalia > Primates > Hominidae > Homo > Homo sapiens. The sequence goes on from NC_000001.11 coordinate 102,772,422, forward strand.
CTTTAATAACGTGGTAGTAAGATGTGATAGATGTGGAGAGAGGAGAAACATTTTACAATTCTATGAATAGTTCTCAGTTTTATTGAGCCTATACCAACGGACTGTGAACTTCACATGTAAATCTCATTTTTTTCTCCCTTCAATGGGACAAGATAGCTAGAGTGGGCTGGATTTGGATATTTCCTTTTCTCCACATGCTAGAGACAAGTGGAGTTGAATATTTTCTTTCCCTTCATGTTAGACTTTGATAAAACCTCAGCAGTTTAGGGTCTGGTTAAATAGCTTCTACTGAGGTCAGACCTTGTTAAGAAAAACAGAATGCTCTGGCATGTTTCAAAATGATTTTTTTTCTTCTCCCCTTCTAGAAGCAGCAGGGGATATTTTTTCAATATGAATTGTGAGAATCTGGTCTGTCGATAAGACTCACAAAAGTGTGGAGCTTCAAAATATCTGGGTCACCTTTGAATTTTTAATCTCTCAGGTTTGTTTTTGCTAAGCCTCCAGCAATTAATCCATCATAGTTCAGGTTTTCTTACCTCAATGTTGGTTCCCCGTGTTGCTTTTGCTTGTGGGTTTCCGCTCCAGCAAGCTGCAGTTCTCTGCGTTCACCTGTTGGGCTCTCCAATATTAGGAGCAGCAGATAGCTCTGTGACTCCACCTTTTTGTTGGATCTAAGAAGAGTTTTATTTTATTTCATTTCATTTCATTTATTTTATTTTATTTTTATTTTATTTTATTGTTTTAGACGGAGTTTCTCTCTTGTTGCCCAGGCTGGAGTGCAATGGTGGACTCTCCGCACGTCGCAACCTCTGCCCCCCCGGTTTCAAGCGATTCTCCTGCCTCTGCTTCCCAAGTAACTGGGATTACAGGCATGCACCACCACGCCCGGCTAATTTTTTGTATTTTTAGTAGAGACAGGGTTTCTCCATGTTGGTCAGGCTGGTCTAGAACTCCCCACCTCAGGTGATCCACCCGCCTCAGCCTCCCAAAGTGCTGAAATTACAGGCGTGAGGCACCACTCCTGGCCAACATTTTTTGTTTGTTTGTTTGTTTTGTTTTGAGACGGAGTTTCACTCTTGTTGCCCAGGCTAGAGTGCAATGGCGCGACCTCGGCTCACTGCAACCTCCGCCTACCAGGTTCAAGCGATTCTCCTGCCTCAGCCTCCCAAGTAGCTGGAATTACAGGTGCCCGCCACCAGGCCCAGCTAATTTTTTGTGTTTTTAGTAGACACGGGGTTTCACTATGTTGGCCATGCTGCTCTCGAATCCACCTGCCTAGGCCTCCCAAAGTGCTGGAATTACAGGCGTGAGCCACCGCGCCTGACCTGAGTTGTTAATTTTTAAGTGGTTTGTCATTTTACTTGATGTAAAGATGGAGTGGTGACTTCTAGCTTTTTACATGCCAGACAGGAAATTGGAAGAGCACCATGCAAAAATTTTAAAACTTGAATTAGTGATACACTGGTAGTCTACCTCCTTTTTTAATACACTACCCTTTTCTTGATTAGCTTAATCATGGAGCCATTATGATCAGATGTACAATCTCCATCACATATACTCAACACCAACTATAATATTTGCAGTTAATATTTGTCTGTCCACTGAATAATTCAAATAATTTTACATAAAAGAAATCTAATGAAAATAAAACTAAATGTTGGGAAACTACATAGATATGTGAGTAAATTTTGCTAAATCATGATGCCAATAATGTCAAGTCATAGATTTCACCTAGGAAGTGTATATATATATATATATATATATATATATATATATACACACACACATATATATACACATATATATACATATATACACACATATATATACACGTATATATACGTATATATATACACGTATATATATACGTATATATATACATATATATACATATATACACATATATATACATATATACATATATACACATATATACATATATATATACATATATACACATATATATATATACATATATATATATGCCTATGGAGATATTTCCATTTTAAAAACATTACAGAGAGATACAAAAATATATTTTATTTTGCTATATAATTATACAAGAAAAAGAGAAGAAATCTAAAATATCTACTTTTTGCCGGTTGTTATTTTAGGTAATTCTTATACTACTCTCTTTAAATTTTGACATATAATAGATTTCCATTTTGTATGTGTTTATGATACACTACAGTTTATTTACTTTTCTAAATTAGTTTCATGAAAAATATATATGAGGTAGTGAGGAAATGAAGCACTATTTTCTCCATCTCATATACTTAATTTCTGACAGTTTTTTATTATGCCAGAACTGTTACAGGAAACAGGTCCTGATCCAGACCCCAAGAGAGGGTTCTTGGATCTGGTACAAGAAGGCATTCAGGGTGAGTCCGCAGTGCAAAGTGAAAGCAAGTTTATTAAGAAAGTAAAGGAATAAAAGAATGGCTACTTCACAGTCAGAGCAGCCCTGAGGGCTGCTGGTTGCCCCTTTTTATGGTTATTTCTCGGTGATATGCTAAACAAGTGGTGGATTTTTCATGCCTTCCCTTTTTATAGACCATATATGTTAACTTCCTGAGGTTGCCACGGCATTTGTAAACTGTCACGGCGCTGGTGAGAGTGTAGCAGTGAGGACGACCAGAAGTCACTCTCGTTGCCATTTTGGTTTTGGTGGAGTTTGGCAGGCTCCTTTACTTCAACCTGTTTTATCAGAAAGGTCTTTATGACCTGTATTTTGTGCTGACCTCCTATCTTATCCTGTGACTTAGAATGCCTTAACCATCTGGGAATGCAGCTCAGTAGGTTTCAGCTTCATTTTACCCAGCTCCTATTTAAGATGGAGTTGCTCTGGTTCACGTGCCTCTGACAGATCCTTAATCTAATACTATTCCTGTCATGGCCAAATTGGGGATGAACGAAACGGTAAATAATAAGCAAAGAGAAATAACAATTATTTGGATATACTATAGGAGAAAAAATAAATTCAAGAATGTTAATTGCCTCTTTTATTCTTTTTGCTGAGATTACCAATGTTGTGTTTGTTGTATATATTTTCAACATTTTATTTAATGTTTTTGCATTACTTTTATAATATTTTATTTTTTGATTTTTAAAAATTTGAAATCTTGCAAAATAAAAGATTTTAAAAAATACACCTCAAAATGTATAAATCACATACCTTCTTTTGAGGTAAATACTTGTTTGCAGAATAAAAAGCAATATAATAACATTAAAAGGTTTTGGAAAATGGAGAAAAAATGGTTCAGAATTTTACCAATTTCACAATCATAGTTTTCATTTGGGTAAAGTCCAGGCTGATCATATATTTTTGCACTCGCGCATGCGTGTTTGTCTTTGTGTGTGGGGGGTGTGTAGTTATTATTTCCATTATAACTTTATAAGCTATTATTTTCATATAACATCATAGTACCAGTTTTTGTTTTCATTTTTACCCTATATTCTCTTATTTTCCTAAAATCTATCTTCTTTTAAAAAATAGTGACCATTTAGGTCAAATGTTTCTTTTTTAAAATCCAAAGTAGTATCATTTTATTATATAACCAATAAACTATTGCATATAAAAAGATGGGATATACTTTTGCAAAAGTTCCCAAACCCCTTGCTTTTGATCAAACAGTGCAAAATTCTATCAAAGCTGCATATTTGATTCAGAAATGTATTATGAAGTCTTCAGTAGACATGGGCCTCAGGTAAATTTTAGCTCTCCTGAACCATGGGCCAAAAAAGAGCTCACGCCCTTCTGCCAGCCACTAGCTCTCAGTTGTCTGGAACACAAGGTAAGAGCAGGTGCCAGAGCCCATCAGTCACTGCAGGGGTGCTGTGCAGCATGCATTTGCCTTTCAAAGTGTCTTTCTTTGATCTGTCAGAGCACCAGAGGAGATCTCAGCAGGAGCTAGGCATCTGGTCAACCTTGTCAGCTTTCTCCCAAACTCTTGATTACAAATGCCAGAGAGGGAAAAACAGATTCAAAAAGAAAGTCTTCAGTGAAATAGTTAAATATCCTTTTATTTCCAGTTTCTGTGGGGCAGGTGGAGGCAGGTGAAGTAACTAGGTGTTGACTAAATAAAAAGAACAAGAGACAAGGGCTTTAAAAAGTTGAGATGGGCTGGGCCTGGTGGCTCATGTCTGTAATCCCAGCACTTTGGGAGGCTGAGGCAGGTGGATCACGAGGTCAGGAGATCGAGACCATCCTGGCCAACATGGTGAAACCCTCTCTCTACTAAAAATACAAAAATCAGCTGGGCGTGGTGGTGCATGTTTGTAAGTCCAGATACTCAGGAGGCTGAGGGAGGAGAGTCACTTGAACTACGGAGTCGAAGCTTCCAGTGAGCCGAGATCGTGCCACTGCACTCCAGCCTGGCAAGAAAGCTTAAATAAATAAATAAATAAACAAATAGTTGAGATGCATGTAGACGCAAATTTCACCCTCCTTATTGATCCAGTCACTGATTTAAAACTCCTGTTGGACCATCATCCAAGGATGCTGGCCTAAAGATAGCTATTCCCGAATGTTCCAGATAAATATGAGATAATGCCAACATAGACCCCAAAATCCACTATGTGTAATTAGTGTCAAGTTGTTATCCAGGAGTAGCCAATACAGCTGTTTTCCAGCTAAAGGAATTCATGCTCCAGGAATTCCAGAACAAACGCAAAGGGTCTGGACTGGATGAAATACTCAACCTTAGGCAACTGAAAGTGATTGCTTATGGCTGTTGGATTTAGTGAATGAAATCCATGATCACAGTCTTCATTGTGTCAGGAGCTCTCTATGCACTGATCATCCTTTAGCCACAGAACTTAGAATATTACCTGACATTACCTGATAGGTACTAAGATGAGTAAAGGAATGATTGATACTGACCCTGAGTTTTTTCCACAACATGTCCCTCAGCCCTCTGTTGTTTTTTTTGTTTATAATTACTATTAAACACTATTATAATTATTATAAGTTGTTTATTTTCTATTTGTATTTCATCTTGTTTAAGTATCTAATGGCCTTTATTTGCTTAACTTCATTTCTTTTATTTTATTTTCTTTTTTTTTTTCTGAGACGGAGTTTCCCTCTTGTTGCCCAGGCTGGAGTGCAATCGTGTGATCTTGGCTCACTGCACCCTCCGCCTTCTGGGTTCAAGCCATTCTCCTGCCTCAGCCTCTGGAGTAGCTGGGATTACAGGCACACACCACCATGCCTGGCTAATGTTTGTATTTTTAGTAGGGACGGGGTTTAATCATGTTGGCCAGGCTGCTCTCAAACTCCTGACCTCAGGTGATCCACCCGCCTTGGCCTCTCAAAGTGCTGGGGTTAAAGGCATGAGCTACTGCGCCTGGCCTGCTGAACCTCAATTCTTAGGGAAAAACAATGCAAACTCTTTATTTAATTTTAACTCAATATTCACATCATTTATTTTAAAATTAATTGTAATAAGGGTGATGTTCTTTATTTTTTATGTGATGCACATTTGATTGCCTTTCTATCATTTCATAAATACATGCTGACTACTTAGGGAGAGATTGAGTCACCTCTTAAAGATGTTACCAGGTACATTAATCACTACTTGCTTTTTAACCTTCATTTTACTTCTTGTTTGTAACTGATTTTCATTACTTAAAATTCCAGTAGTGTTTTCTTCCAAGGTGCTTTTCTCTAAGGACATATAAAAATTGCCTACGTGAAATATTTTGACAAGTTATTTTGAAAATACAATTAAGAGCCAAGAAATGGATTAATATTTATGGAATCATTCAGTTATATAAATTATGTTTAGTGTAGTCTATTGTCAAAATAGATTTTTCTGCAATAAAAAAGATAAAAGTTGACTCGTTAAAGAAGATTTTCCAGAAAATTGTACTTCACAGGATTTTAATGTTCACAAAATTTTAATGTTCAAATTGAACCTGATTTGGAGCACTTAGGGTGATATAACACATTTAAAAAACAAAATATTTGTCTTAGTAAATAAGGGTTTTTATAATTTTCTCTAGATATAGGTCAATGTACTATATAGAAATGTAGTGTAGTCTTTCATGCATTGTTTCCAAATTTTATTATCTTAAAATTTTAAAATTTGACTTTTTCCCTTAATTTAGTGAGTTGCCAACAGTTCTAACTTGCATCTATCTTCCCTCATCCTGGAGCTCTTGATCCTCTTATACTTCTCTATGTTTTCTTTTTTCAGTCACACTTATCACTTCCTAATATTTAACAAAACTTATTTTATATTTTATTCATTACTGTCTTATTCTTCCTTTTAGAGTTGGTTATTTGAAGCCAGTGATGTGTGTATGTGTGCATGCATGCGTGTGTGTATATTTGTGTTTTCACTAATTACTGTATCCAGAGCACTTGGAGATCCTTCTGGCACTCAGAAACATATATTTAACAAGTAAGTATTTGTTAAAAGAATGATTTTTAGACGGTGACTAAAGTAAAACTAATAATCTTATCTGTTTTTATAGGATGAAATGTTTCCGTGTGAAGGAAGGATCATTATAAATTTGCCACGTACAAAGTACAACTTAAGTTATATATCAAAACACCTTAGCTTTTTATTTATTTTTTTGTTGCCATTTCAACAATTGCATTTTAAATCTCATTCAAGTTTGCAATACAATTCCACCTATGGACCATGTTTCCAAATATGTGTGTTTATGTATGAATAGAAAGGAAACTGGTAGTTGTGTTATATAACAAAATCAATACCTTAGGTAACTCATCAGTCTCATTACTGGATATATACCCAAAAGAAAATAAACTGTTCTACTAAAAAGACACATGCACTTGTGTGTTCATTGCAGCACTATATATAATAGCAAGGAAATGGAATAAACCTAGGTGCCATATACACCATTGAATACCACAAAGCCATAAAAACTGAAATCATGTCCATTGCAGGAACATGGATGCAGCTAGAGGCCACAATCCTTAGCATATAGTCTTATCTTATCCCTATTACTTTTGTAAAACTGAGTTACTTCATTGAGCAGTGGTTTGTAGTTCTCCTTGAAGAGGTCCTTCACATCCCTTGTAAGTTGGATTCCTAGGTATTTTATTCTCTTTGAAGCAATTGTGAATGGGAGTTCACTCATGATTTGGCTCTCTGTTTGTCTGTTATTGGTGTATAAGAATGCTATCCTGAGACTTTGCTGAAGTTGCTTATCAGCTTAAGGAGATTTTGGGCTGAGACAATAGGGTTTTCTAGATATACAATCATGTCATCTGCAAACAGGGACAATTCGACTTCCTCTTTTCCTAATTGAATAACCTTTATTTCCTTCTCCTGCCTAATTGCCCTGGCCAGAACTTCCAACACTATGTTGAATAGGAGTGGTGAGAGAGGGCATCCCTGTCTTGTGCCAGTTTTCAAAGGGAATGCTTCCAGTTTTTGGCCATTCAGTATGATATTGGCTGTGGGTTTGTCATAGATAGCTCTTATTATTTTGAGATACGAACAAATGGAAGAACATTCTATGCTCATGGGTAGGAAGAATCAATATCATGAAAAGGGCCATACTGCCCAAGGTAATTTATAGATTCAATGCCATCCCCATCAAGCTACCAATGACTTTCTTCACAGAATTGGAAAAAACTACTTTAAAGTTCATATGGAACCAAAAAAGAGCCCGCATCACCAAGTCAATCCTAAGCCAAAAGAACAAACCTGGAGGCATCATGCTACCTGACTTCAAGCTATACTACAAGGCTACAGTAACCAAAACAGCATGGTACTGGTACCAAAACAGAGATATAGATCAATGGAACAGAACAGAGCCCTCAGAAATAACACCACATATCTACAACTATCTGATCTTTGACAAACCTGAGAAAAACAAGCAATGGGGAAAGGATTCCCTATTTAATAAATGGTGCCAGGAAAACAGGCTAGCCATATGTAGAAAGCTGAAAATGGATCCCTTCCTTACACCTAATACAAAAATTAATTCAAGATGAATTAAAGACTTAAATGTTGGACCTAAAGTCATAAAAACCCTAGAAGAAAACCTAGGCATTACCATTCAGGACATAGGCATGGGCAAGGACTTCATGTCTAAAACACCAAAAGCAATGGCAACAAAAGACAAAATTGACAAATGGGATCTAATTAAACTAAAGAGATTCTGCACAGCAAAAGAAACTACCATCAGAGTGAACAGGCAACCTACAAAATGGAAGAAATTTTTTGCAACCTACTTATCTGACAAAGGGCTAATATCCACAATCTACAATGAACTCAAACAAATTTACAAGAAAAAAACAAACAACCCCATCAAAAAGTGGGCAAAGGACATGAACAGACACTTCTCAAAAGAAGAAATTTATGCAGCCAAAATTCACATGAAAAAATGCTAATCATCACTGGCCACCAGAGAAATGCAAATCAAAACCACAATGAGATACCATCTCACACCAGTTAGAATGGCAATCATTAAAAAGTCAGGAAACAACAGGTGCTGGAGAGGATGTGGAGAAATAGAAACACTTTTACACTGTTGGTGGGACTGTAAACTAGTTCATCCCTTGTGGAAGTCAGTGTGGTGATTCCTCAGGGATCTAGAACTAGAAATACCATTTGACCCAGCCATCCCATTACTGGGTATATATCCAAAGGAGTATAAATCATGCTGCTATAAAGACACATGCACACGTATGTTTATTGTGGCACTATTCACATCAGCAAAGACTTGGAACCAACCCAAATGTCCAACAATGATAGACTGGATTAAGAAAATGTGGCACATATACACCATGGAATACTATGCAGCCATAAAAAATGATGAGTTCCTGTCCTTTGTAGGGACATGGATGAAATTGGAAATCATCATTCTCAGTAAACTATCGCAAGGACAAAAAACAAACACCACATGTTCTCACTAACAGATGGGAATTGAACAATGAGAACACATGGACACAAGAAGAGGAACATCACACTCTGGGGACTGTTGTGGGGTAGGGGGAGGGGGAGGGATAGCATTAGGAGATATACCTAATGCTAAATGATGACTTAATGGGTGCAGCACACCAGCATGGCACATGTATACATATGTAACTAACCTGCACATTGTGCACATGTACCCTGAAACTTAAAGTATAATAATAATAAAATAAAATTAAAAAAAAAAGAAAAAAAAACTGAGTTATGTAGTAAATAAGGACAGACAAAAATAAATAAAATTTACATATTTTTGTGTATAAAACATTCATTTAGTTTTATTGTTTCACTATGAATACAAATTTCTGTGTTTTGGGTGGCATATGTATCATTTATGTCATAGAAATAAATTATGATTTACAGATTTTACACGGTCATTCTGCAATTCAAAACTGAAATTTGTTATTTCTTATAGAATTTTTTCAATACTTTGAATTTATACTGATATTTACAAATGATAGATACAGCTTACTAATAACTCCATATCAGAAATTAGTAGAGAACAAAAGTAGAGGCTTTTTAATAGATTTTTTTCTTAAAAGTTGCATCATCTTTTTGTTAAGATAATTGTAAGAGTGTTTTGGCATTATTTATTCTATCTATGTAAATCCATAGAAAAACATTAATGTGCAGCGAGTGTTAAGAAAAACAAAGTAACTCTTGTCTTTAATCATATAGTCAATTTTATCCAATTAAAACAGTCATAAAAGAAGGTGCCTAATGAATATCTAAAAAAATGAAATAAAAATTACTTTCACAAATAAAAAAGTCTACCTAGACTATATATTTAGTATATTTGTCAATAAATAAATAAATAAAAACCAACTTGCCCTGGGCTTTTCTGCCTTTTTGATAAGGAGGTGGTTTAGCTGTCTTAATGATATGCATTCATTTTTATTACAAATTTATAGACAGAATAATGATGAGAATAGACTGTGAGTCATCATTTAACATCCCAGAATTGTTTATTCTTAACAAGAGAAAAAGAATATGTAATTGAGAGGTGGGAGTCTGCACTTATGGTTATTTGTGAATCATTTCTGCTTGAACTTTCATCTGAAAAATTGTGCATTCTCTGAAAAATAAGCCAAAACCAAGACAAGAAATAAGAGGGCCCTAGTTTAGGAAATCAGGAAAAGGTCAAGAGAGGCAGATAATGAAGGAATGATAGAGACAGAATTTTTAGAAAGTGCTGTAGAAAAAAGTAGAAAATATATCACTCAGATGTACCAATGACATTAAGTTATACATCCCAGTATTGAATCTCCATGTGACTGATTCTTGTTCAGCCTACTTTGTCACTGACATTATGAAGCATTATATAAGAAATAACCACTATATATCCTGGAACGTCCATTAAACATTTGTATTTTATAAAAATTTTGCCTGATCATAATTAAATCTTGCATAAACACAAAACTCAAAACAAATGAAAAGAATGCTTGTTTGAGAATTTGTTTTAGTCCATTCTTATGCTGCTAATAGACATACCTAAGACTTGGTAACTTAAAGGAAAGAGATTTAATTGACTCACAATTCCACAGGGCTTGGGAGGTCTCAAGAAACTTACAATCGTGACAGAAGGGGAGGAATATGTCCTTCTTCACATGATGGCTGCAAGGAGAGATAAATGGGAGCTGAGTGAAGAGGTAAGCCCCTTATAAAACCATCAGATCTCATAAGAACTTACTGTCATGAGAATAGCATGGGAGAAACTGCCCCCATGATTCAATCACCACCCACTGGGTTCCTCCCAGGACAAATAGGGATTATGGGAATTAGAATTTGAGATGAGATTTGGGTGGGGACACAACCAAACCATATCATTCGACCTTGGCCCCTCCCAAATCTCATGTCCTCACATTTCAAACCACAATCATGCCCTTCCAACAGTCCTTCAATGTCTTAACTCATTCTAGCATTAACTCAAAAGTCCAGAGTCCAAAGTCTCATCTGAGACAAGAAAAGTTCCTTCCACCTATGAGCCTGTAAAATCACAAGCAAATTAGTTAATTCCTAGATACAATGGGGGTAAAGGCATTGGGTAAAGACACCCATTTCAAATGGGAGAAACTAGCAAAAACAAAGGGGCTACTGGCCTGATGCAAATCTGAAATCCAAGGAGGCAGTACTTAAATATTAAAGCTCCAAAGCAATGTCCTTTGCCTCCATGTCTCACCTTCAGTTCATGCTGATACAAGAGGTGGGCTACCTCAGCCTTGGACAGCTCCACCCTTGTGGCTTTGCAGGGTACAGCCGCCCTCCCGGCTGCTTTCACAGGCTGGCATTGAGTGTCTGTGGCTTTTGCAGGTACACAATGCAAGCTGTTCGTGGATCTACCATTCTGGGGTCTGGAAGGTGGTAGCCCTCTTCTCACAGTTCCACAAGGCAGTGCCCTAGTAGGGAATCTGTGTGGGGACTTCAACCTCACATTTTTCTTCCACACTTTCCTAGCAGAGGTTCCCCATGAGGGCTCTGCTCCTGCAGCAAACTTCTGCCTGGACATCCAGGTGTTTCCATACATCCTGTTAAACCAAGGCAGAGGTTCCCAAACCTCAATTCTTGACTTCTGTGCACCCTCAGGCCTAACACCACATGTAAGACACCAAGGCTTGGGGCTTACACCCTCTGAAACAATGGCCTGAGCTGTACATTGGCCCCTTCAAGCCACAGCTGGTGTTGAAGCAGCTAGGATGCAAGGCCTCATGTCCCAAAGGTTGCATGGAGCAAGGGGACCTAGGCCCGGCTCAGGAAATTATTTTTCTCTCCTAGGCCTCCAGGCCTGTGATGGGAGGGGCTACTGTGAAGGTCTCTGATATGCCCTGGAAACATGTCAGATATATTTTTCCCATTTTATTGGTGATTAACATTTGGCTCCTTGTTACTTAAACAAATGTCTGCAGCCTGCTTGAATTTCTCCCCAGGAAATGAAGTTTTTTTTTCTATGGCATCATCAGGCTGCAAATTTTCCAAACTTTTATGCTCTCCTTCCTCTTGAATGCTTTGCCACTTAGAAATTTCTTCCACCAGATACTCTCAGTTATCTCTCTCAAGTTCAAAGATCCATGGATCTCTGGGGCAAAATCTTGTCAGTCTCTTTGGATAGCAAGAGTAACCTTTACTCCAGTTTCCAAATTTCTCATCTCCATCTGAAACCACCTCAGCCTTGATTTCCTTATCAGCATTTTGGTCAAAACCATTCAACAGATCTCTAAGAAAATCCAAACTTTCCCACATCCTCCCATCTTCTGAGCCCTCTAAGTCTCTAAAGAGTTCCAAACTTTCCCATATTTTTCTTCCTTCTTCTAAGCCCTCCAAAGTGTTCCAACCTCTGCCTGTTACCCAGTTCTAAAGTCACTTCCACATTTTCAGGTATCTTTACAGAAGCGCCTCACTCTCTGTGGTATCAGATTACCGTATTAGTCCATTCCATGCTGCTAATAAAGACATATCCAAGACTGGGTAACTTATAAAGGAGAAATGTTTGATTGGCTCACAGTTCCACAGGGCTGGGGAGATCTCAGGAAACTTCCAATCATGGCAGATGGGGAAGCAAACATGTTCTTCTTCACATGGTGGCAGCAAGGAGAGAAAAATGAAAGCCAAGTGAAAGGGGAAGCCCCTTATATAAAACCATCAGATCTCATGAAAACTTACTCACTATCTCGAGAATAGCATGGGGGAAATCCCTCCTATGATTCAATTACCTCTCACTGGGTCCCTCCCACAACACATGGGGATTACGGGAATTACAATTCCAGATGAGATTTGGGTAGGGACACAGCCAAACCATATCAGTATTTCTTCTGATTTGAAGACATTTTGATCATTCATTATCTCATCAAAAATTTTTTGTATCTTTAAAATGTTTTTGTAGCTTTTGCAGTAAACTATTTTAAATGTATTTTGGATTTCTTCTGAGTAGCATTACTTCTAGCTCATTTGCTGTGTACTATTTTATCTGTAAATTATCTGCTAGAAAGTACACAAATTAAATTGTGGAGCCTTTTAGGATTGTCAGATCATTTCCTTTCCCACATATTACTTCTGGCTAAATGTAATTGTCTGCCACAATCCAAAGATAATGTTGAACACTTTACTAGAGAGGAAATTGAAATGTATGGCTCAATTTCAACAGACCTAAATAGTGTAATTATTCAATCACGTATTCGAATGCTAGCTGCCTCTCAGGTCCCTTTTCTCTTCTTGCTTTAGAAAAATAGTTCATTTTGACAAACAATGCACTCAACTTACAGACAAAACTTTCCAGACTCTCTTGCAATGAAAAATGGCCACATTACTAAGCTTTGGATAAAGAAATATAATTAGGAGTGTTGTATCAGGCTTCAGGAAAAATGTTTAATGGGAGGAGCATGAAGCTCTTGAGTAATGTCAAACTTTCTTAGACTATGAGTTTATCCTGAGGATAGGAGCTAGCCCTAGGTATCTGATAACTTTCTTGAGTTGCCACATCAGCGAGGGAATGATTACATTCAGGATTATTTTAAAAGAATAAAATCTTGTATGTGTAAGCCATTGCAAAACAATGTATATTTAAGTCACTGTTAATACAGTTCTGAGATTGCTACTCAGAGAACTTGAATTGATTGCCTCCAGGAATACCTTACGTATAAGGTATTTACTAGTAGAACTAGTAGCTACTAATGTAGGCCATAATTCACTTTCCCAATTATATATGCAAAAATGTATTCAATTTGTGAGTATAAGGAAGTCAGCTGACATTTTTAAGAACCTTGAAACATGATGTGTGTAACCTTTGATTCAAAGACCTCTCAACTCTATGTGCTATTTAAAAAGCACAAATCTATCTTTATTATACAACATGTGAAAAAGGAATAAAGACTTAAGACATTTCACTATATATATATATATATATTTATTTTTAATTGATATAGAGTCTCACTCTGTCGCCCATGCTGGAGTGTGGTGGCACAATCTCTGCTCAATGCAATCTCCGACTCCCACGTTCAAGTGATTCTCCTGCCTCAGCCTCCTGAGTAGATGGGATTACAGGAACGCACAACGATGATCAGCTAATGTTTGTAATATTTTTAGTAGAGATGGGGTTTCATCATGTTGGCCAGGCTGGTCTCAAACTCCTGACCTCAAGTGATCTGCTCGCCTTGGTCTCCCAAAGTGCTGGGATTACAGGTGTGGGCCACCATGCCCAGCTTCTTCTTTATTTATCTAATGGAAAATTCACTGGGGAATGTCAATCATCAAGTCTTATTAAAAAACTATTTATACAAAGCCTGTTATCTCATTTGAACCTCAAAGACAATAGGGGAATCATTTATTAATTTAACTATTAATATGAAATTAAGATCAGATTTCAAACAGATATAAATGAGCTCTTATGTTAAATTTAATTTCCTGAACTTTAAAAACAGTTCTGAATACATTGAGGGATGTGTCATTAAGTGGATACTTTCTCTGTAGTTTGGTCCAAATTTATATTCCAATAATTAATTTTGTAGTGTAGAAAAAGGAGATTCGAGTGGGAAAAAATATGAGTTTAGTCCTATACATTCTGAGTTCTATGTGACTACAGGATGTTGAAGGTGATAAGGAGGCAATTGACTAAACAGATCTAAAGCCTGGAGTGAGGACAAAGACTACCACAGAGATTTGCTAGTCATTAGCATATAGATGAGAATGGTTGCTTCTACACCAGCTAGCTGCAAAGTTGAAAAAGCAATTGGCCAAGAATGACATCATGGAGTTGTAAGATGAGGATATGTCCATAAAGGAATATCTGAATGGGTAAGAGAGAACAAGGAGAGTTGGGTCACCCAAGGCAAGAGAGAAGAACCTTTCTAGAAAGGTGTAGTTGGCAGTTTTAAACATGCCAGGAAAATCAAGTAGCCCAAGGCCCAAGAAAAATCTACTGGATCTGAGAAAATAGAAGCTATAGGGAAAACATTTTGTTTGAAAAAAGATGAAGATTCAAAAGGGTTGACGATTGAATGGAAGACAAAAAAGTAGAGATATGTGGTTGATTCTGTCTCTTTGGAGTAATGTCACTTTTAAGTTTTTATTTCTAACTCTTATAATTAATATTTCTTGTTCTACTAACTACTACCTTCAGGGTAATAAAGTAGTTATATCCACATATTTTCACCTCTCCTTTACTATGAAATGACTACTTGTACATTTTCATCATTTAGCTGGAAATTGTCTTTGAACTTTTGATAGAAATGTGCATTATCCTATCATACTCTATTTAGATTCCCCTTTAGAAGTGACTTATTTCCTCCAGCTGCTAGAAGTGTTGCAAGTAGACAGTTTTTAGCTGCTGAACTCCTATCTGGATTGCCTGGCTGAAGAGAGCCACCTGATCTAAAGCTATTTCTTCCTGGGACATCCAGCATTAAATGACTAATCATCAAAGGATATAGAGTCTAGGCTTGTTCACCTGAGTTAGGGCAACTTTGAAAGATGATCCCCATTTCTGATCTCCTCATATAATCAGTGGAGGCTTCTTTTCAGATGGTGTTACAGGTCAACCTTTCTCTCTGCCTTAATCCTGCTTCCCCCACCCCCAACACCCTTCCACAAGAGTTGACTCTAGGTATCTTCCCCAATAAACCAAAAATATGCTACTCATGACAGAGACTGCTTCCTAAAAAAGAAGTCAAACTGCAAAAATATTCTTTATCAGATTATTTGCTTCTCATTTATTTATAGTTTCTTAAATCTCCTCTTACTTTTTTATTTTTTCGTATAAGCTCCTTGATGATTCTTGAACTATACTAGCAGACTGAAGCTAGACTCAGCTTTCTGTCAAGGAGAAGTTCTGAGGTTGTGAGTTTTCACATGAAATCAATAGGAATTGATGGAAGGGACTCAATATTTGCCTCCTGCCACTCATAGGCTTAACATATACATATTTCTGACACATGGGAATTTTCTATTTCCTTTTTCATGACAAGTATATATTTAATTTATTTCAATAACATTTCATTCTGTATTTTTATATTAGGACACAAGATTCTTCATTATTTCAGTCAACCCTGTTTCTCAAACCAGAAGTCCCAAATACTAGTACAGTCCTCCCCAGTCTATTTTCTATGCAAGAACACACACACACACACACACACACACACACACACACACCCCAACCACTCAATAGATTATCTATATGAAAATATTTTTCTGTATGATTGTAATTTTTATTAATACTATTTTGAATAGCTATAGAACGTCTCTTTGTCTCAGGACAAATTCCCTAGAAGCAGATCCTGTGGCAGGATATGTGTGCAAGTGATTTATTAAAGCGTGCTCCCAAAGGAAATTGGTGAAAAGTGAAATACGTAATATTGTTTGACCTGCCCAAAGCAAGAGAGTTGGGTTTCCAAATTCACTCACAAGTCAGTCACTGATTAAGGCCACCCAGAGGGACATAAGCTCTCAAACTCCCAAATACTGCCAGCTCTCAGTAGTACAAGAACATTCCCCTGAAGAAAGTTACAGATGCAAGCCTACAAAGAAAGCACACAGAAGTAGGGAGTATGGCTTATAGAAGCAATAAAAGGATCTGAGTGCATCTGGCACCAATAATGTCTGCTCTACTTATTTTATTATCATATAAATCTCTATATAAAGTACATTATCAAATATATACAGATATACTAAGATAGAGCTCATGTTTTCTAACTAAAGAGACTTTTAGAGCTCTTCAGATGAACATGAGAATTAAGGATTCTTACCTGAAGGATACAAATTACAAAACTGTAATGGTAAATTTAACAACATTAACATGTTCTATAAATATGATTCCTTGTCTCTCCTAAAAGATGGAAGTAAGGGGGAGGTAAGATGAAATACAGAATATTATGAGAATGAGATTACAGCAGTTATATATACATAGATACATAAGAATTTCAGGTCTTGTATGTAAACAGTGCGGAAGGAGGAGGATAAGATGAGCACTGTGGTTGCTTTGACTTCTCTGGAGGTTTCTAGAAAAGTGAAGGTAGAGATATCAGAAAGAAAATGGTAGGTTGATCGATCTATGACTGATCAGTGGTATGCAGGCTTTGCTCAGAGTTCAAAAGCAAAGGTGAGTAGTTACTTTGATATCCCTGCTGAGGTAACTAAAGTCCATATCCAACTGCCCAAGTAATTGAAATTGCAGGATGAGATTCTTGATTTCTCTTCACTTAAAGAAACCAACAGTTATTTATGTTGCCACGTAGTACTTTTTATTTATTCAGAATTTTAAACTAATATGGTTATCATTACACACACACACACACGTATACACACTAATTTGATACTTTAATGAAGTTTAAAATAACATATGATATTGGAACGTTACCCCTGGAATTTGTGATTTATGCTTGTTCTGGGAAAATGTTTTAAATAATTATTTCTTTATTTATTTTGTCTTGAAAAAGATGACTGCTTAGATTTTTATTCAATGTCTTCTAATATGGACTAATGAAAGATCTGGCATGGGATCTGGCCAGCAGCCTGCAATGCAACTGGGCTCTCTCTTTGTTCCCAGGCAGATCAGCAGGTCGAGAAATAATAGACACACACAAGATAGTGAAAGCTGGGTCCAGGGAGGTCACTGCCTTCTGGTCCTGTGGTGCCGCCAATGCACTAGATATACCAGCATTTATTATTAAGTTTAGTGAGGGTGGGGGTAGGTTAGTGAGGGATTTAGGGTCATTTGATTATGAGGTGAGATGGTCACATTGGGATGAAGTAATTCTTTAACATAACATCTGTATGCAGTAGTACAGTACACAGAGATAAGAATTTACAATATAGTGTGTGCATCAGTAATTTCTAACAGAGCCTTAAAACAGAAACACTGTCTTTCCATAATCTATGATTAGCAAGATATTAATCAGCAGTAACAGTTGCAGCAAAAGCTGGTTACAAACAATCCATAGAAACAGGACGTGAAGCTAGACAACCAGTTAGACCAGAAATTCTCAGAAGGGAGCATGCCTTAATGCTAAAGAGGCCTAGAAGAGCCGTGAAAAGATGAGGGCGTTTATAGCCCTATCTTATCCGTATGGACAGGTGCCCCTCATGTGTCCGTTTATAGGCTCTCCACAAGGGTCACATTCCATTCCCAGAGCTATGAACATCTGCTTTTCTGGGATAGGAATCTTGGTGATGTGAAACCTCCCTGACTGCATGTCCATTTATAGGCTCTCTGCAGGAGGAAGCACATCATGAGCTGTTGGCTCATTCTGGCATTGCAACCTGGCATTGTCTTTTCACAATCCTGCATGCAATTTTGTATTTACAATAATCAGGAGCATTTCATCTTTTATTCTGTAGCAATAGTTTCAGGGGGTCTCCTTACAAAATATAAAATATTTTCCTATACAATTCAACATAATGATGTAATCTAAATTAAGTTGAACATATTAAATGTCCTAAATAGCACATGTTTCAAAGAAAAATTTTAACTTTATACTTTAGTCTTTTCTTTCATAGAAATATGTGTTTTTGCAAATAGGTTAAATACAATAGAACATTAAAATTCTAATCTTATTTGCCAATCCTTAGGTTCCTGAGAATCAGCTCCTAAATAATAAGAAATAAAAGATCATTCCTTTTAAAATTATGTGAGCATTTAAAATAATATTCATGTTTTAAAACTATACAATTAAGAAAAGTATGACTTGATTTTTAAGATAAACCCCTACCAAAACCTTCTTTCCAAGGTCTCTCAAAATTACATTATAGTAAACTGTAAATCATATTTAAACTCTTAAGAAATCTCAAAACAGATTTTATCTGAATCTTTGAGGTAATTTCATAAAGCTGCAGTGCCCCCTGGTTGCTATTTTATCCACCATTTCTGGTCAGCCTCTGTCTGATACCACTCTATGAAATATTCTTAAGCCTGCATATCAAAGAGGCTTCTAGAAATCAAACATGTTCCATTGAAATGAACCTATCTGGGATATAAATATTTTAAAACTTGGCAATAGTCTAACCATTGTAACATTATAGCTGGAAACTGGTAATTTATTGCATTCTTATTTTTACTTTTTGTTTTTTGTTTTTGTATTGAAGTTAGTTGGCTTTAAGTTTTGGGTTTCATCTGAAAAGTAGTGTTTCCCCATTAGTTATAATTTCCATACTGAATAATATGGATTATCATAAATTTTAGACACAATGAAAATGCTAATAATTTTCAGAATAATTCAAGATTTTTTGTTTTGTTTTGTTTTTTACTTTGAACATCTGTCTATATCCCTAGAAGACAACAAAGATAAATATCACAAGTAAGGACTGATGATATGAGAAAATTTACCACTTTTTTAAAGTTGTGCATTAACAGTTGTATTGCTAACACAAATAATAAAATAATATAACTGATTAAGTAATATTATTAATTAAACAAATAAAAAGCACACCCTTAATATGAATAAATTAATTAACCGATTTTAAAATTAATAGGGTTAACTATAAAGGTTATTGGAAAATGTGTTAATAAATCAATATTTTCCACAAAGATAGAATAAAAATATCAGATAAGTTATAACATTCAGTTTTCATATTAAACAAAGTAGTCCATTTATTAACATCTCAAATATGAAACATAGGGTAAGAATAATTTCAGTAAACCTTAAGAAAACAAAAAAATGAAGGATGCAGTCAATGTTAAAACTATTTTCCCTATTATCTCAAAAATAGATTAGTTTCAAAAACAGAATTCAATCAATGACAGACAAAAATGGACTGTGGATCACTGTGTCAGGGACACCTACTTGAAACTTGAAATGTTCCTTTAGGAAGTATGCACCTAATTAAATCAATATTAATGATATATTTTATTTTTTATTATAAATCATAACAAAAAATGTGCCAAGGTTGTGAAAACAACTCACTATTCAACACCATTTTTTAGGTCCTTAGTAACTTTAATATTAGTTTCAACAACAAATTATACAAAGAATATTTACCGCTAAAAAAGTCACCACAGTTTAATTTAAAAAAACCAGCAAACCAAAATCCTAGTTAATAGGCTATTTTCTAATTTAACAATTTATACTACTGGGGCTGGTAAATCCTTTATTGAAAAACCTAAAACTAATCAAAACTCACCTTGAAGACATTGATTAGGAATATTAATGATAACACCAAACTTATGTTATAGTTTAGCAGATACAAAGTAAAAAATTCTGAAGTGAAATTATTAAATACAAATGAAATGCTTCACTAAAAATCTACATACTGTGTATAGTTTAAAGAAGGTTAAATTAAATTTTATAAACAAATTTCACTATGTGCATTTAGAAGATTAAAAAAGAAAGCTTCCTACTTGAAGCATCAATTAATTAATATTCAAACCCTATTCCTGAATGTTGTATTTTCCTCCAGGGTTTCCTTAGGATGAAAAGGCAGTTGTTATACAAAAATGCTAACAAAGTGTTATGATAAACCTATCTGTGGGAATTCCTCAGTTGCTAGTACAAGAACAATTAGAAGAACTCATGTGAGCAGCTCTGCATCATTTCTTGGCTTCGACAAGCAGCAATGCATACAACATTTCAACAATATCCTCAGAGGGAGTAATTTCAGAAACAACTGGGAAATACTCACCAAAGATGAAAGTCTGGCAGGAAAGTATTCCAACTCAGGAACTTGCAGCTCATAATTTGAGGCATGAAACATTTTTAGGAATTGTTTAACACTATAGCATCAATAAGCCTTTAAAAAAGGGGAATGAGTAATGCCTTCATCGTGACATTTATTGTTTCCAATTAATATATTATTCTTGTTTAAATCATGTTATTTATTTTGAAATACATACATAGAATAAGAGAAGAAAAAATGTAAGTTTTTTTTTTTTTCCGTAAAAATCCAACTCAAGTCGTGAAACAAGACTGTAAAGCATAGTGGTATGGTTACAAACAAAGGACGATGGAAGTATAAAGGAAAAAATGAAGTGAAAAAGAATGCTTTTTATTAATCTGAATTATTCTGCTGATTTTTTAAACTATCAATAGATTTGCTCATAAACTCCTGCCCCAAATGTCTCTGCTCCAGAATTTGCAACTTAACATCAGGAAAATCATCATCATGATCATAAGGTGAAAATAATTTCATTTCACAGTGTGCAGTAATATATTTCATAGAAGATGAAATACAGGGTCAGCTTTATATTTTATCATGAAGAGAAAGATTCATAGACTCATAGAATTTTAGATTGAAGGTCAAAGTCAGCATTAATGAGTAAGACTGGAGGTGTTAAAATGAGCTCTGAAGTGACCAAGAATATTATGCTTGCCAATTTTTTCATCTCAGTTTTTAAAAACAATCTGATAATAAAGCCAATCTGTCAACTAATATCCCATAAACGTCAAAAGCTCAGTAGATAATACTAATTCACCTGAGCCCATCTATTTAGGCCAAGAGCATGCTCAACTCTCTTGATGCTTAATAACTCAGACCTCTTAGTCAATAACCAGTATTCTAGATAAGGAGATAGAAAAATTAAAAAAAAGTTATTATCTTTCCGTGTCATGTTTTGTGTGACTGGCTTCCTGAAATGTTCTATTTGAAATGGTATATTTGTTTTTCATTTGAAAGTTCATTTACACAAAATTGCATCCACTATTTGTAATTTTCATTTTAATGATAACCTCTTCTATATTTATGCATTTCTCTTTGTCCTCTGTACCATCTCTCTCTGATCTTTTTTGACAGTGGATTAAGGTAGCCCACATTCTTGTTAACAGCAATAAGTGCTAAAGACACCTGAGGGCAGCTTCCTCCGTAAAGAGGAAGACTGTCCTAACGCTTCAAATTGAAGTGAGAGAAAACTTAGATAATTCGTCTGCAATCCAACCAAGGTAGAACTGACTGACTCATCTTAGTGTTTGCTTAGAGTACTATATTATTATCATTTCAGTTAAGATAGCATTCTTAAAGATTCGCTGAATCCAATATCTCTAAATGGCACTCATGCCTGTAAAATGTAATTTTATCTCTGGATATTAACTTAGTTTAATTTATTTCCCATAGCTTGTGGTCAGTAAAGGAAATATGTGTATTGCAATTTAGGTTTATAAGTACTTTGAATCAAATTCAATCTCATAAAACTATTATAAGAACATACCAGTCAGATGGTGAATAGTTCACACAATTATTTTCAGTATCATCTGATATTTCAGTATCTGCATGAAATCAAATGGAATTTTAGTTTATCGTATATTCATCAGTTTTACTATTTAAACAATAAAAATTCAAACCTTTAATTAAAGAGCACAGAAGGAAAAACAACATGACTTTGGCTTAGGTTAGGGGTTCTGTTTTTGTGTTCAGAAATTCATTCTGGGGCTCCACTGTAAAATGCAAGAGCTAGGCAGTGGTCTTTTCAATCTGTGGGGCAAAAAATTAAGAGCATTTAGCAACTGTTTAGCTGATATCTGGGCAGAGGAGTGGGAAGAACTTGCTATGGAGATTATCACCTTTCCAAATACTTAATATATAGCACAACACTACAGAAAAAGGAAAATCATGACACTAAAAATACTGATGTTTTGCTTTATTTTATAGTGAGCTTTGCTGTGACTTAACACTGCCAACTCAAAGGTAGAATAATTTATCAATATACGTTAACCAGTTTTGGAAATATGTAATGTCACACATTATTATAATAGCTAATGCTAATAATTTTTAAAAGCTTGTTTTTGGAGAGATGTCATTATATTCTAGGAAGATATGAATAATTAATTTTGCCCACTTATGTTTCAAAGTTTATTTTAGAAGATTACTTGGTTACAGGTAAATATTGTTGTATATCTCATTTTACTTGTTAAATGATGGCTTTTTCAATGGTGAAGAAAATAGTCAACAGTCAATTGTGTTTCTTAGGGAAGAATAAGTTTAGGAGATGAATTATATTGCTCTACAGGTAGAAAAACAAGGTGTACTCATACAGTTAAGATGCAAAGGTGTATATAAAAAGTTTAAAGAAAATTAGGAAGGGAGATAACACTAGTTAGAAGTTATTAAGGATATTTTTGAGGAGGGTGAGAGGGACTAAATTTTACCCAAAGTTTTAAAATAATTTTTCAGAGTGCAATTTCTAAATGTGAGTTAAATGGACTAGCCTGCATTATATACAGTTCATCTGTCAATGGGCTAAAAATTCTGAAGCTATTTTATGTATATTCTAAAATTAAGAAAGTAAATAAGTACTTTTTGGATATGAGAGCCAGGATTCTCAATATTATAGAACAGAATTGCAAATGTGGAAAGGAAAAACAGGTCAGAATTAATATGATCCAGTTCGATATAAATTAGAGGGATCATATGAACTTATGGTTAGATATATAATATCCCATTCTAATAAAAGAGAAGACGATAAATGGTTGAAAGATGATCCTAGAATATTGTGGTGGCAAAAAATTAAAAAGTGCTCAAAAAGTGATGAAAACATGTCAAAAGGACAGGAAAGCCAGCTTGAAGAGGATCCCATTGCACCCACAAAATTATTTTTGTTGCTCAAATCTGGTGAATATGAGCAACAATAATAATTATAGTGACATTATAATCCATAGAATAGGATTAGTGTGTATTAATTTGTAATCAATCTACAAATAAATGGATATGGAGAATTTTTTGCAGAAAACATGATAAAAATAAAACAAAATATTATTTGGAGGCCACAAAAGCAGTAATTGTTCAGACAACAATCATCAATGGATGCCTCTATTAATGATATAATGATAAAAGAATGATAAAAGTAGAATATTTGCATAGTTTTTAAGAATCTTCCTGCAAGATGCTTATTAGTAATTTTACATTGGAGACAGAAGACAGACACCAAGTTAAGGAAGTCATCACATTTAATATTACCAGTAATGGAGCAACATAGTGCACCTTCTGACATGTTGTGGTTGAAAGAACACTGCAACATTCTGTGGCCCTCCTGGCAAATATCCAGGCAAATATCCAGGCAAATAGCCTAACCTGAATCTCATTACAAAGAAAATCAGACAACTCGGAATATGGGGAAATCTACAAAATAATTGCCCTGAACTCTTCAAAAGTGTAAGATCACAAAGAAATGTAGGAGGAATATTCTAGATTAAATGAGACTAAAGAGACAAGACAAGTAAAGCAATATGTGGTACTGGATTGGATCACAGAATAATTGGTGGCATTTTAATGAGGCTTGTAGGTTATATAATATTATTATATTTTATTATATATATTATATAATATTATTATATTATTATATATATAATACAATATTAATATTGTTAAACTTATTAATTTTAATTTATTAAAAAATATTAAAATTATTAAAATTAATAAGTCACTTAATTTTCTGAAATTTTATAATTTTGCTGAGATTATGTACTACAATGTTCTGGGATTTTTTTTAGGAAATTACACCAAAGTATGTAGTGTTAAATGTCTTTGCAACTTACTCCTGAAATTAAAAAAAATATTGATGTCCGCAGAGTTAGAGAATGAGTGATTAAACCAGTGTGGTGCCCTTAGCAAATCTAGGTGAACAGAATTTGTGCATGATTTCTGTTACTTTTATAAGTTGAAATTAGTTTCTAAAATAAATTCCAGTCTTGGAAGAGTGGACTGGATTGGGTCATATTCTCTTGGCAGGGTGAGGGAGTGGCAGGAAAGGCCTGGATTGACAGGCTCTCCAGTGCCACAGAAACGGGGAAGGAGTAATCTCTGATGGAACACACGAGGGCATTTATCAAGGAGTCAGGCAAGTGATATCTGTCCGGTCAAAGAGCAGATGTCCCCCACAGAGAGAGTTTCTTCATTTTAGTTATTCGATAAACATTTGCAAGATAAACTTGTAGACAAGATAAATAAATAAATTTATAGACCACATATATAGTTATAGTTTATTAAAAAAATAGAGTTGTAAAGAGTACTGATTTTTAGAGTTTTTATGTAAATTTAGCTTAAATTAAGATGAAGATTTTTTTGCTGTGACAAAAAACTCTGAGTTTGACATAGGGCTGTTCAAACATTTTTATTGTGATTTTTGTGTCGAGAATAAAGGTGTGGCTACTGCAGTTCTTGCTGACAAAGTTTCGGTTGAGATAGCTAATATCTTTGATGACATAAACTTAAAAGGATTAGAAGACTGAACTATCGGACAAAAAATATAAAGGCTATGATAATAGAGATAAATATAATTATTGTTTTTAGGTTCAAAATAAATATTAAATAAGTACAGAAACAAGGATACCCACAAGGTCCTGATAAAAAGAGACTGAGAGAAGGAGAAGAGGTTTGAAGAGGCTAAATATCCACACAGCTTCCTTTAAAATCCCTGCCCAAGATACAATCCATTTCTCTTTCTCTTATGTATATTCACGCCCTCCTGCATGACTGGAATAGCTCAGGAGAAGACTAATTTACAGAATGTACAGAAGAGTGATTTACAGACAAGAGAGTACTTTATTCACCTTAGCCTTTCTACCCACTTCATGGAAACGGTGTTTCAGAATAGCTCTGTTTGCAACTGAGCTCAGTAGGGGCAAACATATCTTGCAGGTCTACTTTCTCTTGACCTTTCATGGACTGATGATTTAAGAGCTTCTATCACACCGGCTATCAAAGCAGGGGTATATATATTTGGATGAACATAACAAAATAGAAAAAAGTTTATATAATTTCTTCTCTTCCCATATTATTCCTTTACCTTAGCCCAGCATCTCCAAGGCCCACGAATATTTCTGAAGCAAGCAAGGGTGAATGTGTGGCAAACATCAGAGTAAGTACCCTCCAGACATTAGTATTTAGAAATTATTGATGAGCAGATTCAGCTCTCAGCAGGAACATTGGGATGATTAGGAAACACCCCTCTCCACAACCCAATCAGATGGAGTGAGGTGTCTCTCAGAAGAGTGAAAGAGTAAGCCTATGAATGTGACCTTCAAACTAAAATCAGAAACAAATGTCTTTGTGAAACTCATCTCTAAACTCATCTTTTGGTTCTGAACTCTACTGCTTAGCATTAAAAGAGTAAATGGGTGCAGCACACCAACATGGCACATGTATACATATGTAACAAACCTGCACGTTGTGCACATGTACCCTAGAACTTAAAGTATAATAATAAAAAATAAATAAAATAAAATAGTGCCTGAATAAATCTGACAACATACTGATTAGAACTATGTATACTCATCCTAGTAACTAAAGACTCACATTTCTTAAAGTCACATAATTCTAATGAAAACAATCAGATTATGTATTTTTCTTCTAGGAGGTGTAATAGCATCTTCATGGGAGAGTCCAAACTAACATGACACTCCACAAGTTTCTTAAAATAAAAGATGAGGTAAATAAAAGATTATGTGGCTTGAAAATAAGCAATGATTGAAGAACTTTTGAGCTGAAACTGGATATTCAATAAAATTCAATGTAACTGAATTTCCATATTTCTCTGGTTGGATCTTCACATAGGCACCCAATGATGTGATGAAAATGTTATGCACACACTCACACACACACACACAGTGTTAGTATCAGATAATTCCATACAAAGGAAATCTTTGCCTTATCACACTAAAAGCAGACATCTAACCTGCTGCACTAGGCCTCTTTAAAGGCAGAAAATTCTGCTCCAGGCTACAGCTACTGGAAATAGTCCCAAGGTTCCTGCTAATAGCAGATTTTAGCAGAAAGCCTCTATTGGCATATTTTAACCATTTGGGAATTATGTTAGTATTTCTTCTTATATTTTTTCTTCAATGTCGATTTTAACAGATGAAACTTATATTAATACACATGCACACATATATGTGCATGTATCTATATATATGTGTGTGTGTTATAGGTGTGTATGTATGTGGATGCGTATATATATGTGTATGTGTATATATATGTGTGTGTGTATATATATATATATATATATATACACACACACACACACACACGCACACACACAAAGTCTCATCCTGCCAGGCAGTGCCTTTTTCCAACCTAGTGTTTATTTGATATTCAAATTAGAAGAAAAGAAGGGGAGAAGTCTCTCTAACGCCCTAGCCCATATGAACCAGAGTATGTATTTCTATTTTGTGGAAGTGGAGATCTGTTAGACCCCAAGCATTCTGGCAAACATTCGCTGATCTCCAAACCTGCAAGCATCCTGGTAAATGATCATTAGTTGTTATTTCAAACTTTTTCTCTGCTAAATCATAGGCCATATTGTTTTATATTTCCTTAGATGTTGATACAATTCATCCTCATCTTTTCTTAGTTCTCCTTGTTTCCATATTTAGTCAGAACCACAGATTCTCACAGCCTCCTTCTCCCTCTCTCACTAGTGAAATGTCAAAAGTGGGAGAATATGAGTCACTAAAAGTAAACATTTAAGAGCTTGGCAAATCAATTTTCTATTTTTTTTTGCAAAGTTATGTTTCAACTGGAGTATTACTTACAGATAATAGCACTGTGGAGCTCTTCCGTTGAAAATCAATAGTGCAACATATTTGGTGACCATCTACATTACTCCAACCAAACATCAACAGAGATGGAACATGGGGCATTGTAGGAAGATATTTTCCTAAATGAAAAAAATGGGACAGAAGATAATTAATGCCAATGCAATCATTCTGTTTTCTGCTGTAAGCTTGTCAGGTTCCTCAAAGTTTATTTCTCTAAATATTCAGATACTCTGATTCAGTTTAAAGGTACAAAGGTAATTGATACTGCAGATTGCTATTCAATAAGTAAGTTGAAAATCTATCACCTGACCACTTAAAGGCATTAACATTTTCTAAAAATTTAAGAAATAAATGCCTAATTTTGACCAAAGAGAGCTCATACTTATAAGCATAATTTTTACACATCTCAATCTTTGAAACCCATTTTTGTACCTTGGAGCTAATTATTGGAAATAAAATGAATGCGTATAAGAAGGCAGATATTATTTTAACCAGATTCAATACAAAAGTCTGCTCAAATACATTAAAAATTGTTCCAACCCAAGAAAATACATCTAGAAAATGAGGTAAGCAAAATTATGGTGAGAAAGGGTTATTTCTGGAATTACGTAACAATATGCTCTTGTTTTGCTTGTAAATAAAAGATAACATAGTACAGTTGATGCTTGTTTAAACTTTGCACACAAATATGCAAGATGCCAACTGGATTCAATTTATCCTGTCCTAATTTGAATTAACTTGACGGGTCTTTTGACACATGCTGAACAGACTAATTGTTGCTTATTTGGGTGCACTGAATCAGTGAACAGTGCAATCAGAATCCAGGCAGATGTTCATAGTTTCTTTGATTGCCTGGAGCCTAAGGTTGAAAAAGAAGAAGGAGAATCAGTTTGCTGATTTACTTTTGTTAGTGTCTGTCAAGGCACAGTCTGCATTACAAATACAACAGTTAAAATAGGCAGACTCTGCTAAAGAGTTGTGAAGAATCGATAGGAATACTAATTATAATTTTTTATCTTTTGACACATTTGAACTTGTATAGTTCCTGTAATCAGGTTTTGGCAGGGGTAAAATTGGCGCAACACATTTGTCTTCTTCTTCCCTTATTTTTTTCAATATTATAATCTGTTTTAATGTTGGTATTAATTTATTATGATCTGTTTCAAGAATACAGAAAGCTGTAGGGTAATAAAAAGACAATAAAAAGCTACCACCCTTACTGTCCACTTTGTCAAATTTTGTATTATGCATTATTTACTCTGTTTTTTTTTTTAAAAACTGGAATATTACAGATTCCATTGAATCCTCCAGTGAATGAGTGGGAGAGATAAATAGAGGTTAATAAATTCCATAAATTCTTTAAATTATTGTTACATAATTACATGTGTTCTCAAGAGTAGAATTGGGTACATCAATTAGAAAAATTTAACAACCGATCATATCAAAAGAGTAAAAGAAATCTAGAGTTAAGTAGCTCAGAGGTCGTAAAGTTACTTCTTAAAAATTGTCAGGGATCCATTTTCTCACATATTTCTGGTTTGTTTATGTTTTCTATTCTATGATTTTGTGTTCTGCATGTCTTGTGTATTTTTGTATTGGATAGTCCATTACTTTATTTCAAATTGGCATGCAAAAATTCTTTACACATTTAGGATACCAAACTTTTGTTGGTTTAATCTGTTGAAAATATCTTTTTACAGCCAATCACTGTTTTTCACATGTAAGTCCTTGCTGAGGAGACATTTTTTACTTTTAATGTCGTAGATTTTAATAATCATTTTCTTTTACTGCTGTGTTTTTCAGTCCTTCTTTAAACAAAAATATTTTTGGCCAAAAAATATTTCCAAATCAGAGGTCTTATATATTTTCTTCTAAATGTTTCAAAGTTTGTTTTTCATCATTATAGTTTTTCGTACACTGAGAATTGATACTATGTATAAGATGTGATTTCAATTTTTCTTTGAATAGAAATAATAAATTATCTCATCACAATTTTGTCACTATTTCTCTTAACATAGTCTTTTTGCCTTCCTTTCTATCCTTCTCTCCTCAATTTCTTATTAGATATATGTGAGGTCTTCTCATTATTTTTCTACATATCTATTACTTTTATAAATTTTTCTCCTCATTTTACCTGTCTCTTCTTTAGTGTGTGTAATATTATTCTATGAAAATACCCAAGAAATCAACAACCAGATTAACATATAGAACAGTACTAGCACCCAGGAAGCTCCCTACTTCCCATTCTCCGTTCACCCCCATCTCCCACTGAGTAATCACTATGCTTAGTTCTATCACCAATGGTGAACTTTATATCAATTGATATGCACTCTTTTATGTTTGACGTATTTGAGATGAGTGAGATTCATCGATGTTTCTGCATGTAGCAACAAGTTGTTTACTTGTTTTCAAATATTCCATTAATGAGTGTACCGAATTTATTTATTAATTCTACAACATATGCCCTCCCTACAAGTTTGAAAATATTACATTGTTGCTATGAACATTCTTTTAGTGTACATAGGTATGTGTTTCTGGTAGTTATATATCTAGGATGGGAATTGTGAAATATTAGCATATCAATTAAAACAATCTTCCAAAGTAGTTTTACTAATTTACAATTCTATCAACAGTATATTACTCTTAACTAACAACGGATATTGTGGAATTTTTAAGATTATATAAGCTATTGTAGGGAGTATTCAAAAGTATCTTATCATACTTTTCATTTTCATTTCATTAATAGTAAATAAAATTGGTCACCTTTTCATATAATGGGTTATCTGCATATCTATTAAAATGCCTGTTTAAAATCTATAAAGAGGGCCGGGCGTGGTGACTCATGCCTGTAATCTCAGCACTTTGGGAGGCCGAGGCAGGTGGATCACCTAAGGCCAGGCATTTGAAACCAGCCTGGCCAACTTGGTGAAAGCTCGTCTCTACTCAAAAATACAAAAATTAGCCGGATGTGGTGGCGGGTGCCTGTAATCCCAGCTACTCGGGAGGCTGAGTCAGGAGAATCGCTTGAACCCGGGAGGCGGAGGTTGCAGTGAGCTGACATTGCTCCATTGCGCTCCAGCCTGGAGCCTGGACAACAAGAGTGAAACTCCGCCTCAAAAAAAAGAAAAAAATCTATAAAGAAATCAAATTTGAGCTTCTGTTTTTTTCCTTATTAGTTTAGAAGAGACATGTATATCTTCTGAATGAGTAGTGTGTCAGATATTGCACGTCTTCTCCCCACTCTGAGATGTGCCTTTTAATTTCTTAATAATATCTTTATTAGGCAAACTTTCCTATTTCTTAACAAAGTCCAATTTATCAATATTTTTGCTAATGGTTTGAGCCTTTTACCATGTTTAAGAAATTTTTGCTTGCTCCAAGCCTATGGAGATATTCTCTAATGTTATATTGTAAGAGCCAGAGTTCATTTTTATTTAAAATTTGAGGCAAGGACCAAGATTCAATTTTTCCAATACAGTCATTCCTCAGTACTAGTAGGGGATTGGTTCCAGGAATCCCCACAGATACTAAAAACCAAAGATGCTCAAGTCCTTATATAAAATGAGTTAGTGTTTACATATAACCTGCGCACATCCTCCCATATACTTTAAATTATCTCTAGATTATTTATGATAATCTCATATTAGATTATAATATCAAATACAATGTCAATGCTATATAAATAGTTGTTATACTATATTTTTTTAATTTGTATTATTTTTATTGTTTTATTTCTATTTTTATTGTTTTTATCCCAAATATTTTTTATTAGCTGTTAGATGAATTCTCAGGTTCAAAACCTCCAGATATGGAGGGTAGACTACATTGCAGTCAGTTGATCTGAAAAAGTATAAAAAGACTATACTTTTTCCCCTGAAGTGTAGTGACTTCTTTCATAACTCAAGTAATTGTATATGTGTGAATCTGTTCCTGTACTCTGTACGCTATTCTATTAATGTATTTGCCTGCCCTTGTACAGCACCACAGGATGTTTACAGGCTCATCATGGAAAAACCACTCAACTGACTCTCATCAAATTACTGAATGTGTCCAGCTTTAACAATATAATCCATTAGGGTTCACTGGATCACCCTGGTTGGGGCAGTGAGAACTTGGGGAAGGGGATTGCCAAGGGTGTTAACTAGTCGCTGGCAGGAGGAGAAAGCTGGCAGTCAGTGGGCTGTGTATGTGTGTGCATTTCAAGTTACAGAGTAGGTCCATGTGGGGGCATCTGAGGATCTGCACCTGCCCCAGCAGTATTGTCATGATAAAGATGGCACAGACTTCAACAGCAAATTAAAAGCCATCATGACAAGTAGAAAAGGTATGATATTTTAGTACCTATAATGACACTTTTTCCTTCTTTTTGAACATGGAATCTTGCATTTTCATTTTGAACTGGACTCCATGAATTATATACGCTGCCCTGGTCTTTAACAGACATACAATTCATTTGTATCAATTTCGATGAAATCAAATTGTTAATCTATTTTTTAAAATATTGACGTATAATTAACAATTGCCAATATGCCAATTATGTTTTTAATATCTTTAGGGCATATAGTGGTGTCATATTTTATTTCTTTTTTTTTATACTTTAAGTTTTAGGGTACATGTGCAGAACATGCAGGTTAGTTACATATGTACACATGCGCCATGTTGCTGTGCTGCACCAATTAACCCATCATTTAACATTAGGTATATCTCCTAATGCTATCCCTCCCCCCTTCCCCCACTCCACAACACGCCCCGGAGTGTGATGTTCCCCTTCCTGTGTCCATGTGTTCTCATTGTTCAATTCCCACCTATGAGTGAGAACATGAGGTGTTAGGTTTTTTGTCCTTGTGACAGTTTGCTGAGAAAGATGGTTTCCAGCTTCATCCATGTCCCTACAAAGGACATGAACTCATCATTTTTTATGGATGCATAGTATTCCATGGTGTATATGTGCCACATTTTCTTAATCCAGTCTATCATTGTTGGAAATTTGGGTTGGTTCCAAGTCTTTGCTATTGTGATTAGTGCCACAATAAACATACGTGTGCATGTGTCTTTACACCAGCATGATTTAGAATCTTTTGGTTATATACCCAGTAATGGGATTGCTGGGTCAAACGGTATTTTCAGTTCTAGATCCCTCAGAAATTGCCACACTGACTTCCACAATGGTTGAACTAGTTTACAGTCCCACCAACAGTGTAAAAGTGTTCCTATTTCTCCACATCCTCTCCAGCACCTGTCCTTTCCTGACTTTTTAATGATCGCCATTCTAATTGGAGTGAGATGGTATCTCATTGTGGTTTTGATTTACATTTCTCTGATGGCCAGTGATGGTGAGCATTTTTTCATGTGTCTTTTGGCTGCATAAATGTCTTCTTTTGAGAAGTGTCTGTTCATATCCTTCACTCACTTTTTGATGGGGTTTGCTTGTACATTTGTTTGAGTTCATTGTAGATTCTGGATATTAGCCCTTTGTCAGATGAGTAGGTTGCAAAAATTTTCTCCCATTCTGTAGGTTGCTTGTTCACTCTGATGGTAGTTTCTTTTGCTGTGCAGAAGCTCTTTAGTTTAATTAGATCCCATTTGTCAATTTTGGCTTTTGTTGCCATTGCTTTTGGTGTTTTAGATATGAAGTCCTTGCCCATGCCTATGTCCTGAATAGTATTGCCTAGGTTTTCTTCTGTGGTTTTTATGGTTTTAGGTCTAACATTTAGGTCTTTAATCCATCTTGAATTAATTTTTGTATAAGGCGTAATGAAGGGATCCAGTTTCAGCTTTCTACATATGGCTAGCCAGTTTTCCCAGCACCATTTATTAAATAGGGAATCCTTTCCCCGTTGCTTGTTTTTTGTCAGGTTTGTCAAAGATCAGATAGTTGTAGATACGCGGCATTATTTCTGAGGGCTCTGTTCTGTTCCATTGATCTATATCTCTGTTTTGGTACCAGTACCATGCTGTTTTGGTTACGGTAGTCTTGTAGTATAGTTTGAAGTCAGGTAGTGTGATGCCTCCAGGTTTGTTCTTTTGGCTTAGGATTGACTTGGTGATGCGGGCCTTTTTTTGGTTCCATATGAACTTTAAAATAGTTTTTTCCAATTCTGTGAAAAAAGTCATTGGTAGCTTGATGGGGATGGCATTGAATCTATAAATTACCTTGTGCAGTATGGCCATTTTCA
Source organism: Homo sapiens (assembly GCF_000001405.40). NCBI lineage: Eukaryota > Metazoa > Chordata > Mammalia > Primates > Hominidae > Homo > Homo sapiens. Next base: position 102,805,986 of record NC_000001.11, read on the forward strand.
TGATATTAATTCTTCCTACCCATGAGCATAGAATGTTCTTCCATTTATTTGTATCCTCTTTTATTTCATTGAGCAGTGGTTTGTAGTTCTCCTTGAAGAGGTCCTTCACATCCTTTGTAAGTTGGATTCCTAGGTATTTTATTCTGTTTGAAGCAATTGTGAATGGGAGTTCACTCATGATTTGGCTCTCTGTTTGTCTGTTATTGGTGTATATGAATGCTTGTGATTTTTTGCACATTGATTTTGTTTCCTGAGACTTTGCTGAAGTTGCCTATCAGCTTAAGGAGATTTTGGGCTGAGACAATGGGGTTTTCTAGATATACGATCATGTCATCTGCAAATAGGGACAATTTGACTTCCTCTTTTCCTAATTGAATACCTTTTATTTCCTTCTCCTGCCTGATTGCCCTGGTCAGAACTTCCAACACTATGTTGAATAGGAGTGGTGAGAGAGGGCATCCCTGTCTTGTGCCAGTTTTTAAAGGGAATGCTTCTAGTTTTCGCCCATTCAGTATGATATTGGCTGTGGGTTTGTCATAGATAGCTCTTATTATTTTGAGATACGTCCCCTCCATAGGTAATTTATTGAGAGTTTTTAGCATGAAGTGTTGTTGAATTTTGTCAAAGGCCTTTTCTGCATCAATTGAGATAATCAAATGGTTTTTGTCATTGGTTCTGTTTATATGCTGGATTACGTTTATTGTTTTGCGTATGTTGAACCAGCCTTCCATCCCAGGGATGAAGTCCACTTGATCATGGTGGATAAGATTTTTGATGTGCTGCTGGATTCAGTTTGCCAGTATTTTATTGAGGATTTTTGCATAGATGTTCATCAGGGATATTGGTCTAAAATTCTCTTTTTTTGTTGTGTCTCTTCCAGGCTTTGGTATCAGGATGATGCTGGCCTCATAAAATGAGTTAGGGAGGATTCCCTCTTTTTCTATTGATTGTAATAGTTTCAGAAGGAATGGTACCAGATCCTTCTTGTACCTCTGGTAGAATTCGGCTGTGAATCCATCTGGTCCTGGACTTTTTTTGGTTGGTAAGCTATTAATTATTGCCTCAATTTCAGAGCCTTTTATTGGTGTATTCAGAGATTCAACTTCTTCCTGTTTTAGTCTTGGGAGGGTGTATGTGTCGAGGAATTTATCCATTTCTTCTAGATTTTCTAGTTTATTTGCATAGAGATATTTATAGTATTCTCTGATGGTAGTTTGTATTTCTGTGGGATCGGTGGTGATATCCCCTTTATCATTTTTTATTGCATCTATTTGATTCTTCCCTTTTTTCTTCTTTATTAGTCTTGCTAGCATTCTATCAATTTTGTTGATCTGTTCAAAAAACCAGCTCCTGGATTCAGGTTTTTTGTGAAGGGTTTTTTGTGTCTCTATTTCCTTCAGTTCTTCTCTGATCTTAGTTATTTTTTGCCTTCTGCTAGCTTTTGAATGTGTTTGCTCTTGCCTCTCTAATTCTTTTAATTGTGATGTTAGGGTGTCAATTTTAGATCTTTCCTGCTTTCTCTTGTGGGCATTTAGTGCTATAAATTTCCCTCTACACACTGCTTTGAATGTATCCCAGAGATTCTGGTATGTTGTGTCTTTGTTCTTGTTGGTTTCAAAGAACATCTTTATTTCTGCCTTCATTTCGTTAGGTACCCAGTTGTTATTCAGGAGCAGTTTGTTCAGTTTCCATGTAGTTGAGCGGTTTTGAGTGAGTTTCTTAATCCTGAGTTGTAGTTTGATTGCACTGTGATCTGAGAGACACTTTGTTATAATTTCTGTTCTTTTCCATTTGCTGAGGAGTGCTTTACTTCCAACTATGTGGTCAATTTTGGAATAAGTGCCGTGTGGTGCTGAGAAGAATGTATACTCTGTTGATTTGGGGTGGAGAGTTCTGTAGATGCCTATTAGGTCAAGACCCGTCAGTGCGCTGTATTCAGGAAACCCATCTCACATGCAGAGACACACATAGGTTCAATATAAAGGGATGGAGGAAGATTTACCAAGCAAATGGAAAACAGAAAATGGCAGGGGTTGCAATCCTAGTCTCTGATAAAACAGACTTTAAACCAACAAAGATCAAAAGAGACAAATAAGGCCATTACACAATGGTAAAAGTATCAGTTCAACAAGAAGAGCTAACTATCCTAAATATATATGCACCCAATACAGGAGCACCCAGATTCATAAAGCAAGTCCTTAGAGACCTAGAAAGAGAGTTAGACTCCCACACAATAATAATGGGAGACTTTAACACCCCACTGTCAACATTAGACACATCAACGAGACAGAAAGTTAACAAAGGTATCCAGGAATTGAACTCAGCTCTGCACCAAGCAGACCTAATATTTTATTTCTTATATTTTTTTCTCATCCGATTTTCAAGGCTTATTTGAATTTTTATTGTTCCTTTCAAAGTACAATTATAGTGATTCCAAATTATTGAGATGATTCTGAGACATGATATCATAGCTACTACTTATTAAAAATTTACTCATGGTACTTGGTCATGTTTATAAACACAAATCATTTTAAGTGTTTTAGTAACAAAGGAAAAGATAGTTTTAGAACCACCCCATTATACACTTAGACCAATAATTTAGATTTTATCACATGATGATAATGAATTGATGTAAGTATGATTTTGCCTGGAACTTGACAGATCTTTTAGTTACCACTTGGCATGTCTCTCAATCAACATTTTTATTCCAACACTTTTTCATATTGGTAAATCTCAGCAACTAATCTCATTATCTCTTTGCTTCTGCTTCTTATTTCAATCTCATTCTTTTATATTCCAATTTCAAAATTATGTGAGTAAAGATCATTTGGGCCTTGTAAAAACAGACTAATATTGTTCAGAATCCTCGGCTTTAGGGTGCATAGACTGCCTCTTATGTATTAAATGGCTTGAGTCAAATGCCCACTTCTAATCCAATCAGTTGTGATTTCGAAGGTCATCATAAGGAATGCATCAGCCATCTGAAGAATTAACTGACACTAGAACATTGCATATAAATGAATTTCTTTATGAGGGTATGAGTGCTACTCAATGTCATCAATTTGGTAAGATATATCCTTAAATCTGGATATAAGCAACAGGAAGATGTATAAAAAATACTTAAACAGAAGGTACCATGGTATAGATAGCATCTAGGAAACTCATCAGTGCTTATCCATTAACAATTCCCAATAAAATGTTGCAATTGGTAGGCACAAATAATCCTGTCAATAACTTAACAAGATTTTATGGTGATTTTTTCCCCACAACCAAAGCCTATTCCATTTTTTCTTTTCATTCTTGGGAATCAACACCCTGATTACAGTTTACTTCTCAGCCATTTGACAGTCAGAAGATAATATCCTTGATAGCAGACACAGCTAACAAAGTCTTTGAAAATGTATGTTCATCTACCCAATTAAATTATTTTTTGAGATAGATCATACACACAAAAACACATAAAATCATGTATAACTTATACAAGTAATTATCAAGCAAATACCTGAGTAACAGTCATGCACAATAAGAAACAGATATTGCCAACACCTCAAGACACTCCTTTCTGCCCATCCCTAATCAGTGTTTCCTCTTATTTCTCTAGAAGTAAATGCTCTCCTGACTTTTGAATAAACATCGTATAGTTTTTTATTATTGTTTTACTGTTTAGCTGCATCTTTAAACAATATCCCTTATGTCTCTTTGTAGTATGTCTATATACATAAATATAGTTCATATATATATCAAAAATATATAAAGTTATAGTGTATTTACTCCTTTAATTTTTTTTACTATGGTAAATAACTTGTGTTTAGGATAAATCCACAATGTGTGAAGGTGTTGTTAGTTCATTTTATTAATTTATATTATTTTCTAGCATTTTTATTCATTATATTAATGTTCAAATTAGCTATACCAATTTTATATTACCACCAGCAGAGTATGAATGTTTCACATCTTTGCCAAAACTTGGGACAATCAGAGACTCAAATGTTTATTTTATAAAATTATTAATCAAGTTACTGTATTGTATTGTTGCTTCAATTTCATGTTTCTGAAAATATTTCTCCTATTATCAGTCCTATACAAGTCAGTATGAGGTTTCTCTCCATATGTTGATTAAGAGGTTCAAGTGGCTAAGTTATTCTCTAGGGTATTGTCATTTTTTGTACCTGGTCTGCAAAAAAAAAAAAAAAAAAAAAAAAAAAAAGACAAAGAATATGTGCTGAAACTACCATACTTTCCAAAATTTAGGTCATAAGCGACATGCATTAATTTTGCTCATATTCCTTAGCTTAGACATGTTCAGAGCCACACCTAAATGCAGAAAATTTGGAGAATATAACCTGTGTTCCAGAAGGAAGACTAAATAGATTTTATGTGACTGGATAGCAATTTTGCTATAATTATGTCAAAACTATTTATTGTAAAAAGTTTGTTCTTTACCAGTGGCTAGCATTGCCTCTTCAGACTTATATAAAGTATTCATAAATGCACAGGTCTGTCTCAGCATTCTTTTTATGTTCAATTTGTATTTTTCTCTATGCCTTGAGCCAAATTACATTATGCTATATATTATACTACAATTATGGTGTGATAGCTACTAGGAGAAATTCTCCTATTAATAATTATGAATATATTCAGTAAGTTTTCCTATTCATAAATACAGTGCTGCATAAACTTACATAATTTATATAATTTTGGGTAGATACTGCTAATATATATGTACAAAATAGGTTGAGATTTACTACAAAATCAATATCAGAAAATATCAAAATAATAAAAATAATAAGGTTGTTGGTGTGGTGTTTCATTAACATTTCGGTCAAATATCTAACCATATTCAAATCTCTGTCTCTTTGTTCTTTGAGAGGGCTCTTCACACTATTAATTGTCTTTTAAAAAAAATCTGTTAAGTCTCTGCTGTTACAAGACCAGCAGCCCAATAACAAAACAATACACTGAGACAGCAGGATGTATTTGTCTATTAGTCTTTTCTTACATTGTTATAAACATATTACTGGAGACTGGGTAATTTATAAAGGAATAAGGTTTATTGAAGATGAGATTTGGGTGGGGACACAGACAAACCACAGCAGCAGGGTTTGAAGCAGAGTAAGAGTTTAACCATCCCAGGATGGCCATGCAAGGAGATGGGAGGAAACCCTCAAATTCATCTCCCCAAGGAGTTCTGGGCTGGGGCTTTTAAGGGGTTCCTGGATGGTGAGGAGCTGGAAAATTGGGATTTTTGTTGTTGATTGGTCAGTTTAAGGAGGATGAAATCATCAGGATGTGGAAACTAGTTTTGTTTTGTTTTTTGTTTTTTGGTGAGTCAGTTCACGGGGTTTTTGTTTGTTTGCTTTTTGTTTTGTTTTTGTTTGTTTGAGATGGAGTCTCACTCTGTCGCACAGACTGGAGTGCAGTGGAATCATCTTAGCTCACTGCAACCTCTGCCTCCTGCATTCAAGCGATTCTTCTGCCTCAGCCTCCAGAGTAGCTGGGATTACAGGTGCACGCCACCACACCCAGCTACTTTTTGTATTTTTAATAGAGAGGGGTTTCACATTGTTGGCCAGGCTGGTCTCAAACTCCTAACCTCAAGTGATCTGTCTGCCTCGGCCTTCCAAAGTGTTGGGATTACAGGCTTGAGCCACCGCACTAGCCCCCAGGAGCAGGTGATGTCAGTACTTTCCCTGATATACAAGACCTAAAAGAATATCTCAAATGGAAGACTTAATGTGTCATAATGTTCAAGTTGTTATCTCTAAGAGCAGTTAAGGGGAACTATAATCTTCTGACAGTGTGTATGTGATTCAGGGGCACTAGGTAGCAAACAGCTATGAGGAAGCAGGTCAGAGAGCAAGATGACCCAATGATTAACGCTGAATGTGCTGAAAGCTTGGTTTATTTTTGTTTCTCCCACTCTCCTTTTTCCTGATTAATTTTATACAGTTTACAAGAATGGTTTTACTTCTTTTATATTTTAAGATCATTGCATTAAGTGAAATTTCATAGAAATATATACTATGCCTTGGATTTTTCATTTATTTTGATTTATTTTTTAAATGCAACATTCAATTAATTTACTTTTGCTATAATGAGAAATGTATTTATATTCTGTGTTATTTCTGTTATTTCTTCTGATCTATTTTACATTTGTTTTTCTCCCTTCTCTTGGGCTATTTTTCCTCAATTCTGTCTTTTTTCCTCTCTACTAACATGGAAGTTACATATTATATTTTTATTTCTTAGGATTATCCAAGAAATTAACAAATCTCACTCATCTAACAATAAAAATTGTTCTATTCTTTTTTTAAATGTTTTTGTCAGGTTTTGATATCAAGGTTATTCTGGCCTCAATAAGCATGTTGGCACATATAATTTTTCCTATGTTTTCTTAAAGCCTTAGTGTAATAGTTTCTTAAATGTTTAAGAGTATTCAGCACCTAAAAATATCTGATTCTTGAGGTTTTGTTTGTTTTTATTTTTAAGGTAAGTTTTAACAAAATTTTTAAAATAAGTAACTGGATATGGGGCTATTTGGGTTTTTATTTATGTCTGCATTTGTAAAATGTTTTTTGAAAAATTTCTTGTTTTCATAAGTTGGTAAATTCATAGTACAAAATTGCTTATTGTATTCCCTTGAAGTCTTTTGAATTTCTGCAAAATATTTAATAATAATTCCATGAATTTTTAATATTGACAATTTCTCTTTTTATTTTGCTAGTGTTTTAAAATTTGTATTAACCTATTCAAAGAAACAAATTTTGAAATTGTTAATTTCTCTCACTTTTTGCCTATTTTCTGTTTAGTTGATTCACACCATTACCTTTATTGTGTCCTTCCTTCTACTTATTTTGAGTTAAATTATCTCCTTTTCTTAAAGTAGAAACTTAGATAATTAATTTCAATGAATTTTCTTTTCTAATCTAGGTATTTAAAACTACAAATTTGCTTACATATCATGTATTCCTGGAATAAACTCTACTTGGTAATAATATGTTATCTATTTTAAATATCATTAGATTTATTCTGTTAATATATTTTAGTACTAATCTATTTTCATGATAGATATAGACCCCTAGTGTTTTTTCCTTGTAATATCTTGTTAGTTTTTTTTACTTAAAGCTTCAACAATTCTGAGAGGATATTATGAACAAATTTGTGCTACTAAATTTGATAATTCAAAAAAACTAAATTTATTGATAAATGCATTCTACAAAAACTGGCATAAGAAAATAATCAAAATCTCCGCAAGCTTAATCCTATTAGAGGAAATAAATAGAAAATTACAATCCTTCCAACAAATGAGATATGTAAGTAATGTATTCTAAACATTAAGAAAAAAATCATAACAATGTTATACTTTAGTTGCTATTCATGGAACTTCATGTGATCCCTTAAGTTTATTGTTGACTAGAAAAGGTTGTTCGAAAGTAAAAATAACAGTTTTTTCCATAGCACTAAATCAAAATTTGTTCATTTCTCCCTTTTAAAAAAATATTTCCATAGGTTTTTAGGTAACAGGTGGTATTCAGTTACATGAGTTAGATTTTGGTGCACCCAAAGCCCGAGCAGTATACACTGAACCCAATTTGTAGTCTTTTATTCCTCACCCTCTTCCCACTTTTGCCCCTGGATCTCCAAAGTCCATTGTATCATTCTTATGCCTTTATATCCTCATAGCTTAGCTCCCACTTATGACTGAGAACATATAATGTTTGGTTTTCCATTCCTGAATCACTTCACTTAGAATAATAGACTCCAACCCTATCCAGATTGCTGTGAATGCCATTAAGTCATTTCTTTTTATGGCTGAGTAGTATTCCATCATATACATATACCACAGTTTCTTTATCCATTCATTGATTCATGGGCATTTGGCTGGTTCCACATTTTTGCAATTTCGAATTGTGCTGCTACAAAAATGCATTTGCAAGTACCTTTTTCATATAATGACTTATTTTCCCCTGGGTAGATACCCAGTAGTGGGACTGCTGGATCAAATGTTAGTTCTCCTTTTAGTTCTTCAAGGATTCTCCACACTCTTTTCCACAGTGGTTGTACTAGTTTACATTTCCACCAGCAGTGTAGAAGTGTTCCCTTTTCACCACATCCATGCCAATATCTATTTTTTTTTTATTTTTTGATTATGGCCATTCTTGTGAGAGTAACGTGGTATTCCATTGTGGTTTTGATTTGCATTTCCCTGATCTTTAGTGAAGTTGAACATTTTTTCATAGGTTTGTTGGCTATTTGTATACATTCTTTTGAGAATTGTCTATTCATGTCCTTAGCCCACTTTTTGATGAGATTGTTTCTTTTTTTCCTGTTAATTTGTTTTAGTTTATTGTAGATTCTGGATATTAGTTCTTTGCTGTATGTATAGATTGTGAAAATTTTCTCCCACTCTGTGGATTGTCTGTTTACTCTGCTGACTGTTGTTTTGCCAGGCAAAAGCATTTTAGTTTAATGAAGTACCACATATTTATCTTTGTTTTTATTGCATTTGCTTTTGGGTTTTTGGTCATGAAATCTTTGCCTAAGCCAATGTCTAGAAGTGTTTTTCCAATGTCATCTTCTAGAATTGTTGTAGTTTCAGGTCTTAGATGTAAGTCCTTGATCCATCTTGAGTTGATTTTTGTATAAGATTAGAGATGAGAATCCAGTTTCTTTCTCCTACATATGATCTGCCAATTATCCCAGCACCATTTGTTGAATATGGTCTCCTTTCCCCATTTTATGTTTTTGTTTGCTTTGTTGAAGGTCAGTTGGTGGTAAATATTTGGGTTTATTTCTGGGTTCTCTACTGTGTTCCATTGGTCTATGTGCCTATTTTTATTCCAGTACCACGCTGTTTTGGTGACTATAGCCTTATAGTATAGTTTGAAATCAGCTAATGTGATGCCTCCAAATTCGTTCTTTTTACTTAGCCTTACACTGGCCATCGGATTCTTTTTTTGTTCCATGTGAATTTTAGGATTGTTTTTTCTAGTTCAGTGAAGAATAATGGTGCTGTTTTGATGGGAATTGCATTGAAATTGTAGATTGCTCTTGGCACTATAATCATTTTTCACAATATTGATTCTACCAATCTGTGAGCATGGGATGTGTTTCTATTTGTTTGTGTCATCTATGATGTCTTTCAGAAGTGTTATGTAGTTTTCCTTGTAGAGGTCTTTCACCTCCTTGGTTAGGTATATTCCTAAGTGTTTTATTTTATTTTATTTTTTTACAGCTATTGTAAACGGGGTTTTGTTCTTGATTTGATTATCAGGTTGGTCGCTGTTGGTGTATAGCAGATCTACTGATCTGTGTACATTCATTTTCTATCTGGAAACTTTGCTGAATTTGCTTATCAGTCCTAGGAGCTTTTTGGAGGAGTCTTTAGGATTTTCTAGGTGCACGATCATATCATCAGCAGACAGTGACAGTTTGACTTCCTTTTTATTGATTCACCTTTATTTCTTTCTATTTTGTTTTGTATTTTTCTGAGAGTCACCCTTATGACTTAGACTTCACTTAAAGGGTATTTTTAGTCCTGTGTAGAACTGGAACCTAGAATGCACTAGCAATCTAGAAGTTTCATATATCATTGTTTATGTACCTCAAAAACTGAGAAGAGGGGTAAAAGGAAGAAGTCCTCCCCTCCAATAGTCCAGCAGTGTATGTAGTGTTGTTCTTTCCAACATAGGAAATATTAAGTGATAAAGTATTTTTTAAATACATGATTACACCAATTATCCATACATATGCTGGAATCCTTAGCATGATTTCAAGAAAGACTTATGCCTCTATAACTCTTTTTGTAGCTACTTTTACCATAATAATTATAACTAATGTGTAACATCAAATCTCAACTGCTTCTACAAAGTATACTTGTGTACACAGTAATTACAAATTAAACTAAACCTACCAAATGAGCACATGAAAAACTCATTATGTACTTAATTTTGCAAATGCTATTTAATCATTTTTCCATAAAACTAGGCAATATCTGTTGCTAAAAAACAAAACAGGGAAATTAAAATATGAAGTTATATACTTTCCAACAAGTAGAATTTCTAACTGTGATTGCCTAACATTTAGAAAAAGGTTATAGTCATTCGAAATAATTGTTTTCTGTCTCTTCATATCTTGGATGTCATCAGAAGATTTTAACTCTGTTTGCACTATTATCACTGTATTGCAAATACAGTTTTATGCCACATAATAACAATTCAGCCAATGACAGACTTCATATGTGATAGTTTTCCCATAAGATTATAATACTGTATTTTTACTGTACTTTTGTGTTTAGATACACAAATACTTACCATTGTTTTACAATTGTCTACAGGATTCAGTAAAATAACATACTGTACAGGTTTGCAGCTTAAAGGAATAGGCCATATTATATAGTTTTGGTGTGAAGTCTATACCATCTAAGATTTTATAAGTATATACAATGGTGAAATTAATGTTTTCAAAAAGTAACTACGTTGTTAAGCCACACATGACTATACTAGATTACCTAATTATCACCTCAATAAACTATATCAAACTCCATTAAGTTAGAGACCACTTTTTTGCTCACAATTAGGCCACCCTATCTTCCACCATTGTTTTGTTCAGTACTGACAAAAAGCATTATGGAATGAACTGCATCCCTTTAAAATATACATGTTTAAGCTCTAATCTCTAACACCTCAAAATGTGACTGTCTTTTACAATAGGGCCTTCAAAGAGGTGATTAATTCAAAATGAGGTTATTAAGGTGGGCCCAAATCCAATCTACTTGCTGTCCTTATAAAAAAAAAAAAGAAAGAAATTTGAGTACACAGAGAGATAACAGGGATGTGGACAGACAGAGGAAAGACTATGTAAGGACACAGAGAGAAGGTGGTCATCTACAAGCCAACAGAAGAGGTCTCAGAAAAACCAAACCTGTGGACACTGATTTCAGATACTGAGACCTTGAGTTAAGCCTCCAGAACTATGAGAAAATAAGTTTATGTTGTTTAAGCCACCTAGTCTGTGGTAGTTTATTATGACAGCCCTAGCAAACTAATACAGTGAGTTCTAAGTAAGAGTGTTGTATGCATGGGCAGTTGCAGACACAAAAGGAGCTAGTGAAGAGTGTCTTGAAAGCTTAGGAACCCTTTTCCAGCCGGTGAAATGGACCGAAGGCATTGGAGAGAGAGAAAACTGCTTCCAAAGGCAGTTAGATTTTATTCACTTATTCAACAAATACTTAATTAACCTATTGTACAGTCTAGGGTGTTGTGATACAATGAGGCACAAAAACATATATGGCTCCAGCTCTCATACAACTTATAATTTATGGAGAAAGGCATTTAGAAAAACATTAAGAAATAAATCATTGCAAAACTGTGTTCCTATAAGCTGAAATAAATGTAGAAAGCTAAATAAATAAATGCATATAACACAGAATTAATGCCTTCTCCTCAGCTGAGTTCTTAAAAAATTCTATTTTGTCTCTACTACTGACTTATTATTTCTTACCTTAAAAAATTTATTGGTTGTCCTAGGATTTAAAATATACATCTTTAATAAGTCACTCTTTACTTATAAATAACATTATACTCTTGATTTGTAGAGTAAACTGCTCAGAACTGAATATACCAATTATTCCCTTCCATCCTTGTGGCACCGCGGTTATATATTTTACTGTAACAGATGCTTTAAATATATATTACATTGTGGGCTGGGCATGGTGGCTTATGCCTGTAATTCCAGCACTTTATGAGGCTGAGGAGAGCAGATCACCTGAGGTCAGGAGTTCAAGAACAACCTGGACAACATGGTAAAACACTGTCTATGCTAAAAATACAAAAATTAGTCAGGCGTGGTGACATTTGCCTATAATCTTAGCTACTCTGGAGGCTGAGGCAGGAGATTTGCTTGAACCTGGGAGGCAGAGGTTGCAGTGAGCTGAGATCATGTCACTGCACTCAAGCTTGGGCAACAGAATGAGACTTCACCTCAAAAAATTTTATATATATAACATTATGTTTATATATTATATCATATATGTTACAAAATCTCAATATTTTGCTTTATAAAGGGTTACTTTATACCCTGGAGTTGTAGCATGCCTATAGTCTCAGCTACTCAGGAGGCAGAGCCCAGGAATTTGAAGCTGTAGTGAGCTGATTACACTGCTGTATTCCAGCCTAGGCAACAGAGCTATAGCCTGTTTCATAAAGTACAATAAAATAAAATAGGTATTTTAGAGCAATTAAATTTTAAAAGAAACTGGATTTTATGCTTGTCTTTATTTACTTTATATCCATCAATTTTTCTTCTTTCTTGTATATCCAAGTTTCTGTCTGGCATCATCTTCTTTCTGCCTGAAGAAATTACCTAATGCCTCTGTAGCGCAGGTCTACTGGCTAGTAAATCATCACAGGTTATGTGTGTGTGTAAGTAGCTATTTCTCCTTCACTTTGAAAAGTAAGGGATATAGAATGTTTTCTGCAGGTTTGTTTTTGTTTTGTTTTGTTTCAGTGCTTCAAAGACACCAAACTACTGTGTCCTGGTTTGCATAATTTCAGATGAGATTTCTGTTGCAATTCTTCTCTTTGATCATCTCAATGATTTGTATCTTTTTTTTGTAGCTGCCTGTATGTTTTATCATTTTCATTTATTTTCAACAGTTTGAATATGATAGGCCTATGTGTATGTCTAATATCTTTCACTAGTTTTGGAAAAATTGCGGCCATTATTCTCTTAAATATTTCTTCTCCCCATTCTTCCTTTCTTTATTTTCTGGAATTCTAAGAATATGTTTATTAGACCATTTGATATTGTCCCACTGCCTTTGGATCCTCTGTTCTATTTTCTCACTTTTTTAAAAAAACCTATCTTCAAGCTCACTGAATCCTTAAATTTTTCTGTTGAGTTTACAAAAGAGCCTGTTGAAGTCATTTCTGATATTTGTCACTACTTTTTATTTGTTTCTAGCATTCTCATTTGTTTCTTTCTTATATATTCCATTTCCCTGCTAAAATTACTCATCTAAAATTGCACAGTCCACTTTTTCTATTAAGACCTTTATTATAGGTATTATATGTATTTTAACGTTCTACTTAGCCTTCCAACATCAGTGTCATATACCTGCTTGGTTCTGTTGATTATTTTTGTGTCTTGGCACAAACAGCTGGCAGTGTTTTTGTATTTCTTGTTTTTTATGAATCTTGTAATATTTTACTGAAGGAAGCCCAACATCTCATATATGACAGTAGAAACAGAACTAAATAACTTGCTTGTGGGACTTGTGGAGGGTGAGTTAGAAATAATCGCCATGCCTCTCCTTCTGATAGATCTTCTGCTAGTATGAGGCCAGGAGTTGCACTTGGTTAGGATTATATTTTTGCTATTGTTACCCTCAGCACAGCAGAGCTATCAAATTCTTCTAGTGATAACATATATACGTTAAGGGATGGTTTTATCATCTCTGCATCACTCTTAGCTTTAGATCCTTGCTGTGTGCCTTAGAAAGGTTTATTCTCCAGGGTTTTGTTCTTATGCTGGTCTTCTTCTAAGAGTTTATTCTGTTACCTGATACTCATTAATTTTTAATCTGGTGGCAGAGTGTAGAAGGGACATTCTCTGCTGTTCCTATTAAGCCTCAGTCAAAAGTAGACACTGTGTCCCTAGGTCTCACTAGTTTGGCCTGCTCAATGTCTTTACCTGCACTCCAACTGTAGCACTGTTCCACCTTATATTCTTCCTTCACCCATAGGGGTTCCTTCACCAGTTTTCGCCAATGCCATAAATGTCACAATGTTCATTGTGCTCTCCCAAAGTTAATTCTGTAGAGCAAGCAGTGAAGAAGTATCTGAATGCCTCCTCTCACGCTGTTGAAGCTTTGGTCTTTGGATTTGGAAACATCTCTTGTTGCACATTCATGTTGTGTTGTGGGCCATTCTTGTTTCTGTTGCTATTTTCAGATCCTCCCTTCAATAAACTGCTATCCTGCTGCCCGTCCTTTCTTTGCTGCTTCTCTGGTATTGAATTCCACCTACTGTTTTTCCAACTCAAGTAGAAGATACCTTTTCTAATGATATTATCTCAGATGGAAAAAAAATCCAATTTTTAGAACATGAATTATTGTTAATAAATGTGATTTATATTTGATTTATATTTATCACATCAGACATCAGGCTCTGTTTTATTCTACTCTCATGTGCACAGTTACAAACCTCAATTTTGTCAATAATTTTAACATCTGCAGCTACCTGTATGTTTTAAAAATAAGTATTTTTAAATTACAACTTTGACTCTCAAGATATTGACGTCTGCGGTTGCCCCCCCTTTTTTTTTTTTAATTTGAAGTCTAACCCATCTGTTTGTCAACTGGCTCCAGAGTTTGCAGAACATGATGATACCCTAGTACTTTGAAAATGAAGGAAAAGAAATCTTACTCTTCCTCCCACCAAAATCATTTTTCTCTACTAATTAAAACATCTGGTGTAATAGTCATCAAATACTTAATAAACAAATTGCAAATTTTGTATAAAACTCTCCTCTACCTGCCTCAGTTTGAAGTACACTCTATTTTAATTCATACCTATTTTCTACATTGCAATAGTTTTTCCTTAAAGTCATTGCTCATTGTTGTATCACTAGCCATTTTACTGTTTTACAGTATCCTTATGTTTAATGATATTACCTCAATTTTTCACAAGCCAATTTTCCCAAATCAGAGTATTAGAAAACTTTAAAAGGAAAAATTTAGAATAATAAAAATTATGTCATATAAAATTTTAAATTCATCCCAAAAGTTTGTATAAAACAACCTTTATGTGACTTACAAGTGGTCCTGTTCCTTATACAAACTCATATAAAAGCCCAATCAGATTTAGCATGTTACAATTCTGCAAGCACTTCATTTGGTGTAAAACGTCAAAATTTGAATGAAATGAAATATGGTTGGCTGACAACCTTCAATTTTGCGTCTTTGTAATGGAAGGATCACCATATAGATAAAAGACTATGATCATTCATAAAAAGATTAGTTATTAGAAAACAATCACATTTAACAAAATTGTTTTTCCCTACTCCATTTTAAAAGATTTTTTGTATACTATAATTTTCTTAGTTATGCAACATATCTCCATCATCTTACTAAAAATATTGACATATATACAGTTTCTCAAACAGTAAATATAGCAAATTTCAACTGTAAATCCATAAAGTCATCTTTTTGTTAGAAAATGTGGAAGGTAGTCTATTTGGATCTCAGTAATTCAGAAGCCTCAGGAGCTGTGATCTTGTGATGAAAATATGAATGAAAAATTGATTTCAATGCTTTTAACATTTTTTTGGTTTTTAACTGATACATCGTAGTTGTACATATTTTTGGATATATGTGACATTTTGATACATGTGTAAAATGTATAATGAGAAAATTGAGGGTTGGGATATCCATCATCTCAAATATTTATCTTTCCTTTGTGTTGGGAATATTACAATTTTTCTCTTCTAGCTATTTTGAAATGTGCAGTAAATTATTTTTAACTATAATTTTATTACTATACTATCAAATACTAAAATTCATTTTTTCTATTAAACATTTTTTATATCCAGTAATCATCTTTTCTTTCAGCATTAAGGGAAAACTGCTTGATAATCATTGTTCAGATATTGTTCACATTATATTGACCTGCCAATATTTTCTTCTCCTCTTTAGTGGATCACTACTCCTTCTTAACAAATCATCTATTGCTATTTTATGCTATAAAAGAAAAGTGATTTAAAATAAGCCATTTAATGCAAATACTTTAATTTTATCAGCCTGAATTCTCAGCAATTGAATTTCTAAGATGACTCATCCTAGATCTCATTATCACAAACTGAGCAGCTTAAATTAACATACATTTACTACCTCACAATGCCAGTGATTCAGAAGTCTAAGCATAACTTAACTAGATCTTCCGCTTAGGGTCTCATGTGCTGCAATTAAGGTGATAAGTAGACTGCATCCTTATCTGGAGGACTGACTAGGAAGACTCTACTTTCAAGTTCATTCAAATTGGAAGAATTCATTTCCTTGCAGTTCTATGAGTGTAGTCCTGTCTCATAAGCAGTTCACTACATACTTGTTTGCTTCTTAAAGAGCAGCAGAAGAATCTCTTGCTTGCCAGTCTGCTAAAATGAAATTTTATATAATATAACGTAATCATGGGAGACACATCTTACCATCTTTGCCATATAAAGTGTCCAATCAAGTGAGTGATATCCTATTACTTTTGCCATATTGTAACATTTACAAGCAAAACAGAGGCTGCTGCCACACACAAAGGATGGGATTACACTTACATAACACCAGGGGTGAAGGTAAAGGGGACTCAGAATTCTCACTGCCACATTTCTCTATTGTTCCATAAATTTATTCTATATAGGTCAGATCCACCTACCAATTTTTAGGATGAATATAAAAAATATATTATCTTATATTGCACTAGTAGAAAAGCTATGCTTCCAGCTTAAATAACCCATGAAATTTCTAAATTCATGTGTTGCCCCATTTTATCTCAGTACAGGTTCATAAACTATGAAGCCTAAAGGCCAAAGCCTTTCTCTACAAGAAAATCAGTTTAGCAAGGCTATTTTTTTTTTAAGTTCTAACTTTTAAACTTTAACTTATAGCAAGTCTCTTTCTTGGCCAATTTTCCATAAGAGTTTAATGAAGAAAAAACTTTTACAATAGAATCCCCTCCATTACTGAAAAGGGCATTTATTTGATTCCCCTTGGTTTAAAGTACCTAGAGAGGAATTCTTTCCAGTGATTTATGTTATCTTGGAAGGCAGAACTACTTTGGTAGAAGTGTCATTTTGCTTTCCTAATTTCTCCTTTATCCTCTTTACTCTATCCACACTGAATCTCTCAACTGAGGAAGAGAAGCAGGAACCAGGTCATCTTCCAGGGATTTTTTACCTTAATGATTGTACATTCTTGGCTAATGTATTTAACTATCAGCATTTTCTTATGTCATAATATGTAAGATTGGTTGTGGTAATCAAGAGAGGGGTCTACCTCCAGTCTCTATCACCCCAGTAAGACTTACAATTACTCTGTCCATTAACAGCAGAGCAAAACAAGGCCTTTTGTTTGTTTTTTTGTTTTGATTTGTTTTGTTTTTTGAGATGGAATCTCGCTCTGTAGCCAGGGCTGGAGTGCAGTGGCGCCATCAGAGCTCACTGCAAGCTCCGCCTCCAGGGTTCACGCCATTCTCCTGTCTCAGCCTCCCCAGTAGCTAGGACTACAGGCACCCGCCACCACACCTGGCTAATTTTTTATATTTTTAGTAGAGACGGGGTTTCACCGTGTTAGCCAGGATGGTCTCGATTTCCTGACCTCATGATCCGCCTGCCTTGGCATCCCAAAGTGCTGGGATTACAGGCATGAGTCACTGCACCTGGCCAAATAAGGCCTTTCTTTTTCTTCCCTTTGTAGGATTCCTATGGGTTTGGCAAAGATCTCACTCTATTTACTATATTATCTTCACTTTCATTCTGCTGCCAGAATGCCCTGGGCAACAATGACCCAGTGACAGACAGGTAAAAGTGGAGCTCCTTGGTTTGTTCTAATTATCTCAATATTTTTACCATAAATTTGACAACATGCTCTCTCAACACTGTTTCATCCCAGATTTCCAGCTCCAGGCCTTTAAACAAGAACTTACGGAAAGACTCTGCTCTCCTAGTATCCCAACTTGTGAGCTGTTTTCTCTTTTCCACAGATAAATATTTTCTGCACTTCTAATTAAAATGCTTGTGTTAAAATTCCTTCAAGAAAAAGTGAAATCTTTTCCTCCAATGTCAGGAAGCTTTTCAGGAAGTCACAAGTACACAGCCATATTGAAAAAGTGAGAAAGAGAGATTGAGCGACATCAGACACGAAGAGAAAAGTGGTAGTTCTGGTGTTAGCTGAGTTTCAAAAATATATTGTATGGTAAGTTTATGTAAATATTTATGATACTCAAAATTACACAGGATTTGTGGAGCCAGAGTTAAAGAACATGGATTGCAAAGGGGCAAAAAAAAAATTGAGATCATAGATATGTTCTATATCTTGATTGGGGTGGAAATTACATAGGTTTATTTATCTCAAGCTCATGAAGCTTTACATTTAAATTGAATAATTTTATTGTTTGCATATTGCACCTAATCAAAATTGATTAAGCAATGTTATTTATAGTTTGTAGTTATTATCTATGCTTGTAAACAAATGTACACCCATATGTACAAGGAACTTAGGAAGAGACATAGGAAGATGGGATATGAATATTTCTGTATAGCTTATCATTTCTCTGTTGTATGAAGTGATAGCAATATGTGTTAAATTTGGAGTACATAAGTATCTTATTTTCAGTATTATGCTTCTTATCGAAAATTTGAAATTTTAATTTTAAAATTTTTTATTGTGCTAAAAATGTAGATACATATACAGCTTAGGAAAAAATAAAGTGAAAGCCTGCATACCCTTTAACTAGTTTTCCCAAATAGTATCAGTTTGGAAAATCATAGCTCAACATTACAAGCAGGATATTAACATTAAAGCAGTCTAGATACATAACATTGCCATCACCAGGGTCGGTCATGTTTCTCTTTCATAGGCACATACAATTTCTTCCCACTCTGATTCCTTACTTAATTCCCGGCAATCACTGACCTATATTATGTCATTACAAGTCTGATATATAAATGGAGACATATAGTGTATAAACTCTGAAACTGATTTTTTTCACTCAGCATAATTATCTGAATATTTATCCAGGTTGTTTTGTTTATCATAATAGTATTCCAGGGTGTGGAAGTATTACAGTTTGTTTAAACATTTACCCATTGAAGGACATCTGAGTTGTTTGCAGTGTTTGCCTATCATGAAAACATCTTCTATAAACATTAGTCTTCAGGTTTTTGTGTGAAAACAAGTCTTAAGTATTCTGGAATAAACACCTAGGTATGCAGTTTCTGGGTTTTATGGTAGTTGCATGTTTAATTTTTGTTTGAGAAACTGACAAACTGTTTTCCAGAGTGACTGTGAAATTTTACCTTCACACCAATAATGTATGAGTCATTCAGTTACTGTGATTTCTTACCAGTATTTGGTGACGTTATTTTATTTTATTTTTCATTTTGATGAGTATGTAGTAATAGCTCATTATGGTGTGTATTTGCATTTCACCAATGGCTAACAGTGTTGAACACAGTATAAGTGCTCATTTTCACATGCGTAACATCTGCAGTGAAATATCTCTTCATGTATTTTGCCATTTTTGAATTGGATTGTTCATTTTATCACTATTGAGTTTTGAGAGTGCTTTACATATCCTAGATACTAGTCTTTGTTGAACATATGACTTGTCTCTTTATTCTCCCACTTTGTGACTTGTCTTTTCATTCTCTTTATGAGATTTTTCACAGATCAAAGGTTTTTAACTTTTATAAAATATACTTGTTCTTTTTTTATTTTTAAAAATTGTTTAATTATGGCTACATAATAGTTGTATATATTTATGGGACACATGTACAATTTTGATAGGATATGTAAAGATCAATTCAGAGTAATTGGGGCCAGGTGTGGTGCTCATGCCTATAATCTTAGCACTTTGGGAGACTGAAGCATGCAGATCACTTGAGCCCAAGGAATTTGAGACCAGCCTGGGCAATATGGCGAGAGCCCATCTCTACAAAAAATGTAAAAATTAACCAGGTGTCACAGTGTTCATCTATAGTCCCAGCTACTTGGGAGGCTGAGAGATGGGAGGATCACTTAAAACCTGAAGGTCAAGGCTGTAGTGAGCCAAGTCTCACCACTGTACTCCAGCCCGGGCAACAGAGTGAGACTCTGTCTCAAAAAACAAACAAAAAAATCAGAGCAATGGGGATATACACATTTCAAACATTTATCTTTTTTGTATTAGAATATTCCAATTTCACCATTTTAGTTATTTTGAAATATACAAAATTATTTTTAATGATAGTCACCTTATTGTGCTACCAATATTGTTAGCTAGTAAATTATTGTTACTGTTGGATACAATGAGTTCTAGATTTGTCTTCAAAGAATCAGTATGTCAGTATGTTCAGTTCTTTGTCCTCTATTTTAAAGTTTAACTTCCTCGAAGTTTCAGTAAACAGCCAGTTTTAATCAGTAGTTCACATCTGTTCCCCTGGGCATCTCCTCCGTCCTGACTCATCCCGGTCATCTGTTTTGAACTGAGCCACCCCTGGTCACCTGCTCTGACCTAAGTCACCTTTAGTTACCTGTTCCTAACCGTCTTTCCCGCCAAACTATTCACCCCACCACTCTGGCTCATACCCCTGTCCTCTTTAAAATATCCAATTGGAATTAGCTTAGACTGTGTGGTCCAACCCTAGCCAATAAGGAAATGACCCTATGATGCAGGAATATGAACCCCTTCCCCTCCTTTGTTCAGGTGTGCTCTCACCATTACTCCATTCGTGAGTCACACCCTTCTATAGAAGTAAAAATTGATGGGAGGGGGTTCCAAGATGGCTGAATAGGAACAGCTCCAGTCTAAAGTTCCCAGCGTGAGCGATGAAGAAGACGGGTGATTTCTGCATTTCCAACTGAGGTACCAGGTTCATTTCACTGGGTCTTGTCGGACAGTGGGTGCAGGATGGTGGGTGCAGTGCACCGAGCGTGAGCCAAAGCAGGGCGAGGCATTGCCTCACCTGGGAAGTGCAAGGGGTCAGGGAATTCCCTTTCATAGCCAAGCAAATCTGTGACAGACAGCACCTGGAAAATCAAGTCACTCACACCCTAATATTGTGCTTTTCCAGTGGTCTTAGCAAATGGCACACCAGATTATATCCTGCACCTGGCTTGGATGGTCCCACGCCCATGAAGCCTCGCTCATTGCTAGAACTGCAGTCTGAGATCGAACTGCAAGGCTGCAGGGAGGCTGGGGGAGGGTCGCCCGCCATTGCTGAGGCTTGAGTAGGTAAACAAAGTGGCCAGGAAGCTCGAACTCGGTGGAGCCCAACGCAGCTCAAGGAGGCCTGCCTGCCTCTGTAGACTCCACCTCTGGAGGCAGGGCATAGCCAAACAAAAGGCAGCAGAAACCTCTGCAGACGTAAATGTCACTGTCTGACAGCTTTGAAGAGACTAGTGGTTCTCCCAGCATGGAGTTTGAGATCTGAGAACGGAAAGACTGCCTCTTCAAGTGGGTCCCTGACCCCTGAGTAGCCTAACTGGGAGGCACCCCCAGTAGGTGCAGACCGACACCTCACATGGCCAGGTACCCCTCTGACATGAAACCTCCAGAGGAATGATCAGACAGCAACATTTGCTGTTCAGCAATATTCACTGTTCTGCAGCCTCCGCTGCTGATACCCAGGCAAACAGGGTCTGGAGTGCACCTCCAGCAAACTCCAACAGACCTGCAGCTGAGGGTCCTGATTGTTAGAAGGAAAACTAACATACAGAAAGGACATCCACACCAAAAACGCATCTGTACGTCACCATCATCAAAGACCAAAGGTAGATAAAACCACAAAGATGGGGGAAAAACAGAACAGAAAAACTTAAAATTCTAAAAATCAGAGCATCTCTCCTCCTCCAAAGGAATGAAACTCCTCACCAGCAATGGAAGAAAGCTGGATGGAGAATGACTTTGACAAGTTGAGAGAAGAAGGCTTCAGATGACCAAACTTCTCCGAGCTAAAGGAGGAAGTTCGAACCCATGGCAAAGAAGTTAAAAACCTTGAAAAAAGAATAGACAAATGGCTAACTAGAATAACCAATGCAGAGAAGTCCTTAAAGGACCTGATGGAGCTGAAAAACATGGAACAAGAACTATGTGATGAATGCACAAGCTTCAGTAGCCTATTCGATCAACTGGAAGAAAGGGTTTCAGTGATTGAAGAGCAAATGAATGAAATGAAGTGAGAAGAGAAGTTTAGAGAAAAAAGAATGAAAAGAAACAAACGAAGCCTCCAAGAAATATGGGACTAAGTGAAAAGACCAAATCTATGTCTGATTGGTGTACCTGAAAGTGACGGGGAGAATGGAACCAAGTAGGAAAACACTCTGCAGGATATTATCCAGGAGAACTTCCCCAACCTAGCAAGGGAGGCAAACATTCAAATTCAGGAAACACAGAGAACACCACAAAAATACTCCTTGAGAAGAGCAACTCCAAGACACACAATTGTCAGATTCACCAAAGTTGAAATGAAGGAAAAAATGTTAAGGGCAGCCAGAGAGAAAGGTCAGGTTACCCCCAAAGGGAAGCCCATCAGACTAACAGCTGATCTCTCAGCAGAAGCTCCAAAAACCGGGAGAGAAAGGGGGCCAATATTCAACATTCTTAAAGAAAAGAATTTTCTACCCAGAATTTCATATCCAGCCAAAATAAGCGTCATAAGTGAAGGAGAAATAAAATACTTTACAGACAGGCAAATGCTGAGACATTTTTGACACCCCCACGCCTGCCCTACAAGAGCTCCTGAAGGAAGCACTAAACATGGAAAGGAACAACTGGTATAAGCCACTGCAAAAACATGCCAAATTGTAAAGACCATCAATGCTAGGAAGAAACTGCATCAACTAATGAGCAAAATAACCAGTTAATATCATAATGACAGGATCAAATTCACCCATAACAATATTAACCTTAAATGTAAATGGGCTAAATGCTCCAATTAAAAGACACACAGTGGCAAACTGCATAAAGAGTCAAGACCCATCAGTGTGCTGTATTGAGGAAACCCATCTCACGTGCAGACACACACGTAGGCTCAAAATAAAGGGATGGAGGAAGATCTACCAAGAAAATGGAAATCAAAAAAAGGCAGGGGTTGCAATCCTAGTCTCTGATAAAACAGACTTTAAACCAACAAAGATCAAAAGAGACAAAGAAGGCCATTCCATAATGGTAAAGGGATCAATTCAACAAGAAGAGCTAACTATCCTAAATATATATATGCACCGAATACAGGAGCACCCACATTCATAAAGCAAGTCCTTAGTGACCTACAAAGAGACTTAGACTCCCACACAATAATAATGGGAGACTTTAACACCCCACTGTCAACATTAGACAGATCAACGAGACAGAAAGTTAACAAGGATATCCAGGAATTGAATTCAGCTCTGCATCAAGCACACCTAATAGACATTTATAGAACTCTCCACCCCAAATCAACAGAATATACATTCTTCTCAGCACCACACTGCACTTATTCCAAAACTGACCACATAGTTGGAAGTAAAGCACTCCTCAGCAAATGTAAAAGAACAGGAATGATAACAAACTGTCCTTCAGACCACAGTGCAATCGTGCAATCAAACTACAACTCAGGATTAAGAAACTCACTCAAAACCACTCAACAACATGGAAGCTGAACAACCTGCTCCTGAGTGAATATTGGGTAAATAACAAAATGAAGGCAGAAATAAAGATGTTCTTTGAAACCAATGAGAACAAAGACACAACATACCAGAATCTCTGGGACACATTTAAAGCAGTGTGTAGACGGAAATTTATAGCACTAAATGCCCACAAGAGAAAGCAGGAAATATCTAAAATTGACACCCTAACATCACAATTAAAAGAACTAGAGAAGCAAGAGCAAACACATTCAAAAGCTAGCAGAAGGCAAGAAATAACTAAGATCAGAGCTGAACTGAAGGAGATAGAGACACAAAAAAAAACCCTTCAAAAACATCAATGAATCCAGGAGCTGGTTTTTTGAAAAGATCAACAAAATTCATAGACTGCTAGCAAGAGTAATAAAAAAGAAAAGAGAGAAGAATCAAAAAGATGCAATAAAACATGATAAAGGGCATACCACCACCAATCCCACAGAAATACAAACTACCATCAGAAAATACTATAAACACCTCTATGCAAATAAACTAGAAAATCTAGAAGAAATGGATAAATTCCTCGACACATACACCCTCCCAAGACTAAACCAGGAAGAAGTTGAATCTCTGAATACACCAATAAAAGGCTCTGAAATTGAGGCAATAATTAATAGCTTACCAACCAAAAAAAGTCCAGGACCAGATGGATTCACAGCCGAATTCTACAAGAGGTAAAAGGAGAAGCTGGTACCATTCCTTCTGAAACTATTCCAATCAATAGAAAAAGAGGGAATCCTCCTTAACTCATTTTTTGAGGCCAGCATCATCCTGATACCAAAGCCTGGCAGAGACACAACAAAAAAAGAGAATTTCAGACCAATATCCCTGATGAACATCAATGCGAAAATTCTCAATAAAATGCTGGCAAACTGAATCCAGCAGCACATCAAAAAGCTTATCCACCATGATCAAGTGGGCTTCATCCCTGGGATGCAAGGCTGGTTCAACATATGCAAATAAATAAACATAATCCAGCATATAAACAGAACCAAAGACAAAAACCATATGATTATCTCAATAGATGCAGAAAAGGCCTTTGATAGAATGCAACAGCCCTTCATGCTAGAAACTCTCAATAAATTAGGTATTGATGGGACATATCTCAAAATAATAAGAGCAATCTATGACAAACCCACAGCCAATATCATACTGAATGGGCGAAAACTGGAAGCATTCCCTTTAAAAACTGGCACAAGACAGGGATGCCCTCTCTCACCACTCCTATTCAACATAGTGTTGGAAGTTCTGGCGAGGGCAATCACGCAGGAGAAGGAAATAAAGGGTATTCAATTAGGAAAAGAGGAAGTCAAATTGTCCCTGTTTGCAGATGACATGATTGTATTCTAGAAAACCCCATCGTTTCAGCCCAAAATCTCCTTAAGCTGATAGGCAACTTCGGCAAAGTCTCAGGATACAAAATCAATGTACAAAAATCACAAGCATTCTTATACACCAATAACAGACATACAGAGAGCCAAATCATGAGTGAACTCCCATTCACAATTGCTTCAAAGAGAATAAAATACCTAGGAATCCAACTTACAAAGGATGTGAAGGACCTCTTCAAGGAGAACTACAAAGCACTGCTCAACGAAATAAAAGAGGATACAAACAAATGGAGGAACATTCCATACTCATGAATACGAAGAATCAATATCATGAAAATGGTCATACTGCCCAAGGTAATTTATAGATTCAATGCCATCCCCAACAAGTTACCAAGGGCTTTCTTCACAGAATTGGAAAAAACTACTTTAAAGTTCATATGGAACCAAAAAAGAGCCCGCATTGCCAAGTCAATCTTAAGACAAAAGAACAAAGCTGGAGGCATCACGCTACCTGACATCAAACTACACTACAAGGCTACAGTAACCAAAACAGCATGGTACTGATACTAAAACACAGATATAGACCAATGGCACAGAACAGAGCCCTCAGAATTAATACCACACATCTACAACTATCTGATCTTTGAGAAACCTGACAAAAACAAGAAATGGGGAAAGGATTCCCTATTCAACAAATGTTGCTGGGAAAACAGACTAGCCATATGTGAAAAGCTGAAACTGGATGCCTTCCTTACACCTTATACAAAAATTAACTCAAGATGGATTAAAGAGTTAAATATTAGACCTAAAACCATAAAAACCCTAGAAGAAAACCTAGGCAATACCATTCAGGACATAGGCATGGGCAAGGATTTCATATCTAAAACACCAAAAGCAATGACAACAAAAGCCAAAATTGACAAATGGGATCTAATTAAACTCAAGAGATTCTGCACAGCAAAACAAACTACTATCAGAGTGAACAGGCAACCTACAGAATGGGAGAAAATTTTTGCAACCTACTCATCTGACAAAGGGCTAATATTTAGAATCTACAAAGAACTCAAACAAATTTACAAAGAAAAAAACAAACATCCCCATCAAAAAGTGAGTGAAGGATATGAACAGACAGTTCTCAAAAGAAGACATTTATGCAGCCAAAAGACACATGAAAAAATGCTCACCATCACTGGCCATCAGAGAAATGCAAATCAAAACCACAATGAGATATCATCTCACACCAGTTAGAATGGCAATCATTAAAAAGTCAGGAAACAACAGGTGCTGGAGAGGATGTGGAGAAATAGGAACACTTTTACATGGTTGGTGGGACTGTGAACTATTTCAACCATTGTGGAAGACAGTGTGGAAATTCGTCAGGGATCTAGAACTAGAAATACCATTTGACCCAGCAATCCCATTACTGGGTATATACCCAAAGGATTATAAATCCTGCTGCTATAAAGACACATGCACACGTATATTTATTGCAGCACTGCTCACAATAGCAAAGACTTGCAATCAACCCAAATGTCCAACAATGATAGACTGGATTAAGAAAATGTGGCACATATACACCATGGAATACTATGCGCCATAAAAAATGATGAGTTCATGTCCTTTGTAGGGACATGGATGAAACTGGAAGCCATCATTCTCAGCAAACTATCGCAAGGACAAAAAACCAAACACCACATGTTCTCACTCATAGGTGGGAATTGAACAATGAGAACACTTGGACACAGGAAGGGGAACATCACACACCAGGGCTTGTGGTGGGGTGGGGTGAGGGAGGAGGAATAGCATTAGGAGATATACCTAATGTAAATGACAAGTTAATTGATGCAGCACACCAACATGGCACATGTATACATATGTAGCAAACCTGCATGTTGTGCTCATGTACCCCAGAACTTAAAGTATAATAAAAAAAATATATATATAAAAATTAAAAAAGAAAATAAATACTAATTAAAAAAAGAAGTAAAAATTGCCTTGCTGAAAAATTTTGTGTTTGAGTGCTATTTCTTTGCAGCACTGAGGAACAAGCATTTTACTTCTCACAATCGAGGAGCAAGCATTTTGTTTCTAACATTACCAGTAATGACTAATTGTAGCCAGTAAATTTTTGTTAACTACAGTAACCTTATTGTCCTACCAAACCCTAGGTCTTATTTCTTCTATCTAATTGTATTTCTGTAGCCATTAAACATCCCATTTGAATCCTTTCTTCCTCATTAAACTTCCCAGCCTCTGGTAACCATCATTCTATTTCCATGAGTTTATTTATTTAGCTTCCATATATGAGTGAGTGCAGGCAATATTTGTTTTTATGTCTGGCTTACTCCACTTAACATAATGTCCTCCAGTACCATCTACGTTGTTGCACATGACATGACAGGATTTAATTATTTTTAAAGCTAAATAATATTCCATTGTGTATATATGTATCACCATTTATTTATCCATTGACCTGTTAATAGGCTTTAGGTTGATTCAATATTTTGGGTATTGTGAACAGTGTAGCAATAAACATGGGAGTGCAGGTATCTCTGTAGGGGGCTGAAGGCCTGTGGGTCATGACCAACTCAGCATTCTGCTGGAGGCTATATGATCAAACAGCAAACTGTTTATCATGAATGCAGGATGTGGGAAAACTCACGACTGCTCCTGCCGCCAGAAGGTATGCTGAGTGCAATCACTCCCTGGTGCCATGCTCCTTGATGTTATCTACTGGAACATCTGGAGACTACTGTTCAGAGAGTGCAGTCATGCAAGCCTGCACCAAATCAAGCAGCTGACTGACAACCACTCCCTTCTCCCTATCTCCTTTACTCAATAAATACAAAGGGAGCTAAAATCTCAGGGCCCATGTTCACTAGAAACAAGGAGCCCCCTGACCCCTTCTTCCAAACATACTCTTTTGTCTTTATGTTTATTCCTGCACTCGTCCCCCTTTGTTCAGTCCAACAGGGATTGGGGCTGCGTCAAAGTGGTGCCTGAACAGGGACTTCAAGGACGCGAATGAAGAAGGTCCGTTGGAGCAGAGGAAGTGAAACTGACAAGATGAACGGGGACCTCGGGAGGAGTCTGCCAACAGCAGATATAAGGACAGTGCCCTAAAGAAGTACTGTTCAGTGCCCTAAAGAGGTACTGGGAATGATATAAGGTCAGTGCTGGAAAGAAGTACTGGGAGTGAGAAGTTTTCTGAATCAGGGTAACATGGGGCATAATTAGTCTGTTGAAGAAAATCATTATGTGCAGTTGCTTCAAGTTCTGTTGAGACAGTCTGGAACTCAGGTTAATTTGCAGACACTAACTAAGCTTCTGCAGGAGGTTATTATGCATAACCCATGGTTTCCACAGACAGGCAGTTTTGATGTGGAAAATTAGGACAGAGCAAGAGAAGGATTAAAATGGCCTCATCAAAAAGGTCTTAAAGTTGATCCTTCTGTTTCCTCCACTTGCAGTTTAGTTTCTACTGTCCTTCTGCCATTGTCTCCTTCTTATTCTGCTGGACAGCAGGAGTCATGTTCTGAGCCTAAAAATCTGAAAGAATCTGCTGTTAAACAGCACCAATTGAAAATAAAAATAAAAAAAAACAGAAAAGGGAGGATAAAAATTGGCCTATACCTCCCCCTCCAATAGCAGAAACATCTGTACCGCCTCCTTTGGTAGCAAAAATAGGGACACCAATACAAAGAATTTTAGGCTCTGCTGCCATAGCTGGAGAGCCCTTAGGATGTTGTGCTTTTCTTATTTCCGTAAGGCCTGATCCAAATAATCCACAGCAGTATACTTATAAACACACCTCATTAGAGTTTAAGTTATTGAAGGGATTAAAAGCTAGTATAGTTAATAGTGGAGTAAAGAGTCCATTCACTTTAGAATTGCTAGAATCTGTGTTTGGTGATATGTGCCTTCTACCCTTTGATGTAAAACATTTGCTCAAACTTGTTTGTCTGCTAGTGCATATCTGACATGGAATTTAAATTGACAAGAAATGTGTGCAGACCAGGCTAGACAGAATTGTGCTGCCAGACAGGAAGACATTACAGAGGATATGCTGTTAGGTAATGGCCCTTATTCAGACCTAGAACATCAAATGACAATCCCAAATGCTGCTTATCAGCATTGTGCACAGACTGCTAAATGTGCCCGGGCCACAATTCCAGAAGAGGGAGTTCCAGTACACTCCTTTGTATGTATCATGCAAGGGTCATAGGAGCCCTATGCACATTTTCTCACAAGATTACAAGAGGCAGTGAAGCTTCAGATTCCTCATACCACTCATGCAGAAATGCTAACCTTAACTTTAGCTTTTGAGAATGCAAACATGGATTGTAAATGTGCACTGGCACCAATGAGGTGTACAACAAACTTAGGAAATTTTCTCAGAGCTTGTCAGGATGTAGGAACTGAGCTTCATCACTCTGCAATGTGAGTGCAAGCAATGACTAATTTAGCAGTTGACAAATCTAAAAAGAGCCAAGGGTCAAATTCTAAAATGGGAAAATGTTATAACTGTGGAAAAACTGGACATTTAAAAAGGAATGCCACAAGATCTGAGGACAGCAAGGATTTTATTATGTAGTTCCTCCACCCCACAGCAGAAAAAAATACCAGGACTCTGTCCTCGCTGTAACAAACGAAATCACTGGGCTAATCAATGCTGCTCAAAATTTCATCAAAATAGCACCCCCCTGTCGGGAAATGAGAAGGGGGCCTGGACTCAGGCCCCACAAATAATGAGGGCATTCCCAGTCCAGGCCACTACCCTGTTTCAGGATTGGGTCCCAGGAGAACCATTGATTCCCTCACCCCAGGAACACCAGGAAATGCAAGATTAGATCTCCTAATCAGAGAAAGAATTACATTAGTTGGAAGAGACAAAACTACCAAAGTTCCCACTGGCATTTGCGGACCTTTACCAGCAGGACTAATTTCAGGCAAAAGCCCCTTAACTTGCAAGACATTACTGTAGTCCCAGCAGTAGCTGACTCTGATTATGAAGGAGAAATTCATGTAGCTTTAATGTCACAAAATCTTTAGGTTTTTGAACTGGAAGAATATATTGCTCAACTATTGCTTATTCCCTGCAAATTACACCCTTCTCCATGAAAGGAGAAATGAGGAAATGAAGAGTTTGGAGCACAACTACATGAAAAATCTATATATCCCAACTCATAGCCTCTAATAGACCCATCTGTGTAGTATGAATTAAAGGATGTGGAGAAATAGGAATGCTTTTACACTGTTGGTGGGACTGTAAACTAGTTCAACCATTGTGGAAGTCAGTGTGGCGATTCCTCAGGGATCTTGAACTAGAAATACCATTTGACCCAGCAATCCCATTACTGGGTATATACCCAAAGGATTATAAATCATGCTGCTATAAAGACACATGCACACGTATGTTTATTGTGGCACTATTCATGATAGCAAAGACTTGGAACCAAGCCAAATGTCCAGCAATGATAGACTGGATTAAGAAAATGTGGCACATACACTTCATGGAATACTATGCAGCCATAAAAAAGGATGAGTTCACGTCCTTTGTAGGGATATGGATGAAGCTGGAAACCATCATTCTCAGAAAACTATCACAAGGACAGAAAACCAAACACTGCATGTTCTCACTCATAGGTGGGAATTGAACAATGAGAACACATGGACAGAGGAAGGGGAACATCACACACCGGGGCTTGTGGCAGGGTGGGGGGAGGGGGGAGGGATAGCATTAGGAGATATACCTAATGTTAAATGATGAGTTGACGGGTGCAGCACACCAACATGGCACATGTATACATATGTAACTAACCTGCATGTTGTGCGCATGTACCCTAAAACTTAAAGTATAATAAAAAAAATCTGTAGTTTAATAGCATTGTGCCTATGGTAGTTTCTCAGAGATAAGTGCATTGGTTATGTAAGATGTTAACATAGGGGAAACTGAATGAAGGGTATATGGAAACTGTACGATTTTTTTCAAATCTTCCTAACACGATCTTAAAATAAAAAAAAAAAAGAATTAAAGGAAAGAAATTTTATGGGCTTATGGACACAGGAGCTGATGTGTCAGTAATATCCTGTAAGGACTGGTCCCCCAGCATGGCCTCTCAGACTAACCTCCACATCCTTAGTGGGAGTAGGAGCAGTTCAACGTGTTCAAAAGAGTGCTGAGATTTTACCTTGTCTTGGTCTGGATGGATAATCATGTACTTTCTAGCCTTATATTGCAAATATAAGTACAGCATGGGATATGAGACTTACAAATAAAAACTTTGATAACCCAGGATTTAAAATGTTGAAGACATGGGATATTAGAGTGGAAAAGGTTTAGGGAAATTCCTACAAGGAAACTCTAACCTGGTATCAATACCTGGAAAGACAGGTTAAACCATGCAAGGAGATTCTTCATTAAATTCCCCGTGGCAATTGAGCAAAGAGGCCAAAGCAGAGTTACAGCTTATAGAGCAGATGTTTCAATAACGACATTCCTCATGGCTACAGCCACACCAACCTTTGCTTTAGTTTGTTCTTCCTACCCCCCACTCTCCAACAGGACTTCTAGGCCAATGCTTAGACATATCTGTAACAGTAATAGAATGGCTCTTTCTACCTAATCAAACAGTCAAAACCTTGCAAGTCTATCTTTCTTTAATTACACAAATTGTGACAATAGATAAGCATAGGTCAAAGATGCTTATGGGATAGGATCCAGACAAAATTATTGTTCCCTTAGACACTTAGCAACAGGCCACAGCTTGGGAAATGTCAATTGCATGGCAAATCACTTTTGCAAACTTCTTGGGAATAACAGACAACCACTAACCCTCAGACAAAATTTTGCAGTTTTATAAAGTCCATTCTTTAATTCTTCCTGTGATTACTCATCACAAGCCTATTTCAGGTGGCCAGACTTATTTTACTGATGGCTCTTCCAAAGGTCATGCAGTTATTTATGGACCTAAACATACTCAAACAATAATGACCTCTGGGGTTTCAGCTCAGAGTTAATTGTAGTCATTCAGGTTTTACAGCTCATAGCTTTAGATCCTATCAACATTGTCTGTGATTCAGATTTTTTTTAAATGTAGCCAGTCGCATAGAAACTGCTGCAATTAAATGTACCCTAGAAACAGAACTGCTTGTTTCTAAGACTTCAACAAGCTATTCCCTCTTACATAGCTCCTTTTCATATTTCTCATATTCACTCTCACACAACTTCCTGGACCACTATCTCTAGGTAATGATAGAGCAGATAAATTGATTGGATCTGTGTTTCAGCAAGCTCAAGCCTCTCATGCGCTACTGCACCAAAATACTTCTGCTCTTACTCGCATGTTTCACTTGTTTTGCAGCAAAGCTAGGGCTATAATACAAGCCTCTTCTACTTGCCAGCAAGTCCCTGGAGCCACACCTGTAGAAGGCTGTAACCCACAAGATTTGGCTCCAAATGAAATCTGGAAAATGGATATTACACATATCGCAGCCTTTGGCAAGCTTAGCTATGTTCATGTGACTATGGACAGTTATTCTCATATGCTGCATGATACATGCCAAACAGCTGAGACAGCTGGTCATGTACAGCGACATTGTCTGTCATCATTTGCTCACATGGGGATTCCTAAACAATTAAAAACTGACAATGGACTTGCTTATACTAGTTAGTTTTTTCAAAATTTCTTACAGCTTTGGGCTATAACCCATAAAACAGGAATTCCTTATAATCCTAGAGGACAAGGCATTATAGAGCGGGCACATCAAACATTAAAACGTATGTTGAATAAACAGAAAGGAGGAATAGGAGACCATTTACCACCTCAAACAAAACTATATTTAGTCTTATTTACTTTAATTTTTTTGACTCCTGATACGGATGGTAAGACTCCAGCAGAAAGACATTGGAAAGTGTTAGAGGAAAAGAAAAATGTTTATCCAAAAATGTATGGAAATCCCCGGAAGAAGGATAATGGAAAGGTCCGGTGGATTTATTAACGTGGGGATGAGGGTATGCTTGTTTTTACAGGAGATGGACAAACTGTATGGGTGCCCTCAAGGTTCATGCGACCATGGGAGACTGGAGAAACCCTGGGTGGCCAACCATGGGCCTAGTCCCTCTTGTACAAGCCATGAGCCAGCTGAGCCTGAGTGCAAAGACAGAGAGAAGGCCAACTGGAGTCACGATGACATCAACCACCATAAGCTGGGGGCAAGTCAAGAAAACCAACAGAAAGCTGAGAAACTACTGGAGCATCAAGGCCAAGCAAAAACCCCTGATTCCATGTTCTTGGCCATGTTAGCCACAATGTCCTGTGCAGTATGTTTTCCCTGTGCAGAGGCAAAAGCATATTGGGCATATGTTCCCAATCCCCCAGTAGTATGAACTGTACTTTGGAGTGACACTCCCCTGAGATCTATCATGATCAGGGAGCATGGACTCCAGGACCCCTAACTCCCCCTGACACAGAACAGTTAGACTCTCAGAACAATGTCATTAATTATACTGCCCCACAAGAAGGACTCCCCTTGACACTACAAAGATGTCACTCAACCATAGCTGTCTTTATAATTCAAGCTCAAGAATGGTTGAGTCGCTATGGAAAAGTCATGTACCTATTAAGTCTTGGTTGTATTAATGTAATTGGTATGCTAACCAACCATTCCCAGTCCAATCACTCCAATTGTGCTGACTATATGGAATGGATTCCCTTCGATAGTTTCTACCCTGCTCCATGGAAACAGTGTCTTGGCCCATTGGCTGGAAAACAACCTATGTTAACTGGAGACATTGTGGATTGGCGACCTAAAGGTCAACTATATGGAAAAGATGAAAACCAGAAATCATGCCACAAACTTCACTGGCATTAGTGGCAAACTTTTAATGCTGCTTCTTTATACTACACTGGGATCCAATCCCAGTCTGCTGCCCAGATTGCTTGGCAAAAGCAGGCTTTAGCCTGCCTCTTCCTCAGTGGCATCATCTAGGGAGGAAAGGACCAGTCCAAGAGACACTATGGAAGGCAGCACTCCCATTTATGAATGGCAGCATCTAGGTTGGGATACTATGCAATAATAGCAATAGTAAGCAACACAGTCTTAACCTTACATTTGTAAAGAATATCACCACTCAATTTATGATTTTTGTTTTTAATCCTTATGACTTTTTGGCAGCTAAGAAGGACCAGCTCCAGGTAAACAATACCCAATTGAACTGTAAATCTTGCCAGTTATATCACTGCATTAATCATAGCACATTGCAAACACATAATATCTCTACTTAATAATTTTGGGTTGCATCCCTGGGCTATGGATTCCCATTAATCTGTCCAAGCCTTAGGCTGCCATCCGTGCTTTGCACTTCGTGAAACTACTTCTAACTCAGCCTTCTCATCATGCCCGTAGAGCTTTAGGCATGATAATATTTGCTATTGTTTCCTTGGTCACACTAATAACTTCTGTTGTGATGTCCTCTGTAGCTTTGCATAGTTCTGTTCAAACGGCTCAGTACATAGAGAACTGGACACATACAGCCAACCAAGTGTGGCTACTTCAGAATAAAATTAACACTGAGTTACAAACTGAAGTGGCTATGTTGAAATCCACAGTTCTAGGGTTAGAAGAACAAGTATAAATCTTACAATTGCAACAGCAATTGTGCTGTTATTTTAATCACACTCATATTTGTGTAACCAACTTAGAATATAACCAAAGTGAGTATCCACGGGACCTTGTGAAAGCCCATTTGCAGGGAGCTTTCACACCCAACATCACCTTTGATATTGGCAAATTACAAAACAGAATTCCTTATTTAAGTAAGCAAACTCAAGAGTTTCAGCCTTCTTTAGAAGACTGGATAGAATTCCAGCAAGGCCTGAAGAACCTAAATCCTTGGACCTACATAAAGCACCACATTAACATCTCATATGCAGTTCTTGGAATAATGTTGTTTTGTCTCTGTTTTCTGTTTGTAGTCTGTAAAATCAGATGGACTGCCAATCAGAAAATGAGAGCTGTCCAGCCTGGCCTTACATTCATTCAATTAATACATAAACAGAAAGGGGGAAATGTAAGGAGCCAAAGGCATGTGGGTCACGACTAACTCATCATTCCACTGGAGGCAATATGATCAAACAGCAAAATGTTTATCATTAATGCAGGGTGTAGGCAAACTCATGACTATTCCTGCCGCCAGAACGTATGCTGAGTGCAATCACTCCCTGGAGCCATGTTCCTTGAGGTTATCTACTGGAACATCTGGAGACTACTGTTCAGAAAATGCAGCCATGCAAGCCCGCACTGAATCAAGCAGCTATCTGACAACCACCCCCTTCTCCCCTTCTCCTTTACTCAATAAACACGAAGGGAGCAAAAAGCTCAGGGCCCTTGTTCACTAGAAGCAAGGAGCCCCCTGACCTCTTCTTCCAAATATACTATTTTATCTTTATCTTTATTCCCACATTCGTCCCTCTTTGTTCAGTGCAACAGGGATTGGGGCTGCATCATATCTCTTTAATATACTGATTGCTTTTCTTTTGGATATATACCAGCAGTGGGATTGCTGGATTATAAGGTAATTCTATTTTTAGCTTTTTGAGGAATCTCTTTACTGTTCTCTGTAGTAAGATACATTCCTACCAACAGTATATAAGGGTTCCTCATTCTCCACATCTTCACCAGCATCTGTTATTACCTGTCTCTCAGATAAAATCCAGTTTAACTGGGGTGAGATGATATCTTACTGTAGTTTTGATTTGCATTTCTCTGATGATTAGTAATGTTGAGGACTTTTTAATATACTGGTTGGTCACTTGTATATCTTCCCTTAATAAATGTTTATTCAAACCCACTTCAAATTATACTACAATGCTATATGAGTCATAACAGCATGGTAGCATAAAAACAGACACATGAACAGAATAGAGAACCCAGAATTATATGCATTTACAGTTAACTTATTTTGTGACAAAAGTGCCAAGAAGGCCAGGTGCAGTGGCTGACACCTGTAATCACAGCACTTTGGAAGGCCAACGTGGGCAGATCACAAGTTTAAGAGTTTGAGACCAGCCTGACCAACATGGTGAAACCCTGTTTCTACTAAAAAAATACAAAAATGCTTGGCATTGTGGTACGTGCCTATAATCCCAGCTACTCAGGAGGCTGAGGCAGGAGAATAGCTTGAACCCGGGAGGTGAAGGTTGCAGTGAGCTGAGATTAGACCATTGCACTCCAGTCTGGGTGACAGAGTGAGACGCTGTCAAAAAAAAAAAAAAAAAGTCCAAGAAAATACACTGGGGAAAGGACAGTCTCTTCAAATTTTTCTGGGGTTGCTGACTATCCATATGCATAAGAATGAAACTAGAATCCTATCTTATGCCATATGCAAAGGTCAAAGCAAAAGGAATTAAAGAGTTAAATCCAAGGATTGAAACTAAGAAAACATTAGATGAAAACTTTGTAGAAACACTACAGGACATTGGTCTTTGTGAAGATTTCTTGAGTAAGATCTCAAAAGCTCATGCAACCAAAGCAAAAATGGACAAATGAAATTACGTTAAGTGAAAAAGCTTCTGCATAGCATAGGAAAAAAAAAAAAGCAAAGAGACAGCTCACAAAATGGAAGAAAATATTTGCAAACCATCCATCTTATAAAGGATTAATAATCAGAATATATAAGAAGTTCAAACAGCTGAATGGGAAAAAAAATCCCAATTTAAAAATGGGCAAAATTTTTCTTTTATGGATCATGCTGCTTTTGGAATCATGTTTAATAACTTGATGTCCAGCCTCAGATTTCAAAGATAATCTTCCATCACATTGTTTCTAGACCTGCTGTGGGCCTGAAGGGAACCCAGTGGTCTGAAGGGTGAGTCCCAGGCCAAGTACAATTCACCACAAGCTGACTGAAGAGTCCTTGGGCCTTAGGGGAATATTGGCAGTAGTCTCACAGTACTCTCTGTGGGTCTGTGGCAGCAGTGGCTAAGGGGTTAGGCTCCTCTGCCTTTCAAAAGGGGAGGAAAGTGTGGGAAGGATTCTGTCTTGTGGTTTTAGTGCCAGCTCAGCCATAGTATAATAGAACATCAAGGACCTCTTCAGTACCTTGGGGAGCTCACTGCCCTAAACGGAAGGACACAGTCTTGGCTGGCTTTACCACCTGGGAAGATTGTAGAGCCCTAGGGCCTTAAATAAACGTAGGCAGTAACCAGAAAGTGGTTACAGCAGGCCTTGGCCAAGGCCTTGGCCAAGACCCAGTGCTGTGCTGGCTTTAGATCTAACGAAGTGAAATTCTAGTGCTGGTGGCCACATGGATGCTTGTGTTACTCTAGCCCCAGCTTCAGGTGGCTCAGAACAGAGAGAGAGAGGCTCTTTTTGGGGAAAAGTAAGAGAAGAGAACAAAGGTCTTTGCCTGGTAATCCATATAATTCTTCTGGGTCTTTTTCAAGGCCATCAAGGCAGGACTTCTATGAGTTTGCAAGAACCACAGCATTACTAGGCATAAGGTAAACCCTAAAACAGATATAGCTTAGGTTACAACTCTCAAGTCAATCTGAATATCTGAAAAGCCTTCCCAAGAATGACAAATACAGAGAAACCCAGACAGAGAAGAATACAATAAATGTCTAACTCTTCAATGGTAACACAGAGACAAACATCTGTAAGTATCAAGACCATGAAGGGAAACAGGACTTCACCAAATGGACTAAATAAGGCACCAGGGGGAGAAGCTGAGATATGTAACCTTTCATACAGAGATTTCAAAATAGCTGTTTTGAGGAAATTCAGAGAAATTCAAAATAACACACAGAAAGAATGTAGAATTAAATCAGACAAATTTAACAAGAAATTGAAGTAATTAAAAATAATTAAGTAGATATTCTGTGGCTGAAAAATGCAATTGGGATACTAAAGAATATATCAGTCTTTTAATAGCTGAACCGATCAAGCAGAAGAAAGAATTAGTGAGCTTGAAGACAGGCTATTTGAAAATACAATATCAGAGGAGACAAAATAAAAAGATTAAAAATGAAGCACATCTACAGCATAGAAAATGCCTTAAAACAGCAAATCTTAGAGTTATTGGTGTTAAAGAGGTGGTAGACAGATAGGGGTAGAAGGTTTATTCAAAGGGATAATAAGAGAGAACTTCCCAAACCTAGAAAAAGATATCAATATTTAAGTACAAATAGGTTGTAGAACACCAAGCAGATTTAACCCAAAGAAGACAACCTCAAGGCATTTGATAATCAAACTCCCAAAGGTCAAAGATTAAAAAAGGATCCAAGAAGCAGCAAGAGAATGGAGATCCAATATTTTTGGCACCAGTTTTTCCATAGAAGAAAACCTAACAGGCCACGAAAGAGTGGCATGACGTATTTAAAGTGCTAAAGGAAAAAAAATTAAAAGCTTACCCTTGAATAATATATCAGGCAAAAGTATGCTTCAAACATGAAGGAGAAACAAAAGGTGAGAAACATGAAGGAAAAACAAAAGGTGAGAGATTTAATTAACACCAGACCTATTCTACAAGATATTCTCAAGAGAGTACTTCAATCAGAAAGAAAAGGACATTAATGAGCTATAAAGAAATCATCTGAAGCTACAAAACTCACTGCTAATAGTAAGCATGCAGAAAAATACAGAATATTATAACACCGTAATTGTAGTGTGTAAACTACTCTTATCTTAAAAAGAAAGTCTAAAAGATGAACCATTCTAAAATAATAACTACAACAACTTTTCAAGACATAGACCATAAAATAAGATATAAATAGAAACAACAAAAAGTGAAAAAAATGAAGGATAAAATTAAGGCGTAGAGCCTATTAGTTTTCTTCTTGCTTGTTTGTATGTTTGTTAGTATATGCAAAATATTTTCAGTTGTAATCAACTTAAAATATGTGTTATAAGATAGTATTTGCAATCCTCGTTTTAACCTGTAACCAAAAAACGTATAGCAGGTGCACAAAAAAATAAAAAGCATGAAACTAAATCATATCACCAGAGAAAATCACCTTTACTAAAAGACAGAAAGAAAAGAAAGGAGGAAGAGAAGATCAGAAAATGAATAACAAAATGACAGGAATAAGTTCTTACTTATCAATAAAATGGCAGGAATAAGTTCTTACTTATCAATAATAAAAGTTCTTACTTATTATTAAGTTTATTATTAATACACTTAATAATAATTTAATAACTTAAATGTAAATGGACTAAACTCACCAATCAAAAGACATAGTGTGACTGAATGGATAAAAAAAGAAGACCCAATAATCTGTTGCCTACAATAAATATACTTCACCTATTAAGGCACACATAGACTGAAAATAAGATGAAAAAAGATATTCCATACCAATGTAAACCATAAAAGAGCAGTAATA
Source organism: Homo sapiens (assembly GCF_000001405.40). NCBI lineage: Eukaryota > Metazoa > Chordata > Mammalia > Primates > Hominidae > Homo > Homo sapiens. Next base: position 102,845,102 of record NC_000001.11, read on the forward strand.
GTTACACTTATGTCAGAGAAAGTGGATTTCAAGGCAAAAAGTAAAAGGAAAGGAAAAGAAGGTCACTGTATGATGTAGTTTGGATGTGTGTCCCCACTCAAATCTCATATTGAAATGTAATGCCTAATATTGGAGGTGGGGCCTGGTGGGAGGTGAGTGGATCACGGGGGCAGATTTCTCATGAATGGTTTAGCACCATTTCTCTTGGTACTCTCTTGGCAATAGAGAGTGAGTTCTCTTGAGATCTGGTCATTTCGAAGTGTGTAGCATGAGACGTCTCCCCTTGCTCTCTTGCACCTGCTCTGGCCATGTGACATGCCTGCTTCCTCTTTGCATTTGCCATGATTGTAAGTTTCTTAAGGCCTCTCCAGAAGCCAAGCAGATGTCAGTATCATGCTTCCTATACAGCTTGCAAAGTCGTTAGCCCACTAACCCTCCATTCTGTATAAATTACCCAGTCTCAGGTATTTCTCTATAGCAATGCAAGAATGGCCTAATACAGTATATAATGATAAAGAGGTTAATTAAGCAATAAGATAACAACAATTATAAATATATATGCACCCAACACTGGAGCACCCAGATATATAAAGCAAATATTATCAGAGCTGAAGAGAGAGATAGGCCCCAATATCATGATAGCTGGAGACTTCAACACCCCACTTTCTACAACGGACATACTTGGAGCACCCAGATATATAAAGCAAATATTATCAGAGCTGAAGAGAGAGATAGGCCCCAATATCATGATAGCTGGAGACTTCAACACCCCACTTTCTACAACGGACATACTTTCCAACAGAAAATCAACAAAAAAAATCGGATTTAATCTTCACTATAGACCAAATAAACCTGATATTTACAAAACATTTCATCCAATGGCTGCAGAATACACATTCTTTTCCTCAACATATGGATCATTCTCAAGGATAGACCATATGTTAGGTCACAAAGCAAGTCATAAAACATTCAAAAAATTAAATAATAGCGAACATCTACACTGACCACATTGAAAATCAATAACAAGAAGAATTTTGGAAACTATACAAATAGTTAGAAGTTATACAACATGGTTCTGGATGACCAGTGGGTCATTGAAGAAATTAAGAAAGAAATTGAAAAGTTTCTTGAAACAAATGATTATGAAAATGCAACAAACCAAAACCTATGAGATACAGCAAAAATAGTACTAAGAGGAGTTTATACCCACAAGTGCCTACATCAAAAAAGAAAAAAAAAAAACTTCAAAGAAACAATCGACTTATGTGTCTAAAAGAACTAGAAAAGCAAGAGGAAACCAAACCAGAATTAGTAGAAGAAAAGGCATAATTAAGATCAGAGCAAAAATAAATAAAATTAAAGAAAAACAATACAAAAGGTAAATGAAACAAAAAGTTCGTTTATTTGAAAATTTAAACAAAATAGACAAACCTTTAGCCAGACTAAGGAAAAAAATAGAGAAGATTCAAGTAAATAAAACCTGAGATGAAAAAGGAGACATTAGACATTACAACCGATACTGCAGAAGTTCAAAGGATCATTAGTGAATACTATGAACAACTATATGCCAATAAATTGGGAAAAAAATTAGAAGAAATGGACAAATTGCTATACACATACAACCTACTAAGATAGAACCAGGAAGAAATCTAAATTCTGAACAGATCAATAACAAGTAACAAGATCAAAGCCATAATACAAAATTTCCCACTAAAGAAAAGCCTGGGTCCCAGTGACTTCACTTCTGAATTCCACCAAATACCTAACTAATAACATCCTACTCAAACTATTCCAAAAAACAAAGGAGAATAGAATACTTTCAAACTCATTCTGTGAGGCCCTGACACTAAAACCAAAAACACATGAAAAAAAAAGAAAAGAAAACTACAGGCCAATATCCATGATGAATATTGATGCAAAAATCTTCAACAAAATACTAGCAAACCAAATCAAATTAAACAATATATTAAAAATACTATTCATTATGACCAAGTAGAATTTATTTCTGGGATGCAAGGATTCTTCACCATATGCAAATCATCAATGTGATACATCATATCAACAGAATGAAGGACAAAAACAATATGATCACTTCAATTGATGTTGAAAGAGCATTTAATAAAATTCAACATATTTTTATGATTAAAAACTCTCAAAAAACTGGATATAGAAAAAATATATCTCAGCATAATAAAAGCCACATATGACAGACCCACAACTAGTATTAAACTGAATGGGGAAAAACTGGAACCCCTTTCTCTAAAATCTGGAACATGACAAGGATTCCAACTTTCACCACTGTTACTCGACATACACTGGAAATACTAGCTAGAGAAATCAGATGAGAGAAATGAATAGAAAGCATTCAAATTGGAAAGGAAGAAGTCAAATTATCCTTGCTTTCAGGGATATATTTGGAAAAACCTTGACTCCATAAAAGAACTGTTAGAACTAATAAACAAGTTGAGTAGTTGTGGGATACAAAATCAACATTCCAAAAATCAGTTGCATTTCTATAAGCCAATAGTGAACAATCTTGAAAAGAAATAAAAAAAGCAATCCCATTCACAATAGCCACATATAAAATTAAATACTTAGTAATTAACCAAAAAAGTAAAAGATCCCTATAATAAAAACTATAAAACATTGATGAAAGAAATTGAAAAGGACACCAAAAAATAAAAAGATATTCCATGTTTATAGATTTCAAGAATCAATATTATTAAAATGTTCATGCTATCCAAAGCATTCTACAGATTCAGTGCAGTGCCTATCAAAATGCCAGTGATATTCTTCACAGAAACAGAAAAAAAAATTCTAAAATTTATATGGAAACACTAAAGACCCAAAATAGACAAAAGTCTTCTAAGCACACAGAAAAAGAAAACTATAGGAATCACGTTACCTGACTTCAAATTATACTACAGAGCTATAGTAACCAAAACAGTATGGTACTAGCATAAAAACAGACACATAAACCAAAAGAATAGAGAATCCAGAAACAAATCCACACGCCTACAGTTAACTCATCTTCAACAAAGTTTCCAACAATGTACATACAATGGAAAAAATACAGTCTCTTTAATAAATGGTACTGGGAAAACTGAATATTTCTATGTAGAAGAATGAAACTAGAACTCTACCTCTTTCTGTATGCAAAAATCAAATTAAAATGGATAAAAGGCTTATATCTAAGAACCCAAACTGTATAACTACTATCAGAATACATGGGGGAAACTCTCCAGGACATTGTCCTGGGCAAACATTTCTTGCCCAGTACCTCACAAGCACAGGTAACCAAAGCAAAAATGGACAAATGGGATCACATCAAGTTAAAGAAGACTCTGTACAGCAAGGAGAAACAGTCAACAAAGTGATGAGACAACCCACGGAAGGAGATAAAATATTTGCAAACTACCCATCTCACAAGGGATTAATAAACCAAATATATAAGGAGCTCAAACTCCATACAGAAAATTCAATAGATTTTAAAAATCAGTAAAATATTTAAATATGTATTTCTCAAAAGAAGACATACAAATGACAAACAAGCATATGAAAAGACATACAACATCACTGATCATCAGAGAAATGTAAATCAAAACAATGAGATATCATCTTATTCCAGTTAAAATGGCCTATATCCAAAAGACAGGCAACAAATGCTGGCGAAGATGTGGGGAAAAAGGAACCCTCAAACACTGTTGGTGGCAATGTAAATTAGTACTACCACTATGGAGAACAGTTTGGAGGTTCCTCAAAAAAAAATCTAAAAATAGGACTACCATAGGATCCAGCAATTTCACTGCTTTGCTTACATCAAAAAGAAAGGAAACCAGTATCTTGAACAGACATCTGCACTTCCATGTTTGTTGTAGCACTGTTCACAATAGCTAAGATTTGGAAGCAACGTAGGTGTCCATCACAGATAAAGGGATAAAGAAATTTAGTACTTATACACAATGGAATACTGTTCAGCCATAAAAATGAATGAAATCCTGTCATTTGCAACAAGATGATTGGAACTGGAGGTCATTATGCTAAGTAAAATAAGCCAGGCACAGAAAGACAAACATTGCATGTTATCACTTATTTGTGGGATCTAAAATTCAAAACAATTGAACTTATAGAGAGTATAAAGATGGTTATCAGAGACTAGGAAGAATAGTGAGGTGATGATGGGGAGGTGGAGATGGTAACGGATAGAAAAAAAATAGTTAAAAAGAATGAATAAGACCTAGTATTTAATATCACATTAGGGTGACCATAGTCAACAATAATTTGATTATTGGTTTTAAAATAAGTAAAAGAGTATAATTGGATTATTTGTAACACAAAAGATAAATGCTTGGAGGGGATGGATACCCCCTTTTTACATGATGTGATTATTATGTATTGTATGCTTGTAATCAAAGCTTTCAGGTATTTCATAGATATAGAAGCCTACTATATACCCACCAAAATTAAAATTTTAAAAAATGAAAACATAAATATAAAAGATAAGTTCCTTTCTTTTTTCTTAAGTTTTACAGTTTTACATTTCATATTTTAGTCAATCATCCAGGAGGAGTTAATTTTGTATAAGATATGAGATGTAGCACAAGTTTTATTTATTTATTTGCAATTGTTTCAGCATCATATGCTGAAAAGGCTATCTTCCTCCATTGGATTACTTTTGTGCCTTTATCAGAAATTTATTGGGCAAATTTGTGTCTATTTCTGAGTTCTCTATTCTTTTCCATTGATCTATTTGTCTAGTCTCCCAATACCACACACAGTGTTGATTACTATAGTGAAAAATGTCTTGCAATCAGAAAGAGCAGTTGTCCCACTTTATTCTTATTTTTTTTCAAAATTGTTTTAGCTATTCTAGTGGCTTTGGCTTTCAATACACATTTTAGAGTAATCTTGTACACACCTGCAAAAAATCTTGCTTGGATTTTTACAGGAACTCAATTAAACTTATATATCAATTTTTGAGAATTGAGAACTTTATTGATACTTCAATACATGACTACAGTATTTCTCTTCATTTTTATAAATAACCTTTGATTTTTTTCATCAGTGTTGTGTAGTTTTCAGCTTACAAGTCCTGTACAGGTTTTGTTATGTTTACACATGAATATTTTATTTTTAGCAGTTATAAATGGTACTGTATTTTCAATTCTGATGTCTATGTGTTTATTGCTAGTATACAGCAATAGATTGCTGTTACATTAATCTTGCATCCTTCAACCATGTTGAATGCATTTATTAGTTTGAGATTTTTTACTTTTTATTTTTGTAGATGCCTTTGGAATTTCTACATAGACAACCAACTTATCTGCAAATAGGAATGGTTTTATTTCTCCCTTTACAATCTCTGTATTTTTGTACCTCTCTATTCTCTCTTCTTGTAAGGACTCCAGCCATATTGGATAAGAGTCCACCTTAATCATGTATAAACTCAACTTAACTTGAATTCATCTGCAAAGACAATATTTCCAAATAAAAGCACATTCTGAGGTTCCAAGTGGACATAACTATTTGGGAGACACTATTTGTTCTGTAACACTTGGGTTTTCTTTCTGCCTCATATATTCCAAATTTGGAGTTGAAGAAGCTGGCAACCCAGAAATGCCAACAGACATGGACATAAAAAGTCCAAAGAAAAGTTTATTCGCTCTACGTACAGGGCCAGAAAAGGAGGAGCCTAGCAAGGCCAAAAATTTTTACATAGTAACTGCACTACTCCAACTGAAAACAGGTGGTGTCACCTTATTGACATCAAGAAAGACTCAGTGAGGATCACACACTTCCATCCTTGTGAGGCTGTAACAAAGCTCCCTACATCCCTGCAAGGATGATAGCAGACATAGCCACTGAAGATGCTGGGACTTTCATTTCCACTGTTGGCAGTGAGCTCTTCCCTGTGTTATCAATAGAAATCAATGGGAAGCCTAAACTTCTGCCCCTAATTGGCAGGAAAGTAACAAGGCATCCCCTTGTCTCTACTGGAGTGGTGGCAGAGGCCCATTAGGAAGTCAGGACTTTTACCCTTGCCCAGGAGTAATCAGGTCACTCCCACTGTGGTATTAATGGAGACTTGGTGGGGGAAGCCAAACCCCATCCCTGTTGTAAGGCCCCGTACTTGACTGATCTGCCTTTTTCTTTTGACTTTTCAGAAGAGTTTTAAAAGACTTTCTTGTTTATCTAACTTCCTCTCCAACACGTTCAATAAATCTTTAAAGGGGATTTAGTAAAAAATAAAATGTAGTGAATTGAATGTAACATCCTTTCTAGATCAGCACAGGCGGTTGTGTGGGGCATGGTTCCAGTCCAAGGGCACAATCCTCAGAGCCCTTGAAGCTCAGTGTTTCAGAGTCTAGGAGCAGTCAGTTTATATACTATGCTGTTGTCTGTGTTCTTATGTTCTTGGACAGCCCAGCCCTCCAGGAAGATGGTAAGGACAGAGAGAGTAGTCTGAGAAGTTGTCTCTACATTCTTCAAACCCTTACACAGGAACCCAGGAGAGTGAGCATCTCTCTGCTTTATTTCAGGGCTGAGCTCCAGATTTCAGAGGTTTCTTTATAAACATCAGTAATTTTTTGAGTTTGACAAGATCACAGCAGTGCCATGAAGCCATCTGAAGCATCGAGGCTCAGGTTACCTCTTTGGCATGTAAGTCAGATGTCCTTCATGATGTTCTTTGCCTCTGACACAAATTCTTTCCACATTCCTCTTCAGATATTCAATGTGGAGCTATCTCAACCAGGGATGAGCCATCCTCAAATTATTAATGACTTCATTTGCAAAATATATTTTCTTTATGATGCCATTGTATAAGATCAAACCAGAGAGGAGATCCTAAATACAGGCGAGCTTTGATAAAGATTTTACTTTGACAGCATCTTCACTTGGTTCGTGACTGCCTTCGCTATTCTGGTTGAAAGAGTGTAAGCCATCCCATAATATAGCCTGTTTTACCTTTTTTGTTATTTCAATTACTTCTCATGAGATCTGACTCCGTTTCCACAATAACTGGCTGATCTGCCCAATTTCTACTGGATTTATTAATATATCATAATTTCTGCTTTTCTTTTGGAAAACAAATTTCTTCTCTGATCAATATTTCTTAATATTTATCCTCTTTTGCTGCTTTTGTTAAAAATATTTGTCCTCTGTTTTAGGGCTCAAATGCCTACAAGGACCAATGAAACTGGAGCAACAAATATAAGCAAAACAACAGCGAGTGCAAGAGGACACAGCAAATTAGAGAATGCATGCCCCTATCTAACAGATGCGGTGGGCACTTTTCATTTTATCAGATTCTCCAAATTTTCAAGAGAAGCCAGAAATTCAGGCTTTTAGAGGTTAGCATCTAAATAAAAAGTTAAAAAAATAAAAGGTGTATGTGACCACACAACATAGGTCTGAGTGCCAGATTTGGCTCTTTGGTCACCAATTAAAGACTTCTATTACACTACAATCTCTTTAATGATTTCTACAAAGGGTTCTAGGGGTTTTCATGCAAATAATTCTCCCGTGGCTCATAGTAATATCCCTTAGCGGCTTTGGAAATCAGAACAATTTAGGCCAACTTATGGTGGAATCATGTCTCATGTAGTTTTTCAGCTCCATCTGGCAAACAGCTCCCCCTGGCTCAAATAATCATTGTCCAACTGACTGCTGGCAGTAGGGCAGGACTCCCTCAAAGAGTAGGACATGGGATATCTGCCCAAATCACTCTGTCTTGGGAATGAGTCTGTCTATACTGAATAGTTTATTATGCCTCAAGTTGGTATATTGCTGTGCAGCTGCCTCTGCAGTGGCAGCTGAATGCATCTGTCACACAGAATCTGCAGCCATTAATACTATTGTTATATTAGGCACTGGGATTTTATTTCCCTCAATACTTTATTTCATTGAACAATATTGAATTTTCTTCTGCCAAAGTTGAGTTGTGAGACTAAATCGTCAGCAGATGTTTTAAATTGTTCTGTTAATGATAGCTTGTTTCTCTTTCTGGTATTGTTTTATCTCTGAAGTATTGCTTTGGGTTTTCAATTTTGGTGGACAGATCTGTGCTTCTCCTCACTGCAGAACTTTAAGCAAGTCTCTAAGGCATGTCTTACTATTTTATTTCTTATTCTTAATGTGTCAGGCCAGGTTGGGCAGCAGCCTGCAGGAGCTGCAGTCTGTTTAACAGAAAGTTTCAGAACTACACTACAGAACTTTTTGGTGTGGTGAGAGGAAGAGGAAAACATTCTCACAGCAATACTCCAAAAAAAAAAAAAAAAAAAGGAAATTCTACTCAGACTTTTGGTCTGCCAAGATTTTTTCCACTAGATTCATGATGTAATCATTATGTTCCCTTTCTTCATGCACTTTCTCTCTCTCACTGCCATTCAGATGGAAATTTTCTACATAACTTGGGGGTCTCAAAGATCATTTACCCACAGACACCCTCCTGGGCTACTAATGAACATTAGAGCCACTGAGATAAATTACCTCATGTCCTTCTGAGAGGTGACAACGTGCTAGCAGCCCTCCCTCGCTCTCAGCGCCTCCTCGGCATGGGCGTTCACTCTGGCCATGCTCAAGGAGCTCTTCAGCCCACCACTGCGCTGAAGGGGCCCCTCTCTGGGCAGGCCTAGGTCGGAACCGGCTCCCTCTGCTTGAGGGGAGGTGTGGCGGGAGAGACGCAGGCGGGAACCGGGGCTGCGCGCAGCGCTCGGGCCAGCGCCAGTTCCGGGTGGTCACGGGCTCAGCGGGCCCCGCACTCGGAGCAGCCGGCTGGCGCCAACGGCCGCGGGCAGTGACCAGCTTAGCACCTGGGCCAGCAGCTGTAGAGGTTGCGCCGGGTCCCTCAGCACTGCCGGTCCGCCCGCGCAGCGCTTGAATTCTCGCCGGGCCTCAGCCACCCCGCCATGGGGCAGGGCTCGGGACCTGCAGCCCGCCATGCTCGAGCTTCCCCCACCCTTCATGGGCTCCGGCGCCCACCGAGCCTCCCCGATGGGCGCCGCCCCCTGCTCCAGGGCGCCCGGTCCCCTCGACCGCCTGGTCCCATGGACCGCCCAAGGCTGAGGAGTGCGGACGCGCGGTGCGGGACTGGCGGGCAGCTCAGCACACAGGATCTACTAGGTGAAGCCAGCTGGGCTCCTGAGTGGGGTGGTGACTTGGAGAACTTTTATGTCTAGCTAGAGGTTTGTAACCACACCAATCAGTGCTCTGTGTCTAGCTCAGGGATTGTAAATGCACCAATCAGCACTCTGTGTCTAGCTAAAGGTTTGTATACCCACCAATCAGTGCTCTGTGTCTAGCTAATCTAGTGGGGACTTGGAGAAATTTACGTCTAGCTGGAGGATTGTAAATACACCAATCAGCACTCTGTGTCTAGCTCAGGGATTGTAAACACACCAGTCAGCACCCTGTCAAAATGGACCAATCAGCTCTCTGTAAAATGGACCGATCAGCAGGATGTGGGTGGGGCCAGATAAGGGAATAAAAGCAGGCTGCCCGAGCCAGCAACAGAGACCTGCTCAGGTACTCTTCCACTATGTGGAAGCTTTGTTCTTTCACTGTTCACAGTAAATCTGCTGCTGCTCACTCTTTCAGTCTGCACCGCCTTTATGAGCTGTAACACTCACCGTGAAGGTCTGCAGCTTCACTCCTGAAGCCAGCAAGACCACGAGCCCACCGGGAGGGAGGAACAACTCCGGACAGGAGGAATGAACAGCTCCAGACGTGCCACCTTAAGAGCTATAACACTCACCATGAAGTTCTGCACCCTCACTCCTGAAGCCAGTGAGACCACGAACCCACTGGAAGGAAGAAACTCTGAACACACCCAAGCATCAGAAGGAACAAACTCTGGACACACCATCTTTAAGAACTGTAACACTCACTGCAAGGGTCCGCTGCTTCATTCTTGAAGTCAGTGAGACCAAGAACCCGCCAATTCCAGACACAGAATTCAACTGTAAATCTGTCTTATCTTATCTTGGGCCTTTTTTGCGTGGTAGGCTATTTATTACTGCCACAATCTCAGAACTTGTATTGGTATATTCAGGGATTCAACCTCTTCTTGGTTCAGCTTTGGGAGGGGCGGGTACATGTCCAGAAATTTATCCATTTCTTCTAGATTTTCTAGTTTGTGTTGTTAGAGGTGTTTATAGTATTCTCTGATGGTTTGTATTTCTGTGGGGTCGATGGTGATATCTCTCTTATTTCTGATTGTGTTTACTTGACTCTTCTTTCTTTTCTTCTTTATTAGTCTAGCTAGCAGTCTATCAATTTTATTTTTTTTTTCAAAAAAACTACTTCTATATTCACTGATTTTTTTTTTAATGATTTTCCATGTCTCTATCTGCTTCAGTTCAGCTCTGATTTTGGTTATTTCTTGTCTTCTGCTAGCTTTGGGATTTGTTTGTTCTTGGTTCTCTAGTTCTTTTAGTTGTGATGTTAGGTTGTTAACTTGAGATCTTTCTAGCTTTTTGATGTGGGCATTTAGTTCTATAGATTTCCTTCTTAACACTGTCTTTGCCACGTCCCAGAGGTTCTGTTACATTGTGTCTTTGTTCTCATTAGTTTCAAATAACTTCTTGATTTCTGCCTTAATTTTATTGTTTATCGAAAAGTCATTCAGGAGCAGGTTGTTCAATTTCCAGATAATTGTGTGGTTTTGAGTGAATTTCTTAATCTTGAGTTCTAATTTGATTGCTCTGTGGTCTGAGAGACTGCTTGTTATTATTTCAGTTCTTTTGCTGAGGGTGTTTTATTTACAATTATGTGATCAATTTTACAGTAAGTTACATGTGTCAATGAGAAGAATGTATATTTTGTTGTTTTGGGGTAGAAAGTTCTGCAGATATCTGTCAGGTCCTCTTGATCCAGAGCTGAGTTCAAGTCCTAAATATCTTTGTTAATTTTCTGTCTCGATTATCTAATATTGACAGTGGGGTGTTAAAATCTCCCACTATTCTTGTGTGGGGGACTAAGTCTCTTTGTAGGTCTCTAAGAACTTCGTTCATGAATCTGGGTGCTTCTCTGTTGGGTGTATTTAAGTTTAGGATGTTTAGGTCGTCTTGTTGAATTAAACCCTTTACCATTATTTAATGCCCTTGTTTGTCTTTATTTTCATCTTTGGTGGTTTAAAGTCTGTTACGTCAGAAAATAGGATTGCAATCCTTGCAATTTTCTGTTTTTCAATTGCTTGGCAAATTTTCCTCTATTCCCTTATTTTCAGCCTATGTGTGTCTTTGCATGTGTGATTGGTTTCTTGAAGACAGCACATCGATGGGTCTTGGTGCTTTATTCAGCTTGCCATTCTCTGTCTTTTAATTGGGGGATTTAGCCCATTTACATTTAAGGTTAGTATTGTTATGTGTGAATTTGATCCTGTCATCATGAGGTTAGCTTGTTACTTTGTAACAGAGTGGGGTCACACTATCACTCACCACTTCCCTTGGCTTGGGGTGGTGGTTCCTTGGGCTCTGTGCCACTCCTGGGTGGTTTGTCACCCCCCTCCTTTTCTTTATTTTCCATGGGTCAAGTTGTTCACCTAGTTATTCCCAATGCAAGAACATGGATATTTCCATTGAAGGTGCTGAATTCACTCACCCCTTTTCATTTCTCTTTGTGAGTGCTGCGGACTGCAGCTGCTTCTAATCAGCCGTTTTGTTCCTACATCTGGCCTATCTTTGAAGTCTCAAAGGTGAGGAATAGGTCTGTCTCATTCACCACTGGATATCCAAAAAAAGAAGTAAAAGAACATATGTCATAGCTGCATCCATACACTTTTGTACACTTTTACTCCTATTTTATTTTTAATCTCATATACTTCATTAACATTTAGCACCTGTTTGTTAATCACCATTTTATAGTTGCACAGAGCAAAACAATCCAATTTACTCTCGAAATTTAGTAATTGTTAGTCACCTTTTTCTTTCCTGCTGCATGTGTTTCCTCTCCTCATATCCAAGAAATAAGAATAGGGAACATAACTAGTTTACCTGTTACTAGCTTAATTTTGAGTGATACACACTGAAAGCAAAATCTTGTGTTATGCATTTGGAATGTGAGATCCAAAAATTTTAAGTTCCTAGCAATTTAATAAAACTCTCTCTTTTTTAAGAATGTAGGGTTATTGCTTAACACTAATGTCTTTTATCTACTCAAACAATATTTACTTAATACCTAGTATTCTAGGCCTGCTGTAACAAAGTACCACAAACTGAGGCACTTATACAACAGAAACTTGTGTTCTCACACTTCTAGAGGATGGAAGTTGACAATTGAGATATAGACAGGCTTAGTTCATTCTGAGAGCTGTGGGAGGAGGATCTGTTCCAGGCCTCTCTCCTGGTTTGTAAATGAATGTCTTCTTCCTGTGTCTCTTCACATAGTTTTCCCTCTATGTGTATCTGCCTCTGTGTCCAAAGTTCCTTTTCATAAGGACTTCAGTCATAGTGGATTAGGGCTCACAATTATTACTTTGTTTTAACTTGATTATCTCTTTAAAGACCTTGTGTCCAAATAAAATACATATGAGATACTGGGATTAAGACTTGGATGTATGAATTTTTGTAGGATACAACTCAACCCATAACATACCTATTATATCATTAGAAGTGATTTTTAAGCTGTGAGGGATACACATTTGTACTCTTTTTGGGTAGACTAAACTAACACTCATTAAACAGCAGTATATGACATAAACAACTATGCAACCAAGGGCTGAAATTAAGTAGACCTCATGTTTGTACTGTAGGAGTTCAAAAATAAAAATAGCAATATGCATTAGAGTAATCAGAAAACATTTGAGGCTTTAATAAAAACAAAAGTTTAATAGAAATAAAGTTGAATAATAAAAATAGAATTTGGGTAAGTATGAAAAAGAAAAAAAGCATTTAAGTTAGAGGATATGGGTAAGAGCACAGAACCAAAATGGAAGGCATAGTCATGTCAGAGTGAATAGATACTCTGACTCAGGGAGAAGGAACACATTGAGGAGAAACAGAAAAGATTAAAAAAATAAAGCTTAGGCCAGATAGAAGCAGTTTTTGGATATTAAATATGTAAAAATTTTTTGAGTATGAGATTGACAAAGATTATGATAGAATCCAGATATCATCACAATCTTTCACTACTTCCAATATTCGTACATTTTGCAATAGAACTTTTCAGCTCCTCCCATTCAGAGGTAGATACTATTATTTCTTTTCTTCTAGTGAATATGATGGCCTGTGACTTGTTTTTCCAATAGAAAGTCTGCTAATTAACAGTGAAGCAGTTTTGACTCTTGTCCTCAAATGAATGGCTGTGTACATGTCTCATTATCTTTCTCTCTCTCCCTTTCTCTCTTTTCCCATTGTGATACCATTTGAAGAGATGTGGTCTAGCCTGCTGCCATGTGAAGGAAACCCACACAGGCAAGGGCATTCTTTATTGCTGGCCTCTAGTTGATCAACCAATTGCCAGCAAACACATGAACAAGCTGAACCAAGGTCAGCTAGTTTGGTTCAGGCCAGAACAGCCTCCCATCCAGCACAAAGACTTCATATTTAAACCACAAAGTTTTTCAATTGTTTTTTAGGCAGCATTATTGTGGTAGAAGAGAAAACAAACTGTAACATTTTGTTACAATAGGTAGATAGTCAGGCATGAGAAGAGAGCAGGAGAAGGCTCCTCCCAAAACCCCTGCTCCACCTCACCAGCCACACACACACCAGGAATGTCAGTGGACCATTTGGTGATGGTCAGGAAGTTGTTAAACTGTCTCACTAAAGTAATAATTAGTCCCAGCTGGTGCCAGGGAAAGGCAGTCTCCCAATAGATTAAAAAAAGCTGAAACTGTTTATCAGCAGTTTCCCAGTAAGAGCTCAGGAATTGGGCAAGTTGGCTCAAGCATGTGCACTAAGAGGCAAAAGGTTGAAGTTTAACTGGTCTATGATCTTCCTCTAGGAATGGTAACTGATAAGGGAAGAACACTTCAAGTGAGTGTGCACAGAACTCCAGTAAACAAATTGTGCATGTGGCCCCTCCCAAGTGCTAACAGGCCACTGTGTATGTGGATAGCCCACCTCAAGGGAAGAATCAGGCGAGAAGGGACACAAGACCTCAGAAGCATACCAACATATAAAACCCTAAGTCAAGGGTCAAACTGTGTACAAGTCACCCACTTGTCCTTCTTCCAAGTGTACTTTACTTCCTTTCAGTCCTACTCTAAAGTTTGTTAGTAAACTTTCACTCATGCTCTAAAAGTTGCCTTGGTCTCTCCTTCTGCTTTCTGCCCCTCAGTCAAATTATTTTTTCCTGAGGAGAAAAGAATTGAAGTTGCTGCAGACCCCTATGGATTTGCTGCCAGTGACAATCTGAATAATTGAAGGAAAATAGATCGGACAGCAATAGTGGTGTGCATTGAAGTATTTGTGAGCCTATTTGGAAGTGAAGGTAGATGATTACAGTAAGGAAGAATATATAGGAAATTGATTTAAGAATGAACTCAGACTAGAATACTAATAATTTAGTTTTACAATGAAAGAGTCATAAAAATATTATGAAGAGAAAACTGAAAAACCTTGCAAATAGAGGATTATAAATCATGCTGCTATAAAGACATAGGCACACATATGTTTATTGTGGCACTATTCACAATAGCAAAGACCAGGAACCAACCCAAATGTCTATCAGTGATAGACTGGATTAAGAAAATGTGGCACATATACACCATGGAATACTATGCAGCCATAAAAAAGGATGAGTTCATGTCCTTTGTAGGGACATGGATGAAGCTGGAAACCATCATTCTCAGCAAACTATCACAAGGACAAAAAAACCACACACCACGTGTTCTCACTCATAGGTGGGAATTGAACAATGAGAACACTTGGACACAGGAAGGGGAACATCACACACCAGGGCCTGTCGTGGGGTGGGGGGAGGGGGGAGAGATGGCATTAAGAGATATACCTAATGTAAATGATGAGTTAATGGGTGCACACACCAACATGGCACATGTATACATATGTAACGAACCTGCACGTTGTGCACATGTACCCTAGAACTTAAGAGTATAAAAAAACAAACAAACAAAAAACAAAAACAAAACAAAACAAAGAAACTAGGGGAACATATAATCATCTGAGCAGTGATCAGCATACCAACACATCTTTTCTTTCTCTTGTGCTATTGATCATCTCATTATCTACCTCTGCCTCCTTCCTGTCCTTTTCACTCATTCTTCCCTCCATACGTCTCTCTGTTCCCTTTTGTGCATATTTATGGGTGTGTGTACAGTTTTTGGCTCCCTCCTCATTTCTTTTTTTTTTTTTTTTTTTTTTTTTTTTTGAGACGGAGTCTCACTCTTTTGCCCAAGCTGGACTGCAGTGGCGCTATCCCGGCTCACTGCAAGCTCCGCCTCTTGGGTTCATGCCATTCTCCTGCCTCAGCCTCCCGAGTAGCTGGGATTACAGGCGCCCACCACCACGCCCGGCTAATTTTTTGTATTTTTAGTAGAGACGGGGTTTCACCGTGTTAGCCAGGATGGTCTCGATCTCCTGACCTCGTGATCCGCCCGCCTCGGCCTCCCAAAGTGCTGGGATTACAGGCGTGAGCCACCGCGCCCGGCCTCCCTCCTCATTTCTATCTCTTCTTTTACATCTCTCTCTTTATTCCTCAAAGTCTTCATGTTCATTATTTTTGTTGTCCTCTTCTCTGATTTATTTCTCCATTTCCCATCATGCTTTCCTCCAACTCCCATCTCTCACCTACTATGTCCTCCATATGTGGATCTTTGTAAATGCCCCTCTCCTTAAATGCCCAATAGCCTTAGCTATATTAATTAATAAAAAACAGACTTATGAGCCAAGCTACAATGATAATACCCCAATATACAGGTCCTAGTCTACATGCATGCATACACTCCCATGACCATAGATTTCGGCTCAAGGTAACTGATTGGCATTCCAGGAAGGTCTGAACTGATCACAATCTTATACGCCATAGGATGACAACTTTGCTGTTTGCTGGAGAGAAGCTCATAGTGCTCTGTCAGCACCATCATGGCATATGTTATATCATTTTAGCATTCTTATATTTTCTTCAACTCAGTCTGATGCGGCAACCTGTCCCCATATTGCTCAGAGTCCAGTCAGATAGTCTCATGACTCTCATTGCACACCTCATTTATGCCATCCATTCCATGCTTACTTACTACTAAGGTTCAAGACATCATACGACCTTCTCAGAACCCATGATATAGCCCACCTTATCAGATTAATGACATTTTCAGCTTCCAGCCAGCAAATAAATAGTACCACTGACCAGATTTTCCTCGCTGACTCACTGTGCAGTTTACAGCATGTGTGATGAATGCTGCTGCTACTCTTGCACTGATCCAGCTTTTCCAGGAGCTGCCTTCAGAGGCCAGGGAATAAAACCTGGAAAAGTGGGGAGATTTAATATTCAACGGGGTAAATGTTGACTTATGAGAGATAGGAGATGGAAAGGAGCTGGTGAATAAATTCTCTTCCACTTCTAGTAATTATTCTGAGGTCCTAGGTTTTCATAAAGTCTTGTTTGAGAAATGCTGCTTGACAAGAAATCAGCTGTACTTTATGATGATGCTCTGGCCAATTTGGTCATTTGCTTTTCTTTCTTTCCTCCCATGCTACCTTTTCCTTCACTATTACTTTTCTGGGTTTGCAAGCACCCTAAAATGTTTGCTTCAGACTTGGTCTTCCAGGGAAATAATACTAAAACTTTTTTCCAAAGTTGCAATTACTAACGTCTATGGTGGTAATAAAACCAAGTTAGGCCACTTGAAGTCTAGCCACACTATTTTTTATTGATATATAACATTTATACATACATAGTTGATACATGTGTTTTTTTTGTTATATGCATAGAATGTGTAATGGTTCAAGGCGGGGCATTTAGGGTATCCATCACCTTGAGTATTTACCATTTATATTTGTTGAACACATTTCAAGTCTTTGAAATATGCAACACTTTCTTGTTTACTATAGTCTCCCTACTCTGCTATTTAACTTTAAAATGTACTTCTATCTAACTTTATGTTTCTACCCATTATCCAACCTCTCTTAATTCCCTCCCACCTCTCGTAATTCCCTCCCAACCCACATTCTTCCCTGTCTCTGGTATCTTTTACTCTGCCCTCTATCTTCATGAGATGAACTTTCTTCACTCTCACATATAATAAGAATATTAAATATTTGTCTTTCTGTTTCTGGCTGATTTCACTTAACACAATAACCTCCAGTTCTATACATGTTGCTGAAAATGACAGAATTTCATTGTTTTATTGTGGATAGATAGCATTCCATTGTGTATATATACCACGTTTTCCTATATTCCATTGTGTATATATTCCATTGTGTATGTATACCAGGATTCCATTGTGTATATATACCACATTTTCATTTATCTATTGAAGGGCACTTAGGTTTACTTTATATCTTTGTTATTGTGAATCGTGCTGTAATAAACATAGAATTGCAAGTAAAAAAAAGGAGATGGGGAAATTAAGAAATTATTTGGCTTTTTGTCAAGTATTATAGCTAACCTTTTGCAACTTTCTTTTAAAATATTTCTGAAGTGATTTTTATGGAGCAAATAAGCAATTTTTTAACCCATTCCTTTCATCAGTTTGTTAAAATATACTTAGTCATTTGTGGTGCTAAGAATGGGAAGTTTGAAAAACATTTCTATAAAATGTGTGGTCACTTTTGAAACTTTCAGAAAAAAATAAAAAGGCTTTGCTTTGAATGATTAAAATATGAACAACAAAGCAGCTTAGATTTTTGATAAGAACTTGCATTAAGATGACTTTGGTCTTTCAGTTAGTAAGATTTTCTACATGCTCCAGTTCCATGGCATATCAAGGACAAAGTCAAATTGAACATTTTCCTGTCCTGCTCCTTGGCTTTCTGCCAGACTCATAGTGCTTCATTATACCTATCCTCTATTTTAAACTAAATCCTTCCCACAGTTGTTTTACCGGATGTGCCATCTGGGCAGGGAAGGATCTTATAAAATGAGTGTAAGAGGCACACCCATATATATAAAAACTATGAAAATGTGGATAAATATTCCAAGGATAATTTTTGTTTTACTTTGTTAGGGGACCAAGAATAAGATAAATTTTTGAATATTTGGGTAAGTTAATGGTCATGGGTATATGTTTGTTAAGAATGGGAGAATAGGCCGGGTGCAGTAGCTCATGCCTGTAATCCCAGCACTTTGGGAGGCCGAGGTAGGTGTATCACTAGGTCAAGAGATCTAGACCCTCCTGGCCAACATAGTGAAATCCCGTCTCTACTAAAAATACAAAAATTAGCTGGGTGTGGCGGTGCGTGCCTGTAGACCCAGCTACTCCGGAGGCTGAGGCAGGAGAATCGCTTGAACCTGGAGACAGAGGTTGCAGTGAGCCGAGACTGTGCCACTGCACTCCAGCCTGGCAACAAGAGTGAAACTCGGTCTCAAAAAAAAAAAAAAAAAAAAAAGGAGAATAGTAATCTTAGGTCGTTTTAATACAACTCTCATCAGTAATCAAGTAATTTTCTTTTAGGTCTATATTAACCATTAAAACAGAATACATTAATTTTAGGTAGAAATTAGTGAGTGAAGAAGAAAAGAGAAAATATAAATGGTGCCTGCCTTTTCTCCCTTGGGCTCTTTAGTTGTGATTCTTCAAAGATCTGTACATCTGCACATCTGTTTTCCTTTTGTTACACAAATGTGTTACTTAAAGACAACGTGGAGACTTCAGTAATACTAATGCTTCTGATAACAAGGCATATAATTTTGATACAGATCTGCATTACTGTGAACGATACTTGCTGGGAAGGCTTGCACAGTAACTGATGCAGTATATGATACTAACCTACCACTGAGCCTGCCTCCAGCTACTCTATTTGAATGAAGTTAACTAGAATTAGCCTAAAGAGCCTCTGCTTTTAGTTTTTTATTTAATGATTCAGCTCTTCTTTTGTGTTACAAATGAGAATTTAATATGGAAATAACTAATTTCCATGACAAGGCTTGGGTATTTGTGCAGCTTGTTCTTAGTGACTTCAGATGATTAAAAAACAAAATACAAAAAGAAGCAACATTTATCTTCAGTATATGCAAAATTATGAAACTAATGTTTCCTAGACTTAGATTTTTTTTTTCACTTAGAAGTACATTACTAATAGCATCCCATGTTATTAAATTTACTAAACTTGATTTTTTAACAACTTTATTATTCAAGCTGCAGATGTACCTAACCTTTTCATAAACCAATTTATTAATAGCAAACATGTATATTCTTTTCATTTTTAACTGATATTGGATAGAACATTGCAATGAACATATTTTAGGTAAAATCTATCTACATGCAATAGGGTCATACAATTCAACTAGCATCACAATGCCAACTTACATTGTACTTAGACATAGGAGACCAGAGTGAACCAACTTGGATAGAGGCAGAATAGGAAGGAATGTAACTCAGGTGGCCTTATTCAACAATATAATGTGTTTGACATCTATTCCATTGACCAGTGTTTTCTAGATTAAATAACTGATCACTTTAATGAGTACAACTAATATTTTCTGAAATAAAATACAATACCATAAAATGGAATATTACATACCAGGATGAATCACAATTAATATATTTTCAAAATGTTATTTCAGTTTTGGGTGGAGTGCCTATAGATAAGAGAACAAGAGAGAAGGAGTGGTTGTGAAATGAATGTTTTACACATGGTAAAACAGAATAAGTGAAAGTCAGTGTGGTAGGTGATAGGAAGCCAATGAGGAATTTTCTATGTGGGAGAGAACTGTGTATGGAGCTTAGATTTGGAAATAAAGAAAGTAAAAAATCACATAGCAAGGCTTTTAAAATTGTGTAGTGAATAATCATTACTACCCAAACTTGGGCAGCGGTGTAACTGCCGAATGGATTCTTCTCACCAGCTGCCTGGATAGAGCTGATTTATCAAGACAGGGGAATTGGCAATAAAGAAAGACAGTTTAATACATGTAGAGCTGGCTAAAAGGGAGACCAGAGTTTTATTATTACTCAGATCAGCCTTTCCAAAAATGTGGAGGCTAGAGTTTTTCTAAGATACTTTGGCAGGCAGAGGGCTAGGGTATGAGTCCTGCTGATTGGTTGAAAATGCAATCATAGTGGTGTGGAAATGGTCCTTGAGTGCTGAGTCCCTTCTGGGTGAGTGTCACAGAGATGTCACTGGCCCTCTTGGGACCATCTGGTCAGAAACGCAAAAGCTTGAAAACACATCACAAAAGGTCAGTCTTAGGTTCTACAGTAGTAATGTTATTTACAGAAGGAATTAGAGAATTTGCAAATCTTGTGACCTCCAGAATAATGGCTGGTAATCATTTTATTATGCCTGTATCTTGGGCAGATATCAGGCCCTTCTCACCCTCCTAATCTGGTGATCTTTCATTAGTTTTACAAAGGTGGTTTAGTTTTGGAAAGAGCTATTATTTAGACTAACTTCCTTCCAAAGTTTGCTTGGCTATTGCCCAGGAATGGCCAAAGGCAATTTGGAGGCTAAAGGCAAGATGGAGTTGGCTAGGTCAGATTTCTTTCACTGTTATAATTTTCTCACTCTTATTTTCGCAAAGGTGATTTCAGTGGTAATGAAGATAAAGAGGAAGGAAGAGGTCTGAAAGATACGTAAGAATAATTGACAGTAATGGATGACTGGTTTGAAAGAACAGCAAGCAACTGATAATTACTCCAAATGTCTTTGGCCCAGGCAGAAGAGTGGATGGTGGTGCCATTAAGTGAGATAAGGAGCACAGGAAGGGGGAGCAGATTTTGACATGATAAATTGTCATCTCTGAAAATATGCATATTGGATTAGGTAAATATTTTATTTGTGATGTCAAAAACTTTCAAAAGAGTTCAGAAGATAATTTAAATTGCAGTAGATTGAAAAGTAAATCTTGTGTAAAAAAGGTAGAGGCTAGGTGCAGTGACTCACACCTATAATCCCAGTACTTTGGGAGGCCAAGGCAGGAAGATTACTTGAGGACAGAAGTTCAAGACCAGTCGTTGTCAACATGGCAAGACTCCCATCTCTACTAAAAACAAAAAAAAATGTTATTGGCTATAATGCTCTGATCTTTTTCAGACTAGATATTATTATTCCAATAAATAATTCATAATTATGTCCAAGGCTTACAGTTTATTTAGCTATTCCTTATGTGCCAATATTTACTTAGGAAAATTTTAACATTAGCAGACAAAAGTATATAACTAAATTTTAGCAATTAATAACTCTATAAATGCACCTCTTCTACGGTTGATAATGTGCACAAACTTTTATTTATATGAGGCAAGCAACTGGCCCAAAACATTGTAAGTATCTATTGTTTAAGTAATTGGAAGTTATTTTCATATGTAATTTCTACAATAGTATATGACTTACAATAGAAGATACAAAGTCAAGCAATAGAGTTATGCCAGATATCATTTATTTCACTGCGACTTGTTGACTTTTCAGATTTTAGTAAAAATAAGATTTCTATGTTGTTATAAGTTCTTAAAGGCTGGGCAACTATTTTGAGATGTGTCTGGTGAATGACCCTGAAATATTTGTAAATTATTAAAAAAGTATTTAAAAAAAAATTGATTTATGGCCAGGCACGGTGGCTCATGCCTGTAATCCCAGCACTTTGGGAGGCCGAGGCAGATGGAACAACTGAAGTCGGGAGTTTGAGACCAGCCTGACCAACATGGAGACACCCTGTCTCCACTAAAAATACAAAATTAACCATGTGTGGTGGCACATGCCTGTAATCCCATCTTCTTAGGAGGCTGAGGCAGGAGAATCGCTTGAACCTGGGAGACTGGGGTTGCAGTGAGCCGAGATGACACCATTGCACAACAGCCTGGGCAACAAGAGATAAACTCCATCTCAAAAAAAAAAAAAGATTTATACTTGTTTCTTCATTTTAAATAATCCATGTATTATTACCATAATACAAATCTGCTTTATCATCCACTGAAACATCTTCAACAATCTCTTGGCACTTAGTCTTCATTATCTGACTTATCTCACAGATTCATTCAACATGGATAGAATGTCTACTAGGTAGATCCTGAAAAATCTGCCAACATTGTCATTCTCAACACGACTTCCATTGTGACTTTGTCCTACTTAAGAACTAACATTTATTCTTCATTATATGTTGCATAATATGCAGACTCTTTTGTGTGATTTTAAGCCATTATAACCCAACCCTAAATACAGACCTTGGCAATCCATCACCTGTGTTCTTTCACTGACTGCTGTTTCATCAAAGTTCTTGTCCTTTTCATATGCTATCCCTGCTTATGCTTCTGGAATACTTTCATGGATTTTCTATTTAAAGTGATCTTCTTTTTCTCCTTCACACACAGTCATCTAAACCCTACAAACACTTGGGGACCTACCATCATCTTTATGATGTACACCTATAAACTGGCTGTTATTCCTTTCCCAGGTCTGCGAATCTCTGTATAGTCAGAAACTTGATAATAAACTTTTCTTTTAGATGGGATGGATGCATCTCTTCCATTAGGCTATTAATAAGGATATAGTATAGACAACTTATAATTCTTTTGTGAACTTGACTTCTTTTTATTAGAAACCTGGACACATCACAATGCTAAATCATATAATTGATCATTGATTAATTGATGAATAAATGACGACCATATTTTCTGGCATTGACATTCCATTATTCCATGTTTCAAAACCCACTGAATATATTTTTAGAAAATATTTACTTAAAAATTGTGAGAGACTTTCAAGAATTTAATCCAAAATCTACAATGAAACCTCAATTTGCCCTAGTCATATCACTTTTTTACTTTTAGTTAAACAGATAATACTTTAAGAGCTGGTGTTATTATTATTTTTTTATTCTTATTTATTTCACTAGTGTATTAGTCCATTTTCATACTGCTATGAAGAAACACAAAAGACTCGGTAATTTATTTAAAAAAAAACAAGTTTAAAGGACTCACAGTTCCATATGGCTGTGGAGGCCTCACAATCATGGTGGAAAACAAAGTGGGAGCAAAGGCACATCTTACATGATGGCAGACAAAAAAATGCGTGCAGGGGAACTGTCTTTTATAAAACCATCAGATCTCATGAGGCTTATTTACTATTATGAGAATAGCAGGGGAAAAACCCTCCCGCATGATTCAATACCTCTCACCAGGTTCCTCTCACAACATGTGAGGATTATGGGAACTACAATTTAAGATGAGATTTGGGTGGGGACATAGCCAAACAATACCATTCTGTCCTTTCCCCTTCCCAAATCTCATGTTCTCACATTTCAAAACCAATCATGTCTTCCCAAATGTCCTCCAAAATCTTAGCTTGTTTCAGCACTAACTCAAAAGTCTATAATCCAAAATCTCATCTGAGAATAAGCAAGTCAGTTCCACCTATGAGCCTGTAAAATCAAACACAAATGAGTTACTTCCTAGATTCACTGGAGTACAAGAATTGAGTAAATATACTAATTCCAAGTGGGAGAAATAAGCCAAAACGAAGGGGACATAGGCCCCATGCAACTCTGAATTCTAGCAGGGCAGCCAAATCTTAAAGCTCCAAAATGATCTCCTTTGACTCTATGTCTCACATCCAGGTCACGGTGATGCAAGTGGTGGGTTCTCATGTTCTTGGGAAGCTCCACCCCCTGACTTTGCAGGGTACAGCTACTCTCCTGGCTTCTTTCACGGGCTGGTGTTGAGTTGCTGTGGCTTTTCTAGGCACACAGTGTAAGCCGTCAGTGGATCTTTCATGCTGGGGTCTGGGGATGGTGGCCGTCTTCTCACAGCCCCACTAGGAAGTTCCCCAGTGGTGACTCTGAGTGGGAGCTCCTACCCCACATTTCCCTTCTGCAGTGCCCTAGCAGAGGTTATCCATGAGGGCTTTGACCTTGCAACACACCTTTGCCTAGATATCCAGACATTTCCAAACATCCTCTCAAATCTAGGCAAAGGTTCCCAAACCTTAATTCTTGACTTCTCTGCAGCCACAGGCCCAACACCACATGTAAGCTGCCGAGGCTCGGGGCTTGCACCCTCTGAAGTAATGGCCTGAGGTGTACAATGACCCCTTTTAGCCATGGCTGGGATGCAAGGCACCAAGTCCCAAGACTGCACAAAGCAGCAAGGCCAACAGCCCTGCCCATGAAACCATTCTTTCCTTCTACACCTCCAAGCCTGTGATAGGAGGGGCTCTTGTGAAAACCTCTGACATTCTCTGGAGACATTTTTCCCATTGTCTTGGTGATTGATATTTGGCTCCTTGTTACTTATGTGGATTTCTGGAGCAAACTTGAATTTCTCCTGAGATAAATAAGTTTTTCTTTTTTATCACATTATCAGGTGTAAAATTTTCTGGACTTTTATGCTGTGCTTCCCTTTTAAATATGAGTTTCAAATCCATACCATATATTTGTGAATGAATAAAACTGAATGCTTTTAAAAGCACCCAAGTCACCTCTTGAACACTTTGCTGCTTAGAAATTTTTTCCACCAGATACCCTAAATCATCTCTCTCAAGTTCAAAGTCCCACAGATCTCTAGGGCAGGGGCAAAAGGCAGCCCGTCTCTGCTAAAGCAAAGCAAGAATCACCTTTGCTTCAGTTCCCAATAAGTTCCTCATCTCCATCTGAGACCACCTGTCTGGACTTCATTGTTCATATCACTATCAGCATTTTGGTCAAAACCATTCAACAAGTCTCTATGAAGCTTCAAACTTTCACACATCTTCCGGTCTTCTTCTAAGCCCTCCAAACTGTTCCAATCTCTGACTGTTACACAGTTCTAAAGTCACTTCCACATTTTTGGGCATCTTAATAGCAAGCAGTACCCCACTCTACTAGTACCAATTTACTGTATTAGTCCTTTCTTACACTGCTGATAAAGACATACCTGACACTGGGTAATTTATAAAGGAAATAGGCTTAATTTACTCACTGTTCAGCATGGCTGGAGAGGCCTCAGGAAACTTACAATCATGGTGGAATGGGAAGCAATGACATCCTTCTTTATGTGGTGACAGGAGAGACAAGTGCAAGGCAACTGCTCTTTATAAAACCATCAGATCTCATGAGACTTATTCACTACACAAGAACAGCTCTGGAAAACCCACCACCATGATTCAGTTACCTCCAACCAGGTCCCTCCCGCAACATGTTGGGATTATGGGAACTACAATTCAAGATAAGATTTGGGTGGAGACATAGCCAAACCATGTCAAGTATTGATGTTAAAACATCAAAACTGTGAAGACAACTAGATAGTAATGTTATCTAACAAATGAGCTTAGTTTCTTTCTACATAGAAAAGAAACATCAAAGTTACATAAAAATTACATGAAAACTTTCAGAGTCTTGAAAATACTTTTACCCATTGAATGGTAGCTATGGGAACAATTTTTTATTTAGTGGCTTAAACTATTTATTTACTATGTCTTATTTTTATTTTGTTTTATTTTATTTCCCAGAAATAGGTAAGATACAAAAACCTGTGTTGTTAAGGAATTGGTTGCACAGACCTTTGAACCACAGTGACTGGAGGAATCTGTAAGTAGTGGATTTGTTTTATTTAATTCAAAGTCTGGACATCTCACATAGGGTTGAGCAAAGAAGTTTTCATCATTTCATGTGAATCTTCCTTTGGGCCCCAGAAATAATCATTTCACTCTATGAGCCAAAAAGCAGCCAAATATTTTAGTTACACCATGCACCCTAATATGGGGGTGAATTAAGTCAGTCAACTCAATAGCTTATACTGTGTTATCACTGGAATGAGACCTGCTACTGAGATGTAAGTTTTGCTTTTTAGATTCCACAAAAAGGAAATCATCACATTGTGGGAAGAAAGGCTACTTAATTATTTCTGCATAGACATATAGAGGTAATTTTAGAATAGGAATCAGGGTGTACTAGTTCATCTTCCTGCTGCTGATGAAGACCTACTCGAGACTGAGCAATTTAAGAAAAAGGTGTAATTGGACTTACAGTTCCATGTGATTGGGGAAGCCTCACAATCATGGAAGAGGGCAAGGAGGAGCAAGTCATATTTTACGTGGATGGTGGCAGGCAAAAAATAAGAGCGCTTGTGCAGGGGAATGCCTCTTTTTAAAATTATCAACTCTCATGAGACTTATTCACTGTCACAAGAACAGCATGGAAATGACTTGCCCCATGATTCAATTACCTCCCACCAGGTCCCTCCCGCAACATGTGGGAAGTCAAAATGAGATTTGGGTTGGGACACAGCCATACCTCATCATTCCACCACTGGCCCCTCCAAAATCTCATGGCCTCTCATTTCAAAACCAATCATGCCTTCCCAACAGTCTCCCAAAGTCTTAACACATTCCAGCATTAACCCAAAAGTCCACAGTCCAAAGTTCCATCTGAGAATAAGCAAGTCCCTCCTTGACTATGAGTCCGTAAAATCAAAAGCAAGTTAGTTACTTCCTAGATACGGTAAGAGTACAGGCATTGGGTAAATGCAGCCATTCCAGCCAGGTGTGGGGGCTTACGCACTCTGGGAGGCTGAGACGGGCGGATCACAAGGTCAGGAGTTCGAGAATAGACTGGCCAATATGGTAAAACCCTGTCTCTACTAAAAATACAAAAACTAGCCAGACGTAGTGGTGGGCATCTGTAGTTCCAGCTACTTGGGAGGCTGAGGCAGGAGAATCACTTGAACCCAGGAGGTGGAGGTTGCAGTGAGCCGAGATCACACCACTGCACTCCAGCCTGGTGATGGAGCGAGACTCCATCTCAAAAAAATAAATAAAATAAATAAATAAAAAATACAGCCATTTCAAATGGGAGAAATTGGCCAAACAAAGGGGCTATAGGCCCCATGCAAGTCTGAAATCCAGCAGGGCAGTCAAATCTTAAAGATCCAAAATGATCTCCTTTGACTCCATGTCTCGCATCCAGGTCACACTGACGCAAGAGGTGGGCTCCCATGGTCTTGGGAAGCTCCGACTCTGTGGCTTTGTAGAGTATAGCCCTCCTCCTGACTTCTTTCACAGGCTGGCATTGAGTGTCTGCAGTTTTTCCAAGCACACAGTGCAAGCTGTCGATGGATCTACCATTTCTGGGGTTTGGAGGACAGTGGCCCTTTTCTCATAGCTCCACTAGGTGGTGCCCCAGCAGGGACTCTGTGTGGGGGACTCTGACCCCATATTCCCTTTCTGCACTGCCCTAGCAAAGGTTCTCCATGAAGGCCCCACCCCTGCAGCAAACTTCTGCCTGGGCATCCAGGAGTTCCCATACATCTTCTGAAATCTAGGCAGACGTTCCCAAACCTCAATTCTTGACCTCTGTGCACTCACAGGCTCAATACCACATAGAAGCTGTCAAGGCTTGGGGCTTGCACCCTCTGAAGCCAAGGCCCAATCTCTACATTGACCCCTTTCAGCCACAGCTGGAGCTGCTGGTTCACAGAGCACCAAGTCCCTAAGCTGCACACAGCATGGCGACCCTGGGCCTGGCCCACAAAACCATTTCTCCTGCTCTGCCTCTGGGCCTGTGATGGGAGGGGCTGCCATGAAGATCTTTGACATGCCCTGGATACATTGAGAGATTTCCCCATTGTTTTGGGGATTAACATTCCTCTCCTTGTTACTTATGCAAATTTCTGCAGCTGGAATTTCTCCTCAGAAAAAGGGATTTTATTTTTTTATCACATTGTCAGGCTGCAAATTTCCTGAATTTTTATGCTATGCTTCCCTTATAAAACTGAATGCTTTAACAGCACCCAAGTTACCTCCTGAATGCTAGTTGCTTAGAAATTTCTTCTGCCACATACCCTGAATCATCTCTCTCAAGTTCAAAGTTCCATAAATCTCTAGGGTAGGGGCAAAATGCCACCAGTCTATTTGCTAAAACATAACAAGAGTCACCTTTGCTTCAGTTCCCAACAAGTTCCTCATTTCCATCTGAGACCATATCAGCATTTTGGTCAAAGCCATTCAACAAGTCTCTAGGAAGTTTCAAACTTTCCCACAATTTCCTGTCTTCTTCTGAGCCCTTCAAACTGTTCCAACTTCTGCCTGTTACCTAGTTCCAAAGCTGCTTCCACATTTTCAGGTATCATTTCAGCAGTGCCCACTTCACTGGTATCAAGGTACGGTATTAGTCTGTTTTCATGATGCTGATAGAGACCTACCCTAGACCAAGCAATTTACAAAAGAAAGAGGTTTAATTGGACTTACAGTTCAATTAAAATGGGCTTTAATTGGCTGGGAAAGCCTCACAATCATGGTGAAAG
Organism: Homo sapiens; assembly: GCF_000001405.40. Classification (NCBI taxonomy): domain Eukaryota; kingdom Metazoa; phylum Chordata; class Mammalia; order Primates; family Hominidae; genus Homo; species Homo sapiens. Next base: position 102,873,429 of record NC_000001.11, read on the forward strand.
GCAAGGAGGAACAAGTCACATCTTACGTGGATGGTGGCAGGCAAAAAATGAGAGAGCTTGTTCAGGGGAACACCTCTTTATAAACCATCAGATCTTGTGAAACTTACTCACTGTCACAAGAACAGCGTTTGAATGACTTGCCCCTATCATTCAATTGTCTCCCACCGGGTTCTCACACAACAAGGGGGAATTCAAGATGAGATTTGGATGGGGACACAGCCAAACCATATCCCCATGGTTTTGTTTATCTCATACTTATAGTATTATAGACAGAACTACCATTATAATGTTATTGTAAAATAAGTCACAGTTACTATAGCATGAAACATTTCTGAAATTATTTCACGTTGTGGTTTTAGGAAAGAGTTAACCGTGGATTTGTAAATTTTTTTTTATATTGTTTCTTTTTTAACCCTGAACCATCTCCTTCTAAATATTGACAGTTGGATTTATTAGATGAATAGTGAATGAGGATTCTGCATGGGTTGCTATGTACAGCTTACTGAACTTGGAATGGTTTAAGCGAGATATTTTTCTTTAAAAAATTTTCTGTAAATAATTCTGCAATCTATGGATCTCCTGACTGCAGCTGTACTGAGCAATGGTTAATCATACAGCCAGTACAGGGATATGAAACTAGCAAAGTACCAAAGTTGAGAGACCCCAAAGACCTATTAAAATCATCCTCTGGCAAGTAAAACACATTTTGGTATATATAGAAAAAGAAGATTTGATAAGCTATGTCTGGTGAATTCAGACTTGCTGGATTTAAAATGCCTTAGGCTGCTGTTCTTTTTTGGTATCTTTTGCAAATCATTTGTAAAGTTTGTATGTAAGTCTCTTTGATGATTTGGGTCTCTGTGATCATGCAATTTGTATAATATTTACTTTGTTCAAATGAAATCTTTATAAAAATTATATGATATTGGGTAGCACAGGTGTTACTAGCTACATTTCAGAAAGGGACTTATACTGTGGTGATAATAGCAGCACAAAGAAATCTAGAGTAGCAGCAATTTCTTTATAGCTGATATATGCCAGATTTTGTGTTAGGTAACTCATATGTTTTACAGTTATCCAGTATGAAGCCATCTATTTAACATGAATCTCATAAAGCTTAAGCTCCAGGACACTTCTTTTGCATGGGCTCCATTTAAGACCCTGGGAGGTCTCCTAGAAATATGTCTGCATGGTCATATTATTAGTAAAATTTGCCAGAGTAAGATTGACCATGATTAGTTAAGAACGTTGTTTTACCACTGCAACTACTCTTTGTCATTTCGCCTTTTGTTAGGTAGAGTGGAAGGGGCCAGCAAGGAGAAAATTCAAATATAGATTCATTTATTTGGGGTTTGTATACTATATTTACATGATGGGGTATAATTATACAACCTGTCATTATTTTATGTATATTAATGCCGGCAATCCTAGTGTAAATGGCTTTCTGGAATAACCCTGTCATCCACTGATATAGTTGGGATATGTGTCCACACTCAAATCTTATATTGAATTGTAATCCGCAGTGTTGGAGCTGGGACCTAATGTGGTGTAATTGGACCTGGGGGTGGATCCTTCATGAAGAGTTTACCAGCATCCTCTTGGGCTGTTTTTGTGATAGTGAGTTCTCATGAGATATGGTTATTTAAAAGTGTGTAGCACCTCCCCTCTCACTCTCTTTTGCACCTATTCCAGCCATGTGAGACGTCTCATTCTCACTTTGCCTTCTGCCATGATTGGAAGCTTCCTGAGGCTTCTCCAGAAGTAGAAACTGCTATTCTTCCTGTACAGCCTGCAGAACCATGAGCCAATTAAACCTATTTTCTTTATAAATTACTCAGTTTCATGTATTTCTTTATAGCAATGGAAGAATGAACTAATGATATGTTATGATGATCACAAAGAAGACTGAGTTTGTACCATGGCATCCATGTGTTTTATGGTTCCCAGAACATAAAATCTATAGGCAGTGGAGGAGAAACAAGATTTGAAATAAACAGAATCAGAAGCTAGTCTGTGGAAATTTCTCACAAATTTTGTAGTGCATATGAAATATATGTAATAGAGATTTTCCTAAATTTTTAAATAATCTAAAAATTTTATAATACTTACTTACCAATAACAAGACATGAAACAGAAATATTTCTAAGGTATCAATAAGAAACATTTTTTCACCTTGCATATTAGAGTATCTTACTCTATATTAAGTTAAATTATGAAATCTCTTATAAAGAGGCACTCAAAGAGACTGCAGCCAAAAATATAATATTAAAAAATCACAGAAGTGTTTCAGAAAGAAAAAACATTGTTTTCCCAGATTTCCTGTTTTTTTAACTTTTTAATAAAATTAATAATTTGTTGTAATATCTTTACTCATTATAGTCACTTCTGTACCTTGTGTTTGTAGTTTTATTTCTTAAAGTTAGATCAAATTTCATGTGCATTAAGTCCATGATTTACCCTGCCTTCAAGGTCAATACTGTTCTTTGTATTCATATGAATAACATACCTGCTGGGGCCAGGATTAAAATGTCATCTAACAAGTTTTTTCTATTCTGGTGAGCTTTCTTTTGTCTAGATTACATCAATCATAAGGGAGAGAAAAAAGTCTGACGTCCTGAAGAAGACTATATCTATATATGGAAAGAATATAAAAGCATAGACATTCAATTATCTATTCATTCTATTGAGTGCCAAATTAAAGTTTATTTGGTTTAAATGGATAACACTGCATCCCTGATGCAGGCTAATATGCAAAATATTCTGTTATTGCTATACTTTCATCATTATGTAAAATATGTAATTACAAAAATATCTCTTTGAAATTTTAAGTATAATCTACCTTTATTTTATAAATTCAGTATTACCATGTCCTTTTCACTATCTTATGCATGTGGGGGATTTAGACAACTTATCTCTGAATGGTAATATGTTTGTTCAGAAGTGTAAAACTGTTCTAATCTGGATGGTCAAGAAAGAATCAAAAGCTTTATCTGAAATTGAGAATAATTTGGAACCTATTTAAGAAAGAAAATGACCAATCCAGGTAGCCAAGACTTGAGTTTATTTATTGGATTCATATCTCCCTTCTTAAAAGGACATTTACAAACTCGATTTCAAAAATAAAAGAAATTCTTTATGACAAATTTCACTTTTTAATTTCAATATTACAGGTATGTTCTTTTGTCATAAATTATCAGTTGAAACTGTTCCAGTGAAATCTGGTATCAATTAATTTAACACTTTATATAAGAAATAAAACATTTATTTTCAAGTCTTACATATATTACTTAAAATAGATACAAAATTCAGTTTTTAATTTTTAAATTGTATTGCTATTTCAAGCTACCTTAAAGTAAATACCTTAGTGGAAAAAAAAGTTTAGATTTTCCTGAATGACTTAAAACAAATACTCTTAATAACAGTCCACCATATGTTATTCATTTAGCAATTAGGTAGGTCAAATGATTTATAAAATTATCTTGAAAGGAAAAAAGTAATATTTGTTGGGCAAGTAAAATAATTTTCGAGACTGTTATAATATGCAACTTAGAATCAAATTCAAGAACTTGATTGATAAGAAAATCTAACATTGCACAAATTCATAAATAATTGCTTAATTTCCATCTTTAATATTAACCTGCATTATTGAAGCACACTGAAAACAAGGAGATGAGATAACGTAGAAAAAAAGTATACATATGATTGTTTGCTTGACGGAGGCATTGATTTGTTAATATACTTTCTTACACACATTTCCCTGTCCAAAAATATAAACTTGCTTGTTTTCCATATATACAAGTATCCTGTGAAATCCTGGATTCTGAGAAGAAAAAGTTTGAGGTATAGCCTTGAATAAAGCATCAAAATGCATAATATTTTTGGCTGAAATTCAGCAAAATGACTGTCGGCAGAGAAGAGTTGATCAGAGTGTGCTTCCAAAAGTCTTCCAGATTTTTGCCCTCTGAGAATTTTGTTGGCGACATCAAATAATTGAACTCTTCAACATCAATATATACAAAGGCATTTTATTATTAACCAAAGAAAGGGACTTAGAGTCATCAGAAATTACAACTTTATTTTTTCATAATACATATATTTATTGCCATCAGAGTTCTGCAATTCTCATAAAATTAGAGTCAGATGGAATTCAGGGACACGTGCAAGTTTTGGAAATGGACACAGATAACAGTATAGAACTGTACACAAAATAATTACAATTTATTAAACACACTGTTTTAGTACATCCTGGATGGATGAGAATGAGCACCATATTTTTTATGAATATATATTTTTCTTTTTTTGTTTTCTACAGCACCAAAGAAATTCAAATAGGAAAAGGAGAGTTGAGAATTGGGAATCAAGAATCAGCCCTGTTTCCATCTTAGCCACACCAACTTATATCTTTATGATTTTCAAAGCTTTTGCCATGTGATTCTGCCCCCACAAAGGCATCGGTATTTCCTAAATGGTACCTGTATATGCAGCGTTGTTTTCTATACCATCCTTATTCAAAACTTGCATGTGGCACAAAATGGGTTGGTGGCACCAAGGTATATTTTCTGTTGATTTGATATGTTCTTTGTCTTAATCTTAGCCAAGAAAACAAACAGGACCAACTTCAAATCCGAACTTCTGATTCTGATCACCAAAGTCATTGATCATGACATCAACAATAGGTACTTGATCAATTTTTGGTGTATTGATTTCAATGACAGTCTTTTCATAGCCTTTTCTGGACTGTAAAATAAAGCAGAAATAAAAAGTTATACAATCTTTTAATATTTTTAAATGCATCTTATTTTTTCTTGGGCTTCTGAGTGGAGGTAAGAAGCTGAGAGAGAAGAGAATAGAAAAACAAATTTTCTATTATCTATGTAATAATTCTTATCACTGTATAGTTCTAAATTTTGAATATTGATTAGTACATTTAATACTTAGCTGTAATTACTTAACTATGATAGTGCTATATATTTTGTAATTAAAAAGAGTCTTGAGTTTCATAATAAATACAATTTAATATGAAAATTGATGTTGGTATTGAATCCTCATATATATATATATATATATATATATATTCTTTTTCTTTTCTTTCTTTTTTTTTTTTTGAGATGAAGTTTTGCTCTGTTGCTCAGGCTGGAGAGCAGTGATCTCAGCTCACTGCAACTTCTGCCTCCTGGTTTCAAGCCATTCTCCTGCCTCAGTCTCCTGAGTAGCTGGACCTACTGGCATGTGCCACCATGCCCAGCTACTTTTTGTATTTTTAGTAGATGAGGTTTCACTTTGTTGGCCAGGCTGGTCTTGAACTCCTGACCTCAGGTGATCTGCCCGCCATGGCTGCCCAAAGTTCTGGGATTACAGGGGTAAGACACCACACCCAGCCCCTCCAGTATAAATAATACATCTTTACCATTATAGTTAAGATATACATAGTCAAATTCTCTTACAGAAAAAGTTAAATACAGGTTCACAACTATAACACACAAGGTCAAATGTCAAAAAAATTTCTTCTGCTATATGTTAATTTTATGAATATTTAACAATAAACTATATTGGAAAAGCTTTTCCCAACTCTTGCTCCATTCATTTGCTTTACTCTCTCTTCTTCATTCTACTTGCACTCCACTCATTTTGATGAAAACATGAACTTACTTATTTACAATTGTGACTTCTCTTCAGTCATCAATACTCAGCTAAAGCAATGAACTTTTTAGGGCACCTATTTATTATTTTCTTATGTAAAATCTTATGTGTGTGAACAAGGTAGTTCTATAAGATAGAGATAACAATAATGATACTGGATCTCAAACTGATATAGTACAAATTAACAAGCTTCTTATAAACAAAATATAGGGCTAAAAATTATTGATATTATAAATGGTATAATGGTGATTCCTTTATCTGTCATTTTAAAATCAGCAATAAGGAGGCAAATGAAATAAGTGTTTTTATTTTCTTTTTCATTTTAGGAATAACTAGCTGTGATATGATTCAAATGTCAGAATAAAATAACATATAATCCAAGATTACCTTCTGTATGCCTTTAAAAATGTTTCAGAGTGTCTATGTGCATAACTGTGTGTGTGTTAACATTACTGGTTTCTCACATACCATAGTTTAACATGTCAAGATTAAGCAACAAATGTTAATAACAACTGACGTCCATTTCATGAGAAAAATCTGGCTAAGGACCGACTGAAACGGTGACATGCTGCCTATCATCTCTGTGAAGGGAGACAAGCAGAACTTATACTCACCGCACAACCATCATACAGTGTTTTGATAAAAGGATTATTGTCATAGGACATCTCCTCATCATTTGATCCCAGGAAGCGAAGTGCTTTGTCATAACTTCCTGATGACACATCATACCAGGCTGCTGACTGATGACAGTGGTAGGTGAAATTTTGCCGAGCAGAGGCAGTCAGAAGTTTCAGGAATGTCATTTGCACCATATTGATGGAATTTCCTTCAACATCTAAGTATGAAAGCTAGGAATAAAGGAATAAAAAGACACCTAATGACTCTTTTCCTCTTTTATGCTACAAAGAATTAAATCACTGCAGACAGTGAACTGTGATGCCAGAAGCATGTAGATGAATCAAAAGACCCACCTTAACCTAATGAAAAAAAGTGTACATTGAGGGTCAGAAGACCCAGAGACAAGATTTTATGAATTGTATCCCACCTAAGTTACTGTAGCCACTGCTTATCTTTGAAAAAACCACTTTATCTCTAAGTCTTAGTTTCCTAAACAGTAAACACTATAAAAAATGCTTTAGTTTCCAAGAAATGTTTCAATATATTTCTGTATCTTTTTGAAAAAAAAATTGGTAAAATAATGGAACAATGAAAACCAAGGAATCTCAGAATAATGCAAAGATTAGCTGGTTTTATGTTGTTTGATTTTGACTATTCCTTTCAAACATTTCAAAATGTATCAACTTTACCCAAATCTGTAAACATGTTCCTACACTTTTCATTTTGGGGCTATAGTCCTCAAAGGTTATTAATATTTTCAGAAATGCCTGTTTATCTATTTTTAGATGATGTGTGTATTCAACATTGTATTGCCAGCAGCAGGCATAATGTGCAAGACAAGGCAAGTTAATATTTGTTGAGTCAATACTTATTCTGAAATTATAGCAGGAAAATAGTCTCAGTTGTAATTTATTAGCAACTGTCTCATATCATCTTTATAAATTGTCTTATTTTTGGTAATAAAAATATCTGAGTTCAGCTGTAACATATACACTTAAATTTGAAAAAAAAAAGGTTAAGATGTTCACCTAGATTATAGATTAGGTCAATGTAAAGGCAGTTATTTGTTACTTTCTTCCTTAAAACAGATTTTACTTAGTTCTTACTGAATAGTAGGTCAGATCATGAGTATTCTTGGGGGTTGAAGAAAAAAATCTACTGGGAAAATTCAATCCACACACATAGAGTTCTATCTGTATATATTTTTAAACTTATACAAAGATAATAATGTAATATGGATATTTAATATGCAACTTGAAGACTGTAATAGAGAATTATAACTCCAGTGGAGAGTGTCAATAAAAGTGGTTAATATGCATGAGTTTGTATAGAAATAATAACTGTATAAATAATCATAAATGGAAAATAATAGCTTTTCAAAGAAAATTAAACAACTGAATAATTATCTGGATAACTGGAAAACACTTTAAATTCAATAACTTCTAAATAAAATACTTTAAACACATGTATATGATTAAACACCTTTTAAAGATTAATTTAATTTTGACATCTAATCTTAAAATATCTTTAGAAAATTATTGAAATGAACTGGTAATTGTATGGAAATCTTTAAATTTGTGCCAGAACAATCAGAAAAAGTTGCACATTCCAACTTATTGATATGAAGAATAAAGAAGGAATTAGGTTTCAAGCAGACAGAAAGTGAAATAATAGGAAGATATTAAGTAGATATTATATTCTTTATACCTGATATTTCTAACATAATCAATTTTTATGATGTCTATCTCAGGTACTTAATAAATTGTATGCATGATTTGATCCTTGTTTTCCATAAATTTAGCATATTTCCATTTACTTTTATACAAAAATGTTAGGTTGCTTTAAGATACCACAGTGGTCTAAGAGATATTAAGTGGAACAAACTAGAGACCACAGGGAATCCTCATTTAGCATAATTTAGACTTTCACTGTTAAAGTCCAGAAATACATAATCAGAATGTCACTTCTTGAGTTCGTGAAAAATCGTTTCATGTTGAGGTAATAACATACCAGTTTTCCCCTCTTAAATTCACTAAACCAACTTCCTGGTTTCTCCTTTGGCCATGATGAAATTCTTACCTGTTGCAAAGGAACAGAAAAGTTAGTGAGTAGGTGAAAATTTACAATATAAACAGTATTTTTATATACATATAATTCATTTTCAGTAAGACTAAGAAAATAAAGAGTGCTTAAAATCGTTTTAAAATGACACAAATTAGATTATACAAAATGAGACAAAGAGAAAAATTTGAGATAGATCCTGTACATTCTATGTAGTGAAGATTGAGTCATTTCCTTTTTGTTGTCTTTATCAGCTCTAAAGGAAAAGGGGAAAGACAACCGGGTATAGGCATACTAAGGGTTATAGGGGACATTGGTGGAACACTCAGAAACCCTTTGCAAAGGAAATCCTCAAAATGTCAGTCAGCTTCATCAAGCAAGGCAGGTACCATCTTCACTCCATAGCCAAGGAACATGTTTGAAAGTATTTAGCCAGTAGCTAAGGAGATATACTGTGTGAAAGGCACTGATTGGAAGCAACCTGAATTACTCCCTGCTGGTTAGAATATTTAGAATCTTATAGATCTGCATTTATTGTTCTGCTTTGTGAAGAACAGCAAAGGGTATATAAGTCTTCACAATAGGGAACTCGAGTTATCTGTGTAAGAAACAACATTTTCTGTTTTTCCACATTTCTCTGGAGGCTAGGGGAGCTTTACTGTGCTTCATTACATGCCAAGTAGTGTTGGAAGATGGAAGTTGTTTTTTCTCCTGCCCTTACTACCCACTCTTTACTCAGAAACTTAACTTTTCTCCCAAAACCATTAGTCACACATAAAGCTACTTGTTTTGCCTTAAGGAGTTTCTGTGCCTCTATTGTCCACACCATTTACTAGGAAGAATGAGATTTATTACATGAATACCAATAAAGACAAAATGTCCACTTATAAAATGTTTGGAGAATATAGTTATGCTCGTGAACAAACTTTCTTTACATTAATGATTTGCATTTAGCTTTGAAGACAGAACTCAGTGTACTGGTAATAATGTTAGGTAAAAATTAAAGAATTTGTTTAAAGAAACTAAATATTTAAAAAATATGTAAGTGCAGAAAAGACTTGTATATAAAAGTTTAATTCTTTATAAAATTAGATATTTTGGGTGTAATATGCAGCTGTGAGGTCTCTGATGTGGTAATTGGGCAGAAGAACACTTTAGTGGCACTAAAATTTGAGATTCAGCTGTGCTGTGTCATGGAAATCCATAGAATTTTAGTGAGCAAGCAGGTGCAGAAAGAATACATCTGGGTAAAAAATAAAGAAGAGAAGTATTTGTTAACTCTGTGCATCAATTTGGTGCTTATTCATGTTTATGCAAATGAAGTACTCTAATTATTTTGTAAGAAAAGCAGATAAATGAAAATATGACAGTATAATTTTCCTGTTTAGTTCAATATTGCAAAACATGGCAGGAACTGTCAACATTCACCACCAAAACAGATTGGTACTTACTCCCTCAGATTTTTTGTCTGGATAAATGCAAGTCTCACCACCAGATGTGAAATTACAGTAAACTTTGAAGGAATCTCCTGAGCAACCTTGGTTAGGATCAATCCAATATTCACCTAGAAGGTAGCAAAAAATATGTCATATAAAAATTCATTGACATCATTGTTGAATGCATTAGATGTCAAATTTTGTTAGAAAGAGAAATAAGGAAAATACATATTAATAGATCTTTTGCCTTTTAAGCTTTTGGGCATATTGGGGTACGGTTTTTAATAAAGAGTGATACTTTCTCTTGTCTGCCTCAAAGCTTTGCAAATGCCCCATATGTTCTACCTGGAATACCTTTTTAAAATTCTTAGCATGCCTATCACTTTTTGGTTTCAACTTAAATATCATCTCCTCAAATATTAACATTCCATTTATCCCTGTGTAATAAATTGCATGCATATTGAAATAAGATATACTTGACTCCAAATCTCATAAGTATTATTTACTACTTAAGTAATCTGAGTAGTGTAATCAATATATTTTCTTCCTAGTTTATTCATTTGTAACAGTGGAGGTGATATCGTATCTACTTAGCCTCAGAGATCATACCTCTGCCTTATTTTATAAAAAAAAAAAACTTCTTGCAATAAATGTACTCTCTCTTTGAAGGGGGGTCCTAAGAAGGACTACTTTATATTTTAATGCAGCCTGCTATTAATGCCATTGCTGAAATGTTGCAGAACACATTTTATTATGTGAATAATCATCACCATTCATTTGGTGTTATGTGAGTAAGCATGGAAAATAGTGGGAGTAACAAAGTTATTCTTTAGATAACTGACAATACGGCTTTAGTTAACAAAAGTTACTAGGAGCCAAAAGTGATATACATGTAAACATTACTTTGCTTCCTTCTGTTGGGACTCAGAAAATGATACCCCAAAGTGAAAGCCGCTGAGGCAGTTTTTCTCTGACCTCTGCCCTCCTGTCTCTCATCCCTCATTCTCCCTCGAGGCAAGTCATGGAAATTAGAATCCCTCCTCCCCAAAGTGGGTCATAGAAACCAGAACCCCTTTTTTGCAAAGCCAGCTATAAAACCTAAACATACTACTCTAACTGTTATAGTAGGTAGTCAGACATAAACAGGGCAGGAGAGCCCTGCCAATCCCACCAGGAATGTCAGGCGACCATCAGATGAAGGTCAGGCAGTTGTTAAACTGTCTTGCTAAAACAATTGGTTGCAGCTGGTGCCAGGGAATGGCAGTCTTCCTGTTCCTCATAGAAAACACCTGAAACTGGTGACCAGCAGCTTCTTTATACGATCTCAGGAGGTGGGCTACTGGGCTCAAGCATGTGCACTAAGATGCAAATGGTTGGAGTTTAACTGGTAAATAACCTTCCTCTGGGAACACTAAACTGACGCCTCAAGTGAGCATGCGCACAGCTCCAGGAAACAAAATGTGTGTGTGGCCCCTCCCAAGTGCTGGCAGCCCACTGCACTTGTGGGCAGCCCACCCCAAGGGAGGAATCAGGCGAGAAGAGATGCAAACCTCAGAAGCATGCCAATGTAGAAAACCCCAAGTCAAAGGTCAAACCATGCACTTGAAGCCCTCCAGTCGTCCGCTTGACCCTCTTCCAAGTGTACTTTACTTTCTTTCATTTCTGTTCTGAAACTTTTTAATAAACTTTCACTCCTATAACCCTTAGTATACCATATGGATTTGCCACTGTTAACATAACCTTCACCCACCTTTCTGTGTAACAGCTGGCCATAAAGAAATTAAAACCCTTATTCCAGAGGGGTTCTACCCCGTACCTGGGAGGATGGAATACTACAACACAGGCCAGGGAGTATCTGAACAGAAGGCCTTACTAGGTTTCCCTACTCGGATTAGTATCATTAGCTCATACCCTTTTTTTGTCCAATATTATATTGCATTTCTACACAGCTGTCCCTGCCTTATCGAACCTAAGCATAAAATCAGATAGCTTCCTCTGTATCTTTCGAGCTTGAATCTGAAGGCGCCTATGTTATGTTGAACTATAATCAAATACATTTTTAATATTTTTCTCTTGTTAACCTTTTTTTTTATAGGGGTGTCAGCTTTGACCTTTATACTGAGAAGGAAAGGAATCGAATTATTTCTACCTTTATACTTCCAACTGTTTTTCATGCTGCCACTTCATTTGAAATATTTGAATTATATAAGTCCACTGGTTATGAACTTTTAATATTTTAAAAGCTCAAATTGCTTATCTTGGTGCTGGAACTCTAAACAATGCAATATCAACCTGCTTTATCTTCTGCTACTACTTGTATATAAACAGGAAAAGTATTCTAATAGTCGCATAACTTTAATATCTTTAACAAAAACATCTATATTTTTTCAGATTATACCATTAATATAATCATGTCTGAAACAAATTAGAATTCCCAGGAAAAAAATACAAGGAAATAAAAAAAATCATCTAAGATTTTACCAAGTAGAGATAACCACTGTAAACCTTTGATATATCTTACATGGTTTTTAGGAGTATATAACATTGAATTATCTAAATCATCTACATCTTTTGCTTAAATAACACCAGTTAAAAGTAAATCTCCTTATAAATCACTAAACTAAATGTATATTTTTCAGATAAACATATTATAAACATGAAGATGTTAGATACCAGTTTGTATAGGAACGCTAATAATTACCTGTGTTTTACCTTTAACAGGCTATGCTTGATTAAGATAAGAAGATTTTTGTGACATCCTTTTTTTTATGCTGGCTGTTTCTGAACTACACTGAACTTTTCTATCTGCATTGAGTTACTTAGATCACAGTTATAACTGACATTATATGATTGGTAGTGCAAAACAATATTTTCTACAGAGTAAAGGGGAGACAAAATAGTTCAACATGCAGTGGGAAATTTAAAAATCAGATGAAGATCTGCCCCTTGCTACTTTAATAATTGTAAGAGTTTAGTCAACTAACTTAGCAACCTGAAACTCTTTCTTTCTCTGACCAATAGGTATATAAAGGTTTTGTCAAAGAGTTGGTATGATGAATTATCCTAATTGTTATTAGTAAGTAAGCTATTCACAGCTGTTTGGAATATCTGTGGCTCAATTAAAGATACATTTTTGCCCCAAGCTATCCCAGTTCTTAATATTCTGTTCACCAAATCATTGCCAAACTGATAGATCAAATATACATCAGTTATGCTATTTACACATATCCATATATTCATATTAATCTAAAATAATAATCATATTAATGTAAGTATTCACATTAACATGAAGTTAGTAATCATATTACAATATACACATGTGTGTATACACAGTATCCATTCTGTGATAGTTATTACAAGCAAAGTACATTTGTGTTAGCTGTAATCATCCAAAAATGATCTTGTCATAATTTAATAAAATCCCATTTAACAGACAAGGATTTTCCAAAGCAAATCTTGATTTATGCAGTATAAATGATTTTTTCTGTCTAGAAGATAATTAATAACTGTTTCATTTTATTTAGAGACTGTATTAAACATTTAACTAGAATGAATGAGCTGCCAATGCACCTCAGAAACTCAGGGGCTCGGTACATTTGCTTTGTCATGTATTATTTACATACCATCTGGGAAGTCAGGATGGCTGAGTTGCAGGTCTTTACAAGTTCGGGCTGGATTGGTCTGAGTACCCATTGGAAATTTCATATGCTCAATGTCTTGTTTCAGGGAATTGAGGGAACCAAATATTTCTTCCATTCCATCCGAGTAATCAAGAATATTATCATCTGCATCTGCTTGCATGCCTTCAGTATGTCTTCTCGTTTTTTTGGAGGACAAGATTGGTAAAGGCTGAATGACTTCACCAGGTGGACCCTGTAAAGAAGATAATGTGAGTGCAATTGTTTCATAAAGTGGAATATTCTGCAGATATTAATTATTACTGGTTATGTTTTTGTTATAAGAAATTAGAGTTGGTTTAGCTTTTCATTAGCTACAAAATTTATGCTATAGGATAAGTTTATAAATATATAAACGTCATAGATTCTTCTATGATGAACTTGGTGGAGATATTGAGGTAGGTGAATAAGTTAGATGATTTCTCACCCTTTATCTATACAATAATATAGCACAGATTTGTGTAGATATGTTATATATGTTAGTCTCTTGTTTATTAATTAGTCATCATTTATATGCCCTAACTCCACAACTAGATTGTAAAGTCTCTGAGGATTAGAACAGCACTTTAAAGCTATTGCGCTATCTAATCAACTGTGTATTATATTTGATGATAATTTATATTATAAAACATTAAACTTTAAAAAATATGTACACATTAGTTTGCTTCAAATATGTGTGACTTAAATCATTATAAATTAACAAACTTAAAATCAATGCAACCCGACTTGAATTTACATTACGAGCAGAGCTATATCAAATAGTTATCATATTGTCATGGGTTGAATTGTATCCCACAAAAATTTGTAATGTTGAAGTCCTAATTCTCAGTATCTCAGAATGTAATCCCATTTGGAAATACAGTCACTGAAAATATAATTAGTTAAGATAACATCGCTAGAGTGGGCCCTAATCCAATATAAGTGATATTCTTATAAAAAGGAGAAATTTAAACACAGATACACCCAAAGAGGGAAGATAATGTGAAGAGACACAGGGGAAAGACAGCCACCACAAGCCAAGAAGAGAAGTGCAGAACAGACCCTTCCGCCATGGACCTCAGAAGGAACCAACACTGCTGACACCTTGTTCTAGGACTTCTAGCCTCCAACACTGGGAGACAATACATTTTTGTGGTTTGAGCCACCGACTCTGTGGTACTTTGCTATGGTAGCCCTAGCAAACTAGTATACATATAGTTGGAAAGATTTTAGCTCAAGAAAGAAGAATAACATTTCTTTCACATGGACCTATATTTTAATTCTACCATTTAATTAGTTATGTGAAGCCTAGAACATTTTAGTATTAATAAAGTGGTAGCTATTACTATTGTTTTTATTAGTATCTTTATAATGCACTAGGAAAAAATGTGAAGCATCTGAATTTTTGTCATTATTCCTAGAGTCAAGTAAAAATGTATCTTTACGGCATAAAATAAGTTGGTTTCATTAACGTGACAAAATAGTATATGATTCTCTTGAAAAAATAATAAAAACAAGACTATAATATACAATTAAGGCATTTATATTTGAAGAGTGAAATCAATTAAAATTTAAGTCTTGGCATGTAGATTTGATTACTTAAATGATATAATGTTTCCTATAAAATCAGCACTTTTGGCAGAATGTGCTTTTTGTCTATCTTATAAGTTCAGAGAAATCATTGGCAGCTTCCAGATGCAAACTGTCAGAACATCACTCTTGTTAACATATACTTACTGGAGACCCAGGAGGCCCTGGAAGACCACTGTCACCTTTCTGGCCAGCGGGTCCCTGTTAGAAAGAAGAGAGAGGACATAAATAAAGAAGAGGCAATTAAATAGGTTTCAATGCAAAATTAAATTGTCAAAGGGAAAAGTACTTACAGTAGAGCCTTTGTTACCCTTTGGGCCTTGAGGACCCTACAAAATGCAAATGCAAAAGCACAGATAAAAATCTGGAGCATTTGTGTCTCTGTTATATTTGTAACTTAACCCTACCTTATAAGGTTATTTTGTCTTGTACTTACTGGTAAACCTGGAGGACCAGGTGGACCTAAGGGACCAGCAGGACCAGGAATTCCCTAGAGAGAGAATCAGCCAATTTAAAGGGATTTTCTCAGCTATTTCATTTTCATGTTTTCATAACTTTTCAATATTTTCATAACAGCATACACTGTAAAATTTAGAGAATGCAAAAATATTTATGAATGGCTTAAACATTTTTCCATGGTGAATCTAAAAAATAACTTGTGCAAAATAATCAGGATTTTTCCTATGTTGCTACAATATCAATGAGGTTTTTGTTTTCAATCTATATGTGTTAATGTGTATATTCCTTTATCCCTCAGAATATGATTTACAGGTGATGGGAATTTAGTACATGTTTGTTTAAATAATACTCAACTGTAATTTTTATGGTTTCTAACTTAAATATTTTAAAATTTATTTACTCTAGGGCTGAATAAAAATATCTTTTTAAGAACATTACTGACTTAAATTAGAATTAAGACACTCTAAATTCTTTCTTTGATCATACTTAAAGGACTGTGTGTGTGTGTGTGTGTGTGTGTGTATTATTGGAAATGAGTAGAAAAAATAACCTATATTTTTACTCACCCCATCCCCTTTTGCTCCTGGAGATCCTTGAGTTCCAGGGAGCCCTCGGTCACCTTTTTCCCCTTGTTCTCCTGGAGGACCAATCAGGCCAATTAAACCAGGATGTCCCTTTGAAAGGCAGAGAAAAAAAATAATAACATGTACATTACTATCTTCATAAAATTTTAGTTATAAAATATTTGCACATTAAATTTCTAAAGCATAAAAATGAACAATGCTGATAAAACAACATTAAAATACCCTTCTGAATGAAATATACAGTTAAGAATCTCCTTCTCATCACCTAACTGGATCTTTTACTGCTTACTTTAAGTGAGGGCTTTATTAAGCATTGGAAATATTACAAAACAAAATGCTTTCTAAAAATATCATTTTAAGTGTTCCATTTGAGGAATCTCTAAACCAATAATGATCTCCTATAATATAAGTTGAATAAATAACAGAAAACTCATTATTTTAATAGGCATCTCATTTAATATGAAATAATTTCTACTCTTCAGAGACTCTGCAGTCTTTAAAAGGCATTTGAAGATTTAAAAATAATCCAAACAATAATAATACCATTTTTAAAAAGGCTAATTTCTCTAAGTACTTGGTGCAACTCAGCATAAATTCTAGTACATCAAATTAGTATTTGAAAGATATTTCTAGTTTAAAATTTTTATTTTCACATTTAAAAACATAAAAATAGATATTTTGTTATTCAGTCTGTTTATTTTCTGAATAGTTATTTTAGTATAACCATATGCTTTCTACATATGGTTGCTATAATGGAACCTTGAGAAGATATAGCACTGAATTCCAGCACATTTTTCACTATTTGCATATTTTCTCCCCTCTACATACATCTGGGAAGCTAAGGATTGAAGCTTTTTTCAGGGTTAGAATGAAGATATTGTTTGAAATTTTCTTTTGAATGATTTTAATCTGCAAAAGCAGGGCTATTAGTATATAAAAGCATATTCTTTTATTAATAACACATTCTTTTATTCTCACCTTTTCACCCTTGGAGCCAGGGTCACCTTTGAGACCAGGTAAGCCAGGAGGTCCCTAAATAATAACAAAAAAAAAACCCCAAAACAAAAACAGAGTAGGTATGAATTAGAGAATCCTATAACTAGTCACAGACCTAGTTTAGTTTTGAAAATACGGAGTTGAAAATAGTAATGATTAATGTTGCTTTATTTTTAAGGCTTCTAAGTAAATTTATATATTTAAAACACTATGGTTTAATTTGTAACCATAATATTGATAATTTTGATTAAATGAATGTAAAGTTAGAAATAGAACATGGTTATATGGCTTTTCAGTTAAGAATAAAGTGTCAATTTTTAAGTACACTAGTTTTGGAAGGGATTTCCAAATTATATATCCAGTTACTCAAACATTTTTATGTTACATGAATTTAAAAGTTTATGATATTTTTAGTAACATTTTTGAAAAAACTCAATAAACTTTTGAACAGTCAATAGATCTTTGATAACCACAGGAAAAAAAATAGACAAAATTTTAATACACTGTTTGGTTTGTATTTAAATAACAACCTCTATTTGTATATGTTAGAATGGTTGCCTAATAATATTCTATAGAATAAGAAGATAATTCCTATATATACTAAATTAAAACATGGAACTCTGTAATTCTTCTAGGCCATGGCCAATTTTCTGAATTCTGATCTCAATTCTTATTCTTTGTTCTCTTGAAATCAGATGTCCTTCACTATGATTACTGGAGAGAGACATATACTACGAATACTTAATAATCCCAATAAAATATTGCATGTATATTATTCATGAAGAAGTTAGAGATCATGACTATTAATTTCTCTAAGCTAAAGTATAAGACGTTACAAACTACATCAAGATGGTACTTTCAGCTGTAATTTCTAAATTGCACCTCATATCTAAATGATTTATGAAATTAATAAAGAAATTTATTTTTTATATAAATATACTTCTATTTCAATAATTTAACGTTTTTAATAGTCCCAGACTAAGACATTTATCCTTTTAACTTACATTCTATGAAAATTATGGCATGACTTTAGCAACCAACTCTGTCCTGCCCCCCCGCCCAAGGAAATTTTCATACTGATGACTTTCGAACAAACTGTTTTATCTATAAATTGTTGTACTCTAGGCCAGGCACAATGGCTCACACCTGTAATCCTAGCAATTTGAGAGCCTGAGGTGGGAGGACCGCTTGAACCTAGGAATTTGCAACCAGCCTGGGTAACACAGTGAGACATTTTGTCTACAAAAAAAAAAAAAAAAGCAAAAACTAGAATAATTGGTGGTGTGCACCTGCTGTCCCAGCTACTTGAGAGGCTAAGGGAGGAGGGTCACTTGAACCCATGAGTTTGAGGCTTCGGTGAGCTAAGATCACACCACTGCACTCCTGCATGGGTGACAGAGGAACACCCTGTCGCTAGAGAAAGTAAACAAAACAAAACACAAAAACACACCACACTAACAAGCCAAATTGTTGTACTACAATTTTGAAGACAACACAAAATACAGTCCTTGTGAAATTATACAAGTGAAACTACGCAGGCAACAGATGCTGTTGGAAGTGAAACTGATGCTAAAAAAATGATTTATATGTGACTTATGAAATTAGGGCCACGATAACCTAGATATGTCACTATGTCACTACTGCTTGCCGCAAGTCCTAAGGCACCCAGCAACAAAAGCAAACTGTTCATATGGTTTCTCTATGAATTAGAATTATTTTGATAGAATTCAATTAGCTCAATTATAATTTCAGTAATAATTTTCATCATGGCTCTATGACAGCAAATTGTTTTAACTTTTTACCAAAGTACATCATGAGTCACCACTATTGTATCTTCTACAAGGCTACCATGAGTAATATTTTCCTCTATCTGGAAACACTATTTCTTCAGTGTAAAACAGCACATTATATCCTGGTCCATAATTTTTGTGAATTTAAAGCCTTAAGAACTATGGATCTGATCCAAGCAGTATGATGTACTAGGAAAAGTATGGGTTCAGAATAGATAAGGTCTGGCATAGATACCAAACTCTCTTCTTAGCTACTTAAATTAATTGGACAAATAGAGCTTCAGTTTTCTCATCTACAAGCTGGGGACTACAATTCCTATCTCATAGAGCTGCTGCATGAATGAGGATGGGCCCTCCCTATTCTTTAGTTTCTGAAGCCTGCTTCTCAAACCAAAACTGTGAATATCAGGAAAGAGCAAGAATAGTGTTAATATAAATTAGCCCTTGTGTAACAATGGTATTTTAGACTATTATTAGGTATACTTATGTTTTTTAATTCATAACTGAATTTGGAATTCTCTAAGTATTAAAGTGGACAATTTCCCTATATTATTCAATTAACAACAGACAAAAGTTATTTTCATACAAGCACATGCAGTTTTAAGTGTAGATATGCTTAATAATAATCTTCTAATAAGGAGAAAATTACTAATCCTCAGAGTCAAATTTATATGAATTTAGTTACATTCTCTTTTGTATAAGAATAAACAATCATCCTGCCCTGTTAAATCTCAGACAAAAAGACCACAATGAAATTGTCAAATTCACTTTCAAGTATATAGTTATCTCCCCATTACTGGGGCTTTGCTCTCCATAGTAAAAATTGTATAAACAGTGAAGCATAATATAAATTTGAATTATTATCATTAGTTTTAGATATGCTACAGATAAATACCTGTCAACTTTCTCATCCCATTCTAATAGAAAAAGCTAAAATGGCAAGAAAAGAACTACTAGTGATTCTAATTGCTCAAGCTTAGTGAAAAATATATTAGACATTATTTGTGTTTTAAATGCATTAAAAATCCTTTCCATAAATATTATTCATGAAGTTAAAGATAATGAATATTAATTTATCTAAGCTAATAATCTCTCTTAACATTATAAACTACATCTAAAGATGAGTTTGCCAAACAAAATCAGTTTTTATTTTCATCAGCTGGAAATAGAAATTGGTATGATATCGAGAGCAGTTATAAATAACCCTTTGAACCTGAAACAGATCAAAAACATCAACTCTGCATATAAAAATGTTATTCTAACTATACATATTTTCTATTTTTCTCTTTCGGATATTGTAAATTGAAAACCCCCAGGGAAATACATAATTCATAAGTAATAAAGTGAAAAGGAAAACAGGGATGATACATTCTTAAGTGTCTAGAATACACAAGCAAACATTTTCCCCTGCAGTATTATACTTTCTGGAATATTTGCTTTGATCTGCATTTCAAAACTCTAGTTCATTGAAATTTAAAGAAACTGCAGATCCTACACTTTATTTAAAATATAAAATTGTGGAATAATATTTAATCTGGTGAAAAGCAAATGCTTTTTTATTTAAACCTTTTTAATCATTGTGGAATGCTACCCATATCACCCTTGTCTACAGATAACTTAAATGTAGGATTAAAGAAATAAACTCTAATTCAGTATCCCATCCTATCTTTTAAGTTTTTATTGTTTAAAAAATAATGCTATCAGATATTTTATTTAACATTTTGTTATCAAAAGCAGAAATGTGTGATAATACTAAATAATCTTTTTTGAACATAAATGCTGAATAATTTTTCAGCTGCATTAAAACAAATAGAGTCTTAAAAGAATACAAAACAAAACAAAATAAAACCTTAAAGCTAAGACAGATGTTAATTCTGACTTCAAAAAATCAAATACATTTTAGTTTTAAAAGTGACTAAATCATTTTAATTTTGACTTTGTATCAGAGGGTAGAATTTAGACATCTTCATTCTTCTCTTTAAAACACTCAATTGGCCAGGCTTGGTGGCTCACGCCTGTAATCCCAGCACTTTGGGAGACAGAGGTGGATGGATCGCTTGAGCCCTGGAGTCCAAGAGCAGCCTGGGCAACTGTCAAAAACCTATCTGTACTAAAAATGACAAAAATTAGCCTGGTGCAGTGGCACAAACCTGCAGCCCCAGCTAACCGAGAGGCTGAGGCGGGAGGATCACCTAAGCCTAGAAGGACAAGGTTGTAGTGACTCGTGATTGTGCCACTGCACTCCAGCCCCGGTGATAGAGTGAGACTCTGTCTCAATAAATAAATACTGAAACATTCAGTCTTATTCCCATTTAATGTTGGTTGACTACTAAAATAGTAGTATAATTCAACCAATACAAAATTCTAATGAAAATTTTAAAAATCCTTTAAGAAACCCTAATAAAATTATATTATACCGACTCTAGCAGAGTCCCACTTAAAAAAACAAACTCCAATAGAGTTATTTATATAGGCTGATCATCATCCTTAGCTTTTGATTAGCTTCCATATGTGCTATTTATCTTTTTTATTTTTGAAACAGAGTCTCGCTCAGTCACCCAGGCTGGAGTGCAATGGTGTGATCTTGGCTTACTGAAACCTCCGCCTCCCAGGTTCAAGCTATTCTCCCACCTCAGCCTCCCGAGTAGCTGGGATTACAGGCGTGAGCCACCATGCCCAACCCTTATGTGCTATTTGTCAATCTTCAGTTCCATACGGTGATCTAAGTACACATTTGTAGTGTGTGTGAGTGTGTGTGTGTACACCTATACACATATACAAATGTAAATATATGTTGAATTCATGTTTATAAACAAGTTTTTTACCATGTGAAATATGTACTTTTTCAAGTAAAAAATAAATACTATATCACATCTGACTCTAGTAGAGCTGATAACATAGTGTGGGCAGACACCAAGCAGAAATCATTTTAAGAGTTTAAAAAATCAGTTTGTTTTACTCTACCCCAAAGAATTTCATATCCAGAAACTTCCTATAAAATTGTTAAACTTATCTATGTGTCTAATGGATGCTCTGTTAGATATTTCAATTGTCTAAATAGGTAGCTGCCAATCTGGAGAGATGAAAGTAGGTAAGTTGTACTTACTGAACAGCTAGGTTGTATTTAAAAGGTGGGGAAAAGGGGAATGTCTTGGTAGCTTTATCTCACCAGTAGAAACAATACAGTAGGTAGTTACAGGCAGCTTCTAGAAGGGGAAAAGAGACCCAATAGGTACTTGTGGAACTCCAATGATAAGCAAATTGAAGCCTGTGTAGATTTGGATATGGATGTGAATATATGTTATAATGAGGAAAAAATTCATCATGGAGAAAGTATTATTATTATAGCTTTCACACAGATTAATTTCAGAGATTAATAGAAACCTCTATGAATTTCCAAATCTCGTTAATCTCACAGCCACTGTGTTATCCACACTTACACCTCTCTGTTCCTTCTTTAATAATCGTATCATATTTCTAAACAGGGAAGGGTCCCTAGAGGAAATTACATTTAAATGGTCCAACTCTGTGTATATCTAGTATCCTCTGCTTGAGTCTATCATAGTACTTAACATGTTAACACTCTAACTTTTCTAAGTATAATTGTACTTGTTGATCTCTTCCATTTGCTTTAATAGTCAACAACTTGCATAAGGTTTATTGATGACACACATGCATGAATGAGGTCAAATTTAGTTACTTTCCACTAAGAATATAAAATTGATTGGTTTTCAACATATTTATCATTATTTCATTCATTTAATGATTCTTGATTTGGTGCTACTAGTGCTAATTGTTGATATAAAAGTGATTTACAAGCAATTCATTTAATTAACTTAAGAACCCCATGGGGTAGAAGATATCCATATCCCAATTGAACTCACTTAAACTTTAGAAATATCACTGGATAGAGGCTAGCAATATTCCCATTTTATAAATGAAGAACTTAAAGCCAAAAAAAAAAAAAAGGTAATGTTCCTAAAGTCATCCACCAAGTAAGTGGTAGTGATTGTTTCTGAACCCAGGAGTTTGGCTCTAGAGTCGATAACCTTAACTAGTAACCATAATAAGTTACTTCTCATTCTGATTTAAAAATTACCTACTAAAATAGATCTTTCTTAGTTGAGTTGAAAGGCTCATTAAATTGCCATAAATGGCATTTTGAAGATGATTTATCTGCCCATCCTCACCTCATGAAGACCAAGTAGCATTTTCATTGAGATTACATATCACAAGTCAAGACTAATTAAAGCTATGAAAAAACTACACATTATATTCACATCGTAAGTACTCGCCATAAAACAAGCAGTCAGAATGGAATGTGCCCATGCAGCCCACTTCTGATGTTTATCATTCCGCTTTACCTAAAGGATTTGGAAATTATTCTGTCCTCTTGCGCTGTAAACTCACATTTATTTAAAAGACAAAAATACAAAAGTTTGTATGCCAAATCAGGTGGTATGTCAGAAGGTTTTATTTTTAATATTAGCTGAAGGAAATCTCCAGCATGGTGCTTTTTATTTCATCTGCAGAAAGGTCAAAATATTTACCGGAAAATCTGAAATAACAAGAAAAAATCTCTGGCAAATTTTAGAGTGACATTAAGGCAAGGTATTTTTTCCTTCCAGGCTCTGACTCTGGGCAGTTATGAGTTTATCATATCTAAGGAGAATATTCATAAGTAATGGTACAGATGTGGAGCTGATCCTGCTTCAACCGGGGCCCTTTTCCTAAGCTGATGAGATAATGGGCAGAACTGATCATCTCCTGCTTGAAATCTACCAAAATTTGATAACTTTTATCTAGTTACTAAATAAGTGATCTTTAAATTCTTCAGTGAAAGTTTAAATAATCTCTTTAAAACTTATGAAATATTTGGTAGGTATGCTTTGCATACCAAAGATGCTGTGGCATCTTTGTTAAAAGGAATAACCAAAATTTTTCCTGAATGAACTGTGAATCCCAGTTGTGATGGCTTTGTGCGTATGTTTCTATCTCTGAGATAATTAATATATTTATGATAAAAGGCATTTGAATAAATTTTAAAATACCATATAGCAGGACTTAACTAATACTCACCACACATACGAGTGCTATATGTATGATTTGCCATTTTGATTAATCACTCCACACTTAACTATTACTGGATAATGACACTCAAAAATCTCTACCATAAGAAAAAAAAATATATATATATATAAAGCAACTAAGTCACCTAGTAAGGAATTATTTTAAAGGGCAAGTCTTTTATTCTCACTTTTTGCCCAAATTTGTATCAAGTATAGCCTCAGATCCTATAATAAACTCCACCTATGAATAGTATCCCAGTCAACAAAATACTTTATTGCATTTCTCAAGCATGTTGTTTGCACACAGATTTAATGATAGTGACCAAGCTTCAGTGTTACAGTAGCCATATCTTTTTTCACTGAGTTTTACTGTTTTATGTTTCAGCCTGTATGACTCACGAAGAGAACAATTTGTTTCGTCAAAGAATCACTCTATGCTGGTGCCAGCATACTTTTTAAAGTGAAATGCCAGGAAAATAAGTGTAACTGCAAACGTTTTAGGGAACTATCCAGACTAGGAAAAACACTGGCTGGATCATTAGTGGCATTTCATTCAGAGTGGAAATATTTTTTCATCCAAAGTGCATAAGAAAGAAACAAATCTTCTGATCAAGTGGTTTATTTTCCATATACCTATCAGTTAGGATTACTTTCCTCTAAGACAAAATAATATACTTCTTGGACTATTAGAAAAAATACAAACCTATTTATAAACTAAAATGTCAAAAATTCTAGCTAATAAACAATTTTGTTTTAGAAATTCTCACTTTTTAAATGACTGAAAAGATCTTACTCACCATAGGACCAGGTGGTCCATCTTGGCCTGCAGCTCCAGGGAGACCTTGTTCTCCCTAGAGAAAATAAAAATGATTGATTTTTAAAATTAATAAAATAATACATATTTATTTATTTATTTTAAATTTTAGAAATACAATAAGAAAACAAAGGAAATATCACCCTTAAGTTCCACCATATGGAGGACATCTACAAATATTGTAAATAATTTTGTGTCTTTAATATGTGTATATGTCTATATTCAAATACACACCTATATATACATATACATAGGTTATATATAAACATTTCACATCATTGAAATTTTAAAATTTGGTTTTCTATTTTCTCTTTATAAGTTAGTGTTTCACCATGAACTTATTAAATAAATGATATACTTAAATATATGAAGAATATCTTTTTTACATTATATTTACAGAATTCCCACAAAATTATCCACGTTATAACTTATGAAATAATGCTAACATAGACACCTTCATTCAAAATTTTTTTAAAATAAAAATGTTATTTTCAAAATGGCATCTTTTTAACACAGATGCTCACCACAGGACCAGGGATGCCCCGAAGACCTTCTGGACCAGGCTTTCCTGCAGGTCCCTGAGGACCGACTGGGCCGGTTTTTCCAGGAGGACCTTCTGCACCTGCTTCCCCCTGTTAGAAAGTAAAATATGGGAGCACATTAGTGATGAGAAAATACTTTTATTATTTTATTAAATGCACTGAAAAAAGTAGATCAGTTTATGCATGAAATTTTCAAATATAATACCTTGTATATATAATATATAATATATATTATGTATATATTATTTTTTTTTTACCTTAGCACCTTTTTCACCTTGTCTTCCCTCTGCACCTGCAGCTCCAGGAGGACCCTATAGACATAAGATTTATTGTAAAATATGTATCACATATAAAAGTAATGTTAATGAGCACTTGTTTACAAACACTAAACTTTAGTTTGTAACAGATGAATAAATTGTAGTTTTCTATCACTATTTGGTTTAAAACATAATAACGAAAATCAAAACCCATTTTATGTACAAACTTCCTCTTAGAATACTGAAAAACAGCACAAATTAAGTATACAACAATCACTTCACATCAATATAAGAAAGCAGTAAAAATAAAGTTTTTAAAGAAATGCTGATGAATTAAAATCGCCACCCTGAGTGTGTTAAATACTGATATATCATTTATGTTTATTATTAGAAATTAATTTAATATATCTACTTGTATTCTACTTTTATTCTCATATGTGTTTTAAGAATGGCCCCTTCCTTAATCTTAGAATATGTATATGTTCATGCATTCTTACAGGATCACATAACAACTAAAGAAACACAATATTTTAAATTATGATGGTCAACAGACACAGTATTTTCATTTTTGAGAACTATGCAGTTCACATAAATAGGTAAAATGAAAGCAAATATCACTTTTTAAATCCTAATATTAGAAGTAAAATTGAAAAAAAAATTACACTTTAGATGCCATCCAAAAGCATAAGTACAGAATGACTGAAAAAGAAACTTAATGATCTCTAAGAAACTGCTTTTCATTTTTTTCCCTCAGACTGTCTTGTTTTTCCATTCATTTACCTTAATTTTCATAATAAATTGTGCTCAAAATCATTAACTGAGATTGGGGTTGGTGGTTGCAGAGAGTAGTCATGGTGGTGTTAATTGGTGAGAATAAGGTGAGGCAGGAGGGTGACTGTTCCTTTTCAGATGCCATATTAATATTTTAATGGTGAATATATCCCAGCCTTTTATATCGTATTTTAAACTGAGTATCAATAGTGGTGGATGATGAGAGGTTGCTTGGAGGGTACAACGTGCATTGCTTCAGTGATGGATGCACTGAAGGCCCAGACTTCATCACAATGTAATATCAGTATAGCAAAATTGCACGTGTACCCCATGAATTTATACACAAAGTAAAGATGAATAAAATGAGTATCAAGCACTTCAATTCCACGAACTCATTTTATCTCAGAAAGAGTCAATGATGACATCATTAGTAATGATTTTCTCAATATCATTCCTATAACTATCTATTATTAGACATTCATTGTACCTCAACCCAAAGATAAAAAATGTATAAATTCTATGGGTAATCTCTTGAGGTGGAATCAATATGCTAATAATAATATATACATTAAAACTTCAAAGGACATCTTTCAAATTTCATATTTAAGCAAAAGGAATTCTGTGTTGAGCCATGAATTTCAAATTTGTTCTATTGTTAAAATGTTGAGCCAGAAATTATTTTGGTGTGATCTTTAAAATAATAACATATGCAAAGTAGATACAACAATAATAATGATTATTATTTGGGAAATAGAAATAATGACATTCAATGAAATAATAGCTTTTCCTTATTCAATGACAGTTTTTCCTTAAACTAGTAACATAATGATATGTGGGCTTAACCTGAAAAGATTGCATTTACAAACATGAAGTTTATAGTAGAAAAGATATATCAATACATGGCTTTTAAAAAAGCAAGCCATCTATTGTCTAAAATTGGAAGGAAAATATCACCTTTACTTCAAAGGAGAAAGAAAATCAGTATTAGAAGAGCCCAGAGAATTTTAACATAACTAAATGACAATACAGCAACTAAGTTGTGATTAAAATAAAGGGCTTCTTGTCTAAATAATTTCTTCCTTCTGTGAACAAATATCTGTCATAGTAAAAATTTTATTAAATGACTTTGTTCTGTTCTTTTTCTCATTTTTCCCAATTTTATTTATTCCTTATATGTTTTCCAGATGACAAAAAAATAAGAAAAATGACGACAAAAGCAGATATACTTTTCCTGAGAGAGTAGTAAGTCAAGTGGGACCTAATAGAAGGTGTTAAGGTCATGAGGGCTCATGAATTGATTAATAATAAATATAAAAGGGCTGAGGCAGCCAGGCACAGCAGTTCATTCCTGTAATCCCAGCATTTTGGGAGACCAAGGCAGGCGGATCGCCTCAGGCCAGGAGTTCGAGACCAGCTGGGCCAACACAGTGAAACCCGTCTCTACTAAAAATACAAAAAATTAGCTGGGCGTGGTGGTGGGCACCTGTAATCCCAGCTACTCGGGAGGCTGAGGCAGGAGAATCGCTTGAACCCGGGAGGCAGAACTTGCAGTGAGCCGAGATTGCACGATTGTGCTCCAGCCTGGGAAATAAAAGCAAAACTCTGTCTAAAAAAAAAAAAAAAAAACTGAGGCTGTGAATTTGATGTCTTGCTCTTTCAAGTCTGCTCCTTGTCCTTCCACCATGGTATGACACTGCAACAAGGCCCTTGCAAAATGTGGCCACTCAATCTTGGATGTCCCATCCTTCAGCCAATAAATCTGTGCTTATTATACATTACAGAGTCTGTGTTATTCTGTTATAGTAGTACAAAACAAAGAATGCCTACGGACAAATTGTTGTCCCAATAACTTATTCCTCATATGTTTGCATAAACGAAGGGGCAGAAACTTAATCTGGTGAGCTCTTGCTGCACTTTGATGAAGTAATGAGTGTTCTTATTGAAAAATACCTCATAAAAACATAACCCACTAAAATAGGGCCTAGTTAATTCTCCACCAGTAGTTATTGTTATAACAGATTTTTCTACTCAAGAGAACTATTCTTCATATAAAGCATCTAATATAATCTTCTTTTCACTATTCAAGTTTTACAGTATGATTCTGTAATTTAATCATTTTTCCACTCATGTCACAAACATTTAAATATCCCTTATATTCCAGAATGTGCTATGCATATACATAACATGTAAAATCAAATCCCTAAGAAATTCACAGAATTTAGTCACAAACACAGATACAAAAATTAACAAATAGAACACTGTAAAATAAACAAAGATGATATCAGTGTACAAAATAGGTACAATGATCCAGTTTGGCAGTATAGAGGATTTTCCTAAAAACCTAGTCTCTGATCTGAATCTTACAGTGTGAGTTGATGAGAGAGGGATGGCTTCTTCTAACACTTTACCTTCTGATCACTCACGTGCATGCTTAAAGGAATAAGAATGGAAAGTACATGATAGTCTCTATGGACCTGTTAAGAGTTCACTTAGGCCAGTAGCTAAGCATCTATGCATTTGTCTTGCTATGAGTCAGAATATTAGGGTGCATGAGTATGTGGTGACTTGAGAGTTAGGGAGGAAAAAAGAGAATTGGAGAAAGGCAGAGTCTTGGCATATGGAGATCTTGATTTTTTAATATTAGCAAAATAAACTGCCAAATTTAGTATACAGTTAGCTATTTGGATAAACAGACATTTTTGAACATGTTAAATGAACAAGAATTTTTGTTTCCCCACATTAAAAAATTAGAACAATTTTCCCAAAAGTATTAAAAACATTAATATTTAAAATAGCTTAAAAATAAATAAATTTGATTCAAAATTTTTAGAACCTTTAATACTCTTCTTGAACTATGAATCTCCTAGAAAGGTATATAATCTCTTCAGTGATTCTCAAATTAAATGCAGACCTTGTTTTCATAATGACCTTACTTGGAAGGCACAGTTTTGTACCACACAGAAATTTTAAGAGGATTTATAATTTATTTTATTATTACAATGTACTTTCTATCTATACATTTATATTAGAATTTTTCAAAGGACTTTGTAAAAGAAAATGTCTGAATTTGAAATTTGAATTAATACTATATATAATAATACTTTATATGTGTGTGCATATATATATATACACACACATAGTACATGCATATACAAGGTACACACACATATATATATACTATATTATATATATGATGTGTGTGTGCATAATAAGTTAAAACTTCATCTGTCATTATAACCAGTTAATAACAACAGTTACCATTTTAATTTTTTATTGTGAACTTCCCTTTGGCAATATGAGCCGAATTCAAATTTCCATTTAATATGTGCATTTTCAGGTTATAATGCTTAAATTATTTTGGTCAGCTCTAGATTTTTTTTTCAGTAAAAGGACATGGAACTAGCTAAAATGATAACTTTAGTATTAGAAGTCCATGGCTTATTGAAACAAGCTGTACAAATCTTCCAGTCCCTTAAGGAAATATACATTCATTCTCAAGTATTACAAATGCATGACAGAAAGTACATGTACTATGAATGATAATGTAATTCTCCTACTTGTTTAATAACCACTAGAATTTTCTTTCTCAGTATCACTGCCACTTACAACATTATGATCAATATTCTGTTAGGAAGTTTTATTATCATTCATGCGTAAGATTCAATCACAGAAAAAAAGTGGTAATACTTTTGAACACATTTCTTGTCATTGCTACTTCCGCCATAAGATATTATAAAAAAAATTGTGGCTTTTTTATTGTTTCCACAGTGGGAAAGTAAGGATCTGAGAAATGTTAATTTCCACAAAATATATACAAACCTAATTTAAGATTAACATTTCTAGATGGACTAAAGGGAAACAGATTGTAAGGCAAATCTGTATTCAACCAAAGCACAAGCCTGTAGAACAGATATTACCTTACTGCATAGAAATATGCTCTTGCTATTTTCACAAAAGTGGTATTAAATTGATTGCTGCATCAGATATTGAACTCAAAGGTTTGTGGTGACAGTATTCTCAAATCAGTTTCAATTCATAGAATTCACTCTGCATTATACCCCTCTATGATTAGATGTTTGTGTTCACCTGTGGTATAGACAAAGTGACCTCACATATGTACAGTGTATAAACAGAGTGATCTCACTTATGTACAGTACTTTCTTCTTTTCGACACAGGGTCTCACTCAGTTGCTCAGGCTGGACAGCAGTGGTGCTATCTTGGCTCACTGCAGCCTCGAACTCCTGGGCTCAAGCTATTCTCCCACCTCAGCCTCAGAGTACCTAGGACTACAGGCTCATGTCATCATACCTGACTAATTTTTGTATTTTTTTGTAGAGACAGGGTTTCACCATGTTGCCCAGGCTGATCTCCTACTCCTGAGCTCAAGTGATCCTCTTGCTTCAGCCTCTCAAAGTGCTGGGATCTTGAATTAAATTTTGTATAAGGTGTAAGGAAGGGATCCAGTTTTAGCTTTCTACATATGGCTAGCCAGTTTTATACAAAAATTAATTCAAGATGGATTAAAGACTTAAATGTTAGACCTAAAACCATATAAACCACAGAAGAAAACCTAGGCAATACTATTCAGGACATAGGCATGGGCAAGGACTTCATGTCTAAAACACCAAAAGCAATGGCAACAAAAGCCAAAATTGACAAATGGGATCTAATTAAACTAAAGAGATTCTGCACAGCAAAAGAAACTACCATCAGAGTGAACAGGCAACCTACAGAATGGGAGAAAATTTTTGCAACCTACTTATCTGACAAAGGGCTAATATCCAGAATCTACAATGAACTCAAACAAATTTACAAGAAAAAAACAAACAACCCCATCAAAAAGTGGGTGAAGGATATGAACAGACAGTTCTCAAAAGAAGATATTTATGCAGCCAAAAAACACATGAAAAAATGCTCATCATCACTGGCCATCAGAGAAATGCAAATCAAAACCACAATGAGATACCATCTCACACCAGTTAGAATGGTGATCATTAAAAAGTCAGGAAACAACAGGTGCTGGAGAGGATGTGGAGAAATAGGAACACTTTTACACTGTTGGTGGGACTGTAAACTAGTTCAACCATTGTGGAAGTCGGTGTGGCAATTCCTCAGGGATCTAGAACTAGAAATACCATTTGACCCAGCCATCCCATTACTGGGTATATACCCAAAGGATTATAAATCATGCTGCTATAGACACATGCACACATATGTTTATAGCGGCACTATTCACAATAGCAAAGACTTGGAACCAACCTAAATGTCTGACAACAATAGACTGGATTAAGAAAATGTGGTACATATACACCATGGAATACTATGCAGCCATAAAAAATGATGAGTTCATGTCCTTTGTAGGGACATGGATGAAACTGGAAACCATCATTCTCAGCAAACTATCGCAAGGACAAAAAACCAAACACCGCATGTTCTCACTCATAGGTGGGAACTGAACAATGAGAACACATGGACACAGGAAAGGGAACATCACACACCAGGGACTGTTGTGGGGTGGGGGGAGGGGGGAGGGATAGCATTAGGAGATATACCTAATGCTAAATGACGAGTTACTGGGTGCAGCACACCAACATGGCACATGTATACATATGTAACAAACCTACAGGTTGTGCACATGTACCCTAAAACTTAAAGTATAATAATAATAAAATAAAAATTAAAAAAAAAGGAAAGAGAGAGAAAGGAAGGAAGGAAGAAAGGAAGAAAAGAAGGAGGGAGGGAGGAAGGAAAATTAGTGGTGCCTTTATTTGTACCCTGAGTTGCTAAAGCACCCATATAAGTTAAAAAAAAAAAAAAAAGTGCTGGGATCGTGGGTGTGACCAAATACCTCTTTCTCAGTTGACTCATAGTTTAATAACTTTATTATTTCTTAAACTGGTCTTAAATATCTACTGTTTGACAAATCCATTTTATTAAAATATACATGAAGTTGTCATGAGTTTAAATGCTTCTATTTTTGGTAATTGTTCTCATAGGAAATTCTTTACCATATATGTCACATGAATTTGTACCAAGGGATAACCAATTTATATTAGTATTACAAATATAAATTTCCTTAAAATCACAATATACTATACTCTGAAAGTGCAGTTAATTAATATTCTATATCCTTTTTGTATGTGTATCACCCAGTTAGTTCAGTATTGGTCACTGCTGAACTCAAACAACAAAGCAAAATCAACAATAAACAAAACTAACTTTACCATGAATTTATTGCTAACGAGCTATCATTTCATGTATACAACTAGGATATTGGAAGAAAATATTTTACTCCTTATTTTATATTTTATTTAATAATAGGTTTATTTAGTTTATAAATGATACTACAATTGGAAACCCTTATTCAATGCTTAATAATAACATCCACTGTTTGAGATTCTGATAGATTCAGGCATTAGGCTTTGTGCTTTAAATATACATTTTCTTAATTTAGTCCTCACTTCAGTATTGTAAATTAGTTATTATGCCTGCTTTTTAAATGAGAAAACTGAGACTCAAATAAATTAACTTATCCCAAGTCACATTTTTAAGTAGCAAGGATTTGAAACAAGTTCTGTCTGATTCTGATGCAACAGCATTCTGGTCTCTACTTTTCAGTGAAATTAAGATAAAAGGAGTGTCAGTTTATAGGTTGCAAATAATGTTAGTAAGTAATTTGGGCTTCAATTTTTGGGTTTACTTTTTGTTTTCTTGAGAGAGGGTCTCCCTCTGTTGTTCAGATTGGAGTACAGTAGAACAATCATGACTCACTGCAGCCTGGACCTCCCAGGCTCATGCAATCCTCCCACCTCAGCCTCCCAAGTAGCTGGGACTACAGGCATGTGCCACCACACCTGGGTAATTTTTAAAAGTTTCTGTGAAGATGAGGGTCTCACTATGTTGTCTCAAAGTCCTGGGCTTAAGCAATACTCCTGCCTAAGTCTCTGAAAGTGCTGGGATTACAGGTGTCAGCCACTGCACTTGACCTGTGTTTCCATTTTTTTTTTCTTTTTCTTTTTCTTTTTTCAAGCTAAGCCACCTATTTGTTTATGTTGAGGTAGAGTTATTGACTAAATTAACTAGTGCTGTAGGCTGTAAATTAATGGTGCAAGCATTAATTGCTAGTGTTAAATCAGAACAAATCATAGTTTTGGTAATAAGATTGTTGACATAAGAGTAATTTTTCACACCATTAAAATATATTTTACTCTGGTGAAGAAAATAGATTATTATGTAAAACAGAAAGAAGCAATTAAGCATGCCAGTTTATCCAAACCTAATATAGAAAACAATTTAACATATTGTGTTAAATGGTTTTCAGTTTCAATTTATTGTTGCCATATTTTAAAAGAGAAAACCCTGCATATTATGCTCGATCGGGCTGACCTAAGGTTGATTTTTCTATTATATGAAAATGAATGTGAATAGCTTTGTAAGCAATGCATAGTCACCACCGTTCTCATGTTATTATTAATTCATGAATACAAAGCCTTCTAATTTTGTTTACAAAGTGACTAGAATGGATTAAAATAGCTCATCATCTTTCTATAAATTGTAATTTAAAAAGAGAGGATAGAACAGTGCTAAAATTTTTATGAGGTTATTTTAAAATAATTTATCAAAAATCAAAGGGAACTCAACTAATGTACTATCTCATAATGTTAAAGAACATATGCTAGAATGACTCAATATTATATTATTTTAGGCTTTCAACCTAAATGCACTACATAATACAGTATCATTAACTTAGAAGCTTCCTACATACCACTCGTAACAATTGCAACCCACTTTTTTTCCACAGAAGTAACTACCATCCTAAATTTTTGTTAATCATTGGCTTATGTTTCTTTATCATGTTTACCACTTATGTTAAAATGCTAAACATATCTGTAACAATTCTGCATATTATATAAATGAAATAATGTAATATATATTTTCCAGTTCAACGTTATATACACATACACACACAAGACATACATATACACATACACATATTTATTCTGCTTAATGTTTAATATTAGATTTTGAGATTCATCTGTTATGCATGCATCTGTAGTGCATTTATTTTATTAGCATACAAAATTTTAGTTTATTAATATACTTCAATTAACTTATATTGTCTACAGTTATTATTAACAAGGATAACAAAACATTATTCCTTGAGTCTTTTGGTGGATATGTGCAAAATGTCATCTAGGATATGTGCTTAGAAATGGAATTACCAGATGACAGAAAAAGTTCATGTTAGATTCTATTAGGTAACATAGAACTATTTCCCTAAAGTGGCAGTGCCCAGTAACTCAAAACAGCCATGCATAATAATCTTCACTGTTTTTTGAAAACATTCTTCCCAATACTTGGTTTGTCAGAGTACATTTTTGTTAATTGGTGTATGTGATATAGTATCTCAGTGTAATTTCTGGTACACACTTTCCT
Source organism: Homo sapiens (assembly GCF_000001405.40). NCBI lineage: Eukaryota > Metazoa > Chordata > Mammalia > Primates > Hominidae > Homo > Homo sapiens. Next base: position 102,908,149 of record NC_000001.11, read on the forward strand.
GATTTCTACAAATATTTTTTCTTGTTTCATGGGGTATTTGTGTCAAATACTTTTTCATGCCTTTGGCATATTTTTTTCTATTGTTTTTTCTTGCTATTATAATTTGTAAGAAATACTTAGATATTCTAACAAATTATTCTATGCATGTTTCCTGTATGTTACAAATATTTTCTCCTAATCGGATCTTTTTGTTCCAATGTCTTCTAAGTATTTTTGGATAAATAGGAAATTTCAATGGTCATATATTTGATACATCAATCTATTCCTTTCTGATTACACCTGTGTGATCAGAATTTATGACTGGAGGTCAAAAAATTACTCTCAAATAATTTTTGGTAAAATATTTCAAAGTTTACCTTTGACATTTATGATTATAAATCAATTAGAACTGAATTCTGTTAAATGAGCTAGATGAGGTATATTTAATCTTTTTCCATATAGAAAATCATTTCTCCCAGCAGAATTTTTTCAATAGTCTATCCACTTTCCATTGATGTGTAATGTCCAATTTGTTACAAATAAGGTTTACATATACCCTTAGGTATTTTCTGGTCTTTTTCTTCAATGAGACCATTGCCTATATATCTATATAAAAAAATCAAGTATAACTTTGCAAGTAAATTATCTTAATTTCTTATTTTTTACCCACCTCATAAATCCACTTAACCATAATTTTATTTTTTTAAGGGTTTTTAAATACATTTTAATCAGGGGAGTTAACAATGTTGTCTAGTTAGAAATACTGGCAGGAATGAGAGTAACATAATTTTTCTATTTTCTAATTGTATTTGACATTTATATCTAAAGAAAAATTTACCAATTGCTTACAATTTCACAATATCATGTAATCTTTAATTTTGGATGAAAAAATAATTATTGATTATTGCTATAATATGGATATTTCTCCCCTCCAAACCTCATGTTGAAATTTTATTCCAAATCTTGGCGGTAGAGCCCAATAGGAGGTGTCTGAGTCATGGGGATGGATTTCTTATGAATAGATTAATACCTTTCCAGGATGGGTGTGAGTGGCTTCTCACTCTGTTAGTTCCTGAGAGAGCTGGTTGTTAAAAAGTGCCTGGCACCTCTGCTGCCCCTTCTTGCTTCCTCTGTCACCTTGTTATCACTGCACACACCCCCTCTGCTTCTCCTTCCAGCATGAGTGGGAGCAGCCTGAGGCCCTCACCAGAAGCAGATGTTGGCATCATGCTTCCTGTAGAGCCTGCAGAACTGTGAGCTAGATAAACCTCTTTTCTTTATAAATTACCCAGCCTCAGGTATTCTTTTATAGCAACACTAAATGTACTAAAAAAGGATGCTTCATGTTCTTAAAGCAACAAATAACTAAATTTTTTTGTACATTATATTTTCATTAATATACTACTATATTTTATTATAACTGATTATTTCTAATATATGAAAATGCATCCTTCATTATAAGAGACAAGAATTAAGAATCAGCAATTAACTCATGTTTTAAAATTATATCTCATTTAACTAGAAATTGCAGAGGTCCAACTCAGATGTAAATGAATAAGAATGTAAATACATGGACTTTCTCTTACTCAAAACTACTTCGGTGTTGTAGAGCAAATATATAATCTAAATCTGAATATGTATTGAATTTTCTACGATATTTTCTCAATTCCAGAATTGAGGGGAGGTCTTCCTAGGAGTCTGAGTTATTCACTAAAATTATAATTGTCGATCATTATCCATTCCAAAGTAATAAACACAAATATATTTTAAAAATATGTTATAATAAAGAATAAAAATTTGCTGCATTATATTATCATGATTTTAAAATTAGTAAATATGACTGAAAATATTTTGAAAGTTTATAATATCAATAGCGTCAACATTATTATGTCAAAATAGCTTCACACAACAGTTTAATAGTTTTAACATATAATATTTTTATGTGATAGTTATAGGTTTATATATAAGTTTTGGGTCATATTATTATACTAAAAGGCTCATGAGATTTACTGGTTCACACATATATGTCTCTTTTTTATGTTTGCATTAATACTCTTTAATAGGTTATTTTATTCTATTACTTAAAAAATTTTTCAAAAATATTCAGTTGTTTTCAAAATGAATAATTCATGTGACCCACCACTGAATGGCTAAAGAAACAAATACATTCTATAACTCTGTTACCATGTTAAGATACTTCATCTCAAATATCAAATGATAATTACTTAAATTTATTAAAAAATATAAATATGTACTTTTTTGACATATTTTAAAATGAAACTAGACTAGATAGCACTTGCTGAGAGTTTGACTTGAGTAATGAAATGAGCTGAGAAGCTGCCAATATGTAATAGAATATTTAAAATCAATTTTGATATAGTCTCTCCTTTTCTAGCTGCTACCACATTTTGAAGCAAGGTTTAATTTCCTTGCTTATATTAAAAGCATCATACTTTATACTTGTATGATGATTATCCCTGTGCTCAGAAGTGTTTAATAACTATGCCATAACTCAGTGCTAACACAGCAACAGTTATGAGGTGATTTTTTTTTTTATTGTGTTACATGATTTATCTTATGTTCAACCCAACACTAGGGTGGGTGTTAGGTCCTCTGAGAAACAGAAAATACACAATTTGCCCAACGTAATACAGGTAATAACTGGTGTAGCTGGGTTGAAAGCCAGCTATTGTGACTGCATTGTTCTACTAACCACATTATATAGCATCCCACCATCTGAGGCCAGAAAAAAGATAAAAAAAATGATTTCCTGTTGTTCCAAGAAGTATTTCAACTCATTCTCAAGGATGTTTTTTATAGTTATTCTTCCAAAAGGTCTGAAATAGTATAATAGACAGCTATGCATCACAGTTTTATGAGCAGCTGGACTTACAGCAGAAAGAGGCAATGGATATCAAAAATCATGTACACTTTCCAATTACTTTCTAAGAATAATAGTCCCATGGTTGTTTGGGGATAAATCTATTGACACTGAGACCATGCTTTGGGGTTGTAGACACAATAATAATAATAAAAGAAAATGTAAGAAAATGTACTTGGCCAATGAAGAGCAAATTGTTTTCAGAGACAAGTTTTATTATAAATTAAATATATTTTTGGAAAGAGAAATGTTTGTAAATATTGATTCAAATTTGTATTGCTGAGAGACAAGTAAAACCCATTCACATTCTATGTTTAATGTGAGGATATTCAGTGTGAAAAATACCCCTGAAATAAAGATACCATTAGAAAACAGTAGTGGCCCCAATTGCCCTGTGACTTTGGATTACTGAAGAGGGAATCAGCCTCATAAATATATTTTGATGTTTATCACATATTTTACTCATGTGCCGGTTTGAAAATAGACTGCAGGTGGTACAGAAGAACACGCTAAAGTGAGATAGCTGCTGTAAGAGGCAGGTCTGCAGAGATTGCTTTATTATGAAAAGAATGCATCAGTGAGAAAAGGACAGGAAAGTAAATCTCCTAGGGTCTACTGTGGCCAATATTGTCAGCAATACCTATTTATTTATATTTTGCTATAGCACATCATTAAAATACTGTTTCCGAGCCAGAGAAGTTTGACAGTGTAAAGCAATTTAACATTATATACTGATTCCTGAGCTCATTTCACCTCATTTCATTGATGCATTCATGTTTTTACAATGTTTTAAGCTAGCACTGGACTTTTGACAGCTCATCCCCATGTATTACAATAGGAGTTAATGTTCAGGATACCACCAAAGTCTTTTATAATAATCTACTACATTTGTACAAAGGGGAGTTCTAAGCACAGAGGAGTGGAAAGCTCTTTAAGTAGAAGTTGTTTTTCTCATTTTTATTGTGACAGTGAAATAGTTAGAATATGTTCTATTTTAGTTATTATTTGGCACATTTAAAAATTGTTTTTAGGATTTATGATATTTCTCATTATTCTTATAACATGCTGCCTGCAGCTTACACACATTATATAAATTTATCCATGGTGACTAATGAGCATATGTTTCAAATAAAGAATTAAAGAAACTTACTCGTTTTCCAGGAGGACCTGGTGGGCCAGCCTCACCAGATGGGCCAGGAGGACCCTATAAAATGTGAAAAAATACCTTTAACAAAATTGGATATTATTTTGTGGCCCACATAAATTTTCAAAATCTGGATGGAAACCAACCCTCTTTCTTCATTTCCACATGTCAATATTTCCTGGAAAATCTCAGCCCTATTTCAGATACCTAAACTTCCTCTAGATATTTATAGTTAGAGCTGGTAAATTTAGATGGTAAAATTATTTATAGTTAGAACAAAGTGAATCAAATTCTCTTTATTTAAAACTGTGTCCTATTAAAAAGTGCTAATTTATATCTGGCAAGCATTAAACAGGCATGCTAATTAATATAATCATATGGTTAATAATTCTGCTCATATCACATAAATATGTGAAAACATAATACTATTACTTTTAAATTTATTTTTGTACAACACTAACATTCTATGCCAAGTTGTATATAACATACTGATATGGTTTGGCTGTGTCCCTACCCAAATCTCATCTTGAATTGTAGTTCCTATAATCCCCATGTATCCTGAGAGGGACCCAGTGGGAGGTAATTGAGTGATGGGGGTGGTTACTCACATTCTGTTCTTGTGATAGTGAGTGAGTTCTCACGAGATCTGATGGTTTAATAAGTGGCTTTTCACCCTTCACTTTGCACTCCTCTCTCCTACTGCCATGTGAAGAAAGACATGCTTGCTTCGCCTTCCACCATATTGTAAGTTTCCTGAGGCCTTCCCAGCCATGCAGAATTGTGAGTCAATTAAACCTCTTTCCATTATAAATTACCCATTCTTGTGTACCTCACAGCAGTATGAGAATGGACTAATACACATGCTGAGATATGATCCACAGGTCTGTCTATGCAGAATAAGCCTGTATCTGTGATAGCAAAGCATCTAGTGGGAATGGCCCCAGAGACAAAATTGTGTTGAGGGACCATTGTCTTTGGCTCCTAAAGTGAGTTCCCTCCCTTACTTTCTCCCTAAATAACTAAATGTGGTCAAAGTACACTCCTGTATCATTCACAAGTTTTTTTTAAAAAGGCCTATACTATGTTGAGAGTTCATTTAGGTTCACAATTAATATAATTCATGCTAATGATGGGATAATAACTTTTGCTAATGATAGGAAATAACTTTGCTTTTAGTATTATTAGTGATTTTAATTTTTTAACACAATGGATAGATAACTGAATTTGATATATTGTGACAACCTTATTAGTATAATATGATTACACTTTTCATTATAAATACTGTTTATTAATTTACATCAAATAAGAAACACTCCATGTAAGATTGATTTTTAATGGGAATTCAAAAATTTTTTTGATAATTCTTTCAAAAAAGTGCATATACATAGAGCTATGTTTTTCAAAGGCTGATTACTTCTAATTATCTCATTAAAATGCCTTGAGACTATGTAAAAACTTAAAAATAAATTAGTGCATTTACTCACCGGTTGACCAGGATCTCCATCTTCACCCTTGTCACCACCAACACCATCTTGACCCTATAAGAGGCAATAAAATATGAAGCAAGATATATCTCAGTATCAATAAATCACACTACTTATCAGGAAAAAAGTATGTTAGGCCATCTCTTGAGAAAAATTATCAGATGGACAAGTAAAATCATTATATTCTTTTAACCTTTTTTAAAAAGATTGTGGTACCTCTCACTCTCCGCAAAAAAATTTGTAAAACTGCTACTATTAATATATCAAATTTAAAATCCAGCATGCTCTTTATATAAGGAAGAAAGAAGATGTCATTAGTATACAATGTCAGTGAATCATTTCACCATGAACAAATATGGTATAGTTTGAAATAGGATTTGCATTATAGAAGAGAAACAGAAAAGCAAAGATCCTGTAACTTTGAAATAATAATAATGATGCTACTCAGATAACTTGTTTTTACAACCCATCAAAGTCTAGGAATCTAATCCAATTGTTGTACCTATGTTGCATGAAGAGCTTAATCACTTAGTGTTGGTGCAATAGTCTCCAACTATATGGATTTTCCTGCATTTGCAATTACTTTTTATGTTTTCTTTTTCTTTCTGTTTTTGGGAGTTCACTTAGGTTATTAGATTTTTTTTTCTTTATTAACAATACAGAAATTGGAAACATTCACTCCAAAATAATTTCTTGATTTTTCCCTGATACTTACTGCAGGGCCAGGTTCCCCAGGAGGACCAGGATCTCCAGGAAAACCAACAGGACCCTAGAATGACGTTTTGAAAGAAAAAGAAATAAATGAAAAATAAATTTTTATAAAATTATGACATTCTGGAGGTGAAGAGGTTAAAGTCATGACAAAACCTGCTGAGAATATTTCTCTTCTCCCGCCAAAAAATTTCTAAAGAATTAATTCAATTGAGAATGCTTACGAATATATGAAATGATGAAAAGTCAGATTTACCATCTATGTTCCAGAGTCTCAGGATTTCAAATCTTTCTAAGAAAAGCTCCAAGGTGAGTTTGGCATAAATGCCACATTAGAGGGGACCAAACTCACTTACCGGGTTACCCTTAGGGCCATCATCACCTGGTGGCCCCTTGGCACCTGGAGGTCCAGCAGCTCCAGGTGGACCAGCTTCCCCTTTCTCTCCTCTTTCTCCTTTGGGACCCTAAACAATGTTAAAAAAAAAAAAAGAAGAAGAAGGAAAGAAGAGTTATCTTACAAGTTTTGCATAAAAGTTTATTAACCTTGGCACACTGGGCCAGAATATATTTTTTTTTTAGACGGAATATCACTTTGTCACCAAGTTGGAGTGTAGTGGCACAATCTCAGCTCACTGCAACCTCTGCCTCCCAGGTTCAAGCGATTCTCCTGCCTCAGCCTCCCAAGTAGCTGGGACTACAGGCACGCGCCACCAGGCCCGGCTAATTTTTGTACTTTTTAGTAGAGACGGGGTTTTACCACGTTGGGCCAGACAATTTTTGCTGTGGGGAGCTGTTCTCTGCCCTTTAAGAAGTCCAATGGTATCCCTGGCCTTTACTAACTGGATACCAACCCTCCACGTTTGAAGACCAAAAGTGTCTCCAGATATTGTCAAATATTTCCTGGTGGGCAAATTTAATCGCGTTTTAAACTAATTAGAATAATATAGTCACAATACAATTGACACGTTTATTTAAGGCAGCAGGACTTCTTTGTTTGTTCCTTTTATGGACAGTTCATCAAAGGGAATGTATACAGTAAACAGCCCATAGTTTTAATGTTCTAACTTCAGCAAATATGATATTTTTTCAATTTGTTTATCAATCCACATATGTAAAGATATCCAAAGTTATTAAACAAGGCTTTGTATTTGTGATTTTCCTTAATGAGTTGGGAAGGGAAAGTAAAATTCGAACCACAGCTAAGAGTTGTTACATGTTTGTAATGCTGTAAAAGAAATTCCCAAACCAATAATACACTATGTTAACAATAACACAGTACTTACGCCTACACCTGCTTCCCCAGGAGGCCCTGGGTTCCCTGCTTCTCCAGGTTCACCCTATATAGAGAAGATCAAATTAGTATTAGAATACAGAGATGATCTTTTACATTTATAAAATTCAAATGTTATCATATCATTTTAGATTAGCCCTTATTTTTTTATATTATTTAAAAGGCATTGAAAAACTTTAATAACAAAAATAAATTTTTCTATCAGTGACTCCAGTGCTTTTATTTCTCAGGTGAGTAGACAGAAATATGCAGGCTTGATGCTGTAGTTGTCACTGGTTGGTTAATAGTTGGCATATTAATCCAGATTACCACAAAACCATCATAACAGACATATGCATGTTTCCTAAAATATTGTGTATTTGCACTGTGTCAATATTCATATTACAATAAAGTTTATTGAGTGAACACTTTCAAATTGTTGTTTGCTAAAATGTAAATTTATTTATCTTAACTACAACAAATCAACAGATGACTTGCTGGTACATATGTTGATATTTTATAGGATTTGTTTAGTAGGAATCTAAAGAACTTAGAGGAAAGACAATAATTATAATATATGTAAAGGTACTTAGACGTTAATTAAAATTGCTCCATTTGAGTATACACATAAATGTGATAGCCTTTATTATCTCCCTGTTTACATATGAATGGCTTTTTTTCTAGCCCAGTGGACTAATAAATAAATCTCTGTAACTAGTAGGGTTTAGCTATGAAAGTCTGTTGCTAATGCCCCACAATTCAAAATGCACAAAAATATAACATCTTGTTCAAGTAATCATTTAAGTAAAACAATACATTCATTTACCATGTTTCCACTCAAAATCAGTCACACTAGTGGTCTCAGCAATTGTGAGGTGGAAATTGTTCTTTTAAATTGAAAAAGAAGTGAGGCCTAAATTTCCCTTACTTTTTAACTCTAATATTTCCAATATTCCTGACACAAATCCACTGCTCTTAAATAAATGTGTCATATTACATACAAACATAATTTCAGGGCAGAGACTATTTTGTGTACATAGTTTCTTACTGTGAGAATACACAAATATTTTAAATTCTTAAATTACCCACTTAATGGTGGAGACATCAAGTACTTTTCCAGAGTTTATTATAAGTAGTGTGATGTGTAAATTATTTCATCTCTCAAGATGAACAGCAAATACTTCCAGAATTTTTGGATAACTCTTACAAAAAAAAATTGCATTTATATTATTTATAAAGAGAGGTATCATTCATCTCAGTAGAATGTAATGATGTTAGTGATGTTTCCAAGGGCTGATATTCATATCTTAAAAATGAAACAAGTAGTTTGGCATTGAAATCAATTGTAAAATGTCCATGTTAAAATATTTATTTAGAAATATGATAAGTCTATTGAGCATGTACATTGAACATGCCATTTTTCATATAATTAGAAAAAAAACCTAAAATTCACAGGAAACCAAAAAAAGAGTCTTATTGCCAAAGCAATCTTAAGCAAAAAGAACAAAACTGGAGGCATCACACTACCTGACTTCAAATTCAACTACAAGGCTGTAGTAACTAAAAAAGCATATTTACAGCAAACTAATCTTTGACAAAGTTGACAAAAACAAAAAGGAAAAGATCCTCTTTTCAATAAATGGTGCTGAGAAATCTGATTTGCCTTAAGCAGAAGAATTAAACTAGACTCCTATCTCTTACCATATACAAAAATCAACTCAAGAAGGATTCAAGAATTTAAACATAAGACCTGAAACTATAAAAATACTAAAAGAAAACATAGGGAAAACTCTTCTGGACATTGGTCTAGGCAAATAATTCATGACTAAGACCTCAAAAGCACAGGCAAAAGAAACCCCCAACTAGACAAATGAGATTTAATTAAACTAAAAAGCTTCTGCACAGCAAAAGAAATAACCAAAATGTTTTCTTATGTACCACATTAATTCATGGTAACATCACAGAAAGTTAGAAATGCAGAAGAAATAGTTGAAATATTTCGTAGTAACCCTCTATATGTTTTGTTGTTCTCTTTTCGTTCTTATCAACTATAAAGTTAAATTTATGGATATTGTGAAAAGATTATTTTCTTTTTATTAAATGAGTGAAATGATATGTGGTAAAAAGATAGGTTTAAATAATCTTAGAATTTATGTATGTGCTTTCTAATGATAAATGCTTGAGGTGATAAAAAATTTAAAATATATTCTGCTTCAAAAAAAGTATGAGCTTTTTACTACAAAGTTTCATTTTTAGAATAATATATTAATATTCATTTGTCCAAAATATATGAAAACTACCATTTAGTATGTTAGATCCAAGTGTGCACAATGTAAAATGACAATTAGCTAAAATGAAATTTAAAATTTATCTAAAATGTTTCATTTAAAAGAAAGGTGGGACAAAATCACAAATCAATAAATCATTGCAACAAGACTAATGTTATATAAATTAAGTCTATATTTCTAATACCAAAATGCTACAAACTATTCATTCTGAAGAATAATAATTAATATGTTTTATGATAGAGCACTGATATATGAAGGAGATGTTAGATTATGAAGTCTTCATCACTTATCGTGTAACTATTTACCTCATTATATAAAGCACTTGTTTAGGTACATATTTTTTCAGAAAGAACAACAAATTACTCTGTATGTACAAAGTTATAAAATATGTATAAATCTTAAGAAAATATCCTGACATATTTCCAAGTATTGACAAAATTAGTGAAGTGCAAAAGTTATTTATAGCAATTTTACAGTACATGAAGAACAGGTTAAATATATTTAGACAAAATGCAATGTGACTAAAAGATACTGGTTTTTTTATTCTTCATTGTCAGTGACTGGAAATAAATTTTCCAATTAGAAATGGGTATACATTCAGCCAGAATCAAAGCTGATGTTAGAAATTTGTAATCTATTAGAAATTATACTATTCTTGATTAAAAAACATCAACAACAACAAAAAACAAACAAACAAACAAAAAAATGAAGGTTAGAATTCTGCTTCTATCGTGCTGTCACATAAAAAAAAATCAAAAGAAAGGAGCAAAATTAAAACTGTGTTTTTTAGTGTAACTCATTTTGACTGGGATTGATTCAAAATGATTCAGATTGACTGAATTATTCTCATAAGAGTCAAAGTTGGCAAAGTGTTACTATAATATACATAGGCTTTAAATTAAATGGAAACAATGTGGAAGGAAGTTTCTCAGAACTAAACACCTGGCATTCATGCCTATTTTCAAGAGTAGCACTGAAATAATGACAACTTTCCCTCTGCATTCAAATTCTTTAGGAAACAAGATAAGCCGATAAAAGCTAATAATCCTAGAGACTAGCTCCCACAACAATTGAGTCAGCATTAGAGCCAAAAGGAGATGATGCAAAGAGAAGAGGAAAAGGTGTGTGCCTTGGTGCCTTTTGTCTAATCTGATGATATCCTCAGAGACAAGTGCTCTCCCATAGGAGACTAAGCAAGATGAAAAATGTTTTCTAGGACAACTGAATGGAATGAAAAGTGTGTTTTCAGTTTCAACACCAACTACTGGAACAGTTTCAACACACAACTTTAAATTTAAGAATATATTAAAAAAGGCAGTCAATCAAAGAATGCAGTAAGATTTATCTAATGAGTTAAAAATTATCTTAATCAAATAATGATTATAATCAAAATACTAGAATACAGGTGTCAAGCTGAAGTAGATATCAAAATATAATAACAATCTAATCTTATTACATTTTTCTGAGAATTAAATGCTTTAATTAAAAGAAATAAATTTAAATATAATATAAAATACACAAAAAACTTGAGACCAAGAAAGGAAATCATTTTTAAGAATAGAGTAAGTCTACACTGCAGATATCCTTTAACAAGTAGCATATTAAGGAATTTTTTAGTGTTTTCACTGCATAATATATGATGTTATAAATATAATTCTTCCCTTTCTGAAAATTGGTAGTTTATTTTTTAAAGCACGCAAATATCCATGATAATTTTCTTGAAAATTCTATTAAGAAGTGAGCATGAATGCATAAATAAGAAATCAATGAATCATTTTGACATTTTTATAAAAGGAAGAGCAGACCTTTAAATGAAATCATGTTCACAAGAAAAAAAAAGCTATTCTGAGCCCAGATATTGTGGTTCATGCCAAATATTTTGACAAGTGACAAGGATAGGTCAGAGTATTCGTAATGAAAATATAACTCAAAATATAACAAAATGAATGATTCATTCCTTTGTGGCTTGCAGGATTCCTTTTTCCCTTTAAGTCAGTTACATCAACCAATCTCTTCTATTTTGAGTACTATTACTAGACATTCATGGACTGCAGTGTATCCTAGCTTAGTCACTTTCTAAGGAAAATCTTTGATGAAATTACAGGAATCCTCTAGGGCTCAGCTTTCTCAGCTTATAAATGTGGATATTAAGGACACCGTAATTGTGAGGTTCCTGCTTAAAGAACATAATGCCTGCACTCATTCAATATAATAATTGGCAACCAAAACACAATATTGCAAAATCATTTTAACTTTAATTTTTGCAACTACTAGATGACATGTGAATCATATAACTATGTAAAAGGCTTAGAAACACACATACTAGAAGCACTTAAACTACTACCCAATATTATTACAGTTCTTAATTCATGCTGTTTCAAACTGTGTGTCACTAACATATTTACCTTTTCTCCAACACCACCAACTGAACCAACAGACCCTGGGGGTCCTTGTGGTCCCTGCAGTGTAGAAAAAGGAATGTAATTATCCATATTCTTATTAAAATAATGCATTCGTAAACATATGTCTAGTTGTTCTCAAAAAAGAGAAATAGATGCATGAGTATTCTTAGTCATTTAAAGAATGAGACTAAATGATGCTTAATAGAATTGTCAAATGTGTTGGAAAGCAAATAATTCAATATATTACACTGATTTTCAAATTCACTATAATTTTGAAGATAAAGCAGGAGACTTTCAAACTCTGGTTGATTCCTGAAACATAATTTCAATCTCTTTGCCAATAGAATAGTCAGATTGGTTTTAGGCGGTGATTTTGTAGTGAATCAAAATTATGACACTGGTTAAGAATTACATAATCCACGCAAGAAACAAACCCCTTATAACATCTTTTAGCTTTTAAATTACCTAAGAAGAATGAAAATCTAAAAACTCTTTTAATTCCTCTCTTTCTAGTCTATTTTTACTCAGTTCTGGCCTGCCAGAATTAAAGCAGATATTAAATAATGAAGAAAATGAAGACCAGAGACATGAAGGAAACATAGACTTCTTCATTGTGAAAAGTTGGCCAGAAGGAAAAATATCATCAAAGCCATGGATCCATTAATGGTAACAGTAAGATAAATATGGCATTATATTTCAAAATCTTATAACATTAAAATAATTTTTAAGCTTGGAGAATATCATCTTTATACAATTAAGAGAAAACATTTTACATGATAAAGGGTGCACCTATCACGCACATATTGCTGTAACATTATATAGTCTGAAAATACAAAATGCAAAGCTTTTACATGAAAGCCACTGTTAACAAGTGCATAAGAGTTATCATATGCAAGGCACAGTCTAAGTATGTTGGTTTGAACAATGTAGTAATTTTAATATACACAACATTATAACATTTCTCAGTCACCAGTAAATATCTATTGAATGGAAAATGTGTACCTATGTTACATTTTCCATGATTTGTTCACTATAAATTCCATTTATTTCATTGTATAATAAAGTGGAGTGAATAGGTGACCCTTGAGTTCTTAACCACTTAATATTAAACAATAGTTTAATATTGTTATAACTCACAAAGAGCATCTGCTATAAAATAACAATACCTATATAACTTCAAAATAATTAACATATATTTCAGAGTTCTTACATCAGCTCCATTGGGACCTTGAGGGCCTCTTGGGCCTGGAGGACCAGGTGGCCCCTGTAAGAGAGAAATATTGAGGTTTACAAAGACCAAATTCAAATGTGTTTCCAACATTTTCATTTTATGACTGAAAAATCTAAAAGAAGTTTAAGCTTGTAAAAACTATAGTTAGTGAAGCACATCAGGGTTATAAGTCATCCTTCATGGATACAACATCATGTTAGCAAATGAGCCTTTACACATAGCTATGAGGAAATTAGGATTTCAAGAGAAACAATTTGATTAGAAAATGGGCCAAGAAAGCCTATTGCTACTGTCTGGTATAATGTGTTCACAATATAACTAGATATATTTCATGCTAGAATATGTTACAACATAAAGAGAATGTAAAGTTGGAAAAATAAATGGTGCTTGAATAGAATTAGAATTCATTAACTCAATAGAAGTATTTTTTGTTGATAGGTATTTTTAGCTTTTTCTATGTCAACTCTTAGGTTCTATATGCTAGAATTAGAAATAAGAATAATTATTTAATTTCATTGTAAAACAAAGATTTTCTCTCCTGACAGTGCAGTAAAATTAACTTGGAAAACTTTTTATAAAATACTGATGCCAGAAACTCCTATCTCAAAGTTGTGATTAAAATAGTCTACAGCGAATTTGTTTTTCACTGTACATTAGTACATTTCACTGGACATTAGTATTTTTAAAAGATCTCAGTTTATTCTAATGCCATGGTTGAAAAGCTTTTCTGTTATTATCTACTACCGTGTAATCAGGAAGAATATATCAATGATTCATGGAACGATGGTAACCATATCTGGAAAGGAACTTGCTATGTATCTGTTACTGCTTGGAAGTATTAACCAGTTATTTGAATCAGAAAAGTGGTTTTTTTCTGAGACGGAGTCTTGCTCTGTCGCCCAGGCTGGAGTGCAGTGGCGCGATCTCGGCTCACTGCAAGCTCCGCCTCCTGGGTTCACGCCATTCTTCTGTCTCAGCCTCCCGAGTAGCTGGGACTACAGGCACACGCCACCATGCCCGGCTAATTTTGTTTTGTATTTTTAGTAGAGACGGGGTTTCACCGTGTTAGCCAGGATGGTCTCGATCTCCTGACATCGTGATCCGCCCGCCTCGGCCTCCCAAAGTGCTGGGATTACAGGCGTGAGCCACCGCTCCCGGCCAGCAAAGTTTTTTATGCATTTCTTATATCTAGGTTTATTAATGATGATATGGATCATTTCAAAGAATATAATAGATTTGAGTGTAATTCCTAAGGAGAATAAAACCTAACAGACAAGTGTTAAAATTTCAAAATGTGTATTTTGAAGGAAGTGAAAATTGGGGGCAATGTTGAAGGAAAGGGCCACTTAAGACATGCAGTCATCACATTTCATTATGGATTTCAATTACCTTTGCTAATTATTTTCTTATCTAAGGTAGTGCTTCATAAACAATTATATGCATTTCAAATTTTCAGTTCAGGTCTTAGAGAGCCAGAATCAATAAATGCAAATAATTATAAGTCATAGCATTCTAATTAAGACAGAATTATTAAATTAAGAATTTGTTTCAAAGTAGTTAATTTTTGATTCTGTATAAATTGCTAATTATCTAAATCTTGAGTGAATATTACCTATTCTCTACCTGCTCCAAATCAAAATCCAGAGCTAAAGACTAATATATAACTAAATCATGTCAGTTGCTTATATACACCTCAATAATATATACATAGTAATGAAAGAACACATAATACTTTACAAACCAGTGACTGCCATGCATATAACACATACCCATCAAACACCAAAAATAAAAACTTACCATGGGACCAACATCCCCATTTTCACCTTTTTCACCAGGTGGGCCTGGCAGACCCTAAGAAAATATAATAGAAAAATAATAAAAGTCACTGATGTCTTTAAAAAAAAAAGTTTGGTCAATTTCTAAGATAAAATCAAGTATAAAGTTCAATAAGTACATGGAAATTAAGATTCAGATACTAACATTTGTTAAAATACCTACTATGCAAATGTTGACCACATGTGATAAAATCTTACACCTACATTTACAAATAAAATTTATGTTTTGTATAATATTATATTGTTTATTTTTAGTTATAATAACTAAATATTAATTTGATCTGGGAATTTATGAACACCCAACCATTTGCTCAGTCCCGTACAAATAATATATAGAACTTCCCTGGTACAGATTTCTGGAATCTTTTGACTCAAAATATTTTAGTATATGAGGTTTTTATAGTTAGGTACCAGTCTGGTAAAATAAATATTCCAATACATTTCAAAGGTTATAAATATCTTCTGAATTTTTGACCTGTTAATTCAATTTCTGAATCTTACAAATCAATGAGCCCATGAAACCTACTATATTATACTTTTAAAAATTCTTTCAGGCCGGGCGCAGTGGCTCACGGCTGTAATCCCAGCACTTTGGGAGGCTGAGGCGGGCGGATCACGAGGTCAGGAGATCGAGACCATCCTGGCTAACACCGGTGAAACCCCGTCTCAACTAAAAATACAAAAAAAAAAAAAAAAAATTAGCCGGGCGTGGTGGCAGGCGACTGTAGTCACAGCTACTCGGGAGGCTGAGGCAGGAGAATGGTGTGAACTCCGGAGGTGGAGCTTGCAGTGAACCAAGATCGTGCCACTGCACTCCAACCTGGGTGACAGAGCAAGACTCCGTCTCCAAAAGACAAAAAAATTCTTTCAAATCTATTTCCATTGTATTCAATTGCACTGTAACTGATATTTAGGAAAAGCTCTGTGTTACAGTATAAAGGAAGACAGAAAGATTGCACTCAAATTTCATCTGTCTATGTCTTCACCGAAAAATTATTTTAGTTCTTGACTACTTATTTGATCTTCCCAAAAATTATTCCATGAAGATTATTATTTCCTCTTTCATGTCACAACAATACTTTGTACATACTTCAATTGTACATTTATAAATTTTCTTATGTCACTTTTGTGTATATTTACAGTCATGAACTACTCTGGGGCATGCATTCATCAGTGATCTTTTAGGTGTTAACTGTTTAGGAACTAGCAGAGGAGCAATCAAAAATTAAAATGTTTGTTGAATGAATGAACTCTAAGAAAATAAACTAATAAGGATAGCTACATTCAATAAAATGTTTCTTGCTAACAGTAGCTATGATACTGAAAATCCTGTCATTCCAAAAGTTTAATCTTAGAAAAAAGAACTAAAGAAATTCAGTTACATAAAGTAGTGGAATGTTATGTGACTATTAATGTGATACTAATACTCTAAACATGAATAATATATACAACAAATAAAAAATACAAATGAATATGCATAAGTTTAACTGTAAAATATGTAGGTAGAATAGGTATGCTAATTATCAGACAAATAGCAAACATAGTAATCGTTTCTAATATTGTAGGATTATGGATTTTTTTCAGTTTTTCATGTTTTTAGTGTATAATTATTTATATATTAATACATCTTATATATGCTATACATAATTAATTTTTAATGTTTGCATAATATTTTAGATGTAATCTATTTTAGACATAAAAATACAATGTAAAAGCTCTAAATAACTGCTAGTACTTTCGTGACATTACTGACTTCTTGACACTGCACTGTAATTGCTGAATATTATTTGACTGTGAGCCACTGTGAAAAATGTATTTTACTTAATGCTCCCTAACCATGCGCATGTAAAGTAGCTGAAACATGAGTTTCAAAAAAGCAGTACTTAGCCTTTTGCATAGATGATAGCCTTTGATATTTTCATTCTATTTTACCTTATCATGTTCTATTTCATTTTTTCAATGCTGGTAATGATCCACAAAATTTTTTTATAACCTACTATATCCACATGACTTTCAGTTTGTAAAGAAGGAACTTTACTGAATATATTTATATATTTGTTTAATTGTGGCATATATTCATTTTTATGAGGAAATCTTAGTTACTAATTTGTAACAAAAAATATGTACCAGAATTTCATTTTTTTCTCAAATGTCAGTAAGATGTCTAAGAAAAGAGACTGCTATATATACTTCCCAAACTGTTACCATCATCTGATGACTGTTTCTAGAATTATAAGTGAAGTTTCTGGAAGAAAAAGACAGGTAGTATTTCTCAGATCTTATAGACCTAAAAATTGTAGGTGACTGCAAAAAATTTTAGGTTCTAAATCAGTCAATTTCAGAAATTCAAAATCTGAATTTGATGAAACACATAAACTTAAATTCTTAAACATGCATGTATATTTTAACACAGTTTAAATAAATATTTCACTTTAACACCATTTTCTTAAATAGCATACACTGCAACTTAAACATAATTAAGTTTCCAAAAACACCATAAATTTAAAATTACATTCCTTATTTTTTGTCCAGGTTTTCACACCCTTTTAGGATAGAGTGCATCTAATTTAGTATCCCCAAATTAAAAGGTATGTCAATATTAATTCACAGTTTTTTTATTACAAACCCAGTTGTGCATTTTCATCTTTTTTATGCATATAATTATTCCAATTAGTTCAATAAAAATATCCCAATAGAAAAAAATTTATTTATTTTTAATTCAGTTAGATCATAGTTTGTATTGATTAAGACAAAAAATTATTATTATTACAATTAGTGGAGACACAATGAGTCAAAATCTCTTGTTGCATGGAACTAAACACTCTGAAAAGCACTCTAGGGTTAATCCATTCTCATGAAATGTCCTACCTTTCTCCAAAGAGGTAATTTATGCGTGGAGAGATTCTGTTTTAAGGTCTGTCAATTTAAAATCATTGCCACTTAAATGATGAGTTGAAAAATGAAGTTAGGCCAAGAATGCACACTCTCTCTCACTCCATATATGTGTGTGTGTGTATATATCCTTCATATGCAGATGACAGTAAACATCAAATTGAAAAATCAAGACATGTAACCTGAATATTAGATTATTTTATTTATGTCTATTATAATTGCTAATATCTATTCTGCCATGAAGACTCAATTAAAGGAGGCAGATGCAATTGTGAACATGTTAATTACATTAGCATCATTCAGTTTCCTGATTTACAGAAGTAGCTGTGGGAAAATGCAATCACTTTTTTAAATGAATTGATTTCTTGAGTCACCCTCATCAAAGAGCACATTTCTTCGTGAAAATGAAGATGATGTTTATTGAATATTTTATAAACATAATCTACAAGACACCTACTTTAATCATGAGAACTGTTTCTAAATTACAGTTTTATAGGATTCAGAGTAGTCAAATAAAAAAAAGAAAATGAATATTAATGTACCCATTGACAATCTAATTTTAATGCCTTGTTTTCAAATATGTATGCTTCACACACATATTGATATGTGGTACTTATGACTGTTTACGTATAATTGTCTAACAAGTATAACCTAAACATGACAAATATGAAAGTGAAGTTTTTGCACTCTCCAAGTTTAAAAAGAATTATTTTGACCTTAAAATGAGATAAATAAAAAATCTTGTTATCTGATAAACATTTATTAAGTGTTTTAACAGTAATAATTCATTATATTGTGTTCATGATGCAATTTGTGTAATTATGCACATAAGATATTTAATATCAACACAGTAATTTTATAATCATATTTATAAAAATAAAGATACAAATTTTTTATATAAATTCAATTTACATAGGCTTTTCTACAAGTTCACAAATTTCTAGGTTCAGTGAACTAGATGACTTAATTTACCATTTCTAATACAAATAATATACCATAAGTTACCCTCATGTGGGACCTCAATATCATTTAAGACAAAATGCTATAATCTTTCCGTGGATCACTAGGAAGAGACAGAATAAGCAAGTGGAAGAAAAAAGCTCAACGTTTCCAAGGTTTATAGGAAGCAGTGAACATCAAGCGGAAGGTAAAAAAACAAGCCAGAATACGGCCAGGCGCAGTGGCTCACGCCTGTAATCCCAGCACTTTGGGAGGCTGAGGTGGGCGGATCACGAGGTCAGGAGATCGAGACCATCCTGGCTAACACGGTGAAACCCCGTCTCCGGAGAATGGCATGAACCTGGGAAGCGGAGCTTGCAGTGAGCCGAGAGCAGGCCACTGCACTGCAGCCTGGGTGACAGCGTGAGACGCCGTCTCAAAAAAACAAAAAAAAAACCAAAAACCCAGAATAGAAGGTATCTGTTCTGGAACATGTTGTTTAAGAGTCCAATTGTAAGATATATTTGAACAGAGGCTGTAGTGTTCTACAATTTAATATTTATTTTCCTGGATATGTTTCATAAAATTCAAATTACAATTTTAAAATGATAATAATCGATCTTAAATGATCGACTTAATTTATTTTACCTATTATTGTTTAACATGTGCTGTTGGCAGTTGCTTTTGGCAGGATCCCATTTCTCAAAATGCTTTCAATTTTTTTAGCCATCTTGAAAGTAAAGAGTCATAGGTCGAGTTTCTCCGGGGAAAGGAAGCGAAAGTGTCTCCAGATCCGCCCCTGTCTGCCTGGGACTTCGTGTTCCTCCTATTGCTATCAATCTGAAGTACTAACTTATCTTGTTATGAGTCCTATGAGAGGACCCTTCTAATATCTTACTTTTTTTTTTATTATACTTTAAGTTTTAGGGTACATGTGCACATTGTGCAGGTTAGTTACATATGTATACATGTGCAATGCTGGTGTGCTGCACCCACTAACTCGTCATCTAGCATTAGGTATATCTCCCAATGCTATCCCTCCCCTCTCCCCCCACCCCACCACAGTCCCCAGAGTGTGATATTCCCCTTCCTGTGTCCATGTGATCTCATTGTTCAATTCCCACCTATGAGTGAGAATATGCGGTGTTTGGTTTTTTGTTCTTGCGATAGTTTACTGAGAATGATGATTTCCAATTTCATCCATGTCCCTACAAAGGACATGAACTCATCATTTTTTATGGCTGCATAGTATTTCATGGTGTATATGTGCCACATTTTATTAATCCAGTCTATCATTGTTGGACATTTGGGTTGGTTCCAAGTCTTTGCTGTTGTCAATAGTGCTACAATAAACATACGTGTGCATGTACAGCAGCATGATTTCTAATCCTTTGCATATATACCCAGTAATGGGATAGCTGGGTCAAATGGTATTTCTAGTTCTAGATCCCTGAGGAATCGCCACACTGACTTCGACAATGGTTGAACTAGTGTACAGTCCCACCAACAGTGTAAAAGTGTTCCTATTTCTCCACATCCTCTCCAGCACCTGTTGTTTCCTGACTTTTTAATGATTGCCATTCTAACTGGTGTGAGATGGTATCTCATTGTGGTTTTGATTTGCATTTCTCTGATGGCCAGTGATGATGAGCATTTTTTCATGTGTTTTTTGGCTGCATAGATGTCTTCTTTTGAGAAGTGTCTGTTCATGTCCTTTGCCCACTTTTTGATGGGGTTGTTTTTTTCTTGTAAATTTGTTTGAGTTCATTGTAGATTCTGGATATTAGCCCTTTGTCAGATGAGTAGGTTGTGAAAATTTTCTCCCATTTTGTAGGTTGCCTGTTCACTCTGACGGTAGTTTATTTTGCTGTGCAGAAGCTCTTTAGTTTAATTAGATCCCATTTGTCAATTTTGGCTTTTGTTGCCATTGCTTTTGGTGTTTTAGACATGAAGTCCTTGCCCATGCCTATGTCCTGAATGGTAATGCCTAGGTTTTCTCCTAGGGTTTTTATGGTTTTAGGTCTAACGTTTAAGTCTTTAATCCATCTTGAATTGATTTTTGTATAAGGTGTAAGGAAGGGATCCATTTTCAGCTTTCTACATATGGCTAGCCAGTTCTCCCAGCACCATTTATTAAATAGGGAATCCTTTCCCCATTGTTTGTTTTTCTCAGGTTTGTCAAAGAACAGATAGTTGTAGATATGCGGCATTATTTCTGAGGGCTCTGTTCTGTTCCATTGATCTATATCTCTGTTTTGGTACCAGTACCATGCTGTTTTGGTTACTGTAGCCTTGTAGTATAGTTTGAAGTCAGGTAGTGTAATGCCTCCAGCTTTGTTTTTTTGGCTTAGGATTGACTTGGCAATGCGGGCTCTTTTTTGGTTCCATATGAACTTTAAAGTAGTTTTTTCCAATTCTGTGAAGAAAGGCATTGGTAGCTTGATGGGGATGGCATTGAATCTGTAAATTACCTTGGGCAGTATGGCCATTTTCATGATATTGATTCTTCCTACCCATTTGCATGGAATGTTCTTCCATTTGTTTGTATCCTCTTTTATTTCATTGAGCAGTGGTTTGTATTTCTCCTTGAAGAGGACCTTCACATCCTTGTAAGTTGGATTCCTAGGTATTTTATTCTCTTTGAAGCAATTGTGAATGGGAGTTCACTCATAATTTGGCTCTCTGTTTGTCTGTTGTTGGTGCATAAGAATGCTTGTGATTTTAGTACATTGATTTTGTATCCTGAGACTTTGCTAAAGTTGCTTATCAGCTTAAGGAGATTTTGGGCTGAGACAATGGGGTTTTCTAGATATACAATCATGTCATCTGCAAACAGGGACAATTTGACTTCCTCTTTTCCTAATTGAATACCCTTTATTTCCTTCTCCTGCCTAACTGCCCTGGCCAGAACTTTCAACACTATGTTGAATAGGAGTGGTGAGAGAAGGCATCCCTGTCTTGTGCCCGTTTTCAAAGGGAATACTTCCAGTTTTTGCCCATTCAGTATGATATTGGCTGTGGGTTTGTCATAGATAGCTCTTATTATTTTGAAATACGTCCCATCAATACCTAATTTATTGAGAGTTTTTAGCATGAATGGTTGTTGAATTTTGTCAAAGGCTTTTTCTGCATCTATTGAGATAATCATGTGGTTTTTGTCTTTGGCTCTGTTTATATGCTGGATTACATTTATTGATTTGCGTATATTGAACCAGCCTTGCATCCCAGGGATGAAGCCCACTTCATCATGGTGGATAAGCTTTTTGATGTGCTGCTGGATTCATTTTGCCAGTATTTTATTGAGGATTTTTGCATCAATGTTCATCAAGGATATTGGTCTAAAATTCTCTTTTTTGGTTGTGTCTCTGCCCGGCTTTAGTATCAGAATGATGCTGGCCTCATAAAATGAATTAGGGAGGATTCCCTCTTTTTCTGTTGATTGGAATAGTTTCAGAAGGAATGGTACCAGTTCCTCCTTGTACCTCTGGTAGAATTCGGCTGTGAATCCATCTGGTCCTGCACTCTTTTTGGTTGGTAAGCTATTGATTATTGCCACAATTTCAGATCCTGTTATTGGTCTATTCAGAGATTCAACTTCTTCCTGGTTTAGTCTTGGGAGAGTGTATGTGTCAAGGAATTTATCCATTTCTTCTAGATTTTCTAGTTTATTTGCGTAGAGGTGTTTGCAGTATTCTCTGATGGTAGTTTGTATTTCTGTGGGATCGGTGGTGATATCCCCTTTATCATTTTTTATTGCGTCTATTTGATTCTTCTCTCTTTTTTTCTTTATTAGTCTTGCTAGGGGTCTATCAATTTTGTTGATCCTTTCAAAAAACCAGCTCCTGGATTCATTAATTTTTTGAAGGGTTTTTTGTGTCTCTATTTCCTTCAGTTCTGCTCTGATTTTAGTTATTTCTTGCCTTCTGCTAGCTTTTGAATGTGTTTGCTCTTGCTTTTCTAGTTCTTTTAATTGTGATGTTAGGGTGTCAATTTTGGATCTTTCCTGCTTTCTCTTGTGGGCATTTAGTGCTATAAATTTCCCTCTACCCACTGCTTTGAATGCGTCCCAGAGATTCTGGTATATTGTGTCTTTGTTCTCATTGGTTTCAAAGAACATCTTTATTTCTGCCTTCATTTTGTTATGTACCCAGTAGTCATTCAGGAGCAGGTTGTTCAGTTTCCATGTAGTTGAGCGGTTTTGAGTGAGATTCTTAATCCTGAGTTCTAGTTTGATTGCACTGTGGTCTGAGAGATAGTTTGTTATAATCTCTCTTCTTATACATTTGCTGAGGAGAGCTTTACTTCCAAGTATGTGGTCAATTTTGGAATAGGTGTTTTGTGGTGCTGAAAAAAATGTATATTCTGTTGATTTGGGGTAGAGAGTTCTGTAGATGTCTATTAGGTCCACTTGGTGCAGAGCTGAGTTCAATTCCTGGGTATCCTTGTTGACTTTCTGTCTCGTTGATCTGTCTAATGTTGACAGTGGGGTGTTAAAGTCTCCCATTATTAATGTGTGGGAGTTAAGTCTCTTTGTAGGTCACTCAGGACTTGCTTTATGAATCTTGGTGCTCCTGTATTGGGTGCATATATATTTAGGATAGTTAGCTCTTCTTGTTGAATTGATCCCTTTAGCATTATGTAATGGCCTTCTTTGTCTCTTTTGATCTTTGTTGGTTTAAAGTCTGTTTTATCAGAGACTAGGATTGCAAGCCCTGCCTTTTTTTGTTTTCCATTTGCTTGGTAGATCTTCCTCCATCCTTTTATTTTGAGCCTATGTGTGTCTCTGCACGTGAGATGGGTTTCCTGAATACAGCACACTGATGGGTCTTGACTCTTTATCCAATTTGCCAGTCTGTGTCTTTTAATTGGAGCATTTAGTCCATTTACATTTAAAGTTAATATTGTTATGTGTGAATTTGATCCTGTCATTATGATGTTAGCTGGTTATTTTGCTCGTTAGTTGATGCACTTTCTTCCTAGTCTCGATGGTCTTTACATTTTGGCCTGATTTTGCAGTGGCTGGTGCCGGTTGTTCCTTTCCATGTTTAGCACTGCCTTCAGGAGCTCTTTTAGGGCAGGCCTGGTGGTGACAAAATCTCTCAGCATTTGCTTGTCTGTAAAGGATTTTATTTCTCCTTCACTTATGAAGGTTAGTTTGGCTGGATATGAAGTTCTGGGTTGAAAATTCTTTTCTTTAAGATGTTGAATATTGGCCCCCACTCTCTTCTGGCTTGTAGGGCTTCTGCCGAGAGATCCGCTGTTAGTCTGATGGGCTTCCCTTTGAGGGTAACCCGACCTTTCTCTCTGGCTGCCCTTAACATTTTTTCCTTCATTTCAACTTTGGTGAATCTGACAATTATGTGTCTTGGAGTTGTTCTTCTCGTGGAGTGTCTTTGTGGCATTCTCTGTATTTCCTGAATCTGAACATTGGCCTGCCTTGCTAGATTGGGGAAGTTCTCCTGGATAATATCCTGCAGAGTGTTTTCCAACTTGGTTCCATTCTCCCTATCACTTTCAGGTACACCAATCAGACGTAGATTTGGTCTTTTCACATAGTCCCATATTTCTTGGAGGCTTTGCTCATTTCTTTTTATTCTTTTTTCTCTAAACTTCCCTTCTTGCTTCATTTCATTCATTTCATCTTCCCTCGCTGATACCCTTTCTTCCAGTTGATCGCATCGGCTCCTGAGGCTTCTGCATTCTTCACGTAGTTCTCGAGCCTTGGTTTTCAGCTCCATCAGCTCCTTTAAGCACTTCCCTGTATTGGTTATTCTAGTTATACCTTCTTCTAAATTTTTTTCAAAGTTTTCAACTTCTTTGCCTTTGGTTTGAATGTCCTCCCGTAGCTCAGAGTAATTTGATCGTCTGAAGCCTTCTTCTCTCAGCTCATCAAAGTCATTCTCCATCCAGCTTTGTTCCATTGCTGGTGAGGAACTGCGTTCCTTTGGAGGAGGAGAGGTGCTCTGCTTTTTAGAGTTTCCAGTTTTTCTGTTCTGTTTTTTCCCCATCTTTGTGGTTTTATCTACTTTTGGTCTTTGATGATGGTGATGTACAGATGGGTTTTTGGTGTGGATGTCCTTTCTGTTTGTTAGTTTTCCTTCTAACAGACAGGACCCTCAGCTACAGGTCTGTTGGAATACCCTGCCGTGTGAGGTGTCAGTGTGCCCCTGCTGGGGGGTGCCTCCCAGTTAGGCTGCTCGGGGGTCAGGGGTCAGGGACCCACTTGAGGAGGCAGTCTGCCTGTTCTCAGATCTCCAGCTGCGTGCTGGGAGAACCACTGCTCTCTTAAAAGCTTTCAGACAGGGACATTTAAGTCTGCAGAGGTTACTGTTGTCTTGTTTGTCAGTGCTCTGCCCCCCAGAGGTGGAGCCTACAGAGGCAGGCAGGCCTCCTTGAGCTGTGGTGGGCTCCACCCAGCTCGAGCTTCCTGGCTGCTTTGTTTACCTAAGCAAGCCTGGGCAATGGCGGGCGCCCCTCCCCCAGCCTCGCTGCCACCTTGCAGTTTGATCTCAGACTGCTGTGCTAGCAATCAGCGAGACTCCGTGGGCGTAGGACCCTCTGAGCCAGGTGCCGGATATAATCTCGTGGTGCGCCGTTTTTTAAGCCGGTCGGAAAAGTGCAGTATTCCGGTGGGAGTGACCCGATTTTCCAGGTGAGTCCGTCACCCCTTTCTTTGACTCAGAAAGGGAACTCCCTGACCCCTTTTGCTTCCCAAGTGAGGCAATGCCTGGCCCTGCTTCGGCTCGCACACGGTGCGCGCACCCACTGACCTGCGCCCACTGTCTGGCACTCCCTAGTGAGATGAACCCGGTACCTCAGATGAAAATGCAGAAATCACCTGTATTCTGCGTCGCTCACGCTGGGAGCTGTAGACTGGAGCTGTTCCTATTCGGCCATCTTGGCTCCTCCTATCTTACTTTTAAGTATCAGACTTAGGCAAGGTTGTAATTCATTTTCCAAACAAAATGGGAGTGAAGAAAGGAAGTGTAATAATTAAGGTGGGTCTAAAAATACTCCAGAATCAGGAGCGAGGGCTGATACATGTTCAGGAGAATTAATCATACATGATAAAATGATTTCAAGTTCAGCTGCTCATTTAAAAATAAAATGATCTTTATGGATAAACATTGTACCCAAGTTCTTACGTAGAAAAAAAGAAAAAAATACTTTGTTTTACATCCACCAGAAAACCTGGTGAGAAGTAGGTAGAAATGATGGAGTAAACAATGACAGGATCATCTTACCTGAAGACCTATTGGACCAGGAGGTCCAGGGAAGCCTCTGGCACCCTCATCACCTTTTTGCCCAAACATCCCCTGCTGTCCTCTAGGACCTGGTTCACCATCACCTCCCTAGAGAAGAGAAAGAAACATTATCACAAACTGGAAAAAATCATTACGATATGAGTCATTAAAAAATGTGGCCATTTCTAATTTAATCAAAGCAGATGTATTTAAGAATAACCAAGTAAAAAGTAGACTGAATGCCCATTATCTGCTCCAATATACTATTGTTTGTTTTGCTTATTTTCTTTGCTTCTGGATCATAACTGATTTTGATTTGATCCTGTATACCAAGTGAAGTAAAAGCTGTCTAATAACGGAAATAATTTTCTGAATTATTATCTATTAAGGAATTCTCAACAAATTATTACTTACTTTCAAATGAAGTTACAATATGTTTTGTTTCTAAGAATCAGCACGGCTAGCTATATTTGATAATTTAAATTTGATTTAATGTCAAACATACAAACAAAACTTATTACCCCACAAAATTGACTGGTTATGGGACAGTATACAAATTTAATCAGGGAGCTGTAAGGATTTAGATTTGCTGAACAATGTGGAATACTCACAGCAATTCCAGGGGCACCAACTGGTCCTTGAAGACCTGGGGGACCGGGAGGGCCCTGCAGTGAGATAAAAATAAGTAATTTTTAAAGTGAAGCCAGAAGAGCCTCAGCCATATGAAACAGAACATTTAGCCTACCAAGATCAAACACTTCTGCACTCCTTTGGAAAAAAAGAAGCATCACATAGAATTATTTTGCATTTACTGCAATCATTATTTATTTTACTCCTTGAGACTCAAGCTTTCACATTTGAAATCAATTTTAAGTTGACATTTGTTGAAAACACTCTCATTTGTAATGTTGTGAATCTTCAAGATAGATTTCTATGCTATCAGACATCAAGTTGTAAGATTCGCATTTGAAAATTTTCAAAGTATCAGATTTCTTTAATGAGATAAATATGATTAGGAAAGGGCCCATGAAAAAATTGTCTATATACTGTCTTCTGAGTGAATATCAGAATTCTGAGGGTTCTATACAGATAGAATGTAGTAATATATGAAAATTTGGAATTTTCACATATGCGTACACATGTAAACTAATTGTTATATATTAAGTACACCAGGACCTCTTATTTTGAGCAATAGTTTTCAAAAGACATTATGAGTCTTACATGCATAGATATTTCTTCATTGTCTCATTTTCTTACATTAGTAACGGGTCAGGCAATATAAAAGGTTCAGGCATTAAAGAAATAAAACTGTCATTGAACTGTATTGTTCTGTATTGTAACTACTACTTGTGGGGGAACTGTTAAAGCAAGATTTTGAAAAGCTGGTTCATGGGCCATTGGGAGTTCTTGATATGCTTTTAGGATTCTGCTAGTTCATAACTCTTCTCATAACAACAGTAAGGCATTTTTTGTCCTTTAACTATATAGACTTTTGCACTAATGATGTAAAATCCGTGGTGAATAAAGTTGCTGGTAACTTAGCGCTTATCATGTTGGTAGCTACCATTTGTAATAGCATTAATTGTATTTTACCACGATATACTTTCAATCAACACAAAAATGGCTGTTCCATCTAAGAATGTCATGGATGTAATTGTATTGATGAGGCTTTGAAAGTTATTAATATTATTAAATATTGACCTTGAATATGTGTCTTTTCATATTCATTTGACAAACTGAAGACATACATAAAGTATGTTTGCCTCATACTGAAGTACAGTGCTTGTCTCAAAAAAAAAAAAAAGCCCTACAAACATTTGGATTATAGTTTGAAATGCTGGCTGAACTTTTACATGGAACACTAACTTTTACATGGAACGCTATTTTTACTTGAAAGAGCGGCTGACAGAAAAACTATGATTTTTTAGTTATAAATAATAAATGTGATTATAAATAATCAGTTATAAATAATAAGTGTGATTATAAATAGTAAGTATGATTTTGGCAGATGTTATTCAATATAAAGGAAGCCTTGGATTTCAAAGAAAACAACTGACAGTATTTACTGTCAATAACGTTCAAACTTTAAAGCAAAAATTAGAATTTTGGAAATGTCTCATCTGCCATTGCAGGCTTTATATCTTCCCAATCTGAAAGTATTTTCCTATGATATTAATATCGCATAAAGAATTGTGTCAACACTTTGAGGACCTTACCCAGGAAATCAATAATTTCCAAATTATCAATGAAGGATATTACAAAATTATGTATGAAACATAGTCATCAACGTGCAAGATAGAGCAGTGGAATATAATGTAATAGCACAAAAAGCTCACTGTTTTTGTTTCAAATTCTGTTGTGCAATTGACCCTTAAGAAAAACTACCACTTATAAAATTTCTATGTAAAATCAAAGAATATTCAAAATTATCTGAAAAGGTACTGAAAATGCCCCTCCCTTTTATAACTACATAATTTATGTGAGCTTAGATTTTCTTCATGCTTTCAACCAAAAAAACATGTCACCACAGGCTGAACTAGATATGAGAATATAGCTTCTTCTATTAAGCTAGACAAAACAAATGTAACAATGGTACTCTTGGGACTATATATTTTTATTTGCAAAAATATAGCTAGTTTTTATTAAAAGTGCTTTGGGCTTATTATTCTTAATTATAAATAAATCAATACATAAATATTTTAAATATATCAGCTTTCATTCATATGATAGTAACCCACATAGACAAAAGCTTTTTGGGCTCCTAAAAACCTTTCCGAGTATGCAAGGGTCCTAAGGCAAAAATATTTGAGATTTGCTGGCCCATATAATGGCCATGCAGTCATTTTAGCATTGCTTTTAAGGAGTAAATAAAACTTTTAAAAATGTGGCTTCTGTCGAGTGTATAAGGTAGTCTAATTAAATCCATAGTATTTATTTATAATTAAGAAATCTAAATGGAATCTAAAGTAATTTACTGCTATCGTTTGGATATGGTTTGTCCCCACTAAAACTCATGTTGAAATTTAATTCCCAGTGTTGGGGGTGGGGCCTAAATGGAGGTGTTTTGGTTCTTAAGGTGGATCCATCAGGAATAGCTGCATAGCGATTGAGTTCTTGCTCTGGGGAGATTGAATTGTTTCTTGAAGGAATGAATTAGTTCCCATGAAAGAGGGTTGTTTTAAAGTCAGCACTCCTGTAGGGTTTGGTCCCTCCTTGTTCAGGCCCGGTTCCCCTTTGAACTTCTCTGCCATGTTTTGACACAGAACAAAAGCCCTCACCATAAGCCAAGCAGATGCCAGCCCCAGGCTTCTTTGTACAACCTGCTGAACTGTAAGCCAAGTAACCCTATTTTCCTTATAAATTATCCAGCCTCGGGTATTCATTTATAGTAACACAAAACAGACTAAGGCAGATACCAAAATACATTTTGTAAATGTATAGTCAATACTAACTGCATCAAACATATGCAGCCGGTTTTCTGTACACAATTTCTTGTCATAATTTTACAGCATGGATCTGGAGTATCAGTGCTATCACCTGTTTGTTGGTGTTTTGTTTCACTGCATATAAAAATGAATTATGCATTAAATACTACAATTATTACTACAAGCTTTTTCTCTTTTCATTCTAGTGTTTTCTTTTTAGTTAGAAAAATTCATCTCATAGGACTATGGTAACTCTTCAGTTTGGGATTCCATCAATTCTAATAAAAATCTTCTTTCCGTTATGTGTTAATGTAGGCAGTAAATCCAACCCTAAAAGCATCAGACTGATGGATCACAAAATAGAACCAGACTGGTCTGTTAGAATGAAATTGCTGGGGATAATGTATAAACTTCCATACTAGGTGAAAAAAAAAACTTGAAGGACATATCTCTGTACTCCCCCAATTTATGTTTCTATCAGAGAGCAAATACATGAACACTTAAAGGGAAAAAAAAATTAAAAAAAAAGAACTTAGAAAATAATGTCCACAGATATTCTTTAGAGAGTATAAATTAGTAAGGAAGTGCTGAAGCATGTGACAGTATCATCATCTAACATATTTCATTTAAGAAGTAGGAACATGTTTAAATACATAATTTAAAGAGAATATATACTGGTAGTGACCAAAGAAAAACATCATAAAGACAAGAGTGAACACACCATTTGAATGAACAACCAAAATTATATTGAAGTTTTATGATTTAAATGAAAAATTTTAAAATAAGTATTTATAACATATGGGAATAAGTGACCAATTTGTATACATGTAGAACATAGTAATACTGTTAATTTTGGTAAATATATGTATACAAAATTTCTCATAATCATACAAAAAAGACTATTTCATTATGTTACTCTTTCATGTGCTATAGCAGAGTTATAAATAATGGCCTTACAATCATCATACTTTACTTAATCACAGAAATAGAAAACTTCACAAATATATAAAATTATAGAATGATATAACTGCAGAGGTAATGTAGTATTGGTATTATAAGTATTGGCTAGGAAAGTAAGTAGCACTATATAAAAATATCAATGGTAAACAGTAAAAGTTGTTAAATAAATAATGTTCTCTCAGTAAGAAGTAGGAAACTCACATTTTCTCCCTTGTCACCCTTGCTGCCTTTTTGTCCCGGCTCACCAATTTCACCCTGAAATTGAAAGATTTGACTTAGAGTTTATCTCTAACATGCTATTGCATTGTCTTAATTATCATCAAACAGTTAAATTTTACCTTTAATATAATTACATGCTAGTGTGTAATGTCACTGTTTAAAATGGAAAATCTTGGGTTCCCACTGCTTCTAGCTTTCTAATATTGACTAATATGTTAACAGACAAGTCCGTTTAACTTCAAAGTATACTACAACTGAATTTATAATTCAAAAATCAATTTTGTCTCAAATATTACCTGTATAAACTGGTAACGGAAATACACTGACATATAAAATCTATAATTACACATTAATCAAAAATTACTTTACCAGCTAGGTTCTGGGTCGCGCACCTGTAATCCCAGGTTTTGGGAGGTTGAGGTGAAAGGTTGGGCCCAGGAGTTTAAGATCAGCCTAGGAAGCATAGTGAGACCCTGTCCTACAAATAAATGTTTTTAAAAAGTTAGCTGCACATGGTGAGGCATGCTTGTAGTCTCAGCTACTTGGGAAGCTGAGGTGGGAGGATCGCTCAAGTCCAGGAGTTTGAGGCTGCAGTGAGCCCTGTTGCACCACTGCACTCCAGCCTGGGCGACAAAAAAAGACTCTCTCTCTCAAAAAAGTAAAAAATAAAAATAAAAACAAAATAATGGAAAAAATTCTTTTCTGCTAATTTTCCAGATGCTAAAATGATGCACATTATCAGAGTGCTGGTTTAAAAATTTTTAAATAATATTTTAAAATAATATAATGATGTATTCAATTGAAACATTTAACACACAGCCATACATTTGGAATTAGGAGCTTAGAGTCTGTACTCACATGTTGGTAAATGATAACAGGATTATGAAGTAAATATGTAGCTCATTCTTAAGTCTTATTGTACAATATCCAAGACATGAGGACTAACCATATACATGTAATTAATTTTTTTATTTTATATTCATTTCAGAAGGATATTCTTAAAAATAAATAAATTTTGGCATCTACTAGTTTTTCTCACTACCACTGTTCTTTTAATTGAGTTTTCTGTTTATGTATCACATACTATTTTATGGAACAGATACTAATTCTGAACCTCTTAAATAAAACTTTTGAGCATATGAAAATGTGTGTGAAACTTTGAAAAAGGTAACCTTTCACCTGGCGCCTAATCATAAAGATTAGAATTATCTAGAATTCTTGACAAAAATTAAGCTTTTTCACAGGATCTACTAACACGAATAATGAATACCAACCTTGTCTCCGTCTTCCCCAGGGGAGCCGGCAGGACCAGCTGGCCCTGGGAGACCAACAGGACCTTGAACTCCATCTCTCCCTGCAGGCCCTTGGGGACCTTTTTCTCCCTGTATTGAATATCCAAAGATCATTAATTTTACAGTTTTGAAGTGCAGCTACAAGAGTAATAATCTAGCTTCTATATTTGACAAGGATATTGTTTAATGTTTTTTAGAAAAACATTTTAAAGAATAAATGATACATGTTCCCTACCTTCATTTGTGACTAAGAATACTATTTTTTTAAATCACTTATAAATCTTAGGCTATGATACACAAAAATAATTAGGACCCAACTTAGAATTTTTCTTTCAAACATGCAATTATTATATATTGACAAATCAGATTTCTTACATTTGCAAAACTTTGCTGAGCCTCTTCTCCCCTTCCTTAGTGCCACTGGCATAGCTGTGCAATGGGTATTAGGCTTTAGAAATCAAAAAATGCAGTTGCTCATATGTCCAACTTTGCCATATGCTTTATATGTTTCATATGTAACTTTCTTATTTTTAAGTGTTTGTTTTGGTTCTCCTGGTTTTTAAAAATGGCATTATTTTCATGTTTAAATTTACCTATACTGTGTAATTTTTTAAAAGTGCCTTGATAATGAACTCAACTTCTGTTTCCGATAAAATATATTTTTGTAATTTAAAATAAATTATTTTCTAAGAGTCAAAATTTCATCAGTTTTGCACAAGATAATATTTTTGATTGCATTCAGAGGTCCTTTCTGTCCTTCTGTTATACAAGCTGGGAATCTACAAGTCATTAGGTTTTGCCTTTTCATTACCCCACTTTCCCTCACTTCCCTTAACATCTCCTGCTCCTTTAAAATGACTTAGTTTTAGACATTTTATCTCCTAATTATCTCTTGAATATATTGACTTTATCTCCATCACTGACACCTTACTCTATAATACTGGTATCCTTGTTCTGAGCTACTGAAAAAAACCTCCTGCCTTTCCCCATACGTATTCTTACTTCCTTCCAATCTATTCATCACACTGCATCCAGAAAGCCAATCAGATCATGTTACCTACATTCTTAGGTCAATTTACTTGTTTACTTTTCCTCAGATAAAGACTTCATGGCTTAGGGCAGCCTACCATGATCTAGCTCCTGCTACCTGCCCAAACACATCTAGCCTCCCCTAACCCTTGCTCTCTGCATTCCAACCCTTCTAGACATTTTTCTCAGTCCCTTAAATCTGATGCCATGTCCATTCCTGTGACATTGCCTGAGCACATTTTTTTCCTCTGGCCTGGAATGCCCCTATGAGAACTCTTTGCATAGTTAATTCCTTCTCATCTTTTACATCTCACCATCAATGCCTTGTCCAAGGAAAGTCCCCAATTCTAGCAGGTCTCTCTACTATAATCTGACATACACTATTACATTCCATTCATATGAGTAACCTGAGTTTGCCATTATATATGTATTTAGTGATTCTTTGCATATTATCAAATTGCCCTATCAGATAATAAACTATGTGAGGGTAGGAATTGTGTCTG
This sequence comes from Homo sapiens, assembly GCF_000001405.40. Taxonomy (NCBI): domain Eukaryota; kingdom Metazoa; phylum Chordata; class Mammalia; order Primates; family Hominidae; genus Homo; species Homo sapiens. The sequence continues at coordinate 102,941,877 of NC_000001.11, forward strand.
ATTTTGCATTCTATTATATATCTCTGGCCTGTGGACCAGAGTAGTCACTTAAGGAACTGTTGCTACATTACTTAATTAATGACAACAAAAGTAACAACATTAATAAGGCAAAATTAAATTGTTAACTAATTTATTACTTGCCTGGGTTTCATATGTTCTTGTTTTTCAAAAGGATGCCATAATTATTATAAGAAGGATGCCCCTGATGTCACTCTGGAGACCTTTTATCTTCTTCAAATAAATATGATATTTCAAATCTATCAATACTCATAGGATGTGCTGTGCTATTCACAGTAAACTTCACTATATTAAATACAATAGTTGATTCAGATAGTTCCCCTTAATTTGAATTCCCTTGCTAGCCTTAAACTCTAAAAGTCAATCCTTTTGTATAAGGTTTCCTGTAAATAAGGCAGATATATTCTCTTCTGCCTTCATTATAGTACACATAATCTCTAGCCAGGAATCACTTGCCATTCATTTCTTCTGACCCTGGTCTGTGTGATGTTGGGAGAAATTCAACAGATCTACAGCACTCTAAATTTATATTAGCCATTTATAATTCCTCAAGATGACATAACTCTTCCTCCATTATGTATCTCTTGGCCCACAATCTGCACAACTACTGGAAACATTCATCTCTCCTTGTAACCGTTCTTTATTTCACCACTTCTAACATTCCATTTACGTTAATAACTAAATCTTTCCTTAAAAAATGATAGAATTAGCTAAACATCCCCATGTCTTTTGTTTGATTTGGCATGGTCTTATATTTAACCTATACTCACACCCACAACTTTTATTACAATTCACAAAATCCATCACTCCTTCCTCAAAAGCTCATTTGTGTATTCATTCTCAGTTTATTATTTCATCCTTTTTTATGGCACTCTGATTCACACACTGATGGTAATGATAATACTACTACTAATAGTAATGATTATTCTGAACACTTCTCACAACTTATCACAATTCTGAAAAATGATTTAGAACTATAATTTTATCTAGTCCTCACAAAATACTGTGATTATCTTCTTTTCAGAGATGGCCATCTTCTTTTCAGAGTTGAGAAAACAGAGGTTTTGATTTTAAATAACTTAACCAAAATCATGAACTAAATAAATGATAGGGGTAGCTCCCAACCCACTTCTGGTTGTCTTCAAGCAGGCAACTTGAGTCTACTCTCATTTCCTTAACTCCTTAACTTTTCCACTGACTATTTTCTTATTATTGATAAAGTAGATAAATATATGCACCACATAATAATAATAATGAGGCAACGCATTCAATCTTATTAGTACTTCCACCTATGGCTCATTTTTCTATGGGTTCCATGCCCTGCTTGAGGTGATTTACATGTCCCTACTCCACTCCTCTATAGTCCATTTTTTTTCTTTTTGAATCAATTTAGAATTAATCTAAAGGTATAAATACCCAGCAGGTAAAATCCCAGTCTCTTTATTTCTTTGTCTTTCGGATTTCAGTATTCTCGATCTTTTACATCCCACAAAAGGGAACTTGTTTATGTCTTGTTCTGTTTGATGGCATGCCTCTGGAGATACACACACACACACATACACACACACACACACACACACACACACACACAAACAACCTCATGGACTATTTTTCTCTCTTATTAGATGCTTTCAGAACTTACACCCATTATAATTCTCCATTAAGACTTGAGTCCAGGCTTCTGTTTTCTCTCAACACTACATCACGTGGTAATCCAAAAATATGCTTTTAAACATCACTCTTATTTTAAATGACTCCCAGACTTACAATTCTGGCACTGATTATTTTCTCTGCAATTATACACACATACATGCTAGAAATTGTAAATAAGTATTTGAAGAATACTTTTCCTAAAATTTCAAACTGCTATTGCCTAATTCAGTTATAGTTAGTGCATTGACTTCACTGTGTTTTAGATCTAGCTCTTCCCCCCAATTTCTACAACTGTCCCCAAATAGATGCATAGTTAAAATCACTTCTTCTCTGTAATCTTTGCATCCAGTAACTAATAGTTTTCATTAGAATCAGTTTCCCTATCAAAATTTTCTATCAATGAAATTAAATTGGAGAAGGTTTTAGCCCCTTTCTTCTTACCTGCTTTCCAGACTCACCTCCTAGAGTTTCTAATCTAACTGATTAATAATATAGGGATGCTAATTAGGACATTTCTCCATTCTAGGAAGCAGGGTTGATGGGTAGGTAGACCAAGGGCTTGTCTTCCACAGGTCACATCTTGCCTTTCTTTTAATGCAAATGTAAACCTGCTGATAACTGCATAACATTTTTATAAGATAAGCTGCTCAGCAGAGGTAAGATCTAAAATTTATATTTGAAAAGAGGAAGAAGTAAAGTCTAGATATAACATTTTGCCCAACATTTTCATCAGTTTTTATTAAACTTCTGAATGGATATCTATAACTCCTTTCACTGAACACTCTTATTACCCACTTTATGTTACTGTCCCTAAGCAGACAGCTCCTTCAAAAGTATAATGCTAACAATACAGTGCCTACCCCTTAGTTATTCTAAATAGCTAATTTTGGCTAATAGAAAATGGAATGAGCATGCTGGAGTTGTTGTCCTTGGCTGGGATAACTGAAAGAGGATGGGGAAGCAAGGCATTCCCTTTTCCCTTCTCTAGTTATGATATCACTAATTACCAACAAAACTCAGGCCTGAATCCTGGCTCTTACAAAGGCTAATGTCAATAATTTTTCATCTGTCTCACCTAATTAATTTCTTATCGGTTTCAATGTTTTTTGATATTCTGATCTTTATTTCAATAACTTACTTATTCTTCATAAATCTAAGGTTTTTATCCACTTTAAAATCTACCATTCAATATATTATCTTCACAGAAATATTGACTTATCTAATTAGTATATTCTCAATTTGTATACAAAGCAATTTATGTCTATTTTCTCTGTATGCATTATTTAGTGTATTGTGCAAAATATGTGTTCCCTATATTTTTTAATTAATTTGTATTAAAGGAACTGAATCTATTTTCTATCTTCTCCTAGTACACAGTACACTATAAAATATATTTTCTCAGCATATTAAAAGTGCTTTTTCTGTCACCTAAAAGTTCTATCCACAGGTGGCATGGCCCATTCCAACATTCTAACTCTTTCTGAAAGGTAATGGATTACAGAAAACATTTTTTTTTTATTTGCTACAGTTTGAATGTGTCACCAAAAAAACATCTTTTGGAAACTTAATTCCCAGTGCAACAGTGTGGGGGAGTAGGGCCTAATGAAAGCTGATTAGGCCATGAGGGCAAAATGAAATTAATTAATGCCGTTATTGCATTAGTGGGTTCATTAAAACAAAGGGAATTTGTTTTCTTTTTACTCTCTCTCTCTCTCTCTCTCTCTCTCTCTCTCTCTCTCTAGCCCTGTCTTTCTCCATCTACCATGGGATGATGTGCCAAGAAGTTCTTTACCAGATGTGGCCCCACTATCTTGGACTTTCCATCCACCAGCACCATGAGCCAATATATTTTTGTTCATTATAAATTACCCAGTCTGTGGTATTCTGTTATAACTGCACAAAATGGTCTCAAACAGAAATATTGGAATAATATCACAGAATAATCAGAGAAAATGCATAGACAATGAAAGCAAATCAACTTGATAAAACTGAAGTCTTAGTGATAGAGGAGTATTTTTGAATATAAGCTTAAGCTTAATTTTATATATCAATACTTACCAGTATACAAAAATATTCAACTTATATTTTTGTGTATCAGAGCCAATACTTTTTATCTACATTTACTGAAACAGTTTGTGTTTTAATCTTGTAGGAAGAGAGAATCATTTTTAAAAAATACAATCATATCAAAAGCAGGAAAAAAAATAGAGAAGAAATCTTAACAAAGAAACCTAAACATAATGAGTGGAATAGTCCATAGTCATGTAAATATAAACTGAGTATATACCCAAAGGACTATAAATCATGCTGCCATAAAGACACATGCACACGTATGTTTATTGCGGCACTATTCACAATAGCAAAGACTTGGAACCAACCCAAATGTCCAACAATGATAGACTGGATTAAGAAAATGTGGCACACATACACCATGGAATACTATGCAGCCATAAAAAATGATGAGTTCATGTCCTTTGTAGGGACATGGATGAAATTGGAAATCATCATTCTCAGTAAACTATCGCAAGGACAAAAAACCAAACACCAGATGTTCTCACTCATAGATGGGAACTGAACAATGAGAACACATGGACACAGGAAGGAGAACATGACACTCTGGGGACTGTTGTGGGGTGGGGGGAGGGGGGAGGGATAGCATTAGGAGATATACCTAATGCTAAATGACGAGTTAATGGGTGCAGCACACCAGCATGGCACATGTATACATATGTAACTAACCTGCACATTGTGGACATGTACCCTAAAACTTAAAGTATAATAAACCCCCCCCCAAAAAATGTTAAAATCCAATAGATATTAGATGAAATAATTAGTGAGATGTTCCCTGTCTCACTCACTGGCGATCGGAGCTCAGATTACATGAGAAGGGCAGCTATTTTCTATGAGTCTTATTTACAGACTATGGAAATGCTTGAAATTGAATTTGTATTACAAGAGGTGTAAAAAGTTCACACTTTTCTAATGTAAAGCAGCAAGGTATAGCTTCAATAAAAAACTCACAACTTTTTTTTTTTAAAAAAAGCAAAATGAAAAGCCTTTTACATTAATAATATCCAACTCCCTCACAGGTATTACGGTTTCATAAAGTGTGGGAAAATGTCATCTCATTTAATTGAATTTGAAATTTTCTCTATTATACATATACGAGCCAGGGTATTTACATGCCAGACACATATGCAGAGAGAATACGGTGGTGTATGAAAAGCTAATATTATTGAATAAAAAGTAATAACGTGTACAGGGTAGCAGCATAATATATTTTCTCCTAGACATTACTTACAGGAGCACCTTTCTCTCCAGCTGGACCAGGAGGACCCTGAGGTCCCGGGCGCCCTGGTAAACCAATTGGGCCAGCTGTACCTGCTGACCCACGTTCTCCTGGTGAGCCCTAGTATACAGGAAAAGAAGTATTTTGTTATTAAAGAAAGTAATACTGGCTTAAGAATCACTTATTTAACAATAGCTTCTTACAGTCTAGTAAATTATGTTAAAGAAACATTTAGAGTTTAGATAATTTTAAGATCCCAAAGAGAAACAGTTGAATCCACTATTTGAGAGACTAATTTCCAGCCCCAATATTAAGCATAGATGTTGATGTTAGAAAATATTGATGAGATGAAAAAATACATCAAAATTAGATGTATTTAATATTTATTTAATGTTATCTGTTTCCATTTAAGTGTTCATAATTGTGCACAATGCTTTATAAAAAATATATCTAATAACCTCCTACATAAATTTCTCCCTGTATTATAATGAATTGGCAGAATACAATCCCTAAACTAGTGTTTCTTGAAGTAATTTCTAGGCTTTTTTTCAAATGTGCTGAACCAAGGTTTCAAAATAAAAAAAATGGGTTCAGAAATTCTTTGCATTAGGATACACACAAAATTTTTTACAAAATAACATTTGATAATCACTATCCTAAAGTCTGGACGTTTTCCCAAAGGATAAGCTATTAAATTCAACTTAGAGTTCTATAGGACCACTGGGTCTTATGAACACTGATGAGATCATTTGAATCTGATTAGGTTTTTTAATTTTTTTTAACTGAGTTTCAAAAAAGATGTAATGCTTTTAACTAGTTTGCTTTTTTAAAAAACCTCATATATATAGATTTTTGAAAATAATCACATGGATACTGCTTTTATAGTAATTATCTGTACCAACAATTTAAGAAAACATTATTAAAACAAGAATAAAAGAAATGCAAACATACATACTAAGTATTGTAAAGCTCAAGTATAATCTATTTCTACTTCCAATTTTAGTTACTAAAAGATAACAAAAAATTGTCTTTGGATTCTCAGAGGGGTGATTGAATTACAATTTATCTTTTTATTTTATGTTTAAACTAAATGTAAAATATTAGAAAATATAATTGTTAGTATTTTTTCTTAATAATTAACATACTTAGATAACATCATCATTTCAAAACTCAGAGAAAATTATTTATAAAAGCTGGAAAATATACTACTTTATGTTTTCTACTATTATACTTAATGATATATTAGAAATCATTTTATTATACAAATTTACATTATTGACTTTGTTCTAATTTGTATTTTTATTAACCAGGAAACTAATTACATGTGATAAAAATGGTAACTATACCAACAACTTGTATTAACATAATGCTTTACAATTCACAAATCAGTTTAACTTTCATCTTATTTTATTCTCACAACAATTCCAGGTAGTTTATAGAGCTGTTGTAGCATCTGTTTTAAAAATGAAGAATCTCTGGCTCAAAGAAGTTAACCGTCCTTCCTGTAATCATATAACTAGTTAAGAGAACCCTGAGCTTGGACTCTACTCTGATTTCTTGACAAAGCCACCCATTGGTTCTTTCTAATGAGGACATCAATGTTTGTAATTATTGGGTATCTTAAAGTTAGTTGATAGAAATAATTTGGAGAGACATTGCCAAAAATATAATTAAGGAAATTGTGAAATTTGAGCTTTATATAAACAAAAGTGGCATTTTTGAGCTGTGAGTAAGTATATATTCAAAAACTAATCTAGGGAATATTCTTATATTGCATAATAAATGAGTTGTATGTAAACTCTATTTTTACCAATGAAGTATTCCAAATACTAAAGAGGAGGCTATAGTTATAAGAGAAAATTGCAGTTAGTACTTTTTTGATAATAAACATATACTTTTTCATCAATGTATTTTTTAATTTAATAATATTAAAATATTTTATGAATAAAATAGTCAACCACAAGTTGTATTACTGTTAACCAGGTAACAGACTCCTGTTGAATGATTATAGAAGTCAATGCAGTAGAAAAAATAATAGAATCCTCCTACTGTTGCACATTCAAAATGAGCAACCCTAAGAGTAAAAAGAACACAAATATTTGCCTCTAATTCTTTGAGAGGGAGGTCAGGAAGGAAGAAAAAAGTATAGGAGGTGGATAAGAAGAAGAGCAAGAAGAGCAAGGTCTATGAATTGAGAGGAATGCAAAGGTGTCCCTTGAATTACTAAAAAGAGAGAAAAGAAAAAAGTCAGTAATAAAAGTGCTCCTTTTTTGGTAACAGAAACACATCAACAGAAGACAACACATGATGCAACTAGGGTTATTCTACTCAAGTTAAAATTAATACCACTAAAGATAAATCTCCACTAATCTGAAACACTGATTTATTGAGGATCAATGTACATATAAGGTGACTATATTACAATTTTGTTTAGTATTTCACTTCTAACCCTCACAAAATGATTGCTATCCATTAGTTTTATCAAATCTAGAATAAGCATTCAATTTAACTTCTGCAGTATTTTATTTGTAATTGGCTATACAAAAAGAGGTGCGATTTTAATTTGTCGGGCCATAAAATTTTTCTCTCTTTAATCCTGTTTAAACCCTAACTGTTCAAAGAATACCCTAGGAAGATATCACACTAGGCTATGGCGAAGTTGATGGGTACTAGACTAGAATGAAAAAGGGAGAATCAACAAAAGTTTGAAGTCCATTTTAAGAGAATTAACTGACTTACAATTATTATACCTACTAATTAACAATTATTGTGCTAAGTGCTTTGCATATGCAATATAATTTTATTGCTGTATGACTTGTATATTTTTAAGTTAAAAACCATGGACTCAAGGTCTGTGTGCCCTAATTCACTACCAAGTATTTTCTACAACGCTTAGCAGTTTATAAATGGTGAAAACAAAATTTCCTTGACTCATTGTACCCATACAACTCATGGGTACAATGAATTGTGCTAAATTTTAATAAATGGAAGAAATATAGCCACTTAAGAGCCACTTCTACCAAAACAAGCTCATTTTGGTTGAACATTGTGTAAAACAAACAAAAAACTTAAAGGAATTGATGAAAATGCTTGTCTCCTTTATCCAAATAATCATTCTCCATCATTCATTCAGTTCATTTGACCTTTGATACACAATTCATTAGAATCTCTGCTCTTGGCTGGGCACTGTGTCTCATGCCTGTAATCTCAGCACTTTGGGAGGCCAAGGTGGGCAGATTGCTTGAGGCCAGGAGTTCAAGACCTGGATAACATGGTGAAACCCCCTCTCTAATAAAAATACAAAAATTATCTGGGTGTAGTGGCATGCACCTATAGTCAGCTACTCAGGACAGGAGGGTCACCTGAGCCCAGGGAGGTCAAGGCTGCAGTGAGCTGTGATTATACTGCTGCACTCCAGCCTAGGTGACAGAGCAGGACTCTGTCTCGAAAGAAAAAAGAAGTCTCTGCTCTTTGTCATATTGTTTATAAGTTTATTTGTAATTTTCAACAACAAAGGACGTTTTCACTTTTGGTAATTTTTCAACACATTTCACTGGAGACACCATGGTACTTTTTCATCTGCCTTCACTCCTTATTTCAGAGTTCACCTATGCTGAACTCTGAAATAGTGTGGGTTAATGCATCTTTTTGAGAATATATTTATCCTCAGTCATCCTAGAAAATATTCAACTCACATTCTTAGAATTTTTTTTTTACTTTATATCTTAGCATTCTACTTTGAACATTATTTTATCCTAAAATATTACATCTCTCACTGTCTCTCTAACACAATATGTCCAATTTTCACTTCTGAATATTTGGTCACACTTATCTTCTGACATGGAAAGTCTTTGGTCTTTTCCTATACTACTAAAATTCCAGCCTCTTTTTTTTGACCCAGGTCAATAACCATCTGATATGCTTAGGCTTTGTGTCCCCACCCAAATCTCATCTTGCTTTATAACCTCCATAATCCTCATTATCCCCACCTGTCAAGGGAGAGATTAAGTGAAGACAATGGAATCATGAGGTCAGTTTCCCCCATGCTGTTCTCCTGACAATGAGTGAGTTCTTATGGGATCTGATGGTTTATAAGGGGCTCTTCCCCCTTTGCTAGGCACTTCTTCCTGCTTACTTGTGAAGAAGGTGCCTTGCTTCCCCTTTGCCTTCCACCATGATTGTAAGTTTCCCGAGGCTTCCCCAGCCGTGCTGTACTGTGAGTCAATTAAACCTCTTTCCTTTATAAATTATCTAGTCTCGGGCAGTTCTTTATAGCAGCACGAAAATGGACTGATATACCATCTTACCAAAAAATTGTATTTTCCTGAGAATTAGAAGCATGAGATCCTTCAAAGTATTTCTTATACACTTTCTTATAGAACCTTGGTTTTCTACCATTATTTTTGGAGTGAATTAATGCAGCACTTGGCACTACATTCTGAGTAGTAAATATCTCCATGTCTCTTAATTCATATTAACAAACAATAATATATTGACTGTATGCATTAAATAACTATAATGCATTTGTGTTTTTATTATGTATGCAAACATGTTGAACATGTTAAAAATTTAGGCGTCACGCCGGGAGTGGTGGCTCACACCTGTAATCCCAGCACTTTGGGAGGCCAAGGCGGGCGGATCACGAGGTCAGGAGATTGAGACCATCCTGGCTAACACGGTGAAACCCTGTCTCTACCAAATACAATAAATTAGCTGGGCGTGGTGGCGTCTCTACTAAAAACACAAAAAATTAGCCGGGTGTGGTGGCAGGTGGTAGGTGATAGTCCCAGCTACTCGGGAGGCTGAGGCAGGAGAATAGCGTGAATCCGGGAGGTGGAGCTTGCAGTGAGCCGATATCGCGCCACTGCACTCCAGAGCCTGGGCAACGGAGCCAGACTCCGTCTTAAAAAAATAAAATAAAATAAAATAAAATAAAAATTAGGCTTCAAATGTACACACATGTAGTCAAGAGAAATTTTTCAAATTTGCAGGAAAATTGCTATTGAATGTATATTTTCCCTGTAAGAAATGGTTTCAAAATGAAAGAAAATAAATATTACCTTAACTGGATGCATTATGATTGACATGTTATATGAAAGTAAGCCATGGCTTTTACTTATGAAAATAATGCTTATTAAATTTATACCGAAGTATGTTTATTATTTAAAATTAATTGAAATATTTTAATAATTATTTTAACATATATCAAGAAGAGACAGAATGCTGATTTGACTCTATGGCAATGTGTGTAGTTTGTAGATACTGTATACTATTTTTTTTTGAGATGGAGTCTTGCTCTGTCACCAGGCTGAAGTGCAGTGGTGCGATCTTGGCTCACTGCAACCTCCACCTCCCAGGTTCAAACGATTCTCCTGCCTTAGCCTTCTGAGTAGCAGAGACTACAGGCACCCGCCACCACGTCCAGGTAATTTTTGTATTTTTAGTAGAGACAGGGTTTCACCATGTTGGCCAGGATGGTCTCGATCTCTTGACCTCGTGATCCACCTGTCTTGGCCTCCCAAAGTGCTGGAATTACAGGTGTGAGCCACCGTGCCCAGCCAGATACTGTATACTATTTTTTATTTAAAAGCTTAACTGTTTTAATTTCTCCCTTGGAGCATTCATAAGATTAAATTTCAGATTGTCATCTTGCTTGTGGAAGCTGCATTAAAATTAGTGTAGAGAATATATTACTTTTCTGTAGTTAAAATATTGCTCATGATCTTGTCACAGCTCATAAACTTTGAAACAACAGATGAAAACAAGAGAAGACTTTTGGAATGTATATCCATGCCCTAAAGTACAACTGCAATTTCTTTTTCTATTAGTTACTTCAAACACTCTCAAAGCCTAGATGTTTGTAATAACAGCATGCTCTGCTATAATTTTATTTTATATATCTATAAATGAAAAGTGAAAATCTCTGATGGTACCTACCCATTAAGCAAATGACATAGCAAACTTGCAAATCTTATTTAAATATTCTCATGCCAACTTTAAAAGAATAAGCCTATGAATCCTTTAATCTCAACAGAATCACTGGAGAAGTTATATTTTTTAAGCAAAAATTTAAGCCCAATATGAAAAGAAGGTACCATTTAGACATTCAACTAAAAACTCCATGTTCAACACTAATGAGAATCTATTCTCTTGGGACACTTGATTGTGAATATGAAATGTATTATGGCAGGAAGCAGCCCTTGAGAAACTCACATTGTGTATATACTTTTTTTGTTTGCATAAAGAGTAGGCATATATAGTGAGACATTTTTGTATTGCTGTATAGCTGGCTAAAGAACAAGGGACTTTATAATTGTCAGATAAATAAACTATTATATCTAAACTGAATGATTGTCTTTAAGCATAGGTAAAATAGATAATGATCAACTTCACAAAGGTAGAGGTTTTTGATTTTTCTTTTTTTTTCTTTTTTCAATGATCTCCAGCAGTTTGAGTAGTTACTGGCACATAGTATGCCATAAATAAGTGTGTCAATTAAGTGTATGATCTTTCCCTCTCTAGCACTGGAACCACTAGCTTTCTGATCTGGAGCAAACTCTCTATGGGCCACTTTTGTTGCCATAGATGGAGAGAAATAGTTTGTCATCAGGTTTTTGTCATGTTTACTATGATACATCTAAAGTTATTTCAACAATGCCTGTCATAATAGAGACAGAAATAGTTTGTCATCAGGTTTTAGTCATATTTAATATAACTAAAGTTCTTTGAACAATGCCTGTCAAAAAGTATAAATGTAATAGATGTTAGAGGACTGTAAGTGAACAGTTATATATTCCAAAAATAGATATAAAATCTCAAATAATTGTAGAAGTAAAATTTTACAGAAAAGTAAACTAAGATCCAGAAAATTATATGGCATATTTAATACATTAATAAATGAATATCAAAACAACAGGTATAAAATACCCTGTTAAAAGAAGGGTAGGGCTTTTTCCACCATTAATATGGCATTGTTAATCCTAACTTTTAACTATTTGTATACTTGTCTCTCTGTAAGAAGGATAGATATTTTACACATTGAAAGTGCTTAGCTAGAAAGAACTCAAAGGAGGGACTAAAAATTATAGCAATATTATTTTCTTAATATGTGATTTAAATGACAATAAAAACATGTTTCCCAAAGGCAATAATATCTGTTTAATTTCATGAATTACAATGACCATAATATCATAAGTGTTCTGTTATTTCGGTACTAAATATTAACAACTATGGAAAACATGCCATTTTTCTCTTGTTTTGAACTGAAAAGTGAACATTTACATGCTTTTAAAAGGGAAGAATTTACCTTTCTCTACTTAGTTACCTTTCTTTACTTGTGTATTAGCTTTATCCCCTTCTGCAGCCCTTCCCCTAAATCCTGCTGCACCTTCATCTAAAACTTACAATGATAATGAAACAAGAAGCAATAGCATTGGTCTATATTCCTGGAGCAATGAGAATAGAAAGTATTCCCCTAATCCCTCACACAGATGAGAACACCAAAATAAATGTTTTATCAGTTATTTTCACTGGATGTTTCATATTCTGAGGAGCATTTGTAAAGTAAATGAAAGTGATAGACAAATCACCTCATCAGCATTCAGTTAAGATGCCGCCCACTAGAGAGAAAAATAGAAGCATAAACACATAAAGTGCTTACAAACCAGAGCTATACAACTAGAGGGCAAAAACACGTCTGCTCTGTCTTTTTAAAAAGTTGACCTTCAGCCAGGCACCTTGGCTCACGCCTGTAATCCCAACACTTTGGGAGGCCGAAGCGGGTGGATCACCTGAGGTCAGAAGCCCGAGACCAGCCTGGCCAATATAGTGAAACCCCGTTTCTACGAAAAATACAAAAATTATCCGGGTTGGTGGTGGGTGCCTGCAATCCCAGCTACTCGGGAGGCTGAGACAGGAGAATCACTTGAACCTAGGAGGCGGAGGTTGCAGTGAGGCGAGATTGCGTCACTGCATTCCAGACTGGGCGACAAGAGCGAAACTCCCTCTTGAAATAAAAAAAAAAAAAAAAGAAGTTGACCTTCATGTCAAAACTATGAAGTACTTTCACTCTCTACATGACATACATTTTAGATTACGTGAACTAAAAATTCAGATGAACTATCAAGCATTATCAGAATTTAAAGCATAGACTCTGATGATCAAAGTCAAATCAAATACCTCAGATTTTGATCACTGGTCCCCATCACTATTGCTACATTTATCTCATCCCTAGTTGGATGTAATCATAGTCCACTAAGGTCTACCTGGGTCACAATGGAGAAAATGGACTTTATCTTAAAATGTATAGAGTCTGACTTGGCATGTCGGTACATGACATCCTTTTAAACCTTGGTTATTCCCTTGCTGGAAGAATAAGTAAAAGCCAAGGAAAAGAAGGTTCTCAGAAATAGGATGAAGAAAAAAAAATAAGAGGAATAGGAATTATGATAGGAAGAGAATGTGAACTCTTAGAGAAGCAAGAGAAGAAGAAGAAATAATAAATAAAGAGGAAAATAAAGTCAGAATCATGGGGGGATGGTCACATAATAGGAGTCACAGGAAAACAGCAAAGACTGCTATACCGCACAATTTTGAAATATTGGACATATATTCTGTACCAGCTATCTGGCTCCTCTCATATACTTTCTGCATGTTAACTTCCACAACTCCTAGGGATAAAATATACATGTGATTGTAAAGATAGAAGGCTTTTACAAAACATACTACTATATTTGTTTTAATCTCATTTTTAGATAAATAACTGTTGTTAATGAGATTGTTCTCTACCATAAAGAATATCTGGAGGAGAGATTATTTAGGGAAAATATATTTTCCCTAAATATTATTTTCCTTGATTTTGTTTTATAAAAATATATGCAGTAGGTGAAATCTGAGAATTTGTTGCATGATATATTTACATATATCTGTTTACATACATAGAAAACATTTACTCAGTTTATATTCATCATGCAGAAAAATGCTGCACTGCCTTACTCTCTTGATGTTCAGTCTCTTGCTACTTTCTGCCTTGTGTGTGCATCAAGACATCCATTTAGTGACTACATCCCCTGAGATCAGAAGACATGCCCTGGATTTGATTGGCATCTGTTACCAGTTCTTGGATACAACATCACGTATACAGGGAACACTTGGTTTTCCTAGACTTTAAAATCCCAACGTCACAGCACCCTATTGGTATAATTTTGTCATAAGTGGTAGCACGACAGAACGTTCCTCAGTATACAATAACTCCCAGGACCAAAACCTTTAGATAACCCTAACCTTGAAATACTAGTTCTTTACTAAGAGGACAAAAAGTGATGAGCAGTTCAAGACTAAATTTAGCACACAAAAAGGCTGCTTTTCATAGATAAAACTGGTTTTTATTTACAGCTTCAATTCAAACATAATTTCCTTAGGCAAAAAACATTGTTCTCACCTTTGTGTTTTCTGTTCTTTTAGTATATTCTTATTATTTACTATGTTATTTTATCTGCTCTTTGTCCTCCTCAGTAAACCATAAGCTCTTTGCAGGAAGGTCCATTTTATGAATCAATATAACTTCAGTTTAATAGATTGTCTGATATTTTCTGGTATTTATTTCTTTATGGTACTTTCACAGAAAAAGACTTATAGCAGCTTAAATAGTATGCATAAAATATTAGACAATATAAATTTTAAAATAGGTAAGCAAGGAAAACAGGTAAGCAAATAACTTTTTATTGAAGTAAAATGGAGCCAGTAGTAGTAGTAAACTAAAAATGCATACCAAGACCAAGGATTTTTCTAACTGTAGGTTATGCTCCATGAGTAGGTTATGAGGTAAATTTCACAGGTCTTGCCCAGTATTTAAAAATATTAACTATAACAAAATATAATAGAAAATATTAAAGTATATCATAGGTACTTTTGATAGTAAGTTGTGTTCAAAAAGTTTTTACAATAGTTATCAAACATTATCTTCTGTACCGTCTCTATTTTGACTCCATTATTTCTGTAAGCCAAAGTGAAAAGAATTCTAAGTTTTGTAATTCAAACTGACTAAAAAAAAAACCAAGTCAGTTAATATTTAAAAAAATTTTAAATATTCTATAAAAAGCATACTTGAAAAAAAGAAATTGCAAATATTTTTAAAGCTATGGTTAGCAAGAGATTTCTTCCAAGGATATTCATAAAGATGACCCTGTATAAAGCAATATCCCATATCTTCAAACAGATTTTTTTAGTTTATTTGTTTTACAAATAAAGTTTCTCTAAATATAAGTCAATGACATACACCTAGACCTACCTGAGTACAGTAAATCCACTTCTATGGAGTGTCATAATAACGACCTATGTTTCAGACTAAATGGATTATAAATAAAGAGAATAGATGCTAAATATACTTATAAATGAATAGATAGAACACTTGAATGGATACATTAGAATTAAATATTATATTTGTTCTTTTTGCAGATTAGAGTCATATAGTAAGGATATAGTGCATAAGCTACATAATTGGGACACATACAAACTTTGCAAATATCACTGTGAGCAATAAGGTTAGCTGATTAAAGCTCTGCTTAGGACTTTTAGTTTTAGTTCATCAGTATCCTGTGCAATGAGGGAATTTATTATTTCCCTAGCAATCCAGAAATACACAGCACAACTACATTCCTTATGAATTGCATTATAGGTGAAAGAAACTAAGAGTTCAATGGCATTCTGACAAACATCTTGTCATTAAAAAATCAACCTGTATATTAGTTTAATCAGTTTCATCTTCGATTCATTCAAAATAAGCAATAGTTATAGAGAATATGTAGTAATATTAAAGCCTAGGTAGTTGAAATACTAACTCTTCTCACTCTCTTTTGACAAAATTGTTCACAGAGATTTAGAAGGGTCAAGATGACTTGAAAATGAGTTTATGTAAAGTGCTATCATGGATATTTGCCCAGATAATTTGGGCAAGCTCTATACTTCTTCAAGCCTCAGATCTTTTGTCTTTAAATATGGAATGGTAAAATAGAAAAAAAAAATCTACCATTCCAAGTTGCAAGAATAAGAATAACAGATATAAAATACCTAGCATAAGAGTTGAAAGAATAAACACTCAATATTACTTCATTTCCCTTTTCTATTTCCTTTAGACTTCACATTCTCTTCCTCAGAACTCATCACTTTGCTTTGCTTTTTCCTTAATACAAATAACCACTGAATACTCATCACTCTGTTTCTGTGAATTCCTGTCTTGCACTTACAATTATTTGGTCAATATTCTAAAGGTAAAGTTAACATAAGATTGATATAAACTCAGACATATACATTATAAAATGAATTTTTAGAAGATGTTCTTATGCCTTTATTCCTTATGACTCAGAATTTTATCATTTCTCACCAACTGATCAAATACTTCCCCTTTAATATTTTGCCATCACCTTTTCTATTAACATTGCAAAGCAGAACTTGTTACCTTTTAAAGAAATCCCTACTCCTGATTCTTTTTTTTTTCAATATTAATTGCAAGGGAAACTCATAGTAAGTTTTGAACCTCAAAAAATAAGAATTGACATTATTAATTTTCTAGATAAATTATACTTCACATCTAGAAAACCATCCAGTTTTTGTTTTATCTGTCATTTGGAATTAAAAAATTCAAAATCAAATTTTATGTGATGTAATCACTTTAAATGGAGTAAACTAAGGCTCGCTCAGCACTTGTTATGAACTGAGTCATCATCATGCACCGCTTCACTAGATTCTGCAGCAATTAAAACAATAGTGTTAGGAACTAATAAATGTGTATGGTGTCTTCCTTTTAGTGAATCCTTTTCCAACAACTTTAAGGAATAATTTTAATTGGTTGATGTTTGCATATTTGATTTGCAAATATAAGAATGGTTATTAATTTCAAATAAACACAGTGAGCATCTATCAAGCATATCTATTAGCAAAGTATAAAATCCTTTGTAATTTTTTGTGACTGCCAAGAGGTTTTAAAAGTTTTTGTGTGTGAATATTTCTGGTTTTTGTTTGTTCTTGCTCTTGATGAGGTAAAATTGCTCTAGGCATGGAAGGCGTCACCAAACTGTCATTCTCTCAAGGACATAAGCTTGAGGTCATTGTTCAGTTTTCATTTGTCCTCACTGCCCACATCAAATCTTAGTCATAAATCCTACTACCTCGCCCCCTCCGTGTTTGCTACATCTGCAATGTCCTTGGATTCCACGTTGCCCAAGTCATCGGCTCACTCCAATGTTGACATTGGTCACTGGACTTTTGTGATCTATTCTCTCCTATCTCTGTTAGATATTAAACATTAATGACAGATTTGTTTTCTTAAAACTTCAATTTGTTTACTCCACTTGTTCTGTACATTTCAAATATTCAAATGACTACATCTTGCAATTTCAGAGCTTCAGTAATTATATGTTGTATTAGTGATTTAGTTTTTTATTATGTAAAATAGCAGAGTGCTTAGATGCTAGCAAGAATTCAACAAATGTTAGTCCATCTCCCAAATTTTGTCCCACTTGGGCAAAAACAGATACTAATTAAACATCACATCTCTTTCCTAGTATTTTCTCGCTCTTCAACGATTTTGTAATCTGCACTCTGTGAAGCCAAGTTCGAGGGTCACCTTTTCCACATGGCCCTTCCCCTTATTTATATTCTCTTTCTACCTCCCTCATAGAATTAACATTTATTGTTTGTATGTCATTAGGCATTTAATCACCAACCAACTTACAGTGCTATTTAGTCTTTGGTGTATTTCTTTTCAAAATTGTTTATCCTATTTTATCTCAAAGAATATCTACTGTGATGTTCAGTTGCATATAACAAAGTAAGTAATAATTCTCAAATACACAGTTGAAGCCAAATAAATAAAAGTACATTTAATGTTATTCTACATGTAACTATACATATTTCAATTAACATTTTGAAAATTGTATCCCCTGGACATAGTATGCAGCCTACAAATACACTGGTTTCAACTGTTCCCAACCCTTGAGAGAGCTTCAGTGCTTGGTTCCTAAAAAATAACTTAAAACAATTTAATCCTTATAGTCACAGCTCAGATGATTAGTTCAGTGTGCATTTTTCTTAAAACATCATTTATTCCTAGAAGATATCTTTAGAATCTGAAGGTCTGGTTAAATGGATTGCATTTTACTGAAATTTTAGAAGATTCTATATCTAAATAAGAACTTTTGTCTTATTAAGTTGTTGTTGCTGCTAATGCTACTGTCACTAACTTTTGAGGACATTAGAAAATGTTCATAATTTTATGAACTCCAGTGTAAGTCTAATACAGTTATCAAAATATATTTTCTTTAAAAAATATCTTTGCCACATTTCCATAATTATGTCAATGGTTGTTATATGATGTGAGTGAAGTAAAGAGTAAGTATCATGTGAATCAATCTGAAAAATGATACACTTGTTGTATTCCCAGTATTAAGTAATGCTATATAAAATTTATTCCAATATTAGGTATTCATAATAATTCAAATGGGTAAGTGTGAGATGATTACTGTGCTTCAGGCACCGTATTTTGAGTAACCAAAATAATACTGGTAACTCACAGCCTAATGCGAGAGACAGCCAACTATATTCCAATGTAATTTCTAAAAATGGAGATATAATAAAGGTCACTGGGTGTGTGTGTGGGGGGGGGAATTTTTACAAATACATGAAATGGAGGCAAATTATCCAAAGATGACTTTATAGAGATTTAACATTTAAGAGTTATCTTTATGGTTGGGTAGGATCTTTGTCAAGTAGAGAAAGAAAAACTGGAGTTTCCTGGAGAAAGGGGAAAGGTGTACAGTATACTCTTCTCAAAATAGAAAAGGTCATGGTTTTGAGAAGCAAGACAACATTCAATGCATTAAGTTGGGTAGAATTAAAAGGGAGGCATGAAGGGAAAAAAAAAGGACTATAGCAATTGGGGTTGAACTATGAAGATGACTTGCTGGCTAGGATAAGGAGCTTGGTTTCCAAAGGCAGTGTGGAACTATAGGATGGGTATGATAGAGGAATGCCATAGTTAAGGATGTATGTTAAACTAGTATTCTATAGGTGAAACTGACTGAAGGGGATAAGAAAATGAATCAAAAGATAAGATGTTATTAGTCAAAGAGAAAGGAAGAGGAAAGAGTCTGAACAAAATGGTGGTGGTAGAAATGAAGAAAGCGGAAAAATTAGTAAAATATTTTGGAAGCAAAACTAATGAATATTGTGTGAAAGGAAGTTGAGAGGGCCTTTAAGGCAACTTTCAGCTTTTTAGATTGGTGAAATAAGAAAATGAGAAGAAGACACTAAATATGGCAGTTTGGCTGTTATAGTGAAATTTCAGTGTGCAGATAAGAATAAAGGTGAATTTATTAAAAAATGAAGCATACATTCAATTGTTTTCTGAGGGATTGATATGTATCTCAAGAAAAAAATGAGGTAAAAATCTGATATTTACTAATTTGCCAATTATTTCATAATGTTTTGATTAAATAAAGCAATATGCATAATATATAAGATTGTGCTTATGGGTTTTATGCTTTTATGCTTATGTTTTTTGTATCATTGACAAATTCAAGTCTCATCAAGTACTTATAAACAAATTAAATATGTTTTATAATAAATGAATGATAGAATATAATTTATAAGAAATCAAATCTTATTTTATAAGTACTTCTAAAATAATAGATGTAAATGAAGTAAAAATTTCAAACTACAGCCTCTCCAGGCATTCCGTGACTATGAGCTTCTATTACTCATAATGAGGATTTATTTCCTTGGGAACCGTAAGAAGCAAGATATCTCCTTTTACCTCCTGACAGCAGCAGAAGCAAATATTTCCAATCATCCAAACCCTTCTGTTTCTGCATTCATTAGTGCATGCAATTAGTGGGAACTAGGCATTGACTGATTTGATTGACATGTGTTTATTTTCTCTCCCACACACTGTGGAATCACAGCATGAGAGTAATGAAAGAAGAGCTGTAATTCACAACCATGATTGTCTGGCTATTTATTATCATCATACTTACAACTGGACCTGGTGGGCCCTGGGGACCTTCCCCTCCTTTCAGTCCAGGTGCACCCTGGGAAAAGTGAAAAAAATAAAGAAAATGAATCCATATGAATTGAATACCAATAGGAGGAGATATCTGATTAGTAAAATAAGGATGTCAGGTAATGTTTATAGACATAACTACATATATACACATATATGTAATGATAATCAAATATATATGTTTATATATCTTCCCTTAATCATCACTTCTTAAGTTCTGAGAAAAAATGCTTCTAATAAACAATTGGAATCACTTGCTTTATCTATATAGATATTGATTATACCTGAGCTCCAGGAAGACCTCTTTCCCCTGGGAAACCACGTAATCCTGCTGGTCCATCTTTCCCTGAGATACCTTGAGGACCTGGATCACCCTAAAGAATATAATAAACATCGTCAAGACAGATTAATTTCTACACATCTTTCTACAAACAAAATTGTGATTACCTCTAAACTACTGTAAGTAAAATGTGAATATTATTTAATGATGAGAATATTGGGTGGAATGCCATATGCATTAAAATGAACTACCCACTACCTACATTTAACGTTACATATATATTAAAGATTTTATGGTCAACGGAGCTAACGGTCTTATATAAATGTTGAGCAATATCTTGGAGTACAATAAACGCACATTAAATATTTTCCTGACACATCTTCTGACATTCATTTAAATGGAATCTGTAGACAAGGGGTGAGTATAGTTAAACATAAATTAAAGTTTTGGGCCAAAAAAAGTTTTCTGAAGCATGTTGTACCTTTGCACCTTCTTTTCCTGCAGCACCAGGAAGACCTTGCTCACCAGGAGGGCCAGGAGGGCCAGGATGCCCACGTTCCCCTATTGGACCAGTCTCACCGGTTGGTCCCTAAATTAGATAAGCAAAATCACTTTAGATTGCTCTTTTATTTTTGGCAAAGATAACACAAACTCAAAAACAGTATTATTACATTTACAAAAGTTTATCATCCTCACTTATTCTCATGATGTCCTACAAAACACTTCACATAAAGCACTGAAAGTAGCATATCAAGTAAGAGTCTAAAAAGATTTTATATAATCTTGGTTAGAATCTGAGTGTAAAAGGAAAGTACATAAATAAAGTCCAAAAAGATGTTTTCTTTGCTTAATACAATAATTTCTGCAGAGTGTGGCCAGTCCAAGTATTATGAAAACTATGATTTTTAATTACAGTTTTATCCCATTCCTTCTTTTCATATGAGGTGTCAAATCAGCTTAGTAGTAAAGAGGCATAGAAACCACATTGGTAGCCACTCAATGAATCACTGCTTGAAAATAAACTTAGGGCCATGAGAACCCAAAAAGCCAGTGGTTCTCCCTGGAATTTCCATGGACTGAAAATTTCTCTACTATTAATCTATATTCATTTGACAAAGTCTAGGGAATGTGGCATGGGATCCTGAAGGCAGTGAGTATGGGTCAGCAGTTCCTCTCGGCCAAAGGCTGTAACAAATGGTCAGCTGCCTTAAATTGCAGCAAATGCCAAAGTGAACAATATCAGGTCATTTACGTGTCCCCTGAGTGGTGCTGTTTTGTGGTGCTTGAGTATAGCAGGCTTTCATGTATAAATAGAGGATGGTGATCAGTTGCTCTCTATCTTAATAAAAAGCAAAATGAAGGGTTTAAGTTAAACAAAGAGAAAATTTTTAGATGCTAAGGTTGTTAAACAGGAGAATGTGTTCCTGCACTTGCTTATGAAGTATAAATATTTTTTTCCTAAAAATGCAACATAGTCTTAACTATTTATCTTGGATAAGGTATACACCTGTCCCAATTTGGGTATACATTTCTAGGTTTAAATTTCTTTAATTATACAATTGCTGTAATTTCTCAACTTAACATTAATGTGTAAACATTTATCCAAAACATGATGTTTTCTTAACTATCTGAACACCAGAATTTGAACAGTAAGGAATACAGAATTAACCATAATTGAACAGCGATCACCGAGACAAAAATGATCAGAGATTCACATAACTGTTTAAAGAAAAGGGTGCATATTCAGTATTGCAATCTATATTATTCCCATTAAACCAAATCTTTTGTCTTCACATGAAAGTATGGCTACATTTAAAATAGGCTGTTGGTTTTTTTTCTCTTAAAAAGGACCAATAAAAAATGTAATTCAAGGAAGGTGCATCTTCAGTAAAACACCAGTATTTTTATGCCTTCATGTAAAGAGGGGAACGAAAAAAGAACACAAGTCTCAGAAGTTTTAGATGACCACATTGAACAGAATTGTATTTTTGAAAGATGTGAGGTCCTAAAATATTTAGTTACATTCCATGATGTTTATATTTTAGTTAAGAGTCTAATTCCATTTCTGTTTATGGATATTAAGTATAATAGGAATAATTTTTCTAGTTAAATTTTCTCACAGAAAATAGTTATAAAGTTGTTTTAAACAGGAAAAATGAAAGTATTTTTGGAGGAAGCTTTCTAATTACTGAGAAAGTATATATAATGTTTTAACTAAAACTGATAAGCAGTTAAAAAGAAGCCTTCAGCACAAGTAAGTAGTCATGTTTACACACTCTATAAAATAACATCGTATTTCCCTTGCCTCAGGGTTAACCTCTGAAATAAAATAATCAATAAATCCAATGATTCTTCATTTTTGCTTCTGTTATACATATTCCTAAAAACAAGATGCAGTTTTGTTGTTTCTCTAGGGGTGTGTGTGTGTGTGTGTGTGTGTATGTGTTTGGATGTGCATGTGTGTGTCCGTGTGCGCATGTGTGTGTGTATGTGTGTGAGTTACAGTGTTGAGAACTATTTAGAGACAGAGAAAAGACTAAACCAATTAAATAATTAAAATACGTATTCACCTGCTTTTGCTCCTTTGTTATAATTTGGTATTAGCAGGGGCTAAATTCCAGTCCAGAAACTAAATGTGTTCTGCCCATTCAATATGCTTTGCCAGGGAAGAAAAACATTATTTTCTATTACCATGAATTACTCTTTGTAGTTATTTTATACTATAACTCAGGATACTGCACCAATTTTTGAGACTTCTTCTGCCACCTATCTTGAAATAAATACTTGTCTTTTCCACTATTTTGTATATCCTCAAAGATAATTAATATTTTATTTCTGATATTCATTATTATGAAGGCAAAAATCTTAAGAAACACCTAATATGTTACAAATATTAAAATTTTAGAATGTATATTTCTAAATCTAATTTATACTCAAAACCATGAAGTCATTTTATAATTTAAAATTCTAGAAAAAGATAATGGCCCACCTATTTACAAAGAACTTTGTATTTTTATTAGTAGATGGTGTCATAGTCAGGCTTTAGTGTTAAATTCAGTGTGAACTTTCTGATTTACTTTCATTTATTTTATTCTTCTCTTTTATTCTTACAGGCAATTGAAAAGTTGCTTTAGTTAGGTAATAGTTTGTTGGTTTCATTTGATGTACGAAAGCTGCATATATTTAAATGCAATCTGAAATAAAAAATACATCATTTTGAATCATAATAAATTTAGAAGATTTTACACAACTTAGGAAGGTTAAAATGTAAACAAAAAATAAATCTTGCTTGGGAAATAAAGCAAAGGAACATACCTGTGGTCCAACCACTCCCCCTGGCCCAGGAGGGCCGGTCTTGCCTTGAAATCCCTAAGGAGGCAAAGTATTATTTGTAAAAGCTACATACAACACAAAGCATAAATCAAAATTCTATGAGATAGCTGAATAAGTCACATTAAAAGAAAGTCACCTATTGACTAAAAATATTTATTTTCAAATGCTTAAATATGTTTAATATGTTAAACTTATTTCAGTTTTCATTAAAATTCAAAACTTGCCATTTCAATATTTCACATGGTAGGGCAATAATTACCTTTAATAAATGAAGCTAGAGTAAAAATGTGTTCTTAGCCCCATTCCACTAGGTCAAACAACATACAGAATTTTAACCCAGTAATGTTTATGGATGAAGTAAATGATGATTTAGACATTCTTTGAAACAGTTTACTGATTGTTTATACAAAGGTAAATTCACAGCCTGTGATATTAATACATTTCTCTCTATTGTATTCCAAAAATCTCATAAAACAAGATATAAAAATAGATCTACTAAAATAATGCTTTGCATAGTTAGTAATTATTTTAGCGTTTATCAATATTCTTTCTTGTAAGAAACTCAAGAGATATAGTCATAAATGCATTTTGAAAATAATTCAGTCATTAAAATATCATCTGGTTGATTTGAGCAGAATATACTCACTAAATAAAACTTCTGGGCATATATTCTGGTATTTATTTTTCTCTAGGCTGTGGGTTATTCATTCCACATAATTGTGTGAATATAGGTAAATTTCTTACCCATGAGAGTTAAGTTACTTTTAACAGCTGGAGAAGTAGATAGAAAATATTGGGAGAAGTTTCGAAAGAACTGAATATTTTATTCCCTACAACATCTGGTCAGACTGAAAATAATAAGATTAGAAAAAAAATGGGTAGGAACTAGCAGTCTCACGTTAGTATCACAATGTTCCCAATAACTATGAATGAATTATTTACAATAATAAAATTGTATAAGTAGGTAAAGAGTCTGTAATTATTGCAATTGATGCTACAGGGAAAGAAAATAGAGTTCTATTTTAAAAATCTATTAATTCAGACTTTCAGGGTTCTATTTGAGCTATCATTATGAATAGCAAAAGCAATCATTTCTGGGGGGAAATGTCATAAAATTTATTTAGCATTTTATAAGCATATTAGTCGCTTAATTTTTTCATCAACCAGTTGGTTTGGAAATCTGTTGTCAGATTTACATACACACATACCTAAACACATATATACATGTGTGCATATGTGTATGTGTGTCCCTGGATTATCTCAACAACCTCCATCACCACAATTGCCATCTCTATGCTGATGAACTCCTCCATTCCCAACTATTTATAAACCTCTAATCAGTATGAGCCCTAAAACTCTCTCAGTAAGTGCCTACTAGAAATTTCCAGTTGTATATCATGCTCTCTCTTCAACATTCCTAACATGGAACTTGCTGAATGTATCTTCTCCTTTGATTTTCCTTCTATGTTCTTCCCCTTTTTAATGGCGTGTCTTCAGATTCCAGACTTTTCTTCAGTGCCCATGCTTAATCAGTTATTTTATCTGAATGTGTCACGTGAGAAGGTCCCTCAAATACAGCTTCTTCTCTCTTATCCTAGTAGACCTGTCTTATTCAAACTATAATCATCTCTTTCCTTCACCATTGTTGAGTTTTCAAATAAGGTTTACTAACTTGTTTACATTAGGCAGAATCATCACCCACAAAACCAAACATAATAAATTCTTTTTTTTTTTTTTTTTTTTTTTTTTTTTTTGAGACGGAGTCTCGCTCTGTCGCCCAGGCTGGAGTGCAGTGGCGCGATCTCGGCTCACTGCAAGCTCCGCCTCCCAGGTTCACGCCATTCTCCTGCTTCAGCCTCCAGAGTAGCTGGGACTACAGGCACCCGCCACCAAGCCCGGCTAATTTTTTGTAGTTTTAGTAGAGACGGGGTTTCACCGTGTTAGAAAGGATGGTCTCGATCTCCTGACTTCGTGATCCGCCCGCCTCGGCCTCCCAAAGTGCTGGGATTACAGGCGTGAGCCACCACGCCCAGCCAATAAATTCATTTTTAAACATATAGATGACAAAGTTCTAGCCAATAGGGGCCCAGTATGCAAATTCAGTTACTTCCTTTGCTTTGATAATGTATCCTAAATTCTAGCCATGCTGATCTTCCTACCTTTTTCTGAATAGCCACACACCATATATTTGTATGACCTGTTTCCTCTGTCTGGGTTATTCTTCCTCCAATTTTTAATCATTAAATTCAACAGGAAGATATAAAGGCAATTCCAAACTTTTTAAAAAAGTCTTATAAAGCATTTTGTCTTACTAACTGTGAGAGCAAGAATCACACACAAAATATTGCAATAATAATTAAATGTAATAGATTAAAAATCAATACTTAATTGCAGAAAGTCTCGACAAAATTACAACATAGACTTGCACTCATACATCCTAAGGGGAGAGAGGAAGTCTTGGCTGCTAGCCCATTTGTGTGAGTGATGGATTTGGGAAAGCTGGAAGACAGCATTGCCCATATGTCTGCTCATTCAATCCATTCAGAGTGTTTGCAAGTATCTAATACATTTGATCTTGGGGATC
Organism: Homo sapiens; assembly: GCF_000001405.40. Classification (NCBI taxonomy): domain Eukaryota; kingdom Metazoa; phylum Chordata; class Mammalia; order Primates; family Hominidae; genus Homo; species Homo sapiens. The sequence goes on from NC_000001.11 coordinate 102,968,089, forward strand.
TTACAAACAAACTACACAGGAAAACTTTTACAGTTCACAACAAGTTGTGCTTGTTCAATATTGTCATGTAATAAGACTACACTTGCCACTTAATTTCAGAGTAGCTAGTCAAATTATGTTTTTCAAAGTTGCTGAAAATGGAAATTAATTGGACATATTCATGGGTAGTTTGAAAAATATGCTGTTACAATCCAACAGAAATGTGATTCCTATTCTGATAATCTTTAAAAGACTAAGCCAATTTTAGGACCAATACAGCATTTGGCACTATGTTTCTGAGACAAATTTGGGTCATTTCAATATAATAGAAACCATTTCTGAAGCTGTTTAAGGCCACCAGGAAAAATTGGGAATAGTTTCTATTATACTGAAACAACCCAAATGAATGTAAGATGTCAGAACAAACATTTAATTAATGGATTTCTGGCTGGAGACAAATCTCAAATATAATTCAAAAATTTATCCATTTAAATAAGATAATAAATATATGGCAAAGAATGCCCACTCTAGATTGTGACTCCTGTACAAGGTGATCCTTTGAATCTGGGTCAGCAGAGAACAAAGTGAGAAAGAAAGCTTTGAGGCTATAGGACGATTCACTATTCCCTTAAAGTGGATGTGAAATCGGGAATATAATTTTTTCAGAAATAATCCTGGCTTTTATCTGTGAAAAGCTACAAAACAGAAACATTCATTCTAGAAACATTATGCTGTTTTTCTTCTATGTTTAAATCTCAATGTTATATGTGATATAATTATTTTTGTTAGAAGTGGAAGCTCCAGATTAAATCATAGACATAAAGGACTTTATAACAGTAATTCTCTGGGTATCCTTTCCCCACAAGACATTTTGGAATATTCTATAGTTATTCCCAGAAAGTTATACAATGACTTCATTAAAAATGATTTGGCTGAAAGATTTGAATGATAATGCATTTGCAAATTGAGTGTTGACTCTCCTTTAGAAAGTTTATTTCTGCTCCTCATACAGATATCTTTCCCAAGAGGATATCCAAACAGTTTTTTCTTTTGTCTCACTAAATCATATTTCAATTTTGCTTTTGAAATCCAAGACTCCAAAGTTTCTCATCTGGCTAAAACTAAGAAATGGTGAAACTAAGAATTGCCACATGGTAAGCAAGGCAAAATTGGGTGGCTGCTGACAAATTGTTTCCTCCATAGCAGAAAAATCATATTTTTTTCAGATTTCAGATTTATTATAGTACATTGCTATGCAACTCCAATATGTATTCAGGGTGCCCCCTACCCTAACATGATTTTCAACCACATAGTCAAAGGTAGTCTGCATTTGTGGTTTCCTTGAGAAGTCTGGATAAAAGTAATCATTGGTGAGAAGCAAGAATTGATTCCATGGAAATATGCCAATCCATGATGATTTCTGATTAGAATGACAATCCACTGGGATAGCCAGATGTCTGATTTTGAAAGGGGCAAAATAAATAAACTCACCAGGATTCTTAAACCATCACTGAGCTGCCAGTTTCCTCTCTGCCCAAATTGTTATACACATGGTAAGTTGTTCAGTCAATTTGTTTACTGTTATATTCTTTATAGGTTTTAAGTAAAATTTAGTGACCGTTTTTGATTTACTTTTTCCTATTTCACATGGAAAGATGCTTTTGACATAGTTCCCAACCAGTTATAGCCGATGGGTCCAATATCAGCAAGTATTTAATCCCTTAGTTCTAGATAAAAGAATGTGGTATTATGATCATGGCTATTCGTAATCTGTTGCCTTTAGAGTGGAGAGATGATGGGTTTGAGTGGAATGTATCTATAAACAGTCTTCAGTGAAAAGAGTGAGAGGGAAAATCTTGAGGAGATGTCCAAAAAATAATGGTGTCTTCTCCATCAGCTCATCCTTAAAATGCTGCTATTGACAATAAAAACAATCATATCAACTAACATCCTATTTCCTGAAGTATATTTCTTGTATCTATTTTTGTATTTATATATATATGTATATTTCAATAAAAGGCTTAATGGAATTAATTTTTCCATTTTTCTCAACCTAGTAATTGAAATGTTCATAATAAAGTAGCTTTCTATGTATGAACTGATGAGGTGCTAGAGATGGAAATTTTTAATAAGAGTAACAAGGTCACTTACAGTCTCCCCACGTTGCCCAGGGTGTCCTGGCAGCCCATCCTTCCCAGGTGGTCCCTGAAATTACAAATATTAAATACCACATGTCATAAATATTTAATTATTTTATAGTCTAAATGTGACATGTTAGAAAATTTTCTTTTCTTTTTATATTTCCATTAGCTATTTTACTTTGCTCTTCTGTTGATTTTATATATGATAATATGCACATATATCTCTTCAATATAATTCTGTAGCTATAGCTGAAACCAAAATAAAATAGTTGAACTCTTTTCTGAATATTTTACATTTAAATATATTTCATTTGCATCAATCATTTGTAAAATAATATTTGCAAAGGTTTGTATTTTCGTTTTTGTGAAAAATATTACTTCTTTAGCACTTCACAAATGAGTATTTCCCCCTTTTTGGTGATTTGTTCCTAATTCAATTCCCGGTGCATCAAAACTTGGATAACAGAGAGAAATAGTGCCCTCTAGTGGTAATCCGAGCTTCTAACTGACAAGAAGGCAAAAGAAGGCCGGGCAGGGTGGCTGACACCTGTAATCCCAGCACTTTGGGAGGTCGAGGCGGGAGGATCAAGAGGTCAGAGGATCAAGACCATTCTGACCAACATGCTGAAACCCCGTCTCTACTAAAAAACAAAAAAGTAGCCGGGCGTGGTGGCACACGCCTGTAGTCGCAGCTACTCGGGAGGCTGAGGCAGGGGAATCCCTTGAACCTGGGAGGCGGAGGTTGCAGTGAGCTGAGATGGCGCCACTGCACTCCGAGCGAGACCGTCTCAAAAAACAAAAAACAAAACAAAACAAACAAAAAAAAACCAAGAATGCAAAATAAATACAAACTCATAAAAAATGGCATTTTATCTCTCAAATTTTTTCAAGTAAAGGAAACAATACGTTATACTCAATTCTAGAAGTCATCAGGACAAATTTTTCCCAGTAGATTTTCTTAAATGTCCTCTTGGAAGCATAATGTTTGTGAAGTACCACAGAGCAAATCTGCTGCTATCACTTTGTATAAAGGATGCTGTCTTTGTCATGGCTTAAGAAATAAATGAAGCAATTAACTACAAACAAAGTGAACAACTCTGTGAGGGTCCTATATTTTAAATACTTAGTAGAAAGAAACTGCTTCTTTAGACTGCCTTATGGATTATTCATTCTACTCAGTAACCATTACGTATCAAGTTCAAATTTCAAAACATGGTCAACGGGTAGAGATAAAAATACTATCACCCTTCTAGATGAATGAAGAGAAATGATTCTTTTAATAATAATATTTTAAATTATAACAGGTACACCTCTCATTGTATGTTAATTATTTAAATAAAATTGTTTTTGAACATCTATTTTTAATATATGTTCTTATAGAGTGAGTATGAAAAACAGGCTTTGTTCCAAAATGTTATTTTCTCAAATAGCTTTCTTCCAACTGAGGGAGACTTTTTCCAGGTTGGCTAGTTACTTCAGGAGAAAGGTTCTTGGTGGTGCCAGAACCATCTTTGCTCCCTTAAGTCATGTGTATTGACATCCTGGGTGCCCTGTAAATTAACAACTCTAATTAAAATCCGTTATGCTACTTCACAACATCATGGCTTGCTCAGTGACTTCTTCAGGTTTTCCAGGGCTACTACTGCCATCCTCTTCTTCAAAAAACAAAACTGGAGTGTTTTTAACCAAGGACCCAAAACATTCTTGGATGTCATTTAACCATGGCTTCTTTAAAAAACATATATTACATACCCACGTATCATTTACTAGGTGTATACTAATGCTAAGACTTAGTTTTGCCCTCAGTTTGGAGGTGACATACAGAAATAAGTATTTAGTTGATTGGTAGTAGACTTCATTGAGGTCCAGTTTTACAAAATAGCAAATAAAACAATTTCTGTGCCTTATCACTGGTTTGATATATTTGGCAATAAACTTGCTTTCAATTCTGGGCAATAATAAAAGTTTTATAGAGAGGATGACAGCTGAAGGATATCAATTATGTCTGGCTTTTTTTTCCACCATACTAAAGTGCTTCTTAAATGATGTACTTTGCCACTAATACAAGACTTACTTTTTTTTAACAAAGCTGTAAATATAAGATTAAATATCTCATATTTGCTGACATAGATAACACATTCATTGCAAAATATTATAATACTTTAAAATAGCGATCTTAGGTCTAAGCGATCACATCCTGGGAAGAATGCAACATAATATTTAATGGCTTTCCTAGATAGACTGAGGGAGTAGTGTTAATATACTGCATTAAGAATTGGTGTCATTATCATTTTTCTTGATTTAAGTATGTACTTCTAATATCAAGCAATTAGCCCTAAATAAATATAAAGGCCACAAACTATTAACCAATGAAATAAGCAGACTAATTACCAAATAATTTCACGGTATCTATGTAAAAGTAATAATTTTTTCATCAAAATAGGCTTCCCAGGCTTCCCCTTTGATCTAGCTGGTACAGGACAGAGAGAACAAATTCATCTAAATGAGGGTATGCAGATTTGGCGAGAAAATCTGTGAAAACTTGTAGGTAATTGTTTAAGGATGTTTTCTCACTTCTCATTGGCACTGAGTTTTGACTTTTTCTATTCTAAATAGAATGTTTCTCATACTAGTCATGCTATAATTCTTAATCATTTCAAGTTAATGTGTTTTTTAAATGGATGGCTGCATATTCCCAAAATATGCCGATATGGGCATGATATTAACAGAATCTGAAGGGAATATTTAGATCCATATATATATATGTCTGTGTGAATATACATCATATATATATAAAATTTTTTCCTGCTATGATGAAGGAGATGAACCAATTAATTTACAGGAAGAGGTTTTTTCTATCTCTCTACCCCAACTTCTTCTTTCTATATCAAACAGATGAAGCCAATTCTGTCCCAAACTGCATAAAACTGCATACTAGAGAAATGGGGTATTTTTATTTCATGCTCTAATGTTTCACTTGTTAGAGAAACATAGTATAAAAATCACTTTGTTTATCAGTGAAAGAAATACTCCTTCTTGTCTCTCCTACTAGAATGCATGCTTCTCAAGTGTAGGCATTTATTATGCTTCTGATACCTCTTACAGACAAAATGCATGCACGATCAATGGCTCAAAACATGTTGAAAGACACATAACACAATGGGCTGAAAAAGTCTGATAAAAAAATGAGTCAAATGGGTTTCTTTGACAATGAAACAATATTACATGAGCCAAGCAGTTCTCAACAATACATACAAACATAAATGGTACAATACTGAGGTTATATACGTCACTAAACTTTATGTTCCTAAACAATAATCTAATATACAGCTTAAAATAATTATAAGAATGTTTATAAAAATATACATACAGTGACTTTTGAAACTGTTTTCATTTCTCTGTGAAACTTTGCAGAGTCTTCATGTTACATTTGGAGCAAAACTGACATAGTAGGTAAGCATTATATGCAGGTAGTACCAAGGTTACTTTATATTTAACACTAGCCATATGTATCGATCTTTCTATAACCTTGTAATACAGATAACAATACTTTCCTAATATCTTTGCAGTAATAATGCAAAACTCTTCAGTGGTAAATAATAATTTAAGCAGGGTCTAAAAATTATTGTAAAAAGTTAAGGATTGTCTTAATATTTGATGTTTAATTATTTCAAAATAAATAATTCACCAATATGACTTGTGTGCACATTAAAGTATGGGTAGTATTGTTCATCTGGACTAGCACAGAGGTTCACACACTTTAACATGCATCAGAACTGTCTAGAGGGTGTTTTAAAATATAGACTTGGCCCCTGCCCCTCTCCAGAATTGTGATTTGGTCAGTGGAACATTTCTAACAATATCCCAAGAGCTGTGGATGCTGCTGGGCCAGGGACTACATTTGAGAACCACTGTCCTAGACAGGTGGGTAAGCTGACTCCCACTCTCTTAAAGAAACTGAGGAGGTTGCAAAACAAACAAACAAAAACAAAAAAGACCCCAGTATGTTCTATGTCCCCACAAATATTTAAATATGAAAACAAAGTATTTCAATTAACTTTATGAAGATGCTTGATGAACATTCAAGTGTTGCTCTAAACACATTTCATAAAAGGGTTAAGATTTAATGAGAATTCTCATTACATTTTCTAAAAAGAAGGGATTATAGAGACAGATATAATATTAATATAAATAGATTTTAGCATGACTTAAGTAATATCACAATGTTGGAGGGATTTAGGAAGTGATATTTGAAGAAGGTTATTTTGATGATGGAAGATAAAGATAAATTCGAATATACCAAATATTTAAGAGTTGATAACAATTTGTAATGTCATCAATTATATTCATTGCAGTAAAGGAGCAGCTGAGAGAATGATATTCATGTTTTTCTAGTCTTCGGTATACTGTCAAAAAATACTTAATAAGAGATGTTGAAATTATATTCAGAAACGATCTATGAACCTTATAAATTAAAAATGTCTACTTTCTTTGACATCAATTGTAATTTTACAGAGATTTTATCAATATTATATCTAACAAATATATAAATGTAAGCTGTGACTCTCAAAAATGTAAAAATATCAAATGAAGAAAGAGAAAGAGAAGCTCTGACACTTACAGGAGGGCCTTTTGGTCCAGGGAATCCAACTGGACCCTGAGGTCCTTGAGGACCCTGGAAATAAAAAGCAGTGGGGAGAAGTTAACAATATGCCTTAGAAGATGCATCTTTATACTTTGAGGTTTATTTACATAGACAAAATACAATGTATCATACAGCTTCTTCATCACAGTGACAGAACTATGGTAATACAACACGATAGTAAGTGCTAATCTAAAAGTAAAATGGATACATTTTCACACTATTTCTACTCAAAACTACACATCACATCAATGTTACCTCAGGAACACTGTAAATATTTAGAATTCATATCAATTAAAAGTGAATAGAACATGTAAGTATTGAGAAGTTCTGCAGTGTCTTTACTTTTAACATTGGCTAGAAACATTCATACAAGGAAGATATTTTGATTCAATTCAATTCCACAGCCCCGCTTAAAAAAAAAAAAAAAAACTGTTTTAAAACTTATTCTATCTTCTATCCCTGTTCTGTATCTAGCCGTATATTCCAAAACTAAAAGAGAAAGTATGTGACTATCTCAAAAAGACCACAGAAGATGCCTTTATTCTCCATATCTAAAATATATTTATTTTGGATGATGTCAATATATTTTTTACTCATGTATAAATTTCTTTTGTAGATAAGGTAAAAATAACTTTATTGTGTAGTTATTAACGTTCAGTCCAAATAAAAATTATAATATCATTCTTGGCTTGATTTTTAATTAACTATATTATTCATCTCTCAAATTTACCTATTTTTAAAAAGTGCATAAAGTCCCATTACAGTGACTCCATTGTTGGCAGAAAAAGTAATTGGTAAGAGATAATCCTCTATATGCCCAGAACGTAATAGTTACATTTATTTAAGAAGATTTATGAAAGATAACATAAGTAAAATGTCTTAAGTAATACATTTAGGGTAGGATTTATGTATTTTTCTAATCAAAAATAGAGTTTACTGAAGTTGGCCTTCAATAGAATTTACTCTTTCTATTTATCAATCTAGCCTTCCCAAGAAAAATCTCATTACCATTCATAAGCCAATGTTAGTTCAGAAATCATCACAAGTTTTTATTATTACCAGCATCTTATATTTAAAAAGTAACTTCAAAGTTATATATAAAGTTAACAAAAATAGATTTCACATGAAACTACCAAAACTACTGGGCAAATCTTAGGAACTTACAAAATTTTAAACTCTTATTAAACTATGACACTATGATTCCTAAATAAAAATCCATTTTAAGTACAAATTTTTAAAAATAGTATTCTTTTGGTTATGTAGCAAACTATTTTCCTGATTTATTAAAATGTCATGTTTTTGCTTCCTAAAATTTTGCTGCCTTTCAAATGCAATTTGAATTTAAAATCTTTTAAGAAAGAAACATTCCAAAAATCATTACTTTAAAATAAAAATGAAAAATTGAGTCTTTATAAAATTTCACAGAAAACGTTGGCTTTTTTTTTTTTTTTTTTTTTTTTTTTGAGACAGAGTCTTGCTCTGTTGCCCAGGCTGGAGTGCGGTGGCACGATCTTGGCTCACTGCAACCTCCGCCTCCTGGGTTCAAGCAATTCTCCTGCTTCAGCCTCCTGAGTAGCTGGGATTACAGGCACCCACCACCATGCCCAGCTAATTTTTGTGCTTTTAGTAGAGGCAGGGTTTCACCATGTTGGCCAGGCTGGTCTCGAACTCCTGACCTCAGGTAATCTGCCCACCTCTGCCTCCCAAAGTGCTGGGATTACAGGTGTGAGCCATCGCGCCTGGCTGGCGTATTCTTTTCCTAATAATCAAAATAGTTTCCAGGTGGGATTTTAAGAAATCCATAATGACTCAGTGTACAGATGGTGTTGAAACCAGATGACTAGATAAAATATCCAGTGCCTAAATTTGAGCTTTAAATAAATAATGAATAATTTTAATATGTCCTAAATATCATGAGACATAGTTGTGACAAAAATGACTTATTCTTTATATAAAATTCAAATTTATCCAGGTGTCTTGGTTCTGTTGTTCCATTTTTGTTTTGTTTTCACTTAATTTGGTAACCTTAGACCTAACTAAAAGATATATTTAACCTTTAATAACCAGCATCCATGATCTGCAAATTATGATTATGAGGGATTACATTTAATTTGTAGAATACTTTAATAAAAGTTTATGTATACATATATATATGCATGCCATGTATAACTGTATAGTTAAATATAAATATAATGATCATGAGAGAGTCCTTTGAAATGGGCAAAAATAGTTATTTCATTTTCTAATCCAATGGTACTACAGAACTAATTCCCTGAACTTTCCCCAACTCATATATTTTGAGGAAAATATTTTATGGCATTACTTTTGCCATTTTTCAACTGTGTGCTCAAGACGTGAACTAAATAGTTTAAGATAATTAAAAATTCTTGGCAGAAAATGAAGGCATACTTGGGATGAAATGTCTCATCAACCACAAGGAACATAGGAAATATGTTCTTCCTGTATAGACATTGAAAACATATATGAATAGTTATTGAAAATGAATCCACCTAGATTACTAAAACAACAAAACAAAACAAAAATTCCCAAGAGGTACTTGTCTCACTCTCAAAGTGTTTTTAAAAGTAATCATACTGTTGGATGACAGTATTGCTGTTTTTCAAATTAAAATGCAGTATCAGCAAAAGCATATTCACTTGTAAGGAAATATTATTGATCATAACATTTTGGAAGACAAAACCAAATGCATGAGAGAATCAGTGGTGCTCTAAAAACAAAACTCACAGTTGTGCTAATTTTTGTTAAATTGTTCTACTCCATTTAATTATTTAGCCTTTTTAATTAATTTAAATGTCCCTTATTAAAATGACTGACCATAAAATACTTCAAATGAATGTATTATTTATGAGCTCAAAAATTACAGGATAGACTTAATTTGGGAACAGTTCATCGAGAGTGAGAAACATTTAGCGGAAAATTAATTAAATATGAGCCAAAGACTTAACACAACTCTAATTAAATGTTTATTCTTGTGTGTTATCTACTCCCATTTTCGTCACAAATAAAAACTCAAGTTTTGCTCATTGCTCCTACTCAAATAAAAATTATTCATTTTCAATTTTAGGTTATGCATTGCAAGGTATTTCTGTCTTGTGTAAAATGCCTATTATACATTTCAAATCATAATATACAAAAATATATTAACCTGACTCCATAATACTGAAAATTATTATAGAATATGAAGAAATGATTCTAATTTTTTAAAGGAATACAGATTATAATACTTAAACTTATATCAGGAGGATAGCTTTTTTAAAAATCTGGCTACAAAAATGTTATATTTTGCCAAAAAATCCAAACAAAGGGCATGCTTGTTCATATGTATTTGGCTACATCTTACATCAATTAAAAATCAATTTACTAAATAGCTATTCTATTTACTGGAATAGATGTTTTATCTTGAGTTGAATGTATATTGATTCTGGCTTAATGGCTACTAGTAGCTTGTTTTTTACCAGCATAATTTTGCTGCCAGCTCTGTGAACAAAATGAGTATCAATATGGAAAGCAAGCTGATTGGAGAAGAGGGCAAAGATGTTTCAAGTGTATTTAAAATTTAAAAAATATCTATTTTTGTCTTGACTATAAGAGTGATATCTTAGTCCAGTTACACACATTTTTCTCATTTCTATAACAAAATTAGTAGAACATATTGATTAAGCTTTTTTATTGGTGAAGAGGAATAAATTAAAAAATAAGCGTTTTTAAATTCAGACTAGATTTTGTGGATAGACATGCACATGTATTAGCAGACATATATCTTTTCTCTGAAATCTAAATACTTGCAGAAATACTAATTTTCATTTTATATTATGTGGCTGTATCATACGTACTCTTTCACCTGGAGGGCCAGGAGGGCCATCGCCACCTGAAGTGCCCTGGCACCAAGAAAAGAAAAGAAAAATCAGTTTGAATTCTTTCTCATAGCATCTGCCTGGAAAAAAAATCTACAGTAACATCCAAACAGAAAAAGTACAGGTGATACCTTTGGCCCAGGTTTCCCAGTGGGACCTCTTGCACCTCTTGAACCTCGAGGACCCTGCAGATGAGAACAAAAGATGAACCCAAACTAATGCCAGACAAATCCAAAGACACTAAATCAATTTTTATTTTTGAAAAATAAATTATCTTGATACACTAAATTCAATATGAAAAATGTACATCATTTTAAATCAAGGCACCTACCGTTGGACCACGCTGACCCCGAGGGCCTGGTTTGCCAGCTACTCCCTAGCAAAGACAGTTCAATTTCAATATGCAGTATATCACAGTAAATTATGAGCCTGGTGCTGAGACTGAGTAGTCATGCAAGAACATCATTCATTCATTCATTCATTCGTATTCATTTAGAGACAGACTTGCTATGCTGCCCAGGCTGGCCTGGAACTCCGGGATTCAAGCAATCCTCCACCTGAGCCTCACAAATATCTGGGAATACAGGCACACACCACTATGTCCAGCTAAGAACACTTATATACATAGTTCAAAACATATTTATATATCATACCCGTGCACCTTTCTCTCCATTGGCACCTGGAAACCCAGGGAATCCAGTGGAACCCTACAATAATAAAAGTAAATAATGAATAAACATGGCAATTAACATTTTCAGTCACAAGATGTAATTTATTTTGGAACAGAGTGATTTTCACACAGCTGTTAATATTTAAATCAAATATAGAAATTTTAAGATATCATCGAAGTAATTGAAAATGAACTTACAATGACATCTGAAATCCTGGAAGCATTGAAAGCACAAATTGATAAAACATTTTAGTTTTTAACCTTCTGAGTAAATGAATTAATCAAGTATTATTTCATCTCTTGTTATAAAACAGTAATTATAGGACATTTTATAGAAAATGTATTGCAATGTAAAATTCTTTGTATTTGCTTCAACTCTAAAGAAAAATCCTATTTTCACAAACAGGAATAGTCAAATATTAAAATAGGAATTTTAGAAAATGTTTTTCCTGAATTAATATTATCATATGTCTATAGTTACCACTTTTGAGTTGAGTATTTTTACACTTTTAAAACTGGATCAATTCATAGACTAAAAACCTTCCTCCACTTTTTCGATTTGGTATTTGAATACAACTATATCTAGCTGAAAGTCTATTTCAGGCACCCAAGCATTAAAACTCTGTTTTTTAGAATTCTGAAGACATAATTTTGAGATTTATGTTAGTTATGCATCAGCTAAATGTATCAGCTAAGTAAGTTTGGTACATTACTTATGCGCATCAAGTATAGATTTTTCTTCTGCAAAGTGAGGGCAGTAATACACACCTTACAGGTAATTTGAAATTTGTGGGACTGAAAAAAAGAATGCTTGGTATAAAAATAATAATAATGTATAATTAATAATTATTTTAAAATGAAATGTTTATAAAAACACTATTTCATTTACAAATGGCCACATTTTACAGATGGAATACAATATAATCCCCAATAACCAAATTTCCCATATGATCTTGCACATATATCTAAATTTTTATCTTCTCATTTAGTTGATCATGATTGTGATTAGCTTCCCTCATCACTGTATCATAAAATAGAGAAGATTAGTGTTCACATCCTTGCTGCTCAACTTGTTAATTATGAGACCCTGAAAAGGAAGAAGTGGAGAGTTTTCCTGTTTAGATCACTGTATGGATTAAGTGCAATAATACGTAAAATGTCTAGCCTCTGTGAGAATACTAGACATCAAATTTTACAAACTTCCCCATATATTAAGGGAAATATAACAAAGCCTTGTTTGACTTGAATACACCTTTCTTTTTTTAATCCACTCACTTGCATTGAAATACCCCTAAAAATAATGTTTCTCCAAGTGATACATGGCTCCTCTGTATCAGAATAATCTAGAGTAGTTGCTAAAAATATGGATTGCTAAGGCACACTCCACATCTACTGAAACTGAAACAGACTCTCTGGCAGTGAGGTCCAGGAATCTGAATTTTTACCAACCTCTCGGGGTCACATGTACTGTGAAATCTTAGAAGTCTTGAAGCTGTATTCTCAGGCATGTACAGTTGGAATAGCCAGGTGTAGAGTATTACCTACTCACAGGAGGTAACTATTTGGCCCTATTCCCAATTTGAAAGCAGTGAATATTACACACTTATCAGGAAGGTAAGATGCTAGCAATTTGTATTTCCTACATGATGCTATTAAAGCAGGTCAATAAAATTGTATGTGATGCCCTATGGCAGCTGATAGTCAAAATAATAACCTGAAGGATGCACTGCTAAGCTGTTTTTTATAACATGTTTTCCTGTATGTTTCAATACATGCCTATACAGCTAACTTGTGATCAACCTGAGAACAATTATTAGGATGTGTAATATTCACGTACTGGGGAAAAAAATCTCTGCACATTACATTTTGAAGAGCTTTCAAAATCTCTTTTCTTTCTCTACACAGAATCAGTTAGCTACGTCTAGCACAGTATTACTATGTGACTATTACAGGAATTGGACAAATGATTATAATACAGTATGAAAATAAAAATTTTGAGGGGGGGGACAAATATTCAGTTCTGTCCTGACTAGAAGAGGTAACAGCATATTTATAGATACTTCATTTAAGCAAAGAGATATTATGCACCAATTTTGTTTTTCATAAATGTATATACTTACGTAGAGTTTCTACTCTAGGAAATTGATAGAAAACACAGAAAAATGACCAACCTACCCAATTAATCAGTTGAATATATGGAAATGTTATTTTTTGCTTCCCATATAAGGAATTATCACCAAAATATATAATTTCTATGAAACAGTATTACCCGTTTTTATATGGAAACACACAAAGGCCATAAAGTCAAAGATTAATTGTGAAATTGGCTCAGTCAATAAATGTGAAACTAAAAATGTGAAATTTTTAAAATGCTGTCTGAAATATAAAGGTATCCTACCTTAAAATAGATTTTATTTTAGAAACAGCTATCATTTTATAGCACATGTGGTGCTACATCTTTTTAATACCTTTATGGTTTATATTGCTACTAAGCAATTAATAAGATGTCAAATTACAGGCCTTAATCTGCTTGAAAGAGACTGGTAAAGGCATTTCATTTTAGTAAAAAAAAAATTTAAATTTATTCAAAATTCATCAGCTTACACATAGGAAAAAATACGAAGCTATCTTTCATTTTGGATGTCCCAGTTTTTCATTTTTGATGTCCCAGTTTTTCATTTTAGAACAGAGAAACTTTAAAGCTTTTTGATCATAGAAATAATAAATGAGTTATGAAGAGAAGCAATATGAAGAAATAAAGAATAAAATTCCAGACATTTCAGTAAAAGGATTAAAAAATGTTGGATACCTCTAGGAGGAAACATTTCTGTTGTTATTCTGTTGCATTTTGTTAATAAAAACAATTCAAAGATTATTGATCAGAGAACTTAGGGAAAAAACGGGATTTTAAATAAATTCATAAAATAAAATTCTACTCATTCATGTAATATTGTGACAGATTCCTATATTTTTAAATCAAAACAAAACAATTGCAATTTAACTTAATAAATAGATCAAGAATGCATGAAGTGATGTAAGGATAGCTTGAGGTCCTGGATTATGCAGTGAATGGCTTCTTTTACTGATAATATTTGTGAAAATGCTTGACATTTGAAAGGAAGCTAACTGGGAGACAGAGCAGTATATTAGAGATAATATTTAAATGATAAAAAGTATTAATCAGTGTCCTGAGTACAGCCAGAAAATATTTAAATTATGCCTGTATTATTTTTAAATCACAGATGCCGTAAATCTTATTTTAGAAGGGTTCAAAAGCATTATATTTATCCCCTGCTACTCAAGGAAGTATTTTTGGGGAAACTCAATGAAAAAATTGTAAGACAAAGCTGTATAGCAAGCCTAAGACAGTGTTATCACGTGGCAATGAGGGAACACAATGACATGCAGTTTACATATTCAGGGAGAAGGATATTTTTGTCTCCCATAATTACATGTGAAACTTATGAATAGACACACGTTTAAGAATGTTACAGAAACAGGATTTGCCATACCTATTGTTTCTGTTATGCCTGAATGGGTCAAACTCAATAAACTGATAGATTGATATAATCTCATGTACATATAACTAAAAGAATGATAAAACTGAAACTATCCCGCACTTCTCTGTCTCCCTCCTGTATCATAACCATTCTGTAATTAATAATCAACATTTATATATTAATTCACTTAACAGGCTTAACTACTGAATGCATCAAGTGCATTCACTTAACTACTGAATGCATCAAGTGCATCCTTAACAAAGTTTTATGATAGGTTTGAGAAAAATTAGTACACCGAGGTAAATATGCATTTTGAAAACCATATTTTTTATGCTTAAAACATGTATATTTCAAATAGCCAAAAATGAGATTTGAGTGATGCAGCGAATTGAATGGTGGCTCCTGAAAATTTATATCCATATACAAATCTATGGAATCTGTGAATGTTACCTTACTTGGAAAAGAAAAAAAAGTCTTGCCAAATGCTATTAAATTAAGGAAATGGGATCCACCTGGATTGCCTAGGTGGTCCCTAAATCCAATGGCGAGTGTTCTTACAAGAGACAGAAGAGAATAAGACACACAGAAAAAAGGCCAGTTAAGAAGGGAACAGAGATTGGAGTCATGAAGTCACAAGCCAAGGAATGCCTGGGGCCACCAGAAGCTGGGAGAGGCAAGGACAGATTCTTTACTAGAAACTCTGGAGGGAGCATGGCCCTATGACACCATGATTTCATACTTCTGTCCTCCAGAACTGTAAGGCAGTGAATTTCTGTTGTTTTAAGTTAATACGTTTGTGGAGATTTGTCATAGCAACCCTGGAAAAAAAATACTCATGGAAATGAGGGTAATAGTGTGAAAGGTGTATTAATTTTAAAAACTCAAGTGGTAATTTAAACCCTTAGGATAATAGAAAGGAAATCAAAAGCCGTTATGCATCAAATGTCTTCCATGTTAAAACTTCCAGATATACTAGGATATTTCTTGTTCCAATTACAAAGAATTACCGATTATGCCTTCGTTTCATGATTCCTTCTCCTAAAATACTGCAATCCATAATCACCTAAGCTCTTTGAGCTCCCTGCACTCCAGGCGTCCACACACTCTATGATTTTCCTTGTGAAATTATTTTTAAGTACTCATGATAATATAGAGATGTTACAAATTGTAAGGTAATCATAAGTGATTAATATTATCTTCACGAAATGTTAATAAACTATAAATATCAAGCTGTTTTACCTTTGGACCTTGTCTTCCTGGATATCCTGGTAATCCTGGAACTCCAAGTTTTCCCTACAGTTAAAATATATAATAATCAAAGTAATATTTTAAGTTGAATTAAGCTTAAATAATGATTTCAATTTTTTTTAAATATTAGAATCACATATTGTACACTCAAAAGGAAGATTTGCAGATTTTTGTCATTATTTACCTTCATTATATTTCTTCACGTGAATAAGAAAATTGTTGCTTTGAACATATTTCTAATGTTATAATGTTGCCTAACTTAACCTTTATTATATAAGTGGTAGTGCCTTCTTTAGGTACATGAACCCTGAGGTTTTAAAGAGAACTCTGCACTTCTTTGTGAATTCTAAAGCATGGTTAAAAATACTTCTAAGCTTTTTCAACATTAAATACTATTTTAAATTAGTGATGTAACTGGCACAATATTTAGATTTTATCCCTTCAACCAGAGTAAATCTTTTTGATACAGTTATTTCATTTACCCCAGTCTAAATATAAAACAAGGGATCATGAGTTACTTAACTTTTCTCAATGAGTAAGTAAACCTAGATATGCAAAGAAATTCAGAATTAAATTTTAAGACAAATTTCTTCTTTCACTCTAACATGCTGAAATATCTGGACTAATAAATATAATATGTGTTGAGAGCTTTAGCTAATAATGATGGTTTTTGTGGAGTGTTTATTCCTCCAAGCAGGGAACTGAATATACTATTTTGTTCCAGTGCAATAAGGTTACCTTTCAATCTGAAAGTGCTAAAACAAAATTTAAGTTATAATGAAGTCCAACAATGTGTAACAAATACCAGATGGTTTCAAATATTATCCTAAACAATTTACTTCCCTATGATTTCTATCTGAACAAAACATTAATTAAAAAAAAACACAGGTAAAAAGATAAAAAAAGAATTGAATAAAATATGTATGTGGAATTTTACTGTGCATCCATTTACCTAATAAGATACTTACAAAAGCACACTTCATTTATAAAATATTATTTACTAATGTCTTAAACATTAGAAAGCATAATGTATCATTATTTTCAATGTACATTGAACAACTAAAAATGGAAAACAAACACAAGTTCAAATTTGTATGTGCATTGATAAAAGATGAACAGAAGCTTATAAATAAAAATAAGTATTTTACTGGATGAAATAAGGCAAAAAATTAAGAACATGGTTTATGACCTTGTTAGTACAGATTGAACTAAAGAGTTGTCCAAGTCATGATCAGCATTACATAGATAAGTAGTCTTCAGATGGAAAATATCAAACAAACCCTAAGAAGCATACTTATAATGATGTTCCCTTGGATATATTAAGTTATCACAGCTTGTTTTACACCATCAATTTCAGGATAAGTAAAATTATCTAATTCTGATCACAAGCTATTTGTTTTCTTTGGTAATTACCACATTAGAATGTATGTATATACTCTAATTCATTTTAGAGTCATTTTAAAATAAATTCTGGCAGAAAGTTTGTATTTTCAACAGGATGATAGGCAACTTCAATAAACTAACATATACTAATGAAATGTTAAAGAAGAAAAGAACTGTGGGGTAGTTTAAGCTCCTGATTTATCACAATAGCTTGTGTGACTGTTTACACATGATAGAGCCTAAGAAGACAGGAAGGTCCCAGGATACCCTTTTAACCACTGGCCTTGAGCATTTTAAGGGAAAGGGTTTAAACGCCCCATAAGGCCTTGTTTTCCCCTGATCTTTTTCTTTTGCTGCCAAATCACTATAACATTGCTCATTAATTTACAATTAGCAATGTTTTTTCAAAGTGTGAAACTGTAGAAGTTGCAAAGTATGAAACCCGATAAGAACTGTCACATTAGATGATTCATAAGGACATGAGGAATTTTCTTTTTGACTATTCACACTCTCTATCTAATACCTATATCATATATTTTCTTTCTGAGATAGAACGGTGGGGGCTTCTATTTGTAATTTTCTTAAATAGCATTATTGCGGCACTATTCACAATAGCAAAGACTTGGAACCAACCCAAATGTTCAACAATGATAGACTGGATTAAGAAAATGTGGCACATATACACCATGGAATACTATGCAGCCATAAAAATGATGAGTTCATGTCCTTTGTAGGGACATGGATGAAGCTGGAAACCATCCTTCTCAGCAAACTATCGCAAGGACAAAAAACCAAGCACCGCATGTTCTCACTCACAGGTGGGAATTGAACAATGAGAACACATGGACACAGGAAGGGGAACGTCACACACCAGGGCCTGTTGTGGGGTGGGGGGAGGGGGGAGGGATAGCATTAGGAGATATACCTAATGTAAATGAAGAGTTAATGGGTGCAGCACACCAACATGGCACATGTATACATATGTAACTAACCTGCACGTTGTGCATTAAAGTATAGTAAAAAATAAAATAAAGAAATTATGGAATGTTTGTTGTAGAAAATATAGACATATACATATAGAAAAGGAAACATTTGAATTATACCAGCAAGAGATTACTGATATTTTGCTTTAGTGTATATAATGTAATAACACTTGTCATAGACAGTTCTTGCTTGTCATCATAGACAAATGTTATTACATTATAACATGAAGTCAAATTTCAATGTTGCCTAATATTATATTGAAATATAAATGTAATGGTTGCAAATCTTTTTGACGCAACACATAATGCCCCGTGTCTCTCAAACAATGAATATGATAATTATCTGGGGATGTTTTAAAACATATTGATATTGTGTCAAGCCCAGATTAAAATTAAAATCTCTTGAAGTTGGGCCTGAATACCAGTATTTTTTAATAGACTTATTATGTGAAATGCATGTTTAAGTGGAAAAAATAAAAGATGATTCTACTTGGTGTAAAACCTTAAGTAGAACCTCTTTCATTGATTCTTTCATCCTTTAATCACACATCCTTTAATTCTCAACATCTAATGTGGAAGAACTCTAAGAGTAGCTGATTCCACATGGCCGAGGAGGGCATAGAAGACTAGAAAATAAGGAGAAGTGACAAAAGAAGTGTTCATCTCATAATTATACCTCTTAGGAGTATTTAATAGGAATTTAACAGAATTCCCTATTTAATATAGACATATACATGTAGGATATATATATATATGTATGTATATGAAAGAAAAGGAATCATTTTAATTCTATCCATAAGATATTATATTTTGCTTTAGTGTATATAATGTGATAACACTTGTCATAGACATTTCTTGCTTTTTTTTTTTTAAATTTAACTTCACAGTACATTATAGAAAATTTAAGGTGTCACTAAATACTTTCTGGAGGCAAATTTTAATGTTGCCTAATATTACACTGAAACGTAAATGTAATGGTTGCAAATTTAAAATGATAATGAAACATTTTATCTTTAATGTAGTAAGAACTCAATTTCTGACACCAGTTATTGAAAGAAATTTAAATGATAATGAAACATCAGCTGCAAGAGTACCAGTGAATTTAAAGTCATTTACCAACCTTTTCTCCTGCTTGACCTGAAGGACCTGGGTCTCCAGTTGGGCCTGCTCGACCTTTGGGTCCTTCAGGGCCATCTTCCCCTCTTGGGCCAATTTGACCAACTTCTCCCTGAGGCACAGAATAACAACATTCTTATGAGTGAAACGTCCTTTACAAAAATTGTAACAGGGAAAAAATTATGACAGTGAAAGAGATCTGATATAATAAACTCCATCTTGCCTTTTACCTTCAAACTGCCCTTGATCGTTCCTGGGCATGGAGCAAGCTAACATTGGGAGAAATGTACTTTATAGTTTAAATGATGATAGTCTTTCCCCAAACAAATCTGCCTTTATAAAAACTAATACAAAGCCACAAGGTTAGAATTATGAGAGGGGTGTGAATTCCACTAAAATGTAGTCATAGTAAAAAATTACCAGCCATTGTTCCGAAAGTTACAATGTTTATAACTTCCCCAATTACTCCTGTAAATAACATCACTACGTAGAACATAAGATTAGCCTTTTGAGATGTCTTTTCAGACTTTTGCATTTCTGACAACCAGCTGACTCCACTCAGACCCATGATTCGTGATTTAACTGGCCTCATGTTCCCCAGCCAGAAGCTGAATCAGCACACAAGGACCATTTTCCATACCCCTATGATTGCATCCTCAACCAAGCAGCAGTTCTCATTTCCTAGCCTCCTGCTCACCAAACTATCTTTAAAAAACCCTATCCTCCAAATTTTTGTGGAGGCTAATTTGAGTAATAATAAAACTCTAGTCTCCTATTCAGCTAACTGTATGCATAGAGAAAGAGTTTGCAATTCCCCTGTCTGGATAAATAGGCCCTGTCTGGGCAGCAGGCAAGATAAACCCATCAGGCAGTTACAAAAATATATTTGGAGATTGAAAGGCATAAATTACAGTCTGTTGAAAGTCAGAGTTTTCAACTTTGGTGTGTTTACTCATGTTTTTGTTCATGAAAAAGAGGCTTGAAAGTGTTTGACTTAATCAATCTTTTCATATTTAATAAACAACTGAATATAGTCTGATATTTGAAAATCTACAAAAGCTGAATCATATCATATATGACATTAAATTGCTTTTAATGCACCTGTGTTATAGAGAGAGGGAAAAATAATAATAAAGATTGTTCAGCAGCTTTGGAAATTACTGTTTGGAACACAAGAAAAATGTCTCTCTTTTGTACGTGGCTTTTATCTTTAACGTTTAAGAACTTGTATATGGATGTTATTGCCCCCAATCCTGCATGCAGACTTCATTTGAATTTTAGGAAAAGAAATATTTTCTATAGAATGCTTCTTTATTCAGATGTATTAGGTACTAGTATATTACTTAAAAATAAATCTTCCCAATAAAGCATTTAATTTGCTTTAGATAACTAATATTTCTGTTTGTTTTCTATAATGTATTACTAGAAAAAACTACTATTTTTACATTCAAAAATTGAACACCACCATATAATGAAAATTCATGAAAGTTACAGACGTATACTTTCCAGGCAGCATAGCTCATTATATATGAACAAAATTTAGAGCAAACTTATCAAATTACTTCTAGTAATTTGATCTAACTTTCTAATGTCCTGTGTATAAATACTAACACGTGTGTGTGCATGTGTGTGTGTGTGTGTGCACGCGTGCATGCTCATGTTTATTATGGAACCTATGGAAATATAACATCTAAAAGACAATTGATACTACACTATCTCCACAAAAATTAAAATCCTTAAATCTTTGTATAAAAACTTAAATGAGTAAAGACTTAGGTAGTACAAACATTTTATTTATCATATGCTTACTATATTTAAAGATAAGCAAAGGAAAAAATATATATATATATTAAATTTTGTGTACTGGTGTACATTTTCTCTATACTTACTCTGTCACCTTTTAGACCCATGTCACCTTTGAATCCTGGAAAACCATCTTCACCCTAAAACATTATAAAAGGAATTAAATAGGAGTTTAATCAGTCCTTTGGAGTAACCTAAAATATTGCTATAAAAATTTATGTGCTGATAACGAGGGAAAATTATTTTTGAGAAATGTGCATGGTAGTTGTGAAACTTCCTCCTCCCTTTTCCAACTCCAGCCACAGATTCTGATCCCCAATATCATCTCATATTTTCACATTTATTGGCTATAAATTACCCTAGGACATTTTTCACAAATATGTTCATTAAATCTTATTTTATGAGGGAAATAACCATTCTCCCATAACAACATGTATTCTATACTGGTTAAACAAATAAAAAGTAAATATTTAGCCAGGTGTGGTGGTTCACACCTGTAATCCCCACACTTTGGTAGGCGGAGGCGGGCAGATTATTCGAGCCCAGGAGTTTGAGGCCAACCTGGGCCACATGGCAAAACCCATCTCTACAAAAAATACAAAAATTAGCCAGGTGTGTGGGTGCATGACTGTAATCTCAGCCACTAAAAAAGCTGAGGTGGGAGGATTGCTTAAGCCCAGGAGGTCAAGGCTGCAGTGAGCCGTGATTGTGCTACTGTACTCAAGCCTGGTGACAGAGCAAGAACTTCTCCCCCCAACAACAACAACAAGAACAACAACAACAAAAGGAAACACTTAATTATCATTTTAACTTTGTATTACAAGAGCTCTGGAGTAGCACACAGAATGAATAAAATGATTTTCCCTTAATTTACTAATTTATGCCTATAAATTTTATATTGTATTTTTTTTTAAAATCATGTCCATTAGATAAATGCCTTCTAGCTCAATGGGTTCTGTATCTTACAATCTTCTTTCAGGTAAAATTAATTATATAAAATAGGAATTAATAATATCCTTTACAGGTAGAATTGCTAATTGTAGCACTATACACACAGAGCAACAATGCTGAAAATGAAGTCATTTAATGAAGAGAGGAACGATTTGGGCTACGGAAATATTTTCTATCATTCTTATTGAAACCTAGATTTTTAAGTAAGTTGCATAAACAACCTTATTATCTCTTAAGTTCAAGAAAAAAAAATTAAATTACTAAGAAATAGTCATTCATGTGTTCAATAAAATTAATTGAGCAATTACTCATTCAAAGTGCTGCGGAGTATTTTGAGGTTTTTGTTTTACCAGTAAAATCTAAAAGTGGGCCAGGCACAGTGGCTCATGCCTGTAATCCCAGCAGTTTGGGAGGCTGAGGCAGGTGGATCATCTGAGGTAAGGAGTTCGAGACCAGCCTGGCCAACATGGTGAAACCCTGTCTCTACTAAAAATAGAAAAATTAGCCAGGCATGGTTGTGGGTGCCTATTATCCCAGCTACTCGGGAGGCTGAGGCAGGAGAATTGCTTGAACCTAGGAGGTAGAGGTTGCAGCGAACCAAGATCACTCCG
Organism: Homo sapiens; assembly: GCF_000001405.40. NCBI lineage: Eukaryota > Metazoa > Chordata > Mammalia > Primates > Hominidae > Homo > Homo sapiens. The sequence goes on from NC_000001.11 coordinate 102,990,994, forward strand.
CTGCACTCCAGGCTTGGCAACAGAGGGAGACTCCATCTCAAAAACAAAACAAAACAAAACAAACAAACAACTGAAAGTGGGACATTTGCAGTTATTTTGGTACAGATGAAGTAGAAAGGGTGTCTGGAGAAGAATGCCAAAATAATGATAATGATGATGATGTATGGTGCTTGTGGAGGAGGTGGTGAGGCAGGAGGTTAATAGGGAGGGTTTGATGGAGGGGTTTTTATTTCAGTTGGTAGAAATGAATTTGATTTGATAATTTCAGAAAAGAACATTTTGGGCTGTGTATGAAAACAAAGCTAGGAAGGATAGGCACAAATGCTTCCACATCTCGCTGCCAAAATGATCTCTTTAAAATACAAAACTGGTCACATCAATTTTTACTTTAAAATATCCTAATCGTATCAAATTGCTAATAATCAATATAAGGCACCTCCCTTCACCACGTGATCTAGCCCTTCTTCACTTCTTCAGTCTTTTGTCTTGAACTCCTCCTAAAATTAACCTCTCCATCTTGTGGCCTTCACTGAATAATTATTATTGCAACAATATGCCGTCCTGCATTTTCTAGATCATAGGTTGTTTTCCTTCTGCTAAATGGCCGAACACAAGAATCCTGCCTAATTAACCTGTGAGTCTCCAGTGTCAAACATGTTTTGGACCTTCAGTAACCACAATGTTCAATAAACATTTACTAAATGCCTCAGTGTGAGTTTAGCAAGGTATATTAAAGTCCAGAAAATACCAAATACTGGGTACTTGTGAATATGAGACCTAACCCTGGAAAGAGATTCAAACTGTTATCTTGCATACTCAAAGAACTCTAGCATGCCAGGAATTTTTTTTTTTTTTTTCAAGAGAAAGTCATGCCATTTTCACCATCCTGCCCAGGATGCTCTCTGTACTGAATGTGATTGGGCAATGGCAGAGGCTTAAGAGCTGTAAATGACCACTGAACTTGCTATTGACAACGTCTTCATTACCTCCTCCCTAGAGAAAAACATAATTACACAGCTGCCATGCTTAGTTTAAAGAACACTGCACTCTATGTCTAAAAATCACTTATAGACTCTGACTATAGACAGAATTTTATTTTTAAATTATTTTTAAAGTGAGAATTCAGTCTACAGGGAGGCTATTTTTCTCATGTTTTAGTTTTCAGCATATTCACGTTTAAAAAACAATTAGATGATTTAATTAGGTATTTCCTTATAACAAATGTCATTTTTTAGCAAGTGACGTATCAAGTTATTAAGATTTCTAGTATTAAAATTATCAGATAAAGAAAAAAAGAAGAAAACATAGTTTTAGAAGATGTATAAAAGTGGAATTCATCTATGCCACCTAATTTATTGAGCTGTGTTGCTCCAGACTTAAGCGACAAATCTAAGGCTAAAAAAGAGAGAATTTTAGTCATAATTAGAGTACTAACTTGCTATATCACCTTTGGTTAACAATTAACATCATTATATATAAAATATTTTCCATTTTCTTCTATCTCGTAAGAGATAAATGATCAATTATCTTGCATACTCAGAAAAATGAAATAAATAAGGCATATTAAAAAGTCATCAGGGCTTAATCCTTCACAGAGTTTGAAAATATGGAGAATTCTTACCATTAAAAATTCTACAAATATTTATACAAAGTTTCTCTAAATCTATAATTTAGAAAACTAAATTGTAATCTATAATAAAACATAATTTACTACTTGATTGGTATATTAGATAGAATAAAAGCTATAGCTGAAAAATACCTTTAAATTTTTTTAGGGAATTTTCTTTATTTTACAGACTTCAAATGAGGCTCAGAAAAAGTAACTAGAAAAACTAGAATAATAACCCAGAACTTTTGGTTCCCAATTTAAAATTTTACTTATTTTCCTCTATACATACTTGCATCTTCTGAGACCATACACCCTAAAAACAATGAGCAATTGTTAATAAGCTTTCCTATGTACAAAAAATGTATCTTATTTTTTTTTCCTGTATGGCTTTGTCCTCATATATATCTAGTCATTTATAATTTTATTTGCCTCTGTCACTTTACAACTCTCCTAGCAAGTTTCAGCAGTTAACAACATCCCCACCCCAGTCAGGCAATTTTCTTTTAAACACTGCCTAGCCCCTCTAAAAATCCTTGATGGATACTAATTCCAGAGAAAAACATTTGCATTTTTACTTACATTTCTTAACAAGAAAAATTCTAAACAGAGACATTATTTTTCGTATAGGCAACCTACAAATTACATGTTAAACCCTACCTGACTCACCACTGTGCTCCTTTGTCAATTCAGTGAGACACTATACAGTCTTCTCTTGGTATCTAGGGGTGATTGGTTCCAGGACCCCAACCCAACTTCCTATATCAAAATCTGTGGATGCTCCAGTTCTTGATATAAAAGGCTATAGTATTTATTTATAGCCTACCCACATCCTTCTCCTTTATACTTTAAATCACCTCTAGAATACTGATAATACCTAAGAAAATCTAAATGCTATATAAATAGTTGTTATTTTTTCATTTGTATTATTGTATATTGTTGTACTATAACTTTTTTTGACAGGGTCTCAGTCTGTCACCCTGGCTGGAGTACAGTAGCTTAGTCATGGCTTATTGCAGCCTTGACCTCCTGAGCTCAAGCAACTCTCCCTCCTTAGCCTCCCAAGTAGCTGGGACCACAGGTGCGCATCACAGTACCTGGCTAATTTTAAAAGTATTTTGTAGAGATGACGTCTCACTACTTTGCCCAGGCTGGTCTTGAACTACTGGGCTCAAACAATTCTACTGCCTTAGCCACCCAAAGTGTTGGGATTATAGGCATGTGCCACTGTGCCCAGTCATATTATAATTTTTTAATTTAATTTTTTGTTTTTCTAGTATCTTTGATCTATGGTTTATTGAATCCATGGATGCAGAACCCATAGGGAGAGCCAACTGGTACTCTGAAGTTCATCTAGGTGATCAGGATGAACTGAGATTACCGTTAAGTAGGTGAGCTAATGTGAAATGCATGGCCTTTTTCATGTAATAAATCTGACAACATAGTTGTTTACTTTTAGTATATAACAGTAGCTTTTTCCAGATAAAGTATAATGGATATAATAAATCCATCCCTTTTTGTTATCCATTCCCTATTGGTATCAAATCCACACATAAGCCTTTTGATAATATTGTAACCATGAAAATAAATGACTGTCCTTGAAAAAATATTAGCATGTGATATAATTTGGATATTTACCCACCCAAATCTCATGTTGAAACGTAATCCCCAATGTTGAAAGTGGGACCTGGTGGGGGGTGATAGGATCACGGGGGTGGATTTCCATTGAATGGTTTAGCACCATCTCCTTGATGCTGTCCTCCTGATAGTGAGTGCCTTCTCAGGAGATTTGATTGTTTAAAAGCATGTGGCACCTTCTTCACCCCCTCCTGCTCCTGCTCCCAGCACATAGGATGCCTGTGCCCTCTTTGCCTTCCACTGGAAGCTCCCTGAGGCCTTCCAAGAAGCAGATGCCACTATGCTTCCTGTACAGCCTGCACAACCATAAGCCAATTAAACCTCTTTTTTATAAATTACCCAGTCTCAGGTATTTCTTATAGCAGTGCAAGGACAGTCTAATAGAGTATGTTCTTATGAGTATGATATTAACAATAGTTAATATCCATGTATATCTTACCAAACCTACCAATATTTATGCTATGCAACTATGTGTTGTTTTAACTTTGTATGAAATTTTGTAGTAAGAATTAATTCAATACTGATTCTGAGTGTATTAGTCCGCTTTTACATTGCTATAAAGATACTACCTGAGACTGCGTAATTTATAAGGGAAAGAGGTTTAATTGACTCACAGTTCTGCATGGCTGGGGAATCCTCAAGAAACTTACAATCATGGTAGAAGGCAAAGGAGAAACAAGTACCTTCTTTACAAGGTGGAGGAGAAAAAGAAAGAGAGAAAGGGGAAGTACCAGGCACTTATCAAACAACCAGATCTTGTTAAGAACACACTCACTATCAGGAGAACATCATGAGGGAAACCGCCCCCATGATCTCATCACCTCCCACCATGTGCCTCCCTGGACAGGTGGGAATTACAATTTGGATTAGAATTCAAGATGAGATTTGGGTGGGCATACAGCTAAACTCTATCACTGAGTAATGTCATTCCCTTTGCATTTCATCATAATCTTTGAAGGATTTGGGGCTTTGCAGGCCTGCTAAATGTATCCTTGAAAAAAATCTGAATGTCATGTTCTTCAGCAAAAGCCAATTACCTATAAATGCCCTATAAAAGATGCCATATGCATTCATAGTTTTAGGTACATTTTTTCATTCACTTCTGTCTGGTTGTAATTTTTATCTCTCTCATTAACACTATTGATTTGTGTGTAATACTATATAGAAAGACTTCCTCTTTCCCCAATTAATTTAGTGTACTTCTAACTTTCCTGTTTTGTGCTGAATTTGTTTAAACATTTTGGGGATTTCAGTAGGGAAAAAAGGAATAAATATTCATATGTTATGCATCTAACTAGATAACATCTAAATCCTGCAGCAAATCCATTCGTAAGGCCAACCCTATGATTAACAAAACTTAAGCACATGTAAAAAAAAAAAAAGAAAAAGGATGCAGAATTAATTCTCTTAGGTAACATAATTTAGTTTCTGTTCTGGTATTTAACCCTTATCACAAGATATAAGACATTGTTTTTAAGTTGTGAGGATAAAGAATACAAAATTATACTAGCATTGCGTAGTATGTAGTAATCACTCATATATTCAAGAAATAAAATGTCTGTTGAATAAATTTAAATGTTAACATAATACACAGAAATTAATACCATCTAAACAATTAAATTTTACCTTTTCACCTTTAGATCCCTTGAGACCTCTGACACCATCTGCTCCCTGTGGAATAAATTAGAAGTATTAAGTGAATATAACATTTCACTTTGAAAGTAAATAATGTGAAAACAATTTAACGTTACCTTTACTCCCCGGGGGCCCGGGTATCCAATAGGACCTTGTGGACCAGGGGGACCCTGAAATAGATGAATTACCACTTATACGTGTAATAAATTGAAAGTGCTACTCATTTACATACTATAATTTTACCAACTAATCTACAAGGATATGGTTTTTTTCTACTGCTAATATTTGATAAAGACTTTTTGGTAGTTTACTCTTTATTTCTAGAAACAGATATGATGAGAAAAACATGTAACTAGCACTACTCACTCCAAATTTATTATGTCATATATTCATACTAAAAATACAATATTGAAATGGACTAATAAGGCAAATCTTACAAGCATGTAAAATAATGTAAACAATTCAAAAATTAATAACTAGATTTTTAACCTAAAATATGCTATACTAATGTCTATAAAAGACAGTTATTGAAAAACTAACAAGATTGATAATTTCAAATAGAAAATTATAAATTAGTAGCATTCACTTCATCAAGAATATAATCAAAATTATATATCTTCCAAAAGCTGGTTTTTTCTCTAGTCTATCTAGATAAAATGTTCTATCAATCATAATTTATAATTTCCTCAGTAATGCTGAAATTTTAATGCTGTTTTAAAATAATTAAAAACAACTGTAAACAAAATGATCCTACCCCTGCTACTGTAATCTAAAGTACTAACATTGAATATGCACATATTACATTTCACTTTGATATTTTAATAGCCATTGGTCTTAATTTAACATTTAATTAGATAATGGTTACCAGAAAGTAATAAGTAATAATAAAATTGGGGTTACATAAGCAGTTCAGTAATATTGAGTAATTCTTGCCCAATTTCATTGTTTATATTATTATCATTTACTCCATATATAATACACATGAAAAATATGCACGTATTCCTAGCCATGGGAATATTTTTTAAAAAGAGAGAACATAGTCTAATTTCTAAAATTACTGATATAAAATTAAAAGTAGTCTAAGATATCTTTTTTATACCCAAAATAACTATATGAACGTGATTTATATATATGAGATGACCAAATTAAGGCATTTTCTCTTGGAAATTTATTAATAGGACATTTAAATGGATACTTTGGAACCTACCAGAGCCCCCTTTTCTCCAGACTGGCCTTCTTTCCCAGGATGACCCTATATTTAGCAAAAACATACACTGATAAGATGTAATATAAACATAGTTGATAATACTACGAAAGTATTTCTTTTGTTATTAAATCTACTAAGATCTTACTCTTTAAGTTTCAAAAACATTGAACACTTTTGCATCAGTGTGTATGGCTTTAAATAAATTGGAAACTATGGCATTTGGAAGTAAACATGACAAGCTTATATTTGATGGATGTAAGTTTCTTCAAATACATAATGCATTTGAGAGAGCTTAGAAAAAGCACATAAAATAATACATATCATTCATTAACAATTCAACCCCAGCCTCAATTAAAGCCTTACATAAAGGTATTTAAATCTGCCTTATATTTAGCAAATTAATCAAATGATCATACATGCACCTTCAAAGGGGCACTAAGACATGTGGATGAGACATCTGAAAATACAGCGAGATCATAAATGCTAACAGTGTTAATAATCAACTTATTGAGATTCAGTAAATAAAAATGTATAGCCATATCACAATTATACCCAATAACAAGGAAAGGTAGGATGAGAAATCTTATATCCTAGTACTACAAAATCTGCATATGTAGTTTAAAGAGGAAAAAAATCTGTAAATAACAAATGTTTTAATATAATAACTGTAGAGATTACATAATTTCATTGTTTATTACTATTTAAAGGGAAATAATAAATATTACTATATTTCTAGAAAAGAAAGAAATCTGTGAAGGCTGAGATATTTTCATGAAAGATGTCTGAGAAAATTTATGAATGGTGAGGAACTTCACCTGGACTCATAGAAACAGATACTTTGAAAAGGAGGAGAAGATGGAAGGGCTTTCTAGGAGAGGAAACAGCTTGGGAAAGGTAAGGTGATAGAAAATTTAGATCATGCAAGAATATGTGAGTGGACCTGCTTACCTGGAGCTAATGGTTAAGGAGGAAATGAAAAAAAATATGAGATTCTGGGGAGGTTCTGGCTTGGAGTGCCAAATGAGTTTCCACAAAAGCCACCGTGAGCTCATTAAAGATTTTGCAATATGGAAGTGATATGATGAAAGGTATTTTAGAGAGATCAATGTTTAATTACTGGCTCAATTTATTTTTATTACTAACCTCATATAATCATTTCTAAAACACATGTAAAATCTATTTTTAAAGATAATGTAAAGAAATTTTAATGACCAGGTAGCTGTTACTTACAGGAGGCCCATCAGCACCAGGAAGTCCAGCAAGTCCTGGTTTTCCTTGTGGTCCCTTATAGAGAAAAAAAAAATATTAAAAAGATAAAAATAATTTTAAAAAGCTTTAACGTGTACATATACTATGAATGAAATTCTTATCCTGAGTCACTGGCTTCAATTCATAAGTAATAACCATTTAAATAACTTTTAAATATATTATTTGGAGGAAATGCCATGTAAAGATAAATTAAAACTAAATTTAACATGTCAAAGGTATGCTAGGTTTTAGCCTGCTTATAATCTTAGATAGGTCTTTTTTTAAATTAGCAAATTAGTTTTTGAATACCACAATAAACTGAAGCTTAGAGAACAAAAAGGAAAGCAATATAGGCCAGAAATATATTGATTCATATCATTAAAGAGGTAAAGATTGTATTATTTCCCTCAATAATATTAGTAAGTACTAATTCAAAAAATTACATAGTAACATTGATGAAACACCATTATTAAAATATTTTGTGCAATGTTATGGTATGATAGTTATTCATAGGAAATGAAGGAAAGTAAATCGATTTTAATGTAAAAAGAACATATCCTAATAGGTACCCAATAAGATAATAATAAAGTAATAATTCAACAGATTAATCCCTGTTTAACCACACAGAGTTTCAAATCACATTGAACATGACCATTTCTAAATTTGGAACATGGTAAGAATCACTACTACAAGAATCAGACCTTTTCTTGGGAGAAAAGTAGACATTCTTCTAAGAATATTAAATTTATCAAGTTCCCAGAGCCCAGGTCATCGTTATTGACACATCAAGTTATTGTCCAGGATTCAGAATCAATGAGAAGGTCAAGGACATATCAGCAAGCCTAAATGCTGGACATATTTTTGGGCTTTTTCCATTCTCAGGGAGTAAAGTACAATCATTGTATTCATATTGCCTGCCATTGCAGTTTTACAAGAAAATTTCAACCAAATCAGCATAGAACAAAAATGAATTAAAAGTAACCTTTAAATTGAAAAGTGAAGATTTTTTAACCAAATGTGGCAGCGTTGCAATCTGGATGAACTTAGGTTCCTATCCACGTCTTCAAAGTTCCTCCCTTTAACTAATATTTATTTTGTGTCTTGTTATTTTATACTGGACTCAGAGAGTTATGTAACATCAATTGCTACTAAGCAATTAATATATGAGTGAACTCGGAAATTAAATCACAGGAAATATTTAGGAGATATCACAATTTATCATAGGATGTATTTGGTATATTTATCAAAAATGTCAGAAAAATATAATATATTATCTATTTTAGTTAATTAACTTAAATTTTATGAAATATTTTTACCAAAAATAAAAGCACAGGCTATGATAAGTTAGTACAAAAAATTGCTCTTGGATTGTAAAAACATATGACATTAGTTAAATTGTATTAAAATGTTAAATTATACCATGATACAATTAAACATTACTATTTACCAAATTTTCGAAGCGAAGGCTCTTGAGCCAGAATAAATAAATCATAGTTATCATTAAAAACAAAAGTAATAGCTTCTACTTTTTTAATATAGATGTAATACAACATTTATATTGTAAATACATTATCATTAAAAAGTGTTTTCCTCATATTTTTGAGTACCTTTCTCCTTTTGATGGTAAGAGATTGATTTTGAACCTACAGGCTGGATATATTCAGATCAGAGGCAGAAGCAGTATTACATAAAACAGCTCTCTTCTTACCACCGGAAATGCAGTAAACTAGATTATACATTTTATCTGGCTTGGCACAGGTAATTCAGATATAACAACTTTTCCTAAGAGCAAATTCCTCTTAATAATCTAGTACATACATGATAAAATCATGGTAGAAAATTTAATAGGTGCATGTGTCAAGTGCAATACAAAATAAATATAGTATATTTTTAATGCACTAATCTAAAATATGAGTGACCCAGATTAAACTCCCTGATCTAAATATTAAAAATAACCTTTAGAACCTAACATAACTAATAGGACATTTTCCAATAGTGCTGTGCAGCTATGTCTAAAACATCCACAGAAAAAAGTACTTTCAAAACCACTTAAATCTGATATGTCTGCTCTTACAACTCAATATTAAGATAAATAATCCAATTAGAATATTAACCAAAAGAGTTTAACAGCTATTTTATCAAAGAAGTTATAGAAATGGCCAATAAGCATGTGAAAAGATGTTCAACAAAAGTAGTGATTAGGAAAATGCAAATTACAACCACAATGAGATAACATTTCACACCAACGAGAATGATCGTAATCAAGAAGACAGACAATAACAAGCATTAGTGAGAATGTGCAGAAATGACTATCCTCATACATGGTTACTTGGAAGGGAAAATGGTACAATCGATATGGAAAAGAGTGGAATTCACAAAATATTGAATATAAGTTTACCATAACACAAGAATTCTGCTTCTAAGTATATACCAAAAAGAATGAAAACACATCTATACAAAGACTTGTATGCAATTATTCACTACAGCACCGGTATGGAGAATAGCGAAAAAGTATAAACTACACCTATTCTATCAACTGCCAAGTAAAAGTAAACAGAACCTGGTATACCCAATCAATGGAATACTATGAGAACAAAATAAGGAGCAAAGTACTAATATATGTATGCTACAGCATGGATGAACCTAAAATGAAAGAAGTCAGACATAAAGGTCACATACACATTCATATGATTAAATCATAAATTTATTCATAAGTTTCATTCACATGAAATATTCAGAAAACTCAAATCTACAGAGACAGAAAGCAAATTAATTGTTAGCTAGGTCTGAGGGGGTGGAAACATGGACTGAATATTAACACGAGGATTATTTCTGGAGTGGTATAAGTATTCCGAAACTTAGATTGCAGCACATCTGTAAATTTAGTAAAAATAATTCACTTGTACACTTAAAACAAGGGAATATTTATAGTATTTAAATTACACTTCGATAAAGCTATTAGTTTTTTTTAATTAATATGTTTGTAGAAATCAACAAAAATAATGAAAGAAAAAAGGTGTTGGAAAGAGCCAGATAGAAATGTGCTATGACTACAGGGGACAAAATATTACTCAAGGAATCTCACAGTGGAGATCAGGGAAAAAGACATGTGTTTAATTATAGATTTATTCTTGTTTTGATCCAGACATTGAGTTATTAACAAGAACATCATTTGCTATTCATATATGAGATATAATGGCAATGACAACTTCACAACTTTCCTTTCATCATGTCTTCCTACAAATCTTTTGTCACAAGCAAACTTAATTACTTTTTTGTAAAATAATGAGAAAGAAAAGGAGACCTAAAATAAAGAGAAAATATTCACTCATACCGTTATGTTCCTGAAATTAACATAGCTGAGAATGCCACATTTGGAAGCTGTTTAAATGGTAACTGAAGTTTTATCATTCTCAGTTTAAGAACACATGAATGAAATCTCCCCACACTATATTTCCATGTCGACTCCAGATTAATTCCTTATGTGCTGAGCTATCTAGATATCTTAACAAAAACAGAAGGCAGACCTTATACCTGCCTAAGATTGCTAAAACAAACATGTTCACCAGGCTTTACGAGAACAACAGAGTAACTTACTTTTTCACCAGGAGGACCAATTGGACCTTGTGGACCAGGAAGACCCTATTTTAAAAGAATTTATTTCATATATCAGATATCAAATCACAGTAATATGCTTTTAAAACAGCAAATTATTAGCTCACTATAGTACACAGTGAGTTATAAGAATCTGTATATATTCCCATACACCCCAAGGAATTTTAGAACACGATGAGGAGTTTTACACAAGCTGCTCTTTTTTGCAAAGGGACTATAATGCGATCCTATTCAGAACCCTCCTGCAGGTGGCTATTAGTCCTGGCATTCCCTAAACATTGAATGAGTCATTTTTCCCTGGGAAGAGAGGGGCTTCTGCAAGTTTGCTCAAATTTTTTTAAAAAAAGAAAAGTATGTATTTTCCTACATTCACATTTTAAATATTGCTAGGACTACATAGAAAATTGTGAGACTGTCGATTTTCTTATAGAAAGATAGCATCTTCCCCCCATTATTTCAAAGGAGCTGCAGTGGCTTAGACTTACCTGAGGTCCTGGATTCCCTTGTTGACCTGGAGGCCCAGGCTCCCCTTGGGGACCCTGCCAGAGGAAAATATAAAAAGTTTTTAATGGGCTATATTACACAATAGATTTTTGTTCTTCTCAATTGGAAAATACCTCTACCCACCCTCAAACAGTTTTCCCTCATGAGATTCTGGAAAATATTTCAAAATATTAATGCAAGCTGTATCTAATATACTTAGCAAAATGTAATAAATCATTATATTTTAGATTTAACAACAAAAAATGGTTTCTTAGGGCTTATATTCAAATATGAGTTATTTTATCACTATTTGCTACATACCATGTTCCCTTTTGGTCCTGGGGGGCCATCTACACCTGCCATACCCTGCAATGAAGAAAAAGTATTTATGGTTGTTTATATGTTTTGATGCTAAAACAGAAAATCAAAAAGACTAATCTAATATCATGATATTCACTACCCTAAGCAACTAAAAATCATTTTAGGATTTAATGGAAACGAAGAAGAGACAAGACCTATACTTTCTTTTCCATGTCCACATTGGAGACAATCTAGCAACATTTTCCTCTGCATGCTGGGGATGTATCATGAAAACACTAAGATAGATAATCAAAAGGAAGATAGAAGAAAAGGAGGGAATGATGAGTTAAAGTGAAAGGCAGCAACAATAGATCTTCAAACATAACAAGGCAATAAACTCTTGGCTCTCTACTGAGGGCTTTTATGGCCTCTAAAAGGTTGGCAACAAGCTTTCCCTAGAAAATCTTCAATGTTTCCAGCAATACATACAGGCTGCCCTGGAGCTCCTGGAGTTCCCCTTGGACCCAGCAAACCTCGTGGGCCCTAGGAGAAAAAGAAAAAGCACGCCTTTATTAAAAAAAAAAAATGTCCTAATAACATGCCTCTTTCAATGAAGAAATCCTAAGGTTATTTTTAGAATAAAAATATTTGGACATCTTTTATTAACACACTGAAAGTGATGTCCATAACATAAATATCTAGTGTTTATACTGATCCAAAAGCCAGAATAAATAACAGTTTTTAGTACAGAAACTGTGTTTCTTTGATTCTATAATATTACATATGAATCACTTGGGGAATTTTTAAAATAGGAAACAGTTTAATATTTTCTATAAGACACTTTTGTGTCATTTTTTGATTTCAGTGACAGCATCGAACATTATTATTCAATCAGATATACTACATAAATAGAAGAGTCTTGATTCTCATTTATTGTACATTTAGGTAAATTTCATCTTAAGACAGCATTCACTGAGGAAAGAAAACGATCATCTGTGTAACTATATATGCAGATTACAGAAACCATTTTTCGAGGTTTCTTAAATTATTATTATTCACACTTGATTTCTCCTTCTCTTCTTTTTCCCCCTCCTGCACCTGCTCACCTTCTTTTCCTTCTTTAGAAAAGCCAATAAAATAATCTAATTTCTCTCCCATTTGCTTGAACTTACTTGACAAGGATCTAAAATGTGGCGCAAGGTAGAATGCAGCAATTTAAAACCAAAATTAGGAGGCCTATTTCCAGTTTAGTTATTTTGTTAGCTAGCTTCAAGTAAACCTTCCCAGATCAGTTTCCTCATTTGTAATATTTGGTGGAGAAAAGTGATATATTCCATATGTCTGGTATATTCCAAGTGACATATTATTTTTTTTCTTCTGGTAATAGGATTCATTTCTTCTCAGTACATAAATTTCGGAGCTATTGATGACAGCACAAAAAACAAAACAAAGAAACAGCAACAAAAACTAGGTAAGGTAACTTTTTTGGCTGGAAATGTTACATTCCACAGATTTTTCCCTCAATTGTCTAAGATTTTCTCTGTAACAAAAGGAGCTCTATATATCCTTTTTAATTTTTTTCGCATGGCAATTATCTGGTTAGCTTAGCTAAGACTGCAATGTTTACCTGGGTTTATCATTGTTTTTATATGTGTAACACCAGTCACTAGTCCTAAAAACTAGAAATATTACTTAAAAATAAAAAGTAAGTTGCTTACAGCTTCACCTGGAAGACCTCTTGGTCCAATTTCTCCATCTTCTCCCTGTCATTGACAAAATGAATGAGAGTATAGAACATTTGGACAATGTATCATTTCAACATGATTTTGTTTTATTATGTTTTAATTTTAAATATTTCTTAAGAAAAGAAGTATTAACATACCCTCATTCCATCATCACCAGGAGGACCTGGAGGACCTTGAGGACCTCGTTCACCCTGTTAAATCAATACAAATAAGATTAGCATATGGAAAGAAGTAGAATGTTTACAAGTCTATCAGGTAGCTATCCAAACCAAATAAAACAGGACATTTGGCAGGGAAAATATATGCTTTATTTACCCTCCTCAAAAAATTTTGCAGATAAATCATAATTTAACAACTTTAACTGGCTTTACATGTTAGTATGCTAATAATATTTTATAATTATAATATTTTCTCTCAATTTTCAATACAAAAGAGTTATGTAAAATAAGTATCTTAAATCGTTTTCAGACATTTAATTATTTTAAGCTAAATTGTTCAGAAACTTATTTTGCTGATGATTGTATTAAATATGGATATATTTTGGTGATTTTGACTTAAATATTTTCTACTTCTAAGTAATTTATATTAAATCAGCATAACTCAGGTGACTAAAGAAATCTGGTATTTTTTAAATGGATACAATTATGTCTTGATCTTAACATGTTAGACACATACTATATGTTCTGTCAGACATTCATAGGGTTTTCTTTCCTTTTACTATTTTTTTCTTCTCCAATTTACTTAAAGCTTATCTTATTCTCATTATTAATGCTGTTAAAGAAAGATGTGAAGATCTAAAGCTGATCTTTTTCTGAGAGATTGTCTGCATAGTTTCCTACTAAAATTATCTACTGGAATACTGTTCAGAATCATGGTTTCTTTAGCCTTCACAAATTACAAGTTCTTGCCTTGTACTGAAAGTTTTTACCATCACCAAAAAATAATATAGTGCCTAGTATATTACTGTATTAATGACAAACCACCTACAGATGTCTTCTTTTGAGTATATGTCCACAGGCAAAAAGCAATGAAAAGGTTGAAGGAATTATTAAAAAATTAGAGGTAAAATTAAATGTCCACATTGCTCTTCTGTTTATGTGATATTTTCCAGGTAAATGTATATAAAGATTCTGATTCAATTTATGTTTGCATAAAAGGAATATTATAATGTCTAAAAATATTCAAAGAACTTACACTGATACCACATGTGTAATTTTACCTATTTTCCTTCTAGTATCTATTAGATTATTAAGTGGATTCACAAACGTTAAAATTAATTTTTCTTCTTTTTCTGATTTTGCAAATTGTTATCAATTCTAAAATATTTTATAACATTCCCTGGAAAAAAAGGAATAGATGTATCTTACCCTGTGACCTTTGTCACCTGGCAGACCCGGAAGTCCATCAAACCCTCGATCTCCCTGTAAAACCATCATCATCATCATCATCATCATCATCATCACAATTCCAGTCTAGATATGTACTGCAATTTAAATGCGAAATATTCTCTCAGATTCAGAAAATGGATTTTTAAATATAAAATTTTCCAGAGTGAACTGACACAGGATGTGAATATAAAAATATGTGAGCTCCTGACCTTTGCCCCAGGTTCTCCTGGCATTCCTCTTCCTCCATCTGCACCTGGACGACCCTAATAATGCCAACAGCATGATTAAGCGAAGTGACTTTTATTACTAGCAAGGAAGTAAAATAAATAAATAAATAAATAAATAAATAAAACTAATGATCATGGCAGATGCCTTCAAAATGCACAATGAAAATAAGCCATACCCTTTTTCCAGGTTTTCCCGTTGGACCAGGGGGACCCTGGACGCCTCGAGGGCCCTATATCAAGACATCATAATTAAACCATATTATAGAATTCTTGATCAATAAACTCAATAGCATCAAGAGAGATGGTTTCAGAAACTAATATCCTCTTAGCGTTACCTTAATCATTCAAACACAAGAAAATTATTTCCATGTAAAAGTTCAGATAAAGCAGAAGACAAAAGGTTCATATCAAATAAATACCTATTTTTTCTAAATGGCTCCATTTTTTTTTTTTTTTTTTTTTTTTTTTTTGAGACGGAGTCTAGCTCTGTCGCCTAGGCTGGAGCCCAGCGGCGCGATCTCGGCTCACTGCAAGCTCTGCCTCCCAGGTTCACACCATTCTCCTGCCTCAGCCTCCCAAGTAGCTGGGACTACAGGCGCCCGCCACTATGCCCGGCTAATTTTTTGTATTTTTAGTAGAGATGGGGTTTCACCAGCATGGTCTCGGTCTCCTGACCTTGTGATCCACCCATCTCGGCCTCCCAAAATGCTGGGATTACAGGCGTGAGCCACCGCGCCCGGCCCTTATCACTTATTAATTATATATGTAGACATGAGGTTACATTTAAATAAAAGAAATAATTACACATTTTATTCCCCAAACCTTGGGGTTTTACATTTCCCTTGATGGAACACACTCTTAACTATCCATTCCATTTCTCTTCTCTTTCCAATCCCCTTTCTTTCACTTTCTCTCATTTGTTGGATGTTCTTTACTAGATATTTCTCCTTTCATTGCGCTTATAATGTTGGATTGTAATGGTCTTTTCTCATGTTTGAATCTCCCATTTAGATTGTGAACTGCTAAAGTCTTTAACCTATTTTTCCCCACTATACTCCTAAAATTTAGCACAGTGCCTGGTACACATCTCTTTTAATTAGCTACAAAATTTTGGAGGACAATTTGCCAATCCCTGAAGCAAATTATTGACTGGCACCATACTATGTCAGATTAAAGGTTTAAAATTCTCATTATCTTTTTCTTCAGTAGCAGTACACCATAATGTGTCAATATATACTTTTCGTGGGGATCGATATACATATTTTAAAATAAAAGTGTACAGCTAATAATAGGTCAAATGTAGTTTCACTATAAATATTACATAGGCCTTCATATTTAACTAACTACATATACTATTTAAAGTTAATTGAAACAATATGCATATAATAAACATGGTAGAAAAAAATGAAACCCAAATTTGAAAATATAAATAATTTTTATAATCACTGTGAAATGTTCATTCTAGAAATATAAAATTAAGACTGTCTAAAGACCCAGCGCGGTGAATCATTCCTATAATCCTAGCACTTTCGGAGGCCCAGGAGGGCAGATTGCTTGAGCTCAGGAGTTTGAGACCAGACTGGGCAACATGGTGAAACCCCAACTCTAGAAAAAATGCAAAAAAATTTGCCGGGCATGGTGGCGCATGCCTGTAGTCCCAGCTACTTGGGAGGCTAAAGTAGGAGGATCCTTTGAACCCAGGAGGCAGAGGTTGCAGTGAGCCAAGATTATGCCACTGCACACTCCAGCCTGGGCAACAGAGCAGAGTGAGACTCTGTCTCAAAAAAAAAAAAAAAAAAAAGATTGTCTACAGGTTAAAGAGTATGTAGCTTTGTAATGAGAAGACTGTACTCTGAACTCCAGTCTGAAGGCATGGGCCAACAATAACAGTACAAATTTTTTTTTAGTTTTTAAATGAAAATAATCCTTCCTTTGATAACACATTTCTCTTTTTGGATTAAAGGAGTCAAGGAAAACTAAAATCCAAAACAATTACTGCAATATGTTTTCAGCTTCATCTATTTTATAAAAAGAAAGTGTTGAGCAAAAAGTTCACAAACTTTGGGAAAAAATAAACTCTCTACATTTTCATATAGTCTAATATCAGTATTTTTACACGATTCCCAGTTAAGCTGCATTTTCCATCCTTTTAATGGCAAAGTTAACCCAACATAAAAAAGAAGGCTACTATATCTTGAATCACCCAAATATCGTAATCAGTTTTCTCTGAATTTTTTAATTTCAAAATAAACCCTCATACATCAATGGAATACTACTCAGGAACAAAAAAAAAATTAACTATTGATGCATTCTCGAAGGAATTATGCTGTATCAAAGAAGCCAGTCAAGAATAAAAAGTCAAATTTTTATTTTTTACCTGAGGACCTGGATCACCACTCTCACCTTTGGCCCCAGATGAACCAGGCCCCCCCTATAGAGAAAAAGTGAAGATATTTCACTTAATTTAGCAATTTCCTAACTACTTTTATCCTGCCAATTGCACCTGAAATAATTAAACATTATTCAAAATATATTTAATCATATTAGCATTAACTTATTAATTAACACAGTAAAATTTTCCAGCACTTGCATTGAAATATATCTCTTCTCAATGTTGATTACATTCCAATTTGTGAGCAATAAAGGTCTATATTTTATGTAGCACTACACAGAAGCTAACCTCATGAAATCACATTGAAATTGTCTTTTGTGTGTGCACTATCAGAACTCATATGATGACACACAAAGCATTATTTATGACTACACTGTGATGTAGTAGTAGAGTAACCCATTATTACCAAATCAGATATACATGTAATCCATTTATACTGTAAGGACTTGACAAAATGTTACTGCTTTTATATTCAGATTTTTTTAGACTCTGAATTGTATGATAATAAAATGGCAAGAACCTGGTGTTATTGATACTATTATAATTGCCGTGAAATAGTGTTAACACATTTTTCCCAGGTTGGTTTGTTTTTTCCCATGAGAATAAGTCTGTATAACAAACATCTCTTAAATACATTTACATAATTAAGAAGGTGACCAGGCATGGTGGCTCACGCCTGTAATCCCAGCACTTTGGGAGGCCAAGGCAGGTAGATCACCTGAGGTCAGGAGTTCGAGACCAGACTGGCCAATATAGTGAAACTCCGTCTCTACTAAAAATACAAAAATTGGCTGGGCATGGCATCGGGTGCCTGTAATCCCAGCTACTCAGGAGGCTGAGACAGAAGAATTGCTTG
This sequence comes from Homo sapiens, assembly GCF_000001405.40. Lineage (NCBI taxonomy): Eukaryota > Metazoa > Chordata > Mammalia > Primates > Hominidae > Homo > Homo sapiens. The sequence goes on from NC_000001.11 coordinate 103,009,334, forward strand.
AAACGGACAGGCAGAGCTTGCAGAGAGCCAAGATAGCACCACTGCATTCCAGCCTAGGTGCCAAGAGCAAAACTCCATCTCAAAAAATAAATAAATAAAAATAACTAAAATGTAAAAGGTGTAACAACAACCTGGCATGTGTACTAAAATAAATAAACAAAACATAAAATTGCTTTATAAACAAGTTGTGAGGTTTAAAATTAAACACTAGGCAACACATATCCCCAAAAACTTTCAGAACATTAAAAATAAACATGGTGATTATAGTTACTTCATGCTGAAATACTGTGTGTTCTAAAAGATTCTAATTTATTTAAATCCATACACATTCCATTAAATACTACATCGTATAAAGTATGACAGAGATTTAAATTATGCTAAATCTGAAAAATGGTAGCAATTTATAGTCTCCTGGTGACTCCAAAGTAAAAGAAATATTAACGATGCCCACAAAATACAAAAAGTCAAGTAACATGAATTTTCTAATCTTTAAAATTAAGAGAATAATGACTTTCAAGCTTCCAATGAAGAATTATTGCAAATAAACTTCTGCAAGAAAAAAACTGGGGTTCTACATTAAATCAGATTATTAATCACTGAATTGAATGCAATTATGCAATTATAGAATGGACTATTTTTAATTAATCGACTGTATTACATTCTCTGTATATAAGCACTACCTACTCAACAGATTATAATTCTTTTGCTCCAACATTTATTCTAAAAAATGTCACACAGTCATTGACTATAAAATAATAGGGAAAAAACAGATTTTCTACACTTCCTGAATGTTTTATGATACAGTCCTCCATTTGTCTATAAAGATAACTAGATGTAAACAATTGGTTAAAATAATTTTCATAGGAAAAATGTACAGATGTCAAAATATCGATGTAGACTTTCTTTTCTAAATCTTAATCTAGTGAATACTTTTTTAGACTATAGAATTAAGAGATATTTGGAAGACTAATAATTTAATGTTTTGATGCAAACATCAAATTTGCATGTTTTGAAATGGTAAAAAGAAACAATATGATTTTTTTCTCTCAATACCTACCTTCAATAATTAAGGAAGCTAAAACTTTCATATCAAAGTGATAAGTAGATAAAATTAATTAATTTTGCCTATGACTTTGAGAATGTGTTTATGGGTGTCAATATTTTCTCTTTGCCAACAGTCTCTGGAAAATTGGCTGGCTCTTAATGGTTGTTTAATGAAAATAAGAACTGCTAATATAATGTGCCTCCCTTGTTTCTGCTCATTGCTGCCGTTAGCCTCTATGAATCCATTTCCTTGTGTTTTTCAAGATAATAAATGAAATTTATTTGAATAATAGAGTTTTAGATATCCTAGGACTGATATTTGTAAATTTTTTTTTTTTTTTGAGACGGAGTCTAGCTCTGTCGCCAAGGCTGGAGTGCAGTGGCACAATCTCAGCTCACAGCAACCTCCACATCCCGGGTTCAAGCCATTCTCCTGCCTCAGCCTCCCGAGTAGCTGGGATTACAGGCATGTGCCACCACACCCGGCGAATTTTCTATTTTTAGTAGAAACGGGGTTTCTCCATGTTGGTCAGGCTGGTCTCGAACTCCCAACCTTAGGTGATCCGCCCGCCTTGGCCTCCCAAAGTGCTGGGATTACAGGTGCGAGCCACCGCGCCCAGCCTGATATTTGTAAATTAAATCAAATATGGCACTGTTTCTCAAATATCTTTGGCCATAGGAATCAACCTGGTGCACGTATTAAAATTACAGTCGCTGGTTCCAATCCTGAATCTACAACATTACAGTCTTAAGTTCAGAGTCCCAGAAAGTTTTATTTTTAATAAAATACCTAGGTTAATTCTTCTGACCCCAAATTTCATAATACACTAACATACTACTTACTTTCCTGTTATGTAAATTTGAGTCATTAACAAATAATTAAAAATTAACTCTATTTCATTGGTTAAGTGATATAGAATCTGCCATATTACTGTATTTTGGAAAGGCAAAGCATGATAAAATACATGATAAACATTTAATAATGTGTTAAATTATATAATTTAAATTCTATGAAACATAGTATCAGAATATGTGTTCCCCGTGAGCTTATATGATTGAATGTATATTCCTGCAAAATATATATAAAATTTTATGACTAAATTATGGTAAATATAAATATAAGGAAATCTACATAATAAAATCTTCGATAAAATACATGAAGAAAAACTATTATCCTAATATAATCAGTAAAACAGACTAAATAATTAGAAGGCAAAGTACTTGATTTAAATTTGAATACAATAGTTTTGCTGCAAGTGTCTACTATGTACAATACAGATAAGATTTTAACTTTCAGAATAATACGTTCTGTAAATAGCAGAAAAAATTTATACAAAAAACAAATATTTAAAATATAAATTATTTATCCATCTATTCTAAAATTAATGAGAATCCTGGTTTGAATCCTGTGAACTGCTACACCACTTAACATTAGTATATTCTAGTGTATTTGAAGATTTTTTAGACAAAAATATTTGAAATATCTTAGCTTGCTATCACGCTAGTGAGAAAAAAATAATACTTTGTTATTTCCAAGAATTTCTACAAGAGAAAATACTCTCTCTAATAGTTGAAGCACCTTGTGGAATACTGAGGCAACCTGCGGTTTAAAAAGTATCTTGCTTGCCCTAAGATTGTGTCATAATTTTCATTGGCCTCAAATAAATTTTTCTTTTTTAACAAACATTTTGTTTAATATAAAATTAAGGCTCAAGGATTTAATGTAAAACATAATTTTGGAAGCTGAATATTAGGCAAATGAATGATACTTATAGTTTAAGAAATTAATAGTTGGATATGACTCAATTACATTTTTAATTTTATTTATTCAATTTAAAATTTTTTACTGAGACCTTTTGATCAAAATGTACAGAAAACTGAATTGAGAAGGATTTTTTTAATGGAAACAACAGCAAGCATGAAAACATACCCTATTGTCACCAACCATAGATATGCACAATCCCTGGAAGAAGTTGCACAGGGAACTGCTAATTTGAAAATTTTAACATATATTATCTTTGTTGGGGTAACCTACCACAGGACCTGGTCTTCCAGTTAGACCCATTGGGCCAGGTGGGCCTCTCAGAGCAATCTAGAAAACAAAATATATCAAATTCAGTAATATTCTCCTGGAAGAGCACATTAAAGTACAATATGAATCTGCACAAGCTGCCCTTAAGTAATACATGATCAACACAGATTTAATAACTACATGCTAGAAAGAGTGTCAGGTTACTGAAGAACTGCAAATTTCTAGAATGACAAAAGAGGTAAATATCAGACATTTTAAAAACTTTTTAACATATAAAATCTTGTAATATATATTGCTATGACTTAATCAAAAATAAAAGTTAAACTAGATTTTAGAACAACTAATATCTGATAATTTACTATTCTGAATTTACTCAAGAATAATGCATAGCCTTTTTCTCTTAAATGTGTAGGCACAATTTGAGAGGCTTTAAATAAAATTCTTTTAGCAATATTTTAGGAAAAATTATGATAACCAAAGCCAGACACCATAAAACAAAACTGGTCAGGAAGTGTTATGATAATATGTGCCTTTTAACAAATCTCAGATATAATGCTATAGAGAAGAATGTTTTATTTTGTATAATCATACGCATAATAAACTGATTACATGCACTATTGTTACACTGAATATTAGAAATGTGAAATTAGCATACTTGAAAAGCTGAAACACATACAGTACAAAAGATAAAAATTTGATAGATGTTAAATTAGTATTGTGTGCTACTTTTGAATATTAGAGAGCTCAACAGATGAACACTTAGATTTATCACAAAGATATCAAAAATAATACAACAGAAATAAATGCAAAATCATATTAGAAAAGTGCACGAGATGAAAACAGTAGGATCTCCAAAATCACTACTGACTCACCATGAGATTTTTGACAATATACTTCTTAATCCTTGAGATTAAATATCTGAAAAATTGAATTATAATGCTTGCTACCTATTTTTCAAGTAGGTTAAGAGGACTAATAAAGTGAGGAATTCAATGACCTCATAAAATATTTAAGTTCAAATAATTACCTTAAAATCGTTCAAAAGAATATATTTTATAAAATAAGTTATAGAAATCTTTAGTAAATTATTTTAAATAATTTTAGATTTGCATTATGCCAAAATCTAATAAACAAATATTTTAATTTTTCATTATCTTTAAACATGATACAATCAAATAATGATATATTTTCAGATTAATAGACTTAGGAAAGACATAAACAAATATTGAGGATGAATTACAATTTTTACTCATGTTTTCAGATATTTTTACACATGCTGCATAAATTCATCATGATGCATAAAAATTTTATCACAGAAGTGATTTATATTGGTTAGAAAGTGGGTAACCATATCCATACCAAACAAAAATCCTTTATTTCCTTCTTCCTTAAAAAGAAAACCAATACTATGAATAAAAATGTTATATGAATTCCATTTCCTTCCTGGTCTATCCTTTTGATTTTCTTGTGTATATTCTAATTTCAATGAAACTAATTAAAAAACATAAATGTAATTCTATATTTTATAAGTCTACAAGTAGTGGAAGCTTTAAACTAAAAAACATAAATTGAAATTTTAAAAATACTACAGATTATAAAGATTAGGGTTGGTAAGAAATTTGAAGGTTTCTTTTTTATATATGATGCCCAAAAAATTTAATTTTCTGTGTTATCCATGATATGTTAAATAATCCAGAAAATTAAGAACAAATGTATTTCAAATTTTATTCTCTTAATTATAACCAATCATTGACTTATAAGTTAGCAGAGTAAAACTGGATGTGAAAGATAAGGTGCACTAGGTGTAAATATATCAATACTCTTGGGAAAAAAAAATAGAAATCTTGCGTGTTATGGTGGGAAACTGCTAGAATTATATAATGGCAACATTGCATTGGTCAACTACCTAACTATAATTTTCAATTAATAAACATTACTACTAGAAAAACAAATAAAATTTTAGCAGTTTTCCAAGTAAGTTTAACACAGTATTCGGAAGTAAATATTCTATTAATAATGGTAGCATCTTCCGTATGTACACACATATATACTTGATACAGAGTCAGTCATCTTGTGGGAATGCAAGTTTATCCTGTCTTACCCGAGCCTGCTGAAGAATAGCTTGAGCCTGAGCTTCCTGAGCAGAGATGGTTGGTCCTTTGGAACCATCACCACCATAACGGAACTTGGAAGAGATAACATTAAGAAATTCAAAATTAGCTTTGTCAAACATGTTGAATTACGTGCTTTGATCATTAGATAAAAACCACTTATTAAAATGGTGGGATTTTACAAAATTACAAAGTAACTCCGTAATGAATCATGAGATCTAGTTTGTATTGTTTTTGCTCTTTCCATTTCTTCTGGAAGTTCTTTACACTACAGGTTACCATTTGTAGAAGAAGAAACTAGAAACTCTGTTTCAATTTTAAATGCTATAATTTCTATACCTCTGGAATAAACCATTGTGACTTTTTTTTAAGCACAAATGTTACCCATTTTATTGATTCATTTGTATAAAATTCCAAATATACCAAGTTCAGTGACAGTTACAGCTCAATCTCTATTTTGTTTGTCAAAATTTTTGGAATATCCATTAATACACAGGAAATTTTCCTTGTGATTTATTTATTTTGTTCACCCATTCTTAAGTACTTATGTTATAAAACAGATCTTCTGTAATATTCCTCTATAAAATTTGCTCCATTTTAACTCAAAATGCAGTAGGAGTCAATTTTTCATTCTAAGTAATTATTTCTTGAAACTTTGTTCATTACATTGAAATTGATAAATAAAATATGCATTTTTTTCCCAAAACACCAGGGCAACAAAAACTTTACAAAGGAATCTTACAGTAAAGCAAATAATTTTTGAGCAATGAATAATAACACTACAAATAAATACTATTTATGACTATATAGATAATAGATGGTAAATAGTATATTAATGTTATGTTAAATAACATATGAAAAACATGTTAATACTGTGACTCAGGATAAACCACAATTGGAAATATTGTCAAAAACTCTGTTGCTAAGAGTGTAATCAAATAATGAATTCTTAGTTTTAATGCAGAGATTGATACCATAATTTTGTTTTGTAAAATTTCCCTGAATTTCCAAATGCTGCTTAATTTCAAGTATTTCTACCTTGTACAATGGTTTTTAGTTGATTGCTCTTCAATATGGTTCAACAATAAACTTCAGAAAAAAGATGACAAGATATCAAGTCATCTCTATAACATAAAAAAGAACATACCGGTAACATCAACATAGTACCAGGAGGACCAGGTAGACCATCAGCCCCTGGTAAGCCAGGACGTCCTGGGGGGCCCTAGAAAAATAAATGAAATAACCAAAATAAATAAATATCAAAATAATATTTACTAGAACTAGAATAACTTATAACGTAAGTCTACTTTATCTAATTTGCATTTGCCCTTTCCACCTTATTTAGTCTGTTTTTAGTAAGTATACCTAGACAGAATTCTATTCTGTTGCACTAGTTTTAGATGATTTTAATAATGTTCGGTTATTAATATATAATCCAATTAAGCTATAAATTTTGCTCAAACTTTGTTCACAGCCTAAAACTGTGTAAGATGAAGAGTTCACATATATTTTAAGGGAAAGTAATGTGAGAAAAACAAGTAGTACAAGCCTGGTTCTTACAGTTAGATAAAAACAGATTTAAGTAAATAATGAAAGTTTTATTTAAAAATTACTAGGTTTAAGGTATATTTTAGTATTCTTTAACAGATACATAAATAGTATTTATTTTGTAGAATACTTAACTACATACTATATTTTAATAGACAATAGATACTATCTTCAAGAGAGATACTTTTTAACATAGATAATGACTAATTTTAGCATGTTAATGTTAATCATAATCACTAATTTATTTTAAATGTTTACTGATTAAATATACTCAGTGTATGTATGTGTGCATGCATACATACATGTACATTTAGAAGTTTAGGTGTGACTATGCTGTCCAGAAATCCAAGATATGGATATGAATATAGAAAATATTAAATATGTAATATATACATCTGTTGATAAGTATGTGACTCATAGATATAAGGTATATGTCCATAAGCTTTCAATATAAGGAGACATTTCTACATAGCCATGTCATACTTGTCAGGGAAGCAAGTAAATTCAAAAATTAATAAATAACTAGATACAAAATGCTATAACTCAAAGCGCCCAACCAATATATAAAAAAATGCAGCAGCACTTTTCAAATGTGAATTTCTCATAAAAAGTTAACTCCTAGGAAAGTGTTAACATTGATTCTAGATTGGCAAAATTATATTTTATTTAGAATATTATTTCAATAGATTCTGTACAAGTTTCAAGGAACTGTTAAAGTAAGTTCAAATAATGGCTTCTATAAAGAAATAATTTTTTAAAATCCTAACAAATCTAGCTTGAATGGTATAATTTCCTATTACTAAAATATTTCCTACATTTTTAGATCATTTATATGTCTCTATTTATAAGGCACAGTGTAAAGAGATGAATTTCTCACCTGATATAGAGTTTAAGGTGAGTAAATTACAGAATATAAAAAGGTCTTATGAAAATATGGTGGGATTTAAAAATATTAACTAAAATGACTATTACACATAAATGTCTCCAAGAAACTGGACATATCAAATTAAGTAAGCAGAGCATGTAAGAACTAACTTTATGAACTTTATTTTAAATAAAAAGTTTCATAATGTTTGCATAATACACTTCTTATGTCCTCTGACCTTAAATAGCTGTTACTCAGTCCAGAATTTCTGAAATAGTTAAAAATCTTCCTTCATTAAATTTAAATTAAAAAGTTTTTACATTATTTAAATTGTAATTATATGAAAAGTATAAGTTATTTGCATCTCTGATCCTCTAAAGAACAAAAGAAAGAAAGTACAAAGTTATTGGCTACTCAAGGATGTGGGGAAAAAAGGGAAGGTTATTTTATGAGAAGAGTTTGGAGAGACTTAACACAAATGAGATATTTCAGCATGTAACCCAGGGTTTGATCCTCAAAGTAGAATTTAGATTTATTAACTTATTCTGTCAGCATCCAAATAAATATAAATGGAAATATCTGGAAAATATGACTGGAATTCAAATTTGAAGACCAGAATCCCTAATGTAATGAGTTCATATCAATATGGATGTTGGGTGAAATAAAAGTTTTCTTACTAATTATGCCATAGATAAATGCACATTGTTTTCCTCACTTCAAAATAATATTTAAAATGTTAACTAAAATGTTGTGCAGCACTGAATTCATGCTGCCTTTACCCCTCCCACACGCAGTAAGATAACATGTTATACTTGTAGAATACATTTTAATTATTTAAGTCTGTATGACATGCATTTGTAATGAGATATCATGTCCATTCACTTACCCTATCGCCAGGGTCACCAGGGGGTCCAGTGGGGCCTTGTAGACCTGGAGGACCCATAATACCCTATAGAGAAACACACCATATCTTAATCAGATTCCTAATCTCATTAATATTTAGATGAATTCACTCTAGTCCTATCGAAGAGTTCGTTTATATTTTATAAATATACACTAGAGTTCTAAACAGTTGCCCTATTTATCTTCCTGTGAAAAGACAACATATAGAAACCAATTTGTAGCTAGTTCAGCTGCTCTCAGGGTGGAGGCAAACATTTCAAGGAAAAACAGGAAAGAAGAATATGCCAATGTAAAGTCTCTAAGGTCATATTTGGTCCCAGTTCTAACTGAAGAAATGGAACACTCATAAAATTAGATCTCAAAAATTTGATAGCCAAGTTGAACATGTAGAAATCATTTAGGTTAGAGGCAATTATGTTTCCTTTTATGGGTAAACATATTTAAATGCATCAGTATCATATATTATTTTAGACGACAAGAGTTTAATTAATTCCACAAAAGACAGAGGATTTATTACAAGGTCTTATCAGTGCAATCACCTGAGAATAAACACACTGAGTAACATCAGCCTTATCAGGATACCACAATGGAATCTGATAATTACTCCACACAGAGGTATAGATAAGGCAGCTGCAGTCTACCTAGAAGTTGAGATTCCATTTGTTAAGATACAATTATACCTCTGCAATGAAAATAAGGATGACTTTTCTTTACTTTCATATATTTCAGTAGAAAGACGAAAATGAGTTTAGAAGATGCAGAGGTATCTAAGCCACAAAAATATTTAAAACAAAATTTAAAGAGTATTACTTGGATAGACAAATCAGAAGGCAGTTCAAAGGCACCAGCTCCTCTGAACAAATGTTTTTCTCTATAATTCAATATTCTAATTAGTCTAAAATGTTCTCATTCAGTAATTAATAGAAATCTTATATATGATTACTTTAAATAGACAAAAATAATCTTAAAACATTTACATACTGCAGGTCCTGCTGGTCCTGGTGGTCCTTCGACAAGCATACCCTATAACAGGAAAAGAGAACATCTCTACCAGGGAAATATAACCCCCAACCTCTTAATTACATGAATATAAGAGAACACTATATCATTGCATATTAAATAGTGAATTATCTATTCATACCACTTAAATTAATTACAAATGTTTTTGCACAGGGAAGGAAAGAAATTCAAAATTATAGAAGATATAGACTGTGCCCTCAGAGAATGTGTGAATTAAGTGGAGTGGAAATGAATATTTAGATGAATAATATTACAAAGGAGAATATGCTAAGTGCTCCCAGGAAGAGTACAGACAAAACAATCTACCAAGGTTTTTTATTTTTTGTTTTTCGTTTGTTTGTAGCCCACAGAATAATACCTGGCATAAAACAGAAACTTAGTAAATATTTGCTGTGTAAATGAAAGAATGGAAAATAAGCACTTTAATTCAGGGAAATTACAGAAAAATCCAGGCAAAAGGAAAATGAATAAATATGATATAAGCTCTTTATAAGCAAAGGAATAAAGAGCTATTCAGAATAAGAACTCAGTTCTAAAACATTTATGATTCCACTCCATCTTTGGACTGCTGAAAAGCTATAATGTCATTTAAAAAGGGGGTTAAAACTTTTTATAATAAGGACTGATTCATTCTGAAAAAAATATTTTCAACACTTTTTGTGAGCATGTTGCATGATTTTGGAGTAATGAGTAGATGGCCAACAAGGTCCTTAAAATTGTCTCTTTTTATTCCTTTTTTTTATTATTATACTTTAAGTTTTAGGGTACATGTGCACAATGTGCAGGTTAGTTACATATGTATACATGTGCCATGTTGGTGTGCTGCATCCACTAACTCGTCATCTAGCATTAGGTATATCTCCCAATGCTATCCCTCCCCCCTCCCCCCACCCCACAACAGTCCCCAGAGTGTGATGTTCCCCTTCCTGTGTCCATGTGATCTCATTGTTCAATTCCCACCTATGAGTGAGAATACGCAGTGTTTGGTTTTTTGTTCTTGTGATAGTTTACCGAGAATGATGGTTTCCAATTTCATCCATGTCCCTACAAAGGACATGAACTCATCATTTTTTATGGCTGCATAGTATTCCATGGTGTATATGTGCCACATTTTCTTAATCCAGTCTATCCTTGTTGGACATTTGGGTTGGTTCCAAGTCTTTGCTATTGTGAATAATGCCGCAATAAACATACATGTGCATGTATCTTTATAGCAGCATGATTTATAGTCCTTTGGGTATATACTCAGTAATGGGATGGGTGGGTCAAATGGTATTTCTAGTTTTAGATCCCTGAGGAATTGCCACACTGACTTCCACAATGGTTGAAATAGTTTACAGTCCCACCAACAGTGTAAAAGTGTTCCTATTTCTCCACATCCTCTCCAGCACCTGTTGTTTCCTGACTTTTTAATGATTGCCATTCTAACTGGTGTGAGATGGTATCTCATTGTGGTTTTGATTTGCATTTCTCTGATGGCCAGTGATGATGAGCATTTTTTCATGTGTTTTTTGGCTGCATAGATGTCTTCTTTTGAGAAGTGTCTGTTCATGTCCTTCGCCCACTTTTTGATGGGGTTGTTTGTTTTTTTCTTGTAAATTTGTTTGAGTTCATTGTAGATTCTGGATATTAGCCCTTTGTCAGATGAGTAGGTTGCGAAAATTTTCTCCCATTTTGTAGGTTGCCTGTTCACTCTGATGGTAGTTTCTTTTGCTGTGCAGAAGCTCTTTAGTTTAATTAGATCCCATTTGTCAATTTTGTCTTTTGTTGCCATTGCTTTTGGTGTTTTAGACATGAAGTCCTTGCCCATGCCTATGTCCTGAATGGTAATGCCTAGGTTTTCTTCTAGGGTTTTTATGGTTTTAGGTCTAACGTTTAAGTCTTTAATCCATCTTGAATTGATTTTTGTATAAGGTGTAAGGAAGGGATCCAGTTTCAGCTTTCTATATATGGCTAGCCAGTTTTCCCAGCACCATTTATTAAATAGGGAATCCTTTCCCCATTGCTTGTTTTTGTCAGGTTTGTCAAAGGTCAGATAGTTGTAGATATGCAGCGTTATTTCTGAGGGCTCTGTTCTGTCAATGGAACAGAACAGAGCCCTCAGAAATAACGCTGCATATCTACAACTATCTTTTTATTCTTTATCATTTTTCTTTCTCTGTTTTTTTTTGAAATTTTTATGTCCTTACAATTTCTGAAATGATTTTCGTGTTGTTCTACCTTCAGTTCTAATACATTAGTTTTTCTGAATTGTTTATTAGCAGGAAACAATGGCAAAACCGCTTCCAAGTAAGAATCTGTTTCTTAGCAATATTATTAGTAATAATATTGATATAAATTTTAAAAGATTAATTTGGAGTGAATTAGAGATTCTTCTGTAGATGAAAAGGAAGTAAAAAATATCATATGACACAATTTGGATATGTAACAAATATATGTTATATATTTCAAATAATGTGAAGTCATAGAGATTAGAGAAAAATATCATTGGATTGGAAAGTAGGAAAGCTAAAAGTCCTATTATATCTCATTGATCAAACATTTGATACCTCAGGAAAATTACTTAAGTCCTTTAGATCTCTGGTTCTTTAGTTTTAAAATGAGAGAATTAGACAAGACAAATTTCAGCTACTTTCAAATTCTGAATTTCTGCAGCTCTATAATGTTTTGTTTTATTGAAATTCTCCTTTCTAGACAAGACCTTATTAACTTACTTATTTGTGGTGAATTGCAAACATCTGGACATCAAGATTATCATTGGTAAAACACGAACATACATAATAATTTAACATAATCGTGGCTCATAAGCAATTTTACCAACCTTTAAAGTGTATTCACACTACTACTTACAGGCTCAACCACTGCTGGTTCTCCTTTCTGTCCTTTCTCTCCATATGCACCATGGCCATTTATCTGTTGAATGAAATATTCAAAACAGCCTAAATGTCTGTAAGACCATTTCTTTCTTTCTTTCTTTTCTTCTTTTTTTTTTTCTTTCTTTCTTTTTTGAAGACGGAGTCTCCCTCTGTTGCCCAGGTTAGAGTGCAGTGGCTCGATCTCCGCTCACTGCAAGCTCGCCTGCCGGGTTCACGCCATTCTCCTGCCTCAGCCTCCCGAGTAGCTGAGACTACAGGCGCCCGCCACCACACCTAGCTAATTTTTTTTTTTTTTGTATTTTTAGTAGAGATCGGTTTTCGCCGTGTTGCCCAAGCTGGTTTAGAATGCCTGAGCTCAGGTAATCCGCCCGCCTCTGCCTCCCAAAGTGCTAGGATTACAGGCGTGAACCAAAGCACCCGGCCGGCCATTTGTTTTTAAAAAGATAATTTAGTAAACTAAACACATTTAAAACAACCTATTAAAATATATTTTTAAATATGAAGACCTATTGAAGGCTTAAATATGGCAAAAATTAAAAGAGAGGCATAAGAAGCATTAATACTGAATCTTAAAATGAGATTGAACGATTGCCTCTTATAAACATGTTTTATAATGACATCTATAGATGTCAGTTATTATTCCCAGGCATTAAGAAATGTCATCAAATTAAATTTAAAAAATAGTCTAAAAATCAGAAATAAAAAATCAGACTTGCTACTTGGAATAAAAACAACTATGGTTTAATCTTATCAATGACAAAATTTCTGATGCAATTCTATTCAAGATTTTACTTTCAAATAATGACTCCAAAAGTATGGCCAAAGATACAACTGCTGAAGATTCCCATGTGAAAGAATCTAACAAGGTGTCCTAGTGGTAATAGGCATTCATAATTTACATAAAAATTCAACCTGCATTTTAAACCTGAAAAGACATTAAGATGGACATGGACATAAAAATATCCCATAAATAAGACATACAATGACACAGTGCATAGTATCAACTTACGCTTGTTTCTGTAATATCAGTTTCTGCTGGTACACCTGGACCAAATTCTTCATTAGGGGGGCTTGTTGGTTTATCTTCATATTCTTTATATTCATAAAAATCATATTCGCCTAAATCTCCATCTACCAGAAGATCAGAATCCCTGCCGTCTATTTCTTTGTTTTCATATAGTGTATCCTCAGAATTTTTCCTCTGGGAATCATAATCCTCTCCCGTTAGATATTCTTCAGTAAATATTTCTTCAACTGGATTTGGCTATTAATTTAAATTGCAAGGAATTGAGGAACATGAAGTTTATTGTTAGTAAAGCAAGGTAAGCATTTAAATTACAATTTGATAGCGTGTGATGGGATGCGATTTTGTTACTACTCAAGCAACTCTAAACACCTGGAAAGTAGGCTTTCAGTATCATTGAAAGAAATATATTTGTACATTGCTATGTACAAAGAGATATTGCTTTCAAAGCACTTTCTCCAATAAACTGCAAATATTCACATGGAATTAACATGTGTATTTGCTTGTTCCATTGGAAAAAACATGTTAGTCAATTTCATATTTACTTCACAGTTTAAGATTTGAACAATAAAAAAGGTATGGAGTTAAAGCTTTGCTTAATGTTTTTTTCTTTCTTTTTTTTTTTTGAGATGGATGGAGTTTCACTCTTGTTGTGCAAGGGCGCAATCTTGGTTCACAGCAACCTCCACCTCCTGGGTTCAAGTGATTCTCCTGCCTCAGCCTCCCGAGTAGCTAGGATTACAGGCATGCACCACCATGCCTGGGTAATTTTGTATATTTGGTAGAGACGGGTTTTCTCCATGTTGATCAGGCTGGTCTCGAACTCCCGACCTGAGGTGATCCACCCGCCTTGGTCTCCCAAAGTGTTGGGATTACATGTGCGAGCCTCCACACCCTGGCAGCTTTGCCTAATTTTTAAATCTTACAGAACATCATTATGAAATACATTTGCTAAAAGGATAAGCCATATAAGTTTGAGTCTCATCCCATAAATAAAATAATAATATGCCAATATCAGTATAAATAGAGATGTATCATTACAATGATTATGTAGAGTATCTCATATGTAGGGAAGTAGTATTACACCAAAGAGTTCTTTAAAGCAAATAAAATAAATGATAGCTAGCAACATTTAGGACAATGAAATATAAAATATCACTGTACAATTCTCAAGAAGAGTAAGGAATAAATATTAATTAATACTTACAAGTAAGAATTATGTCAATAATACTTCCTCAGAGACATAGACAAAAACTGATACCTTTTTTTCTCATAATTCCTTACTAGTAGAATAAACCTGAATCCGACTTATCATGTGAATATTTGGTTTTATTATGATCATGATGAGGCTCAAATTAAATAACTTATCTTGCTACTTTTTATTTTTTGAGATGGGGTCTCAATCTGTCACCCAGGCTGGAGTTGAGTGGTACAATCATACCTCACTGCAGCCTGGGACTCCTGGGCTTACATGATCATCCTGCCTCAGCCTCCTGTGTAGCTGGGACTACAGGCATGCACCAGCATGCCCAGCTTATTCATTGATTGATTTATTTGTAAAGACAGGATCTTATTGTATTGCCTAGGCTTATCTTGCCAATTTGTAAATTTCATTTTTAAGTAACTCATTTTCTATTCCATAGTAAATCTAGATGATAGAGTAATATTAGATAATAGTATTACACAATCTTGTGAATGAAAATATGTAGATAAATGATGAGTAATTTTTCACTAAAATTAAATGTCCAATAACCGTAATTTTTTTTGTATTCTTAGATAAGGAGTATATGCTGTCTACAGAGACTGCATAATATCTATGGTGAGAATATTGCTATAATCATAGCTCTGAACTAAAATGCTGGATGAATTTGGTTAGGTAAATGGACATCTTGAATCAAAATACTCATTTTTTTTGAAAATTATTAATTTCATCTAAAAGAAAGTTAAAATCCATTCTCACCCTAAACATTTATTATTCACAATTTTGTGTTTTCACATAAATCTATTTGCCTAATTGAGAGACATTTTACATAAATTTTCTTAAAACTAAATTACATTTCTTATATTCATTTCCTGATAAAATTATACCAAAATGTATACCAGATATTTAACAAAGTTAAACTGAATTGTATGTTGTATTCTTCATGATCAGAATGCATGTGAAATATGAATTTCAGGAAGATTAATTTTTACCTACATGTACTTAAATATTTTCATAGAAAATAATGGAAAGATTAAGATATATTAGTTTAATAAGAATTAATATTACATTCCTAACAAGTTTGAAAATGTAAATAGTTATTTAAGTCCACTAAGACTACATTTTCTCAAAATGCTTGCTGTCATAAAATGCATGATTATTCATCAGAGGGAGTAAAATTCTAATTGTATCCTTCGATGATACAATTTTCACTTTAGAGGATTCTTCTCACAGAAGAAACATGTTGTGAATACCCTTAGTCACAACATGTTGAAAAGCTTGCTCAATTCCAGGAGCAATTAAGAAAATAATAGCGGCCAATTCAGTTTGATCAATTTAGCATCTGCATGAAGCAAAGAGTCACGCAAAACCTGAATTGGCATTGATTTCAGATGAACTGCTTTTAGTAATAGTGAACCATTGCTATTGTTTCTCTTACTTTAGTAAAAGAATAAAAACATCAGATGTTTGAGAAATTATAGATTCTTCCAGAGTGAAGTATATCAAAATAAATTACATATTTAAAAAGTGGGACTGTGATTTAATACTGTCTATACGTATTACCTCATTTGTCCCAGAAACATGCCTAGGAGCTTCTGTCTGGTAACTTTCCATTGTTCCATAGTTGTATTCTTGAAAATCATCAACGATGTTTGCCTAATGGTAAATTCAGAAGAGAATTAGTAAACATGTAAGGTGATCCCAAATGTATGGAAATCATGATTTAATTGGGTTATAGTATTAGCCAAGTGAGTATTTATCTAGTTGGGTTAAGACTATGATTCATGATCAGAGATCTTCCAGCTTATCTAGGATAGATCTTGATTGCTTTTTCTTCGCTACCTTTACCCCTAGTTTGGCTTTTGCTGATGCTTGATAACTTTTCTTCTTCTTGGATGAAAATTTTTCAGATTTGGGGGGTGTAAACTTTTTGGATTTTTCCTTTGATTTAGTAGCCACTGTCCTCATCTTCTTTTTGAAATTGGATTTCTTTTTCTGTAAAATGTGGTGAAAGATGGAATGGAAAACATAAATAAACGAGGAGGGAAATATAGAGCACAGATGAAAGGAAGGCTAAGCAAAAGTGAAATGGACATCATTCTTCAAAACGGCTACTGTCAAATAAAAATCACAGTTATTGGTTCAGAGAAATAAGATGAATGAAAGGTTTATGGTAAGTTTGAGGAACAGTCAACATAAGGAACCACAGGATGACGAACAGCAGGACACCACATACACAGGCACTGCTTTGTTTTTACCTCCGTCTGTGCTATTGTCTCCTCAGTTACAGTGGGTCCCTCTGTTACACTTTCAGCCTCTTTATACTCTGCTTCCCCATACTCATAGTCATATTCGATTATATCCTCTGGTGCATACTACATTGCAAAGGAAAAAATATCAGGCAATTGTGTTAGTGGCAAAATACTATTCACAAAGTGAGAACCATCTTAACTTTTACATAGTGTAAATGTTAAGAGATAAGAAATTAATGTTATTGATGAGTTATTTTTGTATTACATAGAAGTATTATACTGTCTTATACAGAGTATAATAACATAGGAGTGACAAAGCACATTTCCTATGAGCAGAATAGTAGTTAGTATCACGAGAAAACAAAAAATTTGGAATAATAATTCAAACTCTTAATTATGGAATGTTAATTGAAACACAGTAATTATGTACTTGGACATAGATGTCAAATATTCATTAATTTTGATTTGTAAAAATTGCTATGCAATGTTTCTCTATAAGAGCGCTACAGTAATTTCAATGGGAATTTTAAATTAAGCTACATATCTAAAAATAAAAATGTAGAGAGTAGTCTTCCTAAGTATGAAAGGATTTTCATATCTATTGAGAGACGGGAAAGAGGGGAGGAGGGAAAGGGAATACAAAGAATATGAAATAAGTATATACTGTATTAAAATACTGTAACCAATGGGAAAATAAAATCTAAAATGTATTAAGAAATTCCTAATTTCCTTTAGACTTTCCTAAGATCAAAAAGAGCACAAAATCCTTGTGAGACATTAAAAGATTCAAAATTAGATGTGCTTATAATTAATACATAATTTTAATATTTAAAATCACTGCCTTTTTCTCTATTAAAAAAGGCATAACACTTAGCTTTCTTAAAATACTTATAATAAATTCACACTGGAAATAGTATTTTATACTAATTTCTTCTGTATTAAAAGATTTTAATTAAGGAGAGATATGTTTCTTAATAGAGGGAGTTAAAAGACAATTGTACATATTAAATAATGAGCAAAATAGTGTGCTCAAATCCAAAGCTCAATATCTTTATAAAAATTTTAATTTTCAATCAAGATATAGATATTATTAAACATAAGTTAAATTCAGTTTTTAATAAAAATAACTAAATACACTAAGTCATATGTAGCATAAAAAGCAGTAAACTCAACAAGTTAAAACTCTAATATATATATATATATATATATATATATATATATATATATATATATATGCATGCATGCCGGGGCAATTTATATATAATTGCCTAGGGCAAACATATATGATAATACATATAATATGTATACTTAATATATATTTTCCAGGGGCAATCTACACATAATTCCTTAAGTAGTGTATTTGATACGATTCCAATTATGTCTCAACTGGATCTCTCTTTGCATTTTAACCATTCCCTTTTAATCTTCCAGCAAAAGAACTGTTGACCACAAATGTTTTAGAAAATTGTGATCACAGTGCCTTCTAATAATAAGCTCTAGTAGCTTAAGAGGAGTTATGAATTACAAAAACAATAAGTAAATGCATAAAGGGCCAATTTTAAACCTGGACAACTTAAACGTATTTTAATTGAAATCTGCTATTCAAGGATATATACAGACCTGTACCAAAGTAGTCAATTTTATATCATTTTTTCTCTTATAGGACAAATTATCTTCTAACTTTCATAATTCTGTCCTTTATTTAAACTCTCCAAATGTTGACTAACCAGGCTGGTTTTGAAATAATGGAGGAAATAACATGTTAACTGCCCTAGACACTACAGCACATCTTTCTGTTTTTTGTTTGTTTGTTTTTTGTTTTGTTTTGTTTTGTTTTTGAGATGGAGTCGCGCTCTGTCGCCCAGGCTGGAGTGCAAGTGGCATGATCTCGGCTCACTGCAACCTCCACCTCCCGGGTTCAAGCGATTCTCTTGCTTCAGCCTCCTGAGTAGCTAGGATTACAGGCGCCTGACACCATGCCCGGCTAATTTTTTAAACATTTTTAGTAGAGAGAGGGTTTCACCAAGTTGGCCAGGCTGCTCTTGAACTCCTGACCTCAGGTGATCCGCCCGCTTCGGCCTCCCAAATTGTTGGGATTACAGGCGTGAGTCACTGCGCCCAGCCGGCACATCTTTCTTTTAGAGCTTATTCACTCCTGGTTCTCCTTTATCTGCACAGCTTCCTCCGTGTGGTGGTCATGAATATACTCAAGACATTGCTTAGTATATTCGCAATATATATACATTGCTACGTAAAGCCTCATAACATATTTTTGGAGATAATTCTCTCCCCTCATTATGGAATTCTAAGGATGGCTTGAGACAAGTAGAGAAAAAAGAACTAGTTATAATCAATCAGACAAATATATGCAAAAAGACAGGCAGTAATGGAATAATTTCAACTTTGTCGGTATTCTAACAGAAATTAGAGTAGGTTAGGAGAAAGGATCTTCCAGAAATGTCATAATGTCTGTTCTTACATAATTTGTAAGAAAACTGGTGACATCAGTAAAAACCTGTGCATCTAATGAATGTATGATACATATTAAGTGAAAAGATAATATATTTTGAAAAGCTAATTGTTTTGTAAATTCCTTTATAAAAGATTGTCACTTCATTTTCTGTTTTCATCCTTTTTTAAGAAAGAATATCAAAAGGAATCATATAGATTTAACATCTAATTTTTTATAAGATAGGAAGATAATTTCACTTGATAAGAAAATCCCAACTCCATCATAATTTTAATATTAGCTTGTCACCTATTTAAATGGCACTGTGTAGGTTCAAATAAAATTAAAATGTGATGATATTATGATTAAATTAAAATCTGTCTACATTATAGATCTCTTTCTCCATGGTGATGGTTGTAAAGTTATGTCAAGCATATAACAATGTGAATCTTAAGAATAGATTAGGATATGCTACTTAGAGGATACTAAGTAGACAAAATTATAAGCTGAAAAAAGCATATCGGTTGACTTATAAAATAAATTGACATATTTATTAATCCAAATTAGAATAATAAACATGCAATGCCAGAAGTTTATTAGTGAACAAGTAAGTAATATAAAGTACATGTATGGCTGATGCTCCATATTGCACTTTATGTTCTTTATTCATTGGCAACCAACATTGCATTATTAATTTATATAGGTAGAACTTCTGAAGATGAATTATTTATATGCGTTATCATATAATGACATATTAATAGATATAGTTTAAAATTAATATAAGCACTACTTACTAATTCAATTAAGTAGTTTTTGATGCTGGTATAGATGCTTATCTTATTATTGAAGGATCAACATAATTTAGAGTTAGAGAAAAAAGGGAAAGCTAATTCTTTCTTAAAGAAAAAACTTTTTCATTATGACTTACTCAATCTAAAAAAAGGTAAAAATGCTATATATTATTGCATTACCCAACAAGATTGTCATGCAGTTTCTACTGTAACAATGTGCTGTTTTTCTCATCAAATGCTTCTAGTAAAACCAAGTTTGACATCTCAACAGAATGTTAAATATACATGTCAACAACTAAAATAGTAAATGGCAAGTTCATTTTTAAATGAACTTAAGAAGATGGATACAAATTACCTTGATAAAATAACAGCTTACCTGACATAATAGCATTACAACATGGGAACAAAACACCTCAAAGTGATATATTAAGAATGCAAACCTCCCTTCTTCCAAAAATCAGAGCCATATCTGTTGCTAAAAAGAATAATATGCCTTATCTTTCTTTATAAAGGAGCAAAACAGATCTCATCAACCTTGAAAATATACAGTAAATGCTATAAATTTTAATATTAAGTCAGCACATAACCTCTTAGATATAAAAACACTAAACCTGATAATTATTTTATCTATCACTTCAGAATTCACAGAAAACATATTTGGTGAATCATGAGAGAATAAAAAGAATGAAGTACATGATAACTGTGAAACAGGTAAATAAAATATCCCAGTAATTTATCTTTACACTCTCATATTTGCCTTCCTGTTAGGTTCTTAAAATTTTACCCTGTTTTTTAAACAAAAACTAACATTAAGTCATGGAAAATATCAGTGCAACAGAATTCATTATTAAACCTTAAAAAGTAAAGTAGTGTCAAAAACATACTTCTAGCATTGAAAGTGAAAAATCCGACCTGAATTCACATGCAGAACTAACAATTAAGATAAAAGATTTTGACCCATTGTAAACAGTAAAACTCAAATGGTGGCACCTAATAGTACATTTAAAAGGGAAGAAAAATACTACCTGATTCATTTTTAGAACAGTTTTGATATTTTCAAATTTCTACTTCCTTTTTAAAACTCTAAGTCTTAAAAATTCAAAATCCAAAAAAAAAAAATCCAAAAATATAGTTTTGCTCCCAACTGAGGCTTAAATTCCTTCCATTTCACATGCTTTTAAATTTTCCTATGAGAAAATTTTTTTTAAAAACCCTCTAATTGTTCAACACAGCCTGAAAACTTTAAGATAGTTCTAATGTCACTTTCTCATTTGTATGCATTGCCAAAGGCCTAGGGAGATGGCATGTACACCAGAAAATATGTTATTCTATCTTGAGGCTGTTAATTATTTAAATGCTAATGGTCGAAATATCGCTATTACATATTATCTTCTTCTCACCCCCTCCAAAATGGAATATGTGCATATACACAGTATACAAGTGAAGCACCATTATTGCTAATAAATTTATGTAATCAAATGCTTAAACAGCAAGAAAACAAGTACCAAATATATTCAAGTCACTTTTTCCTGGAAATATTACAACACAATTAAAATACAAAGCATAGCTTAATTAAAATGGAATAAATAAGTATAAGTTCAAAAACTGCACTGCGATGTCCATATCACTGAAATACGAAGACCTTCTCTGGTCTTGTGCTCCTCACCTCATCTATCTGAGGTTCCTGAGCTTGAGCAGCCTTGGGTGCTGAAGAGTCACAGTCTGGACTATAATGCTCACAGTAGTCATATGCTGCCTTGGGATCACCTGTGATCAAAAACTGCTGAATGTCCCCCTGGGAAAAAAAAAAAAACAAAAACAAACAGACACAGATTCAGTTAGCATATTAAAGTACACATATACCAAAGCGAGATGTGGTTTATTTTTAAATATTTGAAGAAGAAAAATGACCTACTTATATTTCAATGTTAAGAAGAGTCTTATAGGATTGAAAGAGAAACACCTATTTTACAAATCGGCTGTAAATATTAGGCTGTTATTCTATGTTATCTTCTGGCTCAGGAAATCTATACTACATTCATTCATTTTTCAAAACTCAATTTTACTCCACTGGTAATTTATACTGCATGGTAAAGAACAAATAAAATGTGAGCAAAAGGCTAATTTTAAAAGTCAACACATTTTAAAAACTGTGCATATATAAAGACAGTAATGTAATAGTAATACTAAATAAGTAAAAAGCTCAATAAGCTTAAAAGGAATTATTGTTAGGAAATTTATATGAAATTTTTAGAGTAAATATATAGATCCAACTATTATGTTCTGTTAGAAAAATTAGTATCAAAAGAAATCCCTACCTACAAAGATGAATGAGAAATGAAGACACCAGAAAAATCCAGATTAAAAATAAAAAAAGCATGAGTTTGATGCATTTATATTAAGAAAAAAAAAAGTGTTCCTAAGGATACATTAAACATCACCTATCAATAAATTTGTATGATTTCAATAAAATCAAAACATTAGTAATATTTAATAATAGAATTACCTAAAGAGTTTTAATTTCAAGAGCTTTTGGAAACTGCAAACAAGAGAAAAATCCAAATATTCTGCTCTTGATGTAATGTGGCTACTTCCATCTGGACTTTATTTCATCATGAAACTAATTTAATATAAATCTGTGTGTCATGACCATATTAATTCAGAATTACACTCAGGCCTAGAGTAATATCTGGGCTGATAGCCATTTAACTTGAGCATTCAATTCCCTGTAAGTTTGAGCACATAAATCTGATTCATAAAACTCCCGACTCCATATTTAATAACTTAAAAGTCATGCTAGCTTTCTTTGCATCTTATCAACAGGGATTATTTAGAACTTGATAAAAATATGGAAATTAAATTACAAAAATCTTTAAAAATTAAAGAATGTGGAAATAATTCATTCTACATTTATACCACAATATTCATTTTTTTATTAACAGATACTTATTGAGAAAGTATTATACACAAAATATTGAACCTGTGGGTGTAGAAACACATATTTGATATAATCTTTGCACTTTGGAGAGTGCAAATTAGTGGTTAAGAATATTTAAACTCTAGCATAAGGTGGAATAAAATTAATAACTTGAAAAGATATAATCAAATAGTGTAAGAAGTGCCAAGAAAGGAATAAGTTAATTAGTTAATTAGAATTGAGTATAAGTTATTTAATAAGAATTAAGATATTTAATCCTAGCAGGCAATTTCTTAGTAAATACTGTGGTTACTACCTGTGGTGTGGTTGGCACTTATTTTTATTTGTATCATTCTTTCTTCTGTCTAAAACTGTGTTCATTCTCACCCTTAGAATTAGGATTTATTTTTAAGGTTCAAAAATTTATATTTCTATGCTTACATTTCTCTTCTTTAAAAATAACAGTTATTGAGCTGTTCACACCGTTCACATATAAAATCAATTATAATGGATTTAATTAATTCACATATAAAATCCATTCTTTTAAAATTTACAATACAGTGGGCTTAGTACAGCCACAGCCTTGTCCAACCATCACTACTAATTGCAGAAAAATTTCATGACACCTAAAAGTTACCCTGCAACCAGTGGCAGTCACTCTCTATCCTTCCCTTTTCCTGGCCCCTTGTAAAAATTGGGCATTTCACCTAAATTCAACCATACAACATGTGGCCTTTTTCAATTGGCTTCTTTCATTTATCATAATGTCTTCAAGATTGATGCACGTTGTACCATGTGTTAGTACTTCATTCCTCTTTTCAAGTAACATTCCCTTTTATGGACATGCCGCAGTTTATCTATCAGTTTCTGGAAATTTGAGTTGTTTTTATTTATTATTTTGCTATTTGTTTTCTACGTTTTCTGCCTTTGTATTAATATTACGTTATTCTTCCATTACTGCCTTTTTTGAGTTGAATAGATATTTACTATTTTAAAATTTGACTTATCTTATGTTTTTACTATAGCCTTATAGGTTTCGTTAGTGGTTACTCTTAGAATTATTATTACTTTATTACAACCTTTTTCAAATTAATACTAACTTCATGTCAATCCTACACAAAAATGTTATCTTATGTAGCTCTAATCCCTCCTCCCACCTTGTAGCTATTATTGTTGTATAAATTACATCTTTACATACTATGAGCCTATCAACACAGTTTTATAATTATTGTTTTATGCAATTTTGTTTTTAATCTAAAAAGAGAAATATTATAAACAAGAACAATCTTTTATATTTACCTTTCCCAGATAACTGTACCAGTGTTCTTTATTTGAGTTAGTGTCCAGTAATCTTCCATTTCAATCTGAGAGACTTTATATTTCTTGAAAGGGAACTTTATTAGTGAACATTCTTTTAAATATGGGAATGTCTTAATTTTTCTTTGTTTTAAGAGTGGTGTCTTATTATGTTGCCCAAAGCTGGTATTGAAATCCTGGACTCCAGCTATCTTCCGACTTCAGCCTCCTAATTAGCTGGGTCTATAAGTGCATGCCACTGCACCTGGCTGTTTCCTTTGCATTTGAGAGTCAGTTTTGCTGGCTATAAAATTTTTAGATGAAGTCTTTCCCCCTACCCCCCAGAACTATGAATATGTTACCCTACTACTTCATGCCCTCCACAGTATATGGTAGGGAATCAGCTATTAATCTAAATGAGAATCCTTTATATGTTATCAGTCACTTCACTCTTGAAGTTTTGAAGATTCTCTCATAGTCTTTGTTTTTTGATGTTTGATTATGATGTATCTGGATGTAGATTTTACAAGTTTATCAGATTAAGTTGTTGAGAGTCTTGACCATGTAGATTAAGGTGTTTCATCAACTTTGAGAAGTGTTCAGTCATTACTTTGTTAAATATGTTTTCTGCCCTTACTTTTTCTGGGACTCCTATTATGCCTATTTTGGAATGTTCGGTGGTGTCCCGCACTGAGGCTGTCAACTTTTTTTAATGTATTTTTCCCCCTTATTCTCATTGTAGATAATATCAACTGATTTGTCTTCAAGTACACTGATTCTTTATTTTGTCAGCTCAAATTCTTTGTTGAACTTCTCTAGTCAATTTTTCATTGTATGTTATACTTTTCAACTACAGTACTACAATTTAGTATTTTTAGTAGTATATATCTTTATTGCTACTTTCTATTTGGTAAGACAACATTGTCATACTTGCTGTTAGTTATTTAGTCATGTTTTTTACGTTTTTTTTAACATAACCATAATTGTTCATTTAATGTCTTTGTTGGGGAAGTCCAATGTCTGTGCTTCTTCAAGGACAGATCCTCTTAACTGTTTTGCTTTGCTTTTTACTTTGTATGGCACTTAATTTTCATTTTTTTTTGTTGTCTCATGATGTTGAAAGTATTTTTGTTGAAAGTTGAACATATTAAATAACAACCCTGAAATCAGATACTATCCTCCCCTTCCGCCAGGCCTACTGTTATTTTTCTTTGTAGTTGTTGGTGCTTGTTCATTTAGTGATTTCCTTGAAGTAATTCTCTAAGTAAGTAGTCTTTGCTGCCTGTGGCCAATGAGGTCTCTGGTTAGGTTAATGATCAGTAAATGATTAGAGTGAGATTTCCTTAAATCTTGGAATTGAATGGAACCAATTAGTATCCCAAGAGACTTTCTGTGTGCCTTGGCAAACACTTTCAACACTCCTACAGTTTACAACACTGTCTTAGCTCTCACTTTTTGCTAGGTAGATCCTCAAAGTCAACCATATTTGAAATAGCAGGGCCTTCTCCTCAGGTCTTTCCTGGACAGTCACACAGGTATCCTAGATGATCAGATTAATGTTTGAGCCTTTCAAGTCTCCTTTTGGGCATCTCATTTTAAATCTTCTTTTTAGTGTTTTAAGCTGATCCCCTTTTGATCCATATTTTGACATTTAATTTCTTATTGCCAACTACCTGTTAATCTTCATCTAGAATGTCTCATTATCACCACAAAAATGAGCAACATTACATCACAAAAATGACTCAAAAACACACATCCACTAATAAAAATTGTGCTGACATAAATGAAATATTATGTTTATTCATCTTCACGATAAATTTTGTGGACTTCAGAAATATCTCCACTGATATCTCAGATTGTGCTATATTTATGCAAGTTTTTTACTCATTTTATTTAATCGTTTTTAATTCATTCACTCTCTCAAATAGTGCTTTAAAAATACATGTAATATGCTAGTATGTCCTAGTAACACCCAAATAAGGAAACATCTTCTTTAATTTATGATGAAGCATAACATAAAGCAGAAGTAGAAAATATTCATCTAGACAACCATATTTAAAATCATCATAAGTATTATTAGTACTTCTAAACTTGAAAATATTTATTTTTACATGTCATGAAATAATATAAATAACTGATAATAAAATTAGTTTCTGAGTTTTTTTGTAAATTATTTTTAAGTAGGAGCATCTCTAATATTGCCTAATACCTACTAATTTTAAATAGACACATAGCAAATAAATACAAGTTCTTAAAATATACTGATAGTATTTCTCAAATTCCAACTGAACAATTCAGAACACTGAGTAACCATACCTGAATTGTTATAAATGAAAAAAAGCAAAGAGAAATTTGAATACAAAATTATTAATATTTAAAACAAATAAGGAGGCACTATTGAGTACATGACAATATGACTGAGTAATGGAATCACTGAGGGTTTTGATTACAAACTCTGCTTCCTAAATTTTCTCCTAGCTTTGCCATTAACTACTTGGAATTGTGCATCACTTAATTTATCATTTGTAAAATGAATGCACTGAGAGATAATAGCTAAGTTCCTTTCCAGGGATAGAAATTCTAGAATGCCATACTTAATTATATACAAATTATAATGAATCAAGTGAATCTATTGCTGAAAAACAAAAAAGTTGCTATCGTATATATATATATATATATATATATATATGATACTTATGTATATAAATATATATTATATATAATATAAATATATATCTATATATGCATCATGTATGTTTATAGTACTTTTAAATAATATATATTTTTAAATAATGCTGGTTTAAGTAGTTACTATTCTATTTACAGTCCTAACTTGACTAAATGGAATCCTGCCAACTTTTCCAATATAAATTCTTATTTCAGGTGTTTAATAGTCATAAAATATACTAGAAAGAAACTGGAAAAATTCAATAAAAAACTTACAGTCCTATTTTTTCCCAGAAGGCATTTTACAGTGTTTTATGTTAATCGTATGACATGTTTTAAGACACTCTGTAAACAAGCTCATTGTTACAGATTGAATGAACTATAAATATTTAGATTCAATAGTGCCATAAAAATTTTCACAGCTAAAAAAGGTAAAGTTATTGAGTAAAACTGGCATCTTTAGCATACAAGGCATCCTCCTCCTTTAATGGTCCACAAAACCAAGATTAAGGTACAGTTGATGCAATTACTTTGTGATCTCCAGCTGTGTCAACTGGGTTTATACTATAGTGTTTGCCTATAGACAGTATGGGTATAGAGTGAAAGCAAATAAAATGTAAGAAAACTAAATAGAAACTGTCTACACAGATGATGTTCTTGTGAATGTCACATGCATTGCAAAAGGATCTCACTATTTTTTTTATCAAAATCAAATTATATAAGTAATAGCATACTTTTAAAACCAAACAAATAATGCACATATGCTAACTTTTTTTGTTCATTTTTTTACTTTGGTTTGCATATATATAATTTTATATATATATATATAAAGTCTATATAAGGCATAGCTGTTTCAATTTTCTGTGCTATGAATGTAATTACATAATGGTCTATGAAATACACAAGTAAAGATACATTTAGATTGTGTGTGTGTGTGTGTGTGTGTGTGTGTGTGTGTAAAGAATCACATTTATTGGAAAAGTATGGTAAATAATATTGGTCTAATGTCTTAAGGTCACATGTCAATGTGTTAGTGCTAAGGATCTGAATTTCAGATTGAACTCCTTGTCTTATGTGAAGCCAACCAGTGATTGGTTTATGTTAGTTCTCAGCCTGAGCATCCACTGAATTGCACAGCAAAGCAGCTGCCTCTAGAGAATGAGCAATGAAAAACCAGCCTGTGATACTGTCTTGTTCAATTCCATCTGATTGAATAATGTGACTTGTAGATGGATTATGTGTTTGGACCTTAATAGGATCACAAAAAAGGCAGAAGAAATTTAGATATAACTAAAACAGTTAATGCAGATGTTGAATCAGTGCTCAATTATAATTGAAAAATGATCTTCTCTCTTAAATTTTAATCTAACAACTGGTGACTGCACAATTCCACAAGGCTTTCAATTCTACTCTGAATCTCACAAGATCTAAACTTTTAATATTAACATTTAAAGTTTTTTATTCTAAGAGAGCAATTTTTTGTAAGATCTGGAAAATAACACTGTAACGATTGACTATATACCTTATTGAACTACAGAAATATCTAAGATTAGATATTTCATCTCCCTAAATGCTAGAGTAAATCACACAGCTATAATTTTGTTCCATAAAATCATCTAGATTCCAAATTTCTTATAGTTCATTCTTGTCTCCATTAACTTGCAACATACAGGTATCTCAATGAGAATGAACATTTTCATGAAACGGTTCTTGGAAAAATCTTGATGATTTGTTAAAAGCAAATAGGAGTTAGCCTAATGAAGGGGATGGAGGTAAAATAGCATTAAACATAAAAAGCATCTTAAACAAAACTTTTGAGGGATGAAACTGTATGACGAATTCAGAGACGTAGGTCAGGTGTAGTGGCTCACACCAGTAATACTAGCACTTCGGGAGGCTGAGGTGGGTGGATCACCTGAGGTCAGGACTTCAAAGCCAGCCTGACCAACATGGTGAAACCCATTCTCCACCAAAAAAATACGAAAGTTAGCTGGGCATGGTGGCGCATGCTTGTAGTCCTAGCTACTTGGGAGGCTGAGTCAGGAAAATCGCTTGAACCCGGGAGGTGGAGGTTACAGTGAGCCAAGATCGCGCCACTGCCACTGCACTCAGCCTGCTCGACAAAGCGAGACTCTTTCTCCAAAAAGAGAGAGAGCGAGAGAGAGAGAGAGAAGTATATATAGTGCAGCACATTAGAGGGAAGGACTTACATGGTGATGATAAAGAGTGAGGGTAAAGAGTAGATATTTATTTTTAAGTTAGGAACCAATTTAAGAAAAGCCTTGCATGTGAACTGAAACTCAAAAGATGTCATTTGAGTGTCATTTGAGGACTCTGATAAATGAAATAGATTGATCAATGTTGTATTTTAAAAAAATCACTTTGACAGCAAAAGGGAGGATAATTTGGAAGCAGCCAGTTTGGAGTCAGATAAATCAATTAGGAGTTGATTTCAATAAAAGTGTTGAGAATTGAAGCCAAGTCAGCCATACTAGGAATGGAATAGATGGAACAGACAGTACATATATTAGTAAAAAATATATCTGTGAGATTTGGAAACTGACTGGATGCTGATGATGGAGTGAGACGAGAATGATAAGGAAATATGGAGCAAAGTGTTAACAGAGGAACGTAGAGCAATTCTGCAGTTTCTCAAGTAAGCAATGGTAGGATGGCAAAGCCATTTACTCAAATAGAACTACAATAAAAGGAAAAAATTGGAGGGTCAATCTCTTAAGTCTAAGAAGTAGAATAATAACTAACAGTCATTTCTGGAGTAAGGTCAGTTTATCACTTAAGACAGTGACTTTTATTTATTTTTGAACTGTATCTCTCCTATACCTGCAGACTATCAGACTGCATCATTGAAACCAAACCAAGTTTCAAGAATCAATAATAATTGGCAGAAAATTTCCCTTTGATATGACAGTCCGTACTTCTTTCTGTAGCAATCTTATACCTATTTTTTTCATTGTTTATCAAGAACAGGATGAGCTTGCCCAGACTGAGTGCTAAGGGTTAAATTGTGTCCCCTCGAATTTGTATGTTGAAATCCTAATTCCCAATACCTCACATTGTGACTGTATTTGGAGACAGGGTCTTTAAGAAGGTAATTAAGGTTAAACGAAGCCACTAGTATGGTCCTGATTGAATCTGACTGGTCTCCTTTAAGAAAGGAGTAAGACACAAACACACACAGAGGAAAGACCATGTAAAGACACAGGGAGAAGACAACCATTTCCAAGCCAAGGCAAGAACGCTCGGACAGAAGAAAACGACTCTGTCAACACCTGGATCTTGGACTGGTAGCCTCCAGAACTTTGAAAAAATAAGTTTCTGTTATTTAAGCCACTGAGGCTGTGGCAATTTATTATGGCAGCCCTAAAAAACTAATATAAATCAGTTAATACTAGGGTTTTTTTTTTATTCGTCTGAAGTTCTGTCTTTGTAACAGAGCAAAGGTCATTTCAATTGAAAAAAAATACAAAATGGATATTTGTTTATTTATAACAAAAGTAATAACTGACTATATCCAGGGTCCGGTATTAAGTAGATGCTGTAGAAATATTGGCTGATTTAATTTGGCAAGTAGCTAGAATACAGGGTAATCAGAAGTTATACACCTGACAGTATCATCATCATAGACACCCCTCAGTCCACTGAAGAAAATAGAAAATAAGAAATGTAAAAAAGCATCATTCCAACTACAAATAAAGAATTTAAAGAGGACAAATTTTTAAGAAATATCCATAAAATAGTCTTATTTTTAAAATACATTTTATTGTGCTAGTAAAAGATTAAAATAATTTTGTTTGTATCATTAATTCCATCTTAATAAAGTTATATTGTAATCCTACTTCATGTCGACAATAGAAAACAAAAAATGCTAGAAAAACATACCCCTAATATTTGAACTATGTGTGTATACATTTATATATATTCCAATTATATATATTATATATAGACAGAGTTCAAATATATAGTTCAAAAAGTACATATTCTCATATTAATCTCAAAATATATATTAAAGTATATGTTCTGATAATCTCAGATTATATACTTTTTTGTATTCTTTGTTTCATTTTATCAGTTTATGTTAACATGAATCAAGACTAAACATGTTTAGTTCCTTGTTGATTTAAGGAAACTCTTATGTAAAAATTTAAATTACAATTCTAAAAAATACTTAGAGATGATTCTCAGATTACAAAAGGATTCTTCATATCAATGTTTCTTTAAATGATTAACATTTAAAATGTTACCACAGTTTGATCCCCCTCCCAAAATAAATTCATCTGATACATTTTAAAAACATTTGTTGTCCAAAATAATATGATTGAAATTAACATTTAAAATACTAAAGAGGATTTTAAAACAAAATGAAAATCATTTTGAGACCTCTTTTTAAAAAATCAATTTGAGAAAAATTATTCATATGTAAGGAAACAAGTATGTAATATTTTTATTTTTCTTTAACTTTTATCATACATTTTACATAATATATTCAAAACATATAATTTCAATTTGTATTTAACATAAAAGCTATTAATTATTATTCCTACCATGTTTTTGAAAGATTATGTATATTTTACATTTAGAGCACATCTCAATTTGAATGCTAATTATTAATGATAAATTCTTAATCAGTATTTATTTTTAATGTGCTTTTTAATTTTTATATTTTTATTTTGAATTGACACATAATGATTAACTTTTATTTTAACACTTAGACTCAAAAGACAAGTTCATATAATTAATATCATTGTGAAGGTCAAATATGGCCTTTGCATTAGGTAGTACTTTCACTGCCTGTTTCACAGAGTTAGCATTAGAATTTGACATTTACATTTTATTTCATAGTATTTAACTTGGCAGTAAATTTTAGATTTATTTTTAAAGTAATTGTTATTTTTGGAATATGAAAGAAATTATAGACTATTTTCACTATTTCATAAAGAGTTAACAGTTGAACTGACACGTTTATTCCTCCAACACAATACCAGATATTTGGGTATCAGCTTTTTACATATCAATTTTTAGCATCATCCTTTTTTTTTGGTGCCTGTTCTAAGTCCCTCAGAGAAAATACCTGTCAGAGAATAAAAATAAATAATTGGTAATTGCATTTCTATATATTTATTATTTTAATTTTATATAAAGTGGTACTATCCCAGAAATAACAGGTCTTTTAAAAATAGTCCCTTATTTTTGCTCTGTTGCAATCCTCTATAACAATGAATGATACATTCATTCTTTAGAGAATTGAAGTCTCTTTAAATCTAAATCGGCTACTTTATAAAGTATGTAATTCGGAGAGGACTTTTAAAGTATGCATATATATAATATAATCAGCATACCTTTATTTTTTCAAATTCTGAAACAAAAATTATGTTTTGGTGTCAAATGTGAAAACCTGTTTCCTCTACAAAATATAGTCAGTTTGTGCCTTGAACATGCAATATCTGTTGAACAGTAAACGATGGAAGGCTTGCTCAAAATTGAAAGCGAGAATTCCCTACTGATATGGGTATATTTTGGAAA
Source organism: Homo sapiens (assembly GCF_000001405.40). Classification (NCBI taxonomy): domain Eukaryota; kingdom Metazoa; phylum Chordata; class Mammalia; order Primates; family Hominidae; genus Homo; species Homo sapiens. Next base: position 103,041,871 of record NC_000001.11, read on the forward strand.
AACTGTATTTTGGTTGAAGGCAAAAACAATCTGTTATACAACATTGTTGTATAACAATATAGGTTCGTTATTTTAGGAAAAGCTATATTTTGTTCCCAAAACAAAATGTTTTCTTTTGTGTGTATTATAACAAGTTAATAGGCTAAGATATATTATAAATAAGATAGTAATTATATTTCTCCTATAACTTTTAATTCTAACTTGTACAAGGATTTTAACAGCCAGGTTACTTTGAGAATATTTGTCTTTGACTGTTTACCAATCATTCATCTATCAATTAATTCAATAAATATTTATGGAGGCAAAGTATCATGCCGACACTATGAATAGGAGGAAAATAAACCTCCTCTCAAATACTTATAGACTGGTTATTCAGATTATTATACACAAATAAATAAGATATGAGACACATATTTCTTTACTACCTGCTATATTCCAATTATGAAGATATAAGAAATTTGAAATAACTTTCACCTGAGAAAATTAGAGGATTTATCTAGAATTTCCTGGCATAATTTATGTGAAAGTGGTCAGTTTTTCTTTTAAATAAAGGAATACTTGTTATTCACTGTTGGCACCCCAATTCCTATTACTAACATTTCTGTCTCTTACTCTGTGCCTGCAAGAATCTGACCCCTAAAGTCTGCATCACCAGACTCTCCCGCAGGTTGGTTTCCGGGACAGACATGGAAGCTACCACCAGGAGTTTGGAAGTTGGGAAGGGAAAAAGGTTGGCATTGTTTACCCCCATACTTTCCTAGCTTGTCACAGTAGTCTGGGACCCTTATCACTATTGACACTGCTAGAAAGTACTTCTACAGAACTACAGCTCCTCACTGAGCACTGTATCAGTATTTATGCCCCTTGCCCCTTTAGTCCTCAGGAAGGTAATGCTAATTACTAGATTTCCCAGCCTCCCTGCTCAAACTTCTGAAACTACCTGAAGAGAGTTCTGTTTTCTGTGGGAACTCAGAGTGAACCCAAAAGAATATGAGAAGTTGGGGAAACACCATCTACTTGAAGACCTAATATAGAAATTGGTATCATGTATATAAATATATATATATATGAAATACATCATATATATGAAATAGATCATATATGTGAAATATATATGATATATATTAAATACATCATATATATGAAATATATATGATATATATTAAATACATCATATATATGAAACATATATAATGAATACATGAAATACATCATATATATGAAATATATATAATGAATACCTGAAATACATCATATATATGAAATATATATAATGAATACCTGAAATACATCATATATATGAAATATATATAATGTATATATGAAATACATCATATATATGAAATATATATATAATGTATATATGAAATACATCATATATATGAAATATATATTTTATATGTATATCTGGATGACCAAACAGTAAGTTTAAGGATTTGAATAACCAGTATGTGTGTCACATGTCAGGAAGGTATAGCATCTCTACAAGACAATAAAAGGCATAGTTTACAGCCTGGGCTCCTTACTTAACCAGTCAATCTATTTTGTTCAATTAAATTCACTGGAATATAAACTTCATGAGAGCAGGGACTTTTCAGTTTTGTTGTCAGAGATTTTCACAATTCCTGGACTAGGCCTTCTCATAGTGAGTACTCAATAAATGATCAATAAATGGATCTCCTGGCCAATAATTTATTCACCATTGAAAGACTTTATTTCAACACCTGTAAATGAAGAATACTATTACTTGTATTTCCTCAGAAATTCTAAACACAACTAATATAGATTTAAGCTGTTTATAAACTGTAAAGTATATACAAATATAAGATATTTTATTCCAGTGTTTGGAGTCAATTAAAGGAAAACAAACCTTTAAGTGGCAGACTTCTAGTTATAATTTTTCTAAAAATAAGTTCCAGTTTCAGGAGTCTTAAAGTCATTATTCTATAAATCAAACACATGAGGAAAAATGTAATAGAAAGAAAATAAAAATACATTTAGGTAAGTAGCCTTGTATGTGCCAGTGTAAAATAAATAGCCTAACAACATTCTATAATATTTTCATAAGATAGCCCCTAGACCCTAAAACTTCTGCTCACATTTGATATTAGAGCTTTCAGGAAAAGTCTGGTGGCTCTTGGCAGAGTTTTTGATTGCATATACAAGGCTGAAATTAAATCTTAAATGTGGCATAAAATTCTTAAGAAGTAACTACCATAATCAGAAGATTAATGAAAACCTATGCTTCCTGTCTACTTAGAATTCTGAATTTGCCAAGGCATTAACTCTCACCAGTTTTTTTTTTTTTCAAACACCCCATACAGTTAATGATTTTTTTTTCTCAACTGTTTTCTGTGGTAAAGGAAAGTTGCCAAAATGCTTAGAATTTTAGTGTAATTGAAAAACGCATCAGAGATTGCATTTGAACCATAATTCAAAGGAAAAAATGAGGGAAACCATATAATCACAGACATAACTACTTCCCACACAGCCCTTGTATTGCGCAGAATCCCAAAACTAACTTAAGAAACCAGCTTTGAGAAAATTAGCAGTGTCTTATATTACTTGAATGTACTTCTAATTCAACATCTGCTTACCAAGTACTACAGAAAATGCCAAAAGTTGGATAAAACACTATGAAAAAACTGTACGTTTATCTTATACTTTCTAGGTTATCAATGTTAAACAAGGATTCTTACTAAAGCATAACTACCAATATGGCTCTATTGCATCAAATAAATTTAATTAATTAAAAGGTTATAAAAAGGTAACAGATCTTGCTTCCCACTTCCTTGTCTGCTATAGATGACCTATACCCTTTGAATTAATAAGTGCTAGAAAATATATTTATTCATTCACTAAAAAATACTAGTATTACATGTCAGGTACTATTTTAGATTTTGTGGACACAGCACAAAGCTCCTGCATTCTAGGAGTTTATATTCCAGAGGGAGAAACAAAATAAGAATAATGTAGTATGCCAGAAAGTAATAAATGCTGTAAAGAACATAAAGTAAGAAAGGATAGCGAATATATGTCAGAAAGTAGGATACTCTATTATAAAGTGCAATCATGGAAAGTTTCACTGATTAAGAGACACTGAGACAGAGACACTTGAGGAACTGAGGAAATAAAAAATGCTATATCTAAGAGAGAGCTTTCCAGGCAGAAGGACTAATGAATGTCCAGGCCCCATGGCACAAGCAGCCCCAAGGCAAGAGATTAATTAATATATTCAAGTGAGGGACACCTTGTGAACCAACAATCCACAGGTAGCAACATGGAGAGGAGACACTGATAAACTCTAACAGGAGAGGCAGAGGGTGTGGTATGGGTCACATAAGGTCCTGCAGACTATTGGAATAACTTTACAAATGAAATGAAATGCCACTGGAAGATTATGAGCAAAGAGGTGGCACACTTCATTCATTCATTTGTTCTTTTGGCCAGGTGCTACTTGAAAGAAATAGACTTGCTTTTCTAGTTATGCTGCTTAGAGAACAGATGAAATGGCAAAAGCAGAAAGATCAATTAAAGGCTCTTGCAATTATCCAAGGAACAAGTAATACTGATAGTTATAATAATAGACAATACTTAGTTGGCACTCACTATATACCTGCCACTCTTCTAAGAACTATATACAGTCAAATCATAAACAGAAATAGAGTAGTTTATGCTTTAAAAACATCAAGGTCTTAAAAAACTTACTTAAACAATAATTTAAATAATATATCAATATTCTTTTTTTAATTTTATTATTATTATACTTTAAGTTTTAGGGTACATGTGCACAACGTGCAGGTTTGTTACGTATGTAGACGTGTGCCATATTGGTGTGCTGCACCCACTAACTCCTCATTTAGCATTAGGTATATCTCCTAATGCTATCCCTCCCCCCTACCCCCACCCCACAACAGTCCCCGGTGTGTGACGTTCCCCTTCCTGTGTCCATGTGTTCTTATTATTCAATTCCCACCTGAGTGAGAAAATGCAGTGTTTGGTTTTTTGTCCTTGTGACAGTTTGCTGAGAACGATGGTTTCCAGCTTCATCCATGTCCCTACAAAGGACATGAACTCATCATTTTTTTATGGCTGCATAGTATTCCATGGTGTATATGTGCCACATTTTTCTTAATCCAGTCTATCGTTGTTGGACATTTGGGTTGGTTCCAAGTCTTTGCTATTTTGAATAGTGCTGCAATAAACATACGTGTGCATGTGTCTTTATAGCAGCATGATTTATAATCCTTTAGGTATACACCCACTAATGGGATGACTGGGTCAAATGGTATTTCTAGTTCTAGATCCCTGAGGAACTGCCACACTGACTTCCACAATGGTTGAACTAGTTTACAGTCCCACCAACAGTGTAAAAGTGTTCCTATTTCTCCACATCCTCTCCAGCACCTTTTTAATGATTGCCATTCTAACTGGTGTGAGATGGTATCTCATTGTGGTTTTGATTTGCATTTCTCTGATGGCCAGTGATTATGAACATTTTTTCATGTGTTTTTTGGCTGCATAAATGTCTTGTTTTGAGAAGTGTCTGTTCATATCCTTTGCCCACTTTTTGATGGGGTTGTTAGTTTTTTTCTTGTAAATTTGTTTGAGTTCATTGTAGATTCTGGATATTAGCCCTTTGTCAGATGAATAGGTTGCAAAAATTTTCTCCCATTCTGTAGGTTGCCTGTTCACTCTGATGGTAGTTTCTTTTGCTGTGCAGAAGCTCTTTAGTTTAATTAGATCCCATTTGTCAATTTTGTCTTTTGTTGCCATTGCTTTTGGTGTTTTAGACATGAAGTCCTTGCCCGTGCCTATGTCCTGAATGGTAATGCCTAGGTTTTCTTCTAGGGTTTTTATGGTTTTAGGTCTAACGTTTAAGTCTTTAATCCATCTTGAATTGATTTTTGTATAAGGTGTAAGGAAGGGATCCAGTTTCAGCTTTCTACATATGGCTAGCCAGTTTTCCCAGCACCATTTATTAAATAGGGAATCCTTTCCCCATTGCTTGTTTTTGTCAGGTTTGTCAAAGATCAGATAGCTGTAGATATGCGGCATTATTTCTGAGGGCTCTGTTCTGTTCCATTGGTCTATATCTCTATTTTGGTACAAGTACCATGTTGTTTTGGTTACTGTAGCCTTGTAGTATAGTTTGAAGTCAGGTAGTGGGATGCCTCCAGCTTTGTTATTTTGGCTTGGGATTGACTTGGTGATGCGGGCTCTTTTTTGGTTCCATATGAACTTTAAAGTAGTTTTCTTCCAATTCTGTGTAGAAAGTCATTGGTAGCCCAATGGGGACGGCATTGAATCTGTAAATTACCTTGGGCAGTATGGCCAATTTCACGATATTGATTTTTCCTACCCATGAGCATGGAATGTTCTTCCATTTGTTTGTATCCTCTTTTATTTCATTGAGCAGTGGTTTGTAGTTATCCTTGAAGAGGTCCTTCACATCCCTTGTAAGTTGGATTCCTAGGTATTTTATTCTCTTTGTAAAAATTGTGAGTGGGAATTCACTCATGATTTGGCTCTCTGTCTGTTATTGGTGTATAAGAATGTTTGTGATTTTTGCACATTGATTTTGTATCCTGAGACTTTGCTGAGGTTGCTTATCAGCTTAAGGAGATTTTGGGCTGAGACGATGGGGTTTTCTGGATATACAATCATGTCATCTGCAAACAGGGACAATTTGACTTCCTCTTTTCCTAATTGAATACCCTTTATTTCCTTCTCCTGCCTGATTGCCCTAGGCAGAACTTCCAACGCTATGTTGAATAGGAGTGGTGAGAGAGGGCATCCCTGTCTTGTTCCAGTTTTCAAAGAGAATGCTTCCAGTTTTTGCCCATTCAGTATGATATTGGCTGTGGTTTGTCATAGATAGCTCTTATTATTTTGAGATATGACCCATCAATACCTAATTTATTGAGAGTTTTTAGCATGAAGGGTTGTTGAATTTTGTCAAAGGCCTTTTCAGCATCTATTGAGATAATCATGTAGTTTTTGTCTTTGATTCTGTTTATATGCTGGATTACCTTTATTGATTTGCGTCTGTTGAACAAGCCTTGCATCCCAGGGATGAAGCCCACTTGATCATGGTGGATAAGCTTTTTTATGTGCTGCTGGATTCAGTTTGCCAGTATTTTATTGAGGATTTTTGCATCAATGTTCATCAAGGATATTGGTCTAAAATTCTCATTTTTGATTGTGTCTCTGCCAGGCTTTGGTATCAGGATGATGCTGGCCTCATAAAATGAGTTAGGGAGGATTCCCTCTTTTTCTATTGATTGGAATAGTTTCAGAAGGAATGGTACCAGCTCCTCCTTGTACCTCTGGTAGAATTTGGCTGTGAATCCATCTGGTCCTGGACTTTTTTTGGTTGTTAAGCTATTGATTATTGCCTTAATTTCAGAGCCTGTTATTGGTCTATTCAGAGATTCAACTTCTTCCTGGTTTATTCTTGGGAGGATGTATGTGTCGAGGAATTTATCCATTTCTTCTAGATTTTCTAGTTTATTTGCATAGAGGTGTTTATAGTATTTTCTGATGGTAGTTTGTATTTCTGTGGGATCGGTGGTGATATCCCCTTTATCATTTTTTATTGCGTCTATTCTTCTCTCTTTTCTTCTTTATTAGTCTTGCTAGCAGTCTATCTATTTTGTTGATCTTTTCAGAAAACCAGCTCCTGGACTCACTGATTTTTTGAAGGGTTTTGTGTGTCTCTATTTCCTTCAGTTCTGCTCTAATCTTAGTTATTTCTTGCTTTATGCTAGCTTTTGAATGTGTTTGCTCTTGCTTCTCTAGTTCTTTTAATTGTGATGTTAGGGTGTCAATTTTGGATCTTTCCTGCTTTCTCTTGTGGGCTTTTAGTGCTATAAATTTCCCTCTACACACTGCTTTGAATATGTCCTAGAGATTCTGGTATGTTGTGTCTTTTTTCTTGTTGGTTTCTAAGAATATCTTTATTTCTGCCTTCATTTCGTTATGTACCCAGTAGTGACTCAGGAGCAGGTTGTTCAGTTTCCATGTAGTTGAGCGGTTTTGAGTGAGTTTCTTAATCCTGGGTTCTAGTTTGATTGCACTGTGGTCTGAGAGACAGTTTGGTATAATTTCTGTTCTTTTACATTTGCTGAGGAGTGCTTTACTTCCAAATATGTGGTCAATTTTGGAATAGGTGTGGTGTGGTGCTGAGAAGAATGTATATGCTGTTGATTTGGGGTGGAGAGTTCTGCAGATGTCTATTAGGTCCACTTGGTGCAGAGCTGAGTTCAATTCCTGGGTATCCTTGTTAACCTTCTGTCTCGTTGATCTGTCTAATGTTGACAGTGGGGTGTTAAAGTCTCCCATTATTATTGTGTGGGAGTCTAAGTCTCTTTGTAGGTCACTAAGGACTTCCTTTATGAATCTGGGTGCTCCTGTATTGGGTGCATATATACTTAGGATAGTTAGCTCTTCTTGTTGAATTGATCCCTTTACCATTATGTAATGGCCTTCTTTGTCTCTTTTGATCTTTGTTGGTTTAAAGTCTGTTTTATCAGAGACTAGCATTGCAACCCCTGCCTTTTTCTGTTTTCGATTTGCTTGGTAGATCTTCCTCCATCCTTTTATTTTGAGCCTATGTGTATCTCTGCAGGTGAGATGGGTTTCCTGAATACAGCACACTGATGGGTCTTGACTCTTTATCCAATTTGCCAGTCTGTGTCTTTTAATTGGAGCATTTAGCCCATTTACATTCAAAGTTAATATCGTTATGTGTTAATTTGATCCTGCCATTATGATGTCAGCTGGCTATTTTGCTCATTAGTTGATGCAGTTTCTTCCTAGCCTTGATGGTCTTTACAATTTGGCATGTTTTTGCAGTGGCTGATACCGATTTTTCCTTTACATGTTTAGTGCTTCCTTCAGGAGCTCTTGTAGGGTAGGCCTGGTGGTGACAAAATCTCTCAGCATTTGCTTGTCTGTAAAGTATTTTATTTCTCCTTCACTTATGAAGCTTTGATTCGCTGGAAATGAAATCCTGGGCTGAAAATTCTTTTCTTTAAGAATGTTGAATATTGGCCCCCACTCTCTTCTGGCTTGTAGAGTTTCTGCCGAGAGATCAGCTGTTAATCTGATGGGCTTCCCTTTGTGGGTAACCCGACCTTTCTCTCTGGCTGCCCTTAACATTTTTTCCTTCATTTCAACTTTGGTGAATCTGACAATTATGTTTCTTGGAGTTGCTCTTCTCAAGGACTATCTTTGTGAGGTTCTCTGTATTTCCTAAATTTGAATGTTGGCCCTGCCTTGCTAGATTGGGGAAGTTCTCCTGGATAATATCCTGCAGAGTGTTTTCCAACTTGGTTCCATTCTCCCCGTCACTTTCAGGTACACCAGTCAGAGGTAGATTTGGTCTTTTCACATAGTCCCATATTTCTTGGAGGCTTTGTTCATTTCTTTTTATTCTTTTTTCTCTAAACTTCTCTTCTCACTTCATTTCATTCATTTCATCTTCCATCACTGATACCCTTTCTTCCAGTTGATCGCATCGGCTACTGAGGATTCTGCATTCATCACGTAGTTCTCGTGCCTTGGTTTTCAGTTCCATCAGGTCCTTTAAGGACTTCTCTGCATTGGTTATTCTAGTTATCCATTCGTCTAATTTTTTTTCAAAGTTTTTAACTTCTTTGCCATTGGTTCGAACTTCCTCCTGTGGCTCGGAGTAGTTTGATCGTCTGAAGCCTTCTTCTCTCAACTCGTCAAAGTCATTCTCCATCCAGCTTTTTTCCATTGCTGGTGAGGAGCTGTGTTCCTTTGGAGGAGGAGAGGTCCTCTGATTTTTAGAGTTTCCAGTTTTTCTGCTCTGTTTTTTCCCCATCTTTGTGGTTTTATCTACCTTTGGTCTTTGATGATGGTGACGTACAGATGGGTTTTTGGTGTGGATGTCCTTCCTGTTTGTTAGTTTTCCTTCTAACAGACAGGTCCGTCAGCTGCAGGTCTGTTGGAGTTTGCTAGAGGTCCACTCCAGACACTGTTTGCCTGGGTATCAGCAGCAGAGGCTGCAGAACAGTGGATATTGGTGAACCACAAATGCTGCGGCCTGATTGTTCCTCTGGAAGTTTTGTCTCAGAGGAGTACCTGGCCCTGTGAGGTGTCAGTCTGCCCCTACTGGGGGATGCCTCCCAGTTAGGCTACTCGGGGGTCAGGGACCCACTTGAGGAGGCAGTCTGCCCATTCTCAGATCTCAAGCTGCGTGCTGGGTGAACCATTACTCTCTTCAAAGCTGTCAGACAGGGACATTTAAGTCTGCAGAGGTTACTGCTGTCTTTTTGTTTGTCTGTGCCCTGCCCCCAGAGGTGGAGCCTACAGAGGCAGGCAGGCCTCCTTGAGCTGTGGTGGTCTCCACCCAGTTTGAGCTTCCTGGCCGCTTTGTTTACCTAATCAAGTCTTGGCAATGGCGGGTGCCCCTCCCCCAGCCTCGCTGCCACCTTGCAGTTTGATCTCAGACTGCTGTGCTAGCAATCAGTGAGACTCCGTGGGCACGTAGGACCCTCTGAGCCATGTGCGGGATATAATCTCCTGGTGTGCCATTTTTTAAGCCCATTGGGAAAGCACAGTATTAGGGTGGGAGTGACCTGATTTTCCAGGTGCCATCTGTCACCCCTTTCTTTGACTAGGAAAGGGAATTCCCTGACCCCTTGTGCTTCCCGGGTAAGGTGATGCCTCGCCTTGCTTCGGCTTATGCATGGTGCACTGCACCCACTGTCCTGCACCCACTGTCTGGCACACCCCAGTGAGATGAACCCGGTACCTCAGTTGGAAATGCAGAAATCACCTGTCTTCTGCATCGCTCACGCTGGGAGCTGTAGACTGGAGCTGTTCCCATTTGGCCATCTTGGCTCCTCCCTATATCAATATTCTTATTACACTTCTTTTAGCTAATAACAATCTCACATTAACTGTGTGTTTACTATAAAACTCAAGAAGTATAGAAAAGATGGTGAAATGATTCTTTGGCTCAGGATAGTTCCACAGCCTTTTACTAGTTTAAAGCATGGTTTAAAACACATAGTTCATAAGTAATATGAAAGATAGTTAAAGTCCTCTACATTCAGCTCAAATTTAAACAGTTTGTATATGTAAAAAGTAAATATCACCTATTTGTTACCTATGTGCTAAAGGCCAAAAATATTAAGTTCCTCCCTCCCATTACCTCTCATATCCTAACAGTCCCCAAGACCTACCAGTTCTATTCCATATTGAAAATAAGACCCTTTTCTCCATTTATTCTGCTATGGCCTTGTCTCTACTCTAAGTACCTTTTATTTGAACCAATATTCAACAATTCATGTTTTCTTTTTTTTAAGTCAGATTCTTCCAATTCTAAACTAGCTCCTTCACTGTCACAAAAAGAATTCTAAAAAAAACCTTAATGTTTAATTCCTCTACTTAAGGAATGTTCTCATAGCCTATAGTTTAAAGTTCAACCACCTTAGTATGGTATAAAAGACAAATGGGCTTTTACACACTAACCCAGGTCTCCTCCCAAATGCCCCCAAACCACATTACATTTCTCAGAACTGCTGGGCTTATTACAAATCTTCATCTTTTACATGTGTTCTCACCTTTAAATGTCCTTTTATTTTTACTACTCTAGGTTTAGTTATTATTCCCCCCTTGAATATTTTTATGTCTTTATTATGTAACACAAGTCTTTTATTACAACTATGTTTCTATATCCCTTACTTAAGCACAACAATTGACACATAATGTTTATTTTATTTCAACAGAGAATAATCAACTTAAGTGAACACCTAGCTTTTGAATAACATATGCTATCTTACAGCTTTCCCAACCCTTTATTCTCCCTGATACTTCTAACAAAGCCTTAGCCATTTCTGGGTAAAGCATTCATTCATGCATTTACTAATCTTTATTAACTATAAACACCGTGACAAACTTTGGGATTGATGTTGCTCCTGGAATGGTAAAGTAATGGAATATAAAAATCTAGCACTCAAGAAATACGTAGTCCAATAAGGAAGCTGTACATTAATAGGTAATTCTAAAACAACCTGGTAATTACAGACAAACAAGAATGCAAATGTAAGATGATTTCTTCTTTAAAAAGTTAATAAAGTACTGCAGGCTAATAATAGACCTTAAAAGGGGGAAATAAAACTAAGGTCATCAATACAGAGACAATATTTGTAAAAGAGGAAACATAAAATGTATGAAACACTATTGTGCATTGCCGGCAGTAGCTAATCCAATGACGCACTAATCAGCAAAATAGAAATCCAAATTAAACAGGGCAATGCCCCTTTTAGAGGACAAGTAGCATCCTATATAAACTGTGGTACTTTGGATCTCTATAGAGCTCAGAAATCTAAATTTGCCTTAAATGCGTCATTGAGCTTCTTGAAACAGTTTTAGCCACAAATCCTACTAAATATAAAATTATAACAAAAGGTCAATAAAGTCCCAAAATATGGGACTTTATTTGCATATCACAATACAATGGTGCTGATCTGATTCCAGATGGTCTGACTGGCAACAGGATACCTTGAGGCTGTTGTATAGTAAAGTACAGTAGCATCTAGAAAGGAGAACTGAGAAAATCCATTTCAAATTCAGCCCTACAGAATCACTGAAGCTTGGTCATAAATAATGTGGCACATTTTTGTTTGTTGTTTTTCACTACACTTGACAGACAAATTCAGTGTGCAGCAATAAAGAATGTAATTATACATAAAACAGCCAAAAACAGATGCGCTTTTGAGTCTTGGCTAAGGATAACTCTCAAAAAAGAATTACATCAAAGTTGTGGCTCTGTCTACTCTTATACAAGTGGTCAGTAGTGGAACTTAAATATCTCCTAAAAACAAAAATCAAAAGAGAAAAATTTTTATGTGGAATCTCAATTTGTTAATAATAGTCTAATAAAATCTAACAAATGCTCAACTTATTGCCATAAAAACATCTTACATTTTAAATACTGCTAAAAGATACTATCATGTAAATACATTTGACTATTTCTTCACGAAAACTATAAAACCTCCTTTTAGAAAGAACAACTGCATATATTGTTCTATATTAAAGAAATTCAACATGTTTGTGAATGCAGTGAGGCTTTATATTATTTTTGTTACAAAACTCTAATTTACCTGGGTGTGTGGTATCCCCTGAGATTTTCACACTAATGTGCATTGAATTTGTGTGTCACACTGAATTTGGAATTGGATTGTTTTTGAATATCAAGTCTACCACATTTTTACCTAATGTTTGTTGTCCACAGTTTATTTCTGTTAAAATTGTACATTAATTTCTGATTTTAGAAAGTAATTTTGTTGTTTTAATACATTATACAAAAAATGAATCATGAAACAGATTCCAGACAATATTTTCAATAATTAAAAAGCCACAGCTACATTGCGAAATGCACATGCGAACCAAAGATCTACAGACAAGAATTAAACTTAACACCCATAAGTAAACTCAAAGCTTCCTTGCTTTTCTCTTTTGCTGACTCTATGCTACTCTAACAAGAGTAAATGATAAAGTACCACGTTCAAATGGCATTTTGCTTTTGCCTTCAGGTATTGAAGGCTTCTTTAAAATAATAAACTATAAACCTGAGTCTTTTACAAAGCCAAATGTGGCTCCTATGTTAACCATATCTGTGTTTTTCACTTAAATTCAGCAATAATAAATGAAAAAAGGGTGTTTTGTTGTTGTTGTTGTTGTTTCTAAAAAAAAGAAAAAAAAAGCCAACAGGTCAGGCACGGTGGCTCATGTCTGTAATCTCAGCACTTTGGGAGGCCGAGGTGGATGGATTGCCTGAGGTCGGGAGTTCGAGACCAGCCTCGCCAACGTGGTAAAACCTTGTCTCTACTAAAATTACAAAATTAGCCAGGCATGGTGGTGCATGCCTGTAATCCCAGATACTCTGGACTATGAGGCAGGAGAATCACTTGAACATGGGAGGCAGAGGTTGCAGTGAGCCAAGATCATGCCATTGCACTCCAGCCTGGGCAACAAAAGTGAAACTCTGTCTCAAAAAAAATTAAAAAGAAAAAAAGCAAACACTCATAAAACACTCAATACTGCAACACACAGATTAAAGTATTTTACAAACATTAATTTAATTTCCAAACGGCTCTATAGGATGCATAGCACTGTTATTCCATTTTACAGATGAGGAAGGAAACAGGGAGACTGGATATCTTGTCTGTAATCTCAGAGCTGGTTAATTTCCAAAACCAAAATTCAAGCCAGGGCTGTCTGACTCCAGAGTCAACATTGTTAACTACCATGTGTGTGATTTTAAAATGCAAATACTTAAATTATCATCATTTCATCATTATTATAATCTTTTTCATTCAACCATACCTGTACTTGTTAGATACTGTATGATACCCTTACCTTCATCTTTTATTTCTCAATTAAACAATAAATATTATGTTATCATCTGTGCCTACTCACATCCAACATTCTGCTTAAGTTCATATTTTATGGAAGACCTTCTACACATTTACAAAGATAGTATTTAGAGAAATAATTAGTGAACACACCTTTATATTTTAAAATCCAGATAGAAAACATATAATGTTAATTTTTTTAAATAGTGATAGCTTATTTTGTTTTCTTTCTTAATTAAAGAAGTTCCACAGAGAAGACAGAGCAAGGAGGATTCAGACTTAACTGTGAGATAATAGAATTGTACCAATTTTAGGGATTTGGAAGATGAGGCAAGAGCAAGTACCATGCTTATCTCTTTAATGGTATACATTAAGCTTGTCCAACCCATGAACCACATCCACATGAGGCCCAGGAGGCTTTGAATGTGGCCCAAAACAAATTCATAAACTTTCTTAAAATACTAGCTTTCATTAGTCTTAGTGTATTTTATGTGTGCCCCAAGACAATTCTTCTCTTCCAATGTGGCCCAGGAAAGCCAAACGATTGGACACCTCTGGTATACATTTTTCATAAGAAATGAACACTTTTCAAACGTTCGTATCTTGGGAAAGCCAATACTCCTATGACTGTGTGAGCCCGCTACAGCCCAACTCTCTTGCTGTTGAAAACTATAAACTCTGAACAAAATGCAATAAACAACTAGCTGACAATTCTGTAAATTATGCAGATTATAGAAGAGAGTCAAAATTTGGAGAAATTAGCCTACAGGTATAACTTACTTGTGTTTTATTTTGTTTTGTTTTTGTTTTTGTTTCATATTTTATCAAGGTTTTGTCCCAAGGGTGGAATCCAGTAGCTGAGCAGAACAACTGTTGTCTGCCTAAAACTTTGAAAGAAACCCTGTGTTTTTGGACATAGGAACTAGGGGAAAAATGCAGGTTAGAAAGTGTACGGGAATCTGAGATGAGAAAAATGAAGAGGGGAATTGCCTAATTTTTGTATGAACCATAAAAACCTCAGGCTATCTCCAGAATTAAGCATGTGTAACAGACCCAAACCAATTGAGGAAAAACTTAAGGAATTGAACTGAAATTAAAACTACCTATATGAGGTCTCCTAATAGCTTCTGAATTTATGTTATGTGAGAGAGAAAATACCAATATTCTGACAGTTAAAACTTCCAAGAGTTAAAAACACCAAGGAGACTCAGTCATGGGGGAATCCTGCACTTTTGTGAGTTTTACTTGGAAGAGCTCTATAAGGCCTGTAAGTGAATATCATAAAGACTTCCTCTCATGCTTCTGGAAGTGGGAGGAGAAAAGGAATCATGTTGAAAACACCAGAACATTCTGTTCTTCTTAAAAAAAGCATGCCCTCAGAGTAACCTGCTGGGATTTCATCATAGTTTAACCTAACTTGAGAAAGGGAAATACAAGCATAACTTGAAGATATCGCATGTTCAGTTCCAGACCACCACAATAAAGAAAATATTGCCAAGATTTTTTTCAGTTTCTCAGTACATATAAAAGTTATGTTTACACTATTCTGTTGTCTATTAAATGTACAAAAACATTCAGTGTAAAATAAATGTATGTATCTTAATATAAAAATACTTTACTGCTAAAAAATACTAACGATTATTTGAACCTTCAGCAAACTGTAATATTTTTGCTGGTGGAGGGTCTCACCTCTGTGTCTATAACTGCTTAGGGTGGTGGTTGCTGAGGTTTGAGGTTGCTGTATCAATTTCTTAAAATAAGGCAATGATGAAGTTTGCCACATCAATTGACTCTTCCTTTCATAAAAGATTTCTCTGTAGCATGTGATGCTTTTTGATAGCATTTTACCCACAATAGAACTTCTTCCAAAACTGGAGTATTTTCAAACTCTGTTGCTGCTTTATCAACTAACTTTATATAATATTCTAAATCCTTTGATGTCATTTAACAATATTCACAACCTCTTCACCAGAAGTAGATTCCATCTCAGAAAAAAACACTTTATTTCCTTATCCATAAGAAGCAACTCATCTGTTCAAGTTTTATCATGAGGTTACAGCAGTTCAGTTACATCCTTGAGCTCCATTTCCAATTCTAGTTCTCTTGCTATTTCTGCCGCATCGGCATTGACTTCCCTACTGACATCTTGAATGCTTCAAACTCATTTTGAAACAAACTTCTCCTCCTATGAATCACAAATGTTCTTATTGACATCTGGAATGGTGAATCTTTTCTAGAAAGTTTCTAATTTACTGTGTCCAGATTCATCATAGGAATCACTATGTATGGCAGCCATAGCATTATGAAAAGTATTTCTTAAATAGGAAGGCTTGAAAGTTGAAATTACTATTGATCCATGGGCTATTGATGTTGTGTTAGCAAGCATGAAAACAACATTAATC
The DNA here is from genome assembly GCF_000001405.40 of Homo sapiens. NCBI lineage: Eukaryota > Metazoa > Chordata > Mammalia > Primates > Hominidae > Homo > Homo sapiens. Next base: position 103,057,667 of record NC_000001.11, read on the forward strand.
TCCTTACACATCTACATCAGAGATCTTGGGTGACCAGGTTTATTGTCAATGAGCAGTAATATTTTGAAAAGAATCATTTTTTTTCTCAGCAGTAGGTCACAACTGTAGGCTTAAAATATTCAGTAAACCATGATGCAAATGAATGTGCTGCCATTCAGACTTTGTGGTTCCATTTATAGAGTACAGCAGGATTGATTTAGTATAATTCTTAAGGGTCCCAGGATTTTTAAAATGGTAAGTGAGCACTGGCTTCAACTTAAAGTAGCCAGCTGCATTATCCCCTAACAAGAGAGTTTGAAGCTGTCCTTTGAAGCTTTAAAGCCAGGCATTGATTTCTGTTCTCTAGGAACATCTTAGATGGTATCTTCTTCCAACAGAAGGCTGTTTTGTTTACATTGGAAATCTGTTGTTTAGTGTAGCAGCTTTCAACAATTTACCTTAGCTAGATCTTCTGGATAATTGTCTACAGCTTCTATATCAGCACTTGCTGTTTCACTTTGCACTTTATATTGTGAAGACAACTTATTTTCTTAAACATCATGAACTGGCTTCTGCTAGATTTGATCTTTTCTTCTGAAGCTTCCTCACTTCTCTGAGCTTTCACAGAATTGAAGAGAGTTAAGGCCTTGTTCTGGATTAAGCTGCGGCATAAGAGAATGTTGTGGCTGGTTTGATCTTCTATTAGACTACTCAAACTTTCTCCATATCAGCAATAAGACTGTTTTGCTTCCTTACCATTCATATGTTCACTAGAGTAGTACTTTTAATTTCTTTAAAAATATTTTCCTTTGCATTCATAACTCTTGGATTCACAGGGCACAAAAGGCCTGGCCTTTGGCTTATCTCAGCTTTCAACATTCCTTCCTCACTAAGCTTAATCATTTCTAGCTTTTGATCTCAAGTGACTCTTGAACACTTGAACCTGTGACTCTTCCTTTCCCTTGAACACACATAGGTCATTGTGGGGTTACTAAATGACCTAATTTCAATATTGCTGTGTCTCAGGCAATAGAGAGCCTCAAGGAGGAGAGAATTTGAGAATAGCTGGTCAGTTGAGCCAGTTGAGCAGTCAGAACACACAAAACATTTATCACTTAAGTTTACCATCTTATTGTGTACATTATTATTATATATAAGATGGTATATGCTCATTTCATGTCTCTGTAACTTATTTTGGTAATTCTCATGACATTTCAAATCTTTTCATTTTTATAACTGCTATGGTGATCTGTGATCAGGGATCTTTAATGTTACAGTTGTAATTGTTTTGGGGTCTCATAAACCATACTTATAATAATAATAAAAAGTTTAAAATATTGTGAGAATTATTGAAATGTGACACAGTCATGATGTGAGCACATGCTGCTGGAAAAAAATGATGCCAACAGACTTGCTTGATTCAAGGTTGCCACAAACTTTCAATTTGTAACAAGAGCAATATCCACAAAGCATAAAGAAAAGCATGATATAACAATGTATGTTGTGCCTAACTGCAGTGCAGCATTATCCTTCAGTGTGAAAGAAAGGAAATTCCCTACTACAGCTCCCTCTGGTCTTCCATGTGGAAGAAGGAAAATAACCCCAGCCACCTTCAGCCATCCTGTTCCACCTAAGGTCATGGGGTGAGGGACTGTGAAGCACTGATAAAATTCACAGTCCAGGGCTCAGGCTCACCAAAATCTGAGACCTAATCATAGAATGAGTCCTTCCCGTTTCACCTTACCAACACATAGCTAAGGGCTTATTAAAAAAAAACAAAACATAGTTTCTTTTACCCAGTGCATCATGTTCACCTTTCAACACAAAATTAAAAGGCATACTGCAAGGAAAAGAAACTACAGTTTAAAGAGACTGAATAAGCATCAAACCAGAGTCAGATATGGCAGAAAGGTTGGAATTATCATTCTAGGAATTTTTCAAACTATGATTCCCGTGCTAAGAACTTTAATAAAAAAGTAGACAACAGGCAGGAACAGAATGGCTAATGTAAGCAGAAAGATGATAACTGTAACAAAGAATCAAAAATAAATGCTGTAGATAAAAAACACCATAATTGAAATGAAGCATACATTTGATGGGCTCATTAGTAAATTAGACACTGCTAAGGAAAGAATCTGAGTTTGAGGAGGTGATAATCAAAACTTCCAAAACTAAAAGCAAAGAGAAAAAAAGCTGGGAAATACAAAACTAAACAGGATATCTAAAAGCTTTGGGACAACAACAAAATATGTAATTACACACAATAGGAATACAAGGAGAAAGAGAGAAAAGAATAGAACCAACATTTGAAGCAATAGTGACTGAGAATTTGCCCAAATTAATGTCAGACATCAAACCAAAATTCCAGAAGTATAATATTCAAATATCAGACCAAAAATCTGGGAATATCATTTTCAAATATCAGAAAATCTAAGATAAATTTAAAAATATTAAAAGAACCCAGAGGGGAAAAAAACCAACTTACCTATACAAGCGAAGATAAGAATTACATCTGACTTATCAGAAATCATACAAGAAAGAGAGACTAAAGTGAAATATATAGTGTTGAGAGAAAAATACCACCAAACTAGAATTCTGTACCCTGAGAAATCATTCTTCAAAAGTGAAGGAGAAATATAGACTTTCTCAGACAAACAAAAATTGAGGAATTTGCTGCCAGTAGGCCTGCCTTGCAAGCAATGTTAAAATAAGCTTTTCAGAAATAATAAAAATTATATAAGTGAGAAGCTTAAATCTACATAAACTATTCAGAGAATGAATAAGTGAAGGTAAAATATTTTTTATTATTATTAATTGATCTAAGGTATGAGTTTTTTCAAAATAATAATAGCAATAATGGATTTCACTGCATATATGCTTATGTATAAGTAAAATGAATGATTGCAATGACAGAAAAGGCAGGAGAGAGGAATTTGAAATATTTTATAAGATACTTGCTTGCATTACTCATAAATCAGTATAGTGTTATTTAAAAGTTGACTTGGAATAGGTGTAAGTTCATATTTAAAAACCTAGCCAGGTGAGGCGGCACATGCATTTAATCCCAGCATTTTGGGAGGCCAAGGCTGGTGGATTTATTGAACCCAGGAGTTTGAGACAAGCCTGGGCAACACAGTGAGACCCTATCTCTACAAAAAAATAGAAAAGAATCAGCCAGGCATGGTGGTACTGGAAGGATCACCTGAGCCCAGGGTAATAAATGGAACATAATAACATATATGGTGAATATTATTCTAACTATATATATAATTGCCTTAAATATGAATGATTTAAATACACTCATTAAAGACAGGTTGTCAGAGTGGATCAAAAAAAAACCAAGGCTCAATTACATGTTGTCTACAAGAGACACACTTTAAATATAAAAACACATACAAAGTAAAAGGAAGGGTATAAAGGTATAACATTCTAAAACTAATAAAAAGAAAACAGGAGTAGCTAAATTAATTTCACACAGTGCAAACTTTGGAGCAGGGAAAATTATTAGAGATAAAGTGAGGCATTACATGATAATAAGGGTAAAAAGGTCAGTGCACCAAAAAGACATAAATCTTTAATGCATATGCACCTAACAAAATACATGAAGCAAAATCTAATAGATATGGAAGGAAAAATAGATGAATCCACTATTACATTTAAATGGTAAACACCATTCTAACAGAAATGAAAATATACAGCAGGCAGAAATTAGTAAGGACAAAGTTGAACTAAAAACACTATTAATCAAAAAAGATAATTTTCATATATATACTCCTATAACCAATAACAGCAGATTACTTATCGTTCTAAAGTTCACATGGACATTCCTCAAGATATACTACATTCATGGCCAAAAAGAAAACTCTTAAAAATTTGAACAAATATACATAATCCAATAACTGCTCTCAAACCGTAACAGAAAGATAACTGGGAAATCCCAAAATAATTGGAAATGTAAAAACATACTTCTAACTAATACATGGATTGAAGACAAAATCTCAGGAATAATTTAAAAATATTATAAACAAAATAAAAATCAAAATATAACTTTTCTTTGAGGGAAATCTATAGCATTGAATGAATATATTAGAAAAGAGGAAAGATCTAAAATCAACTGTCTAAGCTTCTATCCTAAGAATCTAAACAAAAAAGAGGAAAATAAATCTGAAATAAACAGAACAAAAGAAAATTAAATTACACCAGAAGTAATAAAACAGACAGCAGAAAGTCACCATAGAATTAGCATCCAAACCAAAACCTGATTCTTTCAGAATGTTAATAAAATTTATAAGCCTCTAGCTAAGCCAACTAAGTAAGAGATAAGTTACAAATTATTATTGGCAGGAAAAAGAGGAGATATCACCACAGATCCCATGGACATTAAAAGGATGATAAAAGAATATTATGAAAAACTCTGTGCCCACAAATTTGATAAATTAGATGAAATAAGTCAATTCCTTGGTAGATCCAATCTGTAAAAACTCATAAATAAAGAATTAGAAAATCTGAAAAGGTCCAATAAGAAGATTGAATCAAAAATTAATAAACTTTCTAAAGAGAAAGCATCAGAACAAGATGGGTTCACTGTTGAAGTCTATCAAACATTTAAGGAAAAAGATATACCAATTCTCTGCAACCTTTTTCAGAATATAGAAGCGAAAGGAATATTACTAACTGATCTTATGAGGTCACATCACCCTAATATCAAAACCAGGTGAAAACATTAAAAGAAAATAATACTACAGACCAATATCTCTCATGAACATAAATGCAAAAATCCTTAACAAAATATTATCAAATTGAATCCCAAGGTATATAAAATAAGTAAATGCCATAGTCAAGTGGAATTTATCCCAGGTATGCCAGGCTGTTTCAATATTTGAAAATAAATTAGTATCACCATCAACAAGCTAAAGAAAAAATAAATAAATTATCATATCATAGATGCAGGAAAGCATTTGACAAAATACAGCATTCATTCATGATTTTAAAACATGTTCTGAAAACTAGGAACAGAAGGACATTTTCTCAAACTGATCAGAAAGAAGGCAAGGATGTCCTCTGTTAATATTGCATTTCTACATCATACTGGGAGTCCTAGTTGATGCAGTAAGACAAGAAAAGGAAATAAAATGTATTCAGATGGGGAAGAGAAAAATTAAACTTTTCCACAGATTACATAATTGTCTAGGTAAAAAATCCAAAATAATTGACAAAAAAATTGGAAATAATAAATGATTGTTACAAGGTTGTGTATACAAGGTATATAAAACATCAATCATTTTCTTAAGAAGAATTTGAAATTTATCACTCAACACTATTTACATGAGCACTCAAAAAAGAAATACATATGTATAAATGTAACAAAATAAATATAAGATCTATATGAAGAAAACTACAAAACTCTGATGAAGGATATCGAACAACTTTAAAAATAAAAATATTCTATGTTCATGGATAGAATGACTCAATACTGTCAAGATGTCAGTTCTCCTCAACTTGATCTATAGATTCAATACACTCACAATTAATTTCCCAGCATGTTATTTTGTGGATCTTTCCAAACATATTCCAAATTCATAAGAAGAAAAACATCCAGAATAGTCAATTAACTCAATATTAAAGGTAAAGAACAAAGACAGAGAACTGACATTATCTGACTTTAAGACTTAATATAATATTACAATAATGAATACAACGTAGTATTGGTGGAAGAACTGATAAGTAGATCAATGGAATAGAATAAAGATCCTAGAAAAAGATCCATATAAATATACTAAACTGATCTTTGACAAAAGGAGCAAATGAAATACAATGGAGCAATGATAATCTTTTCAACTAATAGTGCTGGAACAACTGGACAGCCACATGCAAAAAAATATCTAAATACAAACCTTAAATTGTTCAGAAAAATTAAGTCATAATGGTTCATAAATGTAAAACACAAAACCATGAAACTCCTAGAAGACAATATAGGAGAAAACCTAAATAACCTTGGGTATGGTGATGACTCTTCAGACACAACACCAAAGATATATTCCATGAAAGAATTTATTGATAATCTAGGCTTTATTAAAATTTAAAACTTCTATTCTGAAAAGACAATATCAAGAGAATCAGAAAATACACCACACAGCAGGTGCATGTGTTTGCAAAAGACATACCTGATAAAGGACTGTTATCCAAAACATACAAAAAGTTCAATATTCAACAATAAAAAAGCTAACAATCTGACTTAAAAATGCACAAATATGTTGAACACCTCAACAAGGAAGATATACAGATGGAAAGTAAGCCTATGAAAATATGTTCAACATCATATGTCATTAGAGAATTGCAAATTAAAACAACAATGAGAAACCACAACATACCAAAAGAAAATAGGGCTGTTTTGGGGCAAATTCAAAACAGTGATGACAAAAACTCCTGGAAAAGCTGTGAAGCAAAACAAACTCTCGTTCCTTGCTGGCGGGAATCCAAAAGGGTTTATTTAGCAAGACAGTTTGGCAGTTTCTCATAAAACAAAGCATATTCATACAACAATCACACTTCTTGGTATTTATCCAAATGATTTGAAAATTTATGCCTACATGAAAACTGCACATAATTATCTAGTAGCTTTATTCATAGTTTCCAAAATTTAGAAGCAACCAAGATGTCTTTTAGTAGGTAAACTGATAAATATGTACCACATCCGGCTAGTAGAATGTTATTCAGCAGTAAGAAGAAATGAGCCTACCAGTCATGAAAATACATAGAAGAGGGCCAGGCGCGGTGGCTCATGCCTGTAATCCCAGCACTTTGGGGGCTGAGGCGGGTGGATCACGAGGTCAGGAGATCAAGACCATCGTGGCTAACACGGTGAAAACCTGTCTTCACTAAAAACACAAAAAAAATTAGCCAGGCGTGGTGGTGGGTGCCTGTAGTCCCAGCTATTTGGGAGGCTGAGGCAGGAGAATGGTGTGAACCCGGGAGGCGGAGCTTGCAGTGAGCCTAGGTTGCGCCACTGCACTCAGCCTGGGAGACAGAGCCAGACTCCATCTCAAAAAAAAAAGAAAAAAAAAAAAAAAGAGAATACATAGAAGAACCTTAAATGCATATTACTTGGCGAAAGGGGCTAAACTGAAAAGGCTGCATACTGTATGACTGCAACTAATACATCCTGGAAAAGTCAAAATTATAGAGGCAGTAAAAAAAAAAAAAATCGCAACTTCCAGGGGTTAATCAGGGAGAGAAGGATGAATAGGTAGAGAAAGGAAGATTAGGTAGAGAAAGAAAGATTTTTAGTGCAGTAAAATTATTCTTTTAGGTACTAATATGGTGAGTACATGTCATTACATATTTGTCTACACTCTTAGAATGTACAACACCAAGAGTGAACATGTAAACTATAGACTTTGGGTGATAATGATGAGTCAATGTAGTTTCATCTGTTGTAATAAATTCCTACTCTCATATGGGATATTGATAATAGGGAAGGTTATATGTTGGGGTGGGGCAAATAGTATATGGGAACTCCCCGTCCTTTCTGCTCAACTTTGGAACCTACACCTACTCTAAAATAAAGATTGTTTATTAACAACAACAGCAATTGGCCGGGCACGGTGGCTCACGCCTATAATCCCAGCACTTTGGGAGGCCGAGGCGGGAGGATCACGAGGTCAGGAGACCAAGACCATCCCGGCTAACACGGTGAAACCCCGTCTCTACTAAAAATACAAAAAATTAGCCGGGCGTGTTGGCAGGCGCCTGTAGTCCCAGCTACTCAGGAGGCTGAGGCAGGAGAATGGCATGAACCCGGGAGGCGGAGCTTGCAATGAGCCCAGATCGCGCCACTACACTCCAGCCTGGGCGACAGAAGAGCGAGACTCCGTCTCAAAAAAAAAAAAAAAAAAAAAAAAAGAAAGCAAACAAACAAACAAACAAACAAAAAAAATAGCAACAAAGGCAATAAACAGATGCCAACCCTGAGATAGGGTGGACATTGAAACTCTCAGGAAGAGTTTTTAAAACAGCTATTATAACTCTCCTCCAAGAAGCAAGTGATACACTATTGAAAAGAATGAAAATATAAGAATATTTAGCAGCAAAGTAGAAACTTTAAAGAGTGAAGGCTTCCTAAATTTGTTGAAAAATATTCATTTACAGATGTAAGATGCTTAATAAACCCGAAACAGAATAAATTAAAACAAAATTATGACAATCTACTGAAGTCAATCTACTGAAAAGCAAACACGGAGAAAAAAAAAATCTTAATAGCAGCTAAAGTGGTACATCAAGTACATGATAACAACAATGTGAATGTGAGTTGTGCATCAGAAAACACAGGGACCAGAGACAAAACATTTTTACAGTCCTAAAATAATAAAACTGTCAACCCAGAATTCTATGGTCAGTGAAAATATCCTTCTGTAATGAAGGCAAAAGAACAACATTCTCACATATAAGAAAACTAAGAGATACATCAGTAGCATATCTGTTGTATAAGAAATGTTAAAGAAAACTTTTTAGACTGATGGAAAAGTGTATCCTAGAAAAATATGGAGCTTCAGAAATAAAAGATAAACAGAAATAACAAATATTTACTTAGATATAAAATTATATTTTTATCTTAAAAGCTTTAAAATATACGATTATTTAAAGCAAAAATAACATTTGGTGGTATGTTCAATATATACAGGTCTAATAAGTATGACAACTGTACCACAAAGATCAGTATGACAAGGAGATTGAAATGTTTCTGCATTACATACATACAATGATACAATATTAGCAAGAAATATATCATAACATTTTGGTACAAATTTTACAATTATTATAAAAAGTATTTCTTAAATAAAAAAATAGCAAAAATCCAATAAGTAAAACAAAATGGAATACTACAAAATATTCAAATAAACCCTCAGCACCAAAAAAAAAAAAAAAGACTGGAGGCAGGAAAGGAAGAACAAAGAATCAGAAAACAGAGAGTACAAAGAAAATACAAATAATAAGATGCAGACTTAAATCCAGCCACATCAATAACAAATCAATGACATTTAGCATAACATTTAATGTAAATTATGTTATTAGTTTCATGACACCAATTAAAAGGCAGAAATTTATAGAGGGGATAAAAAAAGGCCCCCCAGTAACCTGACTCTAACAGGCACACTTTAACTATGCAGACACATAATTTGAAAATAAATGGACATAAAAATATATATAGCATTCAAATTGTAGGTTAACAAGAAAAGGAGTGGCCATTCTAATATCACATAAAGTAGACGTCAAGGCAAAAAATACTAGTGGAGATAGAGAGCTATTTCACAGTAAAAAGTGACAAGCAGAAAGATCTAACAATGATAAATGTGCACATGCCTGAGAATGCAATACATGCCGCAAAAAATGGCAAAATGAAAAGGAAGATACCCAATTACACAATTATGGTAGAAAATTTTAACACTCCTCAACAACTGATAGAACAAGTAGACAAAAAAATAAGAAATATAAGGAAAGATCTAAGTGACATTTATAAAAGTCTGCATCGAACAATTTCACAATGCACTTTCTTTTTAAGGGCATTATTACATTAACTGAGATAGACTACATGTTAGACCATATATCAAACCTCAATAAATCTAAATGGATTGAGATCATACCAAATTTATTCTCAGAAGACAACAGAATTAGACACCAATACCAATAAGCTCTCTAAGAAAAGCTCAAGTATCTAGATATTAAACATCACTGTATAATTAGTGGGCTGGAAATAAAATAAAAAAAGAAATTGAAAATTATTTTAACTAAATAACCATCAAAAATGACATAGTAAAATTGTGTTACGCAGCTAAAACTGTGTTTAGAGAGAAATGTGTAATTTTAAATTTTTATACTGGGAAAAAAGCAAATCTCGAAGTAATAACCCTATACTTTGAGAGGCTAGAGAAACAATTTTTCTTTTTCAAATCTATGATAGGAAAAAATAATTATGAAATAGAAAAGAGTCTGTTAAGAGTGACAATTAACAGAGCCTGAAACTGGTTTGTTGAGAATATCAACAAAAGTTTCAAGTACCTGTTCAAATTATTGATCTGGGGGGAAAATACAAATTATTAATATAAAGAATAAAAAGTAGTTTTCAGTAGAAATTTTAAAGATATTAAAATTTAAAATAATGAAATGCTACAAACAGCTTTATATGAACAAATCCAACAACTTAGTTGAACTAGAAAAATTTCTTGAAAAATAAAACTTAACATGATCAACACAAGAAGAAACAGAAAAACCGAATTAACCTGTATCGAGTAAAGAAATTGAATATGTTAAAACAATTCTAAAAAGAAAACTCAGGGCCCTGAAATTTTCACTGGTTAATTCTATCCAGTATTCAAGAAGGAAATAACATCAGTAATATAAGAAAGTTTTCAGAAAATAGATAAGGAGAGATCACTGCACAGATGAGTTTATGAAGCCAGTATAACCCTATCAAAACCTGACAAAGACATTATAAATACAGAGATTCATAGACTAGTATTCCTCATTAATATAGACTAAAACTTTTTAAAGATATTTTACAAAATGGAATTATATGTTACATTAATAAGATAACATACTGCATGACTACAGTGGAATCTATACACCTTTAAGGAATGCAAAGTTATTTCTAAATATTTGAAAAATCAATCAATGTAATTCAACATACTAACAGGAAAAAAAACCCGCATGATCATTTCAATAGGTGTAGAAAAAGCGTTTTATAAAATTTAGTACATGTTCTTGATAACAAATATTTAGGAAACTAAGACAAACAGTAAATTTCAAACTGATAAACAGAATCCAATGAAAACTTTCAGCCAACATCATACTTAATGCTGAAAGACTGAATTATTTTCCACATGAGGTCAGAAAAAAAAGTAAGAATACCTGCTTACACAAGATATATTCAATATATATAAAAGTTATATTCGATGTATATCCCATTCATTGCCGTAAGAAAAATAAGTAAAAAGCATAAAGATAGAAAACTTGCAAAATGGTCCCTACTTTCAGATTATATAACTTTTTACACTAAAAAAAAACCCTGAACTAATAAATGAATTTAACAAGGCTATAGGATACAAGGTTAATATAAAAAATCGTGTTTTCTATATTAGGAAGAAAATATTCAAATATGACATTAGAAACAAATTCATTTACTCTAGCACTAAAAAAAAATACTTAGGAAAAAATTAAATAAAAGATGTCCAAGACATTTACCCTGAAAACTAGAAAACATTGTAAAAAAAAATTAAACAAGACCAAAATAAATGGAGTTATATTATGTACAGGAAATAGAAAACTCCATGATTTTTAAAAATTTCAATTGTCTTCATTATGATCTGTAGGTTAAATGAAATCCCCATTAAAACCACAACTTCTTGTAGAAGTTAATAAGCTTATTCTAACATGTGTGTAGAAATGAAAATGACCCAAAATTGCTACAACAATGTTTTACAAAGAATAAAAAGTAGGAGTATTTACCCACATGATTTTAAAATGTTTTCTAAAACTACAGTAATCAAGATATTATGGTAGTAGTAAAAAAAATGAATAAATAATAAGGTAGAGAGTTCAGTAATAGGTGCACTAATTGGTAGTCAATTAATTTCTGATTTAAAGACCAAGGCAATATAAATCATGAAAAGAAAGTCGTTTCAGAAAAATGTGCTGAATGAACTGGATATGATTATGTAGAAAACAGTGAACATTGACCTTTACCTTACATCATACACAAATATTAACTCAAAATGGGTCATGACCCATGTGCAAATCCTGAAACAACAACGTTCTGATACTAAAAATAGAAGAAAATCTTTGTGATCTTGGAGTAAAAGTTTCTTAGAACACAAAGAGTGTCAAACATAACAACAAAATTGATAAATTAAACTTTATCAAAATTAAAAGCATTTACACTTGGAAAGACACCAATAAGAAAACAAAAAAAAGGCAAGTCACATACTGGAAAAAATATTTGCAAACATATATCAGACAAAAAATCTTTATGCAGGATAAAGTTTTATATACTCTTAAAACTCCTTAAACTAAAACAAACAGCTCAATTTTTTAAATGGGCAAAAAATTTGAAAAGACACCTCACAAAACAATATGCATAAATGGCCCACAAGAACCTGGCAAAATGCAGACATCATCAGTCAAGGGAGAAGCGTAAATTAAAACCACAATGTAACACTACAATGCGTCTAGTTAGAATGCCTAAAATGAAAAAGACTGAGCATATCAGAGGTTGGCAAGGAGACATAATGACTGGAACTCTCATACACTGCTGAAGGGAGTATAAAATGGTTAATGCCACTTTGAAAAATAGTTTGATAATTTTCTTTTTTTTTAATGTTAATCATGAACCTACCAAATAACCCATGCATTCCACATCTAGGTATTCAACCAAACAAACCAAAATGTAGACATGAATGTTTATAGTGGCTTTATAGATGCCATAACCTGGAAGTAACACAAATGCCCACTAATAGGGTGAATGGATGAAAAAATTTTGGTGTAGCTATGTGTTAAAATCCTACTCAGCAAAATAATAATAATAATAATAATAATAATAATATTAAATACAATAAACATGGGTAATTCTTAAGATCATTATACTAAGTAAGAACTGAATTGTATGTAATATAAATAAGACAACATACTACATCACCAGTACAGTCTATAGACCTCTAAAGATTGAAAAGTTGTTTTTAAATATTTGAAAAACCAATCAACATAATTCGACATACTATTAATAACAAGGGAAAAAAAACGAGTTAAAACGAGTTAAGTTAAAATGAGTGCACCCAGTATAATTCCATTTGTAAAAGTCCCAGAAAAGCTACAGTGATAAAAAGCTACTTCATGATTGTCTGGGGTTAGGATGGAAGAAGGAATGAATTAAAAAAGATGATAAGGAATCTCTTGGGTGAGATGGCAATGTTTATTTTCTTGATTATGATGATGGTTTCACAGCTGTATACATAAGTCACAACTGATCAAATGGTATACTTTTAATATTTGCAGTTTATTGTGATTCAATTGTAACTCAATAAATTTAGAAAAAAAATCACAAGGACCAAGAACTAAATGCATCTAGACTGGGTAAAGTGGATAAATGGAAAGGTTATCTCCATCTTATAACATTGTTCTATAGGAAAACCATGTCTACTAAAATTCAACTTTTAAGTGTGTATATTGGATAATATATGCATTAAAAAGATATATGGACACCATAAAGCAATAATCAAGCTCTTAATGGCTTTTGAGATGGCTTTAGTATTGGCCATCTCAAACGCCATCTCAAAAAAGTTTGCTAATCTTACTTTTTTCAGGCCTTGTACAGTTATCAAATAGCATAGTTGTTATAAATTATTATTCATTGATTTCTCCACAGAAAATTGAATTCAAAATATTTTCTGAGGAGTTTAAAAAAATGCAAAATGTCCATCACAAAGCTTTTCTACTCAAATAGCCATCATATGTCATATTCTACTCATTGCTTCCACGAAATAAATAATCTCCCCAAAGATGGCTATTTGTTAAAAAATATGAAAGACCTGCAATAATCTGTTTTGATTATTTTAAAAAATTAGGAAACAGAAATAATGATGTTTTGAAAACTTGAGCAATGGCTATAACTTGCTATTTAATAAGGAAATTTTCCTGTTTAAAAGACTCCAAAAATAATTGTATTGACAATAAATACAAGCAATACAACTTTTCTAATTTAATTTTCCTCACATCTTTGAATCTTATTTAGCAGGAAAAAAAAATCAAGGCTGTTGATTTGTGTTGGTAGGACTTTTTTTTTTTTTTTTTTTTTTTTTTTGCCTGCATGGAAATATTCATTCAATCAGACCACACTCCATTTATTAAGGTCTGTACTCAGGTGTTACCTCTGTCTAGAGGGGACAAATGTATCTAATCTCTACAAGGTAATTTGTAAAATTGCAGTAGGCCAGAAAAGAAGTACTTCATTTAGAACACAGACAGACGGACCCATGAGGACTTTTAGCAGACAGACAGAGGGACCCACGAGGACTTCTGACTGACAGATGGGTCACTGTTAGTTGCCCATATCAAAAGTTGAAATGTCATGGTTGTAAAATCATAAGAAAAAGAAGTAATAATAATGTTTGTAAAACTACACATTAATGGATAATTAAGTTAACATACAACCACATTTATATTACATATGTGTTTGTATATATATATATATATATATATTTATACTAGTATCTTAAAGACTGTACATACATCAGCTCATTTTTTTTCTATAAATCCTTATGAGGAAGATTCTGTTATATTTCCCATTTGAAACTGATATAGAGTAATTATATAGAGAAGGTTGAATATTAAGCTATATGCTGGGATTCAAAATCGGATTTTTGTCATCCCCAAATCAATTCATATACTCACTCTGCTATGCTGAAATTATAAAATCTGAATTATGAGTCTATATGCTCTTCTTGTGGTGAGCATATGATGAGCATAATATGTAAACTATAATTGTTCCAACTTTAAAATCATCTTCAGTTTTGCATTTAGCTGTATAAAGTTGAATTCTAAAAAGTCATTAGATTGAAATTCAAATATGACCATGTTTAATATTTTTACCATAGTAGTACCATTCTATTAATGTAGGGCAGTGTATACATGAAATTACATATACCAAACAAATCTGCAACTAAATCTGACTTATGCTATGCCTGAAAAAGTGACATTTCTAGTTTTCAGACTAATGAATCACTGGTATTATCATATTATCTTCATCATCACAACTATTTATAAAACACTAACATAATATATAGACAGTACAATTTCTATCTCCTGTCATTTTCAGTTTAAATTCTATGTGTTTACTTGCAAAGATTCATAAGTATATAGGTATTATAATATAAACCAAAAATAAAAGGAAAAACATACTCGAATAAGTTTTTAAGAAAAGAGATATTAACATCAGGTAGAATGAACTAATTTTACAAAATGGTGGAAATTTCTAAATTTGGACTAAACATCCATATATTTGAATTACTTATTTTCTTCATGCACTATTTTCAAGTGGAAAGAGACCAAATTGTTTTTGAAATTTCATATATACATACAATAATATAATTTAGAAAGTAAGACCTGAATCTTATATCTGATGGCTGTTTGAGTATATGAATTAGATAAATACTAAATTTCATCCAATTCAAAGATTCCTACTCTACAGACTTCTAAATATTTTATTAAGTAAAAATTGTTTCCCCTTTAACTGGTCAAAGATTGTAAAAGATAAACTGAGAGAGTAAGTTCTTTATTCATTAACATTTTAAAAACTAACTACACTTAATAGTAAATAAATGTTTTATTTAAAACTTCATAGGGTTTCATGAAACTCTAGGATGCGAAGTAGCTTAATAAACTTATTTTTCACTACTCACTGTCATATTCACTAAGGGTTTCATTAAAGAATCCTTTCAACATTACTTTTCTTAATGTTTTAATAGCTTCTCCAACTAAAGAGCTGAAGTTACTCCAGGATTCAGAATGTGGGATATAGTTTTACAAAGTTAAGCATCAATTTTTAAAAAAGGAAAGAAATTCCACTGATACTGTGCTTTTGTCTTACACATTTATGTTCCTGGAAAATAAGGTGTGGGTTACAAAAATAAATTATAATTTATTCATAATTCACATGCAACTTATGTTTATGAATAGTTTTATTTTTAAAATAATGCTTTTCAAGATTAGAAATTATATTAATATTTATTTGCCTAATGAATAAATAATTGTTTATCATAATGTGCATGCAATCAGTGTTGGATATTGGGATATCTGAGAGTATATTACCATTATAAACTACCTGAATCAGTTTATTATTTACATAATCTAGCATGATATGATAGTTTAAAATATTTTATGTAGAATTAAAGGCTTTGGTACACACTAGTGGATAAAAGTCAGAAACGATAGCATCTCAAATAAATAATATGGAACTTTCACAAATGTTTATTATAATAATAATTTTAAATAAAACTACACTGTAGGATATATTTATAAGTACAGGAATGAAATAGTCTAGCTGATGCTCTGAATGAACATTGTTCTGTTTATGAAAATACATACTGTCTGTATGTTTGTATATATATATGTGTGTGTACACATCTGTGTATGTATAGTCACACATCAAAAAATATAGCAAATCTCCAGGTGAAACTGTCTATTAATTTGTAATATATTACACAGCTTTACTTTGTTACACCTTGACAAAGAAACGACTCAAATTGTTTAAAAACAATCACAGAAATAATAAATAATGTCTCGAGAGTGCATCCTTTAATGGTGTCAGAATTCAGGTCATTTGTTCTTTTAAAAAGTGACTAAATGAAAGTTAAAGCATAAGTTGTCATATCCAATGATTGGAGGACTAAAAGAATGTGATTATCATAATTAGTGAAATATAATTTGATGGAAATATCTTACCATGATCTTTACATATTTTTTAAAGTGATTTAAACACTTAAAATTTATATTTTGCAATATGATCTCTATTTTACCTTAAAAAACATTCACAAAGAACAGAGGAAGGCAAAATATATGACTTGCGCATCTCTCTAAATTAACCTCCCATAGAATGAAATGAAGAAAATGTTCTTTTCTGCAAAGAAAATAATACAAACTACTAAGAGTTAAGCCGTTTGTCCTTCCCAGGAGAATAGCATGTCTGTGTTCAAATCAACCAATCCCTGTAAATGTTTCCCAGGCGTTACGGTCACCATTGTCTGGTCATTCTCTTACTGAACAATAGAAAACATCACCACTATACTCACAGAGGAAGAAACTAGGTCACCCTTTAGAGTTTTCAACTTTGCTTTATAACGTATTGCTATAAAGCGATATTTTTACTGTTGTTAACCCAGTTCATCTGATTTGTCAATATTCAGCTTAGAGTTGGATTTATTTTTACCTCAAAAACTTCTTCATCCAAAATCCTTGTTCCAAAAACCGTGATTCCATTGGTATCAACAATTGCTCTCTCACTTCTATCAAGTGGTTTCGTGGTTTTCTTCTTACAATCAACAATCATTGTCACAGTTTTCTTCTCCACGCTGATTGCTACCCGATGCCACCTAAAAAAGACAAGTAATTCTTTTGTAAGCTTCAAAGAAACAGTGGTTGCCAAAGCAGTATTCACATAAAAATGCTGTGTATTTTAAATTATAAAAATGAGCTAAAATCATACAAAAAATGTAGGCTCATTTATTAAGCAGCCAGTTAACAGATGACTACTTACTCGTTACCCAACAGTACTAGGTACCCAAAAGGACACAAGCAGCATAAAATGCACAGTAGAATTAGCTGTCTGTGCTGATAAGGAAGTGCCCATCCTTTGCTTCACTTTGTGTTGTAGTAACAAAAGCTTAATCTCACTGTGTCCTGATGAAGGTATTTGATAGAGATTAGGGTGGGATATGGGGTAAGTAATAGTTTCCAAGTACATAAATGCTTTCTTCCAAAGTGGAATTCCATTTAAAAAAACTCCGCTCTAGTGATCCCCTGAGATTGACTGTAACAGGGTATGTCTACTAATTGAATGAGCGCTCCATCTAGAGCAAGTCAACGTCCTAATTGTAAAACACAATGTGCTTCTCTGTCTTTATTCACATTTATTTCAAGTGCTTTCATTATTTTTCCACTTTAATTTCAAGACAGTTATAGATCACTACTGTAGGCAGGATCCAAGACTGAGACACAATATCTTTCCTTCTTTCCAGGGTTGGCAGATGTGGAAAACTGAAAGAAAACATAGTCAACGCATGTGTGGAATGAGACTCTCAATTCACTCTGCAGCTACTGCTCCAGCTAATTTAGAGCAGTGATGACAGGCTTGGCTGGGGAGACATGGCCAGCCCTTTGGAAATGCACATTCCCTAACCATACTGTAAAATGGTGGGTTTTATTAACAATGTATAGTGCTAACATAAACCATTAAATGAAGCCCACTCAATTCTGCAAGCCAGTCTGGTTTATATTTTATTTTTTTTCCAAATGAAAAGTGCTAGATTAATATTCCAGAAGTGTCTAGGACTAGATCCATAAAATAAAATACCCAAAAAGTTGCAGGAGCCCTCGTAAAATGTCTGTTTCATGTGACTTGGCATGGTGACCAAGTGTATTTCCATATACACTTAATCTTTGGTCTTTCCACTAGAACATTCAACTGGCATAGGTGTCTGCTTGGTTTGAATTGAGCAAAGATTTATATAAGGAGCTACTTAATATAGTGAGAGTAAAATTTACACATACTTCATGCCAAGAAATCTGGGTCTTCACTTAAGCCATTCCCAGTATTATAGGTATGTGCTTTTCATTAACAGAAAATAAAAACAATTTCAATAATTAAAACTGATTAGAACTCTAAACTTGATATTTTTGTTTAATTAATGTAGGCTATGATAATGATATGTCATAATCATGGTGTCATATATAATATTCAAAATACCAAATTAACATTTAGCCTTAGAGGCATTCTTAATTATTCTCTTTTTCTCATACTACACACTCCTATAGTCAGAAAATTCTATCAGTTCATATATTCAAAAGTATAAACAGAATCCAATATCTCTCAATTTAGTACAAGCTGCCATCTCTCACAGCTAGACTCCTAACTGGCCTCTGCTTCTACTCTTATGCATCCAGAGCCACCTTTTAAAAATCTAAGTCAGATCAAGGATCTGCATTCTTAAAACTATCAAATACAATACTCACAGTAAAAGCTGAAGCCATTATTCTGCTTCACAGGAGGGTCCCCTATCCTTCTATGACCTCATGAGCTCAGACGCCCCCTGGACTCCTGGCATCCCAGCCACAAGGCTGCCTCTTTTTTGCCCCTTGCACATGTTCTTCACCCAGGCAGGATTGTTCTTTCTCCACATCCCTACATGGCTATTCTCTCACTTCCTTTGTGATTTTGCTCAATGCAACCTCACTCAAAAAAACATGAGTGAAACCTCATGTTTTACTTTGAGGATTCATTCATATTAAACTGTCCTATCTAAAATAGTACACTCTACATCTCTTATCTTGATTTATTTTCGTTCAAAGAACTATCAGCACTTCGCATATTTAAGCTCCAGGAGTGGAGGAACTTCACCTGGGTTGTTCATTGCTACAACTGCTGTGCTCTACAGACTGCCAGCCAAGCGGTGGCTAATAGATAAATACTTATGGAATGAATGTTCACTCATGATGAATGTCATGATTGTTCTTTAAAAACATCACAGTGTGCTTAAATACCAATATTTTTGCATCTAAATTATTATGGCAGTTGAGCTCAACAAGTATGTCACTTTTTAACTGTCTCAAGTAAAAGTATAGGACCTACCTAGCACACAGTAAGCATTTAATAAATTGTTATTGAAGGAATATACAAATGAAAAAAATTAATACTACTAGGTATTAACTGTATTCAACATATTATCAAGATAATATTTTACTACTGTGATATATGTAAATATAACTTCTGTTTGATAATCAATTAAAAATATTTATTGAACATTCTCCATTTTTTTATTTTTATTTTTTCATGTTTTACTTTAAGGATACATTCATAGTAAACACTACCTGCTAGTTTTGAATAGGATGTGGGCTGGGCTGCAATAAATTGATGTTTTTGTTTTTTTTTCTTCAGTTAGGAAAGCAGGATTAAGGAAAAATAAGGTGTGAATAATAAGATGAATTCAAAATATTTTCTACATTTACCAAATATAGATTAAAACCTTAGCATGGAGTTTGCTAACAGTCAAAAAAAGAAACACAACGTGCTATTATATCTAATTTGTTTATAGGATAATAATGTAAATTAGTTGTAAAAGCCTAAAGTTGTAAAGTCTCAGTAAAACTGAGACTTGAGAGTTTCTCTGTGGTCCTGACAAAAATATAATGAGTGTCAATGATCACTGCTACTTCCTTCTTATAGCTATAACCAAATGTGCTATTTTGGATAAAGCTGTTTTTAGAGGTCTGGATTCAGTGATAAAATATTGAGTAAATTTAATAAGCATTAATTTCTATTTAGCTGCTCCATAAGTGAAAGGAAACAACCACAATACATAATTCAGAATTCGACATGATTTGCAAAAGAGCGCAGTGCAAGCCTGACTTCCTGAGTTCAAACCCCATCTCTATCACTTTCCAACTATACGAACTTAGGCAAATTACTTAAACTCTCTGAGCCTCAGTTCCCTTACCAGGAAAATTAGTTTGTTAACATTACTTTCTTAAAGGAATCAATAAAACTAAATGAGTTAACAATGTATAAAGACCTTAGTACATGGCACATATCAGCACTCTATAATGCTTCCTCTGATCTCCAATATTAATATTATTAGTAAAACGTAAGTCAAATTAGATCATTCTTCTGCTCAAAAAGCCTCCAGTAACTTCCTGTTTCTCTCAGAGTAGAATCCAAAGTGCTTACGACCTCCTACAATGTGTTATACCATCTGGCCTCCCTCTGCTTCTCCATCCTCATCATCCCACTCTTCTCCTGCCATGCTGGTATCCTTGATGTTGCTTGGAACAAACTGGCCACACCCTGGAATCAGAGACTGTATTGGCTTCCTGCTTCTCCTGGAACACTAGTCTTTTAATGAACAGCATGGCATGCACTTTACCTTCTTTACATATCACTTTCTTAGTGGGATTTGGCTTGATGTCACTTCTTAAAACTACCCACCCCACTGCCACACCCTAACCTCTTTACTGCTCTCTTTTTCTTTCACACTTATTACCACCTGCTATACTACTTATTAGTAATTTATTTTGAAAACATTGTTTATTGTTTCCCTGTACACACTATAAATTATGTCTTTATGTATTTTTTGCTCATTTATTTATCACCAGCCTCTAGAAAAACCTTATCACACTTCATAAATATTTGTTAAGTGACTGAATAAAAAAAATGATTTTGGCATAGCTAAAACATTGTATTATTTTGTTACTTACTTCCCGTCAGCGATGTTAACAGTTCTGAAGAGGGGATAGTCTTCTGGGGCAGGTTTTCCAGTGTGGTCTTCAAACAGAAAAACAGGTGATCTCCCAACCTCAACACCAATTTGCTGAATACCATGCTCATTATATATAGATAAAAGGAAAGACTGAATTCCTTTTTTTGGTTTTACTGTAAATAGTATTGAAAAGTCTTCTGGGAAAGTTCCACCTGAGAAGAAAAGGCCAAAGAGTTAGAAATTTCCAATTTCCAATTTCTACTTTATTCCTAGATCACTGTGGTATTTTTGAAATTTCTACATGGCCTTTATAAATCAACTAACTTTGAATAGTAAACAGATTAATAAATAAATAGGGGTCCTCCATTAAGGTTTCTCTTCAATTTTTATCCAAGCTATAGTCAAACTTTAAAGACACTCACTTAAAGTACTTAAAGCACAATGTTTATGTGAAATTAAATTTGGTTTAGGCAACAGGATTATGATACCAGTAAATATCAAACACATAACCACCACTCTTAAAACATTTATTTAAGTGCTAATTTTGGCCTAAAGTTTGTATTTTTTGTCTTTGTCTAGTCCGTAGCCATACATGCCCACTTTAAAGAGGCATTGTAATGACCCAATTTACAAACGTATTCTTTCTGTTGTTTCTTTAAAAGCTTAAGAGTTTTCGATTAGTTCTTAATATCAAACAATGCAGTTTCACTGTATATTGCTTCTTATTAAAGAAGCATATGTCATTATGAGCCAGAACTATTAGGTAATTGGCTAACTTGATTTTAAATTCAAGAAGGCAGACTCTTTTTCTTTTCTTCTCTCTCTCAATCATATGCCAAATATCTAGCATACAGTCTGATCTACATTGGTCCTTACTAAGCATCTGTTATATAAATATATCAGTTAAACAATTACCCTAAGTATATCTCAAATAATTAAGTAATGAGTACTTATATTTTTATAAAACAATGTATATTAAGTTGCGGGTTTTATTTTTCAAAATAGTTTTACAAATATATCTTATTTGAGCCTCTTACTACTCTGGCATATAAATAAAGCAAGCATTATTATTTGAGAAATGAGATGCCTTTAGTTGAAAAGTTGTCTTTTTGCAAAACCATTGTGTATGTGCATGTGTAATCAACAATATCTAGCCTAATATCAAGGCCTTCCTTTTTCAATCCATTCATTCCAAATTCTATTACAGGCAGTAGTATAAATCTATAAAAGAAATATGATTATGTCTGGCTTGGATTCAAGTTCAAACAATTGTAGGAGATCAGCAATTCTACTTCTAAGAATGTATGGGGAGAGGATGCTTATGTGTAAATGTATTGTACTTTCAAATCACCAAAGTACTATTTATAATAATAAAATTTTATAATAAGCTGCAATGATTGAAACTGATTAAATAAAATACAAATATGTATGGTATGTAATAGAATCGTATGCAGCCACTTAATGTAGCAGAAAGATGTTTTATGAAGTGGAAATTATTAAAACATATTACAAAAGAAAAAACAGCAAGAGGCATGAATACATTTTTATGCTATAAATGTATGCATAGACTAGTTAAGTGGAAGACAGTACAGTATCTCAATTGAAAGTTCTGAATCTTGTCAGATCATTTGGCTCAAATCCCAGCCCTACCACATCCAAATAGGATTACATTTAACTAAAAAGTATTTACAAAGCAAAAGAAAAAATTAACAAAGTGAAGAGACAACCTTTAGAACAGGAGAAAATATTTGCAAACTATACATCTGATAAGGGGTTAATATTAAAAACATGTAAGGAACTCAAACAACTCAATAGAAAAAAACAAGTAATCCAATTAAAAATGGACAAGATGTCTGAATAAACATATCTTGAAGAAGACATACAAATGGCTAACGGGTATATGAAAAAAATGCTCAACATCGTTAATCATTAGGAATATGTAAATCAAAACTGCAATGAGCTATTACCCCACTCCAGTATGAATGGCAACTATCAAAAAGTCAAAAGATAAGTGTTGGTGCAGATGTAGAGAAAAAGGAACTGTTTCATACTATTGGTGAAAATGTAAATTAATACAGCCATATAGAAAATAGTAAAAAATTTCCTCAAAAAATTAGAGCTAGTGCCATCAATCGCACTACTGAGTATACATACAAAGGAAATGCAATCAGTATGTCAAAGAGATACCTGCACTCCTATGTTATATTATCCATCAACCCTACTACTGGGTATATGTCCCAAGTAAATGACATCAGGATGTTGAAGGGATATCTGCAGTCCAATATTTATTGCAATATTATTCATAATAGCCAATATATGGAATCAACCCACCATCTCCTAGCTATGTGTTCTTGGCAAATAAAATCCTACTTGCCCTTCCCATCCATTGGCTGGGCTAATAATTTAATCTGTCCCATGGAACTATTGTGGAAATTATATGAGACTGTATCATAAAGAAAGCAGTCAGATAATGTTGATTATATGGCTCTTATCACTTAAATATATAGTATTTAAAATTAGTTATATAAAATTAATGATTTTAAGTAACTACCACATTGGAATGCAGAACACACTGACCCTGAGATAATGAGCTAAAGTATAAAAATTGTAACCTGTAATCTGAGTAGTTCTAAAGGTTTTTAATTGGTATATTTTTCTTTGTTTTACTCTCTTCAAAATTCCCATCCCTTTTTCTATTAAGGATGCTTTAGGAAATGCAGCAGAGTGCACATAAATAGAAAAAGCAGCTTACCTTTTTACTTTTAATTTTTTTAAATCTATTTTTAAAATGTTTTATGGATTTAATAATCACTTTAACTTTTTTATTTTCAAAGTCAGAAAAAAAGTTCATTTTATTCTTTATATTTTCAGTTTGTTCTTGTTCACCACAAAGTATTGCAAAACAGAAAATATATTGGAAGAATCAGTGAACAATCAAAATAAATGTATTTCAATATATTTTAAAATGTCCTTCTATGAAAAGTGTACTGTGCTGTTTTGTAATGTTTTAATCCCTTGATTTATACTTGTTTTCTCTTGTTAGAAAACAGTTTCATATGAAGATAGGAAACTCAAATTTCCTCAAGCAGAGATAATATAGGATAATATGAAGAATTTAAATGATAAATTGCTGCTGAGAAGATCCCAAAGTGCCAGAAAGGACCATTTGATGACATATAAAATATATAGAGCAGAACAGACCTAGATTAAATATTGACTGCACATAACTTGGTCAAGTCAGAGAGCCTCTGTGAAATTCAGTTTCCTCCTCTGTTAAATAAGGATGAGAACACCCATCAACTGACCAATCAATAGATAACTGGTATGTATCAAATGGAGGCAAGCACAGTTAACAAGTTACCTGCTTTGAAAATATGAGGCTCGAAAATTGTCATTTCACCACTCAATTCCCTTTCTCCACATTATCATGATTTCTAGATAATTAGTGTTATTAGGTCAATTAGTGCTCTCATGGAAGGAAAAACAAATATTCAGCAAGTACTTTTCAGTACCATTATGAAAAACTGCCAGCTGATATTTTAAAAAAATCTCTAGTTTCAGGAGGGATAACTGTGAGATGTGACTAACTTTTCTTATATTTTAGATAAGAGCGGCATGAAAAAATAATGCAAAATTATTTGCAAAGAAAAAGTATCTCTTTCAACAGAAACATTTACCTTAATGTTAGGAAAACATGCACTAAGTATGTTTACATTCAAATGCCCATTAAATTAACTTAGAAAGTCATTAAGGGGAAAGATTCCCTCCTATACCCCAGTCACGATGAATAAGCTCTACCTAATTACAAGTAGAAATAGGCTAGATATAAAATGTTGTCTCCATATATTATGTACAAATAATGAAGTACTAAATGTTCAAATAAGAATATTTTCACAGAAATGTGATTGTGTTGAATTAAGACTGGCAATTATCAAATTTTTTGTTATTTTCATTACATTACTTTGGTGACCACAAGGTATTTGGTGTCTGATATAAGAAAGAATTGCATTTTACCATATAATTGCACATTATCTAACCTGATAAAAATACTAATTAGTAAAGAAATACTAAAAGTAGTTTTAGTAGTAACAAAAGTGTAATAACTTTTAGTAATAATAACAATAATAATAATAAAGTGAATATACCTGGAAATAACTGTTTTGTTGGGGCACTGAGTTGTGCTTGCTTTGAAACTCTGTAAGCAGTATCTGAGCCTTTAGAATTCTTTCTGTTTGTGCAAAATCCCGTTGTTTTTGATATTCCCTCTGGAGAATTGTGAAAATCTAGTGCTTTTAGTACATCAACTGGAGCAGCTGAAAAATAAGCAAACAATAAAAAACCAGAATTGAACAACGATCTGATATAACAATGAGTATTTTTAACACAGGATAGTATGTCATTTCATACCTTGAATCTATTTATCACTTGCCATGCTTCCCTAACATTTAGGTGGGAGTTTGGAGAGTGGGGCAGCAGGTAGTAATATAAACCATAACAACATTCTCAAATTCAAAATATCTCAAATCTGGAATCAAATTATGGTTAAGCAACACAGAAGGGGTGTCTGTGTGTGTGTGTGTGTCTGTGTCTGTGTGTGTGTGTGTGTGCGTGTGTGTGTACATAGGCATATGTGCATCTGGAATTTAAAGTTTCCTATATATGATTTATAAACATTCATATGTATCTCAATTATAATTTATAAAATATTTAATAATTCCAAGTAATAACATTATGTAGAATTAAAGTGAAAGCCAGCATTTGTAAATATTTCATTTTCCAACAGTTACTAATAAACTATTCATAATCTAAACAGAGGTGATTTTGAAGATTCAAATGTACAATGGATGTTATATGTAAACTCTGTAAAATGTGCACCTACTTAGTCATTTTGTATACACAAGAGAAGTTGAAAGAAAGGTGTTAAAAAAATAGGTAGCACAATACAATGCCTTTTTCAGTGCTTTCCTGAGTTAGTTATTTACAAATTATATACAGGTACTTATATATGCACACAAAGGTGTATGTATGTATCTATCTATATGTAATTTATCGATTTTTATTATCTCAACTTACCAGTCACTTCATGGATATTACTCCATACTTCATTATTTAGGCTGAAAGTCCCTGGAGATGAGTAATTTAGTAATTGTGCCCCTTCACATTTTTTTTGTAGTCTTAGGGTATGTAAAACTAGGCTACTTTTTAGTGGAAGCATAAATTTCCCAAATCTAATTCATTCCAGGTACTTGGTAGTTACTGTGACGTGGTCAATATAAAATATGTTTGGAACCTTAAACTTTCCCTTTGTAAGTGTGACCCATTTGTATAAACAGCTTTATCGGGTTATAATTCACATACCATACAAAACACCCACTTAAAAGCAAACAGTGGTTTTTGGTATATTGTACTATTATTATCTTTAATTGTGATCAATACATATAACATTAAATTTGCCATTTTAGATTTTTTAAGTGTACAATTCAGTAGCATTAATTACACTCACAATATTGTACAACTATAATTATCTATTTCTGAACATTTTTCATCAACTCAAACTTCATCACCATTATGCAATAACTCTTCACTCCTTCAACCTCCTACCCCCTGACAACCTCTTATATACTTTCTGTCTCTAGTTACTCATTCGAGAATTTTCATTTAAGTAGACTCATACAGAAGTGCCATATGACCCAGCAATTCCACTCCCACATATATGCCTAAAATAATTGAAAGCTGGGACTCAATCAAAAATTTGAACACAATGTTCACTGCAGCATTATTCACAATAGCCAAAAGGTGGAAACAATCCAAGTTTCTTTCAACAGATGAATGGATTAACCAAAAGTATCCAGCCATAAAAAGGAAAGAAGTCCTGATACAGGCTATAACACGGATCAACCTTCAAAACAGTACACTACATGAAATATGCCATTTAGAAAAAAAAAAAAAAACACTTTATCTTTTTTAGATCTTCAAGTTGTCTGGTCCATAATTACATATATATTTAAGTCACTAAGCAAGTCAGGACATGAATAATGCAGTTCAAGTATTATTTTAAAAACAGACTTTAGAACCCATATTACTCAATGTACAGTAAGTCCTCACTTAATATCCTCGATAGGCTCTTGGAAACTTCTACATTGAGCAAATCAACTTTAATGAAACCAATTTGACCATAGGCTCACTGATATAAACCAGAGTTAAGTTCCTACAGTCTATTTCTGATCACAAATACACCACCAAACTTCTAAATAAAGACTGAAAACACGTTTCATACTGAACATTGAACTAAATGTGAGCTACACATACATTTAAGAAAGATTAATGAAAAATGAAATAATTATTTATCCAATTTTTGGTGAATCAGTGAATGACGGTGGTCATAGTAGTGCTGGGTTAAATTAAGGTATAAACGTTTGAAAAGTGAAAATTGTAAGGAGCATGTCCTCCCACCATGCAGTTCAGAATCAATCACAAATATGATGAGCTCTGAGTGCTTTTGTACTGCATTATTTATTATGTGCATTTGGATAATTATGGTAGAGTTTACAGATTTTTATTTGATAACAATTTGTATTCATTCATTCATTTGTTCATTCATTTCCAACCTGCTTATCCCAGTTCAGGGCCCCAAATGGCTGGAGCCCAACCCAAACATTCAGGACGCAGGGCGGGAACCAGTCCTGGACAGGACACCATCTCATGGTAGGGCACATATACCCACTCAACCAGACTGGGACCATTTAGAGACAGCAATTCTCTGTACACATTTTGGGGATGTGGAAGGAAACCAGAGTGCCCAGTGAAATCCCACGGAGGCACAGGGAGAACATGTAATCGCCACATAGTGGCCCTGACTGGGAACGGACTTTTTTTTTTTCTTATCAACATTATCACTGAACGAGTTGAACAAAACAACAGTATTTGAGGACCTGCTTGACTTATATTCTATTGGCTTCATACCTATATTCAAAAACAAGCAAAACATTCAGAGTAGACCATATGCTGGCCAAATATCATTCAGCATGCCTGAGATATAAAAATTATAATGATGTTTGAGAACATTTTTTTGCACTAGTCCTGCTTGCAACGGCTATGTTTTTAAGCCAATAGGATATCTGTTTTATATGTGTTATTTTCTCTTACCTCATAACTAAG
The DNA here is from genome assembly GCF_000001405.40 of Homo sapiens. Lineage (NCBI taxonomy): Eukaryota > Metazoa > Chordata > Mammalia > Primates > Hominidae > Homo > Homo sapiens. Next base: position 103,085,818 of record NC_000001.11, read on the forward strand.
AAAATGCTAATCATAATAACTGCCAGGGAGAGCCTAATATGTGCCAGTCTCTGGACTAAGTTCTTTACAGGGATTAACCCTCACAAACCATATGTTCTTATCCGTCCTGTGCAGATTGAGATTTAAGAACCAGAGAACAAACTAAGATTACTCTTAAGATCTGTGTAAATACCAACTCTATGCTCCTTCCACTTCACCACTCACCCTGCTATACCCCAAAATAAAAACTCTGCAAAAATAAACTTAAAACATACATATAATATGTTTATGTTATTTGGGCCAGCTAATTGATTCCTGATGTTCATATTTATTTTAAACTAAACTCATTACTTGTTCTAGTATATAAATGACTCTGAAGAAGAATGTTTCTGAAAACCACAGCATTTTATCTGCTTAAATTATCTTATATTTTTGCTCTGAAGCCATTCTCCAAAGTAGAACTGAATAAAGACTTGAGGATAGACATGAACACATCTATGAAGGCTGTAATTTTTCTGAAAAGGAAAACAAAATGCATCCCCACTGTCATAATCACAATTGGGCAGAGGTAAATAATACATAAAATGGACTGCAAAGTCCACAACGTATCTATTTTGTTTGTTTGTTTGTTTGTTTTTGAGACGGAGTCTTGCTCTGTTGCCCAGGCTGGAGTGCAGTGGCGCGATCTCGGCTCGCTGCAAGCCCCGCCTCCCAGGTTCACGCCACTCTCCTGCCTCAGCCTCCTGAGTAGCTGGGACTCCAGGCGCCCGCCACCACGCCCGGCTAATTTTTTGTATTTTTAGTAGAGACGGGGTTTCACAGTGTTAGCCAGGATGGTCTTGATCTCCTGACTTCCTGATCCGCCCGCCTCGGCCTCCCAAAGTGCTGGGATTACAGGCGTGAGCCACCGCGCCCGGCAACAACGTATCTTTTAACACCATGACCTTATCCAAGTGTTCACTCCTCAAAAAACAATACAAGTAGAGACATATAATAAAGGTATCAACCAAGCCTTTTTTTTTTTCCCAAAAAGGCATTTCAAGTTACAAAAAAGTAAAACTCCATTAATTAAGTCCTTAAGTTTATTTTATTTCAAGTGAACTAAATAATGAATTAAGCTACTTTGAAATTCTGCCTGTTATTTGATCTCATAATCCTCATAGATATTGCGTTTAATAAATTGTCATTAAATGGATTCTACTGTTTTATACGCATACATACATATATGTGGGAAAGCTATTCTTTATATTTTGCTAACTGCAACTGTTCAAAGATTAAAAGAAGTAATTTTATGGCTAAATATGATATATGAAAAAAGTAAAATGTCCATATTCAAAGCAATTCTTAAATGACCTTAATATTTTAATTATCTCTATGTTGCCAACTGCTGGCACAAACCATGTGTATGCAATTCAGATGTATCCAATTCAGCACAATGTTTTGTTCAATTATATTTTCCTGTCCTTTATTGAATACCTATAGGTTTATTAAACGGGAGAATAGAATATCAGAGCCCAATGTGCTACTAAAATAGCCACTTAACTGGGTTCCATACTTTTTCCCATCAATCTTCATTCCACCAACTTGATTAAGCTTCCAAAAATCCATGTCTCATGTCACTCTGATGTTTAAATTCCTTCAAAGAACCCCACTGGCTCTCAGATGATTTCCACATTCCTTGAATATACAACTTGGATATCTGGACACTCCCACTTATCCTACCACTCTAAGCTCACTGAATGTACAGTCTTAGCTCTCATGAGTCCCTCATTCTGTCCTCATTCAGTGTTCTACCATACTAAACTCAGTCTTTCCAGAATCCACCATGTTCTCTGGCTTGCTTCTGGGCCTTTATAAACCCTACTCTCTGTTTCAAACACTTAGCTCCACCTCACCTGAAGGATAAGAATATACCTGGTAATGCATCTTCTGCAGAAAACATTCTCTGTCTCCCTAAGCTGGGTTAGATCTGCTAACCTCTATTATAGCACCTTTCATACTTTTTTAAAATTATTTGCCTTGTCTTTGCCAATTTTTGCAAACTAGTAAGGAACAGGTATACACACACAAACACACAGAGATTATGAAAATGTTGGTTGAATGTGAAACACGATAATGTGAAAATATATGGAAGGAACTTCCTCTGAAATCCTCAGGCTATCTAGTGTCGAAATTAAATTTTTTTAGGTCCTAATATGTACTTTTTATTGTAGTCTATTGACCTCTTAAACACCACCACCCTTTCACTGATCAGTTTGATCCCAAGTCTTTGATCCTTTCTCCCTTGTTGCCTTCACCATCCATATAGATTACTGATGAAACATCTCATAATACTTTGATTGTTTCATCTCTAATTCCTTCTCTAAGCTTCTTTGCACACTCCCATGACCAGTAGTGAACCGCATCATTACAGTGTTAAAGAGCAAAACTGCTTCTTAAGTCCACCTCTGCCTCTTAGCATCTGTGTGACTTGGACAGATTACTTAATTACTCTGGGCCTCCGTTTCTATATCAGTACAATGAGAATAACAAAAATATTTACTTCAAAGAGTTTTTTTTTGTCAGAACTAAATTGGTTTTTGTAACAATGCCTTCGAATGATGGTGGGGAAATCTGTGCCTGTGGGTATAGACCTCCCATAGACCTCCTTGCTGCCTATTTTTATATGGTACATGATGTAAGAATAATTGTACATTTTAAATGTTGAAAAATAAAAGGACAATATTTTGTGACACATGAAAACTATATGAAATTTCAGCTTTCATAAAGAAAGTTTTTATTGGAACATAGTCACACCCGTTCATTTATATATTGTCCATAGCTGCTTTTGTACTGCAACAGAGTTGCGTAGCTGCAACAGAGACTGTGTGCTCACAACAACTAAAATATCTACTACCTAGCCCTTTTAAGCTGAGTCCCTAGGGATAAATAGGAGTTCCTCAGTGAAGAAGAGAAGGAAAGAAACAGCAGATATGGTAGCACAGATACAAAGAGAGTAAAGAGTTCAAGGAAACCAGCCATGCTTGCCCAAGGAGACATGGACACGGAGAAAATTTAGCTCTCCAGATTATCCCTGGATGCACCATGGCTGCTGAGGACCACTGGAGAAAAATCATATCTTCATCATGCATTCACTGCCACAAACTCCAAGAGCCATCTCCAATAAAAACTATCGACTCGCCCATCCTGACATTTATTACTAGAACTGGAATAATTTTCAGTTTCTAAAATGTACCTTGCTGTCTTTATCTGTAGATTTTTTCCAGTCCTTCCTCAATTGGTTAAGGACAGTTGACTTATTTTTCAATCCTGTCAATAGAATCATCTGAAGAGTTTATAAAACCTATGAATGCCTGGAACCCACCCCAGAACTAATAAACTAGAATGATTGGGTACAGACATCCATATTTTTTAAGTTTCCCAGATGAGTTTAATGTGCAGCCAGGGTTGAAACTCGGTGGCTTCAGACCTAGTCAACCTTTTAGTGTAAACCTAAGCATGACTTATTCTAGGAGATTTATTCTTAGCTCATCCAAGAGGATGATGTGACCTCTTTATATGATCCCAGTGTCTTGTATTTCCCCTTAGATCACCCTACACTATTTTGTTCGCTTGCTTAATTATGTCTTTGGCTCTAGGCTGTATGCTCTCAGGCACAGCATCTGTCTAAATTATGGTCATGATTTTCTTGTTACATACTCACATCAGCTAATATTTTTCTCTCTCTGTTAAGCATGTAATTTATTGTTTAACATCTGCCTCCCTTGATACACTGTAAACCCTCTGACAGTGAACATCAGTGCTATTGATATTCACTATCAAATTGCAAAGACATAGCAGCTGAAGCACAGTAAATAATCAATGGAGAAATGTTTAATGGATGAATAAATGAGTAGCCACAAGCTGTCTCATAGTTGAAGCATTTTTCCTACCAGTTTGAGATGGGAAAGGAAGAGGATTGGAAGTGACCTTTACCAAGAACTTGAAGAGGTTTCCAAGTTTGTTTGTTGCCATTGTTTGATTCAGGTGTGGGAAGAATATAGGTGTGAAGCAGCGTGGTGGCCCACGCCTGTAATCTCAGCACTTTGGGAGGCCGAGGTGGGTGGATCACGAGGTCAGGAGTTCAAGTCCAGCCTGGCCAACATGGCGAAACCCTGTCTCTACTAAAAATACAAAAATTAGCCTGGCATGGTGGCATGCACCTGTAATCCCAGCTACTCCAAAGGCTGAGGCAGGAGAATCTCTTGAACCTTGGAGGCAGAGGTTGCAGCGAGCCGAGATCACACCACTGCACTCCAGCCTGGGACAGAACGAGGCTTTGTCTCAAAATAAATAAATAAATAAATAAATAATAAAATAAAATAAAATAAGTAACAATAATAAAGTAGCCTTCCTAATGTAGATATTTTCCCAACTTCTTGAGAGTCACTTATTCTCAACCCATACCTCACATCACAGACTATATGTGAGGCATACCATTATGGAACTAATAAAAATAAAATAATACAGAAGAAAGTTCTCAGCCATCTTCCACTCAGTCAAAAAACCAGTATTGCTACTATGAGCATGTGGTAGTGAGATGTAGGACTGACAAAAGAGAAAAGGATAGAAAATTGATTATTTCTTATAATTTTCCTACTACTAATATTCTGCTATATTTCAAAATCATGATGGCTCTTAAGAAAGAGTCTAAAAACTGGGACATGCCAAGCCTATAAACAACAATTGATAACTAGTTTCCACAGTAAGAACTGCCCAACAACTAATCCAAATTCAGTAGTTATTATTTCTATGACTTTGGATAAGCTATTTACCTCTCCAAGACTTAGTTTTCTCAATTTAGTCTCATTTTGAGAATTAAACGCTGTAAGGAATTTTAAACATAGAATGGTGTCTAATGCATAATACATATTCAATAAAAATATTATCTAAAATTATTATTCCATGAAAATGTCTACCTTTCTGAACATCTTTAATACCATCCACATTTCCCTAGAGCTATAATTAAATTGATTCCTGTTATCTGCTTCCTCAGACTACCTTGGGAAAGTTCTCTGCAGTTGAGTAGAATACTAAACAGTTTTGATCTCTAAATGTCCATTCAAAATCATCCATAAAAATTATGTACTGCTTAGCAATCTCTTCAGCATGTTCATATTGTATTCCAGATGCAAACAACCTCAGGAGGTTTCCTGGAATTTAGCTTAAGCAACCAAATAGATCTTAAATCTATATTTTCATGCTCAGCACTTCATTACCCCCTAGTAGTACAAATGGACATTAATACACTGATATCATTAGCATTTTTCTCTTTTCATTATTTTTTCTTTGCATTGCATAGAAATTGATATAACTATAGCTTAAACACAGCGGGCCTCATCTAAGCTATTTATTAAAGATTTAAAAATGTAATATTGTAGACCCTTTCCTCTGACACTGTTCTTTCATTTATTGTAAATACATATATTCCACATACCAACCATGAATTATATATGAATATAAAATATTAGAAAATTAAGCACATTGACTTAAATACTCCCATATTTGAAAAGATACAGAAGTTCATATTTAAATGATGATGTCACACAAATAATGCCAATAAAAATTACATAAACTTCCTACCCTCAATAGAACCCTTTTTGGATGAAATTACCAGATGTTTGACTTGTATGCTACAATCTAATCTTTGTAGTCAACACAAGTGCAAAATTAAAGAAATAAACTACTAAAATACATTAGTAAATTGTAAGATTATATATGAAGCCCTTACAGTTGTATAGTTTACATTAATTACTACAGGACATGGGAAGTGTTCCACAATATTATTTAGAGTTCAATTTTCCCCGAAGGGTTTTATAATCAACTAAGATGTGTTGTCATTAATAATGCTCTGTTTACTTAATATATTTCTCCACATATACACTAATATACACACGAATACTATAAATAAACAAATGTTGGCATAAAATGGCTTAAGATTTTGATAGGCACCTTGAAAAAAACTGCGTATTTCATATTCAAACAGTGAAGAGCACCAAACTGAGAATGACATAAGAAAGACAATATATATCAGTAACCTGGAGTTTTAGGAATTTTAGAGTTAATTTCATCAAACCAAACACATAACAAGCCTATTAGTACTATCTTTTCAGAAAATAGAAATCCAGTGAACAAATGTAAATGTATTTTCTTACAATTCCAGGAAAATTCCAGTTTAAAACAAAATGAACTGCATAGTGAAATTCATAATTAGAAAGGTCAATAAAAATACATAGTAAAATATTCTGAAGTGTAATTAATGAAAAAGTGTGACTTCCAGCAAAATCAATTGTATCAGCATCCCATTGTTGCCTATTTATAATTCTAACCTATTTAGGGATTGAGAGAAATAGTTGACCCTTGAACAATACTAATTTGAAATGTATAGGTCCAGTTATGTATGAATATGGTTCAATACATAAATTTAAAACACATTTTTGGAGATTTGTGACAATTTGAGAAACCTTCCAGAAGAACAAAGTAGGCTAAAAATATCAAAAACATTAAGAAAAAGTTAAGTATGTCATGAATGCACAAAATATATGTAGATACAAGTCTTTTATGGTTTACTACCATAAAATAGGCACAAATAAAGTATAAAAAGTCAAAATTTGTCAAATCTTATGCACACAAACACAGATCATACATGGCACCATTACACATGGCACCATTCATAGTGGAGAGAAATGTAAACAAACATAAAGATGCAGCAATAAATGAAAACTGCATAAGATTAAGTGTAGTGCATTCTGTACTACTGTAATCATTTGTTAGCCACCTCCTGTTGCTATTGTGGTGAACCCAAATGTGGCAAGTATCTGCTTAAATATCATTTCCACATGAGCAGTGGATCTCTCTAGTAAATTGCCTATCTCTGTAAAAAGTGATCTCTCATGTTTCTTGTGTGCTTTTCATCACATTTAGTGCGATATTGTAAACCTTGAAAAGCACCAGGGAACCTATCTGAAGTACCATTAATGTTTCACATACTCCCAAGAAGCAGAGAAAAGTCATGACACACACATACATACATACACAAAGTTGAATTGCTTGATATGTACTGTAGATTGAGGTCTGCTGTGGTTGCCTGCCATTTCAAGATAAATGAGTCCAGCATAAGGATCATTGTTCCAAAAACAAACAAACAAAAAAAAACAGAAAAAGACAAAAGAAAAGAAAGGAAATCCATGAATCCATCACTGCATCTATGCCAGTAAGTGCAAAAGCCTTGAACTTTTGCAAAACATCTTTTTTAAAATCTTATATTGAAAATGCAGCTTTATGTGGGTGAGGGTGGCTATGAGAAAGCCATTATATAGCTATGAAGTTCAATATGATTCAAGAAAAAGTGAAGTCATTATATGACAACTTAAAGCAAAAGCAAGGTGAAGAATCTAAAGCTGAAGAATTTAATGCCAAAAAGGGTGGTTCGATAATTTTAGAAAGAGGTCTGCTTTAAAAATGTCAAGATAACAGGAGAAGCACCTTTCGTTGATGAACAGGCAGCAAACCATTTCCCAGATACCATTAGAAAAACCACTGAGGAGAAAGAATAGCTGCCTGAACAGGTTTTTTCATGCATATGAAACAGCCCTATTCTGGAAAAAAAAATCCACAAAGGATATTTATTAGTAAGAAAGAAAAGTGAGCACCAGGATTTAAGGTAAGAAGAAACAGGCAAATTCTACAGTTGTGCAAATTCAGTCAGGTTTATGAGGAAGGCATCCCTTATCTATAAAGTTGCTAACCCCAAGCCTTGAAGGGAAAAGATAAACAGGAATGCCTGTCTTTCGGTAGTACAACAAGAAGGCTTGGACAAGAACCCTTTTTCTGGAGTGGTTCTGTCGATATTTTGTCCTTGAAGTTGGAAAATACATTGCCAGTAATAAACCGCCTTTTAAAGTTCTTTTGATATTGGACAATGCCCCTGGCCACCCATAACCCCATGAATTCAATGACAAAGGTGTTCAAGTGGTCTACTTGTCCAAAGTACATCTCTAATTCAACCTCTGTGTCATGGGGTCATAAGGATTTTTAAGGCTCACTCACATGGTACTGTATGGAAAGCACTGTCAATGCTATGGAAGAGAACGCTGATAGAAAGAACATCATGAAAGTCTGGAAGGGTTACACCATTGAAGATGTCATCATTGTTACAGAGAAAGCCTTGAAAGCCATCAAGCCTGAAGCAATAAATTCCTCCTGAAGAAAACTGTGGCCATATGTTATCCATGGCTTCACAGGATTTGCAGCAGAGCCAATAAAGGAAATCAGGAAAGAGATTGTGGATATGGAAAAAAAATGTGGAGGTGTGGGGGCAAAGGGTTTCAAGATATGGATCTTGGAAAAATTCAAGAGCTAATAGACACCACACAAGAGTAATTAGCAGAAGACAACTTGATGAGGATGAATGCTTCCAAACCAGTGTCAGAAGATGGGGAAGAAGAAATAGAAGAGGCAGTGTCAGAAAACAAATTGACATTAGACAATCTGGCAGAAGTGGTCTGATTATTCAAGACTGCTTTTGCCTTCTTTTATCACATAGACCCTTCTATGATATGGTAACTAAAATTAAAGCAAACAGTGGAGGAAGGATTGGTACCATATGAAAACATTTTTTAGAGATACAAAAAAGCAAAAAGTCAGACACCAATTACAATGTATAGCCCTAAAGTTGCACAGGTGTGTCTGCGTCTCCTGCCTCCCCTTCCACTTCTTCTGCCTCTGCCATCCCTGAGAAAAGATCAGCCCCTTGTCTTCCTCCTCCTCCTCAACATGAAGATGATGATGATGATAAGGAAAATCTTTATGATGATTCACTTACATTTAATGAATACTAAATATATTTTCTCATCCTTATGTTTCTTAAGAACATTTTCTGTTCTCTATTGTAAGAATACAGCATAAAATATATATAACATACAAAATATGTATTAATCAACTGTTTATTTTGTCAATAAGGCTTCCCATGAATGGTAGGCATTAGTAATGAAGTCTTAGGGGAGCCAAAAGTTATACATGGATTTTCAATGCACAGGGAGTTGGCTCCTCTTACTCTTATGTTGGTCAAAAGTCAACTCTACATAAAATACATGATTCTGAATTTATCTTTGATTAAGGGCAATACTACTTTCTAGGTAGCCATCACCATGGCTCTCTTAAACCAACAAAACAAAGTACAAAATGCCGTTACCATTTCTACACAGCTGTCATTTCTCAGAACACCTGAATTAACATGCATAGTGTCCATCAAATAAGAAAAAATGCTTTACTGTGTAGAATTTGGCTCTTATATTGACTATACTATGTATGTATGTCAATACTGCATAAAATGGAATAACAAACTATGGGAATTATTGGATATAGATGACCTAGATGCTGCTAACATCTAAAAGCTTAAATAATTTAAGGCAACATTTATACTCTAAAATTATCTAATTTTACATTTTACATAGAAAATTAACACAAACTCAGTATCTTTAAATGCACCATCATTTTCTATATGAAAAATATTTGATTAGTACTAAGGAAAAAATGAATCATAAAAAGATTATAGGGAGGGTTGCAAAGGCCTGGAAAATAATATCAAATAAAAAGAACAGGCAAGGCCTCAATAAGAAAATGATATTTGGGCAAAGTCTAGAAAGTCATAGGAAGTTCCTCTATCCTGCTATTCTTGCAGAACAGAATTCTAAGCAAAAGGAAAAATAAGTGCAAAGAACCCGAGACAATAGTTGGCCCAGAATGTTGAAAGAAATGCAAGGAGACAAATATGTCTCAACAAAGGGATCTTTTTTCAAAAAATTATCCCCCATACCCACTTCCTAATATTTTGGCTCTCTTTCCTGCTCAGGTCCCTTCATTTGTACATTGGATATTTTCTCATGTAAATTTGTGTAACAGAAAATATTGTTCAGTTTGGATAGAGAGCATGGAAAGTTAACAAAAAAAAAAGATAGCTGAACTTCAGATTGAAGAAATTTAGTTCCCTGTAAAGTTATTTTAAACTCTGTATTATATAAAAGCCAAAATCTTTCTATGTACTCTATGTGAATATGTGAATACTGCTATAAAAAAGATTGACTGCATGGACAAAACAAGAGTGAAAGAGCTGTGGTCAGAGAAGTAAAAGTGAGGATACACTGATAACAAGCTGTATAGGTCCTGTGGAATGTTCAGGGAGACTGGATTTTATTCTAAATGAGATTTAAAAACCATTGGAAGGTTAGGGGAGAAGGATGACTTGAATCAACTTTTTTTTTTAGACCAGTTTTAGGTTTACAGAAAAATTGAGAGGAAGGTGCAGATAGTTTCCATTCATTTTATGCTTTCAGACCACTGGGTCTGCTGTGTTGAGAAGAAACTCTAGGCTCACTCGAGTGGAATCAGGCGGCAGTGAGGAAGTAACTGCAATTTTCCAGATATAAAATGTTGCTTTCTTAGACTGAGACAGAAAGTAAGGGTCAGATTCTACATATATTCTGAAAGTGGAGCAGATAGGAGTTGCTGATAGGTAGAAAAGGAGATAAGAGAGAAAATGAGTAAAGCTTAGTTCAAGATTTGTAGCTGGAACATCATGATTGATTGGGTTGCCATTAAGTGAGATGGAGAAGGCTGTGAGAAGAACAGGTTTCAGGAGAGGAGTTCTGCAATTCAGTTTTGGGTATACTAAATGTGAGATGACTTAATAAATACTGTTAGAAATCATTGAGTAGGCAGTCAAGTATGCAAGTCTGAAGTTCAGGGTAAAGCAGGATAGAAATAAAACTTTAGGAGTTGACAGCCTACCAATGCTATCCAGAGCTACAATTAATCAATCAATGACATGATTACTTTAAAATTCTATTTGAATAATTTCCACTGAAAGAGAACTTTAAGACTTAAAAAAATGCTGACAATAAACAATTGGTCATCTCAAATAATCAAAATAGAGATCATGACCTCATATATTAATCTTAAGAAACAAAAATCATTGTTTGCAATTTTTGTTCTAAAAGCTGATATACTTTGGTTAATAACAAGAACAGTCACATAAGGTTTAGAAATGCTAAGTTATGTTTTTGTCTTATAGCAGATTTTATTTTAACATTTTTCTCATACTCCCTTATGAAGTGGAAGTTTACTTATATATTTTGCAAGACTACATGACCATAGCTCCATATAAAGTGTGACTTAAATGTACTAATTACTGTTGAGAACCCCAAGTGATTTGACAGTAGGGTTGGCTATTCCAGAAAAAACAACATGGCCCCAGTTCACTGACTGTCAGAGGATCCAATGGTAGGAATCAACTGGGACAACCTAGTTATGTGTTGATATCGAAGTATGCACTGACCCTGCTAACTTGGCAGTTTCCTTGTACTTTTTAATTAGTGACATGTTTCCATGCTATGCAGAAAAATCTATCTTTATGATCTTGTGTTATGTGTCCCCCGCCTTCTTCCCCAGCACCATCTCACGTTTTATCCCCACTGCTTCTTCTCCAGACATACTGCCATTTTTCAAGTCCTTTCTTCAAGTCCCTTATGGTGTCATCCTCCCTTCATAAAGGCCTTCACATCACTTCCTGGAATGCTCTTTCCTCTTCACTTTAGTTAATTAATCAATGCTCAATTGGTACTTTCTCAGGGAAGTTTTCTTCGACTTTACTAAACTTCTGTTTTGTATTCTCCAGGAACCATACACCTCTCCTTCAAAGCATCTAGCATAGCTGTAGTTTTATATTTACTTGTACCACTATTTGATTAATTACTGTCTCCTCAAGTAGACCATAATCACTACGAGGCAGGATTATAACTATCTTTGCCCACCAACTACCTTTAGCATATAATGAGCTTTTAACCTGTACTTGTCGAACGTGGCAATGAAATGAATGAATTAGTTTAGAATTCAGGAAGAGCATTTAATAGGGATTTAATAGATATTTGTTGAATAAGTAAATGAATGATTGCAGGTATTAATTAGCTTTTCACTCCATGAGAATAGAGATCATCATATTGTCTGTGTAGCCACAGCACTTAACACAGTGATTAACATAGAAGATAGTCATTTAACTTTTACAGTTATTGAACAGACTCAATCCTGAACTTTTTTATATCATAAAAGCTTGACCTGAAAGTGGAAAGCAAAAATGGCATCACAACTCTGAGTATGGTGAAGAAAAGAACAAAAACTAGTTGAGAGTATGACATTTTAAAAGTACAGCATTTCTAATTTACAAATAGCCAAGGCTGTTAAAAAAAAGATGTATTATAAAACTAAAATTATACTTCCAATATAACCATTTGACTTTAATACTGAGAAGAGCAATATTTATTGGCATTTAGTTTATTACATGCTCTGGAGAGAAGGATTAAAAGAAAGCATTTTCTATATTGTAATTAGTTGATCTCCTCAACTCAGTTATTGCAGAGCCACTACTGCTTAGCAATAGCATATTTATCAAATAATTTGTACATTATGATGAATAGCCTTTCACTCGACTTCCAGTGCCTAGTTATACAAGCCAGATACATTTCTATTTATTTATATATTGGTTTCCTGTTACAGAAGGTTTGTAAACCCCTGCTTCTGCATCAACATTATCTATGAAACTTTATAAAGCATCTATGCTTTGATGTCATACAAAATCTATTTCATCAAAATTTCCAGCGTTAGGATTGGAAATAATTATGATACTAAGCCACGGACCCCAGTCCTCTTGACTTTATTGAAAATATCTTGCTTATGAGTTCATTCATTCAAAAAATATTTACTGGCTATCTATTTTCCTCTAGATATGGTGACAGATGCCAGAATGTTTTGCATCAGTGAAAAAGATGTATTTCCTGCTTTCATTATACCATCAAAAATATTTTGAGATAAGTATTTGAGTTTTGGATAAGTATAGTGTGCTTTATAATGTTATGCCAGGCTAACTACCCCAATCTTCAATGCTTGAAGAAAGTTATTTCTAGAGGGAGACAATATCTAAATCTCAAGCAAAGAGGATTTTTACTTTCAGAAATAACAAAGTGGGAGAGTGCTTAGGGTAGAGGTCATAGGTTGGCCTAGAACCAAAATAGAGACTGATAGTCTCAGGAAATCACAATAATATCAGCAGAAATTGGTTCAAGATACTTCCATAGACATTGAGAGTAGGTGATACACATAGCTATATATCACATCTCAGGTGGTTAGGTTATGGACAATCAAGTCATTAGCAATGTCAACAACGCCCTCACTTCATTCAGCAAAGTTTTACCAAATGCCTACTATGTGGTGGATTCTGTTCTAGATGCTTTCTGTTCTAGATGGATTCTGTTCTAGATGAAATAAATCAGATAAACATACCTATACCAGTGATTTTAGTGTAACTAAAATATACCATGGATAGCAATATAGTATAAAAACTATGTAACTATATTCCAAAAGAATTTTACAACTATTGTCTATTAATCTTATTAAGCATTTTGAAGCTCTATATATTTCTTGTTTGGAGATGGTACTTCATAATATAATAATTCCAATATACATAAAACATATAATTTACTTTCTAACTTGAAGAATGAGTTTATTGAAATAAACATAAAGCACTTTATTTATACACACATGCACATGTACCCACACACATCCATACATTATATATATGGATATATATATATATATTATATATGGATAAACTGCTATTTCTAATAGCTAATAAGCAAAGTCAGACAACTAATCCCCAATAGCATACCAATCTGAGATGAAAGGTTCAATAATGAATATATGAGAGGACTATTTCCAATGATCGATTTTACAGATTGATATTATTCTCAGATTAAACTTTCTTGTTCACTAGTAGAAAAGTAAAATGATGATTTATGCTACGGTCAATACCACTACATATCTTAAGGTATTAACAAAACAAAGTTTTGGAGGTAATATAGTCACTCTGTAGCTACAAATATTCAGTGGCACCTTTGGAGAGAATGCAGAACTGTTTTCCATATGAAAAAGCTAGAGGTAAATTGAAATTTATTTACTTTTAGCAAATGAATTTAAAAAAGAGGAGTCACTACTCATGTCACTACCAACAGCATAATCTGAGGAGGTCCTCAAACTTTCAGTTCACACCATTCCAAGCTAACTCAATTTTAATCTTGTTCCAGTCTTCTGGGTAAAAAAAGAATATAATTAACCTAAATAGTTACTATATCAATGCTGTGTATTTTGTCACCATGGTAGACACTGGGGACACAAATAAAACTAGATCACAGTCACTACCCACCCAGGAACTCCTAGAAGAAGACTGACATAAGTGAGTAATTTTTAAAATAATGATGTTACATTCTCTCAGTTGATTACACTCCAAAAAAGCTTTTGGATAATCAACTCTGACATTTTTTATGCTGAAGACAGTTAAGAGAACTTCCATACACCAATCCCCAAAAGTAGAATAAGTCCTGATGACCTTTATAATGGATCCTGATTAGGACAAGCAATGATCTATAAGAGTTCTTTTACTTAATGAAACCAAGCCAACCACAACTGGAACTTTGAATACTAACAGATACATCTGTCAGCTTCTCCTTAAGTTAATCAAAGGAACAAAACTAATATTTGATGGCTCCCAGAAACTCCCCTTTCAATCCTCCACTACCACTGAGGCTGAGGTTTGTCCATAAAATGGTAAGAGTAATATGGTCTCTACCACTGAACTTAAGTGCAGGCTGAAGAGCTATCTGGATTCTAACATCACCTTTTACCAGAACCTCTTTTTATTTCTCCTTGAAGGCAGTCAAGTTATTCACCCAATGACCTGGTATTTTCTGTGGTTTAGCTGCATGATGTGTACATTAATATTAGGCCCCAGGGCACCATAATAATAAGATAAGCCTAGGAGGCTGTATAGAAGCATTAGAACACCCAGCAAAGTCAACATGGACAAGTGGCCAAAAGCAAGGGCCTTGGAGAAAGCTTGGCAGCATTCAAATTCTGGGTCTACTACTTACTAGCTGTGTGACTTTAGGCAAAATCTTTCACTTCTCTGTTTTTCAGTTATCTCATGGGTAAAATCAGTATTTTGATATCAGCTTACTTCCAGGAAAACTGTCTCAATTAAATAAGATTCTCTATGAAAGTGCATATGACAGAACCTTGTACATACTGAGCATGTATTTGGTATTAGGGCTCACCTGGAGATATAAGGAAAAGTTTTCTGGAGCTATGATATTTTACTTAAATTTCGAAGTATAAAGTAGGAGAAGGTGTTTGCTGATGGAAGAGAATGAGATAGACATTCCAGGGTGAGTGTTCAAAGATAGGGGAGAACACAGGCAAGAGGTTTAACATCACTAAAGTGCAAGGTAAATGGAAATGGGCTTGGGGAGGTGGGAAATGGCTGGTCTTGAGCCTGGACATAAAGATATGCCACATCCTGAAGGGCACTCTAACCCAATTAGACAACAAACTTATCCTAAAAGCCAGTGAAATAATTGAAGTTTCATTTGCATGCAAAAGGAAGAGTAACAGTCAGCAGTAGGTTGAGCTCCACTCTTAGACTCTAAAGACAGAAGTAAAGGAAAGACAGACACCACTTCAATATTTACATTTTTTTCTTTCTGTGCAGAGCTACCTAAGAGCACCAAGTATGAAAATGCACTAGAGTTCTTATTAGCAAGCTACTGCTCTTTCTGGCAGTCATCCTTTCAGGGAGTCTATGTGAAAATCTGAGTGAGGAAGGAAAGCCAACTACCTCACACAGTCTAAGGTTCACTCCTTTAAGCCCGGATGTCAGTTTACCAGTCAAACAGAGGAAGGAAGCTTCCCCTGATACTCTGTGCACTCAAGTTCTATGAATAGGGAGCTTCATTTGCCTGTACAGTACAGAGCCATTCAAGAGCAATTAAATTTGGTTAAAATAAGAAAGAAATGCTTTTTAAGAAAAAAAAAAAAGAAGATTTGAGGGGATTGCAAAAGTTAATTGTGCTAAAGCACTTTTACACAGGTTTGTTTTAGTTCTCAATTGTCAAGTCGTATTTAAGCTGGTCTCTTACTCTGAAATATGATAACCTTTCCTTTCTCTAAGTTCTTTCTCCTAAATTAATAGCACTGTCTCTAATTCCATGCGCAGCAAGCAAAGAGTTTATTTTACCAGATAACAGTAGGTCTGGTGATCAGCCAATGTCTAAAGAACCACTAGCCAAGTTAGTAGTAGGCCAAAGACTGCAACTGATAAATAGATATTACTCACTAAATCACTTTAAAATTGTCTTTCATCTTTGCTACAAGCTAGTATTATTCATGTTGAGTTCTGACACAAGTGAACATATAAAAGAATACACTTACCTATATCAATAAAACCATATTAGGGTTTTGAAGGAAGGAGAAAGAAATACATTAGATGCATTCTAAAACAGAAAGTATTTTAAAATGGAAAAAAAATACCTTTAGGTTTTGAATTAAATTGCAAGAGAATTTAGAAGGAATATGTCCTCATGTAGAAAGTGCGTTAGTGTATACTGAAAGCTACACTGAAAACTGCATTTAAAGTTGACTCTTTAGTGAAAGAACTTAGGGAACATTGCAACTTTTTATAACATCAGCGTTTATCTCTCTTCTTTGCTAAGGAACAAAACTTGAATGGTCAAAAAAGAAAAAGTTTGGTTTCCTCTCACCACTCCCAACTCAGGTCACATTTCCCCAGTATTACATGAGGGAAGTGAAGGAGTAAAAGCAGAAATGCTGACCAACGCTCAGTCCCCACTTGCAGTTGCCTTGAATTCCTAATGATCACGCCATCCATGCTTGATTACTTCTCCAAAAGTAAGGAGAAAATAAAAGTGTATCTAATAAAATTCTGGCTTTTAAATACCTAAACATAATCATTAAAAATTGTATACAATGATGGAGATATCTCAGCATTTTTTAAACTCCATATTTACATAAAATGGTATAGTTAATTGTGAGTATAAAAACTCATGATAAATGCTTTCACAGTATAATCTTCAGGACCCTATGGCCATGTATTGCTTTTCCCTAAAAACAGAAAGACTCTTAATTTGGTGGGAATACTAGTTGAAGACTGGACTTCTAGAAATAAATTTTGAGATAGAAAATCAAAATTTTCCTCCCTTACATCCCTGCAATTTCACATGTGGTAATTAAATTTGTAATAGTTGTTGACAACACAACAGATATCATGGTAGCCTACTAAGAGTGACTACTTCCTATACATTAACTGCCCATTTATGCCTAAGCTAACAGATACTTATGTAATTTCAGATACTTTGACAATCCAAAATAAAAACCTTTATTAGAATTTGCACTACTACGTTCTCTCCTATTTTTTTCTTCAGTTTGCCACTTGTTTAAAAAAAAACTGTTAAACAAACAACACACAAGTGTGTCATAATGATTATCTGACATTAATAAAAGTCATACTATATGTATACATAAAATATATGTCATCCAATCAATTGAAATTAACCTGAAAATATCAGAAATTTGCCATTTTTTATTTGAAATAAATATATAATTTTCTAAGCTTCTTAGAAATTCAAAGTTGGACCTAGTCTTCTATTAACAACTTTAGAGAGCATACAAAACTATGTTCTTAATCCAGCAATGAATAGAGTATTACGCCTTCTACTTTGATGTAATCTTATAAAATGACATAATTAAGAATACAAATGATCAAAAATTACCTTTCTTCAAAGGTAGTAAATAGAGTATTTAAAAAATTCATTCTGTAACTATTTTCTATTTAAATTTCTTTATATAAGACATTTTCACTATATCTACCTTCTCACTAATCTAAACTCTAGCAAATATATGGTCTAATAATTTCAGACTTCTGGAAATAAATATAGCGATAATATATCGAATTCTTTCTCTTTTACTTCCTTGTAATTTCACATATGGTAATTAAATTTGTAATAGTTGTTGATTGCACAACAGATATCATGGTAGTCCATTGAGAGTGAGTACTTCCCATAAATTAAATGTCAATTTTTTCCTGAGCTAAAAGGTACTTACATTAGTTTCAGGTGTTTTGACAATCCAAAATAAAACTTTAATTAGAACTTGCACTACTAAGTTCTCTCCTCTCATTCCATTGTCTCAGACTTCTATTATTTAAAATTCTTTTGATCACCATTACAGATCTTCACTCTACTCAGAAAAACCTTGAATATTACAAGAATATTTTTTATGAGGAAGAGTATTCAGCTGACAACTTTTTGTGTCTTAGTTTCCTCATTTATTGAGAAGGTAAGATTGATTAGCAATTTCTATAATTTCTAGTGCTAGCATTCTCTTTTAAAAATCTTATATAAACACCTTTTTTTAACCTTTTAAAAATTCAGCTTGTATTACACAGAGACTCTCAACCAAACTTGATTTAAATCCTTGTTATCATGAAATAGCCAGCATCTCACTAAATTAATCAGAGTGAAGAGAATTTATCCTAGGAAAAAGCAAATTTTTAGAAAAGAAAGGTGACTCTTTATACAATTTTCTTAGCTAGAAAGCCAACCCATAAATTTGAAAAGAGATGTTTGCTTTGCTGTATTTTAAGGATAACTTAACATGAACAACCATGTGGTTCTATTTTAGTCACAAATTGAAGAAAATAAAAAACCGAAAAAATATTAATTTTTTACCAATTATGTTATGCAAATACATTTCTCACTTTGCTACTGCATAACTTTGTTTAAAACTATACAAATACCTTTTAGAGAATAACTTCTATAAAGTATCCCCTCAGTTAAGTATTAATTATGAAGCAAATTGTCACTTTAAGATATTAAGAAACTTAATTTCAAAACTAATGGACAACTAGGTAAAAGAATCTGTGCCACCTAAACTGAAGCTATGTGTGTAAAGCATGCAGAAAGGTGTTTCTCTTTAGTCTATATTCTTTCTCTATTATAGTCCTGATCAATTTTGAATTTAAAAAACAAATGGAAAGACATAATATTAATGAGTTTAGCAAACACTGCATTTCTTATCAGAAGCATATCTGAGTTTCTGATTTCTGATTAAGGAACCAAATGGACAAATTCGATCTCTTTGCACTGTTGGACTAGCACATACTCTGGAAGCCAGGACCATTTCACCTGCTGATCCTGGGCACTCAAAACTACACTTCTTCAGGGCTCACTATCGATTCCTGACAAGCTTCCAAAGTTCCCAGTTTGATCAGCCTTTTACAAGATACAGTATTGGCTTAACTGCCAAAGGTTAAATGTAATTTTAATTAGTAAAAAGTGATTCAATTAGATTTTTTTTTTTTAGTGCTTCATTATAGCTAAGTCTAACTCTTACTTAAAACCCTTACATAAACTCATCTATCTTAAGATAATCATAGTGTGGTCACTATGAATTCCAGGTAAACCCCACCTCCTGTGAATAGTAAGTAATGGACTAACTGCCAAAGAATATCAATAAATCGCTGAGATACATCATTTACTTTAAAAATAAACATATATATGAAACATAAAATTGAAGTTAATGTAAATAAATATTTATAAAAATCACACTTAACCTTGTTATTCTAAATCACAGCAAGGATTGATTTTTAATGAGTATAATAAATATTTCCAAGTTATAGTTTGATTTTTCAAAGTAAAATAATATGACTAGGTATGAAGTCATAAATTTTCTTTAATCCATTCACTTCCAAGAAATTTCTCTATATTATTTTCTTTAGAGTCTAACTTTGTTTTGAACTCAGATGTTTTAAGGTTTTAATGTTTTAATTTTATATAAAAGTAGTATCTGTTTTAAATTATCTTTGTGCTTAATATCCAAATCTTATCACTGTACCTCAATGAAATCAATGTCATAGTATGATGCTGGGATATAATATCTTTATTTAGAAATTGGTATAAAATCTTACTTCAACCACAAATCTAAAGGTTATTATCAGAAGTGGACACTGGGTTTATTTTTCCCTTGTGTGGTGATTCAGGATTTGTAGCCAATGTTTTCTTTTTAAGCATTAATATACTATTATTCCCTTTTTGAAGTTAATTAAGGGATAAGAATGCCTACAAAAGTGGATTTATGTTAATATGTGGCCTCCCAGGAAAAATGAGCACTAAACAGCTTGATAAAACACATAACAAAATCTTAAAATATAAATATCTAAACTACCACTTAACTTTCAGGGCATTTCATGAAGAAGAAACCCAACAAAATCTAATCCTTATACTTTGCTATTTCTATCATTACTTGGCTTCATAAAAATAGGGAAAGTTGTTTTCCCACCATTTATTTGATGTGGTACTGGGATGCTGTTTAAAAGTGTTTCAGGTATGTTGCTAGACTGAAAATAGAAAATTTATGCATGAAAAGTACAGAAATTTGATATTAAAAAATATTCACATATCGCCACAGAAAGGCTCAATGTGGAAAATAAAAATAAATAGCTTCAGTAAAATAATCCCTGAATCCATGCAAAAGTGTCTCTCGGAGCTTGTATTTCATCCATCACCGAAGAAATTCTCAGTTCCTATAATTTTCAATAAATAGCTGCCATTACAATATTCTCATTTACATGCGTGTGTGACATGCTGAAAAAGAAATGGCATATCCATTTTTCCTTAATCAAAGGTCCTTTTCCAGTACCACTGTAGTTAAGAGGGACTTACAGAGGCCTCATGTCCCACGGTAGACGCAGGAATTCTAAATAATAAACAAAACCAGCAGAGGGCAGAACTGCTGACAGAATTGACCAATCCAACCGGTGACCAGGTACCAAAAGTAAAATACAAACTTTTTGATGGATTTCACTTTCAAAGACACTCTTATCTATCCTTGAAAATGTGGAAATGAATGAATCAACATAATTAATCAACATAATAACTCCTTTCAAAATTCAAATATAGTCCTAATAGGACTTTCACTGTATTTAGCAGGAAAAGTCACCCAAGGGAATAATCTAGCGCTGCCTGCTACTCGGGAAGCTGAAAGCCACTAAGCGTGTGGAAGGAATAACCTGGTCTCAGAGATCGGCCTCCGGGAGGGCTGACTCTCATTAGGGAGAGCTCAGATCTTGGCATCTAGACCCAGGGCCACACTCAAGTTTCTGCTAAAGCCTACGCATTTGGGCTTGACCATTTTTATCTCCCTTGACCCAACCTCGTCAGTCACCCTCCTTCCTATCCCCCAGCTTCTTTCTGCACTCCTCACAAAGCTTGCTTTCTACTCTAAGCTGTCTGGGCTCCCTGACCTCCAAAGGCTTTCGCCTGCCAGTCGATTCTAAGGCACCTAACGGACCGCTCCAGCCAGATGCCTTTTCGGGAAAGGGCGGGGGAAAGAGGGAGGGAGAAGGCGGAGGGGAGGAGTGAAGTCGCTCTCCCTCCGTGGGTACTGACAGGGTTGCAGACTTCCGAGCAGGTCTGGCCATTGAATATTTGGTGGTGCCACGTAGGAACTGTTCCTTACCTCTCTCCTCCCACCCTACCCACACCCCCTCCCCTTCCCTCCCAATCCCTAGTCCTCCGCCCCCACCCCATTTGCTTGGCGACTTTCATCATTCTCCAAGAGAACTGCACGTCCAACCTGCAAGAAGAAGCGGAGGGGTGGGGTGGGGGGAGTCACTGAAATTCAGGGGAAAGTGTTCTCCCTATCTTGAACCTATTCCTAATAATCTGCCAATTTTTGTCCACTTAAAATAGATTGACCCTCCCCCGCCCCCCAAACACACAGAGTGTTCCTAATCTTCTAGATTCACCCCCCTGGTTTCTCTTATATCCCCAAAACTAAAACAGCCTGCTTCTCACTTGGTTGCAGACAAAGAACTTTATCAAGGTTCATTTTATACCCTTTATATTTTCTCCTCAGCTCACCCTTAAAAAGATATTCCCATTAGTTAGAATCTGAAGAAACCAGATGTGTTCCAAGGGCAGTCTAAAGACTGTGCCTCAAACAAAAGCTTTGTATAACTGCCCTTGTGTTCAAGGTAATATTTTTCCTCTTTTCAAAGAGGCTGGAAAGTGGTGAAGGGCATTTTCAGCAGGCTCTCCTCCTGACAGATCTTTTTTTCCTGCTACCTACCTCGTCTCCCTTTATTGTCCCGCCTACATTCATCTCTTTCTCCAGTTTCCAATTCCAACCTGGTAGCAGCTACAATCTGGATTGTATTTAAGGGAATTGCTTTTTTTTTTTTTTCTTGAAGAGCGGGGAGGAAGGGTAAAGTGGGGGGAGGGGCGCAGAAGCAGTAGGACCGACGGCAATCTCCCACCTCCCCAAATCCATTTTTTCTTACCTCCTCTGACCTCTCTAGCTTGGAAGAGGAAGGTCAATGCGAGGGTTGTTACGGTGAAATCCCAGAGCCACCGTTTCGTTTTCCACCTAGAGGACCACGGCTCCATCTCCGAGCCCCGCACTCACAACTGTGAACTCAACCCACGAAATTGCGACTGCAGACCAACTTCGTCCTTTCCAAGGTATCGCCAGGGATGTTTGCTACACAGCCATTGGGGAGGGAGAGGGGGAAAAAGTCAAAGGGCTTTTTCTTCTAAATTTGATGGTTTGCGTTCTTCGTGTCTCTAGCCCTTTCCTCTCCCTCTGAGTTGGCCCCACCGGCCGGGACCCTCCGGCCGCGACCCTCTGATCCTTCCTCTGCCGGGCCCTGCCTTCAGAATGAAGGCAGATGAGGGGCTTCCACCAACAAGCTGAGAGTACTGTGTGCCCCTAAAGGCTTCATGCCGTCAGTGGGCTGGACGAGTGGCTCCGGGCAGCCCCCTCCTCCGCCCACTCCCCTCCCTGCTCCCAGCTCCCCCTCCCAGGGCGAAACTGACAAGCAGGCTGAGGGTCAGACCCAATCACACGACTCTGGGGCGGCCCCAAGCCCGCCCCCGCCTCCCTCAGCCCAAGAATGAGGACTCCGAGCAGGCCCAGCCCACCAACCACCCCCCATCTCCCCACTCCTCTCCTCCCTCCTCGCCTACCAAATCCCCGAGAAAAAATGGGAGGGAGTTACGGGGGACGCGTGCTTGGCTCCAGCACTTTGGGAATGAAAGGAATTGCAGGAGAGCCCCGGAGCACACGGAGTTTTCAAGGAGCTTCTGTATTCAATAAAAACAGCTACTTGTCTACTTGCACCCGTCTGTTAGCCTCTCGCTGGTCGGCGGGAGAGGGGAGGAGGCCAGCGCCTGATCGGCCACACCGCTGGAGTCCTGGGCTGGCAGCGGTAACCTTATCCTTGTGCAAAAATCTGCTTCGTATGGCAGACGTGGAACCAGTGGACTCATTGCGCTGCCTACTCTGAAAAGTGTTTTTATTTTTATTTTTTTAACCCAATAATTAGAAGAAAGGAATGAAGATAGAATGGAGGGACCCTAGAAGTCAAAACCTAGAGCATGTAGGGAAGTCCTCTTTGGAGATCTGAAACTGACAGGTTTATCTCTTAAACGTTTAAATTCAGCACTAGGTTCATTCAGTGGCTTTCCTCTTAAAAGAGTTGAACTGTACTCTGAGGGAGAAGGAGGAAAAAATTTATGGGAGCTGACATTAAGAGGGTGAGTAATTTAATTTTCCAGCTGATTCTGTTCTGATCCTGGATGAGGGGGTACTGAGGAGTGTGTAGAAAAGGCGAGGAAAGCAACTAGCAGAAATCTCCAAGAGGCTCGGCCCACAGCTCCTCATTAAGGGCCTGGCCCTGGCCCTCAGCCTCGGGAGCCAAAAACGTGGTCACTCCACAGTGAGAGTAATGAAGAGGGCAGGTTTCTAAATTCCCTCTCTACTTAACCCATCCTCAAAGTAATCCTCTTACACCTGGAATATAGATTCCCAAGTCACTTTTTCCACGTTAAAATCATTCCATTCTATTGACTCCTTTTTGTTCGTTAATAATTCCTAAGATGTTTCTCTCAAAGATTTTCTGGAACAGTGCCCATCAGGGTGCCAGCATACATTAGCCACTCAATAGAGATGGGTTGGATGAATGAACACATTTTTCTGTTGACAAAGACTAGAAGCATTGGCCAGGGCCTACTTTGAGTATTTAAGTCATTTAAATGCTTAAAGGCCCTCAACTAAGTTTACTGGGTACATATGTTCAATTCTACAGCTGCCACTAATCTTTAGGAACTCAGTTTTCTATTAGTCATCAAAATATGCCTCATGATCTATCAGATTACATCAAATCTCTTCATGCAGTTTAAAATTGGAAGAAAGGTGATCAAAGACTAGATTGAGCCCTTATAGGGGTATAACAGCATGAACAGAGACATATAAACTGAAGAAAGCAACTAGAAAATACCTTCAATATAAATATCACTCTCCATAACAAAGAACTACTCCTTTATCAAGAAGCTATCTCTTAGATCACAGGTAAAAAAATACTTGACATTTGTAATGCTGTTGGCAGAATGTTTGGGATGCCTCATATCAGCTGCAGAGAAATATCATCAACTAGTTCTTCAGATTACAACCTTAAACTGTTGGTTAAAATAATTTAATATCATATTGCATTTGAACCTGAAATGCACAATTACAAATTAAGACCCTTACAGTAAAAATATATGTATTTACCATCTTCATTATCCCTCATCGTCTCACAGATGGAAAATTTGTATATATTGGCTGTTTCCAAACTTGTGTACAAACTGATTTTTCTGTCGACTCTTCAGATATTTTAAAAATTACTTTTTACATCTTCTCTCAAATGTAAAATAGTGAAATGAATGCAAGTTTAGAAATACGTATTTGTGAAGCTGCCAGAATTCTAAATCAATTCAATAGCCAGAGAGAGTTACGGTGCTTGTAGCAACATGTACAAATGGTGTTCCAAATTGTCTCTTAATAGCTCTCAAATTTATTGAGAGTTCTGGGGCCTGATACTGTTCTAGAAGGTGAGAAATGATGCAGTCAATCTAGCAGTCCCTACTTTCTGGTCACAACTCAGACCTTCTCACTGCTGTGAAAGGGTCCTTTCAGGCAAAGCATCTTGGGTGAATAGAGTTATTACCACCTTATGCTCTCTGTACGTTGTGGTCTGAATTCCTCTGGCCACTGCCCAGCTAGGCATAATCTGGGTCTCAATGAATGCCTCTAGAAGGAAACATAGCAAATTCATGGTGAGGAATAATTATATCTAAGCCCTGTAGTCTGTTGCTAGATGCCAGATCTAGAGCCTCCCTAGGAACCAGCCCATGGATTTACAGGAGATTAACTCAGTGAAAGAAAGGATAATACTAAACAACAATGGGAGCAGGGGAAAGCCAGAAGAGAGGCACCTTAGCTAACTTCAACTTCACACAGGGGAACTTCCAATGGCATCATTTCCTGGGCCATCTTTCAACCAGTCCTTGCTAATTGTTTACGTGTAGATTCAAAATATAATAAAACAGGCAGTTTTCCTGACATAAGTCTTTAGTTTGAAGCACAATCGGTGATATTTTCCTATTTTGTCACATTTACAAATAATGATGTTTAAAGTTATTTTTTCAGCTTTGTAGAATTAGTTATTATTGGCAAGATTTTCAAAAACAGGATTTGAAAAGTAGAGAAAAAATAGTAATTTTTCTGTAGCAGCATTTTAAATTAACCATTCGTCCATATTGGCTTGTCAGAGAAACTGAGATAATAATTCGACAATGGATTGGGAGGTCAAAGTAAGGAAACTTAAAGTTCTAAACAATCTTCAGAGCCCACAGAACTTTATGAAACATTGTAAAAAGCTCATAAACCATCCTTCACATCTTCACAAATCTCTAGGAATCAGGGGAGCTGGACTCAGAACCAGTGTTTGAAACATTAAGACCTCTACAACCAAAGGGAGACTGAAGACACCTTGACAATAGCTGGATGCCCCTAATACAAATAGTATTAAAATATTGACAGAACTCTATAACAATCCTTAAATTACTACAGCTAGAATTAGGGGAAAGAAGAAGTATATTAGGTAACACGATTTTATAAACAGTGCATCATCTTTTAAGTCACTTGGCATGTATTCCCCTTTTCTCATACTGATGTTTCATCCCCCTATTTTTGATATAGATAGATAGATAGATAGATAGATAGATAGATATAAATTAGGTATTTTCTCTAAACATTTTACTTTAATTAAAATTATATCATCAAATATGATTTGTTGAATGAGAAATTATGGGGTGAGGGCTCTTGCACACACCAGAAATACTTAAAATGTTTAAAACAAAATTGCTTTTGCATGTAATCCCTCTCTTACTGTGCCTAAAGGTTTGCCTTTCTTGCCCTTTTCTAAACTTTAGGTCAATTATTTTGAGAAGGAAATGACTAAGCAGTCTGACATTCATTTTATAGTTTTTCTAATACATGAGTGGCTAGAAATTAGTCTCTGTTTAAAAGTAAAGTTAGTCTCTCTGACCTCACAGATGGGCCATTGTATTGTAGCGTGGTGGTGGAAGAGGGACAGAGAAATTTATTTCCATAGTCTAGCCTAGCTCACAAAAACCTTACAGTAAGGGTTGGGTAATTTTTGGCAACATTACTCTGAAATAACTTATAGAACATTAGAGGAATCCAAATTTAGCCCAATTTCCATTATACAACAATATCTTCAGATGAAGAAGATTTTTACCTTCTTCTGTTGGAGTGTTGAAAGAGACATCTCAGAGATGACAGATGTATCCTGTTTAAAAGGACCTAAAATAAAATTGGATCTAAATGAACACCAAACAAACAAGGAATATGGCCTTGTATGTTCATGTTATTTCTGTTAAAAAGATATTTTAGTTAGCTATATTCACAGGAAGCTATCAGAGTTCCTTTTCATAATTTTCCAATCAAAGATAGAAGGAAGAAACAGAGAATGGAGTAATTCAAGGTAAAAACTTAGATATATTTTGGACTTTTGTCAACATACCTTTACTCTCTGTATCTCTTTTTTTCTCAAATGAATGCATTTGGCATTTACTAAGCTCTTAGGGCATCCTGGGAATGTGTGTCAGCAAAAAATGTAACATGGCTTTTTACCAAGTTGTGTAGGGCAGCAGGAATACCTCTATTATTAGATGTGGAAGAATGGATTTTACATGTTTTAGTAAACCATTTTCTAAATGGTTAACTAAAGGAAGTGTACCACAACACTACTAATGTATAACCAAGATATTTTACTTTCTATAGTGTTCCAACTATCACTTGAGTAGTATTGACTTGATCCACATTGGTTATTCCTAACAAAATAAGTTTGCTGAAGGTAGAGATGTTAGCATCTTTAAAGGGATAATTTAAGAATTTATTCATAACAATTTCATAATTTTTTAAATTTAATTTTCATAGTTAAATGAGAATGTACCACTAATTTTCCTTTGACATTACTTTATAAATAACAAAAGGCAACAAGATACCAAATACATCATTACATTATTTCTAAAATAAGTAGGATCCTCTTTCTCACCTCTATCATTTCTTCACAGATTGATCCACCCTGATACCATTTGACAGTATTCTTGACTTGAAGTGAATATTATTTCTAGTGATCGTATGTAATTGTTTTATGCCTCCACCATTCGCACCTAATCATTTAAGTCTGAAACCAAATGCATCTGCATCAAAAATCTGAAGACTCACACCAGATACTTTTCTGAAACATATGCAATATTTCTGTTATTTTTATATGAGTCTTATACATTCCACAACAAATGCCAAATACAAGATTTAAGGCCGGCAAATATGGTTAAATATTGAAATAGATCTGATTTTTAAAACATCTGTATTAAATAACTTCAACTTAATTTGTTTTGCAGATTTTCAGTGTTTAGTAACCCTCCCAATATTATGCTTTTTGCCAGTAGTGGTATGGTGAAATTATTGCACTTTCAAATGCTGGACAAACAATAGATACTATTTCAAAAGCTTTCACAGTCTAATTTACAAAGACTGGAAAATTACATATGAATATAAATGGTTGGGTTCCAAAAAAAAACATTTAGTATAAGAGTATTTTGTTAAAAACAAAATGCATTTTCCAGCATAGGAAAATTCCTTTTATTTAAAATACTTAATGGTTTTTTGTTAGTCTTCATAACATCTTCATGAGATAGGAATGTAGCAATTTTAATGATTTCATTTTAATGTTGAGGTCTGGGATACTTAAAGTTCAAACTAGGAATACCGAAACAGATTTTATATGTGAAAACATTTATATTTTTACACATCTGCTCTCATTATTAATTCTGCTCTTATAAATTATGCATTTTAGAATTTGATTTATATTTTTATAAGTTAAATATTAAAATGAATGAAATCTCTTTAAATCTCTTAAATAAAGCTTAAAATTAAAAGATAATGCCATTGATTGTACCTAAAGCTTTCAAAATATCGAGTTATATCTGTGGATGAATTTTTATGAATAAAAAAGATAAATAATAATGAGCAATTTTTATCCTGATGCCAAACCTCAGGTTTCTCTTTCTCTTAGGATTTTAAAATCACTTTATAGCTTTATATGCATTTCCAAAGATAAAATACTGCTGGAATTAACCCAAAGTCATGTTTTATTTTCCAAGAAGAAAAAGAAAAAAAAGGAATTCAATGTGTTAAAGAGGTGAAATAAAATCATAATTATATCAATATTTTGTAAATACATGAACATCTTGAAAGCCGTAAGTACTAAGCAGGGACTTCTATTGCAAAGCATAACTCTCTAAATTGGAAAACATATCAAGTATTACATAACTGTTTTTGTATACCATAAATTCTTTGAGAGCAGAAATCCTCATTCTATACTA
This sequence comes from Homo sapiens, assembly GCF_000001405.40. Taxonomy (NCBI): domain Eukaryota; kingdom Metazoa; phylum Chordata; class Mammalia; order Primates; family Hominidae; genus Homo; species Homo sapiens. Next base: position 103,114,527 of record NC_000001.11, read on the forward strand.
TATTTTCAATGTCTTGGTTTCCCCTTCTTATTGTGCTCCATATGAATTTGGTAACATTTATCTTAGTTGCTCACTTTAATTTTCATTTATATTTAAAACACAAAAGTGCCAATTAAAATGATTTTGTCCATCATTTTAAAGCATTAGATCTTCAGATATGAATTACTATGTACCTAAGACCCAAGCTTGGATTGAAACTCCAGGATGTTACTGGTAATACCATGGGGCTTCTACCAATTTAGAAGGAAGACTAAACATCTATACCACCTGTGAAACTATCAAGACAAAGTTTGACATATTTCATGGGGTGGAGTTCATTGCAATATTTTACTAAGTCACAGTTGAAAACTTAAGGATCAATTCTGTTGATAGGATGTATTAAATGTAGGTCTCCTCCTCATCTCCACCATCTCATGAAAATAAGGATCCTGTATAGTTTGTGTGTAAACTTACATGAGCTCTGATATTGACAACCAAAAAGCACTACTTCCCGTGTTCTCCGTTGTCTTCCCTTGTTATTTCTACACAATAATTCCGCAACAGGATATCTGAATACATTTTGATAAGTGGATAACAATAGAAAAAATATCAAGAAATTCATTTTAGAATTTCAAATTTTGGAGTTACAAATAATAACTCAAAAGTGTATATTTTATATGTAAACATATTTATGTTGTAGTAACAGTAAAAATAGTTATACTAAAAAGTCATATATATGCATGGATAGTGATTTCATAAATATTTGAATAGGACATTGTCCTAAATTCTAGAACCTTATATTCTAGCACAGGAAAAAAATATATTAATAAATCAATTATGTAAGAAATGTATTAATAAGTGAATTAATTACATAGGAAAAATCACTTGCTGTAAGAAATCGCTTGCAAATTGTGATTTCTTACAGAAGACGACTTTTAAAATAAAATCTACATTCTTCAGTACTGTCTTCAACAGATCTTTGAGATTATAACTTAAATAAAATTTAATCGGCCAGGCGTGGTGGCTCACCCCTGTAATCCCAGCACTTTGGGAGGCCAAGGCGGGCAGATCACAAGATCAGGAGATCAAGATCATCCTGGCTAACACGGTGAAACACCATCTCTACTAAAAAATACAGAAAACTAGCCAGGTGTGGTGGCGGGCGCTTGTAGTCCCAGCTACTTGGGAGGCTGAGGCAGGAGAATGGCATGAACCTGGGAGGTGGAGCTTGCAGTGAGCCGAGATCGCGCCACTACACTCCAGCCTGGGCGACAGAGTGAGACTCTGTCTCAAAAGAAAAAAAAAATAATCATGTGATGATAGAAAATATTTTAAACACACACACAGAAACACTTAACTAGATAACATAAATAAATACTTTACTGAAATGTAAACATCATCCAAAAATTTAATGATATATATTATAGTGTTGGGAACAAATGTATAGTACTTTTTTATTGTTTTTAAATAACATTTTAGTCTCTAACCACAGAACATAAATGATACTTGTTATTTTTTAAAACCTGGTTCAGTCTTTACTCCAACCTACTTTGTAGCAATATTTCTGAGGAATATTCAGTATAAATGCCTTTGCTACTTTCTATTCTCATCATTTATAGATATTTTTATTCTATTTTTATTCCAAATCTATTGCCAAGACATTTTCCTGAATATTGTTGCCAGACAACATTATTGTTCAAAATCTTAGAGGTTAAAACAGGGATAAAAATATGAATGTTTTTTCAAGAAAACTAATCAACATGGGAGAAAATTGCACCTCTCAAGGGAAAATGCTAGGACATTGGTAGAAGAGAAAGATGAGCAGAAGGTATATGGGAATAGGAAAGAAAACACTCTTAGCAGTCTTTATAAGTGAGAAATATTGAAGGAATGGAGTGCTGCTCTATGATTCATTTTCTTAAGTATATCTATTTTCTTGCTTCAAGGAGAACCATTTAATTGCTTAGTAGTTTGGCCACTACAGAACTTGAGGTCTTCCTGCTGGAGACAGGTAACCTTGACTAAAACTATCTGGAGATGTACCATAAAATACAAAAGCTCAGCTGGGGAGTGGGGGTCTATAAACAGCCAATGGATAACTATCACCCATCACAAAGGAATTACAGGTGAGAAATTCCCGGCATCTCAGTGTGTGTGTGTGTGTGTGTAACCAATAAAATTCTGTGTCATTTATCTAAGAAGCATGACACTCAGCATGTATGTTCTGGGTTTCTAACATTTAAAAAAATTCTCATAATTCTGTGGATTTTTTAGGCTCAGCTAAGTTGTCCTGCTGTTCACTGTGTGTCAGCCAGGATCATCCAAGCACTCGAGCAATTAATTGCATTGAACTTGGGGGAGATTGGCTAGTCCTGATACATAAAAGACAGGTACATTCACATGTCTAGTGCCTCAGCCGAGGTGGCTGGAAATGCTGGAAGTGCTGAACTCTGACTGAACCCATCTCTCTATTAGGCTAGTTTGGCTTGCTAAATGTTAGTTCAGGGCTGCAAGAGAGTATAATCCGAAGCAGAAGCAGGAGACCTGTTTAATGCTAAGCTCAGAAGAAGTATAATCTCACTTCTGCAGCATTTCATAGGTCAAAACCAATAATGATGAAAACCCAGATTTAGTAGGAGGAAAAGAGTAATATACAATTACAGGCATGGCAAGAATTATCAGCAGCCTTTTTTGGACATAATTTAACACAGCCTATGCAAAGTACACTTACCTCCTCATAATTCCCCCAAACTTCATTCAATTATGTCATCAGCCTCAGAGTACAGTGTCTCATGATTGAATAAGATCCAGATGTAGATGAGATGTGGAGGTACATCTCCTCTTAATCTAGAAATCTGTGAACTAAAATGACAAGTTATCTGTCATCCACAATAGACAATCTCATTCAAAAAGGGAGGAACTGGAAGGCACAGAAATCACAGTCCATATAAGTTACGAAATTCAGCCTGATACTTTTGCCAGTTCTCTATGGGAGCTGGAGATTTTTTTTTATTACAACCAAATTATGCTATCTTAGAGTTGTTTGATAATTTGTTATTCTTTACAGTTATTGGTTCAACCTTCTGGGTTCCGTATATGCCCTGTGAGATGAACTTCTTCCATAAGAAAAGGTCTGTGTTTATAGCTCAGTAGCTTTCAGAGCTTTCCTCCTATTCATAAATAGTTGAGACTTTTAATGGCCTTTTTTCATTTTGACCTATATTTCTGCCTTTTAATCAACTGATGTTACATTTGTTAATAAAGTGTTCTTGAAACCTTTGTGGATTTCCTATGAATATTTTTGGAGTTCATTTGATTCACTCAAAGCCATATCCACAATTCTTCTAAGACAAACATTTACCTAATTTTGGCAATTCAACTTTCTGAAACCATGCCCTTAGGAAGTGTTTTGTTTAGCTGAGGGGTTATATAAAACATATCCTAAATGTTTATGAGATTTTCAGAAAGTTTTTTTACAGGTATAGCCTTGACTTTTTCTTGATTCACTCTGAGGTCCATGCAATTGGCTGAATTATTGATTTGATTTTTTCCTTGAGGTCCTCTCTTATCTTGAAAATCTTTTTGCTGAAGCCATCTATGTTTCCTAGGCCATCTATATTTCCTCTGAATTCTGTTTGAAATAAAATAGTGTTTTAGTTAGTTTATGTCTCTCTTAAAATATACTGTTAAACAGAAAACAATGGAATCAAATGCCAGTATCAATATTCTAATGAAAATCTCATTAACCAATTTTGATATTGTGAAATACATATTTGTTCTTCATCTCCATTTCTTGGCACACACCTTCTAAAACCCTTGAAATCTCTTAAGTGATAAGTTCCTTTATATATGCTAATGAGATAACTGGTTGTGGGGACTAGGGTTCTTAGACTCACAATGGGGGATAGTGAGGCAGGGAAAACATCCATGTCAGTAGAGGATTGGAACTTTTACTCTCATTCCCCAACCTCTGGAGAGGAAAGAAGAGTTGAAGATTGTGTTGATTGCCAGTGGACAATGACATAATCAATTATGACTTCTTCATTAAGCCTCCTACATTTAGCCTCCATAAAAATTCAAAAGGACTGAGTTTGGGGAGCAGTGGAGCTTTCAGATAACTTCATTTAACTCAGGTGCCTAGAGAGTAGCACCCCAGATAGGAAATGGAAGCTCCATGCCTCTTGATGCATACCTTGCCTTGTGCATTTCTTCCTTCTGGCTGTTTATCTGTATCCTTTATAATATCCTGTATAATAAGTGTGTAAATTAAAGTGTTTTCCTGAGCTCTGTTGAGCCACTCTTGCAAATTAATCAAAACTGAGGAAGGGGCCACGGGAACCCCAATTTTTAGCTGTTTAACCAGAAGCATGGGTCATAGTTTTAGGCTTGTGGTCAGCATCTACAGGTGAGGGGTACTCTTGTGGGACTGAGCTCTCAAGACTGGCTTCTTGGTTCATAGTTCAAAAATAATAATAAATAATAATAATTGCATCTGAGTATGTCTACCTTATTCAAGAGGGTTAAACTCATCACTGACAGTGTCCAATTGTAGCTAAATATAAGGCTAAAAATCAACAAAAACTTAAAATTTGTTATGCCTCCCTATTAACTATTTTCAATTTCATTTCTCTCAACACTATGGCAATCTCCCACTTGAAGCAAAACCAATTTTTTGGTGATTCTGGTTACATTTTAAACTTTTAATCTATTCAGCTGCTCTGGAAGCTCTTTCAAACAGATTTAGTATTCTCTTTCTACATACTACCCAAAATATTTGCTTTTAAAAAAAGACTGAATTATAACCAATATTTGTTAAATGATGCAAAAAAAGAATTAAAGAGCCCATGCAGAGATATCAATATTTATATAACAAATATTAGAATCATGAGCTGGGCACAGTGGCTCGTGCCGGTAATCCCAGCATTATAGGAGGCTGCGGTAGGGGGATCACTTGAGGCCAGGAGTTTGAGATGAGCCTGGCCAACACGGTGGAACCCAGGAAGCAGAGGTTGCAGTGAGCCGAGATCATCCCACTGCACTCCAGCCTGGGCAATGGAGCAAAACTCTGTCAAAAAAAAAATTCATGAAATTATTAATCTTCCACATATAATTAAACTATGATGACAATAAAACACAAAGAAAATTTTACGTTGGCCAATTTAGTACAATAAACAGATACTCTACTCTCTAACGTAGTTTTTGTTTTGTTTTGTTTTGTTTTTGAGATGGAGTTTCATTCTTGTTGCCCATGATGGAGTGCAATGGTGTAATCTCGGCTCACTGCAACCTCCGCCTCCCAGGTCCAAGTGATTCTTGTGCCTCAGCCTCCCAAGTAGCTGGCATTACCGGCATGCACCACCATGCCCAGCTAATTTTTGTATTTTTAGTAGAGACAGGTTTCACCATGTTGGTCAGCCTGGTCTCAAACTCCTGACCTCAAGTGATCCACCCGCCTTGGCCTCCCAAAGTGCTGGTTTTACAGGCATCAGCCACTGCGCCTGGCTTCTAACGTGGCATTTTAAGAGTGATGCATATCTGTATGATATAGATGTAACAATAGATCCATGTGATAGATCTGTTCTAACATTAATAAGAAAAGTAGTGACAAGCTAAGCTTAGGAATGAGAACACTTTTTATTTGCAAATACAAGAGTCATGCATATGTGTACAACTCCAAGTAGAACAGCAATAGTATGGTTTAGCGAAAACTTTTTTTTTTTTGAGTCGGAGTCTCACTCTGTCACCCAGGCTGGAGTGTAGTGGCATAATCTCAGCTCACTGCACCTCCGCCTCCTGGAGTCAAGCGATTCTCCTGCCTCAGCCTCCTGAGTAGCTGGGGTTACAGGCACCTGCCACTACATCTGGCTAATTGTTGTATTTTTAGTAGAGACGGGGTTTCACTATGTTGGCTAGGCTGGTCTTGAATTCCTGACCTCAAGTGATCCACCCTCTTAGGCCTCCCAAAGTGCTGGGATTACAGGCATGAGCCACCCTGCCCGGCCAGAAAACTGTTATTTTTTTACACCTATTAGACAGCAAAGTAAACCAAGTCATATTTTGGTTCTCTTGTAAAATATCCTGTAGACTATGTATCATTCAAATAAATTGAAGCCTGTGTCTCCTGCTTTTAAATAATGATCCTTGCGAACTAAAATCTTAAGTTATTGCAATTTTCAAAGCATGGTAAGTTAAGCATCTGTAGTGGGAAGAAAAACCTCCAATTCTGTCAAAGATGTTTAACTTCTAGTGATAATTATGTAATTACCAAAAGTTCAAAAAACCTCATATTTAAAAACTACTTTTGACATTTCAAATTTAATAGCTCAAGACAAAAACTCATAGAAGAATTAGAAGATGATAGCAAATAAGGCAGAGTAAACAGATCTAATGGCCTATCTCTCTAGAGAGAGATAAAAAAACCAAGCAGAACTGTTGGAATCAACTTTGTTAGAACTGAAAAATAAAGGTTTACAGAAACAGGAGAATGCTGAATCAAGAGAAAGGAAACATAAAAATTAAAAGAAGGATGTGTAGCATTTTTATTTGCATTTGCTTCATCTCCCACTGGCACAGCCTCTATTCCCAATGTGCCTGGCAGAGGGAGCAAAGCAGATCTCATTCTCAAAGAATGTTATCCTGTATGGGAGCTACCTGAAGGATTAATGAGAAGTGTTTGTCTTTATTTTATCTAACTCAGAACTCGCACTGGACTGAAAAACAGCAGGCATTCCTCAAGCATATCGTAAGGTAAACAAATAAACAAACAAAGAAAATGAACAATAAAAAACTGCAGCTGCCTAGGGCAAAAGATTAAGGTTGAAGAAAATATAATAAGAGTGCCCAAAGTCTGGAAGGAAAAGCTAAGGAAAGTGTTTCTTTGAATAATTATAACAATCTTAAGCAGCTCTATATTGTGGGGGAAATTTAGAAAGCAACAGCACATAATTTGGGCAAAACATTTACTCAGAAAAAGACCAGAGAAGACCCAAATCATTTATCCCTGGCTGACATCTAAGTGTTTGAAGGAAGGGAAGGCTAAGGTAGAGTTTTAAATGGACTGGCTAAGCAATAAAAGAGTATCCCAGCACAGAAGAAATCTGCAAAGACTGGGATGACAATCTCTCTGGCTCCCTTTCCTTCTTCCTCTCTTTATTTCTCTCTGTCTCCTCTTGGTTTATCAGAAAGTCTTTGACAAAACACTAGCTGTACACAAACTAAAGAAACAGGGATTTAAGAGGCAAAACATAAAGAAGTTACAGACCTTTAAAAATAGTTTAGAAAAGACACTAAACAAATATCCCTGTCCAAATTCCAATGGCCTCTTTTGCAGAAATGGAAAGGTTGGTACTCGGATTTCATACAGAACTGCAAGGGGTTTTAAATAGCCAAAACAATATGGAAAAAGCAGTGTTGGAGGGCTCAAAATCTTCCCAACTTCAGAACTTGCTAATCAAAACAGTGTGATATTAGACATATTGATCAATGGAATAAAATTGATCATCAAGAAACTGATCCATATATTTTATAAACAGTTAATTTTGACAAGGATGACAAGATCATTCATTAGGGAAAAAGTACTATCTTCAACAAATGGTGCTGAAATGATTGGATATCCATGTGCAAAAGAATGAAATTGGATTCTTACCTCACATCATATGCTAACATTAACTTGAAATGGATCAAGTAAATATAACAGCTAAAATAATAAAAATTCTTAGAAGAAAACATAAGGGTAGGCTTCAGGATCTTGAATTTGCCAAGGCATTCTTAGGTATGGCACCAAAACCAGGAACAGCAAAACAAAAAATAAATAAATATGACTTTGTCAAAATAAAAAATTTTGTTTATCAAAAGATACATTATCAAGAAAGTGAAAAGACGACCTACAAAATAAGCAAAAATATCTGCAAATCATGTATCTGATTGTCATCTAATATAGAATATATAAAGAGCTCTTACATTCAACAACAAAGATAAACAACCCAGTTTTCACCCATTTTGAATGGGCAACCCATTTTAAAACAACCAATTTTAAAATGGACAAATAACCTGAGTATACGTTTCTCTTAAGAATAGGTACAAATGGCCAAGAAGAACAAATAAGTATGTCCAACATTATTGACATTCAGGGAAATGCAAATCAAAACTCTGATGAGATGCCACTTCACAACCACTAGAATGGTGATAATTTTTATTTTTATTTTTATTTTATTTTGAGACAGGATCTTGCTGTGTCAATCACACTGCAGTGGCACAATCATAACTCACTGCAGCTTCAACCTCCTGGGCTCAAGTTATCTTCCCACCTCAGCCTCCCAAGTAGCTGGGACTACAGGTGTGCCACCACACCTGGCTTTTTTTTTTTCAGTAGAGATAAGGTCTTGCTATGTTGCCCAGGCTGTCTCTATCTCCTGAACTCAAGCAATTCTTCCTCTTCAGCTTCCCAAAGTGTATGCCTGTCCAGATAATTTTTTTAATGAAAACAACTAATATTGGCAGCAGTGTGAAGAAATGGGGAGCTTCTTTCTTAACTGGTGAGAATTTAAAATTTTTTAGCTGCTGTGGAGCTGGTTTCTAAAATAGTTGAACATAGAATTCACATATGAGCCAGTAATTTCACCCTCAAGGATATGCACAAAAGAATTGAAAGAAGTACTAAAAAAACATGTATACATATATTCATAGCAGCAATATTCACAATAGCCAAAAGGTGAAAATAATCCAAATGTCTATCAACAAAGGAATGGATAAACAAATTGTGACACATACATAAAATAGAACATTATTCAACCATAAAATGGAATTAAATCCCAATATATTACGGTATGGATGAATATTGAATATATTATGCTAAGTTGAAAGAATCCAAACACAAAAGATTGCATGCTATATGATTCATTTATATGAAGTATCTATAATAGTTAGGTCCATGGAGACAAAAAGCAAATGTGTCGGCAAGGGCTGGAGAGAGAGAGGAGTAAGAAGTAACTGCTTAATGAGTGTGGGATGTTCTTTTGTGGCAAGGAAAATGTTTTATAGCTAGATAGATATGGTGGTTGCACAACACTGTGATTGTACTAAATGCCACTGAATTGTTCATTTTAAAATAAATGATTGAATGTTATATGAATCTTATTTCAATTTTTTAAAAGTCTCTTACTATTGGGTACAACTTTTTTCTCACTTTGTAAAAATGGCTCAAATTTTTCTAGGAAAACATATGGCACAAAGACTAACATGTACTTATTTAACAGAAAGTACTTTAAAAAAAACATAAAATATTGCCAGAGATTTGGAGAAAAAAATAGACAAATTGCATAGTACCAGAGGTTTTCTGTTGAAAGAAAGAACAGATGTTTCTAACATGTCTCAGGTTATGATTTTGGTAGATGAACTGCCTCAATAATAAAACAGCAAGGATGAATTTTGTGGGTGTGGTCAATAAAAGCAAGATGTACTGGAAACAATTTAAAATAATCTTTAATAAAATAATGTTTATTAACAAAACAGTTTAACTGTTTTAGTGTGCCTGTTATGAAATCAATAAAGAAAAAGAAAGATTCTGAAGTTACATTCAGAAATATTATTATATGAAATACTCGTTTGCCAAATTATTCACAAAGAAACCATTGCAGTTAAGCAGTAGTAAATGAAAGGCACAAGGATGTCATCAATGAGAATAATGTTACTTTTTAAATATGTTTAAATATAGTGAACTATAATATACCATCTCTTCCTCTCCTTTGATTGCAATGTATGCAAAACAAACATGTTGAATCATCCAAATATGGAGGGATAATAAAACAATAGGCCACCTGTTTTTATAAGGTTTTATTTGAACATACAAAAAATATACCTGATATGATATTTCATAAGATTGGAAGTATTAAAGTATTTAAGAGATTGATGAGCACAATTAAAATTATAATTTTCTGTTATCACGCACCCCAAATCATCTCAAATTTACTGAACTTTTTTGATGATAAGTTGTCATTACTGTTTAATCTAAGAAAATTTTTAATCAATTTTTACATATTGAAATATCCCTTCAAGGTAAAAAGGACATTTTAATAATGACTAAGAAAGCAATAGCTTTTCAATAGAAAGAAAGTTATACTATGGAGAGAGCATTTTGAAAACAGAATTTTGGAAATGTTTCTGCTATTATGCAATCTTAATGGCCCAAAATACATGTTATTTACAAAATTCTCATATTGCTATTCCCCCAAAAATGGAAAGCGATTTTTTAGCTATCTAAAATCTTCCAAATAAATATTTTTAGTGGATTGGAAATCATTTTTAAAAAAATACCAATCAAAACTTCCTAAAATTTTCAAGATCATTTCCAACTTTAAGAAAAACAATTAGGTCATGAAAGACTAAGAAATGACAATCGTGATTGATTGATTATGGAGAGTAGATCTTGTCCACTTACAACAACTGAAATCAAGATAAATTAAATGTGGAGCAGTATCTTTGATGTTTCATATATCAGTAAGTAAAGTCAAGATTTTCAAAAATAATGAACCAATTTCTACCACATATTTCTCACTGACAATATTGTCCATTTTTTATATTTTAGAGAACAAATGTCAATACAATAGGAAAGAAATTTACCATTAAGAAATAATAATAAGGTTTAATTTTATTGTTTAGTCTATGTTTATCTATTTTTCCAGGTTTATTTTTGTATATATTTTAATATATTTAGAGTAAAATACATGAATATATAGCATTAAGATTTATGTATTAATATTCGTGTGTATGTGTATACATACACACATTACTAGGTTTTTTTTTGTATATATGCTACTATGACTCAGTAAATGTCAATTCCAAGTTGGTACCTTAGTTTGAAAGGGTATTCCATCACTCTCTTAGGCCAGCAACTTTTAGTGATGCAATATCTAGTAGAACTGGTGGATTCCACTGCCATGTGTTTATTGCTAAGCCTCCTTTGTTGCTGAAAAGTGGATTTCTGTGTCTGATGTAATGTTATGCATACTGTGTTGGTAAATTAAATACTCTGTAATCTAGCCGAGTCCATGTAGACAGGAAAGAATAACTTATACCTATGGATGTGATTTCATACAGTCAAGATGAATTGCTGCCACTCTGATGGTTTGTTATCAACTTACCACCAAGTGGCTGGTTGGTTTCTTTCAAAGATGATTCTATACGAGAGACTCAGTGCTGGTCATGCTTTTGGTTGAATACCATCAGTGGAAGTAATTTATCTGCTTTTTTTTTTTAGTGGGAGTCCACTCTTGGGCCCATACATAGCCCCAATTTCTGTCATCATGGTACTTCTATTATTAGGCTCATTGTGCCAGCACTGGGGTAGCCAATTATAGATGCTGGCTTTTGTCAACTAGCCAAATCATTTTGTCTAATTAGGTTAGTGTCTCTCTCACTGTGAATGTTCTCTTGAACATATTAACATGTAATACAAAGATCTTTAAACTGCATTCCTACACAAATGGCTCCAGATTCTTCAACTAAAGCTTTCTGTGTAAGTCAGACTTTTTTTTTGCCACTACTGATATTCTAATACCATAAGGGCTTCTGGTTACTATAGCTGAAACATCAGAGCTGCTTACTCCACAGCCTAGATGTACTGAAGAGCCCTATCCTGCTCTGAGCCCTATCCAAAGCTAGCAGCCCTTTTTTTTTTTTTTTAATCACCCAGTGAATAGACCAGGACAGCATTCATAAGTGTGGAATATACTGCCTCTAAAATTTGAAGAGACCTACCAAGTGTTATCTTTTCTTCTTAGTGGTGGAAGATATGACATGAAATGATTTTTCTTTTACTTTGGAGGAAATGTCCAGGCATGAAACAGGCAAATAGACCCATAAAATCTTTACTGATACAGCAGGCCCTGAATCTCCATATTTTTATCCCTCACCCTCTGTAGCACATATGACTTGTCAAGATCTCCAGCATAGTTAACACTATGGTTACTCAGTTTAATATGGTGTTATCAGTATAGTGGACAAATGCATAATTCTGCAGAATGGTCAGATTTTACAGCATCATCTGGCTGGCTATATTATGACAGAAGTTATGAGAGTTCATAAAGCCCTAGGTCTAGGCTGTAAATATATATTACTTTCTGTCCAAAATGAATTTGAAATGTTCCTAATCCTCTTCCTGATAGGGATGGAAAAAATGAATTCACAAAATCAATGACTGCATACCATGTATCTGAGGTTCACACTAATCTACTGTAACAAAAATGCCTATCTGAAACAGCAGTTGCAGCCTGCGTTTGTATCCTTCTCCAAGATCTAACTGCATGCTTTGGGACATCTACAACCACCTCAGCCCCATGACCAAGATGCGATATTGCTTTTGTTTTATAATCTTGACTGTGAGGGTATTAGTTTCCTAGTCTTGGGCTTGACTTTTCCTACTATAACAGCTCTTGTACCACAGAATAAGGAACCTATATGGAGGTTGTGCCAAGGATCAAGTATATACATTACAATTACATGTTCAAGGATGGAGTAACTGGCTACCAGAGTGCTTTCAGGGGGATTCAGACCTGGGCCACATATCCATATACCACCTAGCTCCTATATACTCCCACCCTTAAAGGGGGGCAGGAGGAATCCTTGACTTTGGTTTCCAAGGTATAAATATTTTTAATATTTTCAATATTTTATTTTCTCCATATGGTGCTGCATGGTTCTCCTCCTGGGGTCCTGATCTATTCATGAATTAATGAGATTTTAAGTCTGTGGATTGGTTTCATTCTGTAACCCAGCCAAGGAATTATTGAGAGGGCTGTTGTTAGTCTCGAGGTCATCATTCATCCGTCCTTGATTTTTGTTGTTGTTATAGATTGGGTAATAAACTTGTTGGAAACCCTTCTGTCTCGACTCTAGGGATGCTATATTTTATTAATCATCTCCATAGCTTTCTTCAGGCCAGACCTCTACTAGAAACTCCAACTATGCCACTTGTCACAAAATTGTACTCACCTTGCTTTTCATAGTTAGATACAACTACCTCCCCTCTATTATCTTCACATCTTACCAAACTGGTATTAAGGAACTCAGCTCAAAAACTATCTGTAATAGCATCTTTTGCTATCAGTACGGGACTATAGAAGACTGCCATCATTCGGTTACCATTCAGGACACAGGCATGGGCAAATACTGCATGATAAAGACACCAAAAGCAATTGCAACAAAAGCAAAAATTGGCATATGGGATCTAATTAAACTGAAGAGCTTCTGCACAGTAAAATAAACTATCAACAGAGTAAACAGAAAACCTACAGAATGGAAGAAAGTTTTTGCAACCATGCATCTGACAGAGTCTAATATAGAGCATTTACAAGGCACTTAAGACAAAGTTACAGGCCGGGCGCGGTGGCTCACGCCTGTAATCCCAGCACTTTGGGAGGCCGAGGCGGGCGGATCACGAGGTCAGGAGATCGAGACCATCCCGGCTAAAACGGTGAAACCCCGTCTCTACTAAAAATACAAAAAATTAGCCGGGCGTAGTGGCGGGCGCCTGTAGTCCCAGCTACTTGGGAGGCTGAGGCAGGAGAATGGCGTGAACCCGGGAGGCGGAGCTTGCAGTGAGCCGAGATCCTGCCACTGCACTCCAGCCTGGGCGACAGAGCGAGACTCCGTCTCAAAAAAAAAAAAAAAAAAAAAAGACAAAGTTACAATAAAACAACCAAACAGCCGCATTAAAAAGTGAGCAAAGGACATGAACAGACACTCCCAAAAGAAGACATACATGCAGCCAACAATCATTAAAAAAACTTAAAATCACTGATTAGAGAAATGCAAATAAAAATCACAATGAGATACCATCTCACACCAGTCAGAATGACTATTATTAAAAAGTCAAAAAATAACAGAAGGCTGGCAAGATTGTGGAGAAAAAGGAATGCTTATACACTGTTGAAGAGGGCGAATTTGTTCAACTGTTTTGGAAGACAGTGTGGCAATTCCTCAAATACCAAAAGACATAAATACCATTTGACTCAGCAATCTCATTACTAGGTATATGCCCTCAAATAATATAAATCATTCTATTATAAAGACACATGCACACACGTATGTTCATTGCAGCACTATTCACAATAGCAAAGACATGGAATAAACCTAAATGCCCATCAATGATAGATTAGATAAAGAAAATATGGCACATATACACCAAAGCTATAAAAAAAATGAGATTATGTCCTTTGAGAGAAGCTGCACATGGATGGAGCTGGAGGCCATTATCCTTAGCAAACTAACACAGGAAAAGAAAACTGAATATCGCATGTTCTCACTTATAAGTGGAAGCTAGATGATAAGAACACCTGAACACATAGAGGGGCACAAAAATTCAAAGAAATGGTGTTGTTATGGGTCCTGGAAGCATGAAGAATGTAGTATTTTCCATATTAAGAAAGTATGCTTTTCACTGGGGCCTGTTGAAGGGTGGAGGGTGGAAGGAGGAAGGGGATCAGGAAAAATAACTAATGGGTACTAGGCTTAATACCTGGCTGATTAAATAATCTGTACAACAACCCCCCATGACACAAGTTTACCTAGGTAGCAAATCTACACATGTACCCCTCAACTTAAAAGTTAAAAAAATAAATAAATTTTTGAAAGGAAGACTGCTATCGTTGAGCTTTTCAGCAATACCGATGCCCTTCTTAGCAGTACATTTCTTACTGCTTTGGTAAACGGAATGTCCCTTGTGTCTTTACATAGAACATGATTATCTGGTGTGTATTCCAGTCTCAGGCAGTATATCTATTTCAGTATTCCATTTCTCTGAGCCTTTTGGTACATTCTTGTACCGTCTTCCACAAAGACTAGATGTTCTAGCATTTCTATTTCACTTAATGTGGATGATATTTCTTCATGCTTCCAGGATCCACCCAGCACCATTTCTTTGAGTTTTTGCCAGGATTTGCAGGAATCTGAGGATTCACAATTATCTGGTATATTGAGTCAGTCATACCCATCCCATGTCTCATCACTTCTCATTTTCTCAATCAGGGCCCTGTCTGGCATAACAGACTTTCCCAGATTGAGTATTCAACCTCCTCTGGAACTCTGCTGCTCTTGCAATTGTGGTTTTGATGCTCAGTTTTTTCTGCCATAAACTTGAAAGAGATAGTAGTATTTTATTTATTACTAAGGAGGCCTTCTGGCTTTTGTGCCTAATTGGTTAATGTGTGATTAATCATTTCACACTTAGACTTACTTTTTTTCCTAATACATCCATTATATCAGCAATAACCATCCAATTTCACAGTTCTTACATATCCTGAATATCTGATATACCGGAGATATTGCACCTGCCTGTGTATTTGCTTCCATCAGTTTCAAATTTCAGTTTATCACAAGTGAAAGTTTTAACAATTATATCTCTCATGCCAGAGATTGATCATGCCTTCCATACCACTAGTAATAAAGTACTCATTTCCAGATGACTATCTGATGATTCAACTCCAAAATCCCTTTTTAGTTTCCACTTCCTTGAACCACTTCTGATTTCAGCCTTCTTAAAGTTCCTAGGCAACAGATTGAAACAAATTTGCTTATACCATGTTTATTGGAGACTACCTTCAGGATAGACACCTGTGGGAGAATGAAGGCCATGAGATTGGGCTGACAAAGTTGTTAAACTACTCTGCAACTGCAGTAAAGAACTCAGATGATTCTCCAGGGAGCTCTGGAGCTGGCTCAGACTTTGTGAACTGCCCAGAATTGACATAGTATGACATTTGCATCCCTTCGGTATCAATGTTATTGGATTCAGGTTGCCCACGGGAAGAAGAAATTCTTTTCTGGGTGTCAGAGAAATCATGCTAGCCAAAGACCCTCAGAAATTGGCAGAAATCTTGCAAACGGCATGCCATAAAGCCTCATTCTGGACCTGGGGTCTTAAAAATCCCTAATGATATATGAATTGTGTGTATATTACTTTTGGTGTTTGATTTCTCAGCTGTAATTAAGAGGATATATAATATTATTATTTTCCTTTAATTATTATTATTTTAGCAACTTCAAAGAAAAAAATCTCAAAATAATGTCTCAAATAATATCAGCATTCCTTGAAACATGGTGACATTTGTTTTTCCACCTCCCATTAAAATAACCTATTCTAGTTTCTCCAAGTGTATATATCATAATACTTTTTGGCAAACCATAAAAAAATTTATTAACAAATCAGATACTAATTCAGACTTGAGGTATGCAAAATAATTTAAAACTGAGAAATGTTACAAGTTTCTAAATATTGTCTTCCAGCATATTTTTTTTTTCTGCAGATAAGATAATGAATGCTTCAATGAATTTCAAGGTGATAGGCAGAGAAATTCAGTGTTAAGGATCATAATAGACCCCAGATACCTGCTTCCAATCTGTATGTTCCAAAAACTGGATTTCTCTGATTTCCAACATGCCTTGATAAAAATTGAATTCTTTTACAAAATATCAATTGCTCCAAAATTTGAGATAATCCCATTCAATTATTCTGACAACATTTGAAACTAAATACTTAATGGCTAAATGAGAATAAATTGTATATAAAGTATAATTTTTAATTCCTTCTTTTTGGTATATTTTCATATATGTCTTCATTTTTAGTGGCATTTCAGAGATTTTCTTATCAAATCTTGTTAATAATTTTTGAATATTCAATGTGTTTATTTTGATGCTTTATGTGCCCCACATATCATAATGCATTTTCCTAAGATTTCTAAGAGGTAGTTACTATACTATAGCATCCTCACTTTCTAGATGGCGAATAACACAGAGAGATTGAGAAATTTGTCTGAGACTATGTAGCTAAAACTAAGAAAATGCTGTTCCCTTGGTTATGCAAACGGCTGGCTAATTCTCAATTCTCATCTTGATGTCTCTGTTCAAATGTCACTTACTTCAAAAGACATGTCCTGATCATTCTATCTAAAGTAGAGTCATACAATCTACTCCATAGAAATTATCATAATCTGTAATTATACTATTCACTTTTCCTTGACTTGCCTATTTTCTATCTTGTCAGATTGCAAGATTCATGAAAAGAAGAAACTTCCTGTCTTTTGCTATGTCATGACTGCCCATCATATAATAAGAGGCTCATTGAATATTTTATAAATGAATGAATAAATATTCCATTTTAGTCTCATTTGGAATAAGTCCCTAATATACTTAGTCAATTAAAACAAATTGTGTCTTTATTTGAAAAAAAAATCCATAGGTTTTTGGGGAACATGTGGTATTTGGTTACATGAGTAAGTTCTTTAGTGGTGATTTGTGAGATTTTGGTGCACCCATCACTCGAGCAGTATACAACTGCACTCTATTTGTAGTCTTTTACCCCTCACACCCTTCCCACCCTTTCCTCTGAGTCCCCCAAGTCCATTATGTCATTCTTACGCCTTTTCTTCTTCATAGCTTAGCTCCCACTTATGAGTGAGAACACATGATGTTTGGTTTTCCATTCCAGATTTACTTCACTTAGAATAATAGTCTCCAATTTCATCCAGGTCACTGTGAATGCCATTAATTAATTCCTTTTTATGGCTGATTAGTATGCCATCGTATATATGCATATATATATGTCTCTCTCACAGTTTGTTCATCTACTCATTGATTGATGGACATTTGGGTTGGTTCCATATTTTTGCAATTGCAAATTGGGCTGCTGTAAACAAGCATGGGAATCTTTTTCATATGATGACTTCTTTTCCTCTGGGTAAATACCCAGCAGTGGAATTGCTGGATCGAAGTTAGTTCTACTTTTATTTCTTTAAGGAATATTCACACTGTTTTCCATAGCGGCTGTATTAGTTTACATACCCACCAGCAGTGTAGAAGTGTCCCCTGTTCACTGCATCCATGCCAACATCTATGTTGTTGTTTTGTTGTGTTTTGTTTTTGTTTTTTTCTTTTGTTTAATTTATTTTTTTATTAGTTTTAGGGTATATGTGCACAACGTGCAGGTTAGTTACATATGTATACATGTGCCATGCTAGTGTGCTGCACCCAGTAACTCGTCATTTAACATTAGGTATATCTCCAAATGCTATCCCTGCCCCCTCCCCCCACCCCACAACAGGACCTGGTGTGTGATGTTCCCCTTCCTGTGTCCATGTGTTCTCCTTGTTCAATTCCCACCTATGAGTGAGAACATGCGGTGTTTGTTTTTTTGTCCTTGCGATAGTTTGCTGAGAATGATGGTTTCCAGCTTCAGACATGCCCCTACAAAGGACATGAACTCATCATTTTTTATGGCTGCATAGTATTCCATGGTGCATATGTGCCACATTTTCTTATCCAGTCTATCACTGTTGGACATTTGGGTTGGTTCCAAGTCTTTGCTATTGTGAATAGTGCCGCAATAAACATACGTGTGCATGTGTCTTTATAGCAGCATGTTTTGCAATCCTTTGGGTATATACCCAGTAATTGCACGGCTGGATCAAATGGTATTTCTACTTCTAGTTATAGATCCCTGAGGAATCGCCACACTGACTTCCACAATGGTTGAACTAGTATACAGTCCCACCAACAGTGTAAAAGTGTTCCTATTTCTCCACATCCTCTCCAGCACCTGTTGTTTCCTGACTTTTTAATGATCACCACTCTAACTGGTGTGAGATGGTATCTCATTGTGGTTTTGATTTGCACTTCTCTGATGGCTAGTGATGATGAGCATTTTTTCATGTGTCTTTTGGCTGCATAAATGTCTTCTTTTGAGAAGTGAACAACCCTTCATGCTAAAAACTCTCAATAAATTAGGTATTGATGGGACGTATCTCAAAATAATAAGAGCTATCTATGACAAACCCACAGCCAATATCATACTGAATGCGCAAAAACTGGAAGCATTCCCTTTGAAAACTGGCACAAGACAGGGATGCCCTCTCTCACTACTCCTATTCAACATAGTGTTGGAAGTTCTGGCCAGGGAAATCAGGCAGGAGAAGGAAATATAGGGTAGTCAATTAGGAAAAGAGGAAGTCAAATTGTCTCTGTTTGCAGATGACATGATTGTATATCTAGAAAACCTTGTCCTCTCAGCCCAAAATCCCCTTAAGCTGATAAGCAACTTCAGCAAAGTCTCAGGATACAAAATCAATGTGCAAACATCACAAGCGTTCTTATACACCAATAACAGACAAACAGAGAGCCAAATCATGAGTGAACGCCCATTGACAATTGCTTCAAAGAGAATAAAATACCTAGGAATCCAACTTACAAGGGACATGAAGGACCTCTTCAAGGAGAACTACAACCACTGCTCAATGAAATAAAAGAGGATACAAACAAATGGAAGAACATTCCATGCTCATGGGTAGGAAGAATCAATATCATGAAAATGGCCATACTGCCCAAGGTAATTCATAGATTCAATGCCATCACCACCAAGCTACCAATGACTTTCTTCACAGAATGGGAAAAAAATACTTTAAAGTTCATATGGAACCAAAAAAAGGCCCGCATTGCCAAGTCAATCCTAAGCCAAAAGAACAAAACTGGAGGCATCACGCTACCTGAATTCAAACTATACTACAAGGCTACAGTAACCAAAACAGCATGGTACTGGTACCAAAACAGAAATATAGACCAATTGAACAGAACAGAACCCTCAGAAATAATGCCGCATATCTACAACTATCTGATCTTTGACAAATCTGACAAAAACAGGAAATGGGGAAAGGATTCTCTATTTAATAAATGGTGCTGGGAAAACTGGCTAGCCATACGTAGAAAGCTGAAACTGGATGCCTTCCTTACACCTAATACAAAAATCAATTCAAGATGGATTAAAGACTTAAATGTTGGACCTAAAACCATAAAAACCACAGAAGAAAACCTAGGCAATACCATTCAGGACATAGGCATGGGCAAGGACTTCATGTCTAAAACAGCAAAAGCAATGGCAACAAAAGCCAAAATTGACAAATCTGATTTAATTAAACTAAAGAGCTTCTGCACAGCAAAAGAAACTACCATCAGAGTGAACAGGCAACCTACAAAATGGGAGAGAATTTTTGCAATCTACTCATCTGACAAAGGGCTAATATCCAGAATCTACAATGAACTCCAACAAGTTTACAAGAAAAAAACAAACAACCCCATCAAAAAGTGGGTGAAGGATATGAACAGATACCTGTCAAAAGAAGACATTTATGTTTTTGTTTTTTCATTATGGTCGTTCTTGCAGGAGTAAGGTGACATCACATGTTGGTTTTTATTTGCATTTCCCTGATCATTAGTGATGTTGAGCATTTTTTCCTAAGTTTGTTGGCCATTTGTATATTCTTTTGAGAATTGTCTATTCATTTTCATAGCCCACTTTTTGATGGAATTGATTGTTTTCTTCTTACTGATTTGTTTGAGTTCATTGTAGATTCTGGAAATTAGTTATTTGTCAAGTGTATAGATTGTGAAGATTTTCTCCCACTCCGTGGGTTGTCTGTTTACTCTGCCAACTGTTCCTTTTGCTGTGGAAAATCTCTGTAGTTTAATTAAGTCCCACCTGTTTATCTTTGTTTTTATTGCATTTGCTTTTGTGTTCTTGGTCATGAAATCCTTGCCTAAGCCAATGTCTAAAAGGGTTTTTCAAATGTTATCTTCTAGAATTTTATCTATTTCATGTCTTAGATTTAAGTCCTTAATCCAACTTGAGTTGGTTTTTGTATAAGGTGAGAGATGAGGATCCAGTTTCATTCTCCTACATGTGGCTAGCCACTTATCCCAGCACCATTTAAAACAAATGTGTCTTGAATTTTTACTCCTTTATTCTTCCATATAAATTTTGGTATCATTTTGCTCAAGTTTGCTTGAAATTATAGTAAATAAAACTAATTTAGTTTAGATTTTTGTTTTGCAAAATTTAGTTTTTAAAATCCAAGAACATGATATGTTTTTAATGTATTTTATTTTTTTCTAATTTTTAGGTGATTTTCTGTTTTTTTTCATTGAGGCTTTTTTCATTCATCACCCCTTGCTCTTTATTGCCATCATTGACTAGTGGTAAGAGAAGCAGTAGTCGCACTCATGTGGTAGTATTAAAACAAGAAGTAAGAGTAAAGTTGGATTAGGAATAAAAGTCGTAAGTGCTGGAATTAGCATGGAAGCAGTAGGAGTTATTGCCATGTAATGGAATTTCCTCTTCCAATTTTTTTTTCTTTTTTTGGAGGTTTATTTTATTTATTATACTTTATGTTCTAGGGTACATGTGCACAATGTACAGTTTTGTTACATAGGTATACATGTGCGATGTTAGTTTGCTGCACCCATTAACTTGTCATTTACATTAGGTTTTTCTCCTAATGCTATCGCTTCCCCTACCCCCCGCCCCATTACAGGCCCTGGGGTGTGATGTTCCCCACCCTGTGTCCAAGTGTTCTCATTGTTCAATTCCCACCTATGAGTGAGAGCATGCAGTGTTTGGATTTCTGTCCTTGTGATAGTTTGTTCAGAATTATGGTTTCTAGCGGCATCCATGTCCCTGCAAAGGACATGAACTCATCATTTTTTCTGGCTGCTTAGTATTCCATGGTGCATATGTGCCACATTTTCTTAATCCAGTCTACCATTGATGGACATTTGGGTTGGTTCCAAGTCTTTGCTATTGTGAATAGTGCCACAATAAACATACATGTGCATGTGTCTTTATAGTAGCATGATTTATAATCCTTTGGGTATATACCCAGTAATGAGATGGCTGGGTCAAATGGCATTTCTAGTTATAGATCCTTGAGGAATTGCCACACTGTCTTCCACAATGGTTGAACAAGTTTACACTTCCACCAACCGTGTAAAAGTGTTCCTATTTCTCCACATCCTCCCCAGCACCTGTTGTTTCCTGAGTTTTTAATGATTGTCATTCTAACTGGTGTGAGATGATATCTCATTGTGGTTTTGATTTGCATTACTCTGATGGCCAGTGATGATGAGCATTTTTTCATGTGTCTTTTGGCTGCATAAATGTCTTCTTTTGAGAAGTGTCTGTTCATGTCCTTTCCCCACTTGTTGATGGGGTTGTTTTTTTCTTGTAAATTTGTTTAAGTTCTCTGTACATTCTGGATATTAGCCCTTTGTCAGATGGGTAGTTTGCAAACATTTTCTCCCATTCTGTAGGTTGCCTGCTCACTCTGATGGTAGTTTCTTTTGCTGTGCAGAAGCTCTTTAGTTTAATTAGATCCCATTTGTCAATTTTGGCTTTTGTTGCCTTTGCTTTTGGTGTTTTAGTTATGAAGTCCTTGCCCATGCCTATGTCCTGAATGGTATTGCCTAGGTTTTATTCTAGGGTTTTTATGGTTTTACATCTAACATTTAAGTTTTTAATCCATCTTGAATTAATTTTTGTATAAGGTGTAAGGAAGGCATCCAGTTTCAGCTTTCTACATATGGCTAGCCAGTTTTCCCAGCACCATTTATTAAATAGGGAATCTTTTCACCATTTCTTGTTTTTGTCAGGTTTGTCAAAGATCAGATGGTTGTAGATGTGTGGTGTTATTTTTGAGGCCTCTGTTCTGTTCCATAGGTCTATATATCTGTTTTGGTAGCAGTGCCATGCTATTTTGGTTACTGTAGCCTTGTCGTATAGTTTGAAGTCAGGTAGCATGATGCCTCCAGCTTTGTTCTTTTTGCGTAGGATTGTCTTGGCAATACAGGCTCTTTTTTGGTTCCATATGAACTTTAAGGTAGTTTTTTTTCCAATTCTGTGAAGAAAGTCATTGGTAGCTTGATGGGGATGGCATTGAATGTGTAAATTACCTTGGGCAGATAGCATTGAATGTATAAATTACCTTGGGCAGTATGGCCATTTTCACGATATTGATTCTTCTTATCCATGAGCATGGAATGTTCTTCCATTTGTTTGCATCGTTTTTATTTCATTGAGCAGTGGTTTGTAGTTCTCCTTGAAGAGGTCCTTCACATCCCTTGTAAGTTAGATTTGTATGTATTTTATTCTCTTTGTAGCAATTGTGAATGGGAGTTCACTCATGATTTGGCCCTCTGTTTGTCTGTTATTGGTGTATAGGAATGCTTGTGATTTTTGCACATTCTTTTGTCTCCTGAGACTTTGCTGAAGTTGCTTATCAGCTTAAGGAGATTTGGGGCTGAGACAATGGAGTTTCCTAAATATACAATCATGTCATCTGCAAACAGGGACAATTTGACTTCCTCTTTTCCTAATTGAATATCCTTTATTTCTTTCTCTTGCCTGATTGCCCTGATTAGTATTCATTAACAAAACAACAGTTATTAACCTTCATCAATATAGAACTGTTTTATAAGTTTTAATGGGTTTTCAACTGATATCTTGGGTTTTATGAAGGTATGACATTATTTCATCCTTTCCAAATCTGTAATTCTTCTTTCTGTTTGTGCTGGTTCTGGCATGTTTGCTTACAGATCCGTTCCTTTGGCTGCTCTTTCTTTCATGTGGTAAATGACCCCTGTAGGCATCATTTTTCAAGCTCCTGTATTAAACAGCTTTTGGCTGGTATAGCCAATGATAGGTATTAGTAGAGCTTGAGAGATAAACTATAGGGAGACTCCAGTGTATCTTTTCTCCCCTCTCTGCTGGTACCCCTGGCATTAGAGACAGTACCATGAATGGCTGCCAATCTCTGGGGTGCCTATTGAGCTTCACAGATCTTCCACCCTTACAAATTTAAAATTATACTGATTTTAATGTCAATACTGATATTGACAAATGAAGTTCCACCCATGCTAAGTTTACAAAAAAATTAAGTGAAATACGTAAATACTTAGGAGTGCATTTGGTGCCTCCGGTCCTGTTTAAAAACAGCCAAAATATAAAGCAAAACACTGCTTTAAGCGACATAGGTGGTTCCTGTCAAATCACTCATGAATTGATTAAATTTTGCTCAATATAAAGTTATTCAATCATGTCATAAATGCCTCAGAAATTATTAATACATGATTTAGACATTAAAGTTGAAGATTTTTATTTAAATTCTAAATATAAGTGACTAAACACCTTCTATAAGTAGAGAGTAAAGAGCTTATTGATGAAACCTAAGGTTTATTCTTATCTGGAAAGTAGAAAATCCACCAGCAAGGTTAGACAAAAAATACAGTGATAGCAAATGTAGGCAATTTTGTGATGTAGACAGTAAACAACACATGAGATACATCCTAGGAAAAAATGCATGCAAATTGTATATCTCTTATGCAATAAGCATGTTAGATTTTCAGTTGAAAACTAAATATAGAAAACAAAAAAGCAAATGAAACAAATGAAATGTTATAATAAAGAACTAAATGAAGATAAAGTTTAAGCATAAAAAAAAAAAAATTCCAACTCCAAACTAACAGAATGTAAGAAATAACCAAAATCAGAGCTGAACTAATGGAGCTAGAGATATGAAAACTATATAAAAGATCAATGAATCCAGAAGCTTGTTTTTTGAAAAAATTAATAAGTGATAGACCACTAGCTAGACT
Organism: Homo sapiens; assembly: GCF_000001405.40. Lineage (NCBI taxonomy): Eukaryota > Metazoa > Chordata > Mammalia > Primates > Hominidae > Homo > Homo sapiens. The sequence continues at coordinate 103,138,971 of NC_000001.11, forward strand.
AATAAAGAAGAAAAGAGAGAAGGTCCAAATAAACACAATTAGAAATGACAAAGGGGACGTTACCCTTGACCCCAAAGAGATGCAAATAAATACCAGAGACTACTATGAAAATCTCTATGCCCACAAACTAGAAAATCAAAGAGAAATGGATAAATTCCTGGACACATACATCCTCCCAAGACTGAACCAGGAAGAAATTGAATCCCTGAAGACACCAATAATGAGCTCTGAAGTTGAATTAGTAATAAATAGACTACCAACCAGAAAAAACACAAAAAACAAAAAAAAAGCCGAAGACCAGATGGATACACACCCAAATTCTACCAGATGAACAAAGAAGAGCTGATAGCATTCCTACTGAAGCTATTCAAAAAAATTGAAAAGGAGGGACTCCTCCCCATTTCATTCTATCTATGAGGCCAGCATCATCCTTAAAGCAAAACCTGGCAGAGACACAACAACAACAGAAAAAGAAAACTTCAGGCCAATAACCTTGATGAACATAGATGCAAAAATCCTCAGCAAAATACTGACAATGATGAAGTAGGATTTATCACTGGGATGCAAAGTTGGGTCAACATACACAAATCACTAAATGTGATTTGTCACTTATACAGAACTAAAGACAAAACCTACATGATTATCTCAGTAGATGCAGAAAAGGCTTTCAATAAAATTCAGCATTCCTTCATGTTAAAACTCCCAATAAACCAGGCACTGAAGGAGCATACTTCAAAATAATAACAACCTTTTATGACAAACCCACAGCCAACATCTTGCTGAATGGGCCAAAGCTTAAAGCATTCCCCTTGAAAACTGGAACCAGACAAGGATAACCACTCCCATCACTTCTCTTCAATATAGTATTGAAAGTCCTGGCCAGAGCAATCAGGCAAAAGAAAGAAAATAGAAGGCATCCAAATAGGAAGAGAGAAAGTAAAACTATCTCTGCTTTCAGACAACATGATTTTATATTTAGAAAACCTCAGAGTCTCAGCCCAAAAGCAACTTGAGCAAAATTTTGGGATACAGAATCTGTGTACAAAAATCAGTAGCATTCCTATACACTAACAGAACCCAAGTCTAGAGCCAAATCAGGGATGCAATCTCATTCACAACTGCCACAAAAAGAATAAAGTACCTAGGAATACAGAAAACCAGGGAGGTGAAAGATCTCTATAATGAAAATTGCAAAAAACTGATCAAACAAATCAGTGATGACACGAACGAGTGAAAGAAGATTTCATGCTCATGGATAGGAAGAATTAATATCCTTAAAATGTCCATACTGCCTAAAGTAATCTATAGATTCAAAGCTCTTCCTATCAAACTACCAATGACACTCTTCACAGAACTACAAAAAAAAAAAAAACTATTCTAAAATTCATATGGAACCAAAAAAAGAAAGAGCACAAATAGCCAAGTCAGTCCTAAGAAATGGTGTCACAGCTGTAGGAATCACATTGCCTGACTTCAAACTGAACTACAAGGCAACAGTAACCAAAACAGCATGGTACTGGTACAAAAACAGACACATAGACCAATGGAACAGAATGGAGAACCTTAAAATTAATCCACACACCTACAACCATCTGATCTTTGACAAAACTGATAAAAATAAGCAACAGGGAAAGAAGTTCCTATTCAATAAATGCTGTTGGGATAACTGGCTAGCTATATGCAGGAGATTGAACCTGGTCCCTTCCTTTAAAACTTATGCAAAAATCAACTCAATATGGATCAACGGCTTAATTATAAAATCTAATCCTATAAAAACCTTGGAAGATAACCTAGGAAATACCATTTTGGACATAGGAACTGGCAAAGATTTCATGATGAAAATGCCAAAAGCAATTGCAACACAAGCAAAAATGGGCAAATGCAACTGAATTAAACTAAAGAGCTTCTGCACAGCAAAAGAAACTATCAGCAGAGTAAAATAGGCAACTTGAAGAATGGGAGAAAATATTTGCAAATTATATATCTGACCAAGGTGTAATATCCAGAATCTACAAGGAACTTAAACAAACATACAAGCAATAAATAAACAACCCATTCAAAAGTAGACAAAGAGCATGAACAGAAACTTTTCCAAAGAAGACATACATGTGGTAAAGAAACATATGAAAAATGCTCAATATCACGAATCATTAGAGAAATGCAAATGGAAATCACAATTAGATGCCATCTTTCATGAGTCAGAATGACTATTATTAAAAAAGTCAAAAAATAACAGATGCTGGTAAGGTTGTGGCAAAAAGGGAACACTTATACACTGCTGGCAGGAGTGCAAATAAATTCACTGCTTTACTCAATGGTAGACTTGATAAAGAAAATGTGGTACTTATACACCATGAAATACTATGCAGCCATACAAGTCAATGAGATCATGTCCTTTACAGGAACATGGATGGAACTGTAGGCCATTATCCTTACCAAACTAACACAGGAAAAGAAGATCAAATACTGCATGTTCTTACTTATAAGTGAGAGCTAAATTATGAGAAAGCATGGAGAAAGAAGTGAACAGCAGACACTAGGGTCTACTTGAGGGAGGAAGTTGAGAGGAGGGTGAGGTTGAGAAAGAAAAGAAAGCAACTGTCAGGTAAGATGCATAGTACCCAGGTAATAAAACAATCTGTACACCAAACCCCTGAGTCATGAGTTTACCTATATAACAAACCTGCAATATACCCTTGAACGTGAAATTAGTCAAAATATTTAAAAAAGTCATCTATTTCCTCTGGGGACTGTGTGTATCAAATAAATACGTTAAATTTATATTGTCAGTTATTAATATTTCCTCACAAATTTGGCAATACTTCTAGTGTACAGAGTAATGTTTGATTCCAAGTCTATTTCCCTATGCCAGAAACTACTTTGGCAATTATCAGAGTGATTTTCTGGGTTGCTGTAAGATATAGACACTGAAAAACTGAGTCTATTTTACTCAGTAAAATGCAGTTTTCTGAGGATGAAGTGGTTTATGGAATGATTTTATCAATATTAATGATCCATTGTTCTCCACATTCACAAATTACAAAATAAGAAACTTCAATTTTGATATGATTTTACATAAATGTTGTAAAATACTGGAATACATCAAAATACATAAAATATTTAATGACAATCATTAAACATTGGTTTAATAAATATATTTCAGAAATTATTTGGACATAGTATGGAAAGAAAGCAAATTAATACACAACATATTCTTTCAGTGTATTTAAGTTATAATTTTACTTACTTTGTTTCCGTTTATTTTGCGCCATTATCTCAAAAAAGTATTGTTGAATGTTATAAATTCTTCATAACTATCTACCTGGCATTCAACAAACCATATCTATAATCTAATAAGAAATATTTCTCTTGATAAGTTTACAGTTTTGCTGGTAAGATTGTTTCTTTTCTTAAGGAAAACAATAAACATAAATTGTAATTTTGAAAACCAAGGTTTCTGGACACAATTTAGACTAAAGAAAAACAGAGTTAATTTGGTCTTCTTAATAAATCTACAGAGATGTGGTAGTAGGTTTTCCTCAGATATTTATCAAGTAAAGAATTGGGGTTATGATTTATACCTGAAAGAAGAAGAAGTGGTGGAGGCTTCAGCAACATAATGATAGGCAAAGAATGAGGTGATGACAGGCAACATGATATTTCTTTGTGGTGGAACTGGTTAGGACCTTTAAAACCACAAGGATGTCAGCTGGGTGTGGTGGTGCATGCCTATAGTCCCAACTACTTGGGAGGCTGAGGCAGGAAGATCCCTTGAGCCCAGGAGCTGGAATCCAGCGTGGGCAACACAGTGAGAACTTTTTCTCTTAAAAAAAAAAAAGAGAGATTTGCATTTCTCTGATGACAGTGATAATGAGCATTTTTTCACGTGTCTGTTGGCTGCATAAATGTCTTCTTTTGAAAAGTGTCTGTTCATATCCTTTGCCCATTTTTTGATGGGGTTGTTTGATTTGCACTTGTAGCCTAGAACTTAAAGTATAATGAGGGAGAGAGATAGAGAGAGAGAGAGTGAGGGAGAGAGAGAGAGAGAGAAGAAAAAGATGCCTAATAATTTTTTTAAAAAGGAAGAAATATTACATTAAAAATTGCTGATCATAGCAGGCAATGAGGTGGTATGTGTTCTTGGAAAGTAAGCTGGAGAAAAGGAAAAAGCCACACAACTTGGAGTACTGATGAGAATATAGAGAACTTTAGAAAAGAGTTTGAGAGTGGGCTGCTTAGATACAAGAGGTATCCCATGTACACTCCCTCTCTGTCCAATAAAATATTTGCAGAGGGATCTCCATATACATATTTGGAGGCCCTTCTCCATATGCAAGGAAGATGACAGTACTTGTTTATGTTTTTGAATATTTAAATATAGGGTCACTCCTGGAAGACATGAGGACTTTGGATCATCAAGGCATCTTGATTAAGTTTGTTGAATACTAAGCTACAGATATGATAATACAAGATAATTATATTATATATATTATATATATATGACATAAAGACTATTTTATAAAAGCTTTTTTCAACTACCTTGGGGAGGACACATGGCTTGCGATTTGAATGAGGAGATAATAATGAGAGTATGCATGAAGGAATTCTGTCTCATCTAGATATACCAAGCGTATCAAACACGCTTTAAAATAATAAGTGACATTAAAATCTACATACAACTATATGTTAAATAAATAATACATTTCAGCTGAAAAGCTTAACATTTTATAAGAATATGAATACTTGGAATGATTAAAACTCATCTAATCCTCCAGGAAAGAAGCAGAATGACATTTACTTTATAGGCTAGACAAGTAACTCACTCAAAATCAAGCCTTTGAGAATCAGGCTGAGAAGCATAGCTTCTTGGATAATATTATCAAATGTGTGGAAAATTTAACTATATTTTTCAGAACAGTATCACTGCTCCTTTTAAATGAAGAGATTTTAGAATATTTCCTGCATTCTTATGGTGTAATTTGGGATCATCTTTTCCCTTTTGATCAGAGTACATCTCTAGGTTAATAACTGAAGTACTTCCTAACTGTACTTATACAGTGACATTATGTATTTTTCCCATATCTTTTGCCAGTGTTTGAAGGAGAAATGAAAAACAAGCTGTAAACTATGTTGGAGACACGTAGGATGGACATGGAGTTGATTATATGTGTACAATATGTTTTAGCTGAAGCTACCAATACCACAGTTGTCTTTTAATGAGATTGAGGAATAAAATTGTCCTCTCACATTTGCCTTGGAAAGTTCATACATGGATCTTGGAGTGAAAAAATTGAAAGATACTGATTTACAGGAATGGAGATAATAAAATTTAACTAAAAATAATTATATTTTATTTTAAAATACATTTTACTTTAAAAAAAACCATAGATTTTTTTTTACTATTAATTCAGGCATTGAACAAATATTCATTGCGGACATACAACTATGTGCCACACATTACATTACCTCCTAGACTTAAAAAAGGAAATAGGAAAACAAAATCTCTGTCAATAAGTGTTCAGTTTTTTGATATCTAGTTTGGCAAATTAACTTTACCATATTCAGAAAAACTCTTGTCAAAATATGACACAGTGGAAAATATTATAAAAGCATAAACTGCAATGGAAAAATTATGTAATCTTAAAATTAAATGTATCCTGATGAATGGGCAAGGCTTAAAATTAATAAAGTAGAGTTGTTACAAAAACTATTGAATCTAAGCAGGCAAAGGGATATGGAAAATTCCACCTAGGATGAAGTGGGTCTAGAAATTCAGTTCCATTGCTTCAAGGATGAGTTATTATAGGACAGTCTAAATATGGCGGAAAAATTCTGATCATGAAACCAAACTAACTTCTTTCTTTGTGACAAATACTCTATTTCTGGAAAATATGCATTTCAAAGCACCATGAAAGGCTGAAATTATGAAAGAGGAATTCAAAAGTTTGAAAGCTCAGCTGGTCTGAGGTGAGGAAAAGAATGTGAGGTTTGAAACACCAAAGTCAAATACTCTAGGCATGAACTCTGGGAAATCAAAGACCATACCCTAGAACGACCCTTTTCAGGTTTAGGATGTACTAAATATTACTACTTATGATTGTTCAACTTAAATTTTATATCTGTTACTTTTTATTCACATCTTTTTCTACTATACAAAATCCATTTGGATGAAAATATTTAGTTTGAAAAGACTTCATTATTTTTCAGTAAGGAAATGCATTACAATTGACTACTAACACTTGATCCTACTAAATATTAGCATAAGTATACTTACAAGAACATGATATACATTTTACAAATAAAAGCAACGATGGGCGCTAAACAGCATTTTAAAATATCACAGTCTTTTTGAACACTAAAACAAAATTATTCGTTGTTGGTATTTTGTTGAAATTTAAAAATATATATTTAATCACTTGTTTCCTACTAAGGTTTTAAAATGTGATAAATATATAAATGATCATAAAGAATTTTATTTGGAATTCTTAGCCTTGAGTTAGACAAATATTTTCAATTAATACACAGGGAGTCAAATCTTTTGCTTAACTTAAGTCAGTGTCATTAAAGCTATCATCTCTGTTAGAAAAAGAAATTAAAGTTAGCACATCTACAAGGCAATGAAGCTCGCCAAGTCCCTGTGTCTGCAGGCAGGCTGCCCAAACAAACAAAAAGTAAATAAATAAAATAATTAATGTCACTTTTAGCTATTTGTGCTGAAGCACAGTGTTACTCTTTGGTTGAATGGTGCTAGTGGAAGGAGTTTGAAAACAGGAAATGGAAAGGGAAAAAAGAGGCTCTTTCATGAATTACTGAATCTCTAGACACCAAACTGCCTTAACCTCTGAATTCTCTGCTTGGAAAAATGCTTATTTACCTTTACTCTTGAAAACTAAAAACTATGCTACACATTAATAGTATGAGATAACTTAAAATGTAAAAGTTAGTTGTATATTTTTTAATAATTTTACCCTGTCACTGTCTCGCCAGAGAATCTGAATAAGCTCCTTATGAACAGTACCTCTAAAAGATGCTATTTTTCAAAGAGATGAAAAATAGTCTAATTTCATGGACAGATAATAGGTCTCCATTAGTAGAAAACTACATTTTTGGTTTCTAATTTCCATGAAATTTCTTAAATTATTTTTTTTTTTAGTTTCAAAGTCCATAAAAGGAAGGAAAAGTGCATTTTTTAAGTGTGTGGGCTGTTTTTAATTTTTCCAGCCTACTTTAGTTGACTACAAGCATGAAAGAAAACCAAAAAACTATTTCACACTAAATGTACTGTAGGAAGGGAGTGGTGTTAGTGGTTAGAGTGTGGGCCTCATAGCTCAATTTCTTGAGTTCTATTTTGGGTTTCATGCCTGGCAAATCCTGTGGTTTTGTGATAGTTGCTTATATGGTCATATATGGGCTTGCCTATCTGAGGATTGGGTGTTGGGAGTTCTCTCCACTTCTAAGAAGTGGTGTTAAGTAGAGTCTTGCATTAAATTCCTTACCCAACTAGAACTAAGATTGTATTTCAAACTTGTCACCTGACCCCACTTCTTGAGATACAATTCTTAAAATATTTTATTTCCAGATGTCTACTCACAATGTTCTCTTGTACTTAATATGTGCAATAACGACTAGATATTGAAATTATACATGTTCTCCCATATTCAGACTGTACCTCATTTTATCCTAATTACTAAATTTCATTTGGTTGTGAAGAATAGGAATGTCTTCTTGGCCAACTTAGATCACAAATACATTTGCTTGAAAGGGTTCATCAGTATTTCACCGAATCCCAAGACAAATTAATCAGCCAAGCACTAGGAAACATGGGAATTAGGCTAGTTTCTGATCCTTAGTAGAAAGAATTCACAAATTGTTCCACTGGGTTAACGTCAGTAGTATGATCATGCATCTACGATTCCACAAGCCCTTTTGTCTCAATTTCATGCTATAAATTCCCAGATAAGTACTATGATAGGTCTGAAACTATGAAGAGTCTCATCTCTGGATTAGTTATCTGAGGTGTAGGATTGAGATTATTTTCTTAGCAGAATAACTGATATAGTAGCCATATATGGGTAACAGGAAAGACAATTCTCAAAAGTGAGTCTTGGAGACCAACCTATAGGTCTCCATTATATTCACCGTTTATCTACTCATTCAACAAATCTACAGGCTTCTTATAACCTACTAGATACTATGATAAGGACTTAGAAAAATGCCCGGTCTATTTGTGCAAGAAGATAAATAACTATACATTGTACAACTACTCTAAGACAAGTATGAAAAAATAATTATATGAGATGAAAAAGTATAAAAGGGGGAACAATTAACTCCCTAAAAAGAGCATGGAAATTATACTGGATAAAAAGTATTATACTGGAAATTATACTGGATACAATTATATAGGTTGCAAGTTTGTTTCTGTTTTTTTCTACTGGAAAGAATTACCTCAGGTTGCAAGTTACAAAAAAACAAACTAAACAAAGGAAGGTAGCTTTTTTTTCTTAATAACATAGTAAGAATTCCAAAGGTATTTGGCTATTCACATTAGGTCTGCAGTTCTGTGAATGATGTCAAGATCTTTTCCTTATAATCACAAGAAGTCTGAAGGAACTCGCTCTATAAAAGAGCTAAATCTATTTTTGTTGTTGTTGTTGTTTTGTTTTATGTTTTTTCTTTTGTATTTTTTAATAAAGAAGGCAAAACCTGGAAATTGTTTATTTCTCATGTCCACGGATCAATTATAAATGTAAAGGAGGCTTTAATAAGAAAAGGTGTGTATTTGGTTTCCTTGAGACTTTAGAAGCCATATCACTGATAACCCATACACTAAGGGACTACGGAAACCCTTCTACAACCTTGCAGAGAGTTTGACTGTCTCTTCCTGCATCCTCTGCTAACTTTCCAAGTTGTATTCACATAGTGTTATGCTAACATTACACATTTCTTTGCAGAACCTCCTCTCCTTCATATTCTTTACATTGTGCTCTTATGAAGTCTATTTTATGATATAAGAACTCCCCTTCATCCTCAACCTCTTCACAGAATGTCCTCTTCTTTTTCCCTGACTGAAAATAAGTTTCCATACCTTAGGACCAAAAGGTGAGGTTAACTTCCTATTTGTTTCTCAACCACTGCTTAGGGATTATTACTTCTCCATCCTTACATAAAACTCATACACATTTCAGGCGTTAGACTTTTTAGCAACTTGGTTTTCTATCTCTCCTCCTTGTTTTACTGCTACACACCCTGAATACCAAATATTTCACAATTAATTTAGGATTTCTCTCTCCACTTTACTCTCTGCCTTCATCTTAGAGGATTGTAATATCCAAATAAACAGCCGATCTAAAACACTGCTCTCAGTTTTTGGTTTTTCTCTTCTTTGGTAGTATAATAACTATCATAATTAATATAATGTATAGTGTTATGTAATAATATATAGCATATGTTATTTTAATGAAGTATAAATATTATATTAGCCTTGGCACAGTGGCTCATGGCTGTAATCACACTTTGAGAGGCAGAGGCAGAGGCAGGAGGAAACTTAAGCCCAGGAGTTCAAGAACAGCCTATACAATATAGCAAGACCCTGTGTGTACAAAAACGAAAAAAATTTAGCTGAGTATGGTGACATGTTCCTATAGTCCAAGCTACTTAGGAGGCTGAGGCAGGAGCATCACTGGAGCCCAGGAGGTCAAGACTACAGTGGGCCATGCTTGTGCCACTGCAGTCCAACCTGGACAACAGAGTGAGAACCTGCCTCAAAATAAATTTTTAAAAATATTATAGTAATACTAAACTCACAAATTTGTCATGAATAGAAAAAATATAATAAATATATCCAGCACTGCACCTGCTACATAGGCAAAAATAAATCTTACTACTTTTTTTTCAATCTCTGGAGACTAACTTCATGGCTAGATCCTTGATCTTCTCAATGTTCAAACTGCTCACTTTTTGAAATGTTAACTTTAAACATCTCAGCTACTAGCTTCTGTTTTTTTGTCTCTTCCTTAAAGCTATTCTTCCTATAGCTTATTTTACTTCACACCAACCTTGATTCCCTAGATCGTCTGATTTTGTGTCCATTAATCCTTTCTTGTTCAATGCAATATTCCCTTTTCTAGCTTAAATTTCATAGTTCTTTATCTGAACCACCTCCTCACCACTATTCTCAACACTATCACTCAATTAGCTTTTTTTGTAACATTCTAGAAAAGACCCAACCACAGATTAATACAAGAGTCCAGCCTCTTCCATTTCTATAACAACTTTAATTCTGAAATTAATAAAGCTACCCAGCTTTCTCCTGAATTGCGTTACCTAATATCTTGGTCCATTACTTTCCTTTTTATCGTTGTGTGTATCTATATTTAAGATGGGTTTCTTTTAGACAACATATAGTTGGGCATTATTTTTTTCACTCCAAAAATCTCTGTCTTTTAACTGGTAAAGCTCATCGACATTCAAAATGGTGATTAATGTAGGTGGAATAATATCTTCCGTATATGTTATGGTTTTCTTTGTTGCCCTTCTTTGTTTCTATTTTTTTCACTCATTTCCTGCCTTTTGTGGTTTTAATAGAGCATTTTATAACATTCCATTATCTCTCCAGTCTCAGCATATCAATTAAACTTTATTTTTTACTTTTTAAAGTGAAAAACAAAAAAAATGAAAAATATTACCCTGGAGTTTACAATAGACATTTACAACTAAAGAGAATCTACTTTCAAAAAACACCATACGGTTTCATATGTAGTGCAAGTACAAATATTCCCAATTCCTCCTTTTCATCCCTTGTGTCATTGCTGTCATTTGTATACATTGACATTGTATAATCATTGAAAACATTGTTGCTATTAATATTATTATTGTGAACACTGTTATCTGTTAGATCAATTAAGAATTTTAAAAAGTTTCATTTTACCTTCACTTATTCCTTCTCTAATTCTCTTCCTCTCTTTATGTAGAAATATTTCTTCCCTATTATTCTTATCCCTGAAGAACTTTTTAAAATTTTCTTGCAAGATAAGTCTACTCATAACAAATTCCCTCAATGTTTGTCTCAGAAAGATTTCATCTCTCCTTAACTTTTGAAGGATAATTCCACAGAATACAGAATTCTAGGTGGATTTTTTTGTTGTTTGTTTTTGTCTCTCAACATTTTAAATATTTTGCTCTCTTCTCTTCTTGCTTACATGATTAGCAGAAGTCAGATGTTATTCTCATTGTTGACTCCCTATACCTAATGCTTTGTTTCCTCTTTCTTCTTTCAAGACTTATTTACTTTAGATTTTCTGTGCTTTGCATATGATATGCCTAGGTGTAGTCTTACTTTTGCTGTTGTCATTGTTTCTGTTTTTGTTGGTTTGTTTTTATCCTGCTCAGTGTTCTCTGAGCATTCTCAACCTGCAGTTTGGTATCTAACATTGTTTTGGGGACAATTATTTGGGGACAATCAGTTATTATTGCTTCCAATTACTAATTTTATAAATTTTATGTTGTCAGATATAGGATTTCCATATATATTTATTATTGAGATTTGATTTGTGACACAGTAATTTTGAAACAGTGTAACCATTTGGGGTTGTGTTTAAAATGTATTAAGCAATAAGATATTATCATTAGTTGGGGGCAAATTATTCCCTCACAACTGTAGTGACCAAGTGTCCCGGTTTGTCTGTGACTGTCCTGTTTTCAGTATTAAACATCTCATATCCCTGAAACTCTTCCACTCACAATACAATAGTTGATCACTGTACCACTTCCAAGATAAGGCACTCTTGGATGCTCTACCCAATGTCCCATGGATCTACGTTTCCCTAGTAGGAACAGACACTTTCTCTCTGCATATCTCTCATCTCCAGTACTGTCCTGTAAACTCTAATGTCATGTTCTCTGTGGACTGTCAGCTTTTTCTTCTCAACTTAGTGGGTCTTCCTCATTCTACCTGGCTTTACACTTTCATGGCATTGCTCAGAAAAACTCTCCCAGCAATTATAAGAAACAATAATAACTCATATTTCATTTGTTTTTCACTTTTCAGCGATCACTATCCTTTCTTGCCTGATGCTTTATGTCTTAAAACTTTTGCCTCATGTATTTTTTTTAAGTTTTTAATTGTTTCAGGTAGTAGAGTAGATTGAATCATTGTTACACTATCTATATTGGAAGCAGAAATCATTCTATTGACTTTTAAAACTATCTATCTTTAAAAGGCTTGTTCACATTGACTTTCACCATCAAACATAGTAAAATTATATCTTCAAGAATAATTTCAAATGTAAATATTCCTATGTGTACTAATTCTATCAATTAGCTTTTATAAACTCCTCAAAATACCATTCGATGATGCCATTCAGGCAGCATCAGCACTAGTGTGAAGCAAGGCAATCATCTAGAGTGCAAAATTTAATGAGGCATTCATTCTCCGGGTCATTTAAGTGCACAACCTTGAGGATTCATGCCTTTTTAAGACTGAGTCTGTGAGAAACAGATTCTCTCATTATTTCTTAATATATAAATACAAGTCAAATGCTTATTCATTGGAAGTCCTGAAAGTCTTATGGAGCCACATTCAGATTCCATGTAGTTTTATGTTATTAAAGTGCACATTGGTTATATATTTATTTTTCCAAAATTGTGACCTGGAAAAGTGGAGAAATGTGTTTTATTTACTTTCCACAAGTCTGAATTAAGATACTTTTTGTCCAGAGTCTGAAGATTGTTGATTCTTGTTGTCATTATTGTTTTTGGTACTGGATATTTATTTAAGCACGTGATCAGAGAATGAACAGAATAGATTTAATAGTTGGTATAGGCAGGTTTATCTCCTACTTTATTCAAAGTGTAGGGTTGCTTGGTGTGATGTAACTTGAAATGAACTGTACATTTTCTATACACTGAGTATGGTAGATAATGGTAATTGTACATTTAGACCACTGTCTAGTACAATAAACAGCTCTGAAACTTTGGGTAAGAGCCTCTAAAAGAAGCTACTTCTGGGAGAAATCCCCTGCATTGGAAGTCTTGAATTTTTTTCCTGTTATTTCAAAGGCTTCGGAGATAACTTGTGAAATGTCAAAACTCAAACTTGTACTATACAGAATTAGAGAGGACCTTCCAAATATTCTGAAGCAAGAGCCACATAATTAGCGTCACTTTCATGAGATTGGAATTGGTGTGTCAACAAGGAATATTAATACTTTTTGGCAATCAAATAATTTCTACTCTAAGCTATATATTCACCTGGGCACTGGGTACTTTCAAATGTTCAAAAGACACTACTGATGTCTTCATGGGGCTTACAGTATGTTAGAGAAAACAGATCTCTTGAAAATATGACATAATAAATGTAAGTGCTACACAAGAGATGTAGCTATTGTGACAGCTAAAAATGGAAACATTTCCACTTGCCAGGGTAAGTGTCCCTAGGAAGTGATATTCGAATGAATGAAATTCAGAGTCTGAATCATCAATGCAAAAAGAACAAGGAATAATATTTCAGAAAGGGAGATCAACACACAGATGGAGGGAGAAAAAAAGTAGAAAAGACTGAAAGAAGACTGGTGTATCTTGACTGAGAGAGAATGAGGAGGCACAAGGGCAATAAGACTTTGGAGATAACTTAGGGATAAATTATGTGAAAGCCTCTTGGTCAAGTTATTATACCAGCAATGAGAACCCAACAAAATATTTTAGACAGAATATAACAATTATCATACTTATATTTCAAAATCTTTGCCTTGGATATAGTATGGAGAACAGTTTGGAGTTGCGTCAGAGTGGTGTTTGGAGACCATTTAAGGAGCAATTGAAGTATCCATTGCAGAGATAATGTGAGCCTAAAGATAAAGGGTGGTAAAAATGGAAATAAATGAATAGATTCAAGAGATGTTTTGAAGGCAAAATTGACAGTTTTAACTCTGTAAGTTAGTGAAGCTGTTGATAGAAGAATCACACATATAATTTAAACTCTGTGCAGTGAATCTTTGTGGGAATACGTATTTACCAGAATATCTTAATTTCAGTAGTTCGTGGAGAATGGAAGATTTTAGATATATAACCTGGGACCAATATGGAGGGTAGCCCAGACAGAATTCACATGTAATTTGAGAGATATGTCAAAAAATACATGGAAAGAGGTAGAGGTAGATAAAAAGATGAGGTAAGGAGATTTTGTGATATAGTTTTTTTTTTTTTAATAACATAAAAAGCAGGAAATTTAAATTAAAAAGATTCAGAATCAAGTTATTACTGTTATCACATTCTGGCTCTAAGATTTGGGCAGACCACCTAATACCTGGATCTTAACTCAGAGATACTGTGGGCAGAGACTCAGAACAAGATAATGTAATTAGAAATAAATTTAACCAAGGAGGTGTAAGATCTGTACTCTGGAAACTATAAGATATTGATTAAAGACATTGAAGAAGATACAAATAGAATGATTGCTTGTGTTCATTATTAACATTGTAATATAATTAATATTATAAAAATGGCCATTCCACTCAAAAAGAACTATAGACTCCGTGCAATCCTTATCAAAATCCCAATGGCATTCTTCAGAGAAATAAGAAAAAAATTCCAAAATTTGTATTGAATCAGGAAAGATTCAAGGTAGCCAAAGCAATCTTGAGAAAGAAGAACAAATCTGGAGTAATCACACTTTCTAATTTCAAAGTGCATTACAATGCTACAGTAATCAAACTAGTGTGGTACTTGCATAAAAACAGACACATAGACCATTGCAATAGAATGAACAACTCAGAAATAAACTCAGGCGTATATGGTCAACTAATATTTGACAAGAGTGTCAACAATACAGAAAATGGGGACATGATAATCTCTTCAATAAATGGTGTTGGGAAATTGGCTATCTTCATTAAAATAAATAAAATTAGATGGCTATTGTACATCACTCATAAAAATTAACTTGAAATAGATTAAACTTAAATGCAAGCTCTGAAACTATAAAAGCAGGGAAAAAGAACATAAGGTAAAAGCTTTTGACAATGCTCTTTGCAATGACTTTTTGGATACAACACCAAAAGCACAAGAAACAAAAGCAAAAATAAGTAAGTGGGACTATATCAAGTTAAAGTTTCTGTGAGGCAAAGAAACAATCAGCTAAATGAAAAGTAAATAAATTTTATCTTACTGTTATAGAGTAAAATAAAATATCCGTTATATGGTTTGGCTTTGTGTCCCCATCTAAATTTCATCTCAAACTGTAGTCCTTTCTCAACACCTCGATTACAATTAGAGATGAGATTTGGGAGGGACACAAAACCAAACCATATCACAGATATTTTGAGAGGTAGGAGGTGATTGGGTCATGGGGGCTGTTTCCCCCATGCAGTTCTCATGATGGTTAGAGAGTTATCGTGAAATCTGATGGTTTTGTAAGTGTTTGGCAAGTTCCTCCTTCACTCACACTTCTCCCTTCTGCTGGCTTGTAAAGAAGGCGCCTGCTTCCCTTTCACCTTCCAACATGATTGTAAATTTCCTGAAGCTTCCCCAGCCATGTGGAACTGTGAGTCAATTAAGCCTCTTTCATTTATAAATTACCTAATCTCAGGTATTTCTTCATAGCAGTGTGAGAACAGACTAATACAATCTGCAAGCCATATGTCCAATAAGGTTTTAATATCCAGAATATGTAAGAAACTCATACAACTCAATAGCAAAAATTAGTCAAACAAACAAATATCAAAAACAAATAATTCAACTAAAAACGGGAGAAAGCGCTTGAATAGACATTTATCCAAAGTAAGTATACAAACGACCAACATGTACATGAAAAAGATGCTCAACTAATCACCAGGAAATGTTATTCAAACCCAGAATGAATTATTACTTCACACCTGTTAGGATGACTGCTATGAAAAAGTTTAAGATATAACAAATTTGGCAAAGAGATAGAGAAAAGGGAACGCTTGTATACTATGAAGAAGGTGGTGATGCAAATTGATACAGTTGTTATGGAAAACAGTATGGAGTTTCCTCAAAAAATTATAAATAGAACTACCGTATAACCCAACAATCTCACTTCTGGATATATATCTGAAGGAACAAAATCAATAGTTTGAAGAGATATGTGCACTCCCATGTTCATTGCAGCATTACTCACAATAGACAAGACATGGAAACTACTTAAGTGTTCACTGACAGATGAATGAAGAAATTGTGGTGTGCATATATGTGTGTGTATGTATGTGTGTGTGTATATATATGTGTGTGGGTGTGCATATATAGATCAATTAAATATTTTAATATTGTAATTATGGCCCTTTAAAAATTTTAGAAAAAAATACATTTGTGTCACAAGTTCTCCACAGCAAAAGAAACAAGTTTTTTTGTTGTTATTATCTCTAGAAAAGAAAGAACAAGTTAAGATAAAATAATTAAATACCACAGAGCCATTTGTGTTAGGTTTGTAGTTACAAACATACCTTGGAACTTGAGAGGGTAGAAAAATGCTAGTAATGTCTCAGAACATAGACCTCATGCTTGTAGAAACTTTTTATTATTCCGTGCATTCTTTTTTTTTTTAGACGGACTTTCGCTTTTGTGGCCCAGGCTGGAGTGCAGTGGCGCAATCTCGGCTCACGGCAACCTCCGCCTCCCGGGGTTCAGCGATTCTCCTGCCTCAGCGTCCCGAGTAGCTGGGGTTACAGGCATGCACTACCACGCCCAGCTAATTTTGTATTTTTTGTAGAGATGGGGTTTCTCCATGTTGGTCAGGATGGTCTGGAACTCCGGACCTCAGGTGATCCGCCTGCCTTGGCCTCCCAAAGTGCTGGAATTACAGGCATGAGCCACCGCGCCCGGCCTAATCTGTGCATTCTATTGAAAATTTATTTAAATTAGAGTGAAGGAAAAAAATAGACATCCACCTACAAAGAAAAAAAGAAACAGAGTAGATATAACAAACATTTAATATCAATAAAATTCTAGAAGCCAGAAAATGGTTGGAAAGTGGTACTTTCATTTAGAAGATGGTAAAAAAATAAAATCTAAGTGTTCAGAGAGCAAGCCAACAAGTAAGACCTTCATGTCAAAGAATCCACTAAGTCTTAGTACTTAGAGACACCAGGTACCTCTGGAAAATAACCATTAATAAATTTTGAAGTTTATAAGAAATATGTAGATCCTCTAAGCCTTTCCTCTGTTTGAAAAAACAGACACATTTTCTGGCGACCTCTGGCAAAAGAATATGGAAAGACTGAACAAGACAAACGGTATTTAGGGATAAAAGAGAATGGGCATGAAACACGGTTTTTAAGAAAAATAGTGGAAAATAGTAAATTTTAATATTGAAGTCCCTTATACCTCTGGATTCTCAATATTCCTAATTGCATTGCTTTGTGCCAAATGAGGCACAAGAAAATGAAGATCTTCTGTCTACTGTTATTGCTATGAGCAATAAAATGTCCTTTTTTCTTGGATCCTCTAGTCTTGTGTTTTCTGCCAACATTCATGAAAATGAGGCATGTTAATGTGCTAGCTTGCAATTAGGGCAAAATATCAGCCACTTCATAATTCTTAATGGTCACATATTTACAAATCAGAAAACATGGCTCACAAGGTTAGGTGATATGTTCAAGGTCACATAACTAACAGAGCATAAGGTCAGATATGAACCTGCCTATATGACTCCAACTTCACCAACAGATATGTTATTTGAGTTAACTATTTGATAAGCAAGACATCTTAGTAAAAAGGATTTAGTGATGGGGGAAGTTATCTGTGTAACACATTCACATAGGATATATCGGGCTTTCATTGGCATGGTTATTAAGAATTATCTATAAATACTTCGGAAGAAGAAGCTTTACCTTCCCTTAAAGCAAGCAAAACTCTAAGGATGGTCTTCTTAAAAATCTGCAATGGACCCTGGAACAGTAAACTTTTCCTGAGTGTTATTATAATATATTCTTCTTTTGAAAGATTTCTGGATGACATTAATTATAACAATGAGGTATTAAAGTAATGTGATGTCCAAGAACGCTACTCTTTATTATCCTTAACTTCAAAACAAGAGTGGCAAGTGTTTAGTCCAACAGAAAATAAAAATCAAACTGGAAAAACCACAAAGTGATTTCAAACACATGAAGCTGCTGCTACTGCTGAATAATGGTTAGCCTTGACCAACATCTCTCTTTCCCACTTCTTCTGATTGCCTTCCAATTACAGGAACCACAGGAATTAACTCTAGGCAAACAAAGCCCTGGACGTGTGATAATAATCTTTGCCACAAAATACATGAGCTAGTCTGGAAAACCTCACCTTCAGAAGAGGACTTTCATTTTTGTTAATGCATTGCAAACTTTTTCGGAGATGCCTGCGCTGAGTAGAACTCAATGAAGTTGTATGGTGGGTAACAATAAGAAGAGATACATAATAGTTCCTGGAAAATCTAGAAAAACACTTTCTTCCCAATAGTCTTCCTTTTCATTCTTTAAAGCTCCTATTACAGAGCTAAAAAAAAGGATGTTC
Source organism: Homo sapiens (assembly GCF_000001405.40). Lineage (NCBI taxonomy): Eukaryota > Metazoa > Chordata > Mammalia > Primates > Hominidae > Homo > Homo sapiens. Next base: position 103,157,472 of record NC_000001.11, read on the forward strand.
CACTATTAAAAAAAAAGTTATTGTTAAAAATTCAAATTTGTCTTGGTACCCAAAGATTCCCTAATGTCTTTGGACTTCTCAAGGGAGTCCAGCAGCCTCCAGAGGCTGGGAGGAGCAGAGTAACATACTCTTATGCTTATTTCTCCTCAACAATGGTCTCAGCTTCCAAATCTATTTCTCTAGGCATTTAAGTATCAAGATATGTTATTAGTGACAGACTCAAGATTCAAATCCAATACACCTTAACCCCTAAATTGCAATATTTATATTTCTTATTTTTAAATTAAATAAGCAGTAATTGGGCTAAGGCTGTCTCTATGCTTTGAGTTCCCATAGGGAAAATAACAACAACAACAAACCAACAATAAAAGCTCTGTAACTAACTTATTATGTAAACACATCAAAACCTAACTTAGGAGGATATATATATATATAAATTTTATATATAATAAATTATATATATAAATTAGCTAGGTTTTCAATCACAGACAGGTAAGCTTCATCCAATCATAGACAACAAACTGATCAGATCATAACCAAATAAGGTAAATGCCTCATCACACCACACCCAAATAAGGCAAATGCCTAGCTTTAGCCAATCAGGTGATTGCTCTACTCTGCCTGATGGCTGGCTTGTAAAAGTTCTCTGCTCATGCTTCTGGGTAGAGCTCACTAAACTTCTGGTTCTGAGTGCTGCCAGATTCATGAATTGTTCTTTGCTAAAATAAACTGTGTGAAATTTAATTTGTGTAAGGTTTTTAACATTATGCTGTCTTCCCACTGGAAAATGCCTCAATGGAAGATAGAGACAAGGATCCACTAAAATGGCAATAAACAGCACCAAAACTCAAATTTGCCTTATTTTAGAATTTTCCATAGTGATTTCATATAGCCCTCAAAACTCAAAAGAATAATAAAAAATAAACAGAAGTCACAGATTATTCAGGAGCAAACTAAGGCCATATCAAAAACTTCAATATGATATTTTTAGCTAAAGTCTTCTTCAATTAATTTTTCTTACAGGAAAAGCACTGTGGAAGTGAATGTAAGAATTATGCTTATCAATATGCATAAGCATGTAAGCGTCAAAGTATTTGATGCTGAAGTTTAGTGCCCAGAAAAGTGCTGGTCATTTAGCAAATTACTGATTGATAAAAGTTAAATATGTGAATAAATGAATGAGTGATTAAACTAATTTTTGTTTCTGTCTTCAACTTCAGCTAATCCTATGACTAAACTCATTCACACCACATTTTCTGAACTAACCCAGATCATATCTGGAAGTTTATTAGAAGCTTCATCTTCATTAGTAGGTAGAGTCTAGAATTAATCTTGAGCCCCTGTCTAGGTGCTCCACAAGCCTGTGATTTGCTTTTAAGCTCTCCTGAACCATCTAAGCAGCACATTTCTACTTTAGCCTCCATTGCATAAATCAGGTCCATATGAGTAAGTTCCTTCTAGGATCAGAGATCCACCTTAATGAGTGAACTTTTGATCTTCATTCTAACCCCATCTTCTTGCCACAGAGGCTCATACTCATACTTTGTTCTAGCAACTGATTGGTTTGTTATCTTGCTAGGGATATCAACTACCACACCTTACTCATCATACGAAACCTATTAGATATTATGCAGTGTTTTATATTACTTAATGTATTTAAAGTTTTCCCTAGATAATACCTTCTTCAAAAGCAATGATTTTCTTGTTTTGTTTAATCCATTTGTTGAATACTATGCTAGGGCTATAATATATATTCAATAAATGCTTGTTCATCGACTAAACATTTTTTGTTCTAGCAATTTTTCTCTGATATGCAATATGATAGAGCATTAATTTTTCTGTTCAGTAATAATTCAGATTAATCATGATTATTTTGAATTATTTTATTCTACTGACACATAATAAATGCACATATTTTCAAGACAAAGGTGATAATTTAATACATTCATGTATTAGTAAAGATCAAATCAGTGTAATTGTGACATCTGTGGCCTTAAATGTTTGTCCTTTCTTTACATTAGAAAACTTCAAGTTATTCTCTTCCAGCTAATTGAAATTAGCATTTCTAATTTTAAGCTATGTTTTCTAAAAGCTATTATAATTTTATTTAGTCCTATATCCACTGCTCATAATATTATTTTCTCAGCATTCCCATCAACGACACTCATTTTAAACTTTCAACAGGCAATTTTAGTTTATATTAAGTAGTCTTAATAAAGTTTTGAATAAAGCAATCAATATTATCAATGTGCTCAGCAAAAAAGAATAAAGAATATAATTTTAGAAGTACTTATCTGAATTAATAAATTTTAGATAGCTATCATTTAGAAGACAAAATCAACAAATACTTATTAAACATCTTTGCCTTGTACATTGTTAGATCCTGGGAAGGAGATAAATAAGTTAAAGGAAATTATTTCTGCCTCTACGGAGCTAAGGAACCATGTGAGTAACATGTATATCTAAGTTTAAAATAACAATTATCTGTACACCAATTCGAGGTTCAGATAAACAAGAGATCAGTGTAGGTTAGAGGGTATAAAAGAACCTCCTCTGGACATGAGAATTAACCCTAAGCCTTTTGAGGTGGATATAAATAGAGTGGAGGAAATTAACCATGTGGAGCAAGAACACTAGCACATATATAAGGAATAGAAAGATGGCTATTTTCTTAAGACAAAAAAGATATAAAGCTGAAAAGGAATCTTGGTACAGACTGCAGTGCAGTAAAAATGATGTTAAAGCACTATTTTCTCTATTGAATGTGCATTTTAAAAGAGAGAGAGAGAAAGAAATCTGAAATTAGCAATAAGAGGATACTGTACTTACTGGACATATAAGGCACCTCCTAAAAGGTCTATTTTATTAGTTGAGAATTCAGCAGGAAATAGGTGGCTCATTCACAGGATGTAGTTAAAGAGCATTTAATGAAGGAGCTATTTACAGGATTGTGGGGGTTTAAGGAATCCACAAGGGCTGGTGAATCACCCAGAGAGTAGCAACAGTGGGAAGCTGCTACCATCTTAGGCTTGATGTGGTAAGGGGAGAGAATGCTATTAACAGGAACCCAGAGAGAAACAGAACACTGGAAGAGGATCTCCAGATGGAAGCCACAAATGGACCTACTGAAAAGCTATTGCCTAGCAAGGGCTAGGGTATGGTCAATAGACCACCTCTCCTTTTCATTGCGTCTATTTGTTAACCCAGTGGTTCATAATGGGGATATCTTTGGGAGTGTCTGGAGACATTTCTAATTGCTGCAACTGGAGGAATGAGAGCATTGGCATCTGGTGGATTGAGGACAGAGGTGCTGATAAACATCCTGCAATGCACAGAATAAACCACCTCTCACCCCCACCACCCGACAAATAATTATTCAGCTGAAAATGTCAATAGTGTCCAGGTTGAGAGATTTGGTTGAATTAACCAAATCTAATTGGAAGCCAAAGGAAAAGGGGACTAAATGATATAGCCCATTGGCATCAGCCTTTTGGGAAAAAATTAGTGCACAGAAGGGCAGAATAAAGCTCAGAAAGTTGATGTCAAAATAAAAAATAACAAGGACAGGATCAGTTTTTTCTATATTTTCAAAATGATCAACTAGTTTGATGATAATTTAGTAAAAATATACAATTAAAAATATTTGCTATTGAAAGTAATATGCCATTTGTTGCAATATCTTATAAGTTAGCAGGTCAATTTGAAAAGAGGAGAATTAAGTTAAACAGTCTTAATGCCATAATCAGGGCAAAGTAAGAGGAAAACATCATTAAATATAATTGTTCCTTTAGTAAATGGGTCAATAGCTTATGGAATTGTTTCAATTTAGAAAATACATTTCAGGCCAGGCGTGGTGGGTCATGCCTGTAATCCCAGCACTTTGGGAGGCCGAGGCAGGCAGATCACCTGAGGTCGGGAGTTCGAGACCAGCCTGACCAACATGACCAACATTGAGAAACCCTGTCTCTGCTAAAAATAAAAAAGTAGCTGGGCATGGTGGTGCATTCCTGTAATCCCAACTACTCCGGAGGCTAAGGCAGAAGAATCACTTGAACCTGGGAGGCGGAGGTTGCGGTGAGCCAAGATTGCACCATTGCACTCCAGCCAGAGCAACAACAGCAAAACTCTTCCTCAAAAAAAAAAAAAAAAAAAGAAAAAAAATTAACTTATTTAAATAATAAATTTTAAAAAGCCAATATTTAAATATTTGTTTTTACATTTCAACATTTAAAAATTGATTTTAAATATTTAATTTTACATTGAGAATAATTGTACACTTGATTTTTTTCTTCAAATACAATATTTGTTTAAATAGAAAGGAAAAAATATATGTAGGAATATGAAATTCAATTTCCCACCAAATGAGAATGGCTTATAGCAGCACCAGAAGAGGGCCTTTACTTTCTAGTTTTTAATAACAATATGGTCCTGAAATCCTTTCTTACCAATCACTTAACTAAAAATTGTATCATGGTCTTTTTTTATGAAGTTTTATTTTTTTTAGATTGTGTTCAAGTGACTCAAAAATGAAATAAAATATCATCAATTATCTTTATTTTTACAACAAATATTTGGAAATTGAGTATCTAGCTGCATGAATCATTAATCAAGAGCTTTCATTTATTTGTAGATATTAGAATTATGTGGATACAGTCATTGTGTCATTGAAATGTTGCTGGAGTTAGTTTTAACTAGTATACACAGAAGTAATAACATCGTTTCCAAGATTGCATTTTAAAATTTAGGACAGAAGCTCAGTTCTCCGCTGGAAGATGATTGTAGCAAAATGCAACTTTTCCAACAAGAGAACTATTGTGTCACTAAAAAAAAGAGTTTCACTAGTCTACACCAATAACTATATAACACATACACAGTTCAGACTGCTTTGTGGTCAGTAATTTTTCACATATATTTAATTTTCAGAAGGTTGATTGTATTTGACTGTGCCTTCACCTCGACTCCTCTGATAACTGAAGCAGGTGGTGCTGAGCCCAGCAATTCAATCATTACAGCCCTGAAATGATTCATCTTATACCCTCAAAACAAGTCCTTCTAGCTTCTCAATTATGGTTTGCCATGTGTGAATGCAGACTCTATGAATGACTAGTGACTACATAATTTAGGTGCAAAAGAATAACCATTACGGCATTTAGATCCTTATCATTATGTTGCATTTCCTGTGCTTATTTCACAGTAGCTGAGAGGCCTGCTCTTATAACAGCTCATCCAAATAAAACCTTGAAAGGTATCAATCACAAAACCTAAATGTTTGGTTTTGTGTATGTGGAGATTTTTTTTTTTTTTTTTTTTTTTTTTTTTAGTTCTGGGATACATGTGCAGAATGTGCAGGTTTATTACGTAGGTATACATGTGTCATAGTGGTTTGCAGCACCTATCAACCTGTCATCTAGGTTTTAAGCCCTGTATATATTAGGTATTTGTCCTAATGCTATCCCTCTGCTTGCCCCCTACACGCCAACAGTCCCCGGTGTGTGATGTTTCCCTCCCTGTGTCCATGCGTTCAACTCCAATTTATGAGTGAGAACATGCAATGTTTAGCTTTCTGTTCCTGAGTTAGCTTCCTGAGAATGATGGTTTCCAGCTTCATCCATGTCCCTGTAAATGACACTAACTTATTTATTTATTTATTTATTTATTTATTTATTTATTTATTTGAGATGGAGTTTCGCTCTTGTTGCACAGGCTAGAGTGCAATGGCAAGATCTCGGCTCACCACAATCTCTGCCTCCTGGGTTCAAGGGATTCTCCTGCCTCAGTCTCCCGAGTAGCTGGGATTACAGGCATGCACCACCACACACGGGTAATTTTGTATTTTTAGTAGAGACACAATTTCTCCATGTTGGTCTGACTGGTCTCAAACTCCCGACCTCAGGTGATCTGCCCGCCTCAGGCTCCCAAAGTGCTGGGATTATAGGCGGGCTACATAGTATTCCATGGTGTATATGTGCCACATTTCCTTTATCCAGTCTATCATTGATGGGCATTTGGGTTGATTCCAAATCTTTGCTATTGTAAATAGTGCTGCAATAAACATACGTGTGCATCTGTCTTTATAGTAGAAAGATTTATAATCCTTTGTGTATATACCAAGTAATGGGATTGCTGGGTCAAACGGTATTTCTGGTTCTAGATCCTTGAAGAATCACCATACTGCCTTTCACAATGGTTAAACTAATTTAAACTCCCACCAACAGTGTAAAAGTGTTTCTATTTCTCCACACCCTAGCCAGCATCTGTTGTTTCCTGACTTTTAATGATGGCCATTCTAATTGGTGTGAGATGGTATCTCATTGTGGTTTTGATATGCATTTCTCTAATGACCAGTGATGATGAGCCTTTTTTTTTTCATATGTTTGTTGGCCACGTAAATGTCTTCTTTTGAGAAATGTCTGTTCATATCCTTTGCCCACTTTTTGAATGGGTTGTTTTTTTCTTGTAAATTTGTTTAAATTCCTTGTAGATTCTGGATATTAGCCCTTTGTCAGATGGATAGATTGCAAACATTTTCTCCCATTCTGTAGGTTACCTGTTCATTTTGATGATAATTTCTTTTGCTATGCAGAAGCTTTTTAGTTTAATTAGATCCCATTTGTCAATTTTTAGATTTTTTGCAATTGCTTTTGGTGTTTTAGTCATGGAGTCTTAGCCCATACCTATGTCCTGAATGGTGTAGCCTAGGTTTTCTTCTAGAGTTTTTATGGTTTTAGGTTTTATGTGTAAATCTTTAATCCATCTTGAATTAATTTTTTTATAAGGTGTAAGGAAGGGGTCCAGTTTCTGTTTTCTGCATATGGGTAGCCAGTTTTCCCAACACCATTTATTAAATAAGGAATCTTTTCCCCATTGCTTATTTTTGTCAGGTTTGTTGAAGATCAGATGGTTGTAGATGTGTGGTGTTCTGAGGCCTCTGTTCTTTTCCATTTATCTATATAACTGTTTTGGTACTAGTACCATGCTATTTTGGTTACTGTAGCCTTGTAGTATAGTTTGAAGTCAGGTAGTGTGATGCCTCCAGCTTTGTTCTTTTTGCTTAGGATTGTCTTGGCTATACAGGCTGTTTTTTGGTTCCATATGAAATTTAAGTAGTTTTTTTCTCATTCTGTGAAGAAAGTCAATGGTAGTTTGATGGGAATAGCATTGAATCTATAAATTATTTTGGATAGTATAGGCATTTTCACTATATTGATTCTTCCTATCCATGCGAATGCAATTTTTTTTCCATTTGTTTGTGTCCTTTCTTATTTCCTTAAGCAGTGGTTTGTAGTTCTCCTTGAAGATGCCCTTCATGTTCCTTGTAACTTGTATTCCTAGGTATTTTATACTATTTGTAGCTATTGTGAATGGGATTTCACTCATAATTTGGCCCTCTGCTTGTCTATTATTGGTGTATAAGAACCCTTATGAGTTTTGCACATTGATTTTGTATCCTGAGACTTTGATGAAGTTGCTTATCAGCTTCAGGAGTTTTTGGGCTGAGATGATGGGGTTTTCTAAATATACAATCATGTCATCTGTAAACAGAGACAATTTGTCTTCCCCTCTTCCTATTTGAATACGCTGTATTTATTTCTCTCGACTGATTGCCCTGGCCAGAACTTCCAATACTATGTTGAATAGGAGTGGTGAGACAGGCCATCCTTGTCTTGTTCCAGTTTTCAAAGAAAATGCTTCCAGCTTCTGCCCATTCAATATGATATTGGCTATGGGTTTGTCATGAATAGCTCTTATTATTTTGAGATATGTTCCTTCAATAATTAGTTTACTGAGAGTTTTTAGCATGAAGGTGTGTTGAATTTTATCAAAGGCCTTTTCTGCTTGCATTAGGTAATCATGTGGTTTTTTCAAATTGGTTCTGTTTATGTGATGGATTACATTTATTGCTTTATACATATGAACCAGTGTTGCATCCCAGGGATGAAGCTGGGTTGATAGTAGTGGATAAGCTTTTTGATATGGATTCGGTTTGCTCATATTTTATTGAGGGTTTTTGCATCGATGTTCATCAGGGATATTGACCAGAAATTTTCTTTTCTTGCTGTGTCTCTGACAGGTTTTGGTATCAGGATGAGGCTGGCCTCAGAACATGAGTCAGGAAGGAGTCCCTCTTTTTCTATATTTTGGAATAGTTACAGAAGGAATGGTACCAGCTCCTCTTTGTACCTCTGGTAGAATTCAGCTGTGAATCCATCTGGTCCTGGGCTTTTTTTTAGTTAGTAGACTATTAATTGCTGCCTCAATTTCAGAACTTGTTATTGGTCTATTCAGGGATTCGACTTCTCCCTGGTTTAATTTTGGAAGGGTATATGTGTCCAGGAATGTATCCGTTTCTTCTAGATTTTCTAGTTTATTTTCATAGAATTTCTGTGGGATCAGTGGTGATATCCCGTTTATCGTTTTTTTATTGGGTCTATTTGATTCTTCTCCCTTTTCTTCTTTATTAGTCTGGCTAGCAGTCTATATATTTTGTTGATTTTTTTAAAAAAACAGTTCCTGGATTCATTGATTTTTTGAATGCTTTTTCATGTCTCTATCTCCTTCAGTTTTGCTCTGATTTAGTTATTTCTTGTCTTCTGCTAGCTTTTGAATTTGTTTGCTCTTGCTTCACTAGTTCTTTTATTTGTGATTTTAGGATGTCAATATTTAGATCTTTCCTGCTTTCTGATGTGGGCATTTAGTGCTATAAATTTCCCTCTTAACACTGCTTTAGCTGTGTCTCAGATATTCTGGTATGTTGTCTCTTTGTTCTCATTGGTTTCGAAGAACTTCTTTATTTCTGCCTTAATTTCATTATTTACCCAGGAGTCATTCAGCAGCCTATTGTTCAGTTTCCATGTAGTTGTGCAGTTTTGAGTGAGTTTCTTAATCCTGAGTTCTAATTAGATTGTACTGTGGTCTGAGAGACTGTTATGATTTCCGTTCTTTCGCAATTGCCGAGGGGTGTTTTACTTCCGATTTTAGAATAAGTGATATGTGGTGCTGTGAATAATGGATATTCTGTTGATTTGGGGTGTAGAGTTCTGTAGATGTCTATTAGGTCTGCTTGGTCCAGAGCTGAGTTCAAGTACTGAATATCCTTGTTAATTTTCTGTCTTGTTGATCTGTCTAGTATTGAAAGTGGGGTGTTAAAATCTCCCATTATTATTATGTGGGAGTTTAAGTCTGTTCGTAGGTCTCTAAGAACCTGTTTTATGAATCTTGGTGCTCCTGTATTGGGTGCATATATATTTAGGATAGTTAGCTCTTCTTGTTGCATTGATCCCTTTACCATTATGTAATGCCCTGTTTTGTCTTTTTAAATCTTTGTCAGTTTAAAGTCTGTTTTAGCAGAGACTAGAATTGCAGCCTCTGCTTTTTTTTGCTTTCCATTTGCTTGGTAAATATTCCTCCATCCCTTTATTTTGAGCCTATGTGCGTCTTTGCACATGAGATGGGTCTCCTGAAGTGTGTGGAGATTTTTTTTTAAAGTTTATTAGAAATCCTTAGCTTTCTGCAAGTTACATATAGATATATATTACCTATTGTATATATTACAATATATATTGCTTTTATTGAGAAATATATTTTTGTGTTAAGTATGCTTTAAATATGTACACAATTGTGTTAAATTGTGTTAAATATGTGTTAAATATTCTGGCCATGTGCTCTGCTTTTACAAAAAGCACATCCCCAAAAGTACATGGAATATATTGTAATATATACAATCATGAATTAGACAAAATGGGTTTTTAATGTCTTCACACTACACTGGCAGGCTGCTCATTTCCCCTCTGCCCCATATGCCCCTATATGCCAGATGAAATCTTTTTGCTTGTACACCACATAAAAGCATTCCCACAGGACCTTTCTCCTCCTAAAATCACAAATATCAATGGGTTTTAAGTATTTCATATAGTTTCCTTTTCATTATATATTTTCCTTTTTTGCAGCAGTTGTTTGAAGTTAATGCCTAAGCCAATACAAGAAATTAAGGAATAATTCATTCAAAAGGAATGCTACTATGTGTTTGGTGCTGACATAAGCACTGGTAATACAGGAGAAAAAAAAAAAAGTAAGAAGAGCCCTTGACCTTATACTGCTTACATTCTAAAAGTTTAGCAGTAAGACAATGAATAAATGAAATAGGTAATTTAAACAATTATACCCACATACACATAATAATGAGTTGAAGTTTTAGTTGGATTGATCAGTGAAGGCTTTGCTGAGAAGGTGATAATGGAGTAAATGCTCAAAGCAGATGAGGTAGCAAACCTTTGAAACATCTATGGAAAGCAAATATTGAGCAGAGGAAAACAGCATGTGTAAAAGCCCTAAAGTGTGAGCACTACTGGCAGCATAGAAAGAAGGCCGGTGCAAATAAAAAGGAATGAGCCAAGAAAAGAGCAAATGACTCTGAGAGAGAACAGGATCTATATTGGGTGCAATTACATGTTGGGTCTTAAAACGTTTTTAAATATTATTGATAACTCTTCTACCATCCTGCTATTAGAAAGCAGCATGGTGTCTGTGTGTGTGTGTGCGGGTTGGGGATTATGTGTGTGCTAAGAATGATAACATAGCAAGTGTAGTGGTGTGCTCCTGTAATGCCAGCTACTTGGGAAGCTGAGGTGGAAGGATTGCTAGAGCCCAGAAGATTGAAGCTGCATTGATCTGTGATCACACCACTGCACTCTAGCCTCAGCGACAGAGCAAGATCTTGCTTCAAAAAAAAAAAAAAGAAAAAAAAAACTATATATATACACATATATATACATATATGTGTATATATATATATACATATATATACATATATGTGTATATATATATATACATAGCCTGAACATACTGATGGCTCTAAAATTTCCTATATCCCAGTCTCCTCCCAGCTGAAAACATAATCCTTAACTACTTTTTCTCCTTCCCAATGCTTTTCTTTGTATTTTTAATAACACATATATGTGTCCCATAATTATATGTAGCTTAATTTACTTGTGTTGTAATTTTATTTAAATCACATCAGAATGTTTGCATTCTCTGCATCTTTTTTTACTTTACATTTTATAAGATGCAGTTCTTGATATATGTAGATGAGGCTCATTTATTTTCATTGCTGTTTTGTATCATAATGCGTAACTCTACCACATTGTATTTATTATTTCCCAGGTTGACATACATTTGGGTTGTTTCCAATGCCTTAGTATTATAAACAATTCTATATTCTTGTACATGTCTCCTGGAACATATTGCAAGAGGATTTCTATGGTTTATATCTGGAACTGATATCGTTTGAATGTATGATATGTACATGTTCGATTTTACAAAATCATGACACATTGTTTTTTAAGTTAGTGTTATGAATTACACTCCACCAATAATGTACACGAATTCTTGTTGGTCACATTTTTGTGAATATATAATATTAGCTCATCTTTCAATTTGATCCCATGCTAGTAAGTGTAAAATGATATCTGTTGTGGTTTAATTTTGGAATTCTATGATTATGTTTATTGGACCTGTGTGGTCTCTTCTATGTTAGCACCATTTCTATTTTCTCTTTTTGGGAGTTTCCTGTATTTTGTCATATTGATTTGTACGTTTCCTTTATAAATTCTGAATATTAAGCCCTTGTTGGTTATATGTTTTGATGTTGTCTCCTCCTAGGTTATGTTATGTCTGTCTTTTTCCCTTAATATTTAAAAGTTTCTGAAAAAAACATGTGATTATAGTCCTTTTTAGTTGCCCAAGAATATTTATATTTGATACAATAATACTAGAGGGATGTTATTATTGTAATATTTTATGGCATTTTTAAGGGAGAAAAAGAATCACTCACAAGGCAAAAGACACAAAGTCAGTCAGCTTTGTTTGTAAAATCCAAATTACCTTCTAGGAAATGCTTCTTATTTATTTATTTTTTATGTTATTTATTTATTTATTTATTTATTTTTGACAGGGTCTTACTCTGTTGCCCAGGCTGGAGTACAGTGGTGTGATCACAGCTCACTGCAGCCTTGACTTCCCAGGCTGAAGCAATCCTCTCATCTCAGCCTCTTGAGTAGCTGGACTACAGGCACACACCACAACCACCACCACACTTGGCTAATATTTTAAATTTTGTTGTAGCAACGGGTTCTCCCTATATTGTCCAGGCTGGTGTTGAACTCCTGGGCTCAAGCCATCCTCCCACCTCAGCCGTCCAAAATGCTGGGATTATAGGCGTGAGCCACCATGCCTGGCTCAGACATGCTTTTGATAGTGGTTTAGAACACACCATTTTTACAGCACTTCCTTTTAGTATAAATATATCTTCTTGTTTGAAGGCTGGATCCAACTAGTTTATTTCTTGGAATATTCAACACATTAACTGAATTTGTTGACTAGATTTTGAATTAAGGTGTCCTTTTGGCACTTCCACAAGTAAAATCAATAATTTTGCATGGAACCAAAATACTTTACAAATCAGTGAAATCTATACTTACAGGTATAATACAAAACTCAAACAGCATAATTTTAATGATCACTTTATCTATGTCAGAACTATGAAAGTAAGCCCCAAGCTTTATTTTCTGTTTTATAAAATATGGTGAAAACTGGATCATTGTTCATTCCAAGTAACCTCTAAAAGTTCATTATTTAATGTAGGATTTCAGTGCAAAATGAATAAAGACTACGTATAAACTAGGTTGACTGATGCAATACAAGGAATCACTTTTTCTTCCAACTTCTGATTTTAATAAAAAATGGATAAAAGGAGCAATGAAACATCTTTGCATTATGAAAATATTATTTTAAACTGAAAATGTGGAATTGTACATTATAACTTAGCACTCGATGCCAAAGTTTATTATGTATTCTTTTTTTTTTTTTTTTTTTTTTTTTGAGACGGAGTCTCGCTCTGTCGCCCAGGCTGGAGTGCAGTGGCGGGATCTCGGCTCACTGCAAGCTCCGCCTCCCGGGTTCACGCCATTCTCCTGCCTCAGCCTCCCAAGTAGCTGGGACTACAGGCGCCCGCCACTACGCCCGGCTAATTTTTTTTGTATTTTTAGTAGAGACGGGGTTTCACCGTTTTTTTTAGCCAGGATGGTCTCGATCTCCTGACCTCGTGATCCGCCCGCCTCGGCCTCCCAAAGTGCTGGGATTACAGGCGTGAGCCACCGCGCCCGGCCTATTATGTATTCTAAATCAAACAAAAAAGTTTGAGAATTCACACAATAGAACAATCTCAGAGTTCACATTTTGTAATAAAACTCTATTTTGTGTTTGCAATTGTTTATGTGGCTCCTTCATATGGTCAGCAGCTGGAAGTTACGCAACATCAAAACCATGAAATGTTCTACATAATTTCCAATGCTCTCCTTATGCAATATTGTAACAGTAGCAGAGTTATGAATTTAAGCTGTAGATAAATAGCACATTTTAATGCATTCTGAGAGAAATGCCCTTAGGGTTCTACAACAATACTAAAAGAACTGAGGTATTCCCATGGGCTCTAAAACTTAATGATGGAAAGTCCACGGGTTGGTGCAAAAACACGTGGAGTGGAAAGAGGTTGTAGAGAAAAATATGTATTTTTTGCAATAGACCTGAGGTTGTCTCAGTTCTTCCTCTTACTAGCTGTGGAATTTATTTTTGTCTTCAAAGTGGAACAGTTAATGCCAGTCTAGTTTAGATTGCAGTAATAAACAACCCATAAACCTTACAGGCTTAAAAAAAGAAAGTTTGTTTTTCCCTCAGGGTACTTGTTTGTCATGAGTTGGCTGGGGCTTTCCATACTATCTTCTCACTCTGTGACATAGCTTGATAGAGAAATCATTTTATCAAAAGTTGTAATGAGCTGCAGCAGAGGGGAAGATGTCCCATAAGTAAATACTTCAGTCCAGAAGTGAAACACGTCATTTCCACTTACAGAGCATTGACCAGCACTCATCATGTGACACCACCTCAACCTTGGTGGCATGTAAAAAAGCATTCTTACCATGCTTCTGGAAACCAGAGATTCAAAAATCCTGGATGTAGCATGAAAGACTATCAAAGGGTTTTTGAGAATTTACTAGTAATCTACATAAGTTTTTAGCATAGTGTTTATAAAATATGGTAAATATCTGGAAACATTCTTCATTAAGTGTTTTATTGAGCATACAATATTGATATTAGCAAATAAGAGAGATAAACATCACTATGAGGTGAATTTTTTAATGCTTACTTTATAGTTCATGTTATGTTAATTCTCTTTGGTGAATTTTTTTTTAATGTAGAAAAAAAGTCCTTTTTCATTTTTACATATTCAAAATGGCATTACCATGACTTGTCCTAATTATCCAACTGGCATGAGTTAGAAAGTTAGTTAGAAATTCAAAAGACTTATGAGTTTACAGACACTGGATATTTCTCAGATTTATTAAATCTGTCAGGAAAACAATGTCATATAACAGTTTTAATAAATTATTTGATTGAAGAGTATCAAACAATAAATTTTATCCAATCTTTTAAAGTTTTTTGAAATAACTAGACCCTAAAATTAATTTTCTTTCTCCAGGATATGCAATTGTTTGCTGGTGGAGGGGGAGAGTGGCCTCCTCCAGATCCTCTTACTTTATTGTTGGTGGGAGAAACAGAATGACCACAAACATTTTTTGGTTCTAAAAAGTTCTAAGCCTTCTAGAATGTTCCACACAGCAATAGTATATGTAGTATTGGATTGGTGCAAAAGTAATTGTGGTTTTGCCATTATTTTTAATAGTAAAACCTGCAATTACCTTTGCACCAACTTAATATTATAGTTTTTATAATGATCATATAATATTTTCTGCTATATTTCAAAATTTTTACAAGATTATTAAAAGCATTGTTTAATTCCATTCATATTCACTGATTATTTGCCTTGAGGAAAAAAAATCATATGTGCATATCAGAAAATAAAAGTCTTGCAAGAAGACCTGACAGATTGTGTGTTCTACTGTTGACCTCTAGCCAAATGAATAGCTCATAATCGACAAAAGGCAATCAATCATATACTATCTAGAAGGTATTTTGGATATAGGTCTGTATTATCATAAATCAAATATTATATGCCAATTGAAAGTTAGTAACTTTTCTCATGAATATAATTAATTGGCTTCCTGAAATTACATCCTAAAACTATTTAAAAAAAACAGAACAAGAGAAAAGTTAACATAACTTTTTAAGACACTTTATTTAGAGCCAAGTAATAGCAGTAGCTTCTTGCTAAGAAAAAGGGATTCTACAACCATAACCATATTTGATACTTACATAAATTAGATTTTCTTACCACTCACCTAAACCATACATATCTTTGTAATCTTAAATAAAAACTGTAAACAAAAAATACTAAAATATTTTACTGAATTTCTTACTTTATAATTCTATACTTTATAGATTAAGAACCTAATAGCAAAAATCCTAGTGAATTTTAAGATATATATGTAATATATGTATACACAGATATATGTAGAATATGTATACACACAGATACATACATATAGTATATCTATACTATATAGTATATATAGTATATATATACTATATTATATAATATAGTATATTATATAATATACTATATTATATATAATATATAGTATATATATTATATATAGTGTATATATAATATATATACTATATATTATATATATACTATAGTATATATAATATACTATAGTATATATAATATATATTATGTATAATATATAGTGTATATCTAGTATATATAATATATATATATATATTTCCCAGGATCACAGACTGATTCTTAATCCCTCTTGAGAGATGAAGCTGGGTGATATGAGCTGAGAATAAGTACAGACAGATTGACTCTATGATGGAAACTCTTAACCACCTACTTTATCGTGCTTCTTTAGAAACTAGGAAATCAACATGTATCAGGAAGTGAATGAATTTTTGTCATGAAGCAAGTGACTCTCTACTATCCTGAATTTGAAACTTAAGATTTCTTAGCATTTTCTTGTTATAAAACAAATTCATACAGATTCATACAGATTCATAGTAATAATAATCTAAACTAAGTTTAAAAAGAAAGCCAATAACCCATAGCTAACATCATACTTAATAGTGAAAGAGTGAATGCATCACTTCCAAAACCAAGAGTGAGGCAAGGATGTCAGCTCGCATCACTCTTATTTAACCTAGTTCTAGAATTCCTAGGCAGTTAATGAAGAAAAAAATAAAAAGGAAATAAAAGGTATTCCAATAAGAAAGGAAATAATAAAACGTTCCCTATTTGCAGAAGACATTGTAGTCTACATAGAAAATTCCAAGGAATCTTCAAAGAAACAAAACACAAGCAAATATCTCTTAGAACTAATAATGAGTTTAGTAAGGCCACATGAAACAAGATTAATATTAAAAAATCAATCATATTTCTATATAATAAAAATAAACACGGGGAAACCAAAATTGAAAACAATTTATTTTATAATTACTCAAAAAATGAAATAGATATTACATCTAACAAAACACGTGCAGTATTTGTGTGCTGAAAATTACAAAACACTGACAAAAGAAAGCAAAGAAGATATTATATAAAGAGATATATGGTTTTATGATTTAGAAAAGACAATACAATAAAGATGTTGATACTTACCCCAAATTAACTTATATGTATAATGCAGCTTCTTTCAAAATCTGAACGATGTGTTTTGTAGATATTAATAAGCTTATTCTAATATTTCTATGCAAAGACAAGAGAACTAGAACAGCTAACGCAATTTTGAAAAAAAAAAAAAAAACGAACAAAGTAGTATGGATCTCTACTCAACTTTAAAGTTTACTATATGGCTACAGAAATCAGACAGAGTGGCACTAAAAAAATAATATATACATAGACCAATAGAGCTGAATACAGGAAATAGAAATAGACACACAGAAATACAAATTTTAAGAGTTCTTAAACATTATACCAGAAGCACAGGTCATAAAAGAAAATGATTGATAAATTAAACTTAAAATGAAAAGATCACATTAAAAAGATAAAAAATACAAGCTAGCATTAGAGAACATATTTTCAAACCATATATCTGAAAAACAGCTTCATATCAGGTATAAGGACCTTTTAAAATGTCACACACACACACACACACACACACACACTTCAATTAGAAAATGGGCAAAAGATATTTAACTAACATTTCACCAAAGAGAACATATAGATAGCAATAAGCACATAAAAAACGTTCAACAACATGTACCATTAGGTTAAAGCAAATTAAAACCACAATGAGAATGATGGGGAGGAGGGGGGAGGGATAGCATTAGGAGATATACCTAATGCTAAACGATGAGTTAATCGGTGCAGCACACCAACATGGCACATGTATACATATGTAACAAACCTGCACATTGTGCACATGCACCCTAAAACTTGAAGTATAATAATAAAAAAAAATCCAAAAAAAAGAGTTAAAAAAAAACCACCACAATGAGATATTACAACACAAATATTAGATTAGTTAAGAAAAAAACTTGTGACAATACCGAATCTGGTGAGAATATGGAAAAACCGAATTACTCAGAAATTGCTGGTGGGAATATAAATGGCACAGCCACACTGGAAAATAACTTGGGAATTTTCATTTCCTTTTTTTTTTCTTTCTTTCTTTTTTTAGGAGGTAGGGTCTTGCTATGTTTTCTATGCTAAACTCAAACTATTGGGCTCAAGTGATCTTCTCACATTTCCAATGGCTGACCATACAGGTTCATTCCAGAGCCTAGCTTTGGAAATTTTCTTGAAAAACTATATACTGATGATGCATCCTAACAGTCCCATTCCTAGACATTTGTCCCAGAGCAATGAAACTTATATCTGCACCAAAATGTACACACAAGCACTTATAGCAGTTTTAGTTGAAATAACCCAAAATTGCAAATAACCCTAATATCTTTCAAACTGTGGTGCACCCATGCCATGGAATACTACTCAGTAATAAAAATAAAAATGAATGAACGATTAACATACTCAGAAAACATAGATGAATCTTAAGGAAATTATTTTGAGGAAAAGTGTCAACTTCAACACATTATATACTGTATGATTTAACTTACATAGCATTTTCAAAATAATAAAACTGTAAGGAAGACAATCAGATTAGTGTCGAAAGAGGGGAAGAAGAGCTGTAATTCTGAAAAGGTAGTTTGAGGGAAATTTTTGTGGCAACTAAATAGGTTCATATTTTAATATTAGTGGTAGTTACATAATTCTACATATTTAATTGACGTGTATAAAACTATACATATGAAAAAAATAGAGTGCATGTAAAACTGATAAAATCTGAATAAGGTCTGAGTATTGTACCAATGAAAATTTTTTCTGGTTTTAGTACTGTATTGCAGTTAGGTTAGATATTACCATTTGGGGAAATGTGAAGGGTACGTGGGACTTCTCTTCTATTTTTGGATCTTCCATTGAATTTATAATTATTTTAAAAGAAAAACAAAAAAAAACCACTAATGAGAAAAAAATTTACAAGTACTAGTACCAAGACAAACTCAATAAGGCCAAGATAGAAGTATACAAGACTCATGCCAGACAGTGTAGGCTGGCTAGAGGTGAATAGGGAATGTGACTCCAGGATACTTTGATACCAATGCAAAGAGAATAATATGAATAAGTATAATGCTTATAGCATCATAAGGTTAAATAAGCTATGTAAACAAAATAACAATTCTGAGGCTAGACATAAATTTGTTCTCTTGAAAAAGAAGTCAGATCTACAGTGTACATTCAGTAATAAACGTAATATCAACTCAGCAAATATAAGAAACTTCAAATAAGTATTCATTTGGAGTGTTATTCTTAATAATGATACTTACTATACAAAAAGCATATATTTAATTTCCTTTAGATGTTCTTATATTTCACAAAGGGTTTATGAATAAATTGTCTCATTAATCCTATTAAAATTTGCAAGATGCCTTTAGAATGCACACTGCAGAGGAAATCCGGGTTCCTACATTTAGTAAATGGAAAAAATAGTAACCCATATTTTCTGGCCCTAACTTCACTACCCTTCTATTATATCTGGCTCCTAAAGGCATTCCATAGCTTTGCAATGAATATTTTCATTGTAATAAAAGTGAAATTATTCACAGTAAATACTTGCAATGAATAATTTGCAATTCTTTACAATGAATATTTTTACTTTTACACATTCTTTGGGTTTGACCTGTAATGTTTAGTTTGCAAAAATATTAACTCTACACAGAAAAAGCGTTATCTTTAATTCTTTAATGGAACCTAGAGTGAATTACTTTGTAACCAAAGAATGCTCACATATGAGAAACTTTATACATTTGTACATCTGCATCTGCATTTTTAAATCCCCAATAGTCCCAGGGTATAGTGTAACATTTTATTTTATGCAAGTAAAACAATTTCTATAAAGCATAAAATTGAGCAACTTATCTTATTCTGCTTAAATGAATGCATATGAGGGAACAACAGGTGTGATCATAGCCAGTCACACCAAGGCAGAGAAAAAACATGAGTAAAATATTTAGAAAAATGTTATCAATTCTAAAGCTATTCTTGTCACGTTATATCAAATTAATGTAGATAACAGAATATATTATTATATGAAGCCAATTAATTATTCATTAAAATATGGAATGAGTTAAATCGATGAGACATATTTTTGCATGAATAACAGAAAGGAAAATACAGTGGCCAAGAAAATGCTCTTCCTTAGATTAGTTACTTCCCCTCGGTTGCTCTGTTTGAGTTCCTGCATGACAGTTGACATTTTTTATCTTCACACATTACAGTCTTAAACCTATCCCCTTTGAGAGGGTTTAGCAGAGTCGAACGTCACTGTTACAAAATAAGGAGATAATTGTTCTTCAACTATGGTTTGGATAAATGTCAAGGCAACCTATCGCCAACCTTAAAAACTCGAATGCAGGACATCTTCAAAAAGGTCCACTCACAGGGTATAAAAAGACCATCTGCAGCATTTGATGAGTAAAAGAATATTTTAGCCTGAAGAATTCTTTTTCTATTTATACATTCCACAGTATGAATTTAATTAAGATGTAAAAATGCAATGACTCTTAAAATTTCAAGATTCACTAAGCCCAAAGAATTGTAAATGCATCACTATGTGAATGTTTTATTTGTTTTAATCCCCAGGCCATTCTGCTGCTCTCCAAATGACTAGTTAATGAATGTCACCAAACATATGCATTCACAGTTTATCTGTATATAACAATGATCTAGTTCATAACAGAACCAAGAACTGAAAATGATTCAAACATTTAAAATAAATAACAAAGGAGAATTACAAAGTAGAGCTGGTGGATAAAGATTACTAGCCGAGATTCAGGCCACAGAAGTTAAGGTCACTCATACATTCTTCAGTTTATGGAAAGCAGGATTAGTAGCTTGAGAACATGGAGAAAAAAATATCTGGGTTTGTGTCACTGACATTTTCTTGCCATAAACATGGATTGTTCATCTTGCATCTCCAATTCTCAATTTCCTCATCTATAAAAGCAGATAGTAAATAAGATTACTTTTGTAGTAGTGCCATGAGATTTATTGGTGCTATATATATATATATATATATATATATATATATATATATACACACACATATATACATATATACACAGAGTTTTATAAAATACCTACCACAAAATAATTAACTACTCAGTAAATCTTAGCTATTTTGAATCCTGCATACTTCCCAGGAAAATAGGGAAATATGATTCCCTATAGAAAATGAATACCCTCTGGTTAGTCCATCCCTGTTGACAAGCACTTAATCAGATGACTTTTGGGAAAAAATAATTGAGGAGGAGAAAGCATTGATAATTTTATTCAGCAACTAACCTGTTCATATGCAAACTCAAGTTTATTCTTTCCAAAATGTATGTTTATGGTTATACAGCTACAGCATCAATTTTTTTTTTCCTGTAAATAGGTGGTCAATGGGTGGAACTGAACATAGTATAAGGAGTTAATGTTGACTTTGCTAGACAATAAAAATCATTTGAGGCCTAGTCATATTGTGAAAATTGGTGCATGTTTTTGAAGAAAATTTGAAGTGCATAAAGAAGGTAACTGGATTCATTCAATGTAGTTTGTGGCCTGCTATTTTTTGTTAACTTGACATTTTTTTTTTCAATGAGTATTTGCCCATGTCATTAAATTATCAACCAAATTTTGATTTTTATGGCTGCATAATTGATATAATGAATTCTAAAACTATTTACAAGTTGCTTAGCCTCTTTGAATCTTAGTTTCCTTGTCTGCAGCATAGTGATGATAGAAATAGCTACCCCAAAGACTTATTGTGAAGACTAAATGAAGCAATGCTGGTGAAAAAGCAGTTAGTGAGCTGGAATGCACTATACAAATGTTAGTTATTAATTCTGGTAAACCAGTAAGAAGAAGGGGGAAAAAAGTGACACGTTGGATGGCAAAAAATAAATTAAAAAAAACTTTGCCATTTGCTATTTTATATCTTTATGACACATTAATACTTCAAAAGAACTGAGCTGCATAATTTTTTTTCCTCATGAGTTGATTTTATTTCCATAGAATTAGAGCAAACCCTCCAAAAAAGATGGAAGTTAGAGAAAAGTCACAGGATACAAATAGGCAAAGAGTAAGAAAGAAATTGAGGCCGGGCGCGGTGGCTCACGCCTGTAATCCCAGCACTTTGGGAGGCCGAGGCGGGCGGATCACGAGGTCAGGAGATCGAGACCATCCCGGCTAAAACGGTGAAACCCCGTCTCTACTAAAAATACAAAAAATTAGCCGGGCGTAGTGGCGGGCGCCTGTAGTCCCAGCTACTTGGGAGGCTGAGGCAGGAGAATGGCGTGAACCCGGGAGGCGGAGCTTGCAGTGAGCCGAGATCCCGCCACTGCACTCCAGCCTGGGCGACAGAGCGAGACTCCGTCTCAAAAAAAAAAAAAAAAAAACAAAAAGAAAGAAATTGAAAGATTTACTTCAAAGTGTGTCTCTTTTATGAGAATTAAAACAATATTAAATTAGATTTATTGGAAAATTTAAAAATATTTAGACTTATAGTTAATTTCTTTAATGCTTTTGAGTTGTATTTTGCTTTAGAGAGCATAAAAAAGCAAGAGCTAGCTTTCTTCCTACTCTTACTCCTGAATTTCTTTGTCTTTTTTTAAATTCAGTGTTGAAAAATATTTATATTTATTTGGGGGGAATTATTTTCTAAATATTCTTCTAAAAAAGAGTCCGTTATTCAAAAAAAAACTCTTCATATTTCCTGTTATAGTAAATTATAGAAAGAAAACACAAGGATGGTTTTTGGCCGACTACTTCTTGGGGGGTTATGCTTCAAAATGTTGAAATATGTGAGTGCCACACACCCAGTTTTATTGATGTGTATCACTATCTGCTTTATCCTGGTAAATTACTATATGATTAAAAACAATCCTTTCTACCAAAAGCTAATCATATGTATGTACTGAATTGAATAATAGAAGACCCGAGTTTTAGGCACAATTCTGCTACTAATCTGGCCAATAATTAATATGGCAAGCTACTTAATCTTCTCAGCATCGGTTTCTTTTCTTTTTTTTTTTTGATAAATTAGATGATGGTTCACTCTGACATTTTTCTAAATATCATAAAAATACTTTTTCTAATTGTACAATATATAATCCTATATTATATTATTTAAGTATAGCAGGTATTTGCTTATAAAGCAAGTCAGATTCCTTCCCATGTATACAAGGCTGTTTTGCCGTACTCTAATTTAAAACAGATTTTATAACAAGGTCTTTCTTCCCTCTCTCTCTTTCTCCACCTCAAGTATACATCATTTTTTTTTTGTTGTGATTTATGTCATCCTCTTGAACTGTTCTAAATCTTGCCTGTGTTTCTTTCATCACCCTTCTTTCTTTTTTCAATAATTCTTTTTAAAAAATAGAAAATATATTAAAATTATAAGCTAGAATTAGCTTCATTGACTAAAATTGCATTTTTTCTCATGATGACTACTTTTATAAACCCTACATTTCTCTGTAGATCTCAAAAGAGATCTCAAGATATTCCTATAAATTTTATCATGGTGAAAAATAAAAAAGTAAAGTTTTTCCCACTTTTCTGAATATTTTAGAAGAGAAAATTAAAGGATAACATATCAACAGAGAAAACGATGTTCTGAACATCACATCATTTACATTTCATTAGGGGAAATACGACTTACAGAAGGCAAATGCTTAGCAAACAATAAAATCCCACACACAGTTGATGAGTCAATAAATATTTATAGAGTGGCTAATAGGTAGCTAACCAACGGCTCAACTGTGTGGTCCAGATGAGGACTGTAGGAGTTTAGAGCAGATAAAACCCATGTGATCCACTATGCTTCCAAAGATTTTTGTTTTAAACATTATGAGCTCCTGTGAAGAATGTTTGGTATGTTGGCCAGGGATCAAATCAGTCAACTGCTTTGAAGAGAGCTATGCCTCCAAAATGGATTCTGTAATAAAGACAGTGAACCCAGGATGGAGCAAAAATAGAGATAATGAGGCTAATTAAATGAGACCTCACTTACTGTCGGAATGAGTACTTGCACACTAAGAACTTTCCTAAGGAGAAAAATGCGAGCCTGTTTGATTTAAAAAGCATCGGAAGAAGCATAGCATTTGAGCATTTGAGCTCAGCTTTAATAACTTCTTCAGAGATACAAATCACTATGATAATTTAGTTTTACAACATTCTTTTGTATCTATTTCAAAATATTTTAATTAATATATTTATTATATATGCTTAAATTAAATGTGTTGTAGTTATTTTTTGGACAATGACACCTTTAAAATAACTATGAGAGTTGAGATTTGGCCCACCCATTGTTTTATTTGTAGCTCTTGGCAATTGGTGGGCGCACACACACACACACACACACACACACACACACACAAAGCTACTTCTGGGGTGGTAATAGAATGAATTAATCTTGGAGTGCTTTAGAATTCATTTTAGCCGTAACAGATTTGTTGAGTGCTGTTGAAGAAGCAATCGCTGATTTTCTATTTCAATCACTGAGTGGAAAATTGCTCCCATTGTTCTTATTCCTTATCCTTCAAGGTTATTTGTGCTGTACAAAAAATAGCAGTAGCAACATTTATACAGACCAAGAGATTCCTTAAGGATCCATCTTCTACCCTCTGATTCAAAACTTCCTCCCCCTACCTGTATCTTCTTGTTTCTATCCAGGGTCCTTATGCATGAATTCTTCTCTTTCTTTCTCTTGAAGTTGAAAAATAACTTTGATATTCATTTCAGATGTTGGTTTTGGTTTTACTTCTGAATATTGTACCTTGGATCAACCATTTTGTTGACCTGTATTATGGCACCAGGCAAAACCAGTTAAGCACCTCTTCCCCACCCGCACTCCCTCCATAGCCCAAGAAAAGACAGCTCAGGACTTCAGCTTGTGTAAAATAACAGAGAGAATCTGACAGGTGTGTTCCAGGACTGCGATTTACCTAGGAATGCCCCATAGACCCTGAAGGGGAGAAGAAAAAACTCTTTCCCTTTTATTCCTGTGATCTAACAGCTATATATAGTCTCCAAAGAAGTGTTCCCAAATAGTAATGTTGTAGCACGTCCCCATTTAAATATATATATAAAATATACATATTTATACAAATATGTATTTATATATAATTATATACACTATATAATATGTATTTATATATACTTATATACACTATATATGTATTTATATATAATTATATACACTATATAATATGTATTTATATATAATTATATACACTATATAATATGTATTTATATATAATTATATACACTATATAATATGTATTTATATATAATTGTATACACTATATAATGTATATTTATATATAATTGTATACACTATATAATGTATATTTATGTATAATTGTATACACTATATAATGTATATTTATGTATAATTGTATACACTATATAATGTATATTTATGTATAATTGTATATACCATATAATGTATATTTATGTATAATTGTATATACCATATAATGTATATTTATGTATAATTGTATATACCATATAATGTATATTTATGTATAATTGTATATACCATATAATGTATATTCATGTATAATTGTATATACCATATAATGTATATTCATGTATAATTATATATACCATATAATGTATATTCATGTATAATTATATATACCATATAATGTATATTCATGTATAATTATATATACCATATAATGTATATTCATGTATAATTATATATACCATATAATGTATATTCATGTATAATTATATATACCATATAATGTATATTCATGTATAATTATATATACCATATAATGTATATTCATGTATATTTATATATACCATATAATGTATATTCATGTATAATTATATATACCATATAATGTATATTCATGTATAATTATATATACCATATAATGTATATTCATATATAATTATATATACCATATAATGTATATTTATATATAATTATATATACCATATAATATATATTAAATTATGTATTTTGTATATTTATATATTATATATATAATTTTATATATTATATAAAATTGACAAATAATCCCTATCAAATATTTGTAAAAGTTTCTGGTTTGTATTAATTTAAAAATTCACTTAGAATAATTTTAATATATTTTATTACATATTTTGCTGAAATCTTGAGGCTAGTTTAGAAAAAAACTAATTTTAATTAATTGCATTTACATTTACACCTCTGCATTTCCTCGCAACAAATATTTGGTGCTTGCTTGCTATGTTGTTTACAAGCCATATCTTTTCTTGCCTCTTGATTTCTGGACAATACACCTCAGTAAAACAGTAAAATGTATAAAAATCCTATTATATCCTATTAGTGTCTTGTTTCCTTTATAAGAAAATTATGCAAAACAATAATTCAAACAATAATTCAAATTTTTAGCTTGGTTTATTCCTCCTGGTTTCAAAATTCATCAAATACTTGTTTTCCATTCTTTTCACAATAAAAAAGCAAGATTTAAAATACTCGTAATTATAATTATTGATAGATTTTTTATTCTGGTATTTTGAAAACATTTTCATTTTCTAATATCCTTTAATTATAAATTTAGATCAATGAAAGAAGAGAAATTCTTACTAAAATCATCGTTTGCCTTAGAAAAGGCTACATGAAACTGTCTGCTATTCTCAACTCTTATCTCCCTAGCATCCTCATGGGTAGGGATACCATAAGAAAGGCTCCTAGCTGAAAATCAATGGCTGATTCACTCTCTTCCGAGTTCTAGAAAATATATTTCTGAGAGGCTACTGAGACGTCAAACTTAATAGATCCCAAATTGCACTCATTATCTTTCAACTCTGAGCATCTGTTTCCTCAAGTTTTGCTTATTCTATAACCCTTCTCTTTTAAAACTACTGTATACTATCTATTAGAAAGCCCTTGATTATCTTTGACTCCCATCATAATTGTTTTTTTCTTCAACATCAAATCAATACTAAAAGCTGTCAATTCAATCTCAAAGTTATTCCTTAAAACTGACTTTTCCTATCACTCTGTACCAGTGTCGTCTTACTGAAACTTACCTATGTCTCAGATTATTATAATGCTTTAGTCATGAGACTTTCCTTCAACCTTCTATCTTTCATGCAACTATTAGAATAATCTTCTTATAAAGTAGATCTTCATTTAATTATTTAGTCACTTGGCTACTCTTTTATTTTTATTCAACAAATATTTGTATAACAACTTCTATGAGCTTAAATTTAATATTGCTTTCCTTTTAAGGATGCCTATTAGCAAATGTGAGTCATATTCATAGTTGACCTACTGCAAATGTGTAAATTCACTCACAAATGCAATTGTGGGCTAACTTCATTTATATACCGTTCCTTATTTTCTTTTTCTATTTGCTCTCATTATTGTCTTGTATTATGCATAATTTATATAATCATGATTAAGTTATGCCATAAGATGAACCCTATATAAGTCATCCATGCACATATCCAAACCTCATCCTACTGGCTTCAAAAATCTTCATGGGATCTTCATCAACTTTAAGATAAGGTATAAGCACCTTGGTATGGATACATTATCTGGCCCCTACAATTCTTCAGCCTCAAATCTCAAGTTCTTGAGTGAAATCAAGAACACTGATATCACCTGTAATCCCAGCACTTTGGGAGGCTGAGGCAGGCAGATCACTGGAGGTCAGGAGTTTGAGACCAGCCTGGCCAACATGGCAAAACCATGTCTCTACTAAAAATACAAAAATTAGCCAGGTGTGGTGGCTGGTGTTGTAATCCTAGCTGCTAGGGAGGCTGAGGCAGGAGAATCACTTGAACCCGGGAGGTGGAGGTTGCAGTGAGCCAAGATCACCATCACATCACTGCACTCAAGCCTGGGTGACACACACACACACACACACACACACACACACACACACACACACAAAGATATCCAAGGATTTATAAAATAAATCATAGCTTTTCAACTTGGCACATCTTTATATTTATGTTGATATTTTCAAACACGCTCCACTCTGACAACCACAATAATTTTATAACATGCAAGCAAGAATTCTTTATATAAAAGTTATAGGGTAAGTTTGAAAATATGTTCTATGCCACATTTTTTTTCTGAATATCTCGACTCTGCAATTACTTCACATCAAGAACACCTCACTAACATATCCCCCTGTAAAACCAAAAACAAGAAGTCAGCTACAAACGAAGACCCTACACAAAGCCCTGGCCCTGTGAAAACACCCAGAAAAGAAGTCAAATGACTGCACTCAACACACATTGCAGTTAAAGGAACACCTACATGCAGAGATGAGAAAGAACCACCACACGAACTCTAGCAACTCAAATAGCTAGAGTGTCTTATGTCCTCCAAATGATTGTATTGTGTCTTCAACAAGGGTTCTTAACCAGGCTGAGTTGGCCAGAATGACAAAAATATTATTCAGAATATGGATAAAAATGAAGAAAATGAAATTCATGGGAATGGCAAAACTCATTTCATGGAAATTAAGAATCACAATAAAAAAATACAGGAGCTGACAAATGAAATAGCCAGTATAAAAAAAGAACCTAACTGACCTAATAGAGCTGAAAAACACACTACAAGACTTTCACAGTGCAATTGCAGGTATTAACAACAGAATAGAGGAAGTTGAGAAAAGAACCTCAGAACTTGAAGACTGGCTATCTGAAATAAGACAATCAGACAAAAATAAAGGAAAAAGAAAAAAACGAATGAAGAAAAACTCTGAGAAACATGTGTTCATGTAAAGAGGCCAAACTTACAAACCATTTGCAGCTCTAAAAGGGACAGGGAGAAAGCAAACAACTTGGAAAACATATTTCAGGATATCATCTGTGAAAACTTCTCCAACTTTGCTAGAAAGGCCAGCAGTCAAAATCAGGAAATATGGGAAACCCCTAGAAGATTCTTCACAAGAGGATCATCTCCAAGACATAATCATCAGCTAGAGAGAAAGGGCAGGTCATTTACAATGAGAACCCCATCAGGTTAACAGCAGACTTCTCAGCAGAAACCCTGCAAACCAGAAGAGATTGAGGTCCTATACTCAACACTCTTAAAGAAAATGAAAAAAAAAATTCTTCAACCAAGAGTTTCATATCCATAAGTGCCAAAGGAAAGGTTAAAAAAATAGAAATAATTTTATATCCAGCCAAACTAAGCTTCCTAAGCAAAGGAGAAATAAGATGCTTTTCATATAAGCAACGTTGAGGGAGTTCATTATCACCAGACCCAACTGACAAGAGATCTTGTAAGAATATGGAAAGAAAAGACCGTTATCAGACAATACAAAAACACACTTAACTACACAGACCAGTGACACTATAAAACAACTACACAAATAAGCTGCCATAATAGCAAGATACCAACACAGTGACAAGATCAGATACACACATATTGATACTAGCCTTGAAGGTAAATGGGCTAACTGCCCCATTTAAAAGGCTCAGAGTGGCAAGCTGAAGAAAAAAGCAAGACCCAAAGGTATGCTCTCTTTAAGAGACCTATCTCACATGCAATGACACCCATAGGCACAGAATAAAAGGATAGAGAAAAATCTACCAAGCAAATGGAAATCAGAAAAAAGAAACAGTTGCAACCCTAATTTCAAACAAAACATACTTTAAACCAACAAAGATCAAAAAAGGCAAAGAAGGGCATTGCAAAATGGTTAAATTCAATAAGACTTCATTATTCTAACTATATAATGCTCTCAACACATGAGCACCCAGATTCATAAAGCAAGTTCTGAGAGACCTATAAAGAGACTTAGTCTCCCACACAATAAGAGTGGGAAACTTCAACACTCTACTGATAGTATTAGACAGATCATTGAAACAGAAAATTAATAAAGATATTCAGGACCTGAACTCAACATGAACCAAAGGGATCTGATAGATCTCTACAGAACTCTCCACCCAAAACCAACAGAATATACATTCTTCTAATCCTCACATGGCACATATTCTAAAATTGACCACACAATCGGACATAAAACAATCACCAGCAAACGCAAAAGAACTGAAGTCATACCAAACACAATTGCTTAAGTGAAAGTATTTCTCAACCATGCAGATTATAAGAATCACCTAGGGCATTTGTTAACATCATGTTGGGAGGCAGAGACAAGAGAATTACTTGAGCCCAGAAGTTTGACACCAGCCTGGGCAATATAGTGAGACTCCATTTTTATAAATAATAATAACAATAATAATAAATTATCTGCATGTGGTAGCATGAGCCTGTATGGGAGCATAAGGTGGGAAGATCACTTGAGCTCGGGATGTAGAGGCTGCAGTGAGCCGTGATCACACCCCTGCACTCCAGCCTGGGTAACAAAGACCTTGTTTCAGAAACAAAACAAAACAAAACACAAACAAAAGTCATGGATTCTCAGGACTATTTAAAGAAAGATACTGATTCATATATCTGAGGTGAGTTCATGAAATCTGTATTTTGCGAAGTGACATAGATTATTTTTATAATCAAGAAAACTTGAGAAACACTTGTTAAAGTTTCTGAGAATTCTGCAGTAAAGAAACCTTTTTACTTTTATTTAACTCAACCTTTGTCAAACATATTTAGTTATGTACATCCTTTTTATCTGACATCTAATTCTTCTTAAAAAACACTTTAATAAATGCTGGTTTATATTATTTCCCTGACATGATTTTTTCCCAATCTAGAAAAATTCCTGGACATCCTTCACCACCCAGCTTAAAGCAGCTTTCTCCATTATATCTCCAACAAAGTCCTAGTGTCATCATTATAGCATTTATCTAATCAAATTATATTATTATTTTAGCAAGTTGATTTATTTCCCCTAGTTTCTGACTTGAAGGAAAGGAACATGCCTGAGTCATCAATTTTTCATATAGACACATACTTTACATAATGAATGCATAAGAATGAATAAATTTATGAATGACTCCATAAATGAATGGTAAGATATCATTAGGCCTTCTAGAATAATTGTGGACTAATTATTGCAATATAATCAGAATCGCTGGAATAGTCAAATTCCAATTTTGTTCTTTTTTTTGTGTGTGAGATGGAGATTCACTCTTGCCACCCAGGCTGGAGTGCAAAGGCATGATCTTGACTCACTGCAACCTCTGCCTCCTGGATTCAAGCAATTCTCCCACGTCAGCCTCTTGAGTAACTAGGATTACAGGCGGGCACCACCACACCCTGCTAATTTTTGTGTTTTTAGCAGAGACGAGGTTTCACCGTGTTGGCCAGGCTGGTCTTGAACTCCTGAACTAAGGTGATCCACCCTCCATAGCCTCCCAAATTGCTGTCATTACAGGTGTGAGCCACCACGATAGGCCCCCAATTTTGTTCTTTATACCAACATCATGTATGACTACAGCATATGTTAATTAAAAATAATCTTCACATGTAATCTTAGAAAAAATATTCTCATGTTTATGAACCATCACCACTAACCATATCGAATATTTTTTCTATTTTTTTCACTTTGATCAACTTTTTCTATAATGCTTTATCACTGGGAAGCAGCAACAGAATCAATACTTTCTTCCATTCTTTTTTTGGAAATTGACCACATTCCTTTTGAATTTATACCTTAAGTATACTTATAGCTTTCATAACAGAGAAGGAAACACCTATGAAGTATTTGCTTAGACAGATGTTGTATATAAAGTACAGAAAACTGAGTTCAATATATAATCACTCTAATAGTTTCTTAAGGATCTTATATGAACTTGAATATGGGCCCAGCACTTTTAAAAATTTTAATCTTCAGTTTGTTTTCATATTCTTATATACACATTTACTGAATACCTCTTAGCACAACTGAAGAAAAAAAAGACCACTGAATACCTCTTAGCACAACTGAAGAAAAAAAAGAACTAAAAATGAACATTAATTAAAATGCTGTGAAAATTCTTAGCAAAAGAAGAAAACTACAATGTGTAATGAAATCAAGTATTTATTCTTGTGGGGTCTGTTTTTCCATTATAATTTCCGCAAAGTTAACCCCCAAAATATGCAAGTATAATTTTATCTTTTCTAGTCTGCAGACATGTACTTTAATAACCTATTGTTAAATTTTCAATTTAAAAGATATTTCTAGAAAAAAATGCAGTCTGATCAGTGAATGTAGTCAACTGTACTGATGTTCATGAAAATAATTCTGTTGAAGTTTGAAGACTTTTTAAAATTAATTCCAGAATTTTCTTTTGAGAAATTAATACTTAACTCTGCCACATGGATTCTTAAAAATGCCACATTATCCTTTAACCCAATGTGTGAATATGTTATCAATAGTACATGCATTAATAACTTCGTGAAACATAATGCTATTTCTCAAAATTACTATATTATCTGATTTTGAGTGAAAAGGCAGTCTTATCTGTTTTTATCTTGAAGAATTCAGATTACAACAGAGCTTTCCATGTAGAAAACAACAAACCATTTGATTTAGCTATCTGTATGCCTCATTTAACTTTTCACTAAGTCACCTATATGAAACATATGGTATTCAACAGAAGAGTTATTCTGATTATGATAAAGAAAATAAATAACGAGTTGAAAGGTTTAAATGGTTAAAAAAGGCAAGAGTTAAGACGTTAAATCTAGAGGATAAACAGCAAAGATCTCTGGATTATTTTCAAATAGCCCAAGGGATTCTTCCGACTAGAAATTCAGAGTATTGGTTCAAACAAAGTGAGACTTATTTGTATAGCCTTTTTTTTTTTTTTTTTTTTTTTAGACGGAGTCTCGCTCTGTTGCCAGGCTGGAGGGCAGTGGCACAATCTTGCCTCATTGCCACCTCCGACTCCCTGGTTCAAGCTAGTCTCCTGCCTCAGCCTCCCGAATAGCTGGAATTGCAGGCATGCGCCACCACCTCCAGCTAATTTTTGTATTTTTAGTAGAGACGGGGTTTCACCCTGTTGGCCAGGGTGGTCTCGATCTCCTGACTTCGTGATCCGCTCACCTAGACCTCCCGAAGTGCTGGGAATACAGGCATGAGCCACTGCGCCCAGTCTTGTATATCTTTAATACTATTGCATTTGTGATATGCCGCTTATGAGCAATGGAAGTCAACACCTACACAAAGAAGCCACAGACAAAGAAAGAAAAAAGTCGCATTCCATTATACAAATACATGTCTTATTCGTATGGTTCCTATAGCAGTGTGAGTACACACTGAAGGAAGCTTGCAGAGATCTGTGCCCCCACATCCTCTCCTGTTATTTTTTAACTGGTGCAGGGAGCCACCAGCCAGTGGCTGCAAGGTTATGGGAAGTCACTGGTGGTATTTACATCAGCGTACTTTAAGTGGCTAAATCTCTGATTCCAGCTCCTATTCCTCTATTACCCAAGACAGGTGTGGTCAGTTTCCTTTGGTTTTGATTCATTGGTTCTTATTTATGAAAAACTCCCTGGTGTTTTCTCCAAAGAAAGGATAGAAATTCAATGACATTTTAGCTATTTAATTTGTTAAGTGGCATGCGATGTCACAGCAAATTATATTATTGGATTCCTGAACTCCCTAGTTCCTTTTCTTCAGATTATTTTACTTTAACCCTACTGTGGAATAAAATTATTATGTATTTTACACTAGTACCTGGATACACTCATACGAACACATATTACATGCTCTGTTAAGCATACTATAAATTGTCTCCTGAGAAACCATAAGAAACATTTTCTTGATATTTACTATTCAAGAATAATTCACATAAATTAAATGTAACTTTGAGTTTCAACTTATTTTTGAGTGAGCTTTTAAAAAACACCCTGAGATTTACTAATTTCTGCAAACATTTTATTAATGGTGGTTAGAAACTTAAGGTATTGTCCTTTTTTACTAATTGTTTTTCTATTTCCATGTCTTTATACTCTGCCTCTGTGCTTTTTCTATGGTCTTTGTTAATACTCTAAGTGCGTCATCTAATTTGAAACAGACTTGCTGCTGTTTTCAACTATATTCAGTTTGTGGGTTAAATATATGAGATAGAAATAACTGTTCAAAATGTGAATTTCTAAGGCTAGACATTCCAATTAGGCCTTTGCACTCAGGAATTTGAGTGAATCTGGGCAGAATTATAAGCCTGGGTTATTTTAAAGTAATAATAAATGGGTGGGAATCCCGAATTTAGAAATTCATCTATTTAATTTATGCGAAAGGTTGTGTTTGAAGAAGAGTGGACTTGGAGGCTTTGTGATTAAATGAACCCATGCACAAATAGTTTCAGTATATGACGTGAAGGCCAGACACACTAAAAGTTAGTGATGCAGAAGGAAATGTGGCTCATCTTCCTCTTTCCTTAACCAGCTGCTAGTCTCTGGTGTTAGACACTTTATTTTAATTGGGAAGGAAATTGGAAATTAAAGTGAATGAACACACATGTTTGTTGAAATAAGACTCTGAAACAGAACGTATATGCTGTGGTTAATAATAGCAAAACACTAATAGGTTTATAATTCCTGACCAGACAAACTCATATTTCTTATCTGAAAAGCCTAGTTGGAATGACTCATACCAGTGACCCTGAAGGCACAGTGATGGACGTAGACAGAAGAATGTCTTCCACATGCTTTCACTATGGTGGAGATTTCAGGTGACAGATTAATACAGTTGGCCACCTTCATAATTTGGGTGTAGCACCATAAGAGATAGGCTCTTCACAAGTCTAAGTCTATCACTTAAGGTGAAACAATGGTCAAATAACAAAATTGAATTGGTGTGGTAACAAGAAGTCAAGGAAGCACATTCAGTAGCATATGTATACATTCTAAACAGTAGCAAAGACAAGAATATACAGTGGAATAACCAAATAAGCTACAGTGTAAAAAATGATCTAAAGCCATTTCTTCCACTGCTGCAAAGAACAAACTAGTTTTTAGGAAACATGAAATAAATGGCAATGCTATAGTTACATGTTCTCTAACATCAGGACAAACAAATATCTAAATGATGCTTCTCAAATCTAATTTATGTAATAATACCCAGAATAATAATATGCTGCAGTATGAAGCAAATCTGGGCCACTCAGGCTTATGTTATTCTACTTCAGAGAAACAAGAGAGTTTAAGGTCAAATGTTTGGCCTAATAAATCAGTCTATATTTCAAACTATATGCTGTGTGTGTTTTCAACCAAAGAAGTTAGCCTTACTAAATTTAGATTCCTGGGGTAAGAAAAGGTAGACTGGCTAACCCTGTCTCAGCTCTTCTCTTTTCCTCAGATGCAGAGACATTAAGTAATATGCCCAAGCTTACACAGAGATGTGAGGATCTAGCAGGAGAATTCAGGATACTTACTCCAAAATCTATATTCTTTCTCCCATCACACTTTTTCTTAAAGTTGTGATTCAATTCCAGTTCAGCACTGACTAAACTAATGTAAGTCACATCCTCTTTGGGGCTCCCCCATTAGTCCCTCAACCATCACTAGACCATGGATGGGCCAAATTATTAAATTTACTTATGATTGGCCTCAAAAGCCCTATGTTGGCATGTTGGCAGTCTGAAGTCTGGTTTTAAATTCTATGAATTTACTTATTCCCACAATTATAGCCTATTAAATCTACTATGAGCCATAAAATCAAAGTGAACAAGCCATCATATCTACTCTCAAAGAGTTCACAGACAAAGACTTTAAAATAAACTATTAAAATTAGTTACCTTAATATAAAAACGATTTACAGAAATGGTAAGATAATATCCGAAATAAAACTAATGCTTAATGTAAAGCAGAAAAAGAGTAGTCAGTGAAGACCAATGCAAAGACGTCTTCAGAAGAGTGTGGAGACGAAGACTGGGTTAGTTGCCACTCCCCGTGTTTCCCTTTCTCTATCTATAAAATAGAAGTCTGTGAAAACTTAGTGGATATGTCACATCCATGTGTTAATATAGACCCAATGCCTTACAAAGAGATCAATACTATATTTTTAGTTATTCCTGTTCTATAAAATAATGTCCACATGATAACAGATTATTATACAATATTATTATTACACAATAA
Organism: Homo sapiens; assembly: GCF_000001405.40. Lineage (NCBI taxonomy): Eukaryota > Metazoa > Chordata > Mammalia > Primates > Hominidae > Homo > Homo sapiens. The sequence goes on from NC_000001.11 coordinate 103,193,015, forward strand.
TTGGGAAATTGTATTTAGAAAAATGCTTAGACCCTTGCCATAAATTTTATGTTAGCAAACAAAACAACCACCCTGTCAATATATTATTTTAAAAATTACGTGTGTGTATAAATATAAAATCAAGACTATTCCTAAATGGCTATCTGTATTTTTTTTCTTAAATAGACCACTATTAAGAGATTCTGAATTTTCAAGGAATTTTGTTCTATAGCTCTGAATTCCCCTTCCTAGTGTTGTAGAAACTCGAATACTGTACATGTTACTGGGATATATATCTGGTCATAGTACCTGGCATTCTCCTCATTTATCTTTCCACTGTTTCTAGATAGCCAATGGCTCTGTGCAATGAAAGAGGGATATTGGAGATTAGGACTCTATTCCCATTTCTGTTAATAACTTGGCTAAAATCCTGTACAATCCTTGATTCAGGTCTAATATTTATACAATAAGCAATAGCTGAAAGTGAGGTGCCGTGTTGGACAATAAGAGTTTAAAAACTGATAAGCTGTGTTATTGTCACTTAATAAGTTGGCAGTATAGCAGGGGAGAAAATATTAGCGTAACAATAATATGATCTCTATATTAAATGTGATAAAAGCTATATACATAAAATGTTATGATAACTTTTTGGGGAAATATGACTTTAAATGGCAGATACCTTAAAAAGTAGAAAATAGGAATACTTCTCTTCATTGCCAAAATACATTACTGAATTCTTTTAGTGATGATAGAGTTGTAGGTAGTGCTATAGAAAGTAGAATACGATTGTTATTTTTAATTGCAATAACTCTATAGAACTGTAGAGATTGCTATAAAATTTACTTTTGTTCTTTAAGCTTTTAGGAAGTACTGAGCAATGAATGTTAGATATCATGAAATAGTGTTGATTTCATAGGCATTTAAATATGTACTCTCCTGTATACCTTAGTATTTCACATTTACCAACCTATAATTTTTGGCCAAAGTATACATATTTTCAAATTACAGCTTATAAAATAACACTTCACCTATTTATGACAAAATTATGATACTCCAACTAACTATATCCTAGACCAAATTTCTATGCCATTTTTTGCCACTTGAAAATAAGGCAGCTACCTTTTCAGCCATGAATGCATACTTTCTTTTAAAGCTATAAAGCTTCTGTATTAATAGAATCCCAAACATTCCATAGTGCTGGCTCAACATGCTGAAATGTGAGTTCAGAAAGCCCAATTTGATCTAAACTGTTTACTCTGATTTTCAGCAGGGGATACTGAACAAGGGGCCACAGTTCAGTTCTTGAAACTGTGGTCCAGTTAAGGAACCACAGTGAGGTTAACTGGCAACTTTCAGAATGCCAGAGAGACAGGGCAAAGGGTTGTTCCTGACATTTTTCACATGACTTTCTAAACAAAATGCTTCTATTAGAGTTTTTGAAAGGGGATTTTAGCAATTACAGAGTAAGATGCATGGGTGAGGAGTTTGCTATTAACATGGTGGAGAAATGCATTTGGGGAGAGGATCATGAATGAGAAGGAAAAAGAAGAAAGTGGGACAGAGATAAGAAGGGGATAGACTAGTGAAAAATGACGAATAACATTTTTTAATCAAAGTTTCTTGCTTGAGAGTTTGTACAAAAATCCAGAAGCACCCTGTTAATAAAATAAGCTTTTTAAGATAGAAAAGAAAAAATACGTCATTAACCAAAATATTGAATTTTACCTAAGAAAGTAACAATCTTTTATTTCAATATGAAAAGCTGCCACATTTAAAAAATAGGACAAGAGAACATTTGGTTAGCACAACACTAGTCTCTGGAAAAACTGCTCTCTTAATTATCCTTCAATAATACTTCCTTTTCATAGATTAGCAAATACTTTGAGTTGAAAATTTCGTAAGAATTTAATTGTGTTTTCTGGGTTCCTCCCTTATGGAAACTGTGTATCTGTCTCACTCACCACAAGGGAAGTTTCATTAGAAAAGATCCTGTACTTAATACACTTTAGATACCCTGACATTTAGCACAATATCCAGTACATATCATGGATATATGTCATTAAGTTGGACGCATGAAATTGTAATGTCCATACTGGAACAGATGTTTTTTTCTATGCAATAGCCACCAATAATGAACATGAAAATCAACACCTTGTCTGAAATGCAGAGGAGTCACAGCTTAAACATAGCCCTCTGAGGCGTTTTCTGAACAATGTCTTTCTTTGCATTTATATTACCAGTCATGATATTCAGCTTGAAAAAAATCACAATGGAAACGTTCCTTGCTAATTCAACCGTGGAAAGAAAACTTGGCAATTGAGTTTTGGAAAGCAGAGGCTCTTTTATCTACCTGATCAATATAGTATCATCAGCTGACAGATTTATTCCCACATGGTTATTAACTTACTCAAGCAAATGAAAATTTCATGAATATCTAGCAGTCATGGCAAGATGTTAACAGAGTTTGACAAAGAGATTTAAAATGTATTATGTACAAGTTTCTTATTTCTTATTACAAACTTTTTTTGCTTTACTGACATGAACTGCAGAAATTGTCATGGTTTTTTACTCTTGTCTGTTTAAATCAGTAACCACTACAAAATAGCTTATTGCTTCCAGGTTTGCCAACTTTAATAAGGTGAAAATATTTACTTGGCATAAACAGGGTGGAGCAGAATGAGCATCTTTATACTGTGTTTGTCTAGAAATAGAATTGCTCAAACAGGCCAAAAATGAATTTAGAATCATATCATAAACTGTTCTATACTAAATTATTAATAGTTAAAGTTTATCTTTTTATGTCTCTGGTATAGGAAGGAAGTGGATATTTGTCATTTTAAAGTAAATATAAGATACATGTTTAGTCAAGTCTAATCAAGACAAAGAAGTATTATTTCCTACATTATTTTGCTTTTCTTTCCCTTGGTTTCTTTCTTTCTCCTTTCTTTCTTTCTTTCTTTCTTTCTTTCTTTCTTTCTTTCTTTCTTTCTTTCTTTCTTTCTTTCTTTTTCTCCTTTCTTTCTCTTTCTTTCTTTCTTTCTTTCTTTCTTCCTTCCTTCCTTCCTTCCTTCCTTCCTTCCTTCTTTCCTTCCTTCCTTTTTCTTTCTTTTTTCTTTCTTTCTTTTTTTTTTTTTTGAGACAGGGTCTTACCCCGTCACACAGAGTGGAGTGCAGTGGCACAATCTTGGCTCACTGCTGCAGCCTCCACCTCTCAGGCTCAAGAGATTTTCCTGCCTCCACCTCCCAAGTAGCTGGGATTACAGACATGTGCCATGTAATGCCATACTGCCAGGCTAATTTTATTTTGTGTTTTGGGTAGAGACGGGGTTTCACCATGTTTGTCAGGCTGGTCTCGAACGCCTGATCTCAAATGACCCATCTGCTTCGGCCTCCCAAAATGCTGGGGTTACAGGTGTGAGCCACCACACCCGGCTCCCTTGGTTTCTTATGTTTGTGCACAGTCTTCGAGACAGGCAAGGTTGAAGGGTTGAGGATAGAGCAAAGGAATCAGGGTTTGAATACATTTAAATAAACATGCAGTGAAAGCATCCAATGTGGATAAGCACAGGGGACATAGCTTTGAATAAAAATCAACCCCATTGTCTACCGTTTAAAATGAAAACAAATATTTTCTGTCAAATGTTCTAGCTTCAGATTTTCATATTATCTCTTATAGACCAACGTAATTAAGATCAAGGAGATAATGAGCCTTCAACATGGATATAGCATCTCTGCAATTGATAGCTTCTAGTTACTAGCAATCCTTATCCAATAGAAGAGCTTTACAAACTAAAACTAAGGTTGTGGCATTGGGTTCTTGAATCTAATAGAGATTCTACAAACAAATAATAGCAACATCTTTTATAAGAAACTGAGATTTGAGTTAAATTTCTAGAAGTACATATTTCTATTTATTGAATGGAAAACAAACTAAACTAATAAAGTGTGTCCATTATTGTTTTTAGAAGAGCAAGTAATCATGTACTCCTAAAGGTAGCTCTGCTATAATTGGTATTTACAACATTTTTACATGTTTACTTCTAATGTTATAGCCATTTATTGTGTAATTAGATACAATCTATAATGATTTTTTAATATTTCCTGAGCGAACAAGCTCTTTATTATTCTCCTCATGATCTTTGCTTCCTGTGTTTACACCTTTGTAAGATCTCCTCTCCTGTAGTGTGCACAAAACCTGGCTGCTTCTAATCCACTGAATCAGCAAAGTTTATGGACTGCCACTCTTGTGATTACCTCACTATATGGAAGACTCTGTCTTGATAGTAGACTCACCCTGGAGACTCTCTTGCTTCCTTGATGAAATATGGGACTATGCAGGAAACGCTTATGTGGCCAGGAACTTAGGTGGTTTCTAGGAACTGCGGGAGGCCTCCAGTTGCTGAGGAGGAGGTTCTAGCTGACAATCAGAAAAAAGCCTAAGATTGCAGACCCACAACCACAAGGAAATGAATTCTGCAAGCAACATGAATAAGCCTGGAAGTAGATTCTTCCCTTGAAACCTCCAAATGAAATTCCAGATTGCAGTCTTGTGAAATCCTCTGAAAACTCAGCTAAGCTGTGTCTGGACTATTGACTCACAGAAATGTTGAGATAATAAATGTGTGTTGTTTTAAGCTGCCAAATTTGTAATAATTTGATATGTATCTATAGATAACTAATTAACCAACTATACTGCAATAACTTTCTTAAAGTCTAAGTAAGTAATTTCTATAGATGAGGCAATAATTTATTTTTATATTCAACAGATATTTATTTAGTGACAATACTGTTCCAGTTACTAGGGACATGAACACAAAAGACAAAAATTCATAAGCTCTAATGGGGGACATATTAATGATATTTAAAATTGTCATAGAATAATTACATAAGTACAAGTGTAAATAATTACATAATTACAAGTATTAAGTGAACAACAAATGATCAGCCCGCTTCAGGGTAATGAGAAAAAAGCTCTCTCACTGGTGTGCCAGTGGGTGTTTAACAATGGGCTCTTGGCAGCAGGGAGAGAAGTGAGTCCCCATGTGTTGCATTCGCTTTTTTCTCTGGCATAACTACCCAACAATGGTCAATTTTAAGATACTAATATGATATTACTAATGTAATATCACTGAACACAGAGTTGGGAAGAAATGAACACAATCAACTTTTACAACTTGGTGCAGACAGGCCCGCACACCACCAGGCTTCTCCAAATATGCAACAGTGAAACTGAGTGCAGACAGATGACTCTAACTCAACTAACAACAATGGGAATGAAAAGCTTTCCAGAAGAGCAGCCAAAATATCAAAGGTCTTGAACCCAGAAGAGTTTGCTTGTTTGAAGAACCAAAAGAAGAAGAATGTGACTGAAACTTAAAGGCTAAAGGAACAGAACTTCCAAAGGGGAAAATAGCAAATCAGGAAGGTGGTCAGACCGTATTCTAAGCTCTGGGAATACAAGAATAAACCACAGATACAAAGTTCCTTCCTCAAGGTGCTCCCAGGGTCCTTATGTAATGTTAATAATTTTAGAGTTTGGTCTAATAGCAAAGGGAAACCATTGAATTATTACTGTCAAGAAAATAGTTTATATTTTTTAAAAATGACTCTGGATAAATTGATTTTTAAAAGTATATGACTGTGGGGGAAAACAGTCCAGAGAATATTATTCATCTATCAATTCCTTTATCTATGAAATAAAAATAATAACACTACCTTCATCATGATTGTTTTGAGAATAATTTAAAAAATACAAACTGTCTAGAAAGGTGGTTAGAACACAGTAAGTACCCAAGAAATTTTAAGAACTTTTTTTTCTCCTTCTATATTCCCTTCTTTTTAATTATTGCTACAATTAAAAGAAGTATAGGGAGGGATTTTGTTGCAGAGATGCAAATCTGAAAGTGGTCATCATATGTCTACTATGATTTCAAACATCATATGGTGTTTGAACCCACAGCAGACAATAGTGCTAGGGAGTTGATGGTTAAAAAAAAAAAAAAAAAAAAAAAAAAAAAAAAAAAAGAAGAGAAAGAGGACCCAGATCAAAGCCATGTGGAGCCCCAAAATTTAAAGTTTGACTATAAGTGAAAAAACCTCTTCCTTTGGCAGAAAACTCATGTCATAAAGTCTGGGAATGAAAGGTTCTGTCTGCAGAACTATGTTGAGCTCACACCTGGATTACAGAACTCATTTCTAAGGTCGTCATTATTAGAAGTATGTAGAAAAACTGGATAGAGTTCAGGGAAAAGTAATGAGAATGCTTAAAGACTTGAGGTTGATGGATTTATGAGAAAAGATTAAAAACCAGAACATGTTTCAACATAGGCTATGGGGAGATGGGTATAATTAACCTTCTACAGTTTTAAAAGGATGGTAAACATTGAGGGAAAAATATCTTCCTAAGATTGAAAAAAGAAAAAGAAAAAATTATTAGTCTATTAACCCAAATAGTAGAAGAGGAGACCCTGAGATTGAGAACATTTATTTTGTGGAGTTTTACAGAATGTTTTATGACTAAATATCATACACATATATAATGAAAAAAATCTCTGGAAGTCTTTAACTTCTAGATAAAATAAAATCTTCACCAGTGCAGAGATTAGCATCTTTTTAATTGATGTATCACCAATATCTGGAGCAATGCCTGACATAGAGAAATTGCTTAATGAATATGCACAAAGTTTTTAAAAAAGAAAACAATATCCTTAAGCTTTAAACCTAAAGGCTGCTACTAGCATCAGGAATAAGTCTATGATTGATCTATGGATAATAAATGCAACCAAATGGAGGTAAGTTCAACTGTGGATCATAATATTCTCAAGCTCCAACTCACTTATTTTAGCAGACATTCTGTAGAGAAAAAATTAGATTAGATTTTTTTTTTTTTTTTTTTTTTTGAGACAGAGTCTTGCTCTGTTGCCCAGGCTGGAGTGCGGTGGCGCGATCTCCGCTAACTGCAACCTCCGCCTCCCGGGTTCAAGTGATTCCCCTGCTTCAGCCTCCCGAGTAGCTGGAACTACAGGCACATGCCACCACACCTGGCTATTAGCGTTATTTTTGTATTTTTAGTAGAGATGGGGTTTCACTATTTTAGCCAAGATGGTCTCGATCTCCTTACCTTGTGATCCACCTGCGTCGGCCTCCCAAAGTGCTGGGATTAAAGAATTTTAAATTCATATCCTAATCGCTTAATATTATCAAATATTAACTTTCCAAATATTAATAAAATATTATAATATCTCACAGACATTTAGGGTCAAAACAAAGAGAAAAATTCAATAAAATAATTAAAAGCAATTTCTTCCTTTAAAATAGCAGCCACTTGAACTAATGTTCAAGTGTTATAATGTTGGTTTTTGATGGAAGAAACTATAAGAAAAAACAAACATCAAATATTTGCTTCCAGCTTTAAGAAATTAGCTTTTTTAAGTTAATATCTTAATTTGCCTTTCTTGCTATTGTCATTTCAATAAAATATAAATTCTGTTAAATTAACAAAATTTTCAAAGTCATCATAGGTTCTATACACTTGAAACCATTTGATTTTAGAGAATGGACTTCATAGCATTACAGATCATTTTACAATAAAAAAATTCTATAGATGGTAAAGATTATGGGCATTCTGATAATACCAGTAATAAATAAAAGCTTAAAGCCATACTCATAGCAGTGATAATAGCACAAATTTTGTAGAAATAGATAGGTTAGCCTGTGCTGTTTCTTTCTAATAACCAGAAATAACAAGGACAGCATCTTTTGTGAATTTGTCACTGAAAATGCCTTATAAATGTGAAAGTATGAGTCATCTTATATTAATGCACTGAATTATGTGCTAATGTCAAAAATGTCAGAATCACAATTAGTAAGTCAGTGATAAAATAGAAAAAGCAATAATGCTGATTTTAGGAAAATTCTGTCAATAATTAGATGTACCACTTTGGACTAATTTGCACAATAGGACATCAGACAAGAGAGAACTCTTCAGAGGAGTGGCCCCAGAAGTCTGCATTGAGATTCACTAGGAGTGCGTGATCCAGACAAGATTGCCAATGTACAGGGCAAGGTTATGTGTTTAGCAGAGATCTGATCCAGGGCTAAGAATTAGGTGGTAATACCAAAGATTATGTGGCACCAGGAGACATTGAAGATCTTGCCCTCCCAGAGTGGAGAGATGTTGCTGAGCATCATGGGCATTCAGTCAGGAACCTAGAAATAGTCTTCATCTTTGGATTAAGGAAACACTCTAGAGTAGGAGACACATTTTAATACTAAGCGCAAAAGTGAAATAACAATAACCTACCAAAGACGAAAATAAAGCTTGTTACAGTCAGGAAATCCACAGTAACTTAATGGCCAACCAGCATAAAAATGAACACCCATTAAAAGAAAACAACATAATCTAGTTGTCCAACAATGTATAATCTACAATGGCCAACCTGCAATAAAATAATTAGCAGACATACAATGAGGCAGAAAGATATTTTTTTCTTAATGAAGAAAAAAAAGTCAATAGCATTAGACTAGGAGATGAGAAAGGTGTTGGAATTAGCAGACCAACATGCCAAAAAAATTGTCTTATAAATATGTACTTAAATATGTTTATATATGATATAGCAGTATCATTCTTAATAGTAAGAACCTGAAACTTCATGTGCAACAACAAGAAAATGTATAAATAAACTGTTATGTGTCCACAAAATGCAATATCCCTCAACAATACAATAAAATAACAATGTAACACACAGAAAAATAAAATCATTTTTAAAACCTTATATTGAGTGAAAGAAACTAGATTTTAAAAGAGTACATACTAGAGCATGCCATTTATATGAAATTCAAAAACAAACAAAACTAATCTTTAGTTATATAAATTGAAATCTTTTCTTTTTTTTTTTAAGTAAGGGATCAGAATTGACTAAAAGGGGACATACAGGAACTTTTTGTGGTCATACAAATATTCTGAATCTTACCTGGGGTATTGCTAAAAGAGTAACAGTGGTGTGGTTGAGTTATCTCATCTTGGCTTATGAAAGTTGATTATTAAAGATTCAGAAATTTTGTGAGCTGCTTGTTAAGCCATTGATAACTTGAAATCAGATATAGTGAGAGTTGTACCTGAAAGCAGGTAAACACTACAAATCAAGGGTTTACTTCCTTCTTTATTCAGTTTTATTTCTTTTAGAGAGCTTATTTACAAGCATACCACTTCATTAGTGTATGAATTTATAAAATTTATTGGATACTTAAAACCTGTTTTCCTCGTTGTAGATTTTATTATTGAAAGTTTGATATGCATATTTTCAGAACTCTACTTTCATCTAAGAAAATTTGGCTCAGTTTCTGTCTCTTTAAAATATATCTATATGCTTAAATACTTTGGTTCGGTATACATTTTGTTTTGTGTGTATATTGTGTTTGTTTTGTTTTAACAAAAATGGATTCTACTATATGGTGGTATTATACTACATGTACTCTGAAATCACACCAGTTGGACTTGAATCTCAGCATCATATCTTATTAGCTTTAATATTTCATGTAATTTATCTTACTTCTCTAAGTTTTAGTTCTCTCTTCTGTAACTTATAGATAAAAATACCATCTACTTCAGGTTGTTATGGAAACCAAATAGCATAATAAATGTACAGGGTTTAAATCAGGTTCCATAACACGTTTATCATCCCAAAATTTTAGTTCATGTACATATACCACCTGATAACTTTCTTTTAACAATTATTAATATATCCTAGGTATTAATCATACTGTTATATATTTTATGTGCATAGAACAAAGCCTAATTATAGAAATTCAATAAATATTTATGAAATAAATAAATTAATTATTGCTAAAATTAGAGCTCCTAGAATTCAATAGAAAACCTGTATTTTAATTATATAATTTATAGATATTTTAGCAATATAAGCTCTTTCACTTATTCATGCACCCTTAGTTTTTCTCCTATTATATTTGCTTGCAGTCATTCTGATAAGTAAACATTAAAATAAATTTAGACCTTGTATCATATATATATATATAACTGCTAAGCAGAAAAGAATAGTATCATGATTTTTAAAATATATATTATGACTATAATCCCCATATGCATATGGTATAATGCAGTTAATATAAGTTGCCTAGATATACAAGTTGTCTCATAAGACAGTAATTTTTTTTTATTAATCAAGAAAGATTCTTTTGGTAGTACTAAACTAGAAAATGGCTTCTGTCTTTCCAAAAATCAAAGTTTTAAAAAAATCTCTCTCACCCTTATCCTAAAAAAGGCACTGCTGCATAATACGAATGCAAGCCCACCTGCAAATCATATGCAGGTGGGAAAAGAGTTGATATAACTGATATGTGTTATGATGTAGCACATAACTCACTTTGTAGCATCCAAATGAAAGGAAAGCTGTATCAACTATTTTCCCACCTGCATATTATTTCTTTCCTTACAGATTAAGTATTATAACAGCACAAGGAGACTGCCTAGAGTTTGAAAATGCAATTGAGGGAGACAGACTCTTTAGAAACTTTAATTTTTATGCTGGATATTTTAAATTTTCTCTTCCAGATCTGTACTTTACCTTTTCCTACCCTCCTCTGTGCTTTGGGAGACTGGTTATGGAACTAGCTGGATAAATTTTCTTGCATTCTTGCAGCTTTAAATTAAACCAGGGGATGAACTAACAAAAAATTGGAGGGTATAAGGAAAGTGCTGGGTTCCTGTGGGTCAGCTGCATGTGTCTACTAAGGTTATAGTCTTGTAAATCATTCCTTTCTTACAGCTACAGTTGCTGCTTCTTACTGTTACAGTTGCTGCTTCTCCTTATGTCTTCCTGACTAGGAATAGCAAAAGTTCTTCACTGTCAATATTGCAGGGTGCTTTAACTTCCTGGCTGATAATCCCTTAACACTGGCTCCTATTTGAAAATGATCCCTTAATTAAACTCTCTTTAGTTGCCTCTTCTAAGAATACTATATCTTTTCTGCGGGAATCCTGACTGATACAATTGCAGAGAGGAAGACAATTTGTGGCAGTTTATTAATCATCTTTGTTGCAAATATATACAAACGATAAATCAGAGAAAAATATATGTAGGCGTGGTTAGCAGAAGGCAAACTAATAAGTGAAATAAAATTATGGTAAAATTAGTATACACACTGTAGCTGGTACAGAAAAAGCTCACGTAGTCTTACAAAAATGCTTAAGTAGGCCAGGCGCGGTAGCTCACGCCTGTAATCCCAGCACTTTGGGAGGCCAAGGCAGGAGGATCACGAGGTCAGGAGATGGAGACCATCCTGGCAAATATGGTGAAACCCCATATCTACTAAAAATACAAAAAATTAGCCGGGCATGGTGGTGGGCACCTGTAGTCTCAGCTACTGGGGAGGCTGAGGCAGGAGAATGGCATGAATCCAGGAGGCAGAGCTTGCAGTGAGCCGAGATCTCGCCACTGCACTCCAGCCTGGGCAACAGAGCGAGACTCCATCTCAAAAAAAAAAAAAAAGCTTAAGTAAATAACGTTAGATTCATATCATAATTATATCAATTTTTTAAATAAAAACATTAAATCATATGATTTATGCACATGTAATACCTACATACTAGGTAAACAATATACAGCACACCATTCATGCTGTAATGTATGTTCAATTTCTTTATCTGATGTGAGGTTCTTTAAAATTTCATAGTCTGTTATTCTCAATAGAGCAGCCAAAGAGTTATCCTTTTATAAGTAAGCCAGATATATCACTTATCTACTCTAAACCTTCTTATGTCCTCACATCTAATTAGCAGTAATAGTCAAAGATCAGAGAACCAAAGTCCTAATTTCTCTGATTCTTGTTATTGCTCTTACTGCATCTCCTATTATCACCCTCCCTCATTCTGCTCCATCCACAAGTAACCAACATGCTAGCCGATATAACAGAAATGCTTCATCCACAGGATTTGGAGTTTTGCTCCCTATCTGGGATAGTCTTCCTCCAAAGAGCTGTATAGCTCTCACCCTCACATCTACTTCAAGTCTTATGCGAAATGTTAACTTTTAGTTGAGGCTTTCCCAGACTACCCTGTTTAAATTTTCAAAACCTCTTCTCATGGTAGTCACCTCTAATACCCTCTCCTGGTTTTCTCCTGAGCACCCACCATCATTGAATATACTATGCATTTTACTTTAAACAGCTGTTGCTTGGTGCTTCCCCTCTACCAGAACATAGGTTCTATAAAGATTAATATTTTCATTTATTTTATTTACTAGTGCATTTTCAGCACTCAGCACAGTCAGTGCCTGTCACATTCATTCATTGTTAATGAACAGGTATTTGTGTAAGATCAACTGATTTTTAAGTCAAAATTGTGGTACTCATTATAGATTGGTACCTAAGTAGCACTTTTCTTATTCAAAAGTGCTACTAATTATAAAAGAGCCTATTTTCAGTAATTTGACCTTTTGATTATTACTTATTATGCAAATGATCCTAGGTTCCAGACAATAATATTAATATATGCCTGCTGAAGAAAATTTGTAAATGTCAAAAGTATAAAGATAAATTTTTATTACATAAGTATATAAATATTATAAATATTTTAATGGCTTCAAAACATCCAATCTAATATATAATCATTTCCAAGTGATCCTCTTGTTCTACTTTCTTATTATTATGATAAATAATGTGATTTATTTAGATTAAAATAAGGTTAGGTTTAAAAATCCTGTAATTATGTTGTCATGGAGTAAGAGAATGAAATAATTATATGATACTTCAAAATAATATATTGAAATAAAAATTGTGTTTTTCTAAATGGACACGAAGCACCACAAACAAAAAATGGCCCTTTGTTGTGCCAAAACACATTATATGGTCACTGTATTTTTATAACCATGAAACATCCCAGAAAAACAATTTAGACAGGTGAGCCTAACAGCAGTTTAGCCAAGTGGAGACTAACTTTAAGAGTGATTGAATGTGAAAGGAGGGAGATAGACTTCTGGAATGTTAAAAATATGAGAAACACTAACAAAGCCTGAATGGATATAAGAGAAAATAATCAAAAAGTAAATGATACTAGGAAGTCTATAACTGATTATAGTCTGTGGTGAAAAAGTAACATGTTAGTTAAAAGAAAGAAGTTACACAAAAGCATTCCTGTATATAGTCCTGCATTTTCTCATTACAAACAATTTTTCAAAGAAGTACAATACTTGTTCACTGCTGTATCCTCAGAATCTTGGAAGAGTCATGGTGTATTAGAATAAACAATAATTAATTTTGAAATGACCGATTCTATGTATGTAATAAATATATAAACACTGGTTTATAAATAATTTCTATTAATGCTCTACTCACCTCCCAGACAAAACATTTACAGCTATGCCAGATGGAGAAATATGAAATATTAGAGAAAACTAAAGTTATTTTATTTTCTTGCAATTAAGCTTTATAAACAAAATGGTAAATATCCACATAGAAACAGACAATGAAAATCAAGAATTAGATTGTTGATTTCTACAATTTGAGTTAAATGAAGACTTGTTCAGCTTTCATGTTATGTACTTGTATAAATGCAGCCATGGCTGCTAATAAAATAATTTTAAATTGCTTTGAGAAATATGTCAGTGATTTCTATAAAACTGATTGTAGATTTGGTCTCTGCTTTACTGTCAAAGAGTTATTTATTATGAATGCAGTTTGCATAGCAGTACTTTATATTTTTCTTCTAAATTTTTTAATAAATTGAAATGTATTTATCATGTTGAACAATCCCTAAAGTTTCTTACTTTGACACTTGTAAATTCATTGTTATTTGTTTAGTGATTCAAAAGGTTATTTTTTTCTCACTGGACCATTACAGTTAAAATATTTATTAAATATCAAATATATTTATATAAAATGCTTTAAATATTTTTGAACAAGTTGAGTATAAAAAAATCTATATTTATTTAATAAATTTTGTTTTAGACTTGCTTGGTATAAGACACATAGGTGGTTTTAGAAATAGCAAATGTCATAAAATGAGTTTACAATTAATTACTTTATCAAGCCAACTAGAATAACTCCAAGCCACCAGGCAATTATAAAATTAGTTCCTGTAAATTATCATCATTCTGACATTAATTAAATAACCATGAGTGGTATCACTTTAATTCAGATCTCAGTGATTTACATAAGGAGGCAACTTACAATGAAGATACTCATGTTAAAACCACTGAAAGATAACTTTTAAAAAAGAAACCAAGACCAAAATCTACATTTATGTAGTTACCATAACTGAGGATGAAATTTAGGTTTTATCTTTCAGAAATTATGGGAAAAATGTAAAAATTAAGGATGTGGGAGGCCAAAGAAAGGAAAATGAGGCTAGTTGGTTTAAGACAGGAAAACAGGATCAAAGGACAGTAATACATTAATATTTAGAATTATTAAAATAATTTTTAAAATTATTTTAACCCACTTTACTACACTTACTATTCAAACCAAGGTATATATTATTGTTCCTATTTTATATGAGGGAACAGAGGCTTAGAGAAGTTAAGAGATCACAACATTGCCTAATTGTAAGTAGCATGACTGAGACCAAGAAACAGATTCATTTTTTTTAAACTTCAAGCCCAGTTCTCTCTTTTTTTTATTCTACAATGTAGGATCTGATATTAGTTTCAATTCAATATTATTTAAAACATAGAAAACTTAGTTACAGTCTATAATTTTTCCTAGTGATGTTATATTATTTTATTTTTTTAATTATTATACTTTAGGCTTAGAATAGCACAATGAAAGAGAAACCAAAAAATGACTCTCTTATCCTAGAACTATTAAATTTAGACTCAAGCAAGGACCAGTTACAGAGCAAGACACCAGTCAGCTGGTAAAATCTGCAGTTTCCAGAAAAGATAACAACAATTTCTTCCCAACCTTGAAACACTTTGTTCTGGCAAGACTGAATTGCTCTTGAAGGATTCTTTTCTGCCTGAGACTGTGTCTCTGAGAAGTCCACTTCTATTCCTCCTTATTTATTCTAACAGAAAGCTGTTGCACCAGTTTCACAGAAAATGGAAGACAGAACACTCACTCAGGACTGCTAGAAGGCCCTTTCTATTAAAAACTTTGAAGTGACTTTTTTTTTTTTTTTTGAGACGGAATCTCGCTCTGTCGCCCAGGCTGGAGTGCAGCGGCACAGTGGTGTGATCTCGGCTCACTGCAAGCCCCGCCTCCCGGGTTCACGCCATTCTCCTGCCTCAGCCTCCCAAGCAGCTGGGACTACAGGCGCCCACCACCACGCCTGGCTAATTTATTTATTTATTTATTTATTTTTAGTAGAGATGGGGTTTCACCATGTTAGCCAGGATGGTCTCCATCTCTTGAACTCCTGATCCGCCTGCCTCGGCCTCCCAAAGTGTTGGGATTACAGGCATGAGCCACCGCGCCCGGCTTGAACTGACATCTCTTAAAGATTACCTCGTGGGCCTAGGGACTGTATAAGTAGTTTGCTATACGTGTGGTAAGTGAGTGAAGAGAAGTGAAACATATGCTCCTCTTTCTAAATACATGCGTGTGTGTGTGTGTGTGTGTGCATTCTCATTGGACCATTATAGTTCAAACATTTCTTACACATTTTAT
The DNA here is from genome assembly GCF_000001405.40 of Homo sapiens. NCBI lineage: Eukaryota > Metazoa > Chordata > Mammalia > Primates > Hominidae > Homo > Homo sapiens. The sequence continues at coordinate 103,208,615 of NC_000001.11, forward strand.
TTATTTATATGAAATGCTGTAAATATTTTGAAACATTACATATGTCATATTTATATGCACACATATAATATACATATATATGATGAAACAAATAATAAATTTCTTGAAGCCAAATTTGTATCTTGGCATCCTGGAATTTTCCTGGCTTTCCCTCTGAGATGACAGAGCCACACTAAGTCCTCTTCCCAACATTTGCACTGTGTTCAATGCTTCATTGTGTGGTCTAAGGAGAACCGGGGTACAGATGTCTCAAGGGTATATATCTTTAATGTTAGTTGACACTAAAGCCTCATCACAGATGGTTAAAAGGGAAATTGTTTAAAAATAAATCCTTGGGCTAGCAGAAGATGATTCCATTGCAAATAGTAAAATTTAGATGACCCGACTCCTATTATTAGCTAGGAGTAGTAGGCCCAGCTGCAGCTACAAGGATGATAGACCACAAATATGGGAGGCAGAGAGCAACAGAGCCAGTTTAGGCTGAGCACACAGTGTTAAAGTGAACATTTTTGCTTACCTTGGCTGAGTGCAATGTAAGTACTTATGAAAACCCAAAATAAAGCTTTCTGCTCTTATGAGCCTTTGTCTATGCCTATACCATGGACTTGGCAGGGTGTTTCTGTGACCATAAGAGTTTGCTGTTAGGCCTAAGAAACGCCTCCTCCCGCACCCCCCCACAACCACGTAAAAATTAAAGCAACATCTCATCATGTAATACTGTTCTTTAGATTGTACTTAATAGGGCCTTTGTGTTGAACTAAAAATGTCCACTTTAAATTCCCACCCATTAAAGCTTTTTGGCATCATACTAAATTTGGTTACGATTTAAACAAATAGTGAAACAATAAACACTAAAAAGCTTTAAAGTTTCCATTCTAAATCAAGTGGACCTTTAATTTTCATTAGCTAATTGCTGTTTTTTAATGATTATTCAACGTTAGGTTTGTATTTCTATTTTCTTAGAAATTTTGACATGTCTCAAGAAACAAAAACTATATTGTTCTAAGGCAATTGTAGAAATCAACATAATTTCATAAGATAATTTTATTCTCCTACTCCAAGTAAGATGAGAAAATAGCAACAATATTAGAGACACTGTGAATGCTCCAGTTTCAATATAATTTTAATATAAAAAGATTTTATCTTGTATATATTTACTGCTTGCAAACTGTTAATTAACTTAGGAATAAATACATTTGATTTAAATGTTTCTTTACAGACTTTTCCATGTTTGTGAGATTTTAATCCATTTTTAATGACTTATTTTTACATTAATGGCAATTATCGGTCGATTAACTCAATAGACATGATTCATAAAACATTTTTGAAAACTAGTTTACAGATGGTGATGCTTAACTTAAATATTAGATTACTTAGCAAAAACAGTTTTTAAAAACATAATGGATTATTTCTCCCAACAATTTAAACAAACGTGATTTTAGTCTATCAAATAATTTTCTATGATTTTTTTTCATATTCCATAAAACTTACAATTTTGAAGTGTACAATTTAGTGGTTTTAGTACATTCACAAGATTGTGCAACCATTGCTGCTATCTAATAAAGAATATTTTTATCACTTGAAAAATAAACCTCATATCCAACAACAGTCACCCCAGTCTCCCCACACTCCAGCTCCTGGCACCCACTAATCTACTTCTTGTCTTTATGGATTTGGCTACTCTGGATATTTCATGTAAATGAAATTCTACAATATGTTGCCTTTTGTGTTTGGTTTCTTCCAATTAATATAATATGCTATCACTTCATTCCTTTTTATGGATGAATATTTTCTTGCACGGATACATCACACTTTTGTTTATCCATTCATTCATTGATAAATATTTGGGTTGTTTCTGTTTTTATAAATATTTACTTACACATTTCTGTTTGGACTTGTGTTTTTAATTCTCTTGTGTATATACTTAACAGTCAAAGTTCTGGGTCATATGGAAACTCCACGTTTTAAATTTTCAAAGAACTGCCAATCTATTTTCTAAAGGGGCTGTACATGCTATATTACCACCAGCATCAGTGTTTCAGTTTCTTCAGCTCTTTGTCAACACTTGTTATTTTCCATTTTTTGATGCTAGCCATTTGATTACATTTTTACCTTCATTACTTTTGATGAAGAAATGGTAACATTTGCATATGGCAAGAAGGGAGAAGTCAAAAATGACTCTAATGTAAGTGACTGGAAGAAAGAGTGGTCTTGTTATTATTAAAAGAAGAGCAGCCAGCAAATACGATTTGGGAGAGGAAACTCATTATGAGACTACAGAAGACAGTTCATCATTTACAAGAGCAGGATGAGAGCTTAGAAATGAAATCAGAGTTTATCATGAGTGGCTTTCAGTAGTGGTAGAATTAAAGCAGGGATTTCTGGAGTCATTGGTCTGGATTTGTACCCAGTCTCCAACATTTACTGTCTGTATGACCTTCAGCATCTGACATAACCTCTTTGGTCTACAGCTTCACCATTGCTAAAATGAGTATGATAATGGTGTGTGTGTCAAAAGATTGCTGTGATAATTAAGTTAGAATAATACATGTAAAGTGATTTATAATGTGTTTGTTGCATAATAAATGTTAGCTATTATTAAAGTGATCACATAATTTATTCTCTAAAGCAGAGCACTTTCACTTTCAAGTATGTCCTGTTTTAGACATCAAATAAGCATTCTCTCAGCCAACTGGAATGTGTGGTCTCTTTTTCTATTATTATTGTGAACTTTTGATGCTTTCATTCAGCCTGAAACAACCTTGGCAGAATGCTAAGAGAAATTAAATGAAGAATACTATGGTATTCGTCTTGCTTCAGCCAAAGTCTTGAAACAGATAAAGAAAATTACTAAAATAGGAACGTTTTTCTTATTTATTAGGTTGTTAATAAACTACTATAATGATAGAAATCATCATGATTAGAAATTATTTGTCTTGAATCTTAATTCTACAATCTTACCATGTCTATGTTTTGCTACATTTTTCTCTGCAACTTAGTTTTTTCATCATGAGTCTTATCACTGTTGTAAGGATTAAATGAGACAGCATATGCAAAAGATTATTTAAACTTAAAAAATCTCTGTAGAATATGTAGGTTGTTATTATAATAAACTGGATATAATTTTTGCTAATAAAAACTCTAAGGCTCTAAAACTACCAAAAATATTACTTTGTTTATTTAATCTATAATTTATGAATACCTTCTCTAGAAGTATAGGAGTAAGTTTATAGAGAGGTAGTGAACAAGACAGCATGGCTACTACAAAAAATGAGAAACTGATTAGCGTTGATGAGGATGTGGAGAAACTGGAATACTTCTGCACTGTCGGTGGTGATGCAAACGGTGCAGCAGGTGTGGAAAACAGTGTGGCACTTCCTCGAAAAATTAAGAATAGAATGAAATTACCATATCCAGCAATTCCACTTCTGAGTGTATGTCCAAAAAAATGAAGGCAGGATCTCAAAGAGGTATTTGCACATTCACGTTCATAGCAGTATTATTCACAATAGCTAAAAGGTGGAAACAGCCCATGTCCATTGATGGATAAAGGAACAAGCCAAATTTGATATATAACTACAATGGAATATTTGTTAAGCTTAAAAGGAAAGGAAATTCTGATACATGCTACAACATGGATGAACATTGAGGATATTAAGCTAAGTGAAATAAGGCTGTCACAAAAGACAAATATTGTATAATTCAATTTACAGGAGTTATCAAAAGTAATCCAATTATTAGACACAAAGGTAGAATGGTAGTTGCCAGGGACTGAAGGAAGGGGACAATGGGGAATTATTGTTATGTGTGTAGAGTCTCAGTTTTGCAAGATATAAAGAGTTCTGAAGATGGATGGTGATGATGCAAATAATATGAATGTACTTAATACCCCTGAAATACACTTAATAATAGCTAAGATGTTACATTGTTATCTACGGTTTATCACAATTTTTTAAGTTGGAAAAAAAGTGAACAATAAATTAGAAGCGTTGATGTTTCTTTCCAACTCTGTAACTTACCTACTTAATTACAGCAACAAAAATAAATGTTGGTTAATTTTCAGAAAAGTTGATCAGTTGCTAGATAGTGCTGACCAGGAGGAATTAAGACTGGGAACTGGTCTAGGACAGATGGTTAGAACCATGTTAGCAGTATGTAATCTCATTTACAGACAGGAGGCTGGTTTTTATAGAAAAGACATGGGTAGTTGTGACTGTGAGAGCAAAGGAAAAAATATCAATGTTGAAGATTAGATAAGACTAGATAGTTATATACATATATACATATATATATACACATACATATATATATAAAACCTATGAAGAATACATCAAAGATAATCATCCCTAATTAGCTGTGCCCAACAAAGTATTTGCTGCTGTAATTCTGAACAGCTATTTTTAAAATATTGTTTTTTCATTCATTATCTTACTTATTATACATATAATTAACAATTCACTTTTGTCAAATATAACACATATTGAGTTCAGTGATCAAACTCTTGAGAAGCCAGTGTGTGTCCATTGCAAGTTTCGCAGGAGCAGATTTTGCTCATTTGTCCTTGTAACAGAGTCAAAACAAACATATTTATTTAACCATTAAACAAATACAAAAATAGGTGACATTTGTTTAGCATTTCTCTTAATAAGAGCTGTAAGAATTTTTTAATTTTTTAACATGAAACAAATTTTAACATGAATGAAACAGATTGATGTATGCTCAGAAATTCAAACAAAATGTTATAACTATGATTTTTAAACACAATTTCCACCCACCAATATTACAATTTAGCCATCATATGCTTATTGGTTGTTGTCATATTTCATTGACTATGGTGATTATTTAAAAATCATTCTCAGTCAGCTAAACTTGGGAGAAAAGCATCTAATCATTTCATGTTACGAAAAAACCCACAAAGATGATCCCATGAGATTTCCAAGAAATGTCAACAACCTTTCTCCCTATCATTTTTATCAGGAAGGTGGTGTCGTTAGGGGCCTCCTGAGTCTGAAGGTGGGAAAGGAAGGAACTAATGTGTCCACTATAGTCTGTATCTCCAGATAAGTGAGAATATACCTACAACAACCGGACTTTTTGAGTTTCTCTTATACTTCATAGGCCCAAGGGAAGCCCTGCTCTTCATAAATGTTTACATTATCATAGAAAATTCTACATTGCCTGTATAATAGCTGCCTTTACTGAAAGGCTGAAAATTATTTAAAATCATGCATAATCTTTAATATAAGTAGTAACTAATGTTAATCAGAGAAACTAGGAGTATTCACTCATAGAAGAGGCCAATCTGTTGGCACATCGTAACAACCAAACAAACAAAAAGAAAACAAACAACCACAACATCAACAGAAAACATGACATATACTGGAACTAGTACAGTGAAATTCTTCTTAGTTGATCCAAATAAAGATGTCACCAAGTGTCTTTTAGCATGTGAGCTTGCTGAGCATGTTTCTCCGATGTTTCACCTCAGTCATGCTCCAGCTGTGATGCAGTACTGTCAAATCGCCCTTTCCCCATTGCCCTTACACAACATTTACTACATAGTTCTCTCTCTTCTGAATTCTCCCTCCACAAAATCTTTCATTCCTTCTCAAAGATATTAATCTGAGCCTACAACATTTATTCCTTAATTTCGTATGTATTAGTTGAACTGAAGTTGAGCTTTTCTCATTCATGCTTTGGCAATTTCGAGGACATATTTGGCCACATTCAGCTACAGTGATGGCTACCCAAACAACAAGATACATTCTGAGAAATATTGCTTTAGGTGATTTCATTGTTATGTGAACATCAAAGAGTGCCCTTACACAAATCTGGATGGCATAGCCTACTACAAACCTAGGTACGTAGCCTATTGTTTCCAGACTACAAACCTGTGCAGCATGTTACAATACTGAATACTGTAGGCAACAGTAACACGATGGTAAGTATTTGTATATCGAAATATATCTAAATGTATAAAAGATACAGTTGCCTATGTTTGTACCTAAACATAGAAAAGGTATTATAATCTTATGGGATCTCCATCATATATATAGCCTATTGTGGACTAAATAAAGGTTATACTGTGCATTACTGTATTTTTTCAATTCATTAATATACTATCAAATTATAATATGGTAATTAGAAGTTTTTTTCAAAAATTAGTACCGTTTGTTATAGAGAATGAAACTATCAAGAGATATATTTTAATAATAATATGTTCACCTGTATTTGTGAAGAGTGTCAGCAGAAATTAGCAATAGTTACATGGTGCACTATATTGCCTAATAGATCTGTAAATGTGTAATAGATGCAAATAGGAAGAAACTTTAATAAAGCAGTAGTTGGTATTGCTTATCTATTCTACCCACATTGAATGCCAGAACTTTAACTTCTAGTGCTCTTATCTAAAATAATTCTTTATTTTATATTTCTCTAAAAACAAAATGAATAAAAATGCATTATGGAATAAACTGTATACACATTGCTTAACAGTTAAATATAATTCTCAGTTTTCTTGACTGCAATTGCAAAATATTTAAACATAAATCTTAATTGAACTTAGTTACATATTCTGTGATCTTAGAGGCTTTAACTTTTATAGAGATGTAGGAAATATAAAAACCAGAAGGGTTTCTCTTTCTTCCCATTTGCAGTGTCTGCAAAATGCAGATATTATTTTTCTCTGTTCTTCCTAAACTTGCCTCATTTTTACACCTCTCAAGTATATGTCTCTTTCTCCATTTCTCTCTCTGGAGCACTAGAAAGGGACTTAGTGATCTTGACCTTTTAGAGGGAAAAGAACAGCTACCATTTTAACACATACTCGAGAAACTGTGTTTATGTGACATCATTTGAGTGATGGTAGTAATATCTGGGATGGAATCAAAGAGACAAATACAAATACTTGGGACATGGCCTACTGCATGTTAAGCACTACAAAGTATTTATCACATTAAATAAATACAGTCGGGCTAGCCCTGTTGCATGCTGAGCCATGTAATTAGTTACAGCTTGCTGCTACCTTGAAGGTCTTCTAAGACAGTGAAAGAGATAAATATTGAGTAGAAATATATAGGAAAAACGAAATCTTTGACAGTACAAGTCAAGATGAAGTGAGTCTCAAAATAAATTAGTTCACAGGACTAAATACAACTTGTAGGTAAAGGCCTGACACTGAGAACAGGTACCTATGTCGGGATTGGTAATTAGCAGATCATTGGTACCCTCTGGAGAATAGATCTATCGGATGGATAGAAGCAGATGCCAGAAACCAAGTCATTTGCTGCATGAGTTGATAGTGGACAAACAGAGGCAGCGAATATGGATTACTTTCCTCAAAAGTCAGCTCACAAAAGACAGATTAAAAGTTTATTACATTTAACAATGTTTGTCAGATTGAGATGACCTGAGCACAGTCAATGGTACAGGGAAAGTAGTCAAGGAAGAAAGATTGAAAATATAAGAGAAAGGTTAGGTAATTGCTAGAACCAGGTTCTAATTAATGCAGAAAAGAAGAAGACTCATGCAGAAACTTTCACCTTGGAAATTAAATGAAGAATGTCAAACATTTCTGAAGCTGGGAGCTAAAAGGAGAAAGAAATGAAGATAAATATTGTGATCAAATTAAAAAGAATATTTGGAGGGCCTAAGCTAGAAGATCTCCATCTCCCAGAACTGTGGGAGGAGAGAGTTCCACAAAGATAAAGGAGTGAGGAGAAAATAAAAGCCTTAGGATGAGCGAGAAACATTTTTATTAATTGCCATAGGGAATACAGCAAGCATATAATTAGGGATGAATATAAGTATTTCCAAGTAGCTATGAGACCTAGCTGAGACTGAGCTGAAGAAGATAGTTAGATATCATCCTGAGCGTCTCTTCCCTAGGTAAGTCCTCATCGATCAAACTTCTGGTAGTTGTTTAATTATCCCTGCTGTATCTTCTCATTGTGTCCTGCATTTGTATAATTTTTTTGGATTTGTTACTTCCTCTCTACAATGCAAGCCTCTGAAGCCTCCTTTTTATTCATTTGTATACATATATTCAAGATCTGCAACATAGAGGTTATCTAATATTTTTTGTTTTAATAACTGTATTTTATTTCCTGAAAGCACTATGTGTTTGAGTAGAGTCTACCCTAGTTGAATTTAATTGTAGTTAAAGCATCCTATTTCAACTCCAGCAAAGTCAGTTTGGTTATGACCAAACTAATAAACTATTTTTCCTCCTTCTGTCTTACATTTCCTCAAATGTTCCTCCTTCATCTGTCCTGCTCTTTACATATCATTTGTTTCTTTTCTGTGGGCTGTAATTACCTTTCCTTGAACATTGCAGCACTTCTTTTTTACTGATCCTTTGCAATCATCCTTAGATGCAATTCTGTTCTTGATGGGCATCCTATTCTGATTCCTTTCCTGCCCCATGTGATTTAAATTGCCCCGGAAGCTCTGCTCGAGGAAAGGCATCCTGCTTGATTAGCTCTTCTACTGGATCAACACTGGGTCTGGCAACAAGGATAACAAATGAGTAAGGAACAAAACAATTAAATTATGCAGCTTATTAAAAGCCAAGAATTACCTGCTTTGGCACAGGAGAAAGCTTAGAAGGTGAAGTGGTCAAAGAGGTATATAAAGTTGGCTAGAAATTCAACAGATGTCAAAAGATAAGTGATCTTTTATAAGAATATAAGTGGAGGACCTAATTGTTACTCCCTTTGAACATTTACTGAACAACTACTATAATCAATGAGGAAATCGAATTTCAGATCAATGGAGAAGCTTCCAGTCTAGATTTGAAATTTTTACACTATTAAAAAAAGTTCAGTTCAATGTAGATTTATTGAAGATAAATTAAAATTTTACATTTGTTATTTTTGCATGATAGAAAACCTGGTATGTGTCAAGTAAGATGCTTTCTTTCTTTTATCATTTTTAATTATGTACACAGAATCTATACACATTACCTCTTCTGTGATCATTCAGAGATCATTCTGTGATCAATTTTATTTTACAAGCTCTTGTCTAGTACTTGCTGTGTGTCAGCCACTCTTCTAAATGTTCTACCTAGATCAACTTGTTAAATCTTATGACAGCATTTGAATTTACCCTTTTTGGTAATTTATATGAGAATATTAAATAGTGACTCTCCTGGCACACATTGGTTAGTAATTTGAGTTAAACTAAACATGTATGAAAAAATACATTTAAGTGGTAATCAAATGCTACCAGGGTGGATACATCAATATTTACCTTAAGTAGAGTTTTCGAATCGCTCTTGGCACAAAATCTAGACATCTAAATAGATTCACTCATTCATTTCTTCATGCATACATATATACCTTTACTCATTCAATAAACTTCTACTGAGTGCTGTATAAAAGCAATATTTGATTATAAAAGAAGATTGGATATTGTATTCATATTCAAGGATTTTATAAACTAGAGAGGTATGTTGTGGCAAACAATTCAAATAAGAAAGCAAATATTGACATACAATACATGAAAGCTTAAAAAAATAAGCTTCATAATAAACATAAAAACAAAGCCCAGGGTAGATTGTGTAAGACTATGGAGAAGACAGCCTTTAAGCCGAATATGTGTCTTTTTGGTGATGGAAGTCCTTACTAACAAACAAGCCAAAGGTGTAGAAATATGGATGGACTTCAGCTGGATCAAGCTTTACCTGGGCTAAAGTGATATGTTAACAATTGTTAGGGAAAAGCCATTTACAAAACTATCGAGAAAATGCAGCCTCTCCAGTAAAAGGAAATTTTGTCTACTGGTTTCCAGAGCAAAATAATCTACTGGTCCTACATTTTTTGTTTGTTTTACTGTTTCTGAACTTTGATTGCTGTAAGAACTAGAAATATCTTTCATCTCCAGCTGGCAGTAAAGCTATACCCCATTTTCCAAGTTGGATTTCTATAATCCTTCTTAATGAGTCTACCATAGCTCACTCTCTGGGGCCTCCAACTGGACCAGAAAATAATCCTTAGCCAAAGGAGCAGCAGAACACCATGGTCTCTTCATCCTGATGCAATGCTCCTTTCAATTGTTGCTTCTTGATTTTTTTCCCAAGTAAGAGCTATTTTGAAAGAATAAAAGATGAGCCTTGAAAACTCATGAACCTTGTTTTCTTCTGTCAGAATAAAAATAATACTTTGTTCCCAGGGTTGTAAAAAAATGAGAGGTCCCACAATATTGGTCTGTTATAATCAGGAAACAGCAATCATATTTTTACAGATGATATCATATAATCTCTTCTTAGACTAAAGGAATATTTGTGGGTCTCAATTATGAGAACTACTAATGAATGAATTATTGAATGAGGAAGTGGTAAATGATCAGCTGGATTGCAAGTTCTGAAACTTTGTAACATCTGCTGCTTTTATAACAGTAACATATGAACCAGAACTTTCGTCTCTGCTTTCAGGAATGTTGTTAATCTTGCATTCCATACAGGCAAGTCTGGTATTAACAAAATTACAAAATAGATTGAAAATGTCATCTAAATAAATATCTCATGAAAATCTAGTTAAAATAGATAACCATCACTTAATTTTAAGACAAGACAGTTGTTGAATATGTTTGAATTTACCATAATTGAATGAACTTCCATATAGTTAATGGCAGTAGAAGAAGTGAATTCATATGTTCATTGAGTATAATTATATTTTTTCTGATTGAGGCTTTCAATAAATGCCTGTTGTCAAATTATGCCATTGGTAGTGCCTATAATAGCTAAATGGGTGCAGAAAAAAGGTTAGAAATATTAGATAAAAGCTGGACATTGGTGTGTACGTGAAATTTTGTCCTGGAGTAGTAGAATGTCTGGCTTCTGATTTTTCAAGCACTTTGTGTTGCTTTTACATCTGTGTTAATACTGAAATTATGTAGAAACCATGGGTGTTCATGGTGGTTTGAAACAATAAAAAAGCAAGTTATAAAGGAGAGGTTTTGACATTTTTATGCATTAGACAAAATGTAAAAGATAAATGTTCCAAAGCTCACTTCAGCAATGTCACAAACTCAGGCAATCTCACACTTTAAATCAAGCCTGGGAAAGTTCAAGTTATTTACTAAAGCGTAACAAAACAAGCAAAATAAACCAAATAATGCTGAATTTCACAGGAAATCCCCAAGACCAAAATGACACTAATTAAATTAAAGGTGGTGCATGAATGGTCAACTGACAAGGAATCTTTCGGTGGACACAAAATTACAGTTTTAAGTCACACCCTTCATAGTTTTTGAAATTTCAAACATACTCATACAGACACAGCGTATTAGCTGGAATTTCAAACATACTCATACAGACACAGCGTATTAGCTGGAATTTCAAACATACTCATACAGACACAGCGTATTAGCTGGAGCCAAACTGAATAGGCACATCTTGGGTGTTTTAAATCAATATCTAAAACAATTTCAAATTTTTGTTATGACAATTCCCTCTTAACAAAAAAAGTGTTCCCCTGATTGGTTTTGTTTTGTATGTGTTAAATTTGATCAGCTTATATTCTGCAAATTTATTGTCAGCAATTACACAGTAGTCCATTAAATATGTAAGAGTCAGACCAAATTAAATTTTTAAAGGCTACTTAGTTACTAATCAATACAATATTTTATACATCATTTTTATACCATTTGGGTAAAAATGATGGAGAAGAGAATAATTCAAAAAGAAAGAAAGGAAGGAAAAAAGAGATGGATGGAGGAAGGAAGGAAGAAGAAAGGGAGGAAAACAAAAAACAGGAGTGTACCAGAGCATTCTGAGAACTTTATGACGTGTCAAATTAGTCCTGTATTATAAGGTGTGGTAATGACTTTTCAGGCACTCTGTATGTGGTAAAGCAATAAACCGGGGGTAGAATTGAGATTCAGAAGGAATATTACATTTTTATTAGACAATTACAATATTTTGGTGACCGTCAACTGAGCTCCCGTTTTAATGTTTGGTAATTCTTTACCTTATAAATCTTGGTAGAGGTAAAAGATCATCTCCCTTTAGAAAAGCTAAAAATTCTGGCTTTCCTAGCTAGGGAATAGCCATGTGACCCAAGCTTCACGAATCAGAAGCACTCAATTTAGGCTTAACTTTGGACCATGGAACAGTCTATCTCTCTCTCTCTCTCTCTGTCTTTCTAGTGGTTGCAGTAGCAATTTCTGCAAAACCAAGTTCTCCATGCAGAAGGTTTTGTGATTTATTTTTTAGTTGGGAGCTCACATTCCTTGGATCTTTGTGGGAATTCTTTGAGGCCTGGGTAAAGGATGTGTTTCTCTGAAAGGTTATAACACAGAGTGTTTCCAGAGGCACAGTCTCAGTCATAATAATGTGGGAACTGCCAAGAAATCAGTTTGACTAATCTGTTAAATAGTGCCTTAAATAGACTTGTATTTAAAGAGCCATTAGCATGTTTTCTTGGCATTTGTCCTGCTGGTCAGTGATCCTTATTAAAGGTCTAGGATTAGGCTTGTTTAATAGCACTTCAGAGGTGGGAATGAAAAATATTAGGCAAGGGGGAACTATAGATGCCAATATGCACTTTCTGATCTTTAATGGCATTTGTTGCCTAGCTGAAGCCCTTTCTCCCTTTGCTATACTTACAGATATATTTTTCTAGTTCAGCGTGACTTTTCAAAATAAATTAATATGCAAATTCTAATGGACAATATTTTCACATTGATTATGTATCAGAAACCACAAATTTATGTTTCATCCACATTTGAGAAACACATTATTGGTTTTTTTGTGAATATATGTAAGAATTTATATTGGGTATATACTTGTGAATGAATTGCTGAGTCATATGCTATCTTATTGGAAAATGTTTCCAAAATGGTGGGTGTAACGATTTACATCCTGAGTACTGTATGATGTCCAGGACATGCCACATCTTTGGCAACGTTAGACTTTTCAATCTTTTTCATTTTAATGATTGTGATTTTCATTTGCATTTCCTTGATGACTTATGAGGTTGATCACTCATATGTTTATTGGCCTTTTGGGTAGCTTCATTTATAAAGTGCTTGTTCATTTATTTGCCTAATTTTAATTGGATTCATTATATGTATGTTTCTATTTGGGGGTAGCTCTTTAGGTAATGGATACAAGTTCTCTGCTGATCATATATACTGCAGAAAATTTATATCTTGTGGTGAGCTGTTGATTAACAAAACTCTATCATTTTATTTTGCCAAAATGTTTGAAATATATTTTAAGGTTAGAGCTTTTGTATTTTTATCGAAGAAATCTTTGCTTACCGAAATATTAAAGATATTCTCTCACATTCTACCAACAATTGATTCTGTGTATAGGAGAGGTAAAGATTCATTTTATTCTGTATATACATTTAGTTAACTCAGGATCACTTTTTGAATTAAAAACCCAACATGTCTACATTGCTTTTCAGTGCCACTCTTATCTTAAATCAAATTCTGTTGTATGTGTGTTTCTATCCTTTCTGTTCTATTCTATTTGTATATTAGTATATACCACAATGTCATAATTTTTAGAGTATTGTAATAAATCTTGTATCTGTAACTATAAGAATTCTAATTTTGTTCTGTAAGATTTCTTTGCATTTGAATATTCATTTCAGAATCACCTCAATTTTTGACAAACAGCTTGGTGGAATTTTGATGAGTATCGTATTGAATCTTTAGATCAATTTTTGTAGGATTTACATTATCATAAAACTAGGCTATTGGCAGGTTAAATGTTGATCTTGTTGAGTTTTTAAATTTATCTCAAAAATGTTACAAAGTTTTTTGGTATAGAAGTCTTACATATTTTTTCTTAGAGTTATTTTTGTGTATTTTTTTCCTGAATCTATTGTAAATTAATTATATTTTAAAAATTTGTTTTCCAAATGGCTTGTCTCACTAAATGGAAATATGATTAATTTTGTATAGAGTTATACAATTTAGTGATTTCTGTAGTTTCAGATATTAATTCTAATACTTTATCTAAATAACTTTTTGAATTTTAAATAACACAAGCAAGTCATTTTCTAAAAACCAATATTAGAGTTTTTTGTCCTATACTTATACTTTTTTTTTCTTTATCCTGCCTAAGTGCACTTTTTAGGACCTCCATTTCAAGGCTGAATAAAAGTGGTAGCAGCCAATATTTCTATATATTTTCTGATTTTAAAGATATGATTCAATGTCTAAACATTAAATATAATTTTGGTAAATTCCGTTTTCAGAATAAGATATTCCTTTCTAGTCCTAGATTATTAAGAGTCGTTAGACCAAAAAAGTGAATTATGTTCAAATGATTTTTCTACCTCTGTTAAGATACTCATATATTTTTCTTTATTAATGTGATAAAGTGATTGACTTTTAAAATGTTAATTCAACATTACGTTATTATAATAAGCTGTACATTTTTATAATACATTATCATTTTAACAGTATTGAATTTCATTTGTTAACATTTTGCTTAAGATTTTTGTGTCTGTATCAGAGAGATGAGTTACTCAGTTTTGTAATATTTATATGAAGTTTAGTACCAAGATAATGTTGACTTATTAAAATTTGTTAAAAAGTGTTTGCTGTTTCTTCTTCTTCTTCTCCTTCCTCTTCTTCTTCTCCTTCTTCTCCTTCTTCTTCTTCTTCTTCTTCTCCCTCCTTCCTTCCTTCCTTCCTTCCTTCCTAGGAGATTTTAGGTAAATTAAGTTACGCATTATTTCAGTGTTTGAAAAATTTACCAGTGATGCCATCTGAGACTGAAGATTTTTGTTATGAAGGTTTTTAATTAGAATTATATTGCTTTGATGGATTTAATAGACACACTATTTTACTCAAGTCCCTTACAGTAAAGTTTGCATTTTGTAGACAATTGTTAACTTCATATAAATTTTCAAAATCATTCCATTCATTCAAATATGCTTCATAATATGCTTTCATTATCTATGTAATGCTAACAAGATTTGCAATGATGATAATTTCTCATTTATTTTGATTATTTATGCCTTTGTTTTGTCAGGGGTTTCTAATATGTATTAAGTGCTATAGTCTGGATATTTGTCCCAAAAAATCTCACGTTAAAATATGGTCACAATGTTGGAGATGGGGACCTAATGTGAGGTATTTTGGTTTGGGGGTAGACACCTCATGAATAGATTAATTTCCTTCTTGAGAGGCAGACGGGGATGGGTGAGTGAGTTCTCTATTTATTCCCACAACAGCTGGTTGTTAAAAGAGTCTGGCACCTTCCTTCTCTCTCTTACTGCTTCTCTTACTATGTGATTTTTGCACACGATTGTTCCACTTCATCTTCTTCCATGAGTGGAAGCAGCCTGAAGCTCTCATCGGAAGCAGATGCTGGCTCCGTGCTTCTTGTACAATCTGCAGAATCATGAGCGAAATAAATCTCTTTTCTTTATAATTTACTCAGACTCAGTTATTCCTTTATAGCAATACAAAATAGACTTAAACAATTGTTACTGAAGAGTGTGGTGTCACTACAAGGATACCTGAAAATGTGGAAGCAGTTCTGGAACTGGATAATGGGCAGAGGTTGGAAGAGTTTGGAGAGCTCAAAAGAAGTCAAAAACACTAGGAAAAGTTTAGAATTTCTTAGATATTTGTTAAGTGGTTGTAACCAACATGCTGATAGGAAATTAGATATTAAGGGCCATGCTAACAAGGTTTCGGATGGAAAAGAGGATCTTATTGGGAATGGAGGCAAAGATCACCTGTGTTATGCTTTAGCAAAGAATTTGGCTCCATTGTGTCCATTCCCTAGGGCTTGGTAGAAAGCCAAACCTAGGAGTGATGACCTAAGGGAATCTGGGCAGAAGAAATTTCTAATTAGTAAAGCATTAAGAAGTGGTGTGTCTGCTTTTAATAACTTATGATCAGATATAGCAGCAAAAGAGTGACCTAAAGATGGAAATTACAATTAAAGGGAAGCCCAGCATAAAAATTTGGAAAATTCACAGCCTGGCTGGTAGACAAGGAAAGAGTATTTCCAGGAGGGGAATCTAAAGGTGCTATAGAACAACCCCTTGCTAAAGAGATTTCTGTGACTCAAAGGGAGCCATATGCAAATACTCATAACAGTGGGAAATAGACACCAAAGGCATTTCGGAAATCTCAAATGCAAACCCTCCCTTCACAGTCCCAGAGGCCTAAGAGGACAATTGGTGCCCCTTTCTACCTCAGGATGCTATTCACCACATCTTAGCCACTCTGGCTCCAGCAGGGGCTCATCAAGTTCCATATACTGCTTGGACCACCAATCTGGAGAGAGCAAGTGGCAAATCTTTGCAGCTTCCATGTGGTGTTAAGTTTGTAGGCATTTAGAATGGAAGAGTGGAGTGGACTTATTGGCTTTCAACTAAATTTTAGAGGATGTATCAGAAATCCTGGGAACCCATGGAGAAGTCTACAGCAAAGGCAGAGCTACAAGCAGAGAGCTTCTAGTAGGGCAGTGCCTAGGAGAACTGTGGTAGCAGGGCCATTGACCTCCAGATTCAGAATGATACAGTCACTGGCAACATGCACCTTCAGGCTAGAGAAGCCAGAAGCATTCAGCTTCAACTTATGAGAGCAATATGTGGTCTGCACCCAGCAAAGCCATGAGGCCATGACATCCCTAGGCCTTAGGAGCCTACCCCTCCAACCAGTGTGACTAGGATGTGGGACATGAAGTCAAAGGGAATCATTCTAAAACTTTAAGAGTGAATGTCTGCCCTGCTGGTTTTTAGACTTGTGTGGGGCCTGTTACCCCTTTCTTTTGGAAAAGTTCTCCCTTTTAGGAAAGGAATGTGTACCTAATGATTATACAACCATTGTATCTTAGAAGTAAAAAATATCTAAGATTTTGATTTTACAGAGTCATAGCTAGAAGAAATGTATTATACCTTGAGTTTCAGATGAGACTTTGGACTTTGGACTTTTGAGCTGATGCTGGAACAAGTTTAGACTTTTGAGATCTATAAGGATGGAATGATTATGTTTTGTATGTGAGAAAGACATAAGCTTTGGAGGGTCAGGGGAAGAATGCTATGGTTTGGATGTTTGTTCCCCAAAATCTTCTTTTGAAATTTGAACCCCAATATTGGAGATAGAGGCCTGAGGGAGGTGTTTGAGTCACGGGAACAAACTCTTTATGAATAGATTAATGCCCTCCCTGGGCAGTGAATTCTTGCTCTATTAGTTAGTGCAAGAGCTGGTTGTTCAAAACCAAAAAAAAAAAAAAAAGGCCTGGCACCTCCCCCACCTTCTTGCTTCTTCTTTTGTCATGTAATCTCTGCAAATGGCAGTTCTGCTTTGCCTTCCTCCATGACTGGAAGCAGCCAGAGGCCCTCACCAGAAGCAGATGACAGGATAATGCTTCTTATACAGCCTGCAGAACAATGAGCCAAAGAAACCTCTTTTCTTTATAAATTTCTCAGACTCAGCTATTCCTTTACAGAAACAAAAAAATAGACTAAGATGTTAGGTTAATTGAACACTTGTTAAAGAAGGTATTCTCTATAATATTAGTGCTTTGATATGTATTGCTACTTACTTTATGGTGCAGCATATCATTGACTTCAATACATATATATTCTATGTATACTCAAAAAGAATGCAAGCAATTATAATATATTTGAAACAGTCTAAAATATAGTCAAATTGTTATCTCAGTGTTATTTAAATCCTCAATATCCTTACTGATTTTGTGCCCACATGATTTACCAGTTACATAAAAATGTTTAAAATTTCTAATACTAATTGTATATTTATCTATTTCTCCTTTTAGCCCTATTTTTTTCACATATACTGAAGCCATAATTAGGTGTATGAATGTTTATATTGTTATGCCATTATAGAAAATTGATATTTTCATTATTATGAACTGCTCCATTACTGCCAATGGTCACATTGAGCTTTCTAAAAAATTAGAGCAACTTTATTTTGGTCAGTGTGCATGGCATATTTTTTCCTATCTTTTTTTTTTCAATATTTTAAAGTTAATTAATATCTGTTTTGTAAGTCCAATTTAGGGAGTATTACATACTCAGGGACTACTCTTACCTCCTTGTTTCCCAAGATGAGTTTGTTGCTTTTAAATAAAATGCCTCATTAAAAATAATTTTAAACAAGTACACATATGTACTAAAATGTTCAGTTAGGAATGGTGGCCCTACTAGAAGGAAGTAACCATACCCTTATAGATAATTGTGATAAGGACATACAGGACACATAGAAGAGAATCTGAAAAACAAAACAAAACACAAAGTGATACAAGAAGAGAGGCAATTGTATTGCAATATTTGACTAAAGATTTTGAAAACTTTCTTAGGTAGGAAGATTAAAAAATGGGAAATCAGTATCAGAACCTTACCATATATAGAACATTTTAAATTAGGTAGTTGTTTTCTTAATAGCAAACTACATATAGATTTCATTCCATAGTATTGGCATAGTCATTTACAAATAATCATTTCACTGTCTTCATAAGTTAAATATTAATAAACCAAAGCAAATTGATGATGGCATGAGAGAAAAAAAATCTATTGTAAGTAAGACTGAAAAACATTTTGACTGCATTCTGTAAGTTAATGAAAAAACAAACTATACACAACTGCTATAAAACAATGTAATATGCACTTGCATTTATAAACTATACAATGTTCTCACCATGTCTTGCACAGATGGAGAAAGCACAGCTTAGTTTTAGAGTGTGAGAAGCAGACTAAACTCTGGGCAAGTGAAGAAATTGCTTCAGAAAACTCAATTTGAAATTAAATGAGGAAAAAACGTGTATACTGAATTTGGCAAATGCAACAAATGATATCTGCAGACATTGTTTCAATAGAGGAGTGGGAAAAGCACACCTACAGTTGAGGAAGAGTATGTGAAAGTTGCAGATGTTGAACCAATGAGATGAATCAAGAAGCTCAAGAAGCGTGACAATGAGATTAAAGAGAAAGGTGGTGTAGAAACTAGAGAGCAGCACAGAATCAAGGGAAATCTTTGGGTATTTTTCTTTCAATTGGGGGCTCAATTATATATATAAATATATGACATATATTTATATTATATATATTTGAATATATGATGTATATTTATATATAGATGTATTTATATATGGCATATATTTACATTAATATATATTTATTATGTATGCATGAAATATTTAACATATTTATACTATATATAATTTATAAATATAAATGTATAATGAGAAGAGTAAATTAATAGAATGATTAAGGGGAAGAAAGAAAGAAACTGATGAAGCCAAGTAAAAAGAAGGAGATAAGACAATGCTTTAGGCAGAAGGAGGAGGCAAGTAAGAAAGGATGGATGTGGGGACTGTTTCTAAATCTTGAGGACAAATAAGGGAGGAAGTAGGAGGTAAGAAATTTCTCTCTGGATTGCCTCAATTTTCTTGGTGAGGTAAGGGAAAAGGTCATCCACTGAAAGCAAAAATATAACAGAAATGAAGAGTCCTGAAGGATGATGACAAAGGTTGGAAATATCTTTTGAGAAAATGGAAGTTTAAGCTGAATAAGGCCAAAGGCAAGAATTGCTTTGCAATGTTAGAAGTCCAAGTGAGGTTGAAAATTAAAATTCCAAGGAAAGTAGCATTCTTCAAGATCATATGATTTCCCTCTCAGAATGTGAGAGTACCAAAAAGATAGACATTCAGTAAAATGGATGTGGAAGAGAAAGAACAATGATATTGTTTATACATAAAAATTCATTGAAATATAGGCTTAGATTTGTTTACTTAGCAGTTAGTAAATATTATCTCAATATGCAAGGAAATAAGACAAAGTAAACAGTGAATAAATCACTTCAGGTTCATTACAGTCTGGATTGGGTGGATGCTGTTGACTATTGCAGTCTAGATTCTTGTACCCATAGTAACTACCAGATTCTTGAGCTCAGTATTTCTCAAACTTTGGGGAGCATACAGTACACCTGAGCATCATGTTAAAACACAAACCTGAATCTCAGTAGATCTGAGATAGGATCCAAGATTCTGAATTGCTATGAAACTTCCAGATACTGCTGCTGGTCTGTGGGCCATATTGCTTACAGAACTTCATGCTCCACAAGAATATGTGGGTGAAAAGTAACACTTTTTTTTCAGTTAAATTACTGTTTTTCCTACCTATTAAATTATGTGATCTTTTTAACTCAAATTTCTTTCAATTATTAAGGCCACATTATTTTCCTGTGGATATTTGTAGTTAGGATATATGGCTCCTTATCAAAGGCAGCACTGACACAATCATATAGCCCACACGCTGTGTATAAGCCCTGGTGGGTGGAGTACTTTTTCAGTACTCCTGGCAGAGAAGTTAGCTTCTGTCTCTTCCACCCTATCCTCTCCCAGGATACTAAATGGAATTAGGTTAAACAATTGCTCAGGGCCGAACCAATATAAAACTCATCATAGATTTATTCTGGCATACAAGAGATCAGTTTAATTTAAAAATTATTTGTATGACACTTTTTTTTCACACACTTGTGAAATGATAGAACAAATTTGGAAACTTCCTTAACACAGCAGCTCTGCAGCCATGCCCCCCACGCCTAACTAAACTAAGGCACAAAGATGCTGAGGTCCTTTCTATTTTATGTAGTACCTCTTAGGTCAATTGGAAAAGTTCCGATTGAATCGGTGGAGGTACTTCAGTTATATGCAATGTTCTGAAAGATTTCAAATTTCAGTGATTAGAGAGTGGGATAATCTACAACTTGCATTTTATCCTTACTTGGGTTAGGAAATTAAATTTCCTGCTGATTATGGTTTGTGAATATTAATATTTCACATAAAATGCACACCAACACATAGAGATAATGGAAAGTGAGTTAAAAATTTTTTATACTTCTTGATGAAAATAGTCTTAGTGGAGAGTTCGTTACAAAACAAATGGCAATTTCAGGAGGTATTCACATGCTTAACAAATATTTAATATCTTTAAAAAAGAAATTTCAAATGAATAATTGTTTTATTGATTAGTTTATTTTACTCATTTTAAAATACAAAAGGAGGTAGACAGGCATTTAAAATAGAGGAACATCATTTTCGAAATTATTTACCTACAAAGATTGCTTCAGATCTTAATAACAGTGGTTTATAGATCTGGTCTTATCAAATAACTACAACAAACAACTAAATAAGAATGCTTATTGTTGTGTGTCTAGAACATATCAGGCACTTTACATATATTATTTTGTTGACTTATCTCAATAAAATTAAGTATATACGTAGAGTCAAGAAATGACGCCAATATGTAGCAGCGTCAGAATTAAAACTTAGGTTTCCCTCAACCTAAAACTGATAAATATTTCACCTTATGACACCCCCATACAATAGGAATTATGTTCTAAACCCAAGCATTTAAATTCTGGTGTTTAAAGGGACCTTAAAATATGAGCTACTTAAAATATTTCTCCATTTTTGATACTGTAAAACTAGTATTTATTTATTAACTCATCATCATTAATCACTGCCTGAACATCCTGAGTTTTTCTACTATAACACATTCAACTTCTACCATTATATTTAAATAATGAGGGTTATGTTTTAAATTTTTCATCAATGTGGTCATTGTGATGTAGTTAACCAAAACATAAGACCAAGTTATTGATGGCTCAATACTCTGATGACAGGGTAACGTTTGCCGCAAAACTGTAGTTGGGGCAACAGAACACAGGATATGATGCATATACACACGAAATTCTGTCAACCACACTTTTCAGAAAAAAGATCCATAGAAAGTTGTCATAAAAAGAACACCCGGTGGTTTATTTATAAGTTTCTGTTGTCATCAAGCTCTCCATTGAACTTATACTCTATAGTGAGAATAGTAAATCTAACAGATTTCTCATTCACTTGGGTTTAATATATATATACACACATATATGTACATATATGTACATACATACATATATATGTACATACATACATATATATGTACATACATACGTACATACATACATATATATGTACATACATACATATATATGTACCCATGTATGTACATATATGTATATATGTACATACATATATATGTATATATATACTATATATATGTATTTTTTGCAAAAGTGTTTAATTGTATTTTATACAAATTAGAAAAATGTATTTCCCTTTTAGGAGAGTATATTTTTTGGGGTAAAATACTAAAGTACAGAAATGAATATTCTAAGGTACTTAATGCTTTGAGATACTTAAATTAGCAGTCCCATAAAACAAGCAACTTAACCAGAATCAATTTGAGTAAACTTGCCTAAAACAAAAATTATTTTTGCTATACAATGCAAGAAACTATTTTTAATCATTTATAAATATAATATTAAGTATTATATATTTTATTTTTATGTAAAGTCTTTTATATATTTTTTCATTCACACATAATTTTAGTAACATTCATTTATAGAAGCAAAATTATTGACAAAGTTATTTAATTACAATTCTTGTATTCTTGTATTCCAAAATTATATTTGTCAAACCATAACTTTTACTTTCCTTTTCAAAAGCAATATCCAATATGTAACTATTTAGTTACTTTGGTCACCTTAAATTCCAATTATACCATGGTGCTTCATAGAACTATCTGTGTACAACTCTGGATTGTTGAAGTATTATATCAATTCATCATTGTTCTTTTTCTAATTTAGCTTTTTGTTTAGTGAACGTATCTTTAAAGCTTTGTTAAATATTAGGGTAGCCCCATAAATTATATGTTCGTAATTATTAAACAAACTCAGATCTTGATTACTGATAAAGAATATTAATTGCGCAGCTACCTATCTTCATCAGTTTTGGATATCCATGCTGATTTTGTGTAGGGAAAATAGAAAGTAGCTAATAATCTACTTTATTGGAATGGGGAAACCTTCTGAGACAAGAAGAGCGTGAGGATCCACCCCTGAGCCAAACAGGAATCTATATCTGGAAAGTCCAGTTCATATAGTCTGCAAAAATAAACATAAGAGAAAAATAAGTAAATAAATAAAAACAAATCAAAAGAGAATCAAGCAACAAAACAACCACAGTAACAAAAAACACCTAAAGATTCTGTGTCCAAAAAATGTAACCAGACTTGCTAGCGAATTAGCATCTGCAATAATAGGAATAGAATTTCTTGATGAGAGAATGTCCTGAGAGCCATGGGATTAAGGTCTTTTGAGATAGGATCCAGCTTCTTAGACCTACCTTACTGGCAAACCACTCAAAGAAAGCCCTTATGCTGCAAACAGAGGGATCAACTTCAGACAGGAAACAAGCATATATTTCTTTTTTCATACCTGGTAAAACATACAAACAGAAAGATAAATCAAAGACAGGAAGTAGACATGCACATCTTACTCTCCAGACTTAGTATAAGCCTCTAAGACAGTATTCCAGTTGGGTTCCTCACAACAAGATCTGTGCACACCCTCCCTCATAGGCCAGCCAGCACAGAATTGCTTCTGATGTCTTCAGGCCCTGTCTTCTTTCAGCTAGCACATTCCCTACCTTGGCTGAAAATAACAGCTGTAGGTTTGGATTGCTGCCCACAGGATACCAATAGCCCTTGTATACAAGAATGAGAAGAAAGATTATTTCTCTTGCACTGCTGACAGATGGAGAAGAAAAGGGTTAGTAAAAACATAACAATTTGAAAATGATTTTAAGCTGAAATTTTTGCTTTTCTATTCTTAACTTAATATAAGACTTCAGACAAAAATTTATTGAATATATAACTGGTGCTAGTTATAGATTTTAGGTACAGAGAATTCAGCAGTAAAAAAGAGGCAAATCCCTGTTTTCATAATACTTATATTCTGCTCATCTTGTCTTGCTGTAGGCTTGTTTTATACAAGGATGTCGCTGTCTTTTTTTTAAAGCTTAACTGAGATATATTTTACATACCATAAAATTTGCCCATGTAAAGTGGTCAATTTAATAGTGTTTAGTATGTTCACAGTTGTGGGGATCATCAGAACCTCATTTTAGAGCATTTTTGTCACCCTCAAAAGCAAACTGGCCAGGCACAGTGGCTCATGCCTGTAAATCCCAGCACTTTGGGAGTCCAAGATGGGAGGATCACCTGAGGTCAGGAGTTCGAAACCAGCCTGGCCAGCATGGGGAAACTCCGTCTCTACTAAAAATACAAAAATTAGCTGGGCATGGTGGTGGGCTCCTGTAATCCCAGCTACTTGGGACGCTGAGGCAGGAGAATCACTTGAACCTGGGAGGCGGAGGTTGCAGTGAGCCGAGATTACATCACTGCACTCCAGCCTGGGCAACAGAGTGAGACTCAGTCTCAAACAAAACAAAACAAAACAAAACAACAAAAGAAAACTCACACCCAATACAGGTACTCCTCTCTCCATCCTCCTAGTTCAAGGCAACCAGTAATATACTTTTTGTAATGTATGTATATATAGGTATGCTAATTTTGTACTTTTTATATAAATGGAATCATCTAATATGTAATCCTTTTGTTCTTTAACTAACCACAATGTTTTTAAGATGTATCCATATTGTAGCATGAATCAGTACTTCATTCCTCTTTGAGGATATCTGCTTGCTTGTACAGTTAATTTAAAATGAGATCTGTCCTAGTTTATGCCTTTTTTAGACTTTCCCATACTCTGTAGAAAATTTCACTTTTAATTGAGAATAAACTTTGAATGAGATGGTTTAATTATAGAACTAGAAAATACTGGGAGAGCATCTAGTCAACTTACAGGCTATATAAAGCAAACAAATAAGAATTATTGTGATCACAACATAATGCCTGTTTAATATTATTTTTATAAAAGTATTGCAAAAAAATTACCCATAAAATTATATACCCTATAATTTTCACTAGTGTCTTCTCTATCTCTCAATTTAATGTACCATCCATTATATAAAATTTTAAAAAGATATCAGCCAGTAAAATCATATCTATCATCAATATCTATCCAACTATTTTTCTAGACTGCCTGAAGTCTTACAGAATATATCTTTTTTAAAAAATCACAATGAAGAGTGCTTGAGATTTTAATGTTGGAAAACAAGATGAAAATTTTGCAGTCTTTTCAGAATTTACAAATAAGCTCTTTGGCTTCTAGACGAAATAAATATAGCAGAGTACATGTCATCTAAACAGCACCCACCACAGTTTTTTTGAAAGTATTCAGTCTCCACTTAAGCTTACATTCCTCAAGTAAAAAGATCCATTTAAACAATTATATATCAAATGACTTGGAAGTTTCTAACGAAATGCCTTTACATTTTCTTGAACTTTATTTAACTCTTATCCTGAGGTTTTCTTATGGTACTCATATTTATTTTATATTTTAATTTCTGTATGACTTCTGGTGTTGTAGCATTTTTACTTTCAATTAATGTTTCTGGACTAAAACCTCTCTTCTCTTTTTCCCAACAATATCAACAAGTAGACTCCTTAGGTATTATGAGTTATGTTTAAATGTTCCTTTCTGTAATTACTGTAATATAAGTGCAGGTGCCATGCTCAGAGTTTGTATTTCAAAATTATACCTACATTTCCAGAGTAGGTGTCTGCCTCAACGTGTACTCAGAATTATTTACGTAGTATTCATTTTAACTGACTTCCTATTTCATCATTGATGGTAGAACTTGAGGAGTTTTAGGAATTCCATTTAAACATTTAGTCCCATTTGACATATGTAAATAGTGCAGGAATCTCTTACCGATTTACAAAACTTGAATGTAGCTATTATTTAGCTTGGTTCTTTTCCTATATTTAATACACTTTTCCTATATTTAATACACTCTTAAATCCTAATTTATATTTTATTAAAATATAATTTATATTAACTTATATTTTAAGATCTATTTTCATCAGTCCTTAAGGTCCATATTAAGGTATATATTAAGAACAAGAAAAGTTGATGTGGTAAAGAGAGGTAAACAGTAAAATATTATCTCAGAGAGCCACTTGAGAAAAATGTCTCAGGAAGAAACTTGAATGCATGTTTCAAAAGAAGTAACTGCCTCTTAATTGCAGCAAGGATTCCCAATCTCTATGACCTTACCTCCAGTTTTTCTCTAGCCTTCTTATCAAGGCTGCAAGATCCTGCACAACTGCTCAGGCTTAAGCCATAATGGAGAAAGAACACAAATGCCTAGACCAAGTAAGATTTCTGGTGCTGAAAGTTTGGACAGGCTCTGATCTATAGAAAATGTGTATTTTATGCCAGAAACATTTTCATATTGAGTCCAGCTAAAAGCAGCACATAACAATTAAATAACTTTTGGTTGGCAAGCTGGGGATAAATCTAGGATTGTTTGTTAGGGTTCTAAAGTTATCTTTTAAGCTTTCCTTGAGTGTCACCTCCTTGCCTCCAGGAGTGCAATGTGAACATTTGGGACTTACTTGTGGTTCTCAGTTTAATGACATTCTTAGTGTTCTCTCTCCATAGTTCTCAAACCTAAGTCCTTCCTCAGCTTCTTTAGAAGTTTCTACAAAGACCCCATAGGCTCTGTGACCTCATAACTACAAGTTATAATTTTATAATACATAGATTGGATTTCCATGGTTCTTATTTTATCTTTTTTAAATCACAGGACAATAATTATATTTATATTGGTTTCTTTCAGTAACTTTGTATTAATCTTTTAGACACCTACGATTTTATAGGACTATATTTATAGGAATATTTATAGAAATATGTAGAAATAGGAAATATAGAACTAAAAGGAACAACTCTGAAGCATCAGATGCTAAACAAGATGGGTGATATAGTTTGACTGTGTCCCCGTTCATATATCCACTTGAATTTTATCTCCCAGAATTCCCACATGTTGTGGGAGGAACCCAGGGGGACGTAATTAAATCATGGGGGCTGGTCTTTCCAATGCTATTCTTGTGATAGTGAATAAGTCTCATGAGATCTGACGATTTTATAAGGCAGAGTTTCCCTGCACAAGTGCTCTCTTTGCCTGCTGCAATCCATGTAAGATGTGATTTGCTCCTCCTTGCCTTCCACCATGATTGTGAGGCTTCCCTGGCCAAGTGAAAGAGGTTCACTACACCTCTTTCTTGTATAAATTGTCCAGCCTCTGGTATGTCTTTGTCAGCAGCATGAAAACAGACTAATTCAGTAAATTGGTACTAGTAGAGTCAGACATTGTTGAGAAGATACCCAAAAATATGGAAGCGACTTTGGAACTGGGTAACAGGCAGAGGTTGGAGCAGTTTGGAGGGCTCAGAAGGAGACAGGAAAATGTGGAAAAGTTTGGAACTTCCTAGAGGCTTGTTGAATGTCTTTCACAAAAATGCTGATAGTGATATGAACAATAAGGTCCAGGCTGAGGTGGTCTCAGATGGAGATGAGGAACTTGGGAAGTGGAGGAAAGGTGACTCTCGTTATGTTTTAGCAAAGAGACTGGGAACATTTCACCCCTGGTGTAGAGATCTGTGGAACTTTGAACTTGAGAGAGATGATTTAGGATATCTGGCAGAAGAAATTTCTAAGCAGCAAAGTAATCTATATGACTTGGGTGCTGTTGAAGGCATTCAGTTTCATAAGGGAAACAGAGCAGCATAAAAGTTCAAAAAAATTTACAGCCTGACAATGCAATAGAAAAGAAAATCTCATTTTCTCAGGAGAAATTCAAGCCAGTTGCAGAAATGTGTGTAAGTAATGAGGAGCCAAATGTTAATCCCCAAGACGATGGGGAAAATGTCTCCAGGGCATGACAGAAGTCTTCATGGCAACCCCTGCAATAACAGGCCCAGAGCCTAGGAGGAAAAAATGGTTTCATGGGCCAGGCCTAGGGTCCCTGTGCTGTGTTCAGGCCTTCGGGTGCACAGAAGTCAAGAATAATTGAGGGGAATATCCACCTAGATTTCAGAGGATTTATGGAAAATGCCTGGATGCACACAGAAGTTTGCTGCAGGGGCGGGGCTTCCAGGGAAAACTTGTGCTAGGGTAGTGCAGAAGGGAAATGTGGGGTCAGTGCACCCACACAGAGTCCCTACTGGGGCACCACCTAGTGGAGCTGTGAGAAGAGGGCCACCATCCTCCAGACCCCAGAATGTTAGATCCACTGACAGCTTGCACTGTGTGCCTGGAAAAGCTGCATTCAACACCAGCCCATGAAAGCAGCTAGGAGGGAGGCTGTACCCTGCAATGCCACAGAGGCAGAGCTACCCAGGGCCATGGGAACCCACCTCTGGCATCAGCATGACCCAGATGCAAGACATAGAGTCAAAGGAGATCATTTTGGAGCTTTAAGATTTGACTGTCCTGCTGGATTTCAGACTTGCATGGGGCCAGTAGCCCCTTTGTTTTGGCCAATTTCTCTCATTTGGAATGGCTGTATTTACCCAAAGCCTGTACCCGCATTGTTTCCAGGAAGTAATTAACTTGCTTTTTATTTCACAGGCTCATAGGTAGAAGGGACTTGCCTTGCCTCAGATAAGACTTTGGACTGTGGACTTTTGGGTTAATGCTGAAATGAGTTAAGAGTTTGGGGGACTGTTGGGAAGGCATGATTGGTTTTGAAATGTGAGGACAAGAGATTTGGAGGGGACAGAGGCAGAGTGATATGGTTTGGCTGTGTCTCCATACATGAATACTTGAATTGTATCTCCCAGAATTCCCACGTTATGGGAGGGACCC
Organism: Homo sapiens; assembly: GCF_000001405.40. NCBI lineage: Eukaryota > Metazoa > Chordata > Mammalia > Primates > Hominidae > Homo > Homo sapiens. The sequence goes on from NC_000001.11 coordinate 103,237,220, forward strand.
CGGGGGAGGTAATTGAATCATGGGGGCCAGTCTTTCCCATGCTATTCTCATGATAGTGAATAAGTCTCATGAGATCTGATGGGTTTATCAAGGGTTACTGCTTTTGCTTCTTCCTCATTTTTCTCTTGCTGCCACCATGTAAGATGTGCCTTTCACCTCCTGCCATGATTCTGAGGCCTCCCCAGCCATATACAACTGTAAGTCCAATTAAATTTTTTTGTTCCCAGTTTCAGATGTGTCTTTATCAGTAGCGTGAAAATGAAATAATACAATGGGTGATACGTAAGGTGGTCACACATCTTGGTTTGCATGTTTTCCTACAGTGATTATCAATAGCATAACCTTTCTGTCTTAGTCTATTTTTGTGTTGCTATAAAGGAACACTTGAGGATGGATAATTTATAAAGAAAAAAAGTTTATTTGACTCACAGTTCTGCAGGTTGTACAAGAAGTGTGGTGCTACCATCTGCCTCTGGTGAGGCCCTCAGCTGCTCTTCCTCATAGCTGAAGGTGAATCACATGGAGTGAGAGAGAGAAGGGGGAAAGGTATCAGGCTCTATTTAACAATCAGTTCTTGTGGGAACTAATAGAGTAAGAAATCACTCATTACTTTGAGCACTACACAAAGCCATTCATGAGGGATTTGCCTCCGTGACTCAAACACCTCTCATTAGGCTGTCAACTCCAACATGGAGAGTCAAATTTCAACAAGATTTGGAGGGATCAAACAAGTCATATCCAAACTATAGCACTTTTATACCCAAAAACGTTCTGATCTGAACAAGTTATATGGTTAACCATATGTATTTATGCATTTGTCTCCCCCAACATTCTATAGCTTAGCTGTGCATAGGCACTTTTTTGTTGTTTTTCCTTGTGGGACTTCATTGATTTGAGCTGTAGGCATCATACAATGTCATTGAGTGCTGATGGGTAATGATCTTCATTTACAAGCATTCAAAATCACAGAGTATATTAACTCCCTCTCTACAACTATCCCTAGGCTTTCCCTAGAAAGTACCTCTTTTTAAAACAACTGTATTGATATATAATTGAAATATAAAATGTGTATATGTTTAACTTGTATGATGTGATGCTTTGATATCATATACATTATGAAGTAATTACCATAATCAAGTTAATTGACGTATCCATTACCTCTACATAGTTGCTATTTTGTGTGTGTATCTATATGTGTTGTATGTGTCTGTTGAGAAGATTTAAAGATCTATCTTCTTAACAAATTTCACATATACACTACAGTATTTTAACTATCATCACCATGGCAAGGTACTCTTAAACACGATACAAATAGATCTCCACGTCAGGTCAATAGTGAAAAGTATTTTGTTTGCTTTCATAAAATCCATTACTTCCTTTTCCCGACAGTTCTACTCTAAGTTTCCTTTGGAATAAAAAATGCAACCTTTCCCTTCTCTCAGTCAAATGGTCCCAGCTCCAAGAGCCCCCTGATTGGAATAAACCAATAAAAGATTGTCTTAGGAGTGACCCATAGCCAATCAGAGCCAATGAGATGTGGTAAGTCATCTGTGGGATTTTTGGGAAAGAGAAGTCTTCTGTATTTTTTTGTATTGGTCATTGTGATAATGTAAGCCCAGAGCAACTGGAAGTCTGACAATGGAGACACAACAGAGGATGGAGTCCAAAGAGATGCATCAAAAAACAGCATTTGAGCCCTGTAGCCAACCAACCTTTTAAATAATATGAAGTAACAGATTAATTTTGGTTTAATCTAGTAGATCTCAATTGCAGGTAATTTTGTCCTCCAGGGAATATTGGGACATCCTTGGAGACATTTTTTACTTTCACAACTGAGGATGTGAGTGGGGGTCAGTGAAGGAGTTGTTATTTGTATCTAGTGGGTAATGATCAGGGATGCAGGTAAAATTCCTGCAGTGCCCAGGACAGGCCCAGACAACAAAGAATTACTTGGCCTAAAATGAATGTCAATAGTGCTGAGGCTGAGAAATTCCAGTTTAGACCACTTTGAGCTAAATTATCTGTCATTTATAAAATTAAAGATCCTACATAATACAAAGGCTCTCTGTGGAGAAAAGTCCCATCTGCAAATCATTGACTCCATTAACTTTTTAGATTAAAAAATAGTAAGTCAAATCACATCAATCCTGTGCTCTAAAACACCCAGTGGCTTCCCATCCCCTCAGTATAAAATCTAAAATACTTGTTATTGCCTATATCAGGAATTGGCAAACTTGTTCCGTAAAAGGCTTGATATTAAATATGTTCTATAGCAACAAACAACTTTGTTCTTGTAGCGTGAAAACAGCTGTAAATAATGCAAAAACGAGGGAACATGCTGTATTCTGATACAACTTTATAAATGCTGAAATTTGAATTTCATGCAGTTTCCATATGTCACAAAGTATTGTTTTACTTTTTATATTTTATCCCAAACATTTAAAATTGAAAAAACTCTTTGAACTCAGAAGCCATATAGAAACAGCTGGTGGGTCAAACGTGGGCCACAGGCTGTAGTTTGGTAACTCCTGATTTGCATGATCTGCACTTTCCTCCATAGATTTCATTCACTTTACCACATTTGCTCTCTTCAAGGACCACCATTTACTCTGCCCTCTTTGCTGTTCCTTGCACATACCATCACAATGCCTTTGCACAAGCTATGCTTTTCACCTAGAATGTGCTTTCTCCTAATCTTTGAATAGCTAGCTCCCTTCACCTTTTAAAGTAAGTCTTCTCTTATTATCACATCTGAAACCATGACCCCTATCCTCATACAGTGCTTTCTTTCTCCTCTAATGCTCATCACCAGTGGAGCCATGGAACCACATACTATGTTTCATTGGTTTCTTTCCCACCTCCTCTCAATAGAATGTAACCTTCATGAGAGAAGATACTTTCTGTTTCTTTCACGGCTGCATCCAGAACAATGCCTGGCATAAAATATGTACTCCATGAGAATTTTTTTTTTGCATGAATGAATTGTTATTTATATTTTTCAAAATTCCTATTGATTTTGGCCTTCATCTCAAATAACCTTTTGAGGCTCTACATGATTGGGAGCTGGTTGTTGATTTTGCTCCCTTCAGTTTCTTTAACCGCTAATATTTTGTACATTGTTCCATAACATGACTGTTGCATAAATCTCCTCTCTGCTAATGGTGAGACTCTTCAATCTAGCTGAGCTGCATTCAGTATCATTTTAACCATTAATAAACTTCCATAACTCTGAAGCTAAGGTGATCCTCCTTGTGTATTATAAGAGAACGGTGGTGCCCCAGCCTGCTCCCCTTACTGTGTCTGCTGGGTTAGCTTTTAGATGCTCACAGCTGCACTACATTTTTCAGAAACTTGCCCTCAGCCAATGGGAATCATCTTCGTAAGAAAATTATGCCTAAGGAAGTTGCCCACAGCCAATAACTATTATTAGTAACTAGTAGGAAATAAATAGAATAGGTTAGGCCTTTTGCCTCAGAGAGATGATTCTAAGGTGCAGTTTAAGCTTTACAGCCCTTCTTCTCTGGCTTAGGCCAGGAAGTCTTTTTCTAAGATCATATCTTTGTTAATCCCCTTTCCTTTCCTATACTGCTTCACTCTCTCTACTCAGATTTTTTTCTGATGAGCACCCCCTAGTAAACCATATACACCCAAATTTTCATCTCCAATTCTGCTTCCAGGAATTTTTTCCTAATTTACTAAATATATCAACTCTTACACAATGTACAGAATAAATAGGTGCACCCAAATCTATTCTAACAAACTCAAAATCATAGCATTATTATACGATTGGATATAAAAACCTCAGTTTTAGAGCACAAAGTAAGATGCATTCCATCTACTGATAACTTTCTTCTGGAATGTAGCAGCAGCAAAGGTTGATTAAATTATCAAATGAATTATTTTCTGTTCATCAATATGCAGCCTGTGCTCCCATTAACAGATTTGACTGCTCAAATGAATGCATGTTTAAAATTCAGTTTATTAATATAGATGCAGATGTTTATATAAAAAATATTTTTATATATGAGTATGTAATATACACACTTTGTTTTCTGAAAGGCTGCAAAAGCAATAACACCCCTGGAGTCATAAGCACACCTATTCACTAGACCTTAGTTTCTAATATCATTCTCTGATTAAATGAATCAGAGCTTCTAATGAAGCCCTTAGAAATGACTGATTCTAAGACTGAAGACAAGATAAGCCTGAACCATTTTGTAGTGCAGGAGGTAAAATTACAACAATAAAAACAAAAACCCACGAACAATGGTGGGGGTATATCTAATTTGCGCATAAGCCAACTGAAGGACTGCCAAAGGGCCAAAGATGGAACAACTTCAACAATGAAATAAATAATATTATATTGGATTAGAACCCAAAGAATATAAATCTGTGAACTCATACTGATATAAAATGAGAGAGAATAGACAAATATCCTCTGCAGAAGAATTTCAAATATATTATATAGACACTCCATACTCAAGGTGGTGGAGCATAACTTCTACCTCTTAGGTGTCGGATACGCATAGTGACTTCCTTCCAAATACACAATACGATAAAAGAGAAAAAATAAGTTTGCGTGGAGAAAGCTGGCAAATTCCACCTCAGCCAGATGATCAAGGCTAACACCAGCATTGATGTCATGTTGATAGTATGTTAACTTCATGTGATACGATGAGAATGATGCTTATTCTCTGTGGTCTTCCTCCCCAAAAGCCCTTAACTCCAGTCACATGAGAAAAACATCAGAAAAATCCCAATTAAGGGACAGTCTACAAAGTATCTGACTCTTCAAAGCTGTCAAAGACATGAAAATGAAGAAAGTTTGAGAGACTGTCACAGCCAATAGCAGTCTAAGACATAACAACCAAATGTAATGTATCCTGATTAAATTGTAAAACAGAAAAAGACCATTAGGTCAAGCCTAAAGATAGATGAGTAAAATGTAGATTATAATTAATAATCATGTATCAATTTTGATTTATTAATTGTGACATACAGACAATGTTAAAATAAAATGCTATTTATAGAAGAAACTTGGTGTGGGGTACACAGAAATCCTCTGTACTATCTTCACCACCTTTATATAAGTCTACAATTATATAAATAAAAATTTATTTAAAACCTAAAATTTTTAATTTAGAATTACAACCTTAAGATTTTAATATTCAAGGATTTTTAAGTTCAAGAGAATGCTTAATTCACATTAGAATATTATGAATATCATTTTGATTATTACTGAAGGAAACCACTTTGAAACTTCCAAAAGAATATTAATATTTTATATGCCCAAAGACTTTAAAGTTAGAATACTTTGGCATTAGCAATATTCAAAGAATTTTCATCAAAATGAAATTATTAACATTTTCAACAATGCTTTGGCAGTATTTTTTATAATATGTATCATGTTTGGTTAAGAACTGCAATATTTATAATGACATTACAACAAATTCATAACATTCTATGACTGTAGAAGCTTTTCATTGATTTTTAACTTACTTAACCTAAGAATTTTATGTATTTTATAGGGAATAGAATTTGGTGGAATGAGCACTAATGTTTCTTTGGCATTTGTGCTCCACTGTGCATTAACTACTTAGGGTCTCATATTTGTCATCCAGTTCCTTCCCACCACACTCTAAGAAACCCATAGTTTAACTAATTTGAGAGACAGAGAGACTCACTGACTGTAATGCAGCCCCACTGAAACATCAGTAACTGAGAAAAAGCAGAGTCTTCATCTATGATACTCACTCTTTTATCCCCAGAACCTAGAACAATGACTGGAGAATAGAGGATCCTCATCAAATAAGTATTGAATAAATGTGTGAGAATATATGACTTTATCTAATATAACACAATTACTCGGAATAAAATCCAACGTTATTACTGCTGCTTACCAGGCCCTATCATGAACTCATCTCATGGCAGGTGGACAGTACGCTTCCCTGAAGGAGAAGCCTTAAAGGAAAGATATCTGCCAAGAGTCCATAACCACCAAATGCAGGGTACTGAACATAGTGGGTATCAAATCCTTGAATTTTCAATGAGTTTATCAATGGGCCACAAATAAAAGAGAAATTTAGGCAAATTGGGAAAAGGGTTTAGATTTTCTTCAATTTCACTTTCATGAGTAAATTACTTTGCTCAGAGGAATTATGTAAATGAAAGCTCTGATTAGATAATATATGCAAACTTCTATTTTTCAGGAGTTGATCTGATTCATTTATTGCATACTTTTCCTATTTACCAGATTGTATAGTTTTTATGCTGTCTGTAACACAGGAAAAAAATAATAAAGCACCATGCTATCAAGTGACTACATTTATAAATAGCTTAAAGGGAAACATAAAAATGGAAACCCAAATGCAGACATATGTTGAAGCAATGCTATGTAATTACCAATGGATACAAAGAAGAGACAGCTTCTCTGACATACATTAAGCCATAAAAACTGAGTTGTCTCTGGAAATTCCATTTTATTATGCAATATATTTCTAGGGAAAGTGGGAAGTAGATAAATATAGAGTCTACATATGAGTGCTGTATAAATGGAATTTGCATTACGGTGAAATCATTGCTTTAGCACTTTTCTACTTTAAAAAAATCATAAAACAAATATATAGCATCTAAAGTTATTTTTAAAACTTCTGAAATTTATTTTTATCTTTGAGTTTAATCTCTTCTAAAGGCCATTTAAATAAGTACATGAGAATATAATTCATTGCTCTACAAATGCTAAGCTAATTTATTGTCAATGACAGTGGTATTTTTAATTTTTTAGAAGTAATAATATTTATAAATTATTCAGATAATAACTTATTTTTCAACTCACATCAAGGTTGAGTGTGTAGGCTAGACATCCAACTGAAAGGATTAATCTAAGCCAAAATAGATATTTTAATGCTTAAACCTTTCATGATTTTTTTTTGAGGGAGGCAGGGGGTATATCCTTCTTTACAATTGTTTGCACCTGCCAAAGGAAATTTTCTTCATTGATCTTTCTGGATTAAAAGCCAATATGGTCAGTCCCTAGATTCCTATATTTTTGCCTCCTTTTATTAAAGTTAATCCAAGGACTAGAATTAATGAAGATGGTTCTACATGCTGCTATACTGCCCAGCTAACTTCACATTGTTGGTAACAGAAAGCACAGAATGCAAGAAGCAAAATCTTCAAGACTGTCATGCCCATGGATATTAAATAGACATTTGTTTCATGACTGCTATTTTGTCCCCATCAACTCACAAATAAATTCTAGTGTCATCCAAAGGAAAACTTTTTTGCTTTTGGTTGGCTGAAAACAGAGAAGGCATTTTTGGACAAACAATATAACCCACAATCTTGAAAAAAAAAAATAGTTGATAGACCAGATGGCTGAACCTGCATCCGCAAAACTCAAAAGAATAGAGAGGTGTACTGAATTCAGCTAAAAGGCATCTCATAGTGCTAAACATTGCAGGAAGAGGCAGAGAGGGATGTGCTTAGCAGCCATCTATTTACACACATACTGAGAAGCTCTTCTTCTGTACCAGGCACTGCATTAGGGCTGGAGACGTCGGAGATTCCATACTCTTATAGAGTTCATATTCTAGTGGGGAAAATGTAGGAAAATGACTAACAACAGTTAGTTAACAGCACTTGAGAATAACAGTAAGAGAGGCAATAGTAATGTCAGAAATATTAACTGCCATTTTACAGTGTCTGCCTTGTCAAGCATTGTGTCATATTTTCAATCTTATTGATCTCACATCAAACATTGGACATAATTATGTACGAATGAGACAGGGACATAAAAAAGGTTAAATAGTTTACCAAATATGTGGAAAGTAGTCAGTGGTGGTGTCAGGGTTTGTATCTTGGTCTGTTTGTCTAAAACCCAGGCCTTTTTACTTTCTTACGTTGCCTTTCAAAAATAGCCAACAATTTAAGGTGGAAAATAAACCCCTTCCTAAAAAAGAAAAACATAATTTTCTCTTCTAGAAATACAATATCTAGAGGCAGGATGACATTTATACACTATGAGACTTAATAGCATTGTGGTTAATAGCAAAAATTCTGTAGTCAGACATTCTGAGCTCTAGCTCCACCACTAACTAGCTGTTCCATCATAGGCCAATTACTTACCCCTTCTTTGCCTCTTTTTTTCTCATCTGTAAAAGGGACTATAACAGTATTTCCTTCTTTGGCTCCTTATGAACATTAATTGATACATGTATAGTGCTGATAGCAGTGCCTAACTACAAGCAATGAACTAATGTTAACTATTATTGTTATATCTGTACTTTCTGGACTGAAAGGAACAGACTGAAGTGGACACCTAACTTTTAAGAAAGTCTGTTAATAATCCCATCTCTCTCCAAAAATTTTAGTTTCCCATATTCCTATGTTTCTTCCACTCCCAATAAATATTGGTTATTCATCTATATGTCCCTTTCTCCTTCATTTCAGTGGCTTCCGTATACTTTTTAATCTTCCATTCTTATTCTCCTCCCATTATATTCTTTAATATAATATAAATCTTATATTTTCACTCTTTCTTTTTCTTATGTCTCCATTTCAAACTTGAAGTGAAATTCCATTTCAAAGTTGAGTTATAATTTATACTATAATTTTTACATGATTTTTTCTTACATTGACCCTACTCTACAACTCCTGCTGATCAATAAGTATTTTATAATGTTACTTTTCCCCCTTTTCTGAGATTCTAGTGCAGTATTTAATGCGGCATTTTGCACACAGGCAAACGATACACATTTGTTGATTAGGTGAATGAGACTTTTCTGCCAACATTTTGCAAATTTACATCCCCTATTGAAAGTGAAGAAGACTAGGATTGTCCTTGTTTCCTACCTTATTTTTCTGTGTGTCTTTCAATTTACTTTTGGATTCAGCCTTTTTCTGTAAGAGCCTTAGTGTATTGTATTATGTTTTGTCATATCTTACTGTATGTTCTCTCTTTTTAGAAAACATTTACTTTGATTTGTATGAACCATTTCCACCTGCAAATATCTCCTTTTTAACTGCCCTTTGGATGCATTACAAATGAACATGAACATTTTCCAAACTTTACGCCAGTGCCAAGGTGGAGTGGGTTCTTCTGACCACTACATTTTTATAAACAAAACTCACACCGTAATTTTCCCTGAAATTACATCACAGGATTTTACATCCAAAGCATGAACATCTTTGGATAAAAGAGGCCACCAGAAGTGAAAATAGATGTAGGAAAATTATATATTTTACTTTGTAAGGTTTATATTCAGCACATTTTGAGCCAAATCTACCCCTTAGATGTAGTCACACATTTCTATGGATCTTTAATGGTTGGGTATCCAAGCACAAAACACTTTGAAACAATTAATTTATAATCAAAACCCTTTGAAATTCCATAGAAATGAACAATTCTTAATTCAAATGCAATCAGCCTATGATAATTTTACTTTCAAGGTGGAATAAAAGTATATTTAATATACCATCTAGGTGATTTACACTACTACAAGGAAAATATCTTCCTCCAAAATCAACATCAAAATCTTCTCTATAACTAAAGCCATTCTTAAGTTTCAGCTTAAATGTGCCACTCTATAAGTATTAACTATCATCTCAATGCTATCCCAGGAAAGCCATGAGGTGAAAACAAACAAACAAACAAACAAACAAAAAACCAGCAGAATCTCCCGAATTTGTCTCCTGGTTTGATACTTGAAGCATGGCTCTCAGAACAGAAGCAGAAGCATCTGTTTTGGACAAGCACTTCTCAAACTTGAGTATGCTTACGATTTAACCTTGAATCAAAAGGGGTGGGGTGAGGCTGAAATTTTATTTTTCTAATAAGCTTCCAGGTGGTACTAAGGCTGCTACCCTGTGGTCCACACTTTGATTAGCAAAGGTTCTAGAAATCAAGAGTAACTACTGGTTATGTTGTACCTTAACATCCTACCCATAATTATATTATTTCATGACAGTACAAACTTCAATAAGTATATCTACCAAGTACTTTGAAAATAGCAAATATTTATTGAACACACATTTATGAAATAAAATTTGAAAGTAAAAACTTTTTATAAAAGGAAAGAGTTAAATAACTGATAAAACTTTCTGAAGCGTAAAAGTCTCTGTGGAAAAAGTCAGAGAAATGTTATGAGACTATTGAAAGGAAATATATGTATTCACTGAAAAATAACACTCATGTTGAGGCCATGATTTAATTCAGTGTTTCACTTGATAGCCACATCCTGCTGATGATTAAATTTTTTAAATAAATTTTGAAGAGTTTGAAAAGAAACGCTTGCTTTTAATTGTGTATGAGCAGTCTAAGTTCTCTTTTTCATAAGGGAAAAATAGGAAAATCAAGATTCTGGCAGTTATTAAATTGTCATAAATTTCGAAATGTCTATCTTAGTACATTAAGAAAGTGCAATTGTTTTGACAGTTCTATTCCCTACTCTGAATAAAATAGTTGTTTTTACTACCTGATTGATTTAATATCTGGGAGGTGTGACATATCCTGCTGGGCAACATTTTAGAAAATGAGATGTCATTGTGTCAATAAAGTATCTGTAGCACATGCATAAGAATGACATTTTAGTGCTTTTAGAGCTGCAAGAGTCCCTGGAAATCGTGTGGTACATTTTCTTCATTTTAGGAAGGAAAACAATAAAAGATCCAATAAAGCAAGGTGGTTTATTCAGAGTCCCACCCAGCTAGTTAGTAGCAGAGCTAAGAATAAATTCCCAATCTCTTGATTCCTAGGGTGTTTGTTTTTTCTTTTTGCCATAACAGTTTGAATTTTCAAATTGTTTACTTGTGCTCAGCTTTTCAAAAGCCCAGAAAATAATAACGATGATAATAATAAATGCATGCAACTTAGTAAAAACCCACAGCAGAATAATTAATTTGCTCAATTTTTGTTGTTTCTGTTTAAATGAGATTAAAAATATTTATGAAAATAATACATTGACTGTAAAAAGAAATAATTCTGATGGCAAGTTAGCAAATAAAGAATGATATATTCATTTGAAGGAACTTATCTTTAAAAATTAGAGATATAGGACTCAAGTTGAAAGATGAAATCTGAAATTCAGTACATATATTTGAAATATAATAATTATTTTCCTTGTTTTGAGTGTCATAGTTAAAATAATGTTCACATTATGACCAATCTGGATCCTCATCTCCCTCTCATAGCAGGAAATTCAGTCTTTCCTCAATATCTCAAGCTGTTCATAAGGACCCCAACCTTACTTGCCCTAGCTTGTTCAATTTGTCCTATTCTTTAATGGCCTGCTAGCATGGTCAGAAACTGCGAACTCAGGTGGACTTCATTAAGTCAAGTTTATGCAATGGTTGGCGTTCTCACAGCCTTTCTTTGTGGGTCAACGTTCTCCGGTTCAGAAATCACTCCCTTGGCTAAAGTTCAGAGCCGTTCAGATATCTGGTGCAAGGCCATAAGCAACAGAAATTGCCACAAAGCTGAACTTCTGTGTTAGACAGAAATAAATGAAAGCCCAGAAGTCAAGTTGGCCATAAGACCAACTTTTTTAATGCAGATGCTCATTATTTGGAGAAGGATTCCTCCCTGTATTAGGTTCATTTACGAGGTCCCACAACAAAAAGAAATGCCTCGAGCCTTAACTATGATAGCTTTTAAAGAACAGATTTTTAAATTTGCTTGCTTTGCAGTTTTTCAAGCTCACCTACAATCACAGGTCTGAGTATTTTTCAGCATAAATCATTTATTGTGCTCAAATGCAACCCTCCCTAAGACAATGTCAGGTGCAAGTGACCGGTCCAGAATGTTTCTTTCATACCAGACAGTGTCTTATGGACATGGGGCCTGATGATCTTGCCTGCTGGCAAACCTCAATGGGCCCCATCCTGGTATTCAAGGTATTTTAATAATTCTCAGTCTCAGGAAGAAAGGCTATGGTTCCACTTTGCATAAAATGGGAAGTCTTTTTGGCTCTTTGGCAAAATTTTGGCTGCAAATACTCTTGACAGAGGGGTACTGCCTAAAACCATACACTACCAGCATGTGAACTCTAGTCTCCTGATGTTCCCAAGCATCCTGACATACCCTTTTCAAAAAAGGATAAACATATTTTCTTTACATCTGTCTTTATAACTGAAGGAATGGGAAAATCTGTTTCAATAGTGAAAAGATGTATATTTGAACAAATTGCATTATTACTAGCTTTTACATATCAGTACCAAATCTCAAAAAAAAATAATTTAACATTTCATGCTCACTGAAAATAGATGCAGACAAGAATATGGCTATAGATAATTCCTTAGAATGCTAAAAATACATTTGAATGATCCATAAGCTGAAGGAATCCAATATATAGCAAAGATGAATATATGACTGTTATAAAGTAGATTTTTTGTGTCCTTAAATGATGATTGACTGATTCATACATTTAAAAAAGGTTTTTAAGCATGTACCCTATAATATAAAATTTTTAAATTAAACTTCTCTATGTGTATATTTTAAGCTATTTATAATTATTTAAGTTTTTCTAAATATTTTAAATTCTTATTATTTTCTTTATGCAATTTAGGAAAGCCAGGCTCATTGACTTTGTGTAATAAAGCAGAATATTTTATCCAATGATTATATGCAAAAAAAATATATCTGGCATCAGGCTAGTAACACCTTTAACCAAAGACTTCAGACCTTAGAAAACTGGGCTGTTATTCATGATATTACTCATAAAGTAAGTATTTATTGAGTATCAATTATTGATGAGCTCTGATTGAATTGCTGCTATACAACATTGAGTAGACACATGCAGGTATTTAAACTGAAGTTCAGATACTCAGGAACTGCTCTAGACCTCATTGAATTGTATAGCTCAGTGTTCTGTAGGACTTGCAGTATGTCTTATGCAATTTTAAAACTAATCATAAATATTCAACAACTTTGTATGGATTTTTGTTTGTTCATTTTTCTCCAAAAATGCTATTATAGTTATATCTGGCAGGAGCATAATTAAGTAGGCAAATATTAGAGATAATTTAAAAGAAATTTTGAACAATATTTAGGGAACCAAAACATCATTTTAATAAGTTTAAACTTTACCATCTATCAAATAAGGAAACTCATTTCTTTACATGAGTTAAGCAAATGGCCTTATATTCACAATGGCTAAGAGGAAGTTCCAACTAGAGTTAGAAAAAATTGTTAGAAGTTTATAACATACAAGAGGAATGCTGATTAGGGCCTGATCTGGGTGATAATGGAAGAGATAAACAAAAAGTAATGGATATGAAAGATCTTCTCGCTTAGATCCACATTCCTTTTAGCTCCCCTGCTCAGCTCTGGAAGGCAGAGGACTGACCCTTACAGGCACCAATTCCTGAACTCCTATGTCACTGGACTCCCAACTGTGCTAAATCAACAGAGGCTAAATGTCTTTCCTCTTGCACTGGCGTCTCCAACAGGAGCCGCTTGTCTTTTATGGCTCCAGCCCCCACTGAACAAGCCTGTTGTGATGCCAGCTTCTGCCTGGGAACTCAGTCCTGAGCTACCATAACTCTGCCTTCTCCCTTTGTTCTCTGGTCTAGGAATGAAAGTAACTTCCTGTTGCTCTTAATCTCTAGGTTCCCTCACTCTCTGGTTGGCTTCTCTGCATTTTCCATTAGCTATATGATGAATTTCCTGCTTTGAATGCCCTCTATTTTTAAGACTATGAATGACGAATGATGTTTTTGTTTGTTTCCTGAATGAATTCTGACTGATAACATATACAATATACTTAGTGTTTCTGGATTAATAAGTTGCTGGTTTAAGGAGGTATACATTTAAATCAAGAATTCAAATATTTAAATATTGCAGCTGTTTTTAACAGAATGTATCTGTGTTCTTGATTTAAATGTATACTTCCATAAACCAGCAAACTATCGCAAGGACAAAAAACCAAACACCGCATGTTCTCACTCATAGGTAGGAATTGAACAATGAGAACACATGGACACAGGAAGGGGATCATCACACACCAGGGCCTGTTGTTGGGTGGAGGGAGGGGGGAGGGATAGCATTAGGAGATATACCTAATGTTAAATGGTGAGTTAATGGGTGCAGCACACCAACATGACACATGTATACATATGTAACAAACCTGCATGCTGTGCACATGTACCCTAAAACTTAAAGTATAATAATAAAAAAAAACAGCTGCAAGTGTATTATTCCAGGGTTTGTACATCGGATTCTCTTGCCCCCGGCTCTTCTGGCCAAGAAACAAAAACCCATTCCTGGTAGCTTGATCCACAAAATTTGTGGGAGGCAGGATGGTTAATTTAAAAGAAAAATAGGAAGTTCAGAAATAAAGCTAACAACTTGAAACTGTAACATCATGTATTCATTTCTTAGGGCTGCTGTAACACAGTGCCACAAACTGAGTGGCTTGGAACAACAGAAAAGTATTCTCATAGTTCTAGATGCAAGAAGTCTGAAGTCAAGGTGTTGGCAGGGCCACACTTCCTCTGGATTCTTCGAAGGAGAATCTATTCCACTGCTGTCTCCCAGCTTCTGATGGTGGCTGGCAGTTGTTGGTGTTCCTTCACTTGTAGAGGCATCACTCCAATCTCTGCCTCTTTCTTTCAGTGGTAGTCGCTCTGGGTATCTCAGTGTGCAAATTTCCTTCTTCTTATAGAGGTATCAGTTATTGGACTAGAACCCACCCAAAACCAGTATGACCTCATCTTAACCTGATTACCTCTGCAAAAACCTTATTTCCAAATAAGGTCACATTCTGGGATCCAGTGGAATGAATGTGGGGGAGGACACAATTCACCCAATACACACTAGAAACTAAGGTGTGTATTAAACTAAACGACATTTGCATTGCAATGAATCCCAGTAATTGAAGGTAATCTGAGACAGTCTTTTCCATGAAGCCTAATATGACAAATACAATTGATGTGGTTTGGCTCTGTGTCCCCACCCAAATCTCATGTTGAATTGTAATCCCCACGTGCTGATGGTGGGGCCCGGTGGGAGGTGATTGGATCATGGGGGTGGTTTCTAATGGTTTAGCACCATCCCCCTAATGCTGTCTCATGAAAAAGCTCTCAGGAGATCTGGTTGTTTCAAAGTGTGTGGCACTTTCCCCCACATGCTCTCTGTCCCTCCTGTCACCATGTGAAGAATGTCCTTGTTTCCCCTTCACTTTCCACCATGATGGTAAATTTCCTGAGACCTCCAAGCTGTGCTTTCTGTTAAGCCTATGGAGCTGTGAGTTAACTAAATCTCCTTTCTTCATAAATTACCCAGCCTCAGGTAGTTCTTTATAGCAGTGTGCAAATGGACTAATACAACAATTGTAAATAGTACACTTAGTCAATCAGCTGAAAGTTATTTGTTGAACATTTCAATAGTGTAATCAGGTACTAGGTATTAAAATGCATTTTGGATATTGAACGTGGTCCCTATATTTAAAAATAAAAGGTATCAATGAAGCGTTCAGAGAACAAAAAGTGTTTATCTTAGATATAATATTTACCTTATACTTATCTACTGTGAAGCTTGGGGTTATAAATATTAAATGAAATTTTTAAATTTCCACTTAATCTAGTTTCAAATTCCTTATATCAAATAGTCTATAAGTACCTCTGAAACGAACAACAGAGCAAAATTCTCTTAATGTTTGTTTTTCTGAAGAGTATCTGTTCTCACTTTAAAGTAATACTGATTTCTTCCCAAAGTTGCCTTTGGTTTTCAAAAATGGCTTAGGTAACTGTACTAAATATTGTAAGTGTGCTTAGCCTCTTAATCTCTGAACAGTATTTCATTCTTGATGTTATTATTTTAAAAAAAATGAAGAAAATATTTTAAAATACATTAAAATGTTTCAAGTAATCTAGAATTAAATCTTCATGTTAATATCTTAAAGTAACTTAAAGCTGTTAAAATTGTGTAGTTTCTAAGTTTTTTGCTCAAATTTTCCTTTTAACATAAGTATGCTCATTTATAATTACAAACATTTTTGACATTATCTATCCATCCTTACATGATAAGAGTTGTAAAAAGTACAATAGTAAAACTATACTGGTCTGTCCTCAACCTCTGTTATTTTATTTATCACTTTAAAAATATGTATTCCAATAATTAGTTTGAAAAAGCAGTGATTACTCTGAACATCTGTATTTGGATCTATACATCCAGAGATAAACACTTTTTGTTTTTCTGAGCACTTTTTTTCTGGGCAACCTCAAGTTTACTTTAAGAGAGGGAAATTTGGACACAGAAACAAAGACACACAGGAGTGAAATCTATGTGAAGACAGAGGCAGAGATTGGAGTGATTTATCTACAAGACAAGAAATGCCAGAACATAGAAAAGGCAAGGAAGGATTGTTCCCTAAAGCCTTTGGAGGAAGCATGACCCTGCCAACACCTTGATTTTGGACTTCTAGCTTCCAAAACTGTTGAAAAAAATAAATTTCTATTGTTTTAAAGTCATCCACTGTACTGCAGTCTTAGCACACTAATGCACACTCCCAGGTATTTACACAGGAGGAAAAAAGCCATATGTGCACACAAAGCCTGGAGCACAAATGTGCTTAGCAGCTTTATTTGTAATAGCCAAAAACTGGAAACAAGAGCAATGTCTACTAATATGCAAATAGATAACAATTTTTGTTATAACCACACAATAGAATACTACTCAGAAATAAAAGAATAAATAAACTATTGAGACATCCAATATCAATGATCTTAAAATAATTATGCTGAGTGTAAAAAGCTAGAAATTAAAGAGTACATACTATATGGTCCCATTTACATAAAATTCTGTACAATCCAAAATCATCTATCATGATAGAAAGCAGATCAATTATAGCCTAGGGTTGCACAGGGAGTGTGGGGAGGGATAGGAGGAAATAATACAAAGGGACATGAATAAATTTTTGTGAGTGATGAAAAAAGTTCATTATCTTGATTTGTGGTGATGGTTTCATGGCTGTATACATATGTCAGAACTCATTAAATTATACACTTTAAAATGTGCTGTTTATTGTATATCAATTATATTTCAATAAAGCTGAAAAAATTGAATTCACTGGGATGAATGCCATGAGAAAGAAAAACCCTGAGATATTTTGGGGATGTGCTGGGAAGGCACCTAATCCAGGCTAATGCTTGGAGGCATAAAAACGATACTTAAAGAAGACACTGCAATTTAACATTAAAGGAAGAACAAAAGTTTTCTGGAAAAGTGGAACTTGTTAGTTGAGAGGGCATCATACTATGAGGAAGCAAAATGTACATAGACACAGAGGCAGATAACTTTGGAAGCCTTCCACAATATAAAATACTTCATGAAGGCTGAAGACGCCTGACAGGAGAGAGGTGGGGGGAGATGAAATTAAAGGGGGAAGCAAGAAGGATCTACATCTGAGACCTACATTCCATTTTAATAAGCTTAAATTTTCTCTTGAAAACTATGGGGAGCTTCTGAGTGCATTTAAACATGACATACCCTCTCTATACTACTTCTTTAAAACAGTTCTGAATAGAGAACTTCAAAGAACTGGCTTACTAGTCAGACATAATACAGGCATTTCTGAGAAATAAATTTCAAAAAATTCTGTCACCAATTATAATTCAATTTCATTTATTCTTACCACAGTTCTTTGAAATAATTGCCTTTGTTTATAGAACATTCCACTGTAGACTTGGAGTCATTCTTTCAGTAATATAAACATTAGCTGCTATCACATTACAAAGAACGATTTTTTTGTAATTTAGAAGAATTCTCTGTAGTCCGGTTTTTAAAGTAAAGACACTATTCCTTTTTATTTTAAATCTTAAATGCCTCTTGCAATATTACAAACCGCCTACCTTTTAGTCTCAACCAGAAGAAAACACTAGAATAGTATAGAAGAATAATGGTTTTTATAACCCATTATATTCACAATCATGCTAATCTCTCCCTCTACCTGTCCCACCCTATTATATTTAATGCTAATAACAGTTGTATGTCCTTCCTTATCCACAAAAATATGCAAACAAATATACTTGTACCTAGAGGATTCTGATACTGTTCCCAGATATAAAAAATATGTTACACATATATATGCAACTTGTATTTCTCACTTAGCAATACATCATGGACATTGCTCTGGGATATGTTTCTGCTTTTAAAATAAAAAAATACATAAAATATCCATATCCTGTTTTCTGTAAGAATTATATGCAGTCCTGGCTTTTAAATAGTTAAATCTGAAGATTCTCCCCAGATGTGGCACTTTTTTATTACATGCAACGCCAGCTAACTTCATATGGGAAAGTCCAAATTAAATCTCTATTTCGGATATTCTGAAAACAATGTCCCTTCCATCTTGCAAATATTCTATTGAAAATAATAAGTTTCCATAAACCAGATGAGCTAATTCTTGGTGGTGCTTCCTCAAACTCTTAAGCTCTTCCAAACCACCCTTTCCTAATTTCAAGAAAGAAAATTCCTTTAGTTTATATTCTTATAAATGGCAGGGCCTGAATTTTCTTTGTATTAGCTTTAGCTCCCTGTAAAGTGACAGAAAGATAGAGAATTTTATGAAGAAATCTTACTGGGGAACTGTATTAGAATATATACATATAAATAGGTCTTGAGGGAGAGACTAGGAGATGTTCCATAGTGTCTACTACTTGACCAATTATAGAATAATAAATCACAAATTAAGGTTTATTTTGCTCTTGAGCCAATCATGTTAGACTGCTGAAAAGAAGCTTCTGTTTAGTCTTTGGACAAAAATATAAATGAGTGGGCACATGCATGTGTGTAAACATGTGTTATAATGCATCTACTGAAATGTCCTTCTTAAAACAGATAGGTAGGTCATCCAAGCCAGTCCAGATTTAGAGATCATTTAGTATCATTAGAAATGAAACTGCCAAAGTATGAGTAATGGTAATGGAACATCACTGCTGAATTGGAATAAATAAAATTCACACAATTATAAATCCTTTATTTTATGAGGCATTTTTACTTTGAGATTCTTCATGAATCTGAAAAACAAGAGGAATAGTTTCCAGTTGAGAAAAGATTTGACCACATTTCTTTCCTTACTAGAGCTAAGAATCTGTGTTAGCCGTGCTCTTACGGTTTGAAGGAACAATGAAGCACTTCAGGTAACTCAAATAATGGAAGTTATAGTACAGGGATATATGTAGAAATATGACAAACAAATATTTCAGCCATGGGTAGAGGCTTCACAGAACCCAAGAAAAGCTCAACAACTAGGCCTGTTGAGAAAAGTAATTACAGTATAGTAATGATATACGATATATGGTAAATATAGTGTAATTAGTCCTACCACAAAAAGAAAAAAAGAAAGAAAGAAAGAAAAGAAAAATCATTCAGGTTGAAGGTCAAGATTCATTACAGTTTTTGCACAACCTCTTGAAATTCCTTCAAGCACAGGAGTTGGCTTTATATCTAACATAGTATCACATGTTGGTGACTCAGCTTCTCTCTCCTTCTTTCTGATTTTTTTAAAATCTGTGCTTTGACTCTGTTCTTATGACCAATTTGATGACTTTCCCCTATCTCACTCTAAGCTCCATTTTGCATTCTAAAGATTGGTTGGGTGATCACCATTATTTTTCTTTGAACACACAGTCTTGGAATCATGCAGCCTCATGTATTAGTGAACAGATTAGATTCTACTGTACGGGTGGCCATATCTGCTCCAAATTGCTAGGGTCAGAATTATAATAGCATAATTCAGACATGGTCACATATGTCAACAGAACTACCTAAAGATATTTTATCATCAGGGGCATATGGTGAGAGCAATTTTAGTTAAGGGGGACAAGAAGTAATAGATGCCTAGTGTCATGTGTATAGGGAAATGCGTAATTACATTTTTATATTTGAAAATGAGATTCTCATGTATAAGCTACTACTTAAAGGCATGGATGTGTTAACACACACACGGGAACACATGCCCACATGCATGCTGCAATACATCTGAATAGGCTTTACAATTCATTTACCATCTTCAATTGTTTTGATTTCAAGATGAGAAGCCTATAGGGAATGAATAACAAGTATTAGAGGAAAATAATCAGAGTATTATTGAATGAAGTTAGTAGCAAATTTTAACTAGAAGAAAGCAGTTATTAGCAGTGACATAATAGATACGTTGCCAAGATAAATAATTCTAGTTTGGACTTAAGAAAAAATTAGTTCTAAGCACCCATCTTAATAGAGACAAACAATATGTAGACCAGTTCTTATTATAGGCAAATTTTTAAAGTTTAGAAAATAATTATCTACACATTTGTTAATTATGCGATCTTTAGGAAGCTTATAAAACAAACTTTTAATGGCAGATTTTTATGTTTAATCGATACAATCTCAGCAAATAATAAAATGTTTATATTGATGTGTATCTACAGTTCACGGAGCTCTTTCATTTGTCTTTCATGAAAACACTGAGATAAAGTCAGGGCAGAGCATGCACAGAGACTTTGTAGTTTCATCTTTAAGTCCACTATTCTTGAAACTAAGAAAGTGCTCAATAAATGTTTGGTAAATTGATGATAATAAAGAGGCCTGGAAGGAGAAAGAATTTAGTAAAGTCATATGAGTGGTAAAACCAGAAATGAAGCTTCTGTTTTCAAACATATGCTTTCTACCTTATTACTTTTCCCTATTCTAAATGCTCATAATAATCCCTAATTATAATTCATAATGGATTTTATAGTAAAATGTTAGAGCAGAGTTTAAGCAAATTAGATATTATAGTATTAAAAAAGATGTTTTACATGAATCAGTTTATGAATATGATATTTAAATGTACCTAAATGTAGTTCAATTGAAACTCCCTATTAGTAGTAAATTATCAAGTGGGATTAAAATGACAGATACAGACACTAGCTGCATTTTTTAATATGGCCATAATCGCATTCTATTTTACATGAGCCTCCAATTCAGATGGTAGCTCTGCAGTGGAAAAACTGATTTCATTATAGGAAGGCCTCAGGGTAAAAAAGCAGTGTATATTCAAAAACTGATGTCTTTTTAAGTAAAAGAAACATTAAAAACACCATCATATTAAACAATGTTTCTAAAGGTAAATAATGCATTTGAAGGAACAGTTTATGTTTTTTACTCTCGGATTTGTATTATTTTAAAAAAAGAGGATTACATATTATTGTTTCATAGTTAAAAACTGTAAAGAACTCATGAAAAGTCCATAGGTGGTTTAAATACAAATCCCTTGTCAGTGTTTCTTAAAGTGTGGCCCGGGTATTTCCACCAGAATCACAGCAATATCTTGCTAATATGAATATTCCTGGGCCCCACCACAACCCTATTCGTTTAGAATGTCTGGGAATGGGGTGGAGAAATCTGAATTATAGACAAATTATCCAGAGGATCCTTATATATGCCAAATTTAAGCCTGGTTGATTTTTCAGACACCTGTTTTACCTTCTCCAAATGTGAGATTGAAGATATTTCCTCTGCTAGAGCCAACCTCTTAGGGGACAAAATCAATGAGGCTAGAGAAAATCTTATAACATCACCTGTACACAAGTACTTATATGCCACCACAAAAATCATTGACCAATGTGTTTTACATATACAACAGTGCATCCCTACTTCTCTCAACTGGAAATTTCTTAGCAGTTAATAAGCTATTTTTGGAGAAACAAATTTTAGAAGAGTCAACTTCTTTTTATTTTTAAAATATCTAAAACAAATTGAAATATATTGGACATTTTTGAAAAGTGGCTGTCTCACGAAATTATTCATTACTTCTAAGTCTATATCAGAAGAAGTAAACACATAAGTATTATTGACTATAAAACAAAAAAGGTAAATCACACTTACATATATTATAAAATAACTTTCAATGTAATGATAAAGATGTGCAGAAAGCAATTTAGAAAATAGTATATAATTTTCTGAATTGTGTAAATATAAAGTAGATGATGGATTTTCAAAAATGTTATTGTTATGTGATATAGTGATGAGGGAATATAACTTTAAGCATTATATCTGTATTTTATTTACCAAATTCTCCACAATAAGCATGTAATGCCTTTGAGATAAAATGTTATTTTTATAAGTTATTTTGTATGCAATAGTAATAAAAGTCCAATTCCCTAATTAATTTTGCATTATAGATCCACTCAGTCATTATTTTTTAAAAATGTACTGAGCCCCAGTTTTTATGATTAGTTCTTGAATGGAGCAGTGAATAAGATAGCCATAGCTTACAGTCTAGTGGGAGAATATGGCAATTGAAAAAGCAACTAAGATTGTCTCTGATAGGTGACATAAGAGAAGATGTCCAGGAACATAAAAACACTGAACCTAGACAGAAAGAATTAAGGAATGCCTAATTCCCAATTGTGTGTGTCTGTGTTATTTAAGAGGGATTGAATGTGTATGAATAAGTAGGAGGGGGCAGGATATAAAAGCCAGTAATGTAATCAAGGCCTAGATAATGAAGAATCTTTCAAACCATGCTGATATACTTGAATTCTTTCTAAGTACAACAAGAATCAATTAAAAAGTATTAATTCTTAAAAAAAAATGGCAAGACCAGATTTGTATTTTTAAAAAGGAGTGCAACTCTGATATAAAAATTAACTGGAGAAGGCAAGACAAGAGTTAATGAGACTAGGGTTAGGAAACTGTTGTACTGTAGTATTCAGGTGAAAGGCCATCGTAGCTGAGACTAGCATCCCAGCAAAGAAAATTATGAATAAGAGTGGCACGATTTGCTAATTATTTCCATTTGAGAATAAAGGAAAGTGAATAGTTAGAATTATGTCTTTATTTCTGACTTTGGAAACTGAATAGATGCTAATGTTATTTAGAGAGGTGGACAACAAAGGAAAAAGAGTCATTTGGTCAGTAGAGGAGTGAGGGGAAGGTGAAAAGTTCAGTTTGGAACATTTTAACTTGTGGGGCCTATGAGATATTCAAGTGGAAATGCCCAGAAGGCATTGGGACATATGTGTCTGGGCTAGAGCTTTGATAGTAGAGGCATCATGACATCAGATGATGATTGAAACCACATAAATTGATTCAATCTTCTACGAAAGTACATACAGTGCGATGGAGAAAGCCTAAGAGACAACTCTGAGATGCCTAATAACACACTCAGAGAAATCTTTAAAGGAAACTGAGACAGAAAATCATAGATATAGGAAATAAATGTGACAAGCATGCTGATGCAAAAGAAGTTAATTGAAGAAAGAAATGGTTAAATTGTTAGATATTGCTGTAAGGTAAATACAAATAAGAAAGTAAAGTATGCATTACTTTCACCTATAATAAAGTCATTTCTTATGTTCATGAAAACATTTTTAGTCATAAAATAAGTCACATGATGTAGTCACTTGCTAAGAAATAGAAGATTGTTCTGGGTCAAGGAATAAGTAAAACATTACAGAAAAGAAGTTTAAATTATACTTTCAAAAAGTATAACTGTGTAGGAGAAGAGAACTATAAGGCATCAAAGTGTGTATGTGTGTGTGCATGTGTATGCATGATTTTTTGTAATAGGAGATTCTTCAGTTGCTTGAATGCCTAAAGAACCTATGCAAAGCGAGATTTAAAATATAGATATGAAAAAGAATAGCCGAATTATAAATTATTTTCCTGTAGTGTTGAAATGTAACTTAAAAGATTAAAATTAAGCTAGGGAAAGGAATTGTTATTACAGAATATATAAGAGGAGGCTAAATTCAGAGTGACAGTGTTTGTACAATCAGAAGGGGAAAAAACTCTATTGTCAGAATTAATACCTATGCACAAGTAGTTGTATCTGTCACAGAAACCTTAAGGAATTGGGGGCAGGGAGGTAGATGATTGATTTAGGCAACCAAAATCATATAAAAAAAAAAGAAAGAAAAAAAACTCGCCCATCCTCCCACAGGCAATATAGTTTACTTCCAATCAATGACTGATCTACAGAAATAGCAAAACTAATACAATGGTTTCCATAAATTTTAAAATCCCTTTCTCTCACCTTCTTATTGGTCATTATAATCACAGGTAATGTTAAAACAAAAATATGTGTCCTTAACCTCCCTTCATTTTTCACCTCTTTTCCTGATAAAACCTCCTTGGCTAACGTCCCTTAGAATTTTTTCTAATTTCCTTTAGGCTTGTTCATACTGTGGTTTTGTTAATAAATAGCGCATTCACCAACCTACAACACAGCAGCAAATTCAGAAAAATGTGGACTTCTTCTTGAATGTAAAAAAATATACATATGACTTTCACTATGAAGTGAACAATAAAAGAAACTTGGCAAGCCTGTTATTGCTAAAACAGTAGTTGTCAATATAAAAGACAAAATTTAATCAACTCTAATCCTTGAAATTTGTATTTGGTTCATTAATTAGTATGCATACATGAAAAATTACACTTATTATCAAGGTGTGTTTATTTGATTTTAAGAAGATAAAAGCTATAAATATGTTATCTTTGTAAAAACTACAAATACATTATCATTGTATCAGTGAAAGAAAGAAGTTACAATATGGCCAATTAAAATGTCTTTTTTTTTTTTTCTACAACAATCTCAAGCACTGCAATTAGACCTGGAGAAAGAAAGAAAACAAGAAACAAACAAACAAACTTTCTAAACCTGCTTCAGAAAACTTAAATAAATAAAAATAATTAATCCTTTTGAGGTTTATAGTCATATTTTCCCAGAGTGATTTCTTTTTGGAAGCAATCGGCATGCTGAAACTACCAAAATAGTCCCAACAAGTTAAATTTATTTTATGTATTTTTAATATTGTATAATTTATTTTGTCTTTTCCCATTACTTCTTTAAAAAACTTTTTTTTGTAAAATATGCAATCCTGTTTCATAGCTTAAGACAAGCCTTGGAACTAGAAAAAAGATCCTTTTGGATCTTTCTCTTTTTCATATTGTTCTTTTAGAGAGTAAATTAACAGAGCCATAATTCTATCTTTGGGTAGTTTTGATCTTTATTCATAAATTACTTCTGCATGCAAAGCTTTGGTCAGACTACTAGAGTCTCAGCTTCATTAGGGCAAGAACTGTTGTCTGTTGGGTCCCCTGTTTTATCCCAAGAGCATAAAAGAGGGCATGGCAAAGAGTAGAGAACAATAACAATTGTTTAAATGAATGAATTTGCTTTATTAACTAATCGTTAAAATAACTGAAGCCTTAAGTTTAATTTTACAAATTGAAAAAAAATTAAAATGAAGGTAAATAAACTTTTAAAATGCCCCCCAAAAATGGGGAGTTAATACTTGAACCCAGGTCTCCCGAAACTAACCTGTGAGCTCTGACCTTATAAAATAGGCATTTTAGCTAAGATGGCACAATCTACCTACATTATCTTATTTAACCCCAATAATATTCTGTGAGGTAGGTCTTCTTATTCTTATTTTTTTAAGATGAGAAAATTAACATCTGGAGATGACACACCTCAGAAAATGATTATCTTGGAAATCACATTCAGGTCTATCAAACTCCAAAACCTGCAGTTTGTTATTGGTGTATAAGAATGCTTGTGATTTTTGCACATTGATTTTGTATCCTGAGACTTTGCTGAAGTTGCTTATCAGCTTAAGGAGATTTTGGGCTGAGACGATGGTGTTTTCTAAATATACAATCATGTCATCTGCAAACAGGGACAATTTAACTTCCTCTTTTCCCAATTGAATACCCTTTATTTCTTTCTCCTGCCTGATTGCCCTGGCCAGAACTTCCAACACTAAGTTGAATAGGAGTGGTGAGAGAGGGCATCCCTGTCTTGTGCCAGTTTTCAAAGGGAATGCTTCCAGTTTTTGCCCATTCAGTATGCTATTGGCTGTGGGTTTGTCATAAATAGTTCTTATTATTTTGAGATACGTCCCATCAATACATATTTATTGAGAGTTTTTAGCATGAAGGGCTGTTGAATTTTGTCAAAGGCCTTTTCTGCATCTATTGAGATAATCATGTGGTTTTTGTCTTTGGTTCTGTTTATATGATGGATTACGTTTATTGATTTCCATATGTTGAACCAGCCTTGCATCCCAGGGATGAAGCCCACTTGATCATGGTGTATAAGCTTTTTGATGTGCTGCTGGATTCGGTTTGCCAGTATTTTATGGAGGATCTTTGCATCAATGACAGCCAAATCATGAATTAAATCTCATTGACAATTGTTTCAAAGAGAATAAAATACCTAGGAATCCAACTTACAAGGGATGTGAAGGACCTCTTCAAGGAGAACTACAAACCACTGCTCTACGAAATAAAAGAGGACACAAACAAATGGAAGAACATTCCATGCTCATGGATAGGAGGAATCAATATCGTGAAAATGGCCATACTGCCCAAGGTAATTTATAGATTCACTGCCATCCCCATCAAGCTACCAATGACTTTCTTCACAGAATTGAAAAAAACTACTTTAAAGTTCATATAGAACCAAAAATAGCCCACATTGCCAAGAAAATCCTAAGCCAAAAGATCAAAGCTGGAGGCATCATGCTACCTGACTTCGAACTATACTACAAGGCTACAGTAACCAAAACAGCATAGTACTAGTAACAAAACAGAGATTAAGACCAATGGAACAGAACAGAGCCATCAGAAATAATACCACACATCTACAACCATTTGATCTTTGACAAACCTGACGAAAACAAGAAATGGGGAAAGGATTCCCTATTTAACAAATGGTGCTGGGAAAACTGGCTAGCCATATGTAGAAAGCTGAAACTGGATCCCTTCCTTACACCTTATACAAAAATTAATTCAAGATGGATGAAAGACCTAAATGTTAGACCTAAAACAACAAAAACCCTAGAAGAAAACCTAGGCAATACCATTCAGGACATAGGCATGGGCAAGGACTTCATGTCTAAAACACCAAAAGCAATGGCAACAAAAGCCAAAATTGACAAATAGGATCTAATTAAACTAAAGAGCTACTGCACAGCAAAAGAAACTACCATCAGAGTGAACAGGAAACCTACAGAATGGGAGAAAATTTTTGCAATCTACTCATCTGACAAAGGGCTAATATCCAGAATCTACAAAGAACTCAAACAAATTTATAAGAAAAAAACAAACAACCCCATCAACATGTGGGCAAAGGATATGAAGCCCACAGACATATGAAAAAATGCTCATCATCACTGGCCATCAGAGAAATGCAAATCAAAACCACAGTGAGATACCATTTCATACCAGTTAGAATGGCGATCATTAAAAAGTCAGGAAACAACAGGTGCTGGAGAGGATGTGGAGAAATAGGAACACTTCTACAGGGTTGGTGGGACTCTAAACTAGTTCAACCATTGTGGAAGACAGTGTGGCGATTCCTCAAGGATCTAGAACTAGAAATACAATTTGACCCAGCCATCCCATTACTGGGTATATATCCAAAGGATTATAAATCATGCTGCTATAAAGACACATGCACACGTATGTTTATTGTGGCACTATTCACAATAGCAAAGACTTGGATCCAACCCAAATATCCATCAATGATAGACTGGATTAAGAAAGAGTGGCACATATACACCAGGAATACTATGCAGCAATAAAAGATGATGAGTTCATGTCCTTTGTAGGGACATGGATGAAGTTGGAAACCATCATTCTCAGTAAACTATGGCAAGAACAGAAAACCAAACACCGCATGTTCTCACTCATAGGTGGGAATTGAACAATGAGAACACTTGGACACAGAAAGGGGAACATCACACACTGGGGCCTGTTGTGGGGTGGGGGCAGGGGGGAGGGATAGCATTAGGAGATATACCTAATGTTTAATGACGAGTTAATGGGTGCAGCACACCAACATGGCACATGTATACATATGTAACAAACCTGCACGTTGTGCACATGTACCCTAAAACTTAAAGTATAGAAAAAAAAACCCTGCAATTTGAGGTGTGTTTGAATGATTTGGTCATTTGGTTTCAGAGTGAAAATATCTTGCTCTTGGAGGCACTCATCCCATTTACCTTCTATCTTCCTAATTTGGTGAACGGTATTACACTGCCCACTACTTAGTTCTAATCCATCTAGTCCAGCTTATGTCTGACATTAGTTTTGGGTTGAAGGTTCTTAAGTTCTGGTGATGTAATAAAAATATGTCAACTTTTTTAATAACATGTAGTCCTCTATGCCATTTCTTATCTTCTTTTTGAATTATGAAGATAGTATTGAAGAAGACTAAAAACAGACATTTTGCTGCTTATTGTAACATTTTGCTGCTTATTGCCAGTAAGAATTATGTGACTGACTTTCCAGCTGTTACCTCCTGACATCTTAAATGTTGATGTCTTTCCAGCTTTATTTTCTCCTAGGAGGAAAATAAAATTATAAGGCAGAAAAGAGACTTTTAAAAGGAGCCTATCACAGAACATATCAACTGAACACCACCTACATTTGAGCAGAAGCCAAAAAATAAGGCAAATGCCACATTACTCATCATCCACCCACAAGGGTTGGGTCATTTGAAACCCACCCCCAGGGGAGTGGGTCCTATTGTATGGTGGACTTGAAAAGTGGCTACACTCTTCTGTCCCTTTATTGGAAGGAAGGCTTTGGTATGTGGGCACTCCTTTATCTAGGATAATCACTGGAATTTTTGTTTGTTGGTACTTTGTCTTTCCACACTTGCACTTAGCCTGACTTCCTCAATGACTGCAGCATTCCAGTGGAGAGAAGAAAGCTTTACCAGAAATAGAAGTAAACAAAGGGGATTTGAACAATTTAGTCCACTTAATGTTGAACTATTAAATTTGTAGGATTAATTACATCATTAAAGAAAGGAAAATAGCATTTTTCAACATGGAGTAGATGAGACAAAATATACTGTTTCCCTCTGCTTGATAGAATGGTTCATAATTTTATCACACTTATGACTACAGAGAAGTTTCCTAGGCTTTATGGATGGGGTATATAAAGAGCTTTGGAAGGTTTTTATACCTCAGAAATGTGCTTGTTGGGGTTTGGCTTACTGGGGAGAGGCAGAATTCTGGAGATGTTTAAGAGCTCTGAGTACTGCTTGCTTTCATTCTCCTTTGGCTGAATGTTTCCTTTTTTATACAAGATACAATTTCATTTTTGAGGTTAACTTGCATTTTTCCTGCATTCCATGTTTTGGTAACCTTATATGGGAAGAATTGAAAAAATAATACATAAAGTAAAGAAACCTCAATAATGCTATTAATTTAGTACTCTGAAATAGTATGGATTATTCATAGGAAAAATTATATTAAAATAAGTTCTCAAGAGTCTCCTCATTGAATTATTATTTCAAGAACAAGATGGTATAATTGACATAAATATTTTTCCCTCCCTCCCTAAAGCCCTTTAAAATGCTAATACATCTACACTGAAACAACAGTTATTGAGAATCATTCTTTTTATTATACTATTTTTTTTCTCAAAGCATAGCCAGGAGAAGGCTGCATGGGAATCCCTCTCTCTTGAAGATCAGGAGGGGAATTCACAGAGCTGGCTGGTGTGGATAAAAGAAAGGAGTATTGTTTCCTTATTTAGGATAATTAACTAAAGGGTTGTGATGGTTAGTAACGAGTGTCAACTTGATTGGATTGAAAGATACAAAGTATTGATGCTGGGTGTGTCTGTCAGGGTTTTGGCAAACATTAACATTTGAGTCAGTGGGGCTGGGAAAGGCAGACCCACCCTTACTATGGGTGGGCACAATAATCAGCTTCCAGCACAGCTAGAATATAAGCAGATAGAAAAACGTGAAAAGAGAGACTGGCCTAGCCTCCCAGCCTACATCTTTCTCCTGTGCTGGATGTTTCCTGCCTTCGAATGTTTGACTCTAAATTCTTCAGTTTTTGGAACTCAAACTGGTTCTCCTTGCTCCTCGGTCTGCAGAAGACCTATTGTGGAACCTTGTGATTGATCGTGTGAGTTAATACTTAATAAACTTAATATAAAATATATATATATTTATATATATATATATTCCATTAGTTCTTTCCCTCTAGAGAACCCTGACTAATACAGATATTTTGGTACTGGGAGTGGTTTCAGAGGAACGGAATATTAAGGATGAAGTTCTTTAGTTTGTTTTGGGGTTTCTGGAGTTGGCTGTTTAATAGGATTAGACTGAAAAATGCTAAGGATTCTACTTCTAATAGTATGGAGAACACTGATAGTCCTTGGTGTGAACTGTTTAAAGCATTATGGAAAATAAATGCATTTGACTCCTGAGTCATTGCTCATGAGAAGCAAGGAGATCAGTGAGTCTACACGTAATACCTTTGACCATATGTGGAGAAACAAGGAACATAATGAAGCTGGTTGTTTGCTCCTAAGTTCAGTGCACAAAATGATGAAAGATAATGATGAACTCAGGGATTTTTTTCTCCCTGCTGCAGAAGCAGATACTGAGCCTCAAATCTGCTCAGATTGCTCTGAGTGAGAATCTTATCTCCTGTAGAGAAAGAGCTGAAATTGTGGAAAAACAGACACAAGCTCTTATCATGTGAGTGGCTGACCTGCAACAAAAGGTACATG
This sequence comes from Homo sapiens, assembly GCF_000001405.40. Lineage (NCBI taxonomy): Eukaryota > Metazoa > Chordata > Mammalia > Primates > Hominidae > Homo > Homo sapiens. The sequence continues at coordinate 103,267,734 of NC_000001.11, forward strand.
CACAACCTTACCAGGTATCTACTGTTAAAGTGAGGGCATTGATTGGAAAAGAATGGGACCCTGCAACTTGGACTGGGGATGTGTGGGAGGACCCTGATGAAGCTGGGGACACTGAATTTGTAAACTCTGATAAACCTTTTTTGCCAGAAGAAACAGCTTCCCCATCCCCAGTAGTGGCAACATCCCCTCCCTGACCCACGCTGCCATCAGCCTTTCCACCTTTGCCAGAGGAGTTAGACCCTGCACTACCTGAGATAACAGTGATGGCTTCTGCTGAGGCAGTTGCCAGGCATGATAATGTTGATTCTTCTCAGGAGCCACCCCCAACACCCCTATTTGCTTCTAGACCTATAACTAGGCTAAAGTCCCAGTGAGCCCCTAGTGGTGAGGTTGAGAGTGTGACCCATGAGGAGGTGTTCTGCACTCAAAAGGAACTGCTTGAATTTCCTAATTCACATAAACAAAAATCTGGAGAACAAGCATGGGAATGGATATTAAGGGTGTGGGATAATGGTGGAAGGAACATAGAGTTGGATCAGTCTGAATTTATTGATTTGGGCCCACTAAGTAGCGACTCTGCATTTAATGTTGAAGCTCGGGGAGTTAAAAAAAGGTTCTAATAGTTTATTTGCTTGGTTAGCTGAAATACGGATTAAAAGATGGCTCACTGTGAGTGAGCTGGAAATGCGTGATCTCCCTTGGTTTAATGTAGAGGAAGAGATTCAGAGGCTTACGGAGATTGGGAGGGTGGAGTGGATTAGTCACTTTAGACCTACTCATCCCAGCTGGGAGGGTCCAGAAGGTATATCCTTGACCAATGCCTTGCAAAATAGATTTGTGGGGGCAGCACCTGCATCTCTGAAGAGCCCTGTAATTGCTCTTTTCTGTATGTCAGATACAACAATAGTCACTCAACTACAAAATTTAAATACAATGGGAATAATTGGATCCTTTCGTGGCAAGTGCCAAGTGGCGGCAATCAACCATCAAAGGCAAGGTGGTATAGCTACTGTAATGGACAGCAGAGGTAAAGCAGCAATCAGAATAGTCTGACTCTTGTAGAGCTCTGGCATTGGCTAATCATGGTGTTCCTAGAAGTGAAATTTATAAGAAGTCTACTGCATTCCTAATTAATTTATATAAGCAGAAAACTTCTAGGTTGTATGGACAAAGGCTAATTTGAATTATAAAACCAGAGAATCACAGCCCCTCAATCAATTTCCAGACTTGAGCCAGTTTACAGACACAGAACCCCTTGAATGAAGGGGAGCCCAGGTCTCCTTGAGGAAGGACCTCACTATATTACAGACAATTTATGCAGTGAATCTTTCTCCCAACCTTCCCCAAGAAGCTCTCGGCCTTTTACCAGGGTTAACTATGCAATGGGGAAAGGGAAATGATCAGACATATTGGGGATACTGGACACTGGCTCTGAGCTGACGTTGATTCCAGAAGACCCAAAACATCATTGTGGTTAAAGTAGGGGCTTATGGAGGTCAGGTAATTAACGGAGTTTTAGCTCAGGTCTGACTTACAGTGGGTCCAGTGGGTCCCCGGACTCATCCTGTGATCATTTCCTCAGTGCCAGAATGCATAATTGGCGTAGATAAAATCAGTAGCTGGCAGAACACCCACATTGGCTCCCCAACTGGAATGATGAGGGCTATTATGGTTGAAAAGGCCAAATGGAAGCCCATAGGGCTGCCTCTACCTAGAAAAATGGTAAACCAAAAACAATATCACATCCCTGGAGGGATTGCAGAGATTAGTGTCACCATCAAGGACTTGAAAGACAGGGGTGGTGATTCAAGCCACTTCCCTGTTCAACTCTCCCATTTGGCCTGTGCAGAAGACAGATAGATCTTGGAGAATGACAATGGATTATCATAAGCTTAATCAAGTGGTTACTCCAATTGCAGCTGCTAAACCAGATGTGGCCTCATTGCTTGAGCAAATTAACACATCTCCTGGTACCTGGTGTGCAGCCATATACTTGGCAAATGATTTTTTCTCCATTCCTGTCCATAAGGCCCGCCAGAAGCAATTTGCCTTCAGCTCACAAGGCCAGCAATATACCTTTACTGTCCTACCTCAGGGGTATATCAACTCTCTGGCTTTGTGTCATAATCTTATTTGGAGAGACCTCGATCACTTTTCACTTCCGTAAGATATCACACTGGTCCATTACATTGATGACATTATGCTGATTGGATCCAGTGAGCAAGAAGTAGCAAACACACTGGACTTATTGGTGAGACATTTGCATACCAGAGGATGGGAAATAAATCTGACTAAAATTCAGGGACCTTCTACCTCAGTAAAATTTCTAGGGGTCCACTGGTGTGGGGACTGTTGAGATATTCCTTCTAAGGTTAAGAATAAGTTGCCGCATTTGGCCCCTCCTACCACCAAGAAAGAGGAACAACACCTAGTGGGCCTATTTGGATTTTGGAAGCAACTCATTCCTCATTTGTGTGTGTTACTCCAGTCCATTTATTAAGTGACCCAAAAGGTTCCCAGTTTTGAGTGGGGTCCAGAATAGGAGAAGGCTCTGCAACAGATCCAGGCTGCTGTTGAAGCTGCTCTGCCACTTGGGCCATATGACCCAGCAGATCCAATGGTGTTTGAGGTGTCAGGTGATAGATATGGATGCTGTTTGGAGCCTTTTGCAGGCCCCCACAGGATTTTGACCTCTAGGATTTTGGAACAGGGCCCTGCCATCTTCTGCCTATAACTACTCCCCTTTTGAGAGACAGCTCTTGGCCTTCTACTCAGCTTTGGTGGAAACTGAACGTTTGACTATGCTATGGGTCATCCAGTCACCATGCAACCTGAATTGCCTATCATGAACTGGGAGCTTTCTCACCTATCTAGCCATAAAGTGGGTCATGCACAGCAGCATTCCATCATCAAATGGAAGTGGTATATACGTGATCAGGTTCGAGTAGGTCCTGAAGGAACAAGTAAGTTACATGAGGAAGTGGTTCAAATGTCCATGGTCTCCTTTCCTGCCAACCTGTCTTCTCTCCCCAACCCCAGCCTGCACCAGTGGCCTCATTGGGGGGGTTCCCTATGATCAATTGACAGGGAAAGAGAAAACTAGGGCCTGGTTCACAGATGATTCTGCATGATATTCAGACACCACCTGGTAGTGGACAGCTGCAGCACTACAGCCCTTTTCTAAGATAGGTCTGAATGATAGTGATGAAGGGAAATCTTTCCAGTGGGCAGAACTTCAAGAAGTGCACCTGGTTGTGCACTTTGCCTGGAAGGAGAAATGGCCAGATGTGTGATTATATACTGATTAATGGGCTATAGCCAATGGTTTGGCTGGATGTTCTGGGACTTGGAAGAAGCATGATTGGAAAATTGGTGACAAAGAAATTTGAGGAAGAGGCATGTGGATGGACCTCTCTGAGTGGTCAAAAACTGTGAAGATATTTGTATCCCATGTGAGTGCTCATGAATGGGTGACCTCAGCAGAAGAGGATTTTAATAATCAAGTGGATGGAATGACCTGTTCTGTGGACATCACTCAGCTCTTTCCCCAGCCACCCCTGTCATCGCCCAATAGACCCATGAACACAGTGGCCATGGTGGCAGGGATGGAAGTTATGCATGGGCTCAGCAACGTGGACTTCCACTCACCAAGGCTGACCTAGCTATGGCCGCTGCTGAGTGCCTAATTTGTCAGCAGCAAAGACCAACACTGAGCCCTTGATATGGTACCATTCCTCGGGGAGATCAGCCAACTACCTGGTGGCAGATTTATCATATTGGACCTCTTCCATCATGGAAAGAGCAGAGGTTTGTCCTCACTGGAATAGACACTTACAACTTATATGGGTTTGCCTATCCTGCATGCAATGCTTCTGCCAAGACTGCTATCCAAGGATTCACGGAATGCCTTACTCACTGTCATGGTATTCCACACAGCATTGCCTCTGACCAAGGCACTCACTTTGTGGCTAAAGAAGTGGAGCAATGGGCTCATGCTCATGGAATCCATTGGTCTTACCATGTTCCCCAGCATCCTGAAGCAGCTGGATTGATAGAATGGTGGAATGGCCTTTTGAAGTCACAATTACAACACCAACCAGATGGCAATACTTTGCAGGGCTGGGGCAAATTTCTCCAGAAGGCCATGTATGTTCTGAATCAGCGTCCACTATGTGATACTGTTTCTCCTATAGCCAGGGTTCATGGGTCCAAGAATCAAGGGGTGAAAGTGAAAGTGGCACCACTCACCATCATCCCTAGTGATCAACTAGCAAAATTTTTGCTTTCTGTTCCCGCGACATTACATTCTGTTGGCCTAAATGTCTTAGTTCCAGAGGGAGGAACGCTGCCACCAACAGACACAACAAGGATTCCATTAAACTAGAAGGTAAGATTGTCACCTGGACACTTTAGGCTCCTCCTACCTTTAAGTCAACAGGCTAAGAAGGGAGTTACAGTGTTGACTGGGGCAATTGACCTGGACAATCTCCCTCAATGGGAAATTACAACCCCCCAATCCAGGCAGAACTACAAATGGCCCAGACCATTCAGTAATGAAGGTTTGGGTTACCCCACCAGGAAAAAAACCCACGACCTACTGAGGTGCTTGCCAAAGGAAAACGGAATACAGAATGGGTAGTAGAAAGTAATCATCGATGTTGGCTATGACCACATGATCAGCTGCAGAAACGAGGACTGTAATCGTCATGAATATTTCCTCCTTCTTTTGTTAAAAACATGCTTGCGCATGTATACACTTGTACTGAGAAAATATCTTCATTTTATATCCTTTCTCCTTTTTCATGTGATGTAAGATTTATTGAGTTCATATCAGCGTTTAAGTATTGTTAACTTTATGTAACAGTATTTGGGTTGGGGATTGACATGTTCCCAGTGGTAGGAAGGAGAGTTGTATTACGTTAGACATAATTATGACCTTATTATTGTCTTTATTTAAAGATTATGTATGATCTCAGGAGATGTGTATGGGTTCAAGTTGACAAGGTTGGATTTGTGATGGTTAATACTGAGTGTCAACTTGATTGTATTAAACGATATAAAGTATTGATCCTGGGTGTGTCTGTGAGGGTGTTGCCAAAGGAGATTAACATTTGAGTCAGTGGGCTGGAAAAGGCAGATGCACCCTTAATATGGGTGGGCACAATCTAATCAGCTGCCAGCCCGGCTAGAATGTAAGCAGGCAGAAAAATGTGAAAACAGAGACTGGCCTAGCCTTCCAGCCTACATCTTTCTTCCACGCTGGATCCTTCCTGCCCTTGAACATCAGACTCCAAGTTCTTCAGCTTTGGAACTCAAACTGGCTCTCCTTCTTCCTCAGCCTGCATATGGCCTGTTGTGGGACCTTGTGATCTGTGAGTTAAAACTTAATAAACTCCCCTTTATATATATGTGTGTGTGTGTGTGTGTGTGTGTGTATTCCGTTAGTTCTGTCCCTGTGAACCCTGACTAATACAGTTGTTTACAAAACAAATAAGACAATCCCTTTCTTTCGAAGATTTTCCTGTCTCTAGGGAAAGGGACAGATACAAGGAAATGCAGATTTTGAGGTAATTCTAAACCACCACAAAGGGTCCTGAAAGAAGGAAAGAGATAGGAGAATTCTAACAATGCCCTCCTTAATCCTTACTTTCAAATAAGTGTGACCTTGAGCTAGTATGCCCTTTCCCTAAACAAGGCCGGAAAGAAAGTCTTGCCTATTAATAATACTCATATTTACAAAAAGCTCAGAGTTCAGTGTTCTCATTCAGTGTGTGTGTGTGTGTGTGTGTGTGTGTGTGTGTGTGTGTATGTGTTTGGCGAGGGACATGTATTTGTAACTTATTCAATAAACAAATATTTGTTAAGTGTCTACCATATCAGATTTCTAGATACTTGAAATATGGTAGTGGATAATGCAATGTTTCTGCCCTCAAGGACCTTAACTTTTACATCCTAGTAGGGAAATTGCCTTGAACAAATATAGCCAATGATATATTCTAATTACATATAGCCAAGTGAAAGAAATAAAAATAAGGCAGGAGAGAGGGCCTACAGATGAAATAGTGTTGTAGTGACAAACAGTGAGGTCAGGAAAAGCCTCTTGAGGAGGTGACATTGAACAGAAACCTAAAGGAAAGAGGAGAGCCATGCAGAGGAATTACTTTCCAGTCAAAGGGAACTGCTAGAGCAACATCTCTGGAGCAAGAATGGGATCAATGCATACAAGAAGTGGGAAGAAAGCCAATAAGCAAGAAGTCAGTGAAAGGTACAACTACACAGGAAACATAAAAATGTCCTATTCTGAGCAACATCATTCATTCGTTAGGTAAAAATGTGAATAATCAACTAAGGATTAAGAGAATCTCGACAAAACTAAAAGCATGAAATTGAAAGGCCAGGATAGAGGACATTTAAACCCTGATGGAAAAAGGAGTATTATAAGGAATATTTGGAAAAACTATTTTTTTAAGTTTCACATTTGAGATACATATTACTATCTCAAAAAATAAGAATAGGCAACTACAAATAGAGAGATGAAGATATTAGAAATGACACTGTTAAAATATTGGATTTAACTTTTATACATATAATTGGAGTATCCTTTTTAATAAAATACAAATTCAAGGATTTCCAGAAGCTAATTAGAGTGCACTGATCTGAGCAAAAAACATTAGGTTTCAAAGCAATGGGTTTCAAAGGAAGATGAGAGCATCAGACATTGTTTTTCTTCTCTGTTGAGTTGATAGGTTTTCAGGTACATGACCGTCACACACTCAATTAAGAACATGATCAGCAATTTGTTTTCCATATTCAAAATCCAAGTTCTTAGTTTTATTCCAGTGAATCAAATGCTGTATTTGGAAATGAAAGTGATAGTGTTCAAATGTGAGTATTCAGATTGACTCTGAGCACACACCTTGAGCAGGGAGTAGACTTTAACAAAGTTACCAGAAAGAAGTATCTCCTTTTTAAGTAAAAAGTTATGAAAATTCTGGGAGAAAACCAGGTATGACCATTCTAGGGAAAAACCAGGTATGACAACAGGTATTGCTGAAATTAATATTTCTTATTAAAATTATTCTTGAAGACTACCCGCAGACTTTTCTTGCTCATTCATTCTTGGGTGCCTTTGATTTCTTTTATTTTTTTCTCTGATTAGCCTTATTTTACCACACCTTCAAAAACTAGGGCAAATTTTATGTCTTGTGTCTCTCCCAGACCACTTTCTTTTTTAAAAAAATAATGCCAAGAATTGTGATTGAGGTCATGAATTTGTTCATTTTGTAATATGTTATTGGGTTAGGACTTGCACACATATGGGGTAGGCAGGAACTACTTACTGGCCACATTGTTGAAATTCTGCAATAAAAATGTATGCTATTGGAGTAAACATTACTTCTTTCAGGCAGGTCAAATAAAGTGCAAATAACACTGTATAATCTAATGTGTTAAATCTTTCACAACTTCCTGCCACTATCTGATCAGATTGTTTTCCTTAATAATGGTAAAGACAATTAAAATACCCACACAAGTTTTTTTGTCTTGTTTGTTTTATTTTGTTTTTGTTCTTGTTTTTTTGACCGGGTCTCACTCTGTTGCCCAGGCAGGAGTGCAGCGATGCCGTCATGATTCACTGCACACTTGACCTGCCAGGCTCAAGCAATTCTCCCATCTTAGCCTCCCGAGTAGCTAGAACTACAGGAGCAAGCCACCACACCCAGCTAATTTGTTTTAACCTTTTGTAGAGATCAGGTCTCACTATGTTGCCCAGGCTAGTCTTGAACTGCTAGGCTCAAGTGATCCTCCAGCCTCAGCCTGGCTGGGATTGTGGCATGAGCCACTGGGCCCAGCAGAAATATCCGTACAATCCTAAGGTATGTTTTAGCCTGGGACAATTTAAGGATGAGGACTAGAAAGAAAAAACTGTTAACTAATAGATAAAGTACAGAAAGAGTTTAGGTATATCTATGATCAACCACCTGCAATAACATTTTTCAAGTGTGAATCTTTGTGTATGATAGACAACCTTACAGTTGCCTATAATTTTCCTGGCTTACAAATAGCCATCTTCTGGTTGTCCTCACAAAGCCTTTCCTCTGTGCTCACAAAGAGAGAGAGAGAGAGAGAGGGCAAGCTCTCTGGTGTCTCTTTTTACGACACTAATACTATTGGGTCAGTGACCCACTGTCATGACCTCACTTAATCTTAATTACTTCTGTAAAGGCCCAGTCTCCAATTATAGTTACATTGAGGTTTAGGGTTTCAACATGTGAATTTTGGGGGAAACAAATCTTTCAGCCTGCAATACTATGTAAGTGTTGAGCAAGACTCAGGGAAATCCTAATATTCATTGGACAAAGTGTTCATTTAACAAATGTTTAATACTGCCCAAGGCTTTTAGTTTATTTTACCGTTATGGAAAAAAGTGAGGTAGAGAAGATTTTATGGTTAAGTCTCTCACACTTATTAGCACTTAAAATAATTTAGAGCATTTGGAGAATACAATGACTAATCCTAAAGTAATAAACCTGAAAAAAAGGATGTGGACTAATAATGAAACTAAATGTAGATTCAATAGGCTGTGTCTTGTTATTTTTATATCAATCTATTTTGGCTACAGATTCAATCAATTTCAACTATTTCTTAAACTTGGTTTCTAATGAAAAATATCAATTAGAGAGCTTTCTTCACTTCGTCATGATGGTTAAATTAATTACTAGCTGCCAAGCATATATATATAATTAGCTGCCATGCACACACACATCTATATAAATTACATCCTAAATATATATGTAATATATGATATAATTTATACATGATGTAATATATATACACAATGTATATTTATATATAAATACATATTTTATATATATTTAACTTACTGTTCATATACAGTAAATATACTGTTATTGTACATTTATATATTATGTATATATAAAATATTTCACTTACCTTTCTTCATTGAGTTTTTTGTAGGGCATGAGAAAGACGATATTCCACACCTTAGTTCTCCACTAATTGTGCATGACATAGCAGCAATCCAGAATTCCTCATGAGTCCCACTGTAAAACACAGAGATGTCTGAGAGTTGAGAGACAATTGGTCCACCATGGAGCCTCTATATTGACAGACAAGATTACCTTACAATAGAAACAGCTAAGCCAATAGAAAATAAAACTGAATTCAGAGTACCTGCCACACAAGCAAAACCCAAGGTAAGGCCAAGTTTACTGCTAAGTGTTTCTTCTTCACAGAACATAATTTCACAAACTCAGATTTCAACATCAGATGCTAGAAAGACAGTCGGTAACCACTAAGCCAATGAGAATGCAGAAGATAGAACAAGAACTAACAAAAACTAGGAGAATAGCCCCTGATTCTGAGGCCCCTCTCCTTTTACCTCCAAAACTCATAAGCTTCTCTCGATACTCAAATACATCTTGACTAGGAAAAATGTTAGAATTAATTCATTTAATCTTCACAAGAACCCTAGGGAGTAATTATAGTTGTATTTCCTATATCAAGATGGGAAAATAGAAGTTCAAAGGGATTAACTTGACTATCTTCATGCAGCAAATAAATGTTAAAAGGTTTCAGCTTGTTCAAAAATAGCACTGAATTTTCTTATTTCATTTCTATATTTGCTCCACCTTTCAGAAGAGATTACTATGTATCTCTAGCATATGAAATTACTGGCTTAATTTTAATCCAGAAATTTATAAAACTATGTTTAATTATTCTTAAAGAAGAATATTTCCAGAGGCATTAAGTTCAAAGTACATATTAAGGAATAAGTTGTTAAGGTTTACACTAAAATAAAAACATTCTAGGACGTGTGAAAATGTTGTGCTGTTTAATGTCCTTCCACTGGAAAATAATTTAATATTTAAAAAATTAGGCCGGGCGCGGTGGCTCACGCCTGTAATCCCAGCACTTTGGGAGGCCGAGGCGGGCGGATCACGAGGTCAGGAGATCGAGACCATCCCGGCTAAAACGGTGAAACCCCGTCTCTACTAAAAATACAAAAAATTAGCCGGGCGTAGTGGTGGGCGCCTGTAGTCCCAGCTACTTGGGAGGCTGAGGCAGGAGAATGGCGTGAACCCGGGAGGCGGAGCTTGCAGTGAGCCGAGATCCCGCCACTGCACTCCAGCCTGGGCGACAGAGCGAGACTCCGTCTCAAAAAAAAAAAAAAAAAAAAAAAAAAAAAAAATTAAAAAAAAATTAGGGAGTGGATACACAGCAAAATGTCAGAAGCCTAGAAAAAATAATTTTAGTATTTAACATTTTCAAAGCAGTCTCTCTCTTTTTTCTCTTTAAAGGGAGAGAATATGTGAATTATTCATAATAGATTATTTATTATCTATTTATTACTTGTTTTAACTTTTATTTTTTAATTAATTTTATCCACTAGCCATGTTGTCAACATATCTTGGCAAAATTGCTTAGAACTAATTCCTTTTATATGACGATAATAAAAATTCCTCAGATTCTTTCTTTTCTTTCTTTCTCTCTCTCTTTTTTTTTTTTTTTTTTTGAGACCAAGTCTCGCTCTGTCCCCCAGACTGGCATGATCTTGGCTCACTGCAACCTCTCCCTCCCGGATTCCCCTGCCTCAGCCTCCAGAGTAGCTGGGACTACAAGCAAGCGCCACCACACCCGGCTAATTTTTTTTTTTTAATTTTTTTTATTTTTTTTTATTTTTAGTAGAGACGGGTTTCCCCATGTTGGCTAAGCTGATCTCAACCTCCTGACCTCCCAAAGTGCCGGGATTACAGGCATGAGCCATTGTGCCAGGCCAAATTCATCAGTTTCATGGCACCCCTGCTGAAATTTCCATGGTATTTTAAAATATATCCTGTTTTGCTCCTGGAGGAAAATATAATCAAGCTTGTTTTTCATGGATTTTATTTAGTAATAATCAGTTACTAATTTCCCCAAATTATATATAAGTCTAACTGCTCTAATTTACTATTATTGCCTTACTTAAGTATCACCAACTGCTATGGCATTTTACATATATCCAATAGGTCAACCTCTTAAATAGCTCAATGTTCTTCTACAAATATAGTTGCTTTTAGCTGCATTTGCTTTCTTTAAGGTTTAGACTTGCAGAACTTAAGGCAACATCATGAAAATGAGTTTTCAGAAAAATTTTGAGTAAAGTGTCAGGCCAAACAAAAATCCTTAAAGACAAGCTCTTCTAGCTTCCATATATACAAAGGTGTTTGGAAAACTGGAAAAGATTTCTTTGGAACCAAGGTAAGGAAGTAGAACCTTGAGAACAATAACATTTTCCAAGCCTTAAATAATGTAACTTAATTCCATTCAAAGGAGAGTAGTAGCTGCAGGATAATTAATGATAGTAAATGAAAATATCTGGTAATATTTTAATATAAATTAAGAAATTTACCTAGAAAAATAACAAAACTAAAAAGTAAAGTTTAAGCAGAATGCAATAAAAGCAATGCTTTACAACTAGAGTCAACATCAAAGAAAAGAAAAATAACATCTTTTCCTATTTCAAATATAATGTAAAGGTTTATCAGATATTAACTGGTAGCATGACTTCTGCTAATTCAAAGTAATGGGTGACTTGTTTTAACTGAAGAGAGATACATTATGTATATATAAAATAGTAGAGTTGAAATATACCTTTTTTATTTTATTATTTTTTAATTATACTTTAAGTTCTGGGGTACATGTGCAGAACATGCAGTTTTGCTGCATAGGTATATACATGCCATAGTGGTTTGCTGCACCCATCAACCCATCACCTACATTAGGTATTTCTCTTAATGTTATCCCTCCCCTAACCCCCACCCCCCGACAGGCCCCAGTGTGTGATGTTCCCCTCCCTATGTCCACATGTTCTCATTGTGCAACTCCTACTTATAAGTGAGAACATGCAGTGGTCAGTTTTCTGTTCTTGTGGTGGTTTGCTGAGAATGATGGTTTTCAGATTCATCCATGTCCCTGCAAAGGACATGAACGCATCCTTTATTATGGCTGCATAATATTCCATGGTGCATATGTGCCACATTTTCTTTATCCAGTCTATTATTGATGGATATTTGAGTTGATTCCAAGACTTTGCTCCTGTGAATAGTGCTGCAATAAACATATGCGTGCATGTGTCTTTATAGTAGAATGATTTATAATCCTTTGAGTATATACCCAGTAATGGGATGGCTGGGTCAAATGGTATTTCTAGTTCTAGATCCTTGAGGAATCACCACACTGTCTTCCACAATGGTTGAACTAATTTTCACTCCCACTAACAGTGAAAAAACATCCCTATTTCTCCACATCCTCTCCAGCATCTGTTGTTTCCTGACTCTTTAATGATCGTCATTCTAACTGGTGTGAGATGGTATCTCATTGTGATTTTGATTTGCATTTCTCTAGTGACCAGTGATGATGAGCATTTTTTCATATGGCTGTTGGCTGCATAAATGTCTTCTTTTGAGGAGAGTCTGTTCATATCCTTTGCCCACTTTTTGATTTTTTTTCTTGTAAATTTGTTTAAGTTCTTTGTAGATTCTGGATATTAGCCCTTTGTCAGATGGATAGATTGCAAAAATTGTCTCCCATTCTTTATGTTGCCTGTTCATGCTGATGATAGTTTCTTTTGCTGTGCAGAAGTTATTTGGTTTAATTAGATTCCATTTGTGAATTTGGGCTCTTGTTGTCATTGCTTTTAGTGTTTTAGACATGAAGTCTTTGCCCATGCCGATGTCTTGAATGGTATTGCCAAGGTTTTCTTCTAGGATTTTTATGGTCCTACGTCTTAAGTTTAAGTCTTTGATCCATCTTGAGTTGATATTTGTATAAGGTGTAAGGAAGGGGTCCAGTTTCAGTTTTCTGCATATGGCTAGCCAGTTTTCCCAACACCATTTATTAAATAGGGAATCCTTTCCCCATTTCTTGTTTTTGTCAGCTTTGTCAAAGATCAGATGGTTGTAGATGTGTGGTGTTATTTCTGAGGCCTCTGTTCTGCTCCATTGGTCTATATATCTGTTTTGGTACCAGTACCATGCTGTTTTGGTTACTGTAGCCTTGTAGTATAGTTTAAAGTCAGGGAGCATGATGCCTCCAGCTTTGCTCTTCTTGCCCAGGATATGAGCAAATTGAAGTCTAGAGTTATTAACATAGCAATACATATTCAAAGCATCACATTTTAGGCTTGCAGGCTGTTGTACTATTTTCATTCAGTGACTTTCTATAGGTATTTGTTCTTGCAGAACCTGTGCTCCAACTAGGGCATCAGACAAATAATTATAACAAAATGACAAAAATATTTTGATAGAGGTACCTTTTAGAACATGAAATAGGGAATTATTTCTAGATGGGAGACAAGGAAGTCTTTAAAAAATTGTTATTTTGGCCTGGCACGGTGGCTTATGCCTGTAATCCCAGCACTCTGGGAGGCTGAGGCAGGTGGATCATCTGAGGTCAGAAGTTTGAGACAAGCCTGGCCAACATGGTGAAACCCCATCTCTACTAAAAATACAAAAATTAGCTGAAAATTCTGATCCCCAGAATTTTCCCTCAGGTAAGTATTCTAGTCACCCAGCATTCTGTTTAACTGATAACTTAATTCTTTGTTATCCTAAATCCTTATGAAAATTTGTGGTCCTTTTAATAGCAACGTGAAGGGGACTCAGGAAAGAAAAGGACAGCCACTGTGCAAAGGCAGCAGCCTTTTAGGAGAATGGGCAGACCACCTGGAATCATCATTCATTTGGCTACCCTGCTATTCTGGGAATTTGGGGGAAGACTTACAAATAGAATCCTACACAATATACTAAGCTTGGAGCCAGTCAGAAAGATACCAGTCTATTTAAACACACTTTTACTTACTTTCTGTTCCTTCACTCATGTAAGTTCCTGTATTTGTAGTATCGTTATATTTAAACCATTATAATGTATGTCCTCTATGCAATACTGAAAGACAGATAGAAGTCAAAACCCCAGAGGTTGAATGTCTGAAATGGCTTATTTGAAAAGAGACTGATTTTTTTCATACTGAATCAGCATATATTTATTAAATATTTTTGCACCAGGACTTGTTCAAGGTTCTTTTTTTTTTTTTTTTTTTTGAGACGGAGTCTCGCTCTGTCGCCCAGGCTGGAGTGCAGTGGCGGGATCTCGGCTCACTGCAAGCTCCACCTCCCGGGTTCACGCCATTCTCCTGCCTCAGTCTCCCAAGTAGCTGGGACTACAGGCGCCCGCCACTACGCCCGGCTAATTTTTTTTTGTATTTTTAGTAGAGACGGGGTTTCACCGTTTTAGCCGGGATGGTCTCGATCTCCTGACCTCGTGATCCGCCCGCCTCGGCCTCCCAAAGTGCTGGGATTACAGGTCAAGGTTCTTAATAGCCATTATTGCTCTCCTAAATATTATATTTTACTAATAGATGGTAAATTAGGAAAATGCCCCAAAGTTCATAGTCCTACAGGATCATCGGTGCCACCCAGTGTCATAGACTAAATGCCTCGCAGTACAACCTCACTTCTCCAGCATAGCTCTTTTTTTGAAGAAACTCCTTCAAAAATTTTGACGAATACTTCCAAGAATCTGTGAGCCTCTGCCTATTTACACTAACCCAACTTATTCTTAGATAATAGAAAAAGCACGGTCTTACACTAGGGTAAAATTTGTCTTATAATAAGTGAACACCAAGATGCAGACCTCTTCCCTGGTGCAAAATTCTTTATAAAGGCAGCTCTAGTTGTACAGTAGTCTGAGTTTCTTGACATCATGAATGCCTTAGCTCACTATCGTGTCAGTCTTTCAAAATCTTACATAAACTACCTGTTTATTTTGGACTTTCCTCCACTGCTTTACGCTTCTTAAGGCAGGAATTGTGTCTTATTTACCTGTGTGTTACTGTGTCCCAGCAGTGTGATTAGCACAAAACAGCTGTTCAGCAGTATTTGTTTCAGTAATTTGTGGCAACTATTAGAAATAATGTGCCTCTACTATAAAACAATCATCAATATTACGTATAATAACGAAAGATTATAATCAATCTCGATATTCACTCAACAGACTGTTACATAGTCATTCAAAAGAGATGTGTGTATATATATGCATACATAGGTATATACATATATATATCTTTTAAAATATATATCTCTCTGTACACAAAATTTAATATATTTTTTATAAAAATACTGTGATACACATTGCATTTTAAATATTACTCTAAAAGTATAAATTTTTTAAAGACTGGTCATCAAGTTACAGGCCAGAAAAAGTAATATTTTTGTTGGTTATCTTTAGGTAGTGAGATAATGGAAGATGTTTTATTTACTTTTCATTATCCGATTCTTCATTTTGCATTTTTTTCTTTAATATCTATACTTTTTAAACAATGAGAATATGAAGAAATGATTTACAAATGCTTTCCTTTTAATGCCAAAATGTATTGCATAAGTTTTTATTTATTTATTTATTTTACAGCCTGGTGTCATTAATTTATTAATGCCAGTTTATTTAACCTATCTTTAACTTAAGCTATAAAAATAGAGATACAAGGGAAAGGGGAAAATAGAAGTGGTAGAAAAGGCATTTACAATGTATAAGTACTAGTGCCTCACTTAAACAAAATCAAGTGCTCTTCAAATATTTAGCTAATTAACTAATTTGAATAGTGTTCTCAGAAACATAAAAATAAAGAAAAGAATTTTAATTCTTTGTAAAAATGTACTCTGCCATTATATATTAGAGCCTCACACTTACAATATTTTAAATGTTTTTACTTTCTCCCATTTTTTTTTTGCTTGAGCTTTTGTAGATTTGATATTATGCCAAGAGGAACATCTTCCAGCTGAAAAAATAGGATTCTTCTTAGTTCGTTGGAGCATTGAAGTGTCTGCTGAAAATAATTTGAAAATAATTTACAGTTTTGGCCCAAACACTAAATAAGATTCTTTTTTTGAGCACTTGCCAATTCCTCTGTACCTGGTTAATCACTTTTTGGAAGACACAGCATTTCATTAATGGTTTCCCATTGCCCTTGGAATACATAAATCAGAGAAAGATTAATTCAGTTCTTAAATTTTTTGGCATGCATATAAAGAAATTAAGCTATGTGTGGGATCATTATTATTCTTGCACTCTATATCATTCTGGAATGGGAAATCACTCTAAATATGTAATCACTAGAATCTCCTATTTTGACTTTCAGCCTTAAAAATGGTTCTATTCTATAATATATAATCAGTCACATGGTTTAAAAAGCAGGTTTAGCTAAAAAAGTTAAAAGTTTGCCAGAAGTACATCTGGAAATAATGTTAGAGGCATGAATTTCTATGTGCAGAATCTTATAAGAGAGGTATATTTTCAAATGAAAAAGCATACCTTTAATCTATTGCTGTTCAATTTAATAATCAATTCTAAGTTTTCAATGTTCAGTAACAATTTAATATCCATTGTAACTTTGGGGGAGGAAAGTATTGCCATTGCATAATCAAGTTAATTACAGTGATGGATCTTGGATTTCATTTCTTGGTACTATCCAGTTAAGAAAGAGCTAAATTCAGAATGTCAGTTTATGGAAATCATGTACATAACAGTCTGAGGTTTCCTGGTATGTTCCTACTGTAGCCAGTTGAAATGCTTCCATTCCTCCCTTGAGTGTAATGAGAGAACACTTTTTGAGCTTTGAGGCTTCAAATGAAAACCTCTTCAGTTGTATCTTTAAAAACAACTATCAAATAACTCTTTGGTATGTTCCATTTTTTATTTTCTACTCAGAATTTTTCCTTTCCTTATATCTTTTTTATTTAGTTTGGCATTCTGCCCAATATCTCTCTCCTCAGCTGGTACCAATTTGACTCCTGGGTTCTCCAGAACATTATGTGCTTCTATAAGCCAGCTGGCCACAAGTCTGATTTTTGACAATTTACTGACCTAATCAGCTGCTATTTGTGCTGCTCAAAATATGCAGGCTCTCCCTCATCTAGACATTACATATTGAGGATACTTTTATTTTTTTCTGGTGGGCATATTTTTTCTGATTATTGAGAGAAATCCCTGATATTCTCACTCAGTGATGATTCAAAGCATAGCATTCTGTTCTGGTTGCTGAACAAAATAAATACAGTAAAGAGTTGGGGACAGAACTGAATAAGAGCCATGAACTCTACCTATCACTTAAACATTACGTTCATCCACCTTTGCCAAATTGCCTCCTATCAGAAAGGAAGAGGTCTTCTTTCTCCAAAGCTTTCTCCTAATCAATCAACTCCATATTCTCTTGCCTATAACCTTAACATTTCTCTCTCAATTATAGTTTCCTCTCTAATGTTAGTGTTCATTCTTCTGAATAATAATTATTATTAACTTGATATTGTTAAGTGTCTTCCAGTTAAAAAAAGAATCTTTCCTTGATGCCACATCTCCATCCAAATAATAGCTAATTTTCTCTTCCTCACAGTACAGCATTTTAGAAGAGTCACCTAAAATCACTCCACTGAGTTATGTTTATTTTTTTTTTTGAAGGTGGCACATGCATTTTATTTTAAGTTTTCTGAGATAGGAAATATTGAATTGGAGATTATTCATATTTTAGGAAAGTAGTGAATGGAGCCAATTAAAAATAAAAATCTTTTTTTAGCATAAATTCAAGTTAGTGATTAGAAACTCGAGATTTTGCAGCCCATTACCTAATCATAGACTATTACTACTTACAAAAAAATTCTCATGTGTAAATCGTCCCTTTTCCTTTGTAAAAGCTTGATCAGGTATTTTGCTTATGTCTCAGACTGTCATGGGGCCAAGAGGGGCTGGAAGCAGTGGATGCTTTTATTTCAATTGATTGCTTTTTGACCCTTTCCTAAGTGACAGGAGGAGTTTCATTCTTTCCGCCTCAATTATCTTCTCACTGATTCTTTAAACAAGTGGACCATCTCTTGGTTAGGTAAATCTATAGAAAATAAATGAAGAGTATGTGCTGACCTTAAACAAATTAAGTATTTTTTTAAAAAACTTTTTATTATAGAGATCCAAATTTATCCGAAGATAATTACCTACCCTAATAGTAATCAATACCTGGTCAATCAGACCCTATTCACATCTACATCCACTTAGCACCTCCCTCCACCCCATATATTTAAATCCCAGGTATCATACCAGTTTAAATATAAACATTTCAGTATGTATTTCAGAAAATGACTCTTTGTATAAAAAACCAGGCTACAATAGCATTATCATACCTAAAAATTAATTTTTGATTAATAAATCTTTGTTAGCATCAAATATCCGATCAGTGTAAAAAAATTTACTGGAACATTTTCATGCTGATTAAATGTAGATTAATACTAGGCCCTGAAACTTACATAGTTTTATGATATGCCATAAATAATTACCTTTGCATTTTTTTAGTGTAAGCATACTTTATTTTAGCCAGTGATACATTTGTGCTAAAATTATAAAATTATTATACATATTGATAATATTACACTTATAAAAACTCTCAACAGACTTAAAAAAACTTTTAATTTGCTATCTCTAATTTTTCTTTTTTTCCTTTTATATATATATTTATTATACTTTAAGTTCTATCTAGGGTACATGTGCACAATGTGCAGATTTGTTACCTATGTATACATGTGCGATGTTGGTGTGCTGCACCCATTAACTCGTCATTTACATTAGATATATCTCCTAATGCTATCCCTCTCCCCTTCCCCTACCCCACAACAGGCCCTGGTGTGTGATGTTCCCCTTCCTGTGTCCAAGTGTTCTCATTGTTCGATTCCCACCTATGAGTGAGAACATGCGGTGTTTGGCTTTTTGTCCTTGTGATAGTTTGCTGAGAATGATGGTTTCCAGCTTCATCCATGTCCCTACAAAGGACATGAACTCATCATTTTTTATGGCTGCATAGTATTCCATGGTGCATATGTGCCACATTTTCTTAATCCAGTCTATCATTGTTGGACGTTTGGGTTGGTTCCAAGTCTTTGCTGTTGTCAATAGTGCCACAATAAACATACGTGTGCATGTATAGCAGCATGATTTATAATCCTTTGCATATATACCCAGTAATGGGATGGCTGGGTCAAATGGTATTTCTAGTTCTAGATCCCTGAGGAATCGCCACACTGTCTTCCACAATGGTTGAACTAGTTGACAGTCCCACCAACTGTGTAAAACTGTTCCTATTTCTCCACATCCTCTACAGCACCTGTTGTTTCTTGACTTTTTAATGATCGCCATTCTAACTGGTGTGAGATGGTATCTCATTGTGGTTTTGATTTGCATTTCTCTGATGGCCAGTGATGATGAGCATTTTTTCATTTGTCTGTTGGCTGCATAAATGTCTTCTTTTGAGAAGTGTCTGTTCATATCCTTCGCCCACTTGTTGATGAGGTTGTTTTTTTTCTTGTAAATTTGTTTGAGTTCTTTGTAGATTCTGGATACTAGCTCTTTGTCAGATGAGTAGATGGCAAAAATTTTCTCCCATTCTGTAGGTTGCCTGTTCACTCTGATGGTAGTTTCTTTTGCTGTGCAGGAGCTCTTTAGTTTAATTAGATCCCATTTGTCAATTTTGGGTTTTGCTGCCATTGCTTTTGGTGTTTTAGACATGAAGTCCTTGTCCATGCCTATGTCCTGAATGGTACTGCCTAGGTTTTCTTCTAGGGTTTTTATGGTTTTAGGTCTAACATTTAACTCTTTAATCCAGCTTGAATTAATTTTTGTATAAGGTATAAGGAAGGGATCCAGTTTCAGTTTTCTACATATGGCTAGCCAGTTTTCTAAGCACCATTCGTTAAATAGGGAATCCTTTCCCCATTTCTTGTTTTTGTCAGGTTTGTCAAAGATCAGATAGTTGTAGATGTGTGGTATTATTTCTGAGGGCTCTGTTCTGTTCCATTGGTCTATATCTCTGTTTTGGTACCAGTACCATGCTGTTTTGGTTACTGTAGCCTTGTAGTATAGTTTGAAGTCAGGGAGCATGATGCCTCCAGCTTTGTTCTTTTGGCTTAGGATTGACTTGGCAATGTGGGCTCTTTTTTGGTTCCATATGAATTTCAAAGTAGTTTTTTCCAATTCCGTGAAGAAAGTCATTGGTAGCTTGATGGGGATGGCAATGAATCTGTAAATGACCTTGGGCAGTATGGTCATTTTCATGATATTGATTCTTCCTATCCATGAGCATGGAATGTTCTTCCATTTGTTTGTATCCTCTTTTATTTCCTTGATCAGTGGTTTGTAGTTCTCCTTGAAGAGGTCCTTCATATCCCTTGTAAGTTGGATTCCTAGGTATTTTATTCTCTTTGAAGCAATCTTTAAGTTACTTCTCAACCATCAGGTTGGAATGCTTTCAGCTACCAAAAAAAAAAATAAAAAAGTTAATCTAACAATAAGGGTTTTTATTACCTCATCTAAAATAAGCCTATGATTGGGTGGTTCCAGAACTGGTAATTCTGGTGACCTAGAAATATCAGGACTCTGGCTCCACTTCTCCGTGTTTCTCCTTGCTTTTTTTTCACAGGCATAAGAAGCTTTCTGCAGTTGCAAGCATGAGGACCCTATAGATCAGTGTTGAAAGATGAAGGAAGGAGCAAGACTTATCTACAGAAAACTCTTTTGATCAAGGGAGAAAATCTTTCCCAGAGGGCCCTAGCACAATTCCCATTACATTTAATTGATAAAAACTTGATACATAGTCTACCCTGAATCAATCGTCAAAAAAAGAAACTAAAATAATCCCAATCCTATTTTTCTAATACCTTTAATAGCTTACCTGACATTTTTGCCTGAGTGTCCCAAAAGCCCATCAAATTTAACATATGCAAAAGCTGAACCCATTGTTTTATACCTTGATTTCTCTGTTTGTTCTCTATCTCAATATGTGACACCTGCATTTACTCATTTCCTGAGATAAAATTTGTGCCTCACTACCCGCATTCAATCAGACAAAAAATTGTAAAGATTCTAGGTTGTTAATAATTTTTCAATCTGTCCAGTTCTTTTCATGCCTATGTCATTAACTTGGTGTAGGCAAATATTCTCTCTTGGTTGGATTACTACTCCTTGCCAGATTGGTTTCCTGCTTTTCATCTTGGCTTTTATTTCTTTTCTTTTCTTTTCTTTTCTTTTCTTTTCTTTTCTTTTCTTTTCTTTTCTTTTTTCAGATGGATTCTCGCTCTGTCTCCCAGGCTGGAATGCAGGGGTGCAATTTCGGCACACTGCAACCTCCGCCTCCCAGGTTCATAGGATTCTCCTGCCTCAGCCTCCAGAGTAGCTGGGACTATAGGTGTGTGCCACCATGTCTGGCTAATTTTTGTATTTTTTTAGTAGAGACAGGGTTTCACCATATTGGCCAGACTGGATTCAAACTCCTGACCTCAGGTGATCCGCCCGCCTTGGCCTACTAAAGTGCTGGGATTACAGGCATGAGCCACCGTCCCAGGCTCTTGGCCCTTTTATATACATTTTCCATATTCCCAGAGGGATTCTTTTAAAAAGCAAAGAGGATCTTGTGATATTCACCTTCATAAAGTAATTAAATGGCTCCTGGTAGCCTTACAAATGAAGTCCAAACCTTAGCAGGTATATGAGCCTTCTCATAATTTGTCCACTGGCGAGATCTCCACCCCATCTTTCTCCTTATCTGACTCCAGTCACACCAAATTACCTGGAATTCTCCAATGCCCAGTGCTCTCCTTCTTAACTATGGGCCTTTACTAATCGCAGCTTCTTTGTTGAGAACGATTTCCAGATTCCCACCACAACCCCACTCACAACTCCACTAGACCTGGCTGACTCTTCCTTCAAGAGCTCAGTTCAGAATACTTTTCAAGTTCTCCCTACCTGTTCCCAATATATTAATAGTTTATGTGCCTATTATCTGTGTTCTCACCATCATAACACTTTACAAAACATTTTATATTGTCATTACCTACTTAATGTTCGAAGTGGGGCCTGGTGGGAGGTGACTGGATTATGGGGACAGTTTTTTCATGGTTTAGCACCATCTCCTTGGTGCTGTTCTTATGATAGTGAGTGAGTTCTTATGAAATCTGGTCGTTTAGAAGTATGTGGCACCTCCCTGCTCTCTCTCTCTCTCTCTCTCTCTCTCTCTCTCTCTCTCTCGCTCCTACTTTAGCCATGTAATACGATCCTGCTTCTCCTTTGCCTTCTGCCATGATTGTAAGTTTCCTGAAGCCTCCCCGGAAGCTGAGCAGATAGGCAGCATCATGCTTCCTGTATAGCCTGCAGAACTGTGAGCCAATTAAACCTCTTTTCCTTATAAATTATCCAGTCTCAGATATTTCCTTACAGCAATGTGAAAATGGACTAATACATCATCAGTACTGTCTGTTCAAATAATACATGCCATAAGTTTAATGTTCACTATATAAATTTTCACACTTTTAATTATCCTAAACATTCTTTTCTCAAGGTTTGAACTATCTGTACTAATATTTGTTGCCATATCAAATCTCAACTCTGAACCAGGCATTTGTGCTAGATCTTTTATTTGTACGGTCTAATTTAATCATTAATACCACCTTGGAAGAAAGTTACTGTCATTCCTGTATCACATTCTGTATCATCCTATATAAGAAAGCAAGGGTCTCTGAGATTAAATGTAACATAAAATGTAAAGCTACGTTAGACTGCAAGTATCAGAAACGCCAACAGAAAATGAAGAAAACTAAGCCTCTTGTCGTTCATCTTCAGCCTGACTTCACTGAGCAATATAATGCTATATTAGCTCTGGAATTCACATCTTCCCTTTTTAAGCTCAGTGGGTAATTTGAAAACCTGGGTACACAAAACCCTATATAATCTTCTCTTTTCTGGCCACAACTCTGCAGAAACAATTGTCTCCTTGTGATGAAGGAAGTACATACCATGAGGTCCTTGATTATTACCTGCCACCTTTCCTCTGATTGTTAGTTTGAATAGTAGCATTGCCATCCCGCAAAGCCTCAGATTTCCAGTCCCTCAACTATCATAAATAGCAGACCCTAACCAAAATGGACATTTTAAGAAAAATTATATTTTCTTGTCTCCCTTCCTCCGGATAGGCTAGTTGCAACCAAGCTTTTCTGTTTCTTATAGATCCTTACTAAGTGAAAAATACAGCCAACGTATTCCAGCATTCTAAATTTTTTCTATGAAGTCCTAGTCCCTCTAGCCTCACTCAACTCATTGTCTAAACGCCACAACCCATCAAACAGTATTCTATTTAACTGTTTTACTACTGTGAGTAAGACTTGCCAGTCTCCCAGCCCAGTACACAGGGCACTTAGCCACTGTATACACTATTTCTACTAATCCAATTTCAAAATTTTAGGAACTATTACTCCTAACATTTCCATATTCTGACATCAAAATTATTAGAAGTACTGAATATAAAAACCAACCTCAAACTGCTTAAGTGAAAAAGAAATGTATTAATGTGTATAACTGATAATACTAAAATAGGGCATTCCTCTGGCACAGATGAACATTAGGCACAAATAACATCATTAGCAATCACTTTTACATTTTCTTCAGGCCATGTCTTCTGTGAACAGGCTTCAGTGTCAAATGGTATCGTGGCAACGAGGTTGCTGCTGCCCCACTAAATGTGGAATCTCTCAGGAAGAGCCTGGAGATGGGACACCACTTCTGCTCTAGCATTTCAAGAAAAACCTCATCACCCTTACTTGCCTTGGTTATGTCTCATGCCCACGCCTTCGCCAAATGTTGGAATCTGAAGCATCATGATGGAACAGTTAACTTTGCGCATGTTCATTTACTCTGAGCCAGAGACAGGGTACATAATTCAAGTGTGTGGGAAGACAGTAAGGGAGAGATTAAAAAAAAAAAGTGAAGTTGAAGATTGTTTAGTCCTTTTGGGCTAATATAGCAAAATACCATAAACTGAGTATCTTATAAATAACATAAGTTTATTTTTCACAGTTCTAGAGGCTGAGAAGTCCAAGATCAAGGCACCAGCAGATCCAGAGTCTGATGAACACCCACTTTCTCATAGATGGTACCTTCTTCCTGTGTCTTCACATGGTGGAAGAGAGAAACAAGCTTCTTTGGGCATTTTTCTTTTTAAAGGCACTAATCCCATTCACGAGGGCAGAGCCTCCCAAAGGCCTCATCTCTTAATACCATCACATTAGGGATTAGGATTTAACATATGAATTTTGAAAACATTCAGACCACAGCACGGTTTTTGACTGAAAAGAAGAGGTAATGAGATGAAAGAGTAATAACAGAGGGCCACTACATTAAGGTTGAATAGCTAGCATGTAGCTAGAATATAATTTGATCCTACGTAAGTCTTTAAGTATACACTATACTGTATCCCTAAATCCAATATTAAAAGTTTTTTATAACTAAATCAATTATCTAATTTCCTATATCATTTATAATTTGAAGATTTTCATTTTTCCAGAGAAGCACCTGAAAACTGTGTTCAATGTATTATATTATATTATGTATGTAATTTTTATTATTGACACTTTTGGGTGGTTATTAACAACAATAAGATAAAATATATTTTCAACTTATTCTTGTGCCTGTCCTCTTCAAGAAATAGAATCTTCATACTTGTTAGCACACTTTAAAGGAGAAAATTTAAAGAGGGAGCACATAAATCTGTAATTGCCCACACAATTCTAAAGGAATAAAATGTATCAAAATAGAAAAAAATCTTGATTTTGGCATAAAGTTTCCCTAATTAAACCAAAGAGGTGCATAATAAAAAGGAAAAAAAAAACTAGTTTTTTTTTATAGTTTGAAAAGAAAGCAGAAGCAATATGAGTCAGACTACAGAATGAGCATGGACAGGAAAATTGTCAAAATGGACACTAACATATGTCCTGGAAAACTCAGCCCTAAGGTGTACATTGACATTTAATGGTACAGCAACAAGGAGAAGTTATTTTTTTTTGGAATTATAAATAGGAATGAGGAAGAATAAGCTGAAAATTGGATGAACACTTAAGTTCAACCATTCTTGAAGGTAGGACTGGTGGCATATGAGAAGCTTAGGGGGTCAGGTAATAGGCATTATTATAATTTGAAAAGTATGAGCAACATAGCTACTTTCATCAATTCACTTAAGACTCCTTTTGAGAAAAGCCTTTAGTTTGCATCATTTCTTTATTAGATGAGAAAATACCTTGAAATTAAACTAAACCTGAAATGATTTTGGATACAACCACTGTGAATATGCAGAATTTTAGAAAAGTTGGAAACTCTAAAAATTGCGAAAGCATTCTGAATCTGTTTAAGCTCTCTATAAAGTTCCTTGATTCGTGGATTACAAGAATTAATTAAATAAGCTATATACGCAACCAGAGGGACAACTATTCTCTAAATCTCTAAGCAGAACAAATATTTATATAATTATGTACAGTTTTCAGGGCCTCATCAAGATCCTCAATATGAAAAATGACATATTTTGTTGTGTTGAAAATTTCTGATTTATGATATTGTTTCTGCTTAATTGAAGCATTTCATGTTTACATTATAAATATTTTAGTTTTATATGAAAGGGAATTTTCTAAACTTCATTTTAGGACTGGCTTTATAATTTATAGCATCTGAGAAACTTCATATATTTCTCTTTAATGTGGCTACATAATTGAAAATTACCTTTAGTGAATGTCATATTAATAATAAACAACATTTGATAAGAGACAATGATAAATTACTTCAAGCAGGTTGGATTCTGCTCTCACTTTATATCCCTCCTCTGACTGCCCACTCAACACTGAGGACAGAGGTACACACATAGACAGAGCTAAGTTAATTTTTGTTAGATATAGTTTAGCAATTCAAAACAAATGGAAAAACAGCCATTGCATGCCTCCAGATTTTGCCTTCATGATTTCAACTCATAATTTTCTATGCAATGTTATTTGTTCCAGATAGCATAGTTATATTGTATGGTACGTATAATGCAGCATAGATAATCAAAATTATATATTAAGCTTAATTCATTCAACAAATACCTATTGAGCTTCTGTTAGATGTCAGACAATATTTGAGAACTAGAAATATATTAGTAAACAAAGCATGGATTTTGCACTCAGAACATGAGGAGATAAGAGTGAAGAAATCTCTTAATACAGTGTGTTAGATCCTAGACTTTTTGTACATTTTTCTAATTTCTTGTTAAATTTGTCTTTTTAAAACACAGGAAGAAAAATAGTATAGATTTCAATAGATATAAAATGGCTCAATTTAGGCTTCCATTTGTGTGAATTAGTAATTTTAGGATAGAATCTTTCTCTTAATGTAAAAAAATTTCCACATATTTATTATAATAATGCCTATAGTATTGTTTTACCAAAAATATAGATTACATAACCATAATAATCATTCCTTCATTTAACCAATGAATGTTGGTATTGTTGTATGCATTAAAATCATTTGATCTATACATCTTTAGTACTGCTATTGTTACTATATAACTTTTTTGAAACCTGTGTAAACCCCAAAATTTATATATTACAATTTCTTACAAATGTAATTGTGGAATTGGCATAGAGCACATATCATCTGTTTTGCTGCAGTTAATTCACAAAATATGAAGCAAATTCGGGTATAGGGTTATTGAGAAGACCACAGAATCACAAGTCGGAAGTTCTCTATTTAAAGCTTTCCTAGACTGTTTTTTTTTTTTAACTTTTCACAGTCACTTTAAATCTCTCAACCTCACTTTCTCATCTATAAGATGGAGAGAATATATTTGCATTATTTGTATGGATTGCTTAGAGCATCAGTTAGAAAACATTTTTGAATGCACATACTTTATGTTATCTAAAACTCTATGTAAATCATGACTATTAAATTATTGCAGTTTTATGTTGATTTCATTAACTTATTAGGTTTAGCAACTTATTTCATTTACATAGTTCCTTTCTATGAAAAATAAAACAACATTTTACAACATGAACCATAAATAATAGCAATAACTTTGTAATTACTGAGAAGATTATTAAGAGGAATAAAAAATAAATAAGGCACTGTCTTAAAAAGTTATTATGTCACATTTTATATTGGAAAAAGTGTGCTCTATAGTCAAAAAAAGGAGAAAAAGACACTTTTTTTCTGTATACTTTCCTCTAAGATATATTGCTAATATTCTCAGGAAGGAGACAAGTCCAACATTGAGAAGCTGATGTCTTAGAACCCACTGTCTTAATTCAACTTTCTTTCTCCTGGGAGTGTTATGGGTTGTGGGAGAAATACCAGCTATTTGGAACTTTCTACACATAGGCTTTTTATTCATTCATTCATTCTGCAAATATTTATTGAGCATCTTCTATATGCCCACATTCTAACCAGCAAATACAAAGATTAATAAGTCATGGTTCCTGCCACCAAGTAGCTCACAGTCTATCAGAAAAAAAAGTTAATAAATGTATTATTTTTAAGGTGTTTTTCTGACTACTATCTACAATACCCATTTAAGTAGAGTACTGCTCTAAGGACTATCAGGACAGAGAGGCAACTCTATTCAGACTAGAGGCAAGGTAAATGCTATTAAAAGAGCAGTAAGAGTTAATAATACACAAGCATACACATGCACAAACATACCACTCATAAGCCCACGTTCAGTATGGGTGTATGTTTCAAAAGCAGGAAATGCACTGTAGAGGCAAAACCTCATGCTTATGAAACTTTTAAGTCTTCTCAATGGCTTAGATCAGTTCTATAAAATATGTGATATCTGGAAGACAAAATAAAATATACAAGTATAATTAAATAATGCTGAATAAATATTTCTCCTTCTAATAAATTTTGTGAATGTATTGGAAAAATTTTTAATGCATCCTCAGAAGTATTATGGAAACCAAATAAATCATTGAAATGCCTAAATAATCAAATCAAAGGCTATTTTCCTTAACTTCTTTTTTCTGGTTTAGGTCTCAGAATTCTGGTAATTTTTATCTGGGTGAATTATCCATGTTTTTAACTCTCTAATAACTTGAATAAAGCTGTAAAGGACAGCTTGGGTAGGTGTTTGCCTGTGCTTGCAGAAAAGATTGTTGTTTGGGTATTTGTTTTGGAAAGAAGAGGTTGAACACTTCTCAGAGAACCAACAAATCAGCTGCTTAGTAATTTTAATCTTGAACTTTTGGAAATGATTCCAACCTTTTTATAACGGTTTCAGTAAAGATTTCTTACTAAGATTCTTCCTAACAGTACTCTTCAGTCAGGTATGTTGGACATTGCTGTGAATACTGGGAAACAACCCAAGAAGAATAAATTATAACTTTAAAATCTAAGCCAAAATACACACCCATTTAAAATACTGCTCTGTAATGTTTGGCTCATGTGAAGAAGGTGTATACTTTTAATTCACTGGAAGTATAGCTGAATAACACTTTTAGATTATTTTCTGATTAATTCTCATTTCCAGGTAAGGAATAACGAAAGTATAGTGGTTTATCTCGGTACCTGCTTTTTCATGTACCTCTCCCAAACACTTCCTTCCACCTGCCTTTGACATCATAAACCTAGGTTCTTAGCCTGAGGCCTCTCATTCTTAATCCTTGAATTCCCATATCATATGGTAGTCCATTGTCTTAGGTTGGATTCCCTTGATGCACACTCTGACAGAATTCCATATGAAAAAAAAATCTGTATCTATCTATATATCATCTATCTATCTATCTATCTATCTATCTATCTATCTATCTATCAATCATCTATCTATCTATCTCTCTATCTATCTCTATATCTACCTACCTACTAGGGAAATGAGAAGAAAATGAGGCCATGTAACAGTGCAATATCGAGTAAGTCCTATGGAAGATATCTTTGGCTCAATCCTGCAGTGGAACTCTGCAAACACCCTAGATCAATCACACCTCAGAGTTGTCCTTACCAGAAGATAGAATATTAAGACCTATCTGTCAGTTGTTTTAAGTGCTGTCTCTAGGGAACAGTAATTCCCAGTCACTGATGATTATCAGGGAGCATAGGTAGTGGTGGTTCTAACATCCTAAGGATAGTCCTTAAGAATGAGACACTAATGCTAACTGGTGGGAAGGAAAACCCACTGGGAGCCTGTGTGCATGAAAATAGTCCAGGGATACTAGGGTATATGGGTGGTGTTTTTATAGAAGTAACCAAGTATTGTCAAGTATTTAAAAACACACTTTAGATACCAGACAATCAGGATCAATTTCGGCAATTGTCACTAATTAACTGAGCAATATTGGACATTAGGTTATATTGTCAGGTTTCTTCTGATGTAAGCCAGCATGATAAAAAGCCAAAATGAGCCCATTTTAGCCAAATAAATGAAAATTTATCTGTTCATATAGTTAAATCACCACCTTAGCTAAGGGTAGAGTTTTGCCTTAAGGATCAGAGGAATCAGGGCTCTGATACTAACCAGTACTAACCAGCAATGCTTTTCTCTAACATCTCTTCTTTGTGTGCCAGATTCATTTTCTTCCATGTAGTAGTAGGCAATATTGCCTCTATCAACTCTTGATTTTAAGCCTCACAATTTCACCCACATTTGCTCATGGTTTCAATTTTAAATGGCAGTAAAGAAAGAACTTTACTTGGCTAGATTTGATTTTTTTTAAAAAAACTTACCTCTTCTATAATCACTGTGGCCAGAGAAAGAGTTATTGCATTTACACGGACATGCAACCATCTTAGAGAGATACTTGTGGCCATGAAAGTGAGGTCATGTAATATTATAGAAGTTCTTATTTGGATAATATGGTTAGAAAGGGTAAAGTATAATTCTCCCGAAGTAAGAAGGTCAGATCTCAGAAACAACAAAGTAAACTGAGCAAAGCAAATAATACATTTCTATGTCATCTGAGCTTTAGTTTACTAATTAATAAAATGCAGTCCAAAATATTTATTACATTCACTTAACAATTTTTTTTCAAGTATTACATATGATAATATCATCAAAATTGCTTTACAAATTATGAAGTTTAGCTAGTAAGTATTAAATACCACTCACATAGGATATTGAAACTTCTCTCAGTCCCGTTCATCTACAATGTTTTTATATTACCAATAAGTACTAAAAGGTTAACTAAGAATTAGGCAAGAACCTAGAGTCTTCTATCCTATACTTTAGTAAACAAAACTTAGGTTTAGTTTCCGTGACAAGTTTGGAGCCGTAAATCTTGGTAGCATCCAGCTTTATTTTTAAGACAGGTGAATCATTCATACGGAAACAGGAAGAAGTCGATGGTTTTCTCACCATTATTTTTATAAATGCTATTAGGCAAGTTATCTTAACAATTAGAAATATCATTAGGGCATCAACATATCAGCTGTCATAGGGATTTCCTTGAAAAAAGCAATCTCCAGGAAGCATATAAAAAATGTCTATCTTTTGCAAAACAAAACATAACATAACAAAAGGGAAAAAATAAATAAAATAAGATGCCATTTGGACTATTAATTTCCATACTGCCTCAAGTTACTCAAACCAAAAACCTTTCCTAATACCATCAGTCCCAAAATTTGGTTCAACAGCATTCACAGACTTTACTCAAGGTTTGCTCTGACCTAGCTACTAGTGATTATTCAATACAGAGGGAAACATTAAGAGAAAATTCTAAATCTTAAAGGTCTCATAGTGAAATGAAGAGGTCAAATTCTCCCTTTCAATCTGCCGTTGTCCTCCTTATTTCTACTATGCCCTTTCCCCTGTGCTCCAGATCTTACCTCATTATGCTTATATTACGGCATTAGTCTTGTAATTGGTCTTTATGGTTCCAGTGTTTCCTTCAATCTAACACCAGTCACACTAATTTTTCTAAAACAATTTTTTTTACTATATCATTTCTCTTAAGAAAAAAATAAACATCTATGGCTCTAAAGTTTTAAAACAATAATGTTTATTTACTTACAGAATTTTAGAGCTATAGGGATGCTTAAAGTGTTTGCCCTAAATTCAACTCAATTTGGGATAACTTTTTCTCATGAGTCAGGCTAACACTTAATAAGCTAACAAAAACATTTTATTTAAAGTCCTGGATACTAGACAAAAATTATGGGATTGTCAGCATCTTTATGTTGTAGCATTGATTAGCAAAATTAAAATTTTGAACAATCATAGAAATGTGAATGAGAAACACAGATAAAATTTGGTGTATATGAGTAAAGAATAGAACAACTGAAGGCTGGAAGATCAGTTAGGAGGCTTAAACAACTATCTAGGCAAGATTTCATAATAGTTGAAATTTGAATGATGGCAGTGAAAATGGAAAGTAAAGTGCAGATGCAAAAGACATTATGAAAGATAAATTGTCAGAACTTAATGACTGGGCCAAGTGAGAGGGATATATGAAAACTATCTTGAGGTTTTGGCTCTGAGAGAATGGTGGTACATACTACAACCAGAATAAGAAAAATCAAATGGAGAAGTAAATTTGTTAAAGTTTCTTGACAAGAAATGATGTGCTCTGTTTTCAAAACATTAAATATTCCTGAACTTGGCATTTGTTGTTCTACACCATTACCGTTTACCTGGTAAGAGCAAGTACATTTTTCTTTGGGAAACCACTGCTCCTTCATCCTTACCTGACCCCTCCCCCAGCTATAAGGATAGATCACCAGTCTTCCAAGGAAAGCATTGCATTTCCTTGGGCCCAGTGATTAATTCAGAGCAAACATGACCCAGTTGGAGGCAATATTACAAAATGAGGTTTTGCTCAAACAGTTGGGAAACAAAGCACTTTTTCTATTGATTCACCAGCAGTTAGTATGGTGTGGTTGGTAAAAATGAAGGCAAGCCAACAAAAGGTAATGCCAAAAGTGGATTGAGCCTGGTTCCTGATGACATCCTTTGAAACCCTAATTCAAGTCTCCTTCCAGATTTTCAGAACATGAGAGAACACATTCCCTTTGGACTTAAATAATTTGGGTGGAGATGCTTGTCTGACAACTAAAAAAGCCACAACACTTGCTTTACAAAAGCATTTACAAAAATTAAATTTCTTACTTTAAAAACAAATCAGGAAGACAGAAAAAAAAGAAAGAAAATAGCTTCCTAGACAGCTACAATCTTATTATATATGAAAAATATATATTTGCCCATTTTTAAAAAGGCAAACATCTGTTGAGATTTTTTTTTTATTTCTTTCTGATCTTTCCAAGTACATGTCATACTTCTGTGGGCATGTGCAGATGCTAAACTATATCATTACATTTATTTTATATTGTAATCTTCCTCTGAATCCAT
Organism: Homo sapiens; assembly: GCF_000001405.40. Lineage (NCBI taxonomy): Eukaryota > Metazoa > Chordata > Mammalia > Primates > Hominidae > Homo > Homo sapiens. The sequence goes on from NC_000001.11 coordinate 103,299,940, forward strand.
AGCAAGTCTGTCTTTGACATGTGTTCTCTTACAGGCCCACAAATTACTACTGGAATGGTAATAGTATATTCCCTCTTTGGGGAGTTTCGGCATTTCCAAAGAGGACCATGTCTTCATTTGTGTCTTGTCTTTTCCATTAGAATTCCAGGGAATAAAACACCAGAATCAAGAGCAGGAAAATGAATGCTTGAGTAACTGGCATCATCAGTACATATGGTACACTTCATTTGATACTTTCTTTAAAAAGTGAAACCAAAGTCTACATTTTTGACAAAAATAACTGGCTGTTATTTTCAATTGATCTTTTATTTTTTTAATACTGGTATTCTTTTAAGTAATTCTCTACTTTTTTGCTTAAGTAAATCATTTGCTTGAAATTTAATGTGTGTGTGTGCATACACATTGCTTAAGGACAAAGATACCATTCTGAGAAATGCATCATTCGGTGATTTTGTCTCTGTGAACATTACAGAGTGTACTTAAACAAACATAGTGTAGTCTACTGTACACCCAGGCTATACTGCATAACCTATTGTTCCTAGGCTACAATCCTGTACAGCATGTTACTGTACTGAAAACTGTAGGCAATTATAACACAATGGTAAGTATTTGTATAGTTAAACATGTCTGGGCACGCACGGTGGCTCATGAGCCTAATCCCAGCATTTTGGGAGGCCGAGGCGGGCAAATCACGCGTTCAGGAGTTCCAGACCATCCTGGCTGACATGGTGAAATCCCGTCTCTACTGAAAATATACAAAATTAGCTGGGCGTGGTGGCGGGCCCCTGTAATCCCAGCTACTTGGGAGGCTGAGGCAGGGGAATCTCTTGAACCCGGGAGGCAGAGGTTGCAGTGAGCTGAGATCACGCCATTGCATGCCAGCCCAGGCGACAGTGCAAGACTCCATCTCAAAAAAAAAAAAAAAAAATCTACATTAGGCTGTTCTTGCTTTGCTATAAAGGAATATCTGAAGCTGAGTAATTAACAACAACAACAAAAAATAGTTTAACTGACTCTTGGTTCTGCAAGCTTTCCAGGAAGCGTGGTGTTGGCATTTGCTTTTGGTGAGGCCTCAGGAATCTTCCAATCATGGCAGAAGCAATGGGGAGTCAGCATGTCACATGTGACAGTGGGAGCAACAGAGAGAGAAGAGACTGAACCAGATCTCGTATGAACTAAGAGAACTAACTTACCACCAAAGGGATGGTGCTAAACCGTTCATGAGGGATCTGCCCCCATGATCCAATCACCTCCCACCAGGCCCCACCTTCAACATTGGCAATCACATTTCAACATGATATTTGAAGGGACAAGCATTCAAACTGTATCAATATCTAAACATAAAAAGATACAGCACAAATATGGTATTGTAATGTTATAGGATCACCATAATACATGCAATCCATCATTGACCAAAATGTTGTCATGTGGGACACGACCGTATATCCTAGAATAGATTATTAATGAAGAAAAATATGTATAAAGAAAGGCTTCTGTTTATATATACATACCAAAAATTATCATACTGCAATTATATATAAATATATATTTTATACAAAAGCAGATTTCCTTGTTCATAGAATTATATTTTGCCAATGAAAGAATGGCAATAAATATACCTTTGTTATTTCTCAGCACAATTATCTTTCTTGTCTTTTCTTCAGTGCAAAATTGCACTCAATAGTTCATTATCTGGGAAGACTCAATCGGGAAACAAGTATTTCTTAAGCCCTAGTTATGTTTTTTCAGCATTACAAGGAATTCAGAGTAAGTATATAATAAAATCTCCTTATCAGAGTTCAAAATCTAGTAATAGAAAGTAAATGGCAGAATTGAGGAGGCAATGCTAAGCTGAAGGAAAGGCACTGGATTGCTTGCTTGGCAAGTATACAAGCTGAAACAGCCAAGATGAAGACCGGCAACTTTTAAAACTTTCCCACTAACGTGGGACACTCAGGATGTGTAAAACAGAATTTCTGATCTTTCCTCTAATGCCCCCACCCCCAACAAAATCTGCCCTTATTCCCACTTTTGCTACCTCAATTACTGACTGCTCATCTTTCCTTTGCTCATACCAAAACTCTTAGGTCCGTCTTCAAGTCCATTAATTCTCTCACATGTACATCTATTCTGAAAAGAAATCCTGTTAGATCCACCTCTGAATTATCTTCAGACTGATTACTTCCCACTCTCACCACTCTTTGGTTCCTACCACGTCTCTCATGTGCTACTGAAGTCACTTCCTAACTGGTCATTATGCTTCTGCCCTGTTCCTTTATAGTCTCTTCTTAAGACAGTAGCCAGTGTTATCTTTTTACAACATGCCTGGTAATGTCACTTCTCTGCTCAGCATAAGTAAAAGTCTCCATGAGGGTCTACAATGCTCTGCAAGCCCTGCTACCTCTCTGACCTCTCCTGCGTTTTACTGTCCCCCTTTTCACAGTGGCCTTTTTGCTGCTACTCAAACATGTCAGTTAATAGCCACCTTAGGAACTATATTCTGGCTCTTCTCTTTGCCAGGAAAGTTCCCCAACTCTATGACTATTTTCAAGTCTTTGCCAAATTATAATTTTTAAAAAATAAACCATACTCTGATGATCCATTTAAAATTGCAACCTCAGATATTTTCAATCAATCTTCACTGTACACTCTATTTTTCCATAGCACTTGTCACTTTCTTAGTAATGTTAAATGGTCCATTTGTTTATTCTATTTATTGACGGTCTCTGCCTGATCTAACATATAAGCTCCACACAGGCAGAAGTCCTTGTCTGTTTTGTTCACTAATTTGTTCCAAGAACCTGGAACAGTTGCTCGATACATATTTTTGGAATTAAATAAATGAATATGGCACAATGCCTAGAGAAGATAAGGGATAAATAATTTGGAGCCAAATTGTCTTACTTCTCATTTAAATCTATTTTTGATCATTTCACAACGTTTTATTTAGTCAATACAGCAACATCATACAGTGGATAATATTATCATCTCATTTTACACATGAGGAAATTAAAATATGTAATTAATTAACTAAGGTACTGAAACAAATTTCCCAAAGTCACTTAAGTGATAGGTGATAAGCTCAGAATTTGCATTCATGTTACCTGAGGCCAGAGCCAAGAATTTTTAATACTCTGCTATGTGGACTTTAACGACTTGCTTTGCCTTTGGGGCAGGTCAATCATGTACATTCTATGAGCTTTTTTTCTCTCACCAGTTAAGCAGGGATACTAATCCCTCTCACACATCATTGTGGTAAGTGACAGAAATATTTGTAAGTGTCTAGTAAATAATAGGCAATCATTAACTGAAAATAATATGCATGTCCTTCCCACATTATGCTTACAATATGAGATGTTTTACATAAGCACAATCCTTATAGGATGTGTCTCTGCCTTTAAAAGACATCTGAGAATTAGGTCAGGGGTACTGTAAAGGTCTAAGAAACATGCCCATCCTTTTGTAGTTTAGACTTGAGTCTAGAAAGTCAAAATTACTTCTCAAAGCACAAACTAATGCTCTAGCTGATAAAGAATGGTCCATCTTCCAGTGTGTCCCTTTTATGCATATTTCCTTACTGAGACTGCCAGGGCCACAGATCTTAGGGAAGATTCAATGACTTAGAGGACATCACAAGCCCTGATAGGGTCAGAAGTTCCAAGTCTCCACTTTGCCACTTATCCACCGAATATTCTTGAACGTGTCACCTCTCTGTGCATGACAGACTGTAAATGACTTTTAGATGGCTAATCCTCTGATAGTGCTGACTCTGTGCCAGGCACTCTCCTGTGTATTAGCTCCTTTGAACATACAAACAACTGTCAGATTAGAAAAATGAGAAACCAATGAGGGTAAGTTTCACCAAAAATGACCATAAGAAAGAACTAGGTCTTAAGCTAATTCCTGAAGGACAGAAAATATATCTGCTTTGGATGTCTGCTTTGGATAAACAGATAAAAGCATTCCCAAAGCAATGACAGCAGAAATCCGTGATTAATAAACACACATTAAGTGCAGGGTGTCAGGTACCTGCTAATGCTGTGAGCATTCCAAACACACAAATAAGGCATGATTCTTACTGGAAAGCAGTTTATAAATTTCACAGTCCAGATAGAAATACAGACAAGAAGACATTTAATCATTATGAGGGGCCAACTATAACAAATATTATAAAAGAAACTCCACAAAATACATGAAATCAAGAGAAAACAGATTAATATTTTGTGAGACATTAGAGATTGTTTTATAGAACAGATGATATACAAATGAGAGATAAGCAAAATTTTGATTAATAGGAAAAATTTTAAGGATATTCCAAGCAGAAATGTATGGTTGGTTCTATGAAAGAGCAAATAACTCAGAGACAGAAATGTATGTAGAACACATAGAAAAAAATGAAGAGTGTGTGCAAAAATATAGAGCTTCAATAGTATTATTTTAAGTCAAGTTAATTTACTTGGAAGTCTCATTTTAATGAAAAAAGATAAATGGTGAAAAAAATCCTCCTAGCAGTTCAGGTAGCTAGTCCTACTTTACAAATATCATTTTTTTTTTGGTCAAATATTGTCTTTGTATATATGGAAGCATCTAGAGGGGAAACCCAAGACCTTGCTGAAATTTTCTTTATCTTCTCTCTTTCTCTAAATTGGCACATCATTAGTACTTCACTTTTAAGGAAACACACCTAGACATATTGATTCCACAGTAAAGCAAATTTATTCTTAAAGGACTAAAGTAAATACTATGGCTTTAATCAACTAAGAAAACATATCCAACTTCCCCCTGCCCGGCAAGTACATTTGAGGCAGTGTAAGGTCTAAGTTTGAGCAGATGGATTTCAGTGCAAGTAATTATAAGCTGCAACATAATTTCCTTAAAACTACACACATACTAGACAAATACTTATTTGTGGTTATAGAGTGGGTAAAGTTACTATAAAAATAGTAGCACACCTTATAATACTGCCATATGCCGTAATTTACCTTTGCCATATCTGAAGTGTCATATCTTGTTCCAGACTTAATATTTATTAACTAACAATTTAATGTACAAATCTCTAGCCTAAGCAACAGAATAATTAGTACAGGAGGGTCCCCCTTTTTACACACCAAAAATATATTCGACCATGCAAAATGCCTGAGGATTATATAGAAAAGGAAGGGAAGGGATCTTTAGTTATAAAAAATAAAGGGCAATTTTCAAATAACTTATGAATTAAGGAGTAAACAATGTAGACATGCAGAAGAGTAATAATAGATCATAAATGGCAATAGACTTCTCTTATTAAAGTAAATGTCATGAAAATATCTTCAATTTGATGTACACATGTCCTCTGAAAATAGAATTAAAGCCAATTATTGAAAAAATGCAGTGAAAGCCATCATACATTACATCCATTACAAGTGAATGAAATAACAGAATATGGCCAATCATTTGTGACTTATTCTTATGAAAAAAATCAACTTTGGGGCAATTTCCCATCTATTATTTCACCATCCAAAACAAACTTCTTATTAAACAAAAACAACAATAAAACGGAAACTATCAACAAAAACATTTTCCTATGTTGATATAATTTGTTGTGCTGGTGGGGCTCATTAAATGAACCAGAGTCTCCCCAATATTCAGCTATTTTTTGGTAATTTCTTGAGAGTATTCCAATCCATTTGGGCTATTTATTTGAACCCACTGGACACCAGTTTACCACAGAGCAAAGAATAGGGTCCAGAATTCAGTTCACTTCAAAATATTAGAGGTCATAAGACTGTCCTGGGGTAAAAGCAATTCTTGGTGGTTTATATGAAATCTATCAGTTAAGTCAGCAAAGGGAATATTTTATGAGCTTTTCTAAACTATAGCACAACCTAAAAATGTGTGGGGAATCATAGATGAGATTCACAACTTAGATAATATAAATCAGTACACACACAATCTATTCCCATTATTTCCTTAGTTTTTATTGTTTCACATTTTATCATTCTAGTCAAAAGCTAGAAAAGGAAAATGCAAAACTTACCTCCTATTACAAAATCTATCATCAAAGATATTATGCATGGAGAAAAAAAAAACACCCCAGAATGTTTTAAAATGGACCATGAGTAACACTGACACAAACCATTTCAGGAAGTTAGTAGAGTTAAAACTTCGTTGCCATGAATTGAAGATGAGAGTTGTGGTGACATAGCCAACAAATGTACACAAATTCTCAGTAAGCATTACTGTAAAGCAAAGACAATGGGGTAACAGCTAGATTTGGGAAGGCAGAGAATCAAGAAGGGAATTAGCCATTCTCCAAATCTGGATTGAAAAGAGATTTGGCATCAATATAGATCAAACTTAAAGATATGGAAGCAACTATTTGATCAAGCTTAAATCTAAAATCATCTCTTTTCACTGTGAACTAAAATATCATTTATTGTAAGTTGGAGAGACAGTGAAACATGGTGGATGGGACACAGAAATATAATATAACTTCCATATAAAAATTCACTAAAATTATTACAAAGGAATGAAAAGCTGTTAATAAAAAGGCAAATAGAATGAGAAAATAAAACAGCAGACAAGTAATTAAAGAAACAACTTTATCATAAGAAACGTTAGGCAGGATTCTCAGAATGATGGTGAATAAAAATACAAGGACAATAGTTGTGCATAGTTTTAGAGATCAGTCCAGGTGGAATCAGGAGAGATAAAGTTTCCAGAAGTGATGATAATGTAGATTAAAGTAGATACATACAGTTATCCAGAAGTGATGATAATGTAGATTAAAGAAAAGTAGATACATACAGTTAAATAGATGATTGATAGACAGATAGATAGACAGATAGATGCACTGAGAGATTATTTAATGTGTTTGACCATTTGGTCATTAGTTTTATGATTCTTTCCGAGTTGGAGGAAAATTACCAGTTAATACAAAGACACTTAAGCAAATGCAATAATGAAAGAATTACTAATTCTAGGAAAACTAAAAGCTACTCAAAGAAAAATGTCACTATTGTTCATCATGTGGTTTAGTTTTCATAATATTTACATACAGTTATGTAAACACTGAATACTTATTTCAGCAAAAAATTGATACATTATATTGGGAGTATTGTGGAGGGGAAGTGTCTGTGTGTGTGTGTGTGTGCATGTGTGCACCCATGTATCATACAGAGAGAGAGAAACAGTGTTTTAAAAACACATCGGATTGTACTGGAAAGCTAACTACTCATCTTTACAATAGGAAATCTGTAGAAGTCACCAATTTAAGTATTAAGAAATAGCAGCAAAATATATTTATTTAGAATCAGTAGATGGAGACTAGTTTCTAGCCAAAAGTTAAAAGCACTCTTTTTGGATTGCAACTTGGGGTTGGGCTGTGGCCAGGGCAAGGTACTCCTATTTTCATTATAAGACTTTAGCTACAATCTGACTTATTAAACCATGTAAGTACATTAATTGAAACAATAATGTAATTTTAAAAAGAGTGAAGAAGAGGTTTCAAAGCTTTAGAGGAGAATAGTTAGGGTTTTAAAGAGTTTTAAGGATTAGAAAAATAAGAAAATACTTACAAAATGGAAAAACACTACCCTGTTAGTTCTTAAAAATGGTCTTAATGTATATTTCCAACCATACTGACCACAGCTTCAAAAGGGTTCCTTAATATCCAAACATGCATACCTGTGTAACAAACCTACATGTTCCGCAAATGTATCCCAGAACTTAAAGTAAAATTAAAAAACAAACAAACAAACAAATAAACCATTTACTCTGCCCAAAGATGCCCTCAGTCACTAGCATAAAATCATTCCTTCTCCATCTCCATCTGTCAAATTTCTGACAGTCACTCAAATCCTATCTTAATGCCACTTCATTTATTCCCCATCCTCAACCATTTAGAATATTTTACCATTGTGATGTCCACTGAACATTTCCCTCCCTTACTACATTTACTTAACCTCATTTTATATTCTTTTGCAAATTCATTTCATTCTAAGTCACTTAAATCGTGAGTCTGTTATTCATTTTGCATAGCTTGCATTAACTGACAAACCATTTGAACACATATTAGTCACTTCATGGCTGTGTTAAATAAAATTGGAATTTGAGATGCAATCCTTCTCTGTTTTTAAAAGAAGTATCACGACCTTGCCTTTGTTTTTATCATCACTAGTTTTAATTATTTAGACTAATACTACTGCTATGTATGACTACTACAGGTAACTTGGCTAAGAAACAAAATGAAATAGAGGATCTAAGTGTTTACATTTGGATATTTAATCTTAAAGTTCTTTTCATCAGAGATTTGGAGGTAATTAACATTTTATTTTGTTTCGAAATTGCATGTATAAGCACATGATGATGGCATATAATAGCCATGAGTTTGACCACAAATCACCAATTAGAGGTTCTTATGGTTATAATTTTTTTGGGAAAACAATAAAAAGCAGACTGTAGCAATTGTTAAAATTAAGAATACTGTCTATGGAAATAATAATAAAAGTCATTTAAAATAAAATAATTATTTGTTTTAACACCTGTATTCCCAGCACTTTGGGAGGCTGAGGTGGGTGGATGACGAGCTCAGGAGATTGAGACAATCCTGGATAACATGGTGAGACCCCGTCTCTACTAAAAACACAAAAATTAGCCAGGCGTGGTGGCGGGTGCCTGTAGACCCGGCTACTAGGGAGGCTAAAGCAGGAGAATTGCTTGAACCCGGGAGGCGGAGGTTGCAGTGAGACGAGATGGCGCCACTGCACTCCAGCCTGGGCAACAGAGCGAGACTCCGTCTCAAAAAATAATAATAATAATTATTATTATTATTTGTTTTAACCAATAATGAGAATAATTTCTTCTTAATTATTAGATATATTAATTTCTAATACTTAAAGTGACTAATTTGAGTTATAATGCCATATCAGAAAAAAAGACAATTAATTATTGGGCACTTAGAATATTCCAGGTGACATCTAAGGTGTTTATATTAATTATCTTACATAATTCTCACAGAAACAATAGCAACAGATAGACATTAATAGTATACACATAGCACTAACTATGTGCTAAACCCTCATCTAAGAGCTTTTCACACATACTAAGGCATCAAGCATCACAACAACTGTATGAACTGGGAACTATTATTATTTTCATTTTACAGTTGAAGAAATTATACCACGGACAGGAAATAATTTCCTTATGGTCGTATAGCTGAAAAATTTAATACCAAGATTGAAATCCAGAATCTATGCATTAACGGCTATATTTAATAAGTGTTCTTAGCACTGTTATAATATAATATAATATAATATTTTTAGATTTTAAAAATATTTTACTGAAACATAACATTATACAGAAAAGGGTGTAAATCATAAATACACTGCCGGATATAATTAAGAAAGACATGAAAAGATAGGAAAGAGGAAAACAAAAGGTAATATTTTATATTTTAAGTCTGTGTTTTTTTCTACAATAATTTGTATGATTTACCCTATGTTTACACATTTCTTTATCTATCATCAGAAGCTTTAAGAAATTTAAATCCTCCAATGCTCCTTTGTTCGGCCTTTTATATAAATTAGAAGGCAATATATTCTCAAACACAGACTTGTTTATTCTTCGACTAGTGTTCTTGCATTGGATAAAGTATACTTTTATAAGTATAATCCCACAATTCCTTTTTTAAAGTAATCTGTGATTTTTTAACTAAATATTATCTGTTCTGCACTACATGTTTTGCTGTGCAAGTAGGCAGTTGCCATGTGCAACTTCAATGGATTCTTTTTGATGCCCCAAAATAAATCAAATTATACAGCAAGCAGGGATATCACTAAAGTCTATGTAAATAAAGTTATAAAAAATTAAATGTAACCTGTCATTTTCCTTGTGACTATTGAAAGTAAAACCATTCATGTTGTTCCAAATAAAATTCCTGAGGGTCACAGTTTTTTCTGAGAGGGTGGTAACTAAGAATGAACACTTTTTAGCAGGGAGAGAAAAGGCCTTTTGAAGACCTGATCAGGCTTATTCCCCATGATTCCTCTTTGCTTTACCATGTCCCAGACCTGCTCAGAAAGATTACAGAACTTTCTTTCATCAATCCATTCACTGCTGAGAGTAACTTCAAAGTGAATTGTCACAATAGCATGCAGTAGTCTGTAAGTATATAAAGCATAACATGGAAGCTGCTCAGTGTGCGGCTTAAATAAGTTTTCAAACACAGAAGGTCAAATGCATAGTACCTCAAAAAGTTTTTGTTCTGTATTTTTTACTAATCATAATATTATCTCTCAGAAAACCGGTTTTCAGGATTTTGGGGACTTACTTCTATAAATTTATGCTTATCTCCTGCAATTTCCAATCTGCCACCAACGTTTCTGGTAAATCCATTCTTCGTCAGCTCAATTTAGGATTTTTGCAATACTATCTCAATGAGTCTTTCTGCCTCAAAATTTTCTTCTCTTTGGTGCATTCTATACAAGACTAATAAATAAATCTTCTGAAATCTACAAAGTGTATAATAGAGTCTTTGCTCAAAAAACTTCAGTTGTTTCCCAATGTCCAGAATGAACATTTTGAATACAATTTGAATACATCCATATTCTTTATCTTGAGAGGGGAAATTTGCCTGCTCGCCTAAAACAATCCTCCATTATTGTTAAACTGGTCAATATACCATCCTCTGTTCCACTTCACCCCACACCCCCAAAACCTGCAAACTTTGATAATTTATCAAATGATTTAAATCTCATTAATTCTTTCAAGACTACTTCAAGTGTCAATTCTTACTGAACTTTTCTAAGAATGCCAGACATCAAAAATATTTTTATCCTCAGACATGTTGAAGGTTATTCCTTCTATTGCCCACTTATATGGTACCTAACAAATGTTGCTTTATACTGTCAATTGTATTTTTTATTTATGTTTTGTATATCTAAATAACTTAAAAATTCTTTCACAAAATGGTCTATGTCTTACATGTTGTTATATCCTCGGCACACATCCCCAGAATTGAATTACTAAATGATAATTTAATAATGTTAATGATTATAATTGGTTTTCATTTAGTCTGTTTCTCATCCTTATAAAGGTGTTTAAGCCAAAGATGAAAACTATCCATTAGGAAAGTTTTAGAGTGAATCCATCATTATGTAGAGATTGACCAGATGACATCTAACATCTATATTTCATCTAATAACCCATAATATTTCAAAATAATAAATCTAAGCTTCATACATGCTATATAACTTATCTTGTGCAATTTATTCAGTTAGAAAATGTGGGCGAAGGATATGAACAGACACTTCTCAAAAGAAGACATTTATGCGGCCAACCAACATATGAAAAAAAGCTCATTGTCACTGGTCATTAGAGAAATGCAAATCAAAACCACAGTGAGATACCTTCTCACACCAGTTAGAATGGCAATCATTAAAAAATCAGGAAACACCAGATGCTAGAGAGGATGTGCAGAAATAGGCATGCTTTTACACTGTTGATGGGAGTGTAAATTAGTTCGACCATTGTAGAAGACAGTGTAGCGATTCCTCAAGGATCCAGAACCAGAAATACTATTTGACCCAGCAATCCCATTACTGGGTATATACCCAAAAGATTATAAATCATTCTACTATAAAAATACATGCACATGTATGTTTCTTGCAGCACTATTCACAATAGCAAAGACTTGGAACCAACCCAAATGTCCATCAATGATAGACTGAATAAAGAAAATGTGGCACATATACATCATGGAATACTATGCAGCCATAAAAAAGGATGAGTTCATGTCCTTTGCTGGGACATGGATGAAACTGGAATCCATCATTCCCAGAAAACTAACACAGGAACAGAAAACCAAACACTGCCATGTTCTCACTCATAAGTGGGAGTTGAACAATGAGAACACATGGACACAGGGAGGGGAACATCACACACTGGGGCCTGTTTTGGGTAGGTGGCTAGGGAAGGGATAGCATTAGGAGAAATACCTAATGTAGATGACAGGTTGATGTGTGCAGCAAACCACCATGGCATGTGTATACCTATGAAACCAACCTGCACGTTCTGCACATGTATCCCAGAACTTAAAGTATAATAATAAAAAAAAAATGTTCAGCCACTTCAATGAGTAAGCACAATAGAAAGAAGTGTAAGTCCAAATCACCAAGGAACTTGTAGTCTTATTGGAGACACAAGCTATACACACAAAAAATCTCCTCAATTAACAATAGCAATAATTTGTTAAGAAGTTTAACATGATGAAGAAACAAAAAGGCACTTAGCTATTCCTTGAAATTTTCTAATTCACTGAACATTACATCTTCATGGAAATAATGTTCCTGTCTATGAATTTGTTTTTGTATTTTTATGACCAGTATCTAACAATCTGTGAGCTCCCTTAAATAAATATTTCCATATCAATGAGATTTCTAACATTTATCTTTGTATTTCCTACTGGAACCATCATATCTCAATATCTTAAACACTGTACTAATACAAATATTCATTAACCTAAAATCTTGCATTTTTCTCTTATTCTTAAGATAAAGCACAACATTTTCATTAGTCTTATCACTTCAAATTTTGCTATTTTAACTTTATTGATTATTACTGTTGAAATAATGGAAATTAATCTTTATTTCACTTGATTAATACATAAAATATTATATGAGTCCAGGTTGAATGAAATCATGTATTTTATAGCAACAAGGATGAAGCTAGAGGCCATTATCTTAAGTGAACTAACGTAGGAACAGAAAATCAAATACCATATATTATCAGTTGTAAGTGGAAGCTAAACATTGAGTACTCGTGTATTTGAGAGTGGGGCTAGGAGGAGAGAGAGGATGGAAAAACCACCTATCACATACCGTGCTTATTACCTGGGTAACAAAATAATCTGTACACCAAACTCCTATGACAAGCAATTTACCTGTATAACAAACCTGCACATGTACCTCTGAACCTAAAATAAAAGCAAACAAAATTATACCCTAGTAACATAGTTTTAAAATAAGGGAGGGGGCTCAAGTTTTTTATTTGGTGGTAATATTTCAAATATTTCGAATGTCTTTCCTTCCATGCAGCCTAAAATGGCCTACTTCTTAGTGGACTTACATTCATATTTAGATAATTCTTAAAAATGCAACATAATATTGAGATCAACTGACATCACTGATGACATGTAATTGATTATGAATGTTTCATTTTATTTTTGTTTTGTTTGTGTGACTTGGTAAGCAAGGATTTGAAATATGAAATAAATACATTACCTTCTAAAGTAAAAGCTATGTTAAAAATATATGTTCTCAAGCTAATCTAGAGAAAAGATTTAATTCCCATTTTGGAAAACAAAAACTGAGGCTCAGAAAGAGGGGAAGCACGTTTATGTTAGTGTCTATCTTTTCTATACTTAGGAGTTGGTGAATAAATATTTATGAGATGAAACAAAAGGGAAACAAGTAAAAAAAAAACTAAAGATAAAAAAGGAACGGAAAGGAAAAGCAAGAGGAAGGAAAGAAAGGAGGAAAGAAGGAAAAAAAGCAAGTAGGATGTTTACTAAGAAGGTAATGGTAGTTACTAAAAAACAGATAAGTTTCAAAATCTCAGTAGCTTACACAATAGAAAGAAGTCTATCTTTCTCTCATGTAAAAAGTCCCAAATAGATGTTCTTGATCAGCGAGAGGCTCTTCCTAGAGCTGATTCAAGAACACAGGCATTTTCCATGTAGTTCCTACCATCCTCAGCAAGTGGCTTCTGTGGGGAAGAGCATGAGGACAGTTTTCATGACACACTCCTGGATGTGGTACACATCACTTTGACCACATTTCAACACGTTCAGTAAACAGCTATCCAGGATCTGCCATAGGAAGGATGGAAGAACAGAAGTGAAATGAAGGAAAGGGAAAGAAAGAAAAAAGCCAACTTACCCAAAGACACACAGTTGATAGGCAACAGGTAAGATTTGAACCTACACCTCTTGGATTCCCTTCATAACCCAAAGATTAGCTACAGTGTAGTTTGCTTCTTTTGAAAGCATCAGAAACAGTATGGGAAGATGACTGTTTAAAGAAAATAGATGTTTATCCCTGAATAAATGATAACAAACTCATCAATTTTCCATCTTTTTATTGCGGTAGTTAACATTATATATTTTATTTCAAATTCAATATTGGAATTAATAAATTTTGATTAAAATAACCAAGCGTATGTCTACCTCAAAAATAATCCAAAGAGCACTGAGTAGCATTCTCTTGTTCTGTTAGGTGCTGACTCATACTCAAATAAGTAGTTGTCATATTTTTGACTGCATTTTTGAAAATCATGGGATGTAGGTTACATAACACTTAACACATATTTATTTAGGATGAAATGTAACTTTAAAAATAAAAAGAGTGATTGGACACATGATGATCCTTAATCAAACCAAGGTATGTAGAATTTGAAGTCAGTTTTGAGCTTCAGATAATGAGTTTCCTATTTTATATGTTGCTCTATAATAGTAGAAATAGAGTTGTTTTTTGTATCTGGGTCAAATATGACTAGAAGACCCACTGAGGCTGAAACAGAAACAATTTTTTTAAGTCAGAATGAAAGAAAAGGAGTACCCCAAAACTCAAGTTTAACAACTCAGTTTGTAAAAGTAAAGATTCCTCTAGCAATAAATTTCAAGATAATTGTCAAACATTTTCCCTTTTAGACAAATATTGAGTACATTAACAATGGCATGTTTATTTAGAAAACTGTTAGATCAATACAGCTCTTTATATAACACTAAAATAATTTTTTACTAAATTCAATTACATACCTTATGAGAAGATAAAACATTACACTTCTATTCATTTTTTAAGGTAGACAACAATAAGATCACCTCTGTAACTTTTTGAGACTTATTTATAAAATATTTCTATAAAAATCTCATGATTGTATTATCTCAAATGGTATACTGTAAAAATCATTGCCCTATGCTGTGAAATAAATGTTGCAATTTCTCATACTAAATTAATATCATCTTAATATGAATGGATATGTTAACTGAAAAAATATGGATTAACCACTAAATGGATAAAGTCAGTCTTCTTTCTTTTGCCATTCTTTCTACCTTCTATTCTGTTCAAATCATTCTCTATTTCTTTGATCTGTCTTTTCTACCAGTAAAAATATTGCATATAGACTTCAAACAAAAATGTTGCACAAACACACATTTGTGGAAGCATGATCCTGCAGCTAAACATTTTATATGCCTCTGAAATACTGACTGAAAAATTAGGATTAACCCATACCACAAAAGAGAAAAAGAGCCAAAATGGTAATTATTTTAACGTCAGAAAATAAAGTTGGTCATGATTATTACTGGAACACATTTAAAAGTGTGAGAGGAGATAAAAAAAATTGTAACAATTAAAAATAACTGTGGAGATTTAAAAAGAATATTAGTATACCATTATCATAATCAGATGTCAGAATAGTATTTGGTCATATAATATACACCATTTTTTATTATCAGTAAAGTTCAAAAGATTATGAAGATCAGAAAATTTGCTTAAGTAATTAAATTTGCTAAAAAGGACCAGTTTCACTCTAACTTATTTGTAATACTAAAGTTAATCTTTTTAGGGAAGTTTTCAGAATGTCTAAAGAAAGTAATTTTGTTTTTGAGATGTACAGTTAGCTGCCTGACACTAATATGTAAATATGCTGCCTAAATTGTCATGTTATATATATTGCCTTGTGCATAAAAAATGTCCGCTACCATTTCTTTCAGTGCATCTATTTTCATTCTTATTGAAGACGATCACTTCTTATAAGCAATCACCCTTGTCCTCGGAAGCTTATGATCTAACAGTCTAACAGGGGAAAGAGAGAGGGAGAGATAAAGAGAGAGATGAAAGGAGAAAGAGGGATGGAGAGAGAAAGGAATGGAGAGAGAGGGAGAAAAGATAATAGCATAAGGACATATAATAACAGAGGTTAAAAATTATTATTTTATAAATTAAAAGGAAGTAGCAATAAAATGACAATTTTAATAGACATATAGGCAAAATAAGCTATATAATTTGTGAGCTCCACTTTAAAATAAAAATACTGGGTCGTTTGTACAAAAACTCTTAAGAATTTCTAGAAGCAGTGGTACTTTAAACCAAGCTTGGGACTTTTCTGAGCAGGACCCCTGTGCGACTGCACGAGTCATGCATACATTCATGAAGTCAGCCCTGTACATAGGACAGACATTTGTTGATAATCCTATATATTTTCATGAATCATACTATAGTAATTATTCATCCAGACTTCATTCTCCTTCTGAATCCACAGTTTGTGAGAGTATCTTTCCCAGTGGATCACTCTCTGGGTATTATGGCCAAGCACTAACAGACTGTAGTTTATCAGTTTGGGCAGAAAATAAATAATTAAAATTTAATAAGGAATCTCAGGTGTATTTGTTTAAATGGACTATATATGTCCCATTTATGCATATATATGTATAATTATAAATATAAATATATATAGTTTGAAAAACATTTTTTCTAGCAAATTATGTTAGCAACTTTTTACAAAGAATAAAACAAGCAGTATTTATACACAGTTTGAATAATTTAGAATGGTCTTTTTATTTTATTTTTTGTAGAGATGGGGGTCTCATTATGTTGCCCAGGCTAGTCTCAAACTCCTGGGCTCAAGCCATCCTCCCACCTAGGCCTCTCAAAGTGAGTGCTTTAACTTATAATCTCTCAGCTTTTATTTGTCTCATTTAAAAAATATATTGATTTCTATTACATGTATTACTTAAAAAAAGAAATCAACAATTTAGACCAGGCTTTAATACCACATTTACTGAAAGATTTCCATATCATTGAAATCACTGGTGCTCTTTCTTTCCTCTAAACTGCTTAATCATTTGTTGCCTGCACACAGCATATTCTGCCTTCTATCACAATTATTGTCTTTTCTAGAATGTACACTCCTAGAAGCCATGAAACATGCCTTAAGTATTTTCTTAAAAGTCACAACCCCTAATGAGGTGTTTTAAGATGGTAGCAGCTCTGTATAGGTTTCTTGAGTGGACAATCCAATAAAAGTTTGGTTTAAAATGTTGTGTACTGTTTTTGTAAGGAAGATCAAGAAGATCAAATATAATTGTCAGTATACAGATAGCTGGTTGTGGTTGGGATACGATGAAAAATGATTACTTTTGTTCAAAAAGATCAAATTTAGTTTGGCTTTCTAGAAATGCCAAACTGCAAAAATTAAAGTATTGCATTTCTCCCAATCTTTTTATATATCCTTAAGCTTTACTTTCAAATTATTTCTGCAGCAGAAGAAAAAGTAAGAAACGTTCTGTAATTATAGTAATTTATACAGAGCATTTTGGTAAACAGAAGATCAACTTAAAATTAAACATTACTAATGTTTGCTTACATTTATATTTGCATATCCCATAATTTAATTATTTTAATATTTTATATTATTTTGTTATTCTTACCTTTAAAAACAAGTATTTGACCTTCAATTTAGAGAATAAGAAAAAAGCAAGCAACCAATGCATAGTCTTTCTGAATACACATTTTGAAATGGATATAAAATCGTAGTTCAATGATTCTATAAGTATTAATTTGTTCATTTATTCTTTCCTCCCTTCCTCTTGTCTTCTCTATTTCCTTTCTTTCTTATTTCTATTCTTACATAATGATTTAATCCAAATGCCATTAATTAAATCTGTACAAGGTAGACATCTGTGAAGGGAGCGGCAATGGAAGAGGATAATATTCACACAAGGAGTTATTGTTGGCAGCCTGGCATGTAATGTCAGAGCCTGAAAGAGTTTCAGAGCACAACCAAATGGGGATGGTGAGGGTGGAAGGAGAATGGAGTGGCAATGATGGCAATGGAAGTTTGGTTGCACATAGTGAGGCTTGATCATATATGTGTACTGTAAAAATAGAAAGCTAGGTGTAACGTTGAAAAAAGAAGTTACAAATAAGAAAGAGAAAATAACTACAATATACTGTGCTGCTATTGGATTGAAATTAGTATACTATTGTAAACTCATGGTTTTTAATGCACAGAGATAGATGTAGAAATATAGATGTATATGTATGGTGTGTGTGTGAGCATACATTCATATATTTTTCTAGCACTAAGAGGGTCTGAGAGCTACTAAATTACTATAGTAATGAACACAATTAGTGTCTATATCTTAGTTTCTAAATATCTTTCTCCATTAAAAGGAACCAAGACTCCTTGGATAAGTGGCTGATTCCAGAGGTATAGCAGATAAAGTATAAGGTAAGTCACAAAATTTGTGTCGGGCCAGAAGGAAATGCTTATATAATGAGGGGAATGTCAAAAGGACACAAATGCCACCTTGAAAGTGCTTCTATTGGCCAAAATCTGAGACAATTTGAGCATTTGCATAATTCATTATAGTAACAGGATATAACCTATTAGGTAAAACTATGCTAAAACATGCTAATATAGATGATAGGTTATTAGATTATTATATAGAGAGAGGAAGGTGGGGGAAGAAATGAGAAGAGAAAGCTTTGAAAGCTTTTTCTTATGGAAGAATGACAACTAATAGATATAGAAGAAATAATGAAGTTATTGGGACAGCCAATAAAATTGAATTACATTTATGGATTAAATTATAGTAATCTTAATTTGCTGATATTCATGCTAATTTTCTGATATAGTTTTTTATTACATAGAGAATTTCCTAATTCTTAAACTATGTATAAAATGATCGTAGTGATGAGCATCATGTCAACAATTTGTACTTAAATAATTTAGGATTTTAAAAAAATGTCCTTTGTGTTCTTCCTGCAATTTAACTGTAATTTATGTCAAAATTAAAAATTAAAAAATCAGTTTAAAATACCAAAAGTGAAAGGCTTTTTGCCTCAAAATCCATCTGGATTCCAAGGTAGCCATCTTTGAAAAATTATAATTTTCAGTACAAAGAAGGGTATTCTCACTGATCGAAGTGTTAATATGTCAGATACATGAAATATCATACATGTTTGATTTAGAAGCATTAGAACCTAGAATCCACTGTGTACCTGGTTGTTCAAATAATATTAATGATTTAGGCTGTTGTTAAATAAACAATTTGTGAATTTAACCATCACAAAAGTCAAGTGCAACACAAACGTCTGATAACCAAGCAATCTGCCTGGTTTGGTCATGGAGTTGCTAACTAACTAAAATTTATTTGATTTTACAGTCATCTTTATTCTTTAATTAGTTCAGTCATATAGCAATTGTCTGTTCTGTCAGACAAACTAGAAGTGTGAATCAATCACAAAATCTTCCACCTTCTCATTATATCTTAGACTCTATATTGAATTCATTACTTATTTATTGAATGGCTACTATATTCTTGATCATTTTCTAAGAACTCAGAATGTTAAAATAAATAAGGAATCTGCTTTCAAAGAGGTTATGGTTCCGCTGGGGAGACAAGTTTTACACAGATACCAAAAAAGTTTTGTCTACAGTTTTGTTCAGGAATTATGGATATAGCAGAAGTTCCAGTTTGATTCTATAATTTAGGATGTTTTTTAGCACTTTAATAGAACTGCTACAAAGAGACAAAAGGAATCAATTTCTGAGAGGGTCTTGGGAGTTGCCTAAGAAATACGAGAATGGATTTCATCTGTTTTGGGGGGAATTTTTATTTTGCTCTAATATTTGAGTTCTTGGTGGGAAGAAGGAAAGAAAGAAATAATATATAATATGGGTTTATCTAAATTTAGAATCCCGCAGTATACCCAGGTACTCATATCTGTGCTATAGGGAGACAAAGGCTACAACAAGATGCCAAGTGTGCTAATTTCATGTTGCTCGGTGGTCATGGGGACACAAGCAAGATGCACAAAAAAGTGGCACAACATGAGAGAGAGGAACCATCTTTCTTTTGTTGTTGTTGTTGTTGTTAAAAACAGCTAGGCTTTGATACATCCAAAATTCCTCACTCATAGTGCTTCTTTTCACTTCAACAGTTTGCTCTTTTCAACGTCATCAGGAGGCAGAACCCTTGGGATAGTCAGTGACGTTGTGATTTCATTCTCAATAGCCACGATGATGAGGTACCATGTTCAAGTGTTTTTGAGAGCAGGCCAGAATAAAAGAACACGAAAAGACTAACCTGAGATCACTTATGTAGCCCACGAGAATTAAAGCAGGAATGGAGCCAGGAAATCCTTCATTTTTCAATTGGGGGCATTGAAAGTTTTAAATGATGAGTTATTAATCGTAGTAGGATATTACCATAAATTACATAGATATATATATATGTGTGTGTGTGTGTGTATGTGTGTGTATATATATATGTGTGTGTGCTTGTGTGTATATCTGTGTTTATGTATCTACAATAGTTGAAAATAGTCTATAATCAAGACATTCTTCCTGTTATAAGCTCCATCTGAAGATAAGCTACATGTGCACTTAGGGGTGTGTGTGCGTGTGTGTGTGCGTGTGTGTGTGAATGTGTTTTCCACAATATTATTTGTAAAGCCAGTCTCCAATTCTTGATTCAGTTTGACTACATAGGTATGTCCATACTTCTTCTATTGCAATTATTGATAGATAAATATTTCAGTTACAGTTTCTTAGTTTATGTATTGATACAACCACGTCTGTTCTACAAATTGATGACATCCTTTGCTGAAAGTTCCCTAAAATGATTTATCTACTATGATTTTTTTCCTTTTTTATTTTTTATTTTTGTGGGTAAATGTTAGTTGTATATATTTATGGGATACATGAGATGTTTTGATACAGGCATGCAAAGTGAAATAAGCACACCATGGAGAAGGGAGTATCCATCCCCTCAAGCATTTATCCTTTGAGTTATACTTTTTATTTTAAAATGCAAAATTTAAGTTATTATTGACTATAATCACCCTGTTGTGCTATCAAATAGTATATCTTATTCATTCTTTCTATTCTTTTGTACCCACTAACCATTGCCAGCTCCTCCCCAGCCCCCTACTATCCTTTCCGGCCTATTGTAACCATCCTCCTACTCTCTATGTCCACGAGTTCAATTGTTTTCAGTTTTAGTTCACACAAATAAGGGAGAACATGTGATGTTTGTCTTTCTGTGCCTGGCTTACTTCACTTAACATAATGCTCTCCAGTTCCATCCATGTTGTTGCAAATGACTGGACCTCCTTAATTTTTCTGGCTGTATAGTACTCCATTGTGTACATGCACTACATTTTCTATATCCATTCATCTGTTGATAGACATTTAGGTTGCTTCCAATCTCAGCTATTGTAAACAGTGCTCATAGAAAGGTAGATATCTCTTCAATATACTGATTTACTTTGTTTCGGATATATAGCCAGCAGTGGGTTTGCTGGATCATATGGTAGTTCTACTTTTAGTTTTTGAGGAACCTCCAAACTGTTTTCCATAGTGGTTGTACTAATTTACATTACCACCAATAGTGTACGAGGGTTCCCTTTTCTCCCCATCCTCACCAGCATTTCTTATTACCTGTCTTTTGGATATAAGTCATTTTAATTGGGGTGAGATGATGCTTTGTTGCCATTTTCATTTTCATTCTCTGATGATCAGTGATGTGGAGCACCTTTTTATATGCCTGTGTGCCATTTGCATGTCTTCTTTTGTGAAATGTCTTTTCAAATCTTTTGGCCATTTTTTGATCAGATTATTAGATTTTTTTCTATAGAGTTGTTTGAGCTCCTTATATATTCTGGTTATTAATTCCTTGTCCGATGGGTACTTTGCAAATATTTTCTCCCATTGTGTAGGTTTTATCTTTACTTTGTTGATCATATCCATTGCTGTACAGAAGTTTTAACTTGATGTGATCTCACTTGTCCATTTTTGCTTTGGATGCCTGTGCTGTGGGGTATTGCTCAATAAATTTTTGCCCAGGACAATGTCCTGGAGAGTTTCCCTAACATTTTCTTGCAGTAGTTTAATGGACTGAGGTCATAGACTTAAGTCTTTAATCCATTTTGATTTGATTTTTGTATATTGGGAGAGGCAGGGGTCTAATTTCATTCTTTTGCATATGTATATCCCATTTTCCCAGTACCATTTATTAAAGAGAATATTTTCTCCCCAGTGTATGTTCTTGAAAACTTTATCAAAAATAAGTTCACTGTAGGTGTGTGAATTTGTTTCCGGGTTCTCCATTCTGTTCCATTGGTCTATGTGCCTGTTTTTATGCCAATACCATGTTGTTTGGGTTACTATAGCATTGTAGTATAATTTGAAGTCAGGTAATGTGATTCCTCCAGTTTTGTTCTTCTTGTTTAAGACAGCTTTAGCTATTCTGAGTCTTTTGTGATTCTATATAAATTTTAGAATTAAGAATATCATGATGTTTTGATGGAAATGGCAGTAAATCTGTAGATTGCCTAACAATATTGATTCTTCCAATCCATGAACATGGAACTTTTTTATATATATTTTGCTATCCTCTTCAATATCTTTCATCAGTTTTTATATTTTTATTATAGAGAACTTTTACTTCTTTGGTCAATTTTTAGGTATTTAATTTTATATGTGGCTATTGTAAATGGGGTTACTTTTTTATTTTTCACATTGTTCACTATTGGCATATAGAAATGCTTCTGATTTTTGTGTGTTGATATCATATTCTGCAGCTTTAATGAATTTACTCATCAGTTCTAATAGTTTTCTTGTGGAGTCTTTAGGTTGTTTTCAAATATAAGATCATTTTATCTGTAAATAAGGATAATTTGACTTCTTCCTTTTCTATTTGGATGCCCCTAATTTCTTTCTCTTATCTGATTGCTCGATAGGACTTCCAGTTCTATGTTGAGTAACAGTGGTGACAATGGGCATTCTTCTTGTGTTCCAGATCTCAGTGGAAAGGCTTTCAGTTTTTCCTCATTAAGTATGATACTAGCTGTGGGTCTGTCATATATAGCTTTTATTATGTTGAGGTATGGCCTACAAAACAATATCTGATGTATATCGATGTGTACATCACACATCGATGTACATGTGTTGTGTCTTTGTATGGTTTTGGTACCAAGGTAATACTGGCCTTTTCAAATGAGTTTGGAAGCCTTTTCTCCTCCTCTATCTTTCAGAATAGTTTTAATAGGACTGGTATTAGTTCTTCGTTAAATGCTTGGTACAATTCAGTAGTGAAGCCATCAGATCCTGGGTTTTTCTTTACTAGGAGACTTTTTGTTACTGCTTCAATCTTGTTACTTGTTATTAGTCTGTTCAGGTTTTAGATTTCTTCTTCGTTCAATCTTGGTACGTTGTATGTATCTAGAAATCTGTCCATTTTTCAAGATTTTCCAATTTGTTGGCATATAGTTGCTCATAGTAGCTTCTAATGGTTATTTGAATTTCTACAGTATCAGTTGTAATGTCTTCTTTTCTGATTGTATTTATTTGGATCTTTTCCCTTTTTTCTTAGTCTGGCTAAAGGTTTGTCAATTTTGTTTAACTTTTTTTTAAAAAAACTTTGTTTCATTGATCTTTTGTATTTTTTAATTTTAATTTTCATGTATTTCTACTCTGATCTTTATGTTGCTTTTCTTTTACTAATTTTGGGTTTAGTTTGCTTTTGCTTTTCTAGTCCTTCAAGACACATCATCAGATTGTTAGTTGAAGTTTTTTCTCTTTTTTGATGTAGGCACTCATAGCTATAAACTTTCCTCTTATTACTTCTTTTGCTGTATCCCATAGGTTTTGGTATGTTGTGTTTACATTATCATTTGTTTCAAGAAATATTTCAATTTCCTTCTTAATCTTCATGTACCAGCAGTCATTAAGGAGCATATTGTTTAATTTCCATGTATTTGTATAGTTTCCAAAAATCCCTTTGTTATTAATTTCTAGTTTTATTCTATTTTGGTCAGAGAAGATTCTTGATATTATATCAATTTTTGTGAATGTTTTAAGATTTGTTTGTTACCTAGCATATTGTCTATTCTTGAGAATGATCCATGTGCTGAGGAGAAGAATGGATATTCTGGAGCCTTTGGATGAAATGTTTTTTAAGTAAATATCAGTGCATTTGTTCTAGACTGCAGATTATGTCTATTGTTTCTTTGTTAATTTTCTGTCTGGAATATCTGTCCCATGCTGAAAGTGGGGTATTGAAGTCTCCAGCCACTATCTCTCTTTATCTCTAGCAATATTTCCTTTATGTATCTGTGTCCTCCAGTGTCGGGCACATATACATTTAAAATTGTTATAACCTCTTGCTGAATTGATCCCTTTATCATTAGATAGTGACCTTCTTTGTCTCCTCTTACAGTTTTTGTCTTGAAATCTTCCATTTTGTTCTTTGTTTTCTGATGTTTTGCAGTCTTATCTTCATTTATGTTTTCCTTCCTGTCTTCCTCTAGTGAAGGTAATTTTCTCTGGTGCTATGATTTAGTTTCTTGCTTGTTAACTTCAACACCTTAACTTCATCTCCCTGCTTTTTAATTTTTTGTTGTTTCTATTTATATTTTATTTTACTGACTACATCTTGAAAAGTTGTTGTCATTATTTTCGATTGGTTCATCATTTAGTCTCTCTACTTAGGATAAGAATAGTTGACACACCACAGTTACGGTGATACAATATTCTGTGATTTTCTGTGTATTTACAATTAGCAGTAAGTTTTGTACCTTCAGGTAATTATTTATTGCCCATTAATGTCCTTTTGTTTGTGACTGAAATACTCCCTTTAGAATGTTTTTTAGGATGGGTCTGGTATTGATGAAGTTCCTCAGCTTTTGTTTGTCTAGGAAAGTCTTTATTTCTTTTTCTTTTTTCTTTTCTTTTTTTTTTTTTTTTTTGAGACAGAGTCTCGCTCTGTCGCCCAGGCTGGAGTGCAGGATCGCGATCTCGGCTCACTGCAAGCTCCGCCTCCCGGGTTCACACCATTCTTCAGCCTCAGCCTCCCGAGTAGCTGGGACTACAGGCACCCACCACCACGCCTGGCTAATTTTATTTTATTTTATTTTTTATATTTTTAGTAGAGATGGGGTTTCACTGTGTTAACGGGGATGGTCTCGATCTCCTGATCTCATGATCTGCCCACCTTGGCCTCCCAAAGTGCTGAGATTACAAGCGTGGGTCACCGCTCCCAGCCTTATTTCTCTTTCATGGAATATTTTTGCTGGATATACTATTCTAGGGAAAAAATATATTTTTCCTTCAGCACTTTAAATATGTTATGCCACTGTCTCCTAGCCTGTAAGGTTTCCACTGAAAAGTCTGCTGCCAAACGTACTGGACCTCCATTGTATGTTATTTGTTTCTTATCTCTTGTTGCTTTTAGGATCCCTTCTTTATTCTTGACTTTTGGGAGTTTGGTTATTAAATGTCTTGAGGTAGTCTTTGGGTTAAATCTGCTTGGTGTCCTATAACCTTCTTGTACTTGATATTGATATCTTTCTCTAGGTTTGGGGAGTTCTCTGCTATTATCCCTTTGAATAAACTTTCACCCCTATCCCTTTCTCTACCTCCTCTTTAAGACCAATAACTCAGATTTGCTCCTTTGAGGCTATTTTCTAGATCCGGTAGGCATGCTTCATTGTTTTTTATTCTTTTTTTCTTTTGTCTCCTCTGACTATGTATTTTCAAATAGGCTGTCTTCAAGTTCACCAACTCTTTCTTCTGCTTGATCCATTCTTCTGTTAAAGGACTCTGATGCATTCTTCAGTATGCCAATTGCATTTTTCAGCTCCAGAATATCGGCTTGATTCTTTTTAATTATTTCAATCTCTTAGTTAAATTTATCTGATAGAATTCTGCATTCCTTCTCTGTGTTATCTTGAATTTCTTGGCTTTCCTCAACACAGCCATTTTGAATTCTTTGTCTGAAAGGACACATATCTCTGTTTCTCCAGGATTGGTCCCTGGTGGCTTATTTAGTTCATTTGGTGAGGTCATGTTTTCCTGGAAGATGTTGGTGCTAGTAGGTGTTCTTTGGGGTCTGAGCATTGATGAGTTAAGTATTTATTATAATCTTTAGTGTCTGGCTTTATTTATAGCCATCCTTCTTGGAAAGGCTTTCCAGATATTTGAAAGGACCTGGGTATTGTGATCTAAGTTGTATCTGCTTTAGGGGGCATCCCAAGCCCAGCAATGCTATCCTTCTGGCAGATTTGTAGAGTTACTGCCTAGGTAGTCTTAGAGAAGATCAAGGAGAATTTTCTGGGTTACCAGACATGAAGCCAACACAGCTCTGGGTCTTGCCCAAGGCCTGCCGTCACCAATCCTTGGCTAATGCCCATGTTTGCTCAAGGCCTCAAGGCCCTGGGGCTCTACAATTAGCAGGTGGCAAAGCCAGTAAGGCTGACGTCCTTTCCTTCAATGTGGCAAGGCCCCCCAGGCCCTGGG
The DNA here is from genome assembly GCF_000001405.40 of Homo sapiens. Lineage (NCBI taxonomy): Eukaryota > Metazoa > Chordata > Mammalia > Primates > Hominidae > Homo > Homo sapiens. The sequence goes on from NC_000001.11 coordinate 103,326,283, forward strand.
TGGGTCCAAAGATGCCATCTGAGAGTCAAGATCTAGAGTCAAAAACCTCAGAAATCTACCTGGTATTCTATTGTATTGTTGCTGAGCTGGCACTTAAACCACAAGGCATAGCCCTTCCCACCCTTCCTTCCCCTTTCCAAAGGCAGATGAGGCTCACCCCATAGTCACCATCACCCCAGGCCACGAAGAGTACTGCCAGACTACTGCTGATGTTCCCTTAAGGCCCAAGCACTCTTAAATCAGCTTGTCAAGAATGTTACCTGGCCTGGGACTCACCCTTCAGAGCAGTGAGGTTCCCTCTGGCCCAGAGCAGGTCTGGTAATGCTGTTCAAGGGTCAAGTCATGGAATTGGGGACCACAAGAGCCCACTTGGTGCTCTAATCTCCTGTGGCCATGCTGGTACCTAACATGCAAGACAAAGTTATCTTTGCTTTTCCCTTTGTTTACTCAAGCAGAAGAAATTTTGCCCTGTAGCCACAACAGCTGATAATGTGCTGAGTCTCACTTGAAGCAAGCAAGTCTCAGAGGCTTACCCAAGGAACTCAGTGTAGTACCTGGGTATTGCCATTGGTTATTCAGAGCCCAAGGGTTTTTAAGTTATCAAATGGTGAATGCTGCCAGGACTGGGTCCTTTCCTTCAAGGCATCAGGTTCCCTTCTGGCCCAGGGTGTTTCTAGAAATATCTCTGAGCTAGGGCCTAGAATGGGGGCCTCCTGACTCTGACTAGTGCCCTATACTGCTGTGGCTGAGCTGGTATCCTAGATGCAAGACAAAGTCTTCACTTACCCTCTCCTGTCAAGTGGAAGGAATGGTGTCTTTTGGAGCCATGAACTGTCTAGTTTGGGACTAGGGGAGGGTGATGCCAGCTGGTGTCTCGGTATGTGGCTCTCCTGTTCCCCTGCCAGTCCCGCCCATTGTCTCTGGACCTAATTCAGCACTAGGACTCACGTAAGAGTTTCAGTCCTTACAGCCTAGACTGCCCTTCAGTTTTACTTGGAGACAGAGTGCTGTAGCTCTCAGTGGTGAGGTTTACAGGCATCTCAGTTCAGATGCTGAGATCTGCAATTCCCCTCTGGCTAGGGCTGGTTTAAATGATCCCCCTGTGGGCAGGTGAGTTTGATCAGGTTTTCCTTTCTGCTCCAACAGAACAGCACTTTGTTCAGTGCTTCGCTGTTGCTGTGTTCTCCATCCACCAAGGCCCAGATTTGCTCTCTGCACCAGGTAGCTGCTGCTGGGGGTGGGAGATGAGTGTTGTTGGTGATTCAGAACTGTTTTTTCTATCCAGTTTCTCTTTCAGTGATATGAAGTTAAAACCAGATACTTTGAGTGCTCCCCTGATTTTTGGTTCTTATGAGGGTGTTTTTTTTCTTTGTAGATGATTGTTTACTTGGTGTCCTGGCCAGGGATAACAATGGGTGGAACCTTTTATTTTGCCATCTTGCTCCACCTCCTTCCAAAAATGTAAAATCCACCTTCTTCATATTTCAAAAGAATATTTTGAAGAATCCTATTGGCAGATATAGAAAATAATGCATTATGACTAAATATTAAATTCCTTAATACAAAAATACTAAATTTTAATGTTCTATTTAATGGGAGCAAAATTTTCCCTGATTTGTCAAGAAAATGCATTAGTCTAGTGATTAGACTGAACATAACACAATGATTCAATGAAGTACAAACTCTTATCAGTTGCAGTGTGTCCGTGGTTTTCATAGTTTGCATTTGACAACTTTTCTGCTGCAAACATATGCCAAATTAATGGTTTTATAGCCTTTTACTTGAATCCTGATCAAAGAAAACAATCTGATCTTGTTTTCTTAGCTTGAACTGTCATTAGTGTTTCACATATTAAAAAAATAAAAATTGGGGCCTTGGAAGCCATCATGAAAGTAACAAGTGAGGTTCAAAGCAGTCATCTACTTTACTTCAATGAACATATTCTTCTGAGCTTACTACCTTGGCATTTATTATTAAAAATTTACAAGCTGAAAGGTATTGAGGACTCTGCTAAAATCTTAGAAATACTGATACTGTATTTTATACTCTTTATCACACTAAATTCATATGCCACTAAAGAGTCTAGTGGTCTATAATTGATATATTTTACTATGAGAAAAGCATTTTTCGAGATTCTGTGCAATCTGCATAAAACAGACTTCCTTGAAATATCCGAGTTGTTTTTCAGCTCAAGTGAGGTAAAGAAATTATATTACCCAGTAAAAAATACTTTTAAATATTCCAATTTACCTATGAATAAAGCACAGCATTTTTGTATAGGGTACATCACCAAGCCATGTCTGCCTCAATAGCTTCATCTCTTCACTTACGCGGCACACTTCAGAGCTGAAAAACAACCCTCTGTTTCTCATCTCACACTTTTCTTCATCCAAATTTGTTCTTTTCCTTAACCAACTTCTGTTTATGTTTCAAGTCTCACTGACCTTAAGGGTCTTCTTATCATGGACCCTTCCCTGACCCCAAACTAATCCTTCCACCTATCAGAAAGACCTGTCTCTATATCTGTTCCCTGCATTACATCACGCCATTCCCCTCCCCCACCACCTCTGCCCCTGCAAAATGTATCCCTGTCATTGAATTCATAGCCCTGTGTTGAATTTTTCTTGACATTCTGTATTTCTCTCTAGTCTGTAAACTATTCAGTGTCAAGGATTACATACTATTCAGTTTTGTATCCCACACAGAGATTCAGTCATTTAGTAGAGTTTCCCTAAAAGTTTGTTTAATTTAAATTACCTCAGGAAAGCTGTTTGCTATGATAAATAATGGAGGAATTATTTTTTAAACTATATCAAAGACTGGTAAACTAATTGTTAATAGGATTATGTTTTGACTATGACAAACTATATTTCATACTCTTTAATGTGAAATTTACTAAGTCAAGTGTTAACCTTGCCCACTGTTTATTGAAGGACAACTCCCATTCTACTCCAGTCTACATGGTTCAAGTAAATTTGACCCAATCTCTTGGCTCACAGGTTGAATACAAGATCTAGGTCTCTCTAATTGGGGTATTCCATCCTGTTCCACACCCTGGTCTCAATTACTCATTTATTCAGGAATGGGCAGTGGGTCAAGATAGCTCAATCAAACTTTTCCTAAGATTTCAGTTGTAAGTATGAGACAAAAGGCTTTCTTACACTAGTACAACAAGCTGTAAATTATTTGAGGCTAAAGGATTGTGTAAGCCCAAAATTTTCAAGGAGTATTTCTACGGCTACATAGATACCTGACAATGTAACTGACCCAGAGGACACTACAAACAGGATAGAGACTGAGTATTCCATATCAAACAACACATACAACCCCGTGATCTCTACTGACTAGACTAGGTGGAAATCTGTCTTATGGGCAATCTAAAGTAGATAAATTTCAGATGGCATACAAGGGAGAGGTCTCTGGCCAAACAGCCTAGCCAGTAATCAACTCTTTTTCAGAATTTTAATTAAAAAATAAAAACAGATAAACACAAATCATTATAATAGCTAGGGCTGCAAGGATGCACACAAAGGGTCCAGGAGGCAAGAGGAGTTATGGCAAGCCAGGAAAAAACATAAACAGAAGCTAAGCAGTAAATAAAAGGTACTCAAAGCATGAAGAGAGGCCATTTGCAAAAAAGAAGAAAAGTGAGAACAAAACAATTGTTAACAGTGATAAAGTATTTATACTATGCCCACGCTCTCTTCTAATTATTTTAAGAAGATTATCTCATTTGATATTATATCATATTGCTAATATTCTTCTAAATTTCCTGCATTCATTTATTTGCTTAATAATTTAATGCATTGTTATTGAGCTCATTCTGAGACCATAGAGATAATAAAGGGGGAAAATGATAAAAGGTCTTTGATATCTTGGAGCTTATGCCTAGTCATCCTATATTAATAAAGTCTAACACACTACCAGGTATAGTAAACTATTAACTGGTGAAGAGATATTGAATAAAGTAAAAAGGGAAGACATTTGACCATGTGCCAGAGCTTCAAGAAGTGTGCTCATCTCTTTGACATAGTTTTTTTGTTTTTTGAGACAGAGTCTCACTCTGTTGCCCAGGCTGGAGTGCAGTGGTGCGATCTCTGCTCACTGCAAGCTCTGCCTCCCAGGTTCACGCCATTCTCCTGCCTCAGCCTCCCGAGTAGCTGGGACTACAGGCTCCCGCTACCAAGCTCGGCTAATCTTTGTATTTTTAGTAGAGACAGGGTTTCAGCATGTTCGTCAGGCTGGTCTCGAACTCCTGACCTTGTGATCCACCCGCCTTGGCCTCCCAAAGTGCTGGGATTACAGGCATGAGCCACCGTGCCTGGCCTGACATAATTTTTCTCCGTTAAGTCACACAGATTCACTAGGAGGAATGAAACAGACATACGTGCAGGTTTTCTAATACATCTTTTAATTCTGAGTAGAGAAAACCTAAAATGACTTTTTGTGTGTGTGTAAAACTGGCTCATGATAGAGTGAAAACGAAATGGCAATTTAAGAGAATATTTCCATCACTGTAAGTTTATGGTAGACTGATATATAATATATAAACTAAAATATTATATATATATTTTAGACTGAGATACTTGAGTAAAACTTTGGCATTGCCTTTAACAGAGGTTATATAAATGAATTTAGTGAGTTAGAAAAAAAGACTAATTATTAGGTGTGAAAATCATTTTATGTTGCTTATAATGTTTGAAATTAATTTTTTCTATCATTCAATACTTCTGATTTTCTGAGAATAGCCTTTCGATTTTAACCAGTTTATAAATATAACAAATTACTCTTCATTTTCAGTAGTTTAGATTTCCATTTACAATTTGAGTCTGATAGACTATAAATTGACTGTGATAGACTTAGGTCACAGTTAAAAAGTTATCTTCTTCAGGTTCAGTAATTTATTTACTAACAGTTATGAATATTTGTACACTCAGAGTGTTATTTCAAAACTTTTAGGCAGTAAACTAAATCTTCTAATACATTCAGTTAAATGATTGTTTAACTAACGATGATTATTTACTTTTTATTTAACTAGGTGTTATTTGACATTTATTATAGTATAAATTACACAAAACATCATAATTTGGTGAGGAGATTAAAGATAGCAAGATACATTCAAATCTTCATTAGACATAAATATACTACCAGAACAGTTTGTCATTTTGTTTAAATAATGTCTTTGTCTATAGATGTATTACATATTTATCTGACTTAGGGCAACTGACACCTTTAAACATAGAAGAAGGCTTTCTTATTTTAATAGTAAGAAAAGTAGAAGGATTTGCAGTTCTTACAAAGGAAAGTTTTAAGGAAATGTAAAATAGAGAAATACATATGGTAGAAGTGATTTCATCAATAAATGCAATAGCTCCACTAAATTAATATGTTTTACAAACTTCCATGCACACTAGAAAAAATCTCATTCCAAGCCAAAGTTGCATTAAAATAATTATTACATTTAATCATGCATTTAGATTTTCACGGAATAAGACACGGATTTTGTAAAGAAAGTGTGGATTTGTGGATCTCTCTCTCCTATACTCTGTTGATACTTTCTATATAGTTCTATTATATTCTACAATTATAACACACTAGTAAAAATAAGCAACTAAATTTACCTTACCTGCATGTCAATGCTGCACAAATTTGTTCCTTGCCATTGACTAGACATGTATCATGACATGAAAACACTCCAAAATACTTTAGGGTATCTGTTTTGAAGGCACTATTTTCCTAAAACATAAAATGCACATTTCCTCTGAAAGAACTATTTGTATCATTTTTTTTTTCTGGAATCCATTTCTTTCCATGCTGAAACAGGTTCTAAAATGTAGTACTTTAGAACCATATGGGAACTTATTTTATCAGAATTATTCATTTATCAGTACTTCTTTGGGGCAAGAATTATTTAATAAATGTGCTAATTTTGAATACTATTTCATGTCTAAACATCTGCAAGCCAATGGGTCCAGGTAACTCCCAAGACCCATAACACCTATTCAAATCTATTTTTTTGCATGCTATTTGTTGATTTGCCTATGTAAGTTTGTCATTAATTTCCAGTGTCAGCTTTCATAAATTAGCACAGCCCTCCAAGATTCTAGACTCCTACCTTTGTTCAACCTCTCTACATAGACCTAGTTTTTGCGTAGCAAGTGTCATGTTAACACGGGATACCTATCAATGTGTGAACAGTAGAGGTGAATAATGACTTTGAGATAATTAAACTATTTTTTTCTGTTCTTTTACCCCCAACAGATTCTCACCTATAGTTGTCAACTCTGGGAAAGACCAGACATATTGAAAAGTACAAATAGCCCATAATCACCCTGACTGTTGTGATCAAAGCCTATGAGCAAACACCACGCAAAAATAATGCAGTGCTAGCCATATATGTAATTTAAATGTTCTCACCACTAAAAATAAGTTGTTGTGGTGATGGATATGTTAATTAGCTTTGTTGAATCTTTCTACAATGTATACATAGATCGAAACATCACATTGTATCCCATAAATATACAATTATAATTTATCAATTAAATAAATTAAAAATAAATATATCATAGTCACATTTAAACAAGTAAAAGCAAGTGAAATTATTTTTGATAATACATTTATGTAATTCAAATATATACAATATTATCATTAGCATTTCAACACAAATTCATATTTTAAAAAACAATGAGATATTTTGCATTCTTTTTTTACTAAGCCTTTGAAATCTGGGGTATACTTTACCCCTACAGAACATCTTAATTCATATCAGCCGCATTTGAAAGACATGAGCTAGTGACTACCCAGTCAAACAGTTTAGGCCTAAACCTTTAGATTTACTTGCTATAAGTTTGGGAGAAGGAGGATAAGAGAGCTGAATTTCCTCCAAGAATAAAAGACCTTCCCAAGCAGAGCTACCGAGGACGCAGCACAGCCCTAGAGAAGGAATCATTGTAGATGGGATTATAAATAGATTTGTATGAAAGAATGTAGAAATTGAAAAAAGAGCCCTGTGTTCTCTGTTCATAGCCCAAGAGAAGCCAATAGAACTTCTGAAACTGAAAGGGCCTTTTAGGCAAGGAACAGGAAAACCTCTCAGCTTCTCTATGTCAATCAAAGACCAGCTACGTGCACTATCCTCACAACACCTAATTATAGGGCATATCTTCTTTTCCTGAACCTTAGCACAAGTTTTGTAATTGGGGCGATGGCAAGACTGATATGGCTAACACTTATAACGACTGAATTTATTTTTCCAATATTCCAGCAGAATAAGCCTTGATTAGAAATTACATTGAAATGCATAACTTATAAAGTATTTTTATAGTCTTCTATTAATATTTATTATATATGTGAATTACTTGTTTGTTTAGCACGTCAAATAACACTGAAAGTTATGGAATGGTTAAAATTCCTGGGAATGTTACACAATATAAATTTATATTTTTTGTCACTTTATCTCAACCTGAAATTCAGAAAATTTTTCCTCAGGCTATTTCTGGAAGCTCCTGGGGATAACTCATTAATATTATCAACTACCACATTTTTCTTTCTCATTTCTTCTATCCTCCTCTATTTTTCTTTAAAAAAAATGTTTCTGCATGCATCTGGTTGGCAGTATAACATGATAGCAAGCATAGGCTCTGGAGTCAAATTGCACTAGTACAACACACACCTTTACTGCTTTGAAACTGTATGCCCTGTCAGATCAAGTGTTTAACCTAAGTTTTCAGTTTTCTCATCTGCAATGGTCAGTTAAAAAGAGTTCTCCATAAACAAGTTGTGGTAAAGATTAAGTGAGATGATGAATTTGAAATTGCTTACAACAGTGATTGACAATTAATATGTACTTAATAAATTATAGCTAGTCTTATTAGACCTGCTCATCAAAGATGTTAATGCCAATATTGTGGTATAGATCTGAAGGAATGGAGATCCCTCTGCGAAGCTCCAAATTCATTATTCCCTGTTGCCTGCCCAATCTTTCTTCACCAAAACAGCCAGAAATTATTACCTTACTGAGTCAATCTAAGATGTCTTTCATTCTAAGACACACTGCCAACTTAACAATGACACAATAATTTTTTATCACATAAAATATTTTAAATAATTATTCATAGAGGCTTTTGAACTTTAGATGTAGATTTTTATCATGTATTTTACTTGTGCCCACATAAAATAAATGTGAAAAGCAAAATCGATGGGTTAAGGTATTTTTAAGACTTTTTCACATTTGAAGTTCTACTCTTTCTGTTTTGTTTTTAAGTTAAGGTGAAATTCACATAACATAAAATTGACAATTTAAAATTTACATTTTGTATTTTAACCATGTTATACAATCCTCACCTCTGTGAAGTCCCAAAATGCTGTCTTCATCCCTAAGATAGCACCCAGACCCATTAAACAGTCACTATCCATTCCGACCACCTCATGTTCCTGCTTCCCACCTCTGTGGATTTATCTACAATATGTGACCTTTGGCGACCGGCTTTGAGACTGGCTTCTTTACTTGGCAAAATGTTTTTGAGGGTCATTCACATTGTTGCGTGTACTAATGCTTCATTTCTTTTTACGGCTGAATAATATTCCATTGCATAGTCCTCATCTTTTCAATTAGTTTTCAACTGAGGCATGGGTGTCTCAATTTTCCCAAAAGAACATCATTCTCTGTATCTTCAGGACCACTGTTCATGCAACATTACATAATGAACCCTCCACTATTGTCCCTAGGATGCTCCTCCAAGCAACTGACGTACATTCTGCAAGCTTTGATATTCATTCCTTGGCAATCACAACAATTTCACAATCGCTCTGTGATCTATTCTGTAAAGAATATCCTGATTTCAAAACTGTTAAATTTTTTTTAAGTACATAGTATAATCAGCAAAATATGGTATTTTATATATAGCCATATAAAGAGATAAACATACATACAAACATAAACACACATATAACATGTGTATTCTATATCATAGTATAAAACATATTTCTTACTGTGGATTCAAGTTAAAGTCCTTTCTGACCCTAGTTTCTCTTCCCTTAAAGTAAACTCAAACATCATTTTATGCTAGCTATTCTTCAAAAATTTGGGACCTACATATCTAACTACACTTACACAGCCATGAGTGTATACATTTTAATGAGAATATCTGTTAAGGCATCAAACTTCAATCTAATGCTATATATATTTTCTAATTTGCCTCATCCATTCTGTTTTGTGTTTCTGTTTTCTTAAATTAGCTTCCAAATTAAACATAGATATCTCTATTAAATAATTTGGAACACCAGGCAGAATAGAATTATCTTTCAGAACCTGGTAAAAACAAAAACAAAAAAAATGATTAAAATACTGTGCACATAAAAATTTAAATAAACCAAATATATGAAACTTTGACTATTTCTTTGAAAATCTATTTTCCAATAAAATTCTTGTATATTTCATTTAAAATAATTAGAAATAAATCCTAGTACACAAAATAGCAACCAAGAAAGAATACTGAAGTAATATAGTTCAGTAGCTTCAATTTACAACTGAAAACCTGAGTTCTAATGATAAGAAGTGCCTCACCAAAAAACCAAAATTAATATGTAGCTGTCATAACTAGAACATTGATGACCTGACCTTTACTTCTATCCATTAAGCTTCAAAAATTCTGATACTTAATTTAAAATTCTTTTTTACTAATATATTGTAATTTTGAAGATTATTATCATATAAACCTAACAAAAATTCCAAAAATCTAAATAACTGAAATATTATTCATAATTTGCCTAATCTATTGTATTTATATTACTCTTCATACCGTTTACTCTTTTCAAATATAATTATAAAATTAAAATGGAATTTCAAAGCTTAATAATGATGGCTAATGTATCACATTGTAAAAAGAAACAAATCAGGTTGCTTAAACATGAGCTTTAAGTCTCATGATAAAATATCTGACCTGAAAAATACATGGTTTCTCTGCTCACTTCCCCACAGGTCTTTCTGGTCTGAAGTGTTGAAATGGGTGTGATACTTTATTTATTTTATTAAAATGAAAATAAAGCATTAGGCTTAATGTTTCTCTCACTTGTTATTTTATATTATTTTATATTTTACTTTGAATATGATTCCTATCACAGTTTATTTTTCTCTTTTTTTCAACTTTTACTCCTGTTTTCACAAATTGGGCTAAATTATTTCATTACAAGTCCTAAATGGAATCATACAAATTTAGCCATCTCCAAACATTTGCTACATGCAGCTGGACTTGTGTAGCCCAGACTAGCTTTTAAGAACCCACACACACATGCACACATACAAACAGGTCAAACCGAAATGAATGGAGCTATTCATGGAAGTAGAGAAGGAGCTATGCAAACTTTGAAAGAACTGTTGTACCATGTATACATATTCTACCACATTTACAGTCTTTATTTGTGGAGTGCAAATCTTTCTGTCCAAAGGTTTACTGCATTTAGACTCTTATTCATTATTCACAATTTCATATTCATTTTTTTTCTGGGAAATGATAGTAGTTTGAATATTTAGCTTGCCCTCCATATGAAAATAAACATCATGGTTAGCACACTCCCAGACAAGGCTAAAAGCAGCAATTGAGAGAGTTAAAACTGACAGTTGAATTCGTAATTCATTCATTTAAATATATGGTTTTGAGACTTTAAACTGGGCCAGGTATTTCTTTCTTGCAAAAATTCATTTGTTGACAATATTTTGGAATTTTTGTAGAATACAGAGGTCTGTCATCTGCTATGGTATAACAATTCTACAAAATTCTGAACAACTTTTTTTCCTAAAAGGATGGACAAATTCAGATGTGTGTTATCAAATTACTTTAAAACCTGAAGTAACATTTTAAAAGGGGTTCCTTATTTAAATATACATGTGTGACACTTGAATTGGTTTATAATTATTTGTTATTTAAAAAAAAGGAAATGGAAATATTAGTCTGGGGTCTTTTCCCTAAATTTAACTTTATTTTGTTTATCATTCTCTGTTTTTCTTTCTTCATTCCAACCAAGTGATTATTTAACCCTTAGTAAAACAAGTAAATAACTCAGATATGCTGAATTTTAAAATTTAGAGCTAAATACCTCCAAGGGACTCATGGCTTCCCCTACAGACACTTTTTGTACTTTTCCAAAGATCCTGTGTTCATGGCCATTTGCAACAGTTTCACTTACATAAATGCCAATTACTGTTCGTTTTGGACATTTTTTTTTTTTTTAGCAAATTTTATCTCAATAATATAATTAGTAAAACATGCTGAATTTTCAACCATTAATTTTTTCAGTATTTACAACTGTCTTGAAATACAAATAAATTTCTCTGAGAGGATAATATTCAACAGTACAAAGAAATAAAAATGGTTGGGTTGTTTTGAAACCACAAGCATTTTGTATGATTAGAGGCCTTGGTACAGTTTCATAAACTATTTTATTTTTCACATAGCCAAGAGATGATTTATTCCTTTTTTCTTCTAGAACACAAAAACATTACAATCAATTTTCATGTTAGGTTTCTAAAGTAATGACAAATGGCCTGTTCTAGGTTATTTCCACCTCTTCCTCTGGGACTCCAAGTACACGTAACTTAGGCCGCCTAATATTTGTCCCAGGCCATCGTGGCTTTACTTATTTTAAAGTCTATTTTTTTCTTCACCTTGGACAGTCTCTACTGAATTTTGTTTATGCTTTTTGTTTTAGTTTTTGTTTTCGTTTTTGTACTGTCCAGTATGTTTTTAGCTCACTCATTGTTTTTTCTTGCTGTTTTTTAGTTTAGTTTTGTTTTGTTTCATTTTAGGTATTGTTTTTCTTTCAGTTCCAAAATTTCCTTTTGATTCTTTTGTAGATTCCATTTATTTACTGATATTCCTCATCTTTTTCACTCATATTTCCACCTTTCCCTTAAATCCTTAAGAAATGTTGTATAACTGTCTTCAAGTCCTTGTCTGTTAATTCCAACATCTCTGTCATTGTGACTTTCAGTATTCAGCCACTCAAGGAGGCATTGTAGGGTGTTGTCTTTGGAGATCTCTCCTCTCTTACCTCACAAATTCCAGCTGCTCAGCAGCTCTGAAATGCAATCTCTGCCTCAGTGAGACCTCTGTGCTTTACTTGGGCTCCACCTCCATGTATCATGGTTTGAAAAATTGTTTCCAGACAAAAACCATATATGCATGGCCTGTGTCTTTTTCTTCTCTAAAAGATCAAAATACTAGGTTGCCTGTTTTCCAATGTCTATAAATAGTTGCTTAACATAGATTATTCAGTTTATAGTTTATGGTGGGAGTCTAATGATGTAACAATTATCATGTCAGCTTGGAGTGGAAGCCCAGAAATTTTAATTTTAATAGATACTGCCAGTTTACTTTCCTGAAGAATAAAGCAATTCATAACCCTATGAGTAATGTATAAGAGTACCCATTTTTCTGAAAACTATCTAGCCATAGATCATTTGTCCTTTTAATTTTATGTTTTGTGGTGTCACTTTTTTCAAATTTGCATTTCCCTAAAAACTCAAACATCTTTCTGTTGACTACACATTTACTTTACTCTGTATTACATGTTCATATATGTAGTTTGCTCATTTTCTATTTTTTGATGGATTTGTAGGATCCTCATTGCACTATAACAATTCCTTCAATCTTAGTTTGACTATTCCATTATCTTCAAATTGTCAAAATATATATTTAGTTTATAATACATAAAATTTTGCTTAATTGTATTCATGTGTATTTATTCACAAATTAATTATAATCAAAGACCATATACTGCATCTAACACTGTACATTATATTTAATCAATAAACTGTTAAGCAATTTCTTCTGGTTTGTTAGAGACCATTTTGAGGTAATTAATAATAATTTTAAAATAACTTTTCCACAGTAATACCATTTGCTACAGTGAAGTGATGATTTAATATTAAGTCTACTACAGCTTCCAAAAGAACCCAGTGACACTCCCAAAAATTGGCTGAGCCACTTGGAAAAACTGACCATTCTATATAAACTAGTGTATTTGAAGTAGGTAGTTTTAATGGCCTGTGATTCACTCAGCTTACCATAGTATACAAGAGTTACCTATTTCTTTTAAAAATATTTTGTTTAAACTGGAATGGAGGAGTAGAGCCTAAATTAATTAACATAAAAATCTGTCCAGATTCTGCCTTGTGGTAGGCATGAACTGAATAGTATGTCATGTTTCCATTATTTAGCTAAAATTTCTGTTTTTATTATTATTTGTCTGATTTCACAGTAAGCTGTAAAACTATTTATTGCCAAAAGTTACCTACCAAGTTGTAATGCCTCATATGGGACACATGTCAAATCATTACTGTCAAGTATTTCAATAATAATAAGTCAGTTGAGATTTAAATGTATGAGCATTCTTTGATAGATATACTAGATTAAGTCAAGCTGAGACAGCTAAAATTATGATAAAATAATAGAAAAGATAATTATACGATCCAATAAGCAAACTAAACTATAAAATCATCAACCATATAAAAATATATGTCTGGAGAGACATGCATGAAAATCAAAATCAAAAGGCTAAATATGACAGATGTGAAGCATTTTATTTCAACAAATACGTTAGAGCTAAAATGATAAAAAACAAACATGGTTCTTTCCTCAACACAGCCTGACGAAAGAGATAGATATATATACCAATAACAAGAATATAATTGTATTTCTTTAGAATACACTTATCTAATTTCTATTTGTTGATTAGTGTTTTGGTTGGGTGGTGAAAGAGAATCAGCTTTAGCACTTTTCCTTGAAGAAACAGTTCTATGTGAAATTAACGTTTGATATGTAATCCCTAAAAGAAGCATGGCCCAATGCATGTCAAGGGAGAAGAAAAGGGAATAAGAGTAAAATTAAGTAAAATATGTGAATACTTAATCTGCATGCCATTGTTCCAATTGTACCATTGCCCAGCAAAATTATTTGAATGAATGTATTTACTCTTCACAAAAACTTTATTACAAAATTACTCTCGTAAATTGAGGAAGATAATACAGGCTTAAGGATATCCAGTGAATTATACAAGATTATCTAACTAATAACTAATAACACTGAGAGCCTGAGAACAGGACTCTTACAGAAGTGCTTTATTTAGGGCACACACAGGAGAAGAGGAAATGAGAGAGGCAGGATGTGGGAGAGACAATAATATCAACTTCAGTGGCACAGACCCTCCCTTCTTTCTGAGGGATCTTAGGCCCCAGGTACCCTTACCAGAGCTTGCTTGCTGTATTCATTTATTTACAGTGAAATCTAGAAAGAGATGCTGGGTGGATCATCTGAGTATCAAATGTATTTCTCCCTGCACCCATTATGTTGCAGGAATCTTACCTTCTCATGATAATCAAGTATGATTACTCCTGCCAGTAATAATTCCTTTTCTGTCTCTTCTATTCTATCTGTGCCAGGAGCCCAAAGTCAACAGGTAGAAGCTATAGTTTTAAGTGTAGTGACACTCCTGCTCTGTACCTTAGTAAAAAGAAGTGTCCCCCTTCCAGTAACCAAATTTAAAACCACAAAGCTTATAGTTGCAGGGACAGGAAGCACAATTTCCCCAAAACACATGACCATGAGGTCCACTGGTTCTGATATGTATTGTACTTTCTAAAGGTACCAGTCCAATAGTGTTTGATACCTGTGTCAATAGTCACAGTAATTTGAAGACGAAAACACTGGATCAGTAAAAGGGATTTCAAAGGGGCATCAATCTCATCTACTACAGTCTTAGTTCTATTATAATTCTAGCCCCATTTTATCCCCTTTTATAGTGGAAATGAATATTGCAATTTTCCTGCCCCAAACTTCTCATTGTGTATTGAGAGTATAGTGGACAGATAAATTGTCTCTTTAATTCACAGGTCTTCAGAATGAGAGAAGATATGCCAAAGACTTTTTATCTATACCTGTTCCTGTTATGATGATGAAATCCTGGACTACTAGACTGAATCTGATACCAAAATTGGAAGAGTTTTTGGGTATCTTGGGAGAGGACATTTTGGTTGTGCTTGGATTGTGAACTCTTAGGGTCAAAAAAGTGAATTGCAGAGGAAGGCAGAATATCACAGGAACTATTCTTTGGTTATTTGGATGCATGGGTGTCCTGGGGTTTGTATCACAGCTACCTTTTTTTTAATTTTTCAACAACTATCAAATCCATGAGCAGTCCAATCAATACTGAATAGTTCTGTTTCTTCAGGTCATCTGCAGTCTTATTCATTTTCTCCTTCATCATCTGTTTCTCTCTTCCTCTTTTCACCTTTCCTGCTTTCTTCCTCCTCTTCATCCGCATACTCATCTTAATCTTCTTCATTTAGTCCCTCTGGTAATTTCCCACCAAGCTTGGGACTTCACCCCAACAAAATTGTAAGTATTGTTAGGTTTTTATGTAAGACTCTTGCTGTAGCATGGGTAGTGTGATTGATGAGTCAACCGTCTGTGGCTACCAGTTACACCAAGAATGTAACAGTATTTTTATTTTCTGTACAACAAAAAAGCTTTGTAAATGAAATTTTAACATTAAAAAAAGTGAATTGTGGAAGACTAATCCTGTGATGGTCTCTCAAAAAAAAAAAAAAAAACACACACTTCATGGTATTCCTTGTTTAGTCCCTTCCCCCTGAATCTGGACTCCATGATTTTCTATTGCTCCCACCAATAGAATGTAGTAAAAGTAACACTTTGCCAGTTTCATGCCTAATATAGCTTCTGCTTTTGAACTCACCCTGAGCTGTGATGTAAGTTCAGCCATCCAGCTGGAGAGACAATGTAGATCTTGAAGAAGGCAGGTGGAAAGAGCATGGCCTTGAAATTACATGAAGTGGCCAGACGTAGTGGCTCACGCCTGTAATCCCAACACTTTGGGAGGCAGAGGCAGGTGGATTACTTGAGGTCAGGAGTTTGAGACCAGCCTGGCCAACATGGTGAAACCCCATCTCTACTAAAAACAGAAAAAAAAAAAAAATTAGCCAGGCGTGGTGGCAGGTGACTGTAATTCCAGCTGCTCGGGAGGCTGAGGCAGGAGAATCGCTTGAACCCAGGAAGTGGAGTTTGAAGTGAACCAAGATCACACCACTGCACTCCAGCCTGGGCGACAGAGTGAGACTCCATCACAAAACAAACAAACAAACCAACAAACATACAGACAAACAAAGAAAGAAATTACATGAAGGTGAACCAAGAAACTCAGCTGACAGTGCAGAGAGCCTAAACATATGACCCTGGATGCACAGTTCCAGAGAGCTCCAGCTTTTTAAGCCCTCCAGGCTGAGGCTAAGATATGTAAGATATGTCATGAGACGCACTTTGGACCTTCTAACCCTAGCAGATATCACACAGGGCAGAGACAAGCTCTTCCTGCTGTGCCATGTCTGAATTCCTGACCCACAAAACCATGCGTAAATAAAATGACTATTGTTTTAAGCCATTACATGTTGGGGTGATTTGTTACACAGCTATAGATATCCAGAAGAACTAGGAATTTTCTTTTTCTTAAAAATGACAAGAAAGAAGTGAGCATGGTGAACGTTATGTACAATATAATAAAGCAGTTCAACCTCAACTGCCACTACTATGTTATAGTGTCATGTCACTATTGTTTTTCACATTGAGTTCCAGGTACTGCATCCCGACTTCTGTGGCAATAATTTTTCTCTGTCATATTTTAAAAACTACAATAATGTGATACAATGCATAAAATGTATTTCATTTTTTACCAAAATCATCTTTGCTATAGAGAACTGAAAGCTAATTTTTAATTTTATTATTTTATTTTTTTCCTTTATGGATCCTCAGAATTCAACTTAAAGAAAGCTGATGGTTTAGAAATCTGTTTCCACTCAGGGATTCTAACTTGCATTTTGCAAAGCCTTGTGAGAATACATTTCCCTGGTCTGCATTCCAGTAGCCTTTTTATTTCCTGTAGCTGTGTCAAAAGCAGTAATAGCAACTTAAAAGAATAGAGCAGAGTAGCTTATAATATATATACCATATGGTTTCATAGTCTTATCCCTTCATTAACTTGGAAATTACTGTATGTGATACTGTATTAGCCTGCTAATTACTATTCCTTGCATATGGCTAAGTTAATAGATATTAAATAATAAAACCTTATGTTTCATAATCTTCTTTGTTTTTGATATGTTAGCTACAAACATTCCTTAAAATCTACATGCTGAGGCAAGACAGGAGTTTTAATTTTATTGGCATATCTATATTTGCTGGAAAAACAGCACCTTTTATTTTTAACCACACTTCCTGTCATCTACAAAGCTTTAGCAGATATGGAAAAGTTGGATGGGTAATTTGAACACAATAATGTGGGCAGCAAATTGCCTGGTCAATTTGGTATTGAAACTACAATCCAGCATGAAAGCTTAGCTTTTTCTGAAATTATATTAGACATAGCATTTATCAAGTTAATACTCATTAACACAGTCAATAGCAGAGTTGAGTGTAAAATAAAATTCTCTCATAAATTTGAAAATAGAATTCACAGCACAGAAGCCATTTTATAGCTAGTGGATTTATTTATTATTTTTAAGTGAAATTATTATATCAAAAAATATGAGACTACGAGAGTGAAGTTTTATAACTGCAAGATTATTAAGCATATGTGTAAAGGCAATCAAGCAGAATTGATTTTTGCTAGATTGAGTTCTTCTATAATAGCACACTGTATTTACTATGCTAGCAAATTTTAGGGAGATCATGATAAAAATTGTACACCCCAGAATGCAAAATTGAGTATCATATTTTAAGTTAATTATTGTTTTTAATGATACAATTACAATGCCTTGAAAAAAGCAAGATCAAGACAATATAAATGGGTACTGATATGTAGTCTTTGAACTGAATCCTAAACATTAACATTAAAATACATGAAGAGAACAAAAACAATTTACAAAAGTCCTATGAGAGAGAGAGCAAAAAAATGTTCCTCCTAATCTACTCTCTTATACAGTCACTCAACAAAACACTATTTTTTTTTTTTTTGAGACAGGGGCTTGCTCTGTCACCCAGGCCTAAGTGCAGTGATGGAAATCACAGTTCACTGCATCCTCGACTTCAGGGTTTCAAGCATTCCTCCCACCTCAGCCTCCTTAGTAGCTGGGACAACAAGTTTGTACCACCACACCCAGCCAACTGTTTTTTTTATTTTTTGTAAGGAAAATTTAAAAAATGTTATGCTATGTTGTCTAGGTTGGTCTCAAACTGCTGGACTTAAGCATTCCTCCTGCCTTAGCCTCCCAAAGTGCTGGCATTACTGGCATGTGCCACTGTGCCTAGCAAACATAACACTTCTGACACTAGTTGTGTAGGGGTATTTCCACCAAGTAATTATTCTGTCAACACCAGCTGGACGTCCTGTAATTCAACTCAACTCCAACACTGCCTGGAGATAGGACTGGATTCCACATATTAAGGGATCAGTCCCACAAGACCGCCCCCAACTTCAGATGTAATAGCAAGTAATAGGTTTTCACCTATACTTCTGACCAACCAGCTATAAATCAGGGTTCCCAATACCCCTCCTTGGGTTCAATTAACTTTCTGGAGAGGCTCAGAGAACTTAGGGGAATACAATTTACATTTACTGGTTTATTAATAAAGGATATAGATAAACAACAAGATAAAGGGATACATAGGGAAAGATCTGGAAGGATCTTGTAAAGGTGTGGCAGACCATTCATCCAGCATACTGATGTGTTCGCCAACTCAGAAACTCTCTAAACTCCATTGTTCAGGGATTTTTATGGAGGCTTCATCACACAGGCATGATTAATGATCAGTTCCATTTCCAGCCCCTCTTTCTCTCCAAAGAATGGGAGGTGTGGCTGAAACATCCAAGCTCATAATCATGGCTTGGTCGATCTGGTAACCAGCACCATTCAGCACTCCGCCAAGAGTCACCTCATTAGAACAAAAGACACTCCTATCACCCAGGAAATTCCAAGGAACTTAGGACCTCTGTGTCAAGAACTGAGATCTAAGACCAAATATTAGAATGAAGGATTCTCTTAGTACCTTACAAGGGCATCATTAAAAGCTCTGTCTTGGAAACTGGGAAATAGACCAAATACTGGAAGAAAAGATTCTCCTATTACCCCATCACTCAGGAAATTATAAGGGCTTTCAGAGCACTGTACCAGAGACTTAGGACAGAAACATATATATACATATATATATATATATATATATATATATATATATATATATACATATATATATATATATCTTATTATTTCACAAATTCAAAAGACTGAAGGGAATAAGCCATATACCAAAGTCCAGGGGCAAGTTCATCAACCAAAAAAGATGGGCTGAGGAATGTAGTCTAGATCTACACTACATCCTCTAAACTCGGACGAAAGACAATTATCAAAAAGTAAAGATTTTGCTTCATACTCAGAATGTGCCTGAATCTGGACATCAGAGACTGTTACCATGCTTTCTCTGAACAAATCAGAATCTGTTTCCCTTTTTGTACACGTGCTCCAGGTGTACAAAGTCAGTAAAAAGGTCAGATTCTTTATATCTTGAGGTGCACAGAAAACACAGAAAAAAATGCTTTAAGCAGGGAGACAAAAGCATTAGAGAAAATCTGAGGATGTAAAGGGTTTTAGCTAAGATAATGACCAGAGACCTAGCAATGTACACATCCTCTTTGCAGTCATGGTTAATCCAAAGATTTTCTCAGCAATATATCCTCAAATAATAATAGCGAATTATGTAGGAGGCACAGGTAAGTAACTGGGTTGGAGTGTGCCACGGAGTCAAAGCTCAGGCAAAGAAATTCTTCACGTAATTCCCAAGCTTGCCACCTGTCAGCCACCAAGCCAGGAAGAATGGGCGTACTATAGCATGTAAGAGCAGAAAAAAAGAGAAAAAGAAAATTGAGCACCAATTGCTAAACCTTGGAGTGGCCTTCATTTGGGAAATAAAAAAGAGGGAAGAGACCAAGTTGGCTAGCTTGCCTGAGCAGCAGGGATGAGTCAATTTCTAATCTATCTTCAGAGAAGGAAAATATGGAAGACAATGCTATTCTCATGTGATTGTCTATGTTTTGACTCACAAATAACCTTGAACTCTAATAAATGTAATCTAATCAGTGGCATGAAGTCTCATCAACTGTATTTTCATTTTATCCTCCCTGGGGCAGGGGAGGGACCTTCACACAAAAAGAGAAAAATGTATAGACATTCAACAAATATAGAGTGTTTACTAAATTTTAGGCACAGTTCTTGACACTTGGGGTAATAATACTGGATAAGATTTTGCCTACTTTCTTTTGGGAGAAGACAGACAATAAATATACAAATAAATATTTTTAAATAATTCTAATGAAGACAATGAAATCAAGATAATAAGGTAGGGAATGACTGAGGAGGAAACATTGCTTTAGCTGGAGTGATCAGGGGAAGTTGCTTGGAGGTGACAAAAACTACAAAACAAAACTGAGTTCAGAATGACAAGGAGACAGATCTGTGAAGATCAAGGGGGAAAGCATTTCACCTCTGAGGCTCTAAACTCAAGAAATAGAAAGGGAGCAAAAATAGCTTTGATAGAATGAACAAAAGGGAAATAGATTGAATGTGAGGTAGAGTCAGTGACAACTCCTGGGTTTTGGCTTAAGCAATTGTTATTTACTTAAATGAGAAGAGTTAGGAAGGAATGTATTTGTGTCAGGACAAATCAATATTTGTTATGACCTTTAAATACTACACATGTAAATAACTGTTCTTCCATCTTAAGTTATAATGTAGGTAAGGGATTCAACATTAAGCAAAGGAAAGAAGAAACTTTCAGTGTAGAAGAACCAGCTAGAAAAATCCATGATATGAATTAGTTATTGAGGTGGGATGTATGATGTCAACTTGCTGTCCACCTGGGGTTCTAAGAGAAAACCATGTAACAGCTTCTAGAACAAAGACATGGTAAGAGGATCTAAGTCATTCTTACATTGTGCAGATACTAGAATCTATTTCTCAGGATATATCTTTCTCTATTTAAGTCTAAATTTTTTAAAAAATGTGAAGATTTATAAAAGTTTTGTAGCATAATGGAAAAGGAACCTTATTCTAAACATTCCAAATAAATATATATTTCTTAAAATTATAGTAACCTATAGAAAAGGAATATGATAGAAAATATCTACTCAGACCACTGAAAAATATGCAAAAGATATGCCTCTGTGAAAGACATACTGAGTTTAATAAAGAAAAAATAGACAAAAAGTTAAAGTGGAATTGGCCAAAATAATGAAAGATGGAATTTAAAAATCAATAGGCAAATCAATATTCATACGAAGACCTAAAAAAGCAGAATTGATACTGCAGAAACCTAAATCAGTGGTTTTCTCCCTATGGGGTGGTGGTGGGGGGGCTATAAAAGGTGCTATACAGGATAGATGACAGTTAATAGGCCTGAGAAATATGAACATATTTCACTCAGGCGAGAAATCTAAATAACTGAGATCAGGCAATAACCAAACCTTAAATAGAAAAATAATACTTGAGTAGAAATATTATTCAAGCCTATGAATCAAAAGAACTAGCTTAATGAACCCAGAAAACATAATGAAAAAAAAAGGACTTAATATGAAGTGTTAGCACCTAGACACAAAGAGAGAGAAGGAAGAAAAGCTACCTATAAAAGAACAGAAGTTGGGCTGTCCTCAAATTTCTCTTCTACATAACTGAATGCCAGAGGACAACACAGAATGTCTACAGAATTTTAATGGAAAAAGTGTGTGACCTGAAAATTCCACATCAACCAATTTATTGTTCTAATATTAAAGCAACAGAAGGCATTCCTAGGTTGTAAGGACTTGGAAAATATTGCAGCCAAATATTCTTCTGGAAAAAAAAAGAATCACTGATACAATTCAAATGATAAAAATATAAATCAAAATAAAAGTACTGGTGATGAGCACTAACACTACTTAAAGATATTAAATTAACACAATTTGATACGAATCCAAACAGCCTTCAGCAAAGTTGCTGAGCATCTACTCTTGTAAATATAGAGGAAATAAGAGAAAACAAAGCACACTGTGTCCTCCTTTGCTGGAGATGCATTATGTCAGATGAGAGAGGAGTTAAACACCAAAGAATGTCACATAGTGATCAGTACTATGAAAAACATAGAAGAGGGCCATGAAATAAAACATGGCTGCAATTTTAGATAGGGGGCTTCCAGGAGGCCTTTTTAAGGAACAGGAAACTGACTGAAATGAGGGAATGAGGCTTTTAAAAGTCTTACTGAAGAGATTTTGGAAAGTGTCAAGTACCTGAGGTGAGAGTGAGCTTGTCATGGTTCCAGGAAGAACTGGGAGGCCACTGTGACAGAAACTCAGCGAGAGGGAGAGTGAAAGATGTTGTCAGTGGCAAACTACTCAGGGTCCACTTAATATTGGGCAATTTACTCACATAGGAATTTGGATATTAATCTATGGCAGTTGGAAAACCAATGGAGAATTGTAAACAGGGGACTAATATTATCTAGCTTAGCTTTGAAAAGGATACCTTTGGAGTTACATAGGGAACAGATTATAAGGTGTTGGAAAGACAATAGAAAATTATTACAGTAATTGTCTCTATGATCTGATCTTAATAGCAAAGTATGAAGTGTCTTGCAGGAAGGTGAGACAAGGGCATTTTAAATTTTGTATTGTGCCTGATGAAGGCTAAATTTACTGTAGTCACATTTGTACTGCCCTGTCCCTCCAAAGCAGCAGTAATCTTTCAGCTTCACACAAGGTATTTCCAGATCTCACAGTTTATCTAGAGAAGACAGAATGTTGAATTTTTTATGCGAAACTTATAAATTCAAGAAGAAATATATAGACCAGAGTTTTCATCAAAATTAATAAATACATAGAAATAAATAAGTAAATTTTTTAAAGGAATAGGTTTTACCTTTTGGCTATCAGTTGGCAAGTTCAGTTCTAAACAGTAAAAACCAGAAAACACCAGGAACATCAAGGAGATACAAAAATCAGAATTTGTCAAATAAAATTACGGAAGTAAGCAATAATATATTTGCATTAGTGAGGATTCTCTAGAGAGACAGAACCAATAAGGAATATATACATAATTTTCTATACCTTATAATAAATCTATTTCTATGGAGATTTGTTATAGGGTATTGGCTCACATGATTACGGTGACTGAATCCCCATTATCTGCAAGCCAGAGACCGGAAAGCTAGTGATGCAGTTCCAAGTCGTGAGAGTTGGAGATCCAGTAGTGTGGATTCCATTTTTAATCTGAAGGCTTGAGAACTAGGAGTGCCGAGGACGGAAGGAAATTGAAGCTCCACCTGAAGCAGTCAGGCAGAGAGAGAATTCAAATATCATCCGCCTTTGGTTTTATTCAAGTCCTCAACAGACTGGATGATATACACCCACTTTTGGGAGGGACATCTGCTTGGCTCAATTCACCAATTCAAACGCTAATCTCTTATGGAAACAGTTTCACAGACAAACCAAGAAATAATGTTTAATCAGATATCTGGGCATCTTGTAGTCTAGTCAAATCAGCACATAAAATTAACCATCCCACTACTTTTCTACTTTTAACATATATAAGGGCTTAAATTCCCTATTTCTAGAACAACTAACAAATTGAGTCTTTTTACAAGTTTTTAAAAGTTTTTCTTTATAAAATGTGTCCGTTTTTATTTATTATGCCCCACTTGTCTTAAAAAATGAGGTAATGCTATGAGATTCACCAAAAACTGAGGTTAAATAATAAAAATAAAAATATGGATAAAATTAATTTCAGTGCTTATAAGGCCTTGGAATTCTACTATAAGTTACAAATTTTGCCAGGGTCCATGAACATCAAGAGTAATGGTTCACTCATCAATGAACTGCTGGAAAAGATGATCCTGTACTTCAGGTTTCACAGAACTCAAGAAAAGGGATCTAAACCTTACTATAAACAAATAGCAGCAGCATAAGAAAATAATAACAGATAATCACCCAAGTGAAAGGTAAACGGTCTGGCGAACTAAGGGCTGCTGTTCCAGTTATATTTTCTGGTGGCCTTGAGAATGCCTTACGAGCACAGAAAGAAAATTTGAAGTTAACTGAGTTATAAGAATGAATATGAAATGTATTATAATTCTACATTCAAAAGGCTTTTTCTTCTCATCTGTTTAAGGCTGTGATAACCTGAATAATTTCTTACCCAAGATATATATATATATATATATATATATATCTTGGGTAAGAAATTAAGATATATATATAAGATATATATATAAGATATATATATAAGATATATATATAAGATATATATATAAGATATATATATAAGATATATATATAAGATATATATATATAAGATATATATATAAGATATATATATATAAGATATATATATATAAGATATATATATAAGATATATATATATAAGATATATATATATAAGATATATATATAAGATATATATATATAAGATATATATATATAAGATATATATATAAGATATATATATAAGATATATATATAAGATATATATATAAGATATATATAAGATATATATATAAGATATATATAAGATATATATATAAGATATATATATAAGATATATATATAAGATATATATATAAAAGATATATATATAAGATATATATATAAGATATATATATAAGATATATATATAAGATATATATATAAGATATATATATAAGATATATATATAAGATATATATAAGATATATATAAGATATATACATATAAGATATATATATATAAGATATATATAAGATAGATATATAAGATAGATATATAAGACAGATATATAAGATAGATATATAAGATAGATATATAAGATATATATATAAGATATATAAGATATATATGATATATAAGATATATATATGATATATATGATATATATGATATATATGATATATATATGATATATGATATATATGTGATATATATGATATATATATGATATATGATATATATATGATATATATATTATATATATGATATATATTATATATATAAGATATATATATAAGAGATACATATATATATTCTAATCCCCAGAACCTGTGAATATTTCTAGAATTACATACCAAAATGAAGGTGTTTGCAGGTGTAATTAAAGAATCTTAAAAAAAAAATTATCCTGCATCATTTGGTGGGCCCAATGTGATCACGAGGTTCTTATAAGAAGGGGGCAAGAGGATAAGAGTCAAAGGAGATATGATAACAGAAGCAGGGTTTGCAATCAAAGAGAAAGATTTGAGGATGCTACACTGATAGCTGGACAAATGGACAGCAGCTATGAGCCAAGGTGTAAATGACTTCTAGAAGCTGGAAAGCTCAATGAAATGGGCGAGCCCCTAGGGCCTCTGTATTTGTCACAGTTCTCCAGAAGGACAGAACTAATAGGAAAGATGTATATATAAAGGGGAGTTTATTAAGGAGTATTGAATCAGATCACAAGGTGAGGTCTCACAATAAGTTGCTTGCAAGTTGAGGATCAAGGAAGCCAGTAGGAGTCCCAAAACATCGAAAGTAAAAAAGCCAAAAGTACAGCCTTTAGTCTGTGGCCAAAGGCCTGAGATACTCTGGCAAATCACTGGTGTAAGTCTAAGAGTCCAAAAACTGAAGAACTTGGAGTCCGATTTTCGAGAGCAAGAAGCAACTAGCACAAGAGAAAGATCAACGCCGGAAGACTCGCGAGCTGGCTCCTTCCACCCTCTTCTGCCTGCTTTATTCTAGCCATACTGGCAGTTGATTAGATGGAGCCCACGCTGACTGAGGGTGGGTCTGCCTCTCCCAGTCTACTCACTCAAATGTTAACCTTCTTTGGCAGCACTCTCACAGGCAAATCCAGGAACAGTACTTTGTATTGTTCAATCCAGTCCTTCAGTCCAATCTGGTTGGCACTCAAAATTAACCATCATGGCCTCCAAAAAGAATGAAGTCCTCCCAATACCTTGTTTTTAGACTCTAAGACACATTTCAGAATTCTGATCTTGAAAACTGTAAGATGATACAATTGTGTTTATTAAGCCACTGAATTTATGGTAAGTTGTTATTCCAGCAGCAGAAAAGACATATAAAGCCAGCTTAAAGATTTTATTAATCTGGCAAATTTTATTTTCATGGTAACATTGGATGAACTGTAGGAAAACTTTGACATTTTTCATTTACAAACACAGTCAATGAAACGATTATAAACAATATAACTGCATTTATAAATCTCATGAATTCTATTTTTATTTAATTAAATTTATTTAACAAATCCTCTAGATTTAAGTTATAAATACATTACCTCTCTCTAAGTTGAATGTTTAATTCTTAAGTCCTACCATATGATGTTTTACTTCTTGATTGAGTTTGTTATTTACTGCCTAGTTCTCTCCTGACTCCTTTTCAAATTTTTCTATCTGGCACCTACAAAATTTTCAGGTACGTTTAAGTGATGTTCAGTTGGATTTGGGTACATTTTGTGTCTACTTTTGGCCCTAAGATCATTGATGTTAAGGCCTTAGAAGTAATGTTGGAAAGATCTCCTCTGCTATTTTGGAGATGCTAAATTTTGACACGTATTTTCAAAGAATAAACTCAGTACTCAAATACCTGTCATGATGTGGCAAAGAGCTCTTTAAGTAGAATACCTGAATATATGGCTGAAAAGAATGACAAGATAATCATTGAAAAGTAGGACAAAGGCATAACCAATAAGAGCATCATGATGGGAAACAGTAGACTGATAATAACAACTAGACCTTCCACTTTTGTGTATTGATGTGTAGTTTGAAGCCAAACATAGCATCAACTTTTTCATTACTCAATCGGGAATTGGGAATTTGGAGTAACAAGCTGCTACAGAATGAATATTTTCACCACCAACTACATTCCAATTCATATGTTGAAATCCAGTTCTCAAGATGGCATTTTCAGGTGGGATATTTGAGACATTCTTAGATCATGAGGATGGAATGCTCATGAATAGAATTAGTGATCTTATTAAAAGGATTCAGAGAACTCCCTTGCTCTATCTGCCATGTGACAAAGATGGTCTGTGAACCAGGAAGTGGCCCTTCACCAGAGACTGAATGTGGAAACTCCTTGATCTTGGAGTTCCCAGCCTCCATACCTGTGAAAAATAAACTTTTGTTGTTCATAAGCCACCCAGTTTATGGTATTTGTTATAGCAGCCCAAATAAACTAAGACAGAACCATTGACAACATCTGCTCTCCATTCTGGAGGATCAGTCTTGGCAGCAAAAAGGCACACCAATTAACTTAAAACTGTTGTGAAATCCAAATTCAAGCCCTTACTGCTGGCCTAGAAAATGAAAATAAGGATTCTAAAGCCACTGGACAAGAGGGAGATCATGTGTCTACGGAAGAAAACTAAACTATAAAACTATAAAAACACAATTATAGAGTATTACCAACACTAAGTTTGAGCCACAGCCAACCTACAATAAGAAATAATGGGCTTAACCACCTGCCTACTTGAACTCTAAATTATTATTAAAGTTGCATTATATAAAAATATTCCAACTAAAGTTGAACCATTTCCATGAGTTATCAAATTTTTGGACTCTGTATTGTATTTATTCTGCAATAATAGTAATTTATTTTTTTTTTTGAGACAGAATTTCACTCTTGTTGCCCAAGCTGGAATGCAGTGACACGATCTCACAATCTCTACTCACTGCAAACTCCTCCTCCAGGGTTCAAGCTATTCTCCTGCCTCAGCCTCCTGAGTATCTTGGATTACAGGTGCATGCCACCACACCCAGCAAATTTTTGTATTTTTAGTAGAGCCAAGGTTTCACCATGTTGGCCAGGCTGGTCTTGAACTCCTGCCCTCAGGTGATCCACCAGCCTTGGCCTCTCAGTAAGTGCTGGGGTTACAGGCATAAGCCACCGCACCTGGCTGTCATGTATTCTTTAATTACAGAATAAATAAGTAAGTTCTTTTATTTAAAGAAATTAAACATTTAAATTTAAAAATTTAAATGTTTAATTAAAATGTTAAATGACTTTAAATCTAAAATTTATTTCTTTAAATTTAGAGTCATTTTACCTGAAAATGTGTTTGGAAATTAAATGTAAATATTTTGAGCATATTGTTGGAAAATGCAACTAAGATATATTTTTTAAAAGTTTATACTCTTTCAAAATTTTCAGACCAGTAAGTATTCAAATACCTTTGATTTATTAACAATTATTATTATGAAATAACCAATAATGTTAATTAATATGAAACAACCCATATTATTATTATGAAATAACCTGCAGAAAAAGTGAGCAAGAGTAGCAATTCTTAGATAAATCTGACTTTAAGTCAAAAACAGTTTTAAAAAAGACAAAAGTCATTATATAATGCTAAAGCTATCAATTTAGCATGAGTATATAACAATGCTAAATATATTCACCCAACACTGGAGCACCCAGATTCATAAAACAAATATTACTAGAGCTACAGAGAGAGACATACAGCAATGTAGTAACAGTAGAGGACTTCAACACCCCACTAACAGCATTATACAGATCATCTAGACAGAAAACCAACAAACAACGGACTTAAAATTGTACTTTAAATCAAATGGACCTAACAGACATTTACAGAACATCCTTCCCAACAACTGCAGAATATGCATTCTTTTCATAAGCTCATGGAATATTCCCAATGATAAAATGTATGTTATACCACAGAACAATTCTCAACAAAGTTTTACAAATTGAGATAATATTGAGTGTCTTTTCCGACCACAATGAAAATCAATACCAAGAGAAACTTTGAAAACTCAAAAACAAACAAACAAAAATATGTAGAAATTAAACAACATGCTCCTGAATGACCATTGGGTTAATGAAGAAATTAAGATGAATATTTAAAAATGTTTTGAAGCAAATGAAAATAGTAACAAAGCATACTAAAACCTGTGGGATATAGCAAAACCAGTGGTAAAAAGAAAATTTATAACATTAAAAGCCTACATCAAAAAAGTAGAAAGATTACAAATTAGCAATCTGAAAGGGCACCACAAGGAACTAGAATTTAATAAATGGTGCTGGGAAAACTGGATAGCCATATGTAGAAAGCTGAAACTGGATCCCTTCCTTACACCTTATAAAAAAATTAATTCAAGATGGATTAAAGACTTAAACGTTAGACCTAAAACCATAAAAACCCTAGAAGAAAACCTAGGCATTACCATTCAGGACATAGGCATGGGCAAGGACTTCATGTCCAAAACACCAAAAGCAATGGCAACAAAAGCCAAAATTGACAAATGGGATCTAATTAAACTAAAGGGCTTCTGCACAGCAAAAGAAACTACCATCAGAGTGAACAGGCAACCTACAAAATGGGAGAAAATTTTCGCAACCTACTCATCTGACAAAGGGCTAATATCCACAATCTACAATGAACTCCAACAAATTTACAAGAAAAAAACAAACAACCCCATCAAAAAGTGGGCAAAGGACACGAACAGACACTTCTCAAAAGAAGACATTTATGCAGCCAAAAATCACATGAAAAAATGCTCATCATCACTGGCCATCAGAGAAATGCAAATCAAAACCACAATGAGATACCATCTCACACCAGTTAGAATGGCAATCATTAAGAAGTGAGGAAACAACAGGTGCTGTAGAGGATGTGGAGAAATAGGAACACTTTTACACTGTTGGTGGGACTGTAAACTAGTTCAACCATTGTGGAAGTCAGTGTGGCGATTCCTCAGGGATCTAGAACTAGAAATACCATTTGACCCAGCCATCCCATTACTGGGTATATACCCAAAGGACTATAAATCATGCTGCTATAAAGACACATGCACACGTATGTTTATTGCGGCATTATTCACAATAGCAAAGACTTGGAACCAACCCAAATGTCCAACAACGATAGACTGGATTAAGAAAATG
The DNA here is from genome assembly GCF_000001405.40 of Homo sapiens. NCBI lineage: Eukaryota > Metazoa > Chordata > Mammalia > Primates > Hominidae > Homo > Homo sapiens. The sequence goes on from NC_000001.11 coordinate 103,356,235, forward strand.
TGGCACATATACACCATGGAATACTATGCAGCCATAAAAAATGATGAGTTCATGTCCTTTGTAGGGACATGGATGAAATTGGAAATCATCATTCTCAGTAAACTATCGCAAGAACGAAAAACCAAACACCGCATATTCTCACTCATAGGTGGGAATTGAACAATGAGATCACATGGACACAGGAAGGGGAATATCACACTCTGGGGACTGTGGTGGGGTGGGGGGAGGGGGGAAGGAGAGCATTGGGAGATATACCTAATATTAGATGACGAGTTAGTGGGTGCAGCGCACCAGCATGGCACATGTATACATATGTAACTAACCTGCACATTGTGCACATGTACCCTAAAACTTAAAGTATAATAAAAAAAAAGAAAAGCAAAAACAAACCAAACCCCAAATTATCAGGAGAAAAGAAATTACAAAGATCAGAACAGAAATAAATGTAATACAGACCAAAAAAAAAAAAGAAAAAAGGACAAAATTAAAAGTTGGTTCTTCAAATAGATAAAGAAAATTGATAAACTGCTAGCTATACTAACAAAGAAGAGGGATGACCTAAATAAACAAAATCAGAGATAAAAAGGAGACATTGCAGCAAATATCACAGAAATACAAAAGATCACCAGAGACTATTATAAACAACTATATGTGCACAAACCAGAAAGCCAAGAGAAAATAAATAAATTCCTGGAAACATACAACCTCCCACGACTGAACCAGAAAGAAATAGAATACCTGAACAGACCAACAACCAACAATGAGATTAAATCAGTAATAAAAACATCTCCCAAGAAAGAAAAGCCCAGGACTAAATGAATTCACAACTGCATTCTACCAGATGTACAAAGAATAACTAGTAGTAATCCTACTGAAACTGTTCCAAAAAATCAAGGAAGAGGGAATTCTCCCTAATTCATTCTATGAGGTCAGTACCACCTGATACCAAAGCCAGACAAGACAAAACCAGAAAAGGAAACTAAAGACCAATATTTCTGATAAATATAGACGCAAAAATGTTCAACAAAATATTAGCAAACCAAATACAGCAGCACAAGAAAAAAGATAATACACTATAATCAGGCAGGTTTTACACCAGGGAGGCAAGGTTGGTTCAACAGACACAAATCAATAAATGTGATACATCACCTAAACAGAATCAAGGACAAAATCACATGATCATCTCAATAAATGCATAAAAACATTCTTCATGATAAAAACCTCCCAATGAATTATGCTTAGAAGGAACATACCTCAAAATAATAAAGAACACATACAATAAATCCGCAGGTAATATTATACCCAATAGGAAAAAATTCAAAGCATTTTCTCTAAGAATTGGAACAAAACAAGGATGCCCATTTTCACCAGTCCCATTCAACATAGCACTGGAAATCCCAGCCAGAGTAATCAGGCAAGAGAAATACATAAAAGGCATAAAAATTGAAAAATAGAAACTCAAACTATCCCTGTTTGCTGATGATAGGATCTTATATACAGAATAACCTAAATACTCCACAGAAATCACTTAGATTTGATAAATGAACTTAGCAGTTTCAGGATACAAAGACAACACACAAAAACCAGTAGAATGTCTTTATACCAATAACAATCTAGCAGAGAAGGAAAACAAGAAGGCAATCTCATTTATATAACTCCAAAAATTAAAATCACTAGGAATAAATTTAACCAAGGAAATGAAAGATCTCTACAGGGCGAACTAAAAAACACCAATGAAAGAAATCATAGATGACACTAACACAAAGGGAAAAACAGCCCATGCTCATGGATTGAAAGAATTAATATTGATAAAATTACCATGTTGTCCAAAACTATCTATAGATTCAGTTTGATCACAATGAAAATATCAGTGTCACATTTCACTGAATTAGGCTATAGTAGCCAAAACAGTATTGTACTGGTATAAAAATAGATAAATAGATCAATGGAACAAAAGAGAGAAGCCAAAAATAAAGCTGCATACCTACAGCCAACTGATTTTTAGCAAAGCTAAAAAGAATATACTTTGGGAAAACATTCTTTTCAAAAAAGGAGTTGGGAAAATTAAATTTCCATATGCAGAAGAATATTAGTGGATCCCTAACTCTCACCATATACAAAAATCAATTTAATATGGATTAAAGACTTAAACATAAGACCCAAAACTATAAATATACCAATAAAAATGTAGAAAAAACACTTCTAGACATTGATCTAGGCAAATAATTTATGACTAAGACCTCTAAAGCAGAGACCACAAAATCAAAAATAGACAAAATGGACTTAATTAAACTAAAAATCTACTATAAAGCAAAATCAATAATCAATAGAGTGCATGGACAACCTGCAGAACAGGAGAAAATATTTGCCAACTACTAATCCATCAGGGGACTAATATCCAGATAAGTCAAGGAACTCAAGCTACTCAACAATAAGAACAAAATACCCCCAAATGATCCCATTAAATTGTGGGCAAAGGATATGAACAAATATTTTTAGAATAAGACACATAAATGGCCAACAGACATATGAAAAATGTTCAACATCACTACTCATCAGAAAAATGCAAACTAAAACCACAAAGTGATAGAATCTTACCTCAGTCAGTATGATGATTATTAAAAAGAAATAAATAACTGATATGGGTAAGGATGTGAAGAAAAGAGAACTAAATACACTGTTAGTGGGAATGTAAATTGGTGCAGCAACTATGGACAAGAGTATTAAGGTATCATGAAGAACTAAAGTAGAACTATCATTAGATCCAGCAATACCCCTGTTGGGTATCTACTCAAAAGAAAATAAATCATTATATCAAAAAGATATTGGTAGTATGTTTATTGCAGTACTATTCATAATAACAAAGATGTGGAAACAACCTAAGGGTCCATCAATGAATGATTGGATTTTTTAAATGTGGTACGTATACATAATAAAATATTATTCTGCTATAAAAAAACAATAAAATTATGTCTTTTGCAACAACATGGATGAACCTAAAGGACATTATCTTAAGAGAAATAAGCTAGGCATGGAAAGTCAAATATCTCATGTTCTCACTAGTAAGTGGGTGCTAAAAAACGTGTACACACAGATTTAGAGAGTGGAATGTTAGGCAATGGAGACACAGAGGGTTGGGGAGTCTAGGGATGAATGATGGGAAATTAAAGGGTATGATATAAATTATTTGGATAGTGAATACCCTAAAATCCCTGACCTGACCATTATCCAATCTGTACATATAAAAAATTGCATATATACCTCATAAATTTGTTTTTAAAAAGTGTGAAATATAAGATGACTAAAGACTTTCTGGTTTGGAACTAAAAATTAATATAAATTTACTAAATATTCAACTTAGTTAGAAAGATAATTTAAAAATAAACCCCAAGGAAATCATGAGTGTGTGAAAATGAGAAGAAAAAGGCTGGGCATGGTGGCTCACACCTGTAATCCCAGCATTTTGGGAGGCCGAGGCAGGCGGATCACCTGAGGTCGGGAGTTCGAGACCAGCCTGACCAACATGGAGAAACCCTGTATCCACTGAAAATACAAAAAAAAAAAAAAATAAATAAAGAATTAGCCGGGCATAGTGGCGCATGCCTGTAATCCCAGCTACTCGGAAGGCTGAGGCAGGAGAATGGCTTGAACCCGAGAGGGGAGGTTGCAGTGAGCCTAGATCGTGCCATTGCACTCCAGCATGGGCAACAGGAGTGAAACTCCATCTCAAAAAAAAAAAAAAAAAGAAAAAAAAAGAAAGAAAAGAAAGAAAAAAGAAAGAAAATGAGAAGAAAAAAATAAATTAGTAAATTTTTTAAAAGCACAAATAAAAGCACAGTTTTTAAAATAATATAGACAAATGTTCTGAAAATCTCTTGCTATTTTGCTTAAAGTAACAAGAAAGAAAAAAGAATGATTATAAACAGGAATCTATGATGGGCTTTGCAATGCATTAACCACATCACTCTTCAAGGGAATACTCTTTATCCTGCCTTTGGGTGTGCTGTGAAAGGATGACTTTCAGCTGTCAACTCCTTCATAGACTCCTCTCCCAAGAGCATGTCCTTTCCTCACAGCCAAGGACTGATCAAGGTGAAGGTATAAAGTTCTGGCTATTCACGGTGGGATAACCAGAAGGACCATTTCAGCTCAGAAGGACCTAATTAGGTCAGCTGAGGCTCTCAATCCAGTTAAAATATCTTGACTTCTGCCCTACTCTGCTTCTACCCCTGCCATCCACAGGTGTTGATGTCAAAAGCACTCTCTATAAACTTTTGAACACTAAACAAAAAAACACTAAAGGTTTCTGCCTCCCAGAAACCCCAACTTGTTTCAGAATTTGTAACTTATATTCATGAGTTTTTTAAATAAAGAAGCATACTAGTTATCATTTTATGCTAATAAATATTAAAATACTGATTTTCAGGAAACATATTTATTACTAAATTCATTCATGTAGGAAAAGGAAACTAATAAAATTACCAAATAATTACCCATCAACACCCCAAATCCTCCAGGACCAGTAGTTCAGTTCATTTTATTAGCATTTTTAGAAATATAAAATTTGTTAGAATAGACAAAAACAGGTTTGAAAACTACACAGTTCAATTTATGAAGCAAGTTATTCATATAAACAATGAAAATATGGCAGGAAAAAGAAAAATAGATCAGGGTCTCAAACACAAATGCCTAATCAAGACCAGGAATATGACACAAATATTTGACTCAGGTCATGCATATTTTAATACAACGAAGTGGAGTCCATGAACAACTGTAATGTGTAAGCCTTACATAAAAACAATAGTAAAAAAAATAACAATAATAATAATATAGGAAAAATGAGGTGAAGTGATAACATTTAGAGACCCTGCTATATAAAATGCATGGTATGGCTGGGTGCAGTGGCTCACGCCTGTAATGCCAGCACTTTGGGAGGCTGAGGCAGGCAAATCATCTGAGGTTGGGAGTTCTAGACCAGCCTGACCAACATGGAGAAACCCTGTCTCTACTAAAAATGCAAAATTAGCTGGGTGTAGTAGCATATGACTGTAATCCCAGCTACTCAGGAGGCTGAGGTAGGAAAATCACTTGAACCCAGGGGCAGAGGTTGCGGTGAGCCAAGAGCCTGCCATTGCACTCCAGCCTGGGCAACAAGAGCAAAACTCTGTCAAAAAAAAAAAAAAAAAGCACTGTTTAGGCACTTTTAATGTAGTAAATGAAAAATATACTAATATAATCATTTAAAGCAGCTGTTACTTTTATCTTGGTTTTACAGATGCCAAAATGGAGGGAGAAAATTTAAGTTAGTTTTGTAAAGTTATATAAACATTATTATTGAATTATGTTTTTGAGCCCAGGCAGTCTGGCTCCAGAGCCTCCTACTTCTTGTTTTTTCAGTCTCACTGCATAAATATTTCAGTAAACACGTACACACATATATGCACGCTTAAGGCAGATCTTTCCTACCATGCCCACTTTAAACAATTATACTTAATGTATATTAAATATCCTAATAATATTTCAATCCAATCCAGTAATAAGTAATTTTAATTCAAACCAGTAATAATACAATTATCCTCCACTATAAACATGTATTTTTCCCTAAGAAATGAAGAATTTAAAATTAGTACTACTAGTAGTAGTAAATCAATTGTTGTAATCATCAATAAGACAAAAGGCAGAAAGTGTCTCCAACTGTATCATATGAAAACTAGCAGTCATCAAATGGATAGAAGAAAGAACAAATAAATAGAACTCTAGTCCTGTTTTTCTCCCCTTAGGGTTGGAAAGACTTCTTAAGTAACACAACATCCCAGAATTCATTCAAGAAAAATTAACATGATTTGTCTATAATTATATATTAAAATTAATTATATATTAGAACTAGTAATTACATATTAAAATTACATATTAAAGTCAAAAATGTCTATTTGGTAAAAGGCACCACATATAAAGTTAAAAGACAAAAAACAAAGATGAAAGATAAATATTTGCACTATATACAGAAAAGGATGAAAACATCTATGATACAGAAAGTAAATATGTATTATATTAAAACATAAATATAGCATATTACATATGTAGTATATGTTACATGTATTACAATCTGCATATACATATAATATAAATTTACAATGTAAGGAGTTTCTACAAAGTAGTAACAAAGCATCAAACAGCTAAACTCAGCCCGATTTCTCCAGAAAGCAAAGCTGAGACAATAAAATACCCATGTACTCCTACTTTATTTGGTAGCATAGATAACTGAGTGTGAGAAGAATGTGACTAGCATATGCCCAAGCTATACTAATCACATACATTTTAGGAAACACCCCAATATAGTATTGTGACTCATCCAAGCATTCTTGCTGAAATGTTGAAGTCTGAAGCACAGGTGAGTATCCCAATGTCAAAAAGTTCTTTTTCCAGCCTAAAAATCTACTCTCTTCTTTCAACCTTCTTAATATCCTTCCCCATATGTTTTCCCTTGGTCCTTGCTGGCATATATTAACTAGTTCCTTCAACTTTTTTGTGTTTAAGCTATTTCTTCTGGAGCTTAGACTGTACTTTCCAACTCAGACTACGAAAACTGATCCTGGCACAATAAGGACTGGGAGGTGTAAGCATCATCTAACACAGCATCTGCTTTCAGACAAGGCCACAGCATAACCGCATAACCTCGAGGCAAGGAAAAGTCAGTTTCTTCTGGAAAGTGGGAGTGGGGAGGTATTTCTACTGACCTAGAAATTTCAGGGAAATTGATATGTTCATTATTCTCAGGCCCTTTATTCAAACATCCCCATCTCAGGCCTAGGGTCTCTTCCATGTCTTGTCAGTGTCTGACTTTCACATAAGAGACTTTTGAAGCTGCACGTTCAATCTCTTTTGTGCCTCTGAAGCATTACAATTAGATGTTAAGGCTATTTTCAACACAGTCTCTCTTGCGCTCTCTTTCGCTCTAGATATATATATGTATATATATGTGTGTGTGTGTATATATATGTATATGTGTGTATATATGTATATGTGTATATATATGTATGTGTCTGTATACGTGTATATATACACATATACACACACGAGGAAGAGACTCTAGGCTCACATATAAATATATGGAGAGAGAGAGAGGGAGATTTCATATACTTTCATATACTTATATATATTAAAAAAATCAAGGACTGTATATATATTTATATATTATATATAATTATATATTAAATATATTATATATTATATATAATTATATATTACATATATTTATATATTACATATATTTATATATTACATATAATTATATATTACATATATTTATATATTACATATATTATATATTACATATATTTATATATTACATATATTATATATTACATATATTTATATATTACATATAATTATATGTTACATGTATCTACTTATTATATATAATTATATATTACATATATTTATATATTATATAATTATATATTACATATATTTATATATTATATAATTATATATTACATATATTTATATATTATATATCATTATATATAACATATATTTATATATTATATATCATTATATATAACATATATTTATATATTATATATCATTATATATATTACAAATATATATTATATATCATTATATATTACATATATTTATATATTATATATCATTATATATATTACATATATTTATATATTATATATCATTATATATTACATATATTTATATATTATATATCATTATATATATTACATATATTTATACATTATATATCATTATATATTACATATATTTATATATTATATATCATTATATATATTACATATATTTATATATTATGTATCATTATATATAACATATATTTATATATTATATATCATTACATATTACATATATTTATATATTATTTATAATTATATATTACATATATTTATACATTGTATATAATTATATATATTACATACATTTATAATTATATATAATTATATATATTACATATATTTATATATTATATATAATTATATATATTACATATATTTATATATTATATAGAATTATATATTACATATATTTATATATTATATAGAATTATATATTACATATATTTATATATTATATAGAATTATATATTATACAATTATATATAATATATATTTATATCATTAAAAATAAAATAAATAAATAAAATAAATAAATAAAAATGAATACCTAAATTTATATATATTTTATATATAAATTATATATAATATTTATATATAATTATATATTACATATGAATATATAATATAAACTTGTATATTATATATAAAATATATAATTATATATTATATAATACTTATATAACATATATTTTATATATAATATATAATATAATTATATATTATATAATAATTATATGATATATAATATATTATATATTATATAATAATTATATGATATATAATATATTATATATTATATAATAATTATATGATATATAATATATTATATATTATATAAAATTATATATTTATATATTATATATACTTATATATATTTATATATTATATATACTTATATATATTTATATATTATATATACTTATATATATTTATATATTATATATACTTATATATTTATATATTATATATACTTATATATATTTATATATTATATATACTTATATATTTATATATTATATATACTTGTATATATTTATATATTATATATACTTATATATATTTATATATTATATATAATTATACATTATGTATATTTATATATTATATATAAATATATATTGCATATGTTTATATATTATGTATATTTATATATTATATATATTTATATATTATGCATATATATTATATATATATTATGTATTATATATGTTTATATATTATGTATATTTATATATTATGCATATTTATATATTATATATAATATAATTATATATATAATATAAATATATAAAATAATAAATATATAAATATAATATTATTATAGACATATTTATATATTATTTATATATATTTATTATTTTATATAATCATATATAATATATAAAATATTATATATAATCATATATAATATATAAAATATTATATATAATCATATATAATATATAAAATATTATATATAATCATATACAATATATAAAATATTATATATAATATACAAAATATTATATATTATTTATTATTTATATATTATATATAACATATTATATATAATATATAATATATAACATATATTATTTATTATTTATAATATATAATATATAATATATAATATAATCTATTACATATAATATATAATATAATATATTATATATTATATATAATATATTATATTATATGATATAATATATTATATATAATATATAATATATTAATATTATATTATATAATACATTATATATAATATATAATATATTAATATTTTATTATATAATATATTATATTTACATTATATATATCATATATTATATATATAATATATTATGTATTATATATAATATATCATATATAATATATTATAATATATATATAATACATAATATATATTATATATGATATAATAATTATTATTATATAATTATATAAGATATATAATTTATATATATTATATATAACATATATAATTATTATATATAATATATATTATATATTATAATGTATTATATATAATATATATATTTATATAATTATATAATCCAAATGGAGTGGCTCAAGAGAGAGAAAGACTTTATCATATAAGATGTATATAAGATTTTATTTTATGATAATAACCTCTTGTGTACCAAGGATTATAGGAGGACTATAGCCACTCCACTTGCCACCTACCTTGGGGTTCCTATTGCCTTTAGAATGATGAGTAATCTAGCTTCAAATCTCATTCTGAGGCCTCTGTGTTCTAGAGTCATTCTTGGTATTTATTTTTCGTTCTGTCTCACTCTTGTGAAAATTGTGTCTCAGGGGACTTTAACTTTCCCAGACTACTGGATTATACATACATGATTCCAAACAGATCTTGTGAGGTCGAAGCTAAGGGGCTCATCAAATAGGCATGAGTTGAGGAATCATTGCATGATTCCCGCATAACTCAGTCAGAGCTCATACAGAATTGGTCGCCCTAGTAGTGTATTGAACAACACAAATGTCCAAGGTCTCAGAATATGTTAGATGAAATGAATATGAAGTAGTACATAAATGGTATCTGCTCTACATCCAGGCAGTTCACAGAAGATAACTACAAAAATGGCCAATAAACATACCTTGTTATGTGCACAAGTTCACTATCAGGAAAGCATGTTGTAAAATAATAATGAGAAATTTACCATCCATCATATCGGCAAACATTAAAAAGACTGATAATTTTTAGTTTTAATATAAATTTATAAAAATGGTCTTCCCAGTGATAAGTATTCCATGGCAAGTAGAGCACAGAATCTAGATCATAGCTGGCAACTTTGCAAAATTCTGCCATTACACCTTTCTCTTACACATGAAACACAGTTCTCCTCAAGGAAGGTGATATGATTTAGCTCTGTGTCCTCACCCAAATTTCACCTCAAGTTGTAATCCCTATGTGTCCGTGGAGAGTCCTGATGGGAGGTGAATGAATCATGGGGGTGGACTTCCTCCTTGCTGTTCTGGTGATAGTGAGTGAGTTCTCAGGAGATCTGGTTGTTTGAAAGTGTCTGGCACCTACCCCTTTGCTCTCTCTCTTTCCTGCTCCACCATTGTCCGACTTGCTTGCTTCCCTTTCACCTTCCACCATGACTGTAAGTTTCCTGAAGCCTCCTAGCCATGCTTCCTGTACAGCCTATGGAACTGTGAGTCAATTAAACCTCTTTTCTTCACAAATTACCCAGTCTCAAGTAGTTCTTTATGGCAATGTGAGAATGGACTAATACAGAAGGTAAATCCAGTTATCTTTTCTAGCTCAAACTCCAAAACCTCATGCTCAGTACCACCCTTCTGGTTCGAATATCACTCTTTATAATCCAGTAAATTATAAATTAGAAAGATAAATTATTTGTCTTCTGCTCCACACCGAAAATAAAGTGCTGAGGCAGAGGCAGGATATCTGCATTAAAATCTCTCTTTTGGAAAGAAAAAGTGGGAATACCTAACTGCAAGTGATTCATAAAAGTAATGGAATTCTGCTGGTCAGGCATTGTGAGAAATCTTTCCTTCGGACTTTTCCAGTGCCCTCATGGATATTCTGCTTTCTGGGAGGAATTCTTTTATACATTGTTCAACCTAATGCCTTCCGAGTGGCTCTTCCCCATATATTATTTTCTCTGGAAAAATCTCAGTCAAAGCCTTTTTCATGTCAGACTCATGGTTTATCCAGCAATACAATTACAAAGATTAATGAACTTCTAATCAAGTTTCTTGTAGCCATTTTCATTTGTCAGTAACCTCATCAAAAACTATTTCTTGGACATAGTTCACATGCTGACTTTTTTCCTTGCTTTGTCATCTAAATGCCTCTTTTCAATTTGATTATAGCTACTGGCATCTGAAACAACAGACTTAGAGTGAAAGAAAACTCCTTAATATGATCTCTACCTCAAATATAAACCTATTTGTCTAACTGGAACAATTTAATGGGGTTTTATAGCACTACACTTTTTTAAAGTTTATTTTCAGTTATTTGGGGTTTCAAAAACAGATTGCTTTTCCAACTCTACAAGAACAAAATTCTTGAATTTTCATAATTTTCTTTTATTTCTTCTCTTAAACCACTTAATACCTGCCTTAGCTCATATCTTTTCTAGTACCTTGTTACATAGAGCAAATAACAATACACTATAACTTTTTTGAGTTTTCTAATCTCTTTCCTTAGAGGTACAGGTTCTGTGGGTACCTGGCTTGTCTTGATGGTTAGAACAGAAGGTAATTTGTTAAAGGTTTTGATTTCTTATAATAGGGTCTCTATATTTCTAACCTCCAACACCTGTTTTCTCCTTAACACAAAATGTTAAGCCAGTGTAACATATTTTTTGGTTTTGTTATAATAAGAAGACTTGACTTCAAGGTACTAATATCTGTACTATTTGGGAAAAAACTAATGGTTGTAGCAAATAAATATATTAATTCATTGGTAGTTTATTTTTAACTCATAACAGGCTGAGACAAGTGCTCCTGGTCTGTCGTGGCTTTCTGCAACATAATGACCCATGACCCTAGCTCATCTCATCTTTTGACAGCACCATCTAGGTTTCAGTAGATGAAAAAGTAAAAGGTGTGACAAAGCACACTAGCTTTTTAAAACCTATGTCTTGGAAGTAAAAACATCCATTTTATTTGCTTTTTATTGATGAGAACTCTTGACAATGCCATGATGTAAAGCGAACTGAGAAATTAAGTTACTTTGCTGGACAAAAATTTTCCATTGACAATTCCCTTAGAACTATGAATAGAATATAAATTCTATGAAATAGAAAGAGTAAAATGAATTGTATTGGTCAGGAAGCCAACTCTGCTATGGATGTCTTTGAACTTTAAAAAAATTTCATTCCCTGAAATCATGTCTTTTGCAGCAACATGGATGCAAGTGGAAGCCATTACCCTAAGCAAACTAATGGAGGAACAGAAAACCAAATACTGCCCTTATAAGTGGGAGCTAAATATCAGGTACACAGGGACATAAAGATGGGAACAAGGGACACTGGGGACTGCAAGAGGGAGAGGAAGGGAGGGAGTGGGGCAAAGGCTGAAAAACTATCTTTTGGGTATTAGGCTCACTACCTGGGTGACGAGTTCAATTGTATCCCAAGCCTCAGCATCACACAATATACCCTTGTAACAAATGTGCACATGTACTCCCTGAATCTAAAATAAAAGTAGAAAAGAAAATTTGTTCTCTATCCAAAAGTTTTATTAAGGAGGAAGCCATGTTTTATTTGTCTTTTCATTACCCTCCAGTCATTTACCTTGAATAAACAGCAGAAGATTTGAATAAACAATAAAGACTGAATTATTTATTTGATGTTGCTGTATAGTAGGCTATGAGTATCTGTACACATACATAAACACATAATTTTTACTCTTGCCAACCATGCATTGTAGAGTATATGAACTAAGATAGTCAATAAAGGAAACAGTCTGTGGTGGTAGATAGGGAAAGGGCTTTGCAGCAAGATAGATCTGGTTTGAAGGCTAACTCAAACACTAAGCAAGTAGTAGGGACCTGGGCAAAATACTTAACATTTCTGAGTTGTTTTCTCATTTTTAAAGTGTGGGAATAATACCTAAATCGGGTAGAAAATTTTCACATTATAGCTAATGTATAAAGTTCTTAAAAGTGCTTGCTTTAGCATAAGTTTTTGAACCCGAAACATAGAAACATTAAACTAGAATAAAACATAAATATTTTCTAATTAATATGCATGCTTACCTAAGTAGAACTCTTTTAGTAGCTTACTGTGGCTTTTAAAAAATTAAACTGTAAGTGATGAATGGCCTACTTCTTGAATAACCTAAGAAACCATAAAGTTTCCATCTGTTATTTCTAAGTTTATATTTAAGAGAATTCTATATTTGCCAAGTCCAAATGTCAAAGTTTTAACATTGCCCTTCCATCAGCCAAGTTTAACTAGGAAGGTAGAGAAAATATTTCTGCAGTCATCAGAGAAATGGTGATGCATAGCTTGGAATTATGTTGCTTTGAGCCAGTGAATATTCCTATATTTCTTCCTAAAAAAAAGAAAAGAGAAGAACAAAGAAAGAAAAAATAGAAAAGGAAAATCGTCATAGGAGACGATGTCTCTCATAGGAGAGACATGACCACTTAATGGGGAGGAGTTTTTACTAATTATAGTTTTTCGCCAAATATCCTCAGTCATTATTACATTAGATCATTATTGAAGTCAAATAAGTTTATGAAATCAATTATACAAATATATGAAATTTTTATTGTTCCAACATTTTCTTATTTTGCAAAATTTCAAGTCTTCAGAAGTGTTGAGTAAGACAGTACAATACATACTCACATACCCTTTATTAGATGCACCTGTTTTTGATCCATTTAAAAGTAAGATGCAGATATCATAATCCATCACCCTAAATATTTCAACACGTATCTATTAAGAATAAGAACATTTTTCAGCACATGGGTAATACCATCACACTCGCGACATTTAGCATTGATTAATATTGTATAAAATAGTTCACATTCAAATTTCCCCATTGTCTCAATAGTTTTTCTGGTCATTTTAACATTTATATGGGATCCAATCAAATATCACTTTGCATTTAAGTTATCAAGTCCCTTTACTCTCCTAGAACTGTCAACTCCTTTTCTTTTCCTCCTTCTTCCTCTCTTCCTTCTACTCCTTCTTTTCCTTTTTTTACCCATGACATTGCCCTTTTTTTAAGTCTGGCCAAGTTATTCAGTAGATCATATTACATTCTAGAATTTTATAATTGTTTCTTCTTGATTATATACATATTAAATATTTTTTCAAAAATATTTTATAATAGGTATTATATACTTATATCGTAACAAAGTAACAGAATTTGGCATGTCTTCCTATTATTGGTATGATGTTATGTATATACATATTATATACATGTATGCATATGTACATATTATATACATATGCATATCATATACATATGTGAATATGTATATGACATTTATATGTCATATACATATATGTGTATATATATATAATAACATCATACCAATAATAGGAAAATCTGACAATTTTATATGTACGCCCACACACACTGTTTTTTTTCGTAGTTCCTGGCTCATAACTTCCATAGCCCTTGTTACAACCTTCTGTTTTAATTTGGGTAGTTAGGCCTCAGGGGCAGGCTTAAGGAAATAGAATCACTCTGATCTTCTGCCTCCTTTTCACCTGCCTCAATGCAGGACTCCAATTTTACCCAACCTCCCTGACTGTGGGTTTTAAGACCCTTTCCACAGAGGGTCCCTCCCTATGTCTTGGGGTAAAGAATGCTAACATCATGCAGCTTCCACCGAAACCCAAGAGGCTGGGTTCCTGGGCTTCCAGATAGCAGAAAATGAGGAGGTTCCTGGAGGGTGGCACACCCAGGGAGGGCATGGAATTCCAGAACCCCAATTTGCAGCCAGTTGATCAGAAGTTCTGGAAGCCCAGACTAATTTCTGGGGTTTGGGGAACAGTCCTAGGGGCTGACCTCTCAGGCTGCGGGATCTAACACTATCTCCAGATAGTGTTGCAATTGAATTGGAGGACAGCCAGCTGGTGTCTGCTACTTGGTGTGTGGAGGAAAATTCCCAGACATTTGCTCACATAAGTCTTCTATGTTGATGATTGCTGTGGTGGTGTAAGAGCAGAAGAGAAACACAGTTTTAGAATTTTTCTCTAAATAATTGATGACATTACTTTTGAACGTGTGATTAAGGTCATGTTCATCAACTATCTCATTGCAAAGGACCCTCTTCTCTTCATAATTGACAAGAAATCTGTGGAGTAACACTTTGACCCTGCATGAATATCTTATTCTCAAAATCTGTAATCCAATAATTTCAGTGTTTATTGGTAACCTTTGACTGAATCAATTATTACAATGATACTTGCAAATGGTAATTTTCTATCTCTATCATTCTTTCTACATTTATTAGTTGGCATTCTTCTATTAAGAAAAGTTAGCCATGCATGCTGGTTCATGCCTATAATTCCAGCATTTTGGGAGGCTGAGGCAGGAAATGGCTTGAACTCATAAGCTTGAGACCAGCCTGGGCAACAAAGAGAGAACCTGTCTCCACAAAAAAAGTTGAAAAATAATCTGTGTGTGGTGATGTGCATCTGTGGTCCAGGCTACCTAGGAAGCTGAGGTGGGAGGATCTCTTGAGCTTGGGAGACTGTGAGTGCAGTGAGCTATGATCATGCCATTGCACTCCAGCCTGGGCAATGGAGAAAGACTTTACCTCAAAAAAAAGAAAAGAGTAAAGAAAAAGAAAAAAACAAAAGCTTTTCTTCCCTCCTTCCTCCCTCTTATTTAAGCAACATAATGGATCCAGTAACAATTTTTCATTACATTTTAATCCATTGATGTAATTATAATTTTGATGTTCAAAATATTTCATATTTGGTTAGAGGAAGTCCCTTCAAGTAGACTCATCTATTTTTTTATGCATTTCCATCAGTTTTTGAGAACTTCCTGCTTTTAAGTTTTATTTTGCAATCTGGTCCTAATTGAAAGATTTACAAAACTTCATATCACCACTTTTTTTGTCTATTGGAAATTTATTAAATTATTGAGACACAAATTAGAATAATTGCTAAGCTTAGAATAACTTGGGTTCGAGGCTGAATCTATGATACACTAACTGCACATTTATGGATAAGTAACCTATCCACTTTAACTATCAGACTCTAAAGTACGGATTAATATCATGCCTACCTCATTGAATTGTTTGGAAGATTAAGTAAGATAATACATGAACAGCATTAGCAGTGCCCAGTATTAAATACTTAATATGTTAGCTATTCTAGAATTACATAATATTGTAAGCTATTGGGCAGTCAGTGGAATATTACAACTTTAGAAATACTTACCCTTTAATCTCCTTTATGAACTGAAGCCACCTATTTCTTATACCAGACTTTTCAATCAGTCTGTCCCCCCCCAAAAAATTTTATTATTCACTTAAAAAAGATTGGATCACTAGAGCCTCACAGGTGACCTTTCAAATTTTGACTATGCAGTTTTCCATTTTATATTTCACATTATTTTACTAAAATTTGTATTTAATTGACAAGCAGCATTATCTATTTTTACCATCTGATGAAGCCTTGTTTCCACAGGAAAACTGGGTCAGTCAAAGCAACAGTAGACTGGCTCATTGTCACAGTGGTTTGATTTCCTAAGAGCTAAATCTTGTGGGAATTTTGGAATGTCTCTTAGGAATGAACAAATATTTTGTTTCAAAATCAATATATATCACAGTCAGCTTTGTACAAACAGAAGGCATTGTATTTTGAGGATTCACATAGTGTCTGGCCCAATACTTAAAGCCATCTCCAATCAATTAAATGGATTTTTTTTTTTTTGAGACAGAGTCTCACTCTGTTACCTAAGCTGGAGTATAATGGGGCAATCTTGGCTTACTGCAATCTCTGCCTCCCAGGTTCAAGCAATTTACCTGCCTCAGCCTCCCAAGTAGCTGGGATTACAGGCGTGTGCCATCACAGCCAGCTAATTTTTATGTTTTTAGTAGACATGGCGTTTTGCCATGTTGGCCAGGATGGTCTTGAACTCATGACCACAGGTGATCAACCTGTCTTGACCTCCCAAAGTGCTGGGATTACAGACGTGAGCCTGGCTGAAATAAATTTTTTTGTAAATGTCCACTGAAGGTTCTATCTTTCTTAATTCCTGATCACCCAATACCCACTTTAATTAAAGGCTTCAGAAAGAAAAATAGGGCTATCGAAAAACTCTTATCAGGATAAGAATAATGGAATATTCAAGAAAAAGTGTCAAAGATTATCTTCAAATGAAGCTTATTTAGTTCTTAAACTATTCCAGGATAGCTTTTGAGCCTTGGGAAATAAGATAAAAATCTTTATTTCCAGTCTTTTCTGTAATGTCATATGTCTCATTTTAAATTATATTTAATGGATGATTATGGTCAAACTATTATGTGCATGGTTAGATATACTACTACTCCAAACACATATCAATAGCAATAAAGCATGGATCTGAAGTAAAAGCACAAAATGGTAACCTGGAAGAAAATTACAGGCCTAATGGCCTTCAAGGCTGGAAGCAGGCAGTGTTGCCCAATAGTTTGATAACTATGTGGTAATTAATATTTAAATTATCCATAAGAAATGGAAGGCAAGAGTCAAAATCACTGCTTGAGGCAAGAGTTACTATGAGAATTCTCAGTCATACAAGAAGACGTTAAAAAGCTACTGAAACATTGCCTTGGGCTAGATTTTCAAGGGAATATTTGTACCTAGGGTAGTGAGCAAAAAAAGACGCACACTCATGACTCAGGAACTGAATCAACTACTCACTATTTATATAACCATTTCTTGGGGCTCCGCTATCTTACAGTAAGACAGGAGACTCAAACCAATGTTACACCAGCTGATACTTCAGTAAGGTCACAAAGACAAGTATAGGAAAACACAAAACCCCCAAATCTTCTATATGGAGAGAAATAGAGGAAAGTTAACAGAAAACAAATGTGAAACTAAAAATCTTTCATTTCCCATGGATTACCAAACCAAAATATAAAATTTTCATTAGATATAAAAATTAAATGCCAAGAAAGGTAACCAAGAAAGTTAGCAAAGTGTCAACCCATTCCAGATGAAAAGAATGTGGGTAACACTCCAAAGGAGACTTCTCAAAAGCATGCCTAGGTTGGTCAGAGAAGTAAAGAAATAACATTTATTAAAAACAATTTAAAAAGCAGTACATATAAAATAAAATAGAGAATATAAAAAAGAACCAACAAAAATATTGAAAATGAAATCTATTTTCTGAAAAAAAGCTCAATAGTTAGAATAAAGTTTATGTAATCAAGATAAAATTTAATTTAAAAATTAGTCTAAAAATATTTACCAACATTTTCAACATAGAGAAATAAAGAGCAACTATGGGAATTGTAAGATTGATTAAGAAAAATTAAATTATTTAATATTAATTCAATGAAAATCTGATGGAGAAACAATTGTATTTTAAAGAAATAGTGACAGAATACTTTCCACAACCACAAAATACCCAAGTCCTCAGATTGTAGTAAAAGCTAATCACTAAAAACATTAAATTATGCTGAATATAAACTAATGAAAGTTTCATAAAACTGCAATCAAAGTGAAAGGGAAGATACAAGTTTATCACAGAGAAAATGTATTTCCCACAAATAACTATTATGCTGAACACAAAATATCCAGAAAAAAACATAAGCCACTAAGTATTTTATTTTATTTATTTTGCATTTTAATTTTAGAGACAGGGTCTCTGCTCTGTTGCCCTGACTGGAGTGCAGTGGCATAATCGTAGATTCCTGCAGCCCTAAACTCCTGATCAAGGGATCCTCCCAACTTAGCCTCTGGAGTTTCCAGGGCTACAGATGTGGTCTACCATGCCTGTCTAATTTATTTTCTATTTTTTGGTCTCAAAAAATAGAAAATATTGAGTCTGGTCTCAAACTCCTGAGCTCAATCAATC
This sequence comes from Homo sapiens, assembly GCF_000001405.40. Taxonomy (NCBI): domain Eukaryota; kingdom Metazoa; phylum Chordata; class Mammalia; order Primates; family Hominidae; genus Homo; species Homo sapiens. Next base: position 103,375,392 of record NC_000001.11, read on the forward strand.
CTCCTACCTCAGCCTCCCAAAGTGCTGGGATTACAGGCATGAGCTACCACACCTGGCCCTTCTAAGCATTTTGTATCCAGCTAAAAACAACCATGAAATGTGTGGGCAAAATGAAGATTCTCAATAAACAAACAAATGAAAACTACAGTTTTCTAAAACCTTTAGATACTCACTAAAAGAAGAAATGAATATTTGCCAAATGCAATAAACTACGCGCATTTTAAAATAATTTTATATTTTTATTGTAATAAAATATACATAAAATAAAATTCTTCATTTTGACCATTTTTAGGTGTAATGTTCTGTGGCATTAAGTATGTTCACATTGTAGGACAACTATCACTGCCATCCATCTCCAGAACACATTTCATCTTAGAAAACTGAAATTCTGTACCTATTAACAGTAACTCCCCACTCCTCTTCTCCCAGCCCCTGGAAACCATCATTCTACTTTCTCTATAAATTTGATTACTATAGGTACTTCATATAAATTGAATCACACAGCATTTTTCTTTTGTGAGTGGCATTATACATTGTTAGATGTGATTACATTAGAATTGAAATAATCTGTTTAGTGAAAGACACTGGAAACAAAGTTTAACTCAGATATCAATACTTATAAATAAGGAAACCATGCAATTCCATTTGCCCAGTGTAGTTCTAGTTTTCTTCTCTTATCTGGACATAATTATTAAGGATGCACTCTTTCATTCTTAAAAATGTTTTAGTTTAAATAAGTGATTATGGTCACCTTAAATAAAACTTTCTGAAGTTTAATGTACAAATTTTATAAAGAATATTTTAAAGTCTACAAAAAAGGACTAACTATGTTAGAGGACAATGGTTAGTGACTATTGAACAAAGAACTCATTGAAGAGAAAAGCTACATAGCTAATCACAACAAAAAGATGCTCAATCTCCTCAGAAATCAGGGATATGCAAATACACTAACTGCTAAACACCATTTCACACAATTAAAATAGGAAAAAAATAAAATCTGACAACTGTGAATGCTGAAGATGTTCTGAAGAAACAAAAGCGCAACCTTACTTTTATGTGTGTATATGGGTATAACCAATTCCAGGATAATTTTGTTATCTAATGTGTATAATCTTTTTTTTTTTACATTTTACTTGTTTTATTGGTATTTTTAAAAATAATGTGCCATGACTATAGTACGATTAATTTTGCAAATCTGTTTGATACGACTGACCTTCCATATTCTTTTTTTTTTTTAATACTTGAAGTTCTAGGGTACATGTGCACAACGTGCAGGTTTGTTACATATGTATGCATGTGCCATGTTGGTGTGCTACACCCATTAACTCATCATTTACATTAGGTATTTCTCCTAATGTTATCCCTCCCCACTTCCCGCACCCCATGACAGGTCCCAGTGCGTGATGTTCCCCACCCTGTGTCCAAGTGTTCTCATTGTTCAATTCACATCTATGAGTGAGAACATGCGGTGTTTGTTTTACTAGTTCAGCCATTGTGGAAGACAGTGTGGTGATTCCTCAAGGATCTAGAACTAGAAATACCATTTGACCCAGCCATCCCATTACTGGGTGTATACCCAAAGGATTAGAAATCATGCTGCTATAAACACACATGTACACATATGTTTATTGAGGCACTATTCACAATAGCAAAGACTTGGAACCAACCCAAATGTCCATCAATGATAGACTGGATTAAGAAAATGTGGCACATACACACTATGGAATACTACACAGCCATAAAAAAGGATGAATTCATGTCCTTTGTAGGGACATGGATGAAGCTAACATGTATAATCTTTCATTTAAAAATTCTATTTTGTCTGGGAGCCAAGATGGCCAAATAGGAACAGCTCCAGTCTACAGCTCCCAGTGTGAGTGACACAGAAGACGGGTGATTTCTGCATTTCCAACTGAGGTACTGGGTTCATCTCACTGGGGAGTGCTGGACAGTGGGTGCAGGACAGTGAGTACAGTACACCATGTGTGACCCAAAGCAGGGCAAGTCATCGCCTCACCCGGGAAGCACAAGGGGTCAGGGAATTCCCTTTCTTAGTCAAAGAAAGGGGTGACAGATGGCACCTGGAAAATTGGGTCACTCCCACCCTATTACTGCACTTTTCCAATGGGTTTAACAAATGGCACACCAGGAGATTATATCACGCACATGGCTTGGTGGGTCCTACACCCACAGAGCCTCGCTCATTGCTAGCACAGCAGTCTGAGATCAAACTGCAAGATGGCAGTGAGGCTGTGGGAGGGGCACCCTCCATTGCTGAGGCTTGAGTAGTTAAACAAAGCAGCCAGGAAGCTCGAACTGGGTGGAGCCCACCACAGATCAAGGAGGCCTGCCTGCCTCTGTAGGCTCCACCACTGGGGGCAGGGCACAGACAAACAAGAGGCAGCAATAACCTCTGCAGACTTAAATGTCCCTGTCTGACAGCTCTGAAGAGAGTAGTGGTTCTCCCAGCATGCAGCTTGAGATCTGAGAATGGGCAGACTGCTCCTCAAGTGGGCCCCTGACCCCCGAGTAGCCTAACTGGGAGGCACCCCCCAGTAGGGGTGGACTGACACCTCATACAGCCGGGTACTCTGAGACAAAACTTCCAGAGGAACAATCAGGCAGCAGCATTTGCGGTTCAACAATATCTGCTGTTCTGCAGCCACTGCTGCTGATACCCAGGAAAACAGTGTCTGAGTGGACCTCCAGCAAACTCCAACAGACCTGCAGCTCAGGGTCCTGACTGTTAGAAGGAAAACTAAGAAACAGAAAGGACATCCACACCAAAAGTCCATCTGTACATCACCATCATCAAAGACCAAAGGTAGATGAAACCACAAAGATGGGGAAAAAACAGAGCAGAAAAACTGGAAACTCTAAAAATCAGAGCGCCTCTCCTCCACCAAAGGAATGCAGCTCCTCACCAGCAAAGGAACAAAGCTGGACAGAGAATGACTTTGATGAGTTGAGAGAAGAAGACTTCAGACAATCAAACTACTCCAAGCTAAAGGAGGAAGTTCGAACCAATGGCAAAGAAGTTAAAAACCTTGAAAAAAATTAGACAAATGGATAACTAGAATAACCAATGCAGAGAAGTCCTTAAAGTACCTGATGGAGCTGAAAACCACGGCACAAGAACTACATGATGAATGCACAAGCCTCAGTAGCTGATACAATCAACTGGAAGAAAGGGTATCAGTGATGGAAGATTAAATGAATGAAATGAAGTGAGAAGAGAAGTTTAGAGAAAAAAGAATAAAAAGAAATGAACAAAGCCTCCAAGAAATATGGGACTATGTGAAAAGACCAAATCTACGTCTGATTAGTGTACCTGAAAGTGACGGGAAGAATGGAACCAAGTTGGAAAACGCTCTGCAGGATACTATCCAGGAGAACTTCCCCAATCTAGCAAGGCAGGCCAACATTCAAATTCAGGAAATACAGAGAACCCCACAAAGATACTCCTCGAGAAGAGCAACTCCAAGACACATAATTGTCAGATTTACCAAAGTTGAAATGAAGGAAAAAATGTTAAGGGCAGCCAGAGAGAAAGGTCGGGTTACCCACAAAGGGAAGCCCATCAGACTAACAGCTGATCTCTTGGCAGAAACTCTACAAGCCAGAAGAGACTGGGGGCCAATATTCAACATTCTTAAAGAAAAGAATTTTCAACCCAGAATTTCATATCCAGCCAAACTAAGCTTCATTAGTGAAGGAGAAATAAAATACTTTACAGACAAGCAAATGCTGAGAGATTTTGTCACCACCAGGCCTGCCCTAAAAGAGCTCTTGAAGGAAGCACTAAACATGGAAAGGAACAACCAGTACCAGCCACTGCAAAAACATGCCAAATTGTAAAGACCATCAAGGCTAGGAAGGAACTACAACAACTAACGAGCAAAATAACCAGCTAACATCAAAATGACAGGAACAAATTCACACATAACAAGACTAACCTTAAATGTAAATGGGCTAAATGCTCCAATTAAAAGACACAGACTGGCAAATTGGATAAAGAGTCAAGACCCATCTGTGTGCTGTATTCAGGAAACCCATCTCACATGCAGAGACATACATAGGCTCAAAATAAAGGGATGGAGGAAGATCTACCAAGCAAATGGAAAACAAAAAAAGGCAGGGGTTGCAATCCTAGTCTCTGATAAAACAGACTTTAAAGCAACAAAGATCAAAAGAGACAAAGAAGGCCATTACAAAATGGTAAACGGATCAATTCAACAAGAAGAACTAACTATCCTAAATATATATGCACCCAATACAGGAGCACCCACATTCATAAAGCAAGTCCTGAGTGACCTACAAAGAGACTTAGACTCCCACACAATAATAATGGGAGACTTTAACACCCCACTGTCAACATTAGACAGATCAACGAGACAGAAAGTCAACAAGGATATCCAGGAATTGAACTCAGCTCTGCACCAAGCGGACCTAATAGACATCTGCAGAACTCTCCACCCCAAATCAACAGAACATATATTCTTTTCAGCACCACAGCACACCTATTCCAAAATTGACCACATAGTTGGAAGTAAAGCACTCCTCAGCAAATGGAAAAGAACAGAAATTATAACAAACGGTCTCTCAGACCACAGTGCAATCAAACTACAACTCAGGATTAACAAATGCACTCAAAACCGCTCAACTACATGGAAACTGAACAAACTGCTCCTGAATAACAACTGGGTACCTAACGAAATGAAGGCAGAAATAAAGATGTTCTTTGAAACCAACAAGAACAAAGACACAACATACCAGAATCTCTGGGATACATTCAAAGCAGTGTGTAGAGGGAAATTTATAGCACTAAATGCCCACAAGAGAAAGCAGGAAAGATCTAAAATTGACACCCTAACATCACAATTAAAAGAATTAGAGAGGCAAGAGCAAACACATTCAAAAGCTAGCAGAAGGCAAAAAATAACTAAGATCAGAGAAGAACTGAAGGAAATAGAGACACAAAAAACCCTTCACAAAAAACCTGAATCCAGGAGCTGGTTTTTTGAACAGATCAACAAAATTGATAGAATGCTAGCAAGACTAATAAAGAAGAAAAAAGGGAAGAATCAAATAGATGCAATAAAAAATGATAAAGGGGATATCACCACCGATCCCACAGAAATACAAACTACCATCAGAGAATACTATAAACACCTCTATGCAAATAAACTAGAATATCTAGAAGAAATGGATAAATTCCTTGACACATACACCCTCCCAAGACTAAACCAGGAAGAAGTTGAATCTCCGAAAAAACCAATTACAGGCTCTGAAATTGAGGCAATAATTAATAGCTTACCAACCAAAAAGAGTCCAGGGCAAGATGGATTCACAGCCAAATTCTACCAGAGGTACAAGGAGGACCTGGTACCATTCCTTCTGAAACTATTCCAATCAATAGAAAAAGAAGGAATCCTCCCTAACTCATTTTATGAGGCCAGCATCATCCTGATACCAAAGCCTGGCAGAGACTCAACAAAACGAGAGAATTTTAGATGAATATCTTTGATGAACATCGATGCAAAAATCCTCAATAAAATACTGGCAAACCGAATCCAGCAGCACATCAAAAAGCTTATCCACCATGATCAAGTGGGCTTCATCCCTGGGATGCAAGGCTTGTTCAACATACACAAATCAATAAATGTAATCCAGCATATAAACAGAACCAAAGACAAAAACCACATGATTACCTCAATAGATGCAGAAAAGGCCTTTGACAAAATTCAACAGCCCTTCATGCTAAAAACTCTCAATAAATTAGGTATTGATGGGACGTATCTCAAAATAATAAGAGCTATCTATGACAAACCCACAGCCAATATCATGCTGAATGGACAAAAACTGGAAACACTCCCTTTGAAAACCGGCACAAGACAGGGATGCCCTCTCTCACCACTCCTATTCAACATAGTGTTGGAAGTTCTGGCCAGGGCAATCAGGCAGGAGAAGGAAATAAAGGGCATTCAATTAGGAAAAGAGGGAGTCAAATTGTCCCTGTTTGCAGATGACATGATTGTATATCTAGAAAACCCCATCATCTCAGCCCAAAATCTCCTTAAGCTGATAAGCAACTTCAGCAAAGTCTCAGGATACAAAATAAATGTGCAAAAATCACAAGCATTCTTATACATCAATAACAGACAAACAGAGAGCCAAATCATGAGTGAACTCCCATTCACAATTGCTTCTAAGAGAATAAAATACCTAGGATTCCAACTTACAAGGGATGTGAAGGACCTCTTCAAACCACTGCTCACTGAAATAAAAGAGGATACAAACAAATGAAGAACATTCCATGCTCATGGGTAGGAAGAATCAATATCATGAAAATGCCCATACTGCCCAAGGTAATTTATAGATTCAATGCCATCCCCATCAAGCTACCACAGACTTTCTTCACAGAATTGGAAAAAACTACTTTAAAGTTCATATGGAACAAAAAAGGGGCCGCATTGCCAAGTCAATCCTAAGCCAAAAGAACAACGCCAGAGGCATCACACTACCTGACTTCAAACTATACTACAAGGCTACAGTAACCAAAACAGCATGGTACTGGTACCAAAATAGAGATATAGACCAATGGAACAGAGCAGAGCCCTCAGAAATAATGCTGCATATCTACAACTACCTGATCTTTGACAAACCTGACAAAAACAAGCAATGGGGAAACGATTCCCTATTTAATAAATGGTGCTGGGAAAACTGGCTACCCATACGTAGAAAGCTGAAACTGGATCCCTTCCTTACACCTTATACAAAAATTAATTCAAGATGGAATAAAGACTTACGTGTTAGACCTAAAACCATAAAAACCCTAGAAGAAAACCTAGGCGTTACCATTCAGGACATAGGCATGGGCAAGGACTTCATGTCTAAAACACCAAAAGCAATGGCAACAAAAGCCAAAATTGACAAATGGGATCTATTTACACTAAAAAGCTTCTGCACAGCAAAAGAAACTACCATCAGAGTGAACAGGCAACCTACACAATTGGAGAAAATTTTTACAACCTATGCATCTGACAAAGGGCTAATATTCAGAATCTACAATGAACTCAAACAAATTTACAAGAAAGAAACAAACAACCCCATCAAAAAGTGGGTGAAGGATATGAACAGACACTTCTCAAAAGAAGACATTTATGCAGCCAAAAAACACATGAAAGAATGCTCACCATCACTGGCCATAAGAGAAATGCAAATCAGAACCACAATGAGATATCATCTCACACCAGTTAGAGTGGCGATCATTAAAAAGTCAGGAAACAACAGGTGCTGGAGAGGATGTGGAGAAATAGGAACACTTTTACACTGTTGGTGGGACTGTATCTAGTTCAACCATTGTGGAAGTCAGTGTGGCGATTCCTCAGGGATCTAGAACTAGAAATACCATTTGACCCAGCCATCCCATTACTGGGTATATATCCAAAGGACTAAAAATCATGCTGCTATAAAGACACATGCACACGTATGTTTATTGTGGCACTATTCACAATAGCAAAGACTTGGAACCAACCCAAATGTCCATCAATGATAGACTGGATTAAGAAAATGTGGCACATATACACCATGGAATACTATGCAGCCATTAAAAATGATGAGTTCATGTCCTTTGTAGGGACATGGATGAAGCTGGAAACCATTATTCTCAGCAAACTATTGCAAGGACAAAAAAACCAAACACCGCATGTTCTCACTCATAGGTGGGAATTGAACAATGAGAACACATGGACACAGGAAGGGGAACATCACACACTGGGACTGTTGTGGGGTGGGGGGAGTGGGGAGGGATAGCATTAGGAGATATACCTAATGCTAAATGACTAGTTAATGGGTGCGGAACACCAACATGACACAGGTATACATATGTAACAAACCTGCACGTTGTGCACATGTAGCCTAAAACTTTAAGTATAATAATAATAAAATTTAAAAAAAATAAAAAAAATAAAAATTCTGTTTTTAGATACACTTCTTAGAGACACTCTTGCACATGTTCACGAAAGGTGTACAAAAAACTAAGCACAACAGTGTACAATAGCAATAATTTGAAACACCTCAATCATCAATGTTCATCAACAGAGAATGAATCAATACATTTTAGTATAATCATATCATTTAATATTATATAGTAATTACAGTTAGTTAATTAGAGCTGAAAGTATTAGCAGATAAATGTCCTATCAACATAATCATAGTAAGGGAGGAAGCATGTGATGAATAAAACAAATTATAGCATCACTTATATAAAGCTTGAAATCATATAAAATAATATTATATATTGTATGTGGTACACCCATATGTTGTTATGTATACAAATCCATGGGAAAGCCAGATATCAAATTTAATATAATACATAACCAAGGGATGTGGTAAGAGGAAAATTGAATCCTTGGAAATTTCAAGAAGTTTCAATTGTATCTCTAACATTTTATTTTATTTTTTTCTACCAAATTATGAGAAACAAATATAACAAAATTTTAAGGACCTGATAAAATTTATTATTCAGCCCACATTCACTTTTTATATGTTTGTCTTTTTCTATATAATTGAAATATCTCATTCAAATTTTTAACATTAAAGATAACATAAATGCATAACCTCATGCCTAACCAAAATAGCATGGTTTTTTTTTTAAGTTTTATCTTTCCTTGCTATTTTTCTTTTTTTTTTTTTCAACTTTTAAGTATGGGGCTACATGTAAAGGTCTGTTGTACATATTATTTCATCACCCAGGTATTTAGCCCAGAACACAAGAGTTATGTTTTCTGCTCCTCTCCCTCCTCCAACCCTCCATCCTCAAGTAGATCCCAGTATTTGTTTTTCCCTTCTTTGTGTTCATGAGTTCTCATCATTTAGCTCACACTTATAAATGTGAATATGTTATTTGATTTTCTGTTTCTGTGTTAAGGGTTGCTGAGGATAATGGCCATCCATGTCCCTGCAAAGAACATGATCTTGTTCCTTTTTACAGCTGCATGGTATTCCATCTTGTGTATGTTTTTTTTTTTTTAATCCAATCTGTCATTGATGGGCATTTAGGTTGATTCCACATCTTTGCTACTGTGAATAGTGCTGCAATGAATATTTTCATGCATGTGTCTTTATGGTAAAATGTTTTATATTCCTCTGGGTACATACCCAGTAATGGGATTGCTGGGTTGAATGGTAGTTCTACTTTTAGCTCTTTGAGAATGTGCCACACCGCACAATGGTTGAACTAATTTACAGTCCCACCAACAGTGTATAAGTGTTCAATTTTCTGTGCAACCTCACCAGCACCTGTTACTTTTGGACTTTTTAATAATAGACATTCTGACTGATGTGAGATTATATCTCATTGTGGTTGTGATTTACATTTCTCTAATAACCAATGATATTGAGCTTTTTTTTCCATACTCTTGTTGACTGCATGTACATTTTTTTTGAAAAGTGTCTGTTCATGTCTGTTGCCCACATTTTTATAGGGTTGTTTTTCTGTTGTAGATTTGTTCCAGTTCTTTATAGATGCTGTATATTAGGCCTTTTTCAGATGCATAGTTTGCAAATATTTTTCCCATTCTGTAGGCTGTCTGTTTATTCTGTTGATAGTTTCTTTGGGCAGAAGCTCTTCAGTTTAATTCCATCCCATCTGTCAATTTTTGCTTTTGTTGCATATTGCTTTTGCAATTTTTTGCCATGACATCTTTGCCCATTTCTATGTCCAAGATGGTATTGCTTAGGTTGTCTTCCAGGGTTTTTATAGCTTTGGGTTTCATATTTAAGTCTTTAATATATCTTTAGTTGATTTTTGTATATGATATAAAGAAGAGGTCCAGCTTCAATATTTTGCATATGGCTAGCCAGTTATCCCATCACTATTTGTTGAGTAGGGAATCCTTTCCCCATTTCATTTTTTTGTGTAAGCTCTGTTGAAGATAAGATGGTTGTATGTGTGTGGACTTATTTCTGGTTCTCTATTCTGTTCCATTAGTCTACAGGCCTGTCTTTGTACCAGTGCCATGTTGTTTTGGTTATTGTAGCCCTGAAGTACAGGTTAAAGTCAAGTAGCATGATTCTTCCAGCTTTCCTCTTTTTTCTTAGGATTGCCTTGGCCATTCAGGCTATTTTTGATTCCACATGAATTTTAAAATGGATTTTTTTCCAATTCTGTGAAGAATGTCATTGATAGTTTGAGTCAACATAGTATTGAAAGTCCTAGCCAGAACAATCAGGCAAAAGACAGAAAGAAAGGACATCCAAATAGGAAGAGAGAAAGTCAAACTATTCCTGTTTGCAGATGACATGATTCTATATCTAGAAAACCCTGTAGTCTCGGCCCCAAAGCTGCTTCAGCTTATGAACAATTTCAGCAAAGTTTCAGGATACAAAATAAATGTTCAAAACTCACTGGCATTCCAGTACACCAAAAGCCAAGCCAAAGAGCCAAATCAGGAAGGCTATTCCAATTACAATTGCCACAAACAGAATAGAATACTTAATAATACAGTCAACCAGGGAGGTGAAAGATCTCTATAATAAGAATTAAGACACCTTGCTTAAAGAAATCAGAGAAGACACAAACAAATGGCAAACTAATGGAAAAATATCCCAAGCTTATGGATAGAAGGGACTGGCATTATTAAAACGGCCGTACTGCCCAAAGCACTTTATAGGGTCAATGCTATTCCTATCAAATTAACCTAAATCTCATCATTATTCTTAAAATAGTCTTGATTTTGGAGAAAATATAAAAATGTAAACAAGCAGAAATTGCTTACTATATCCCTAAGAATTTTTCTGATATATGAGAAATTCCTCATATCTATACTCCTGAAAATGGGACTCTGAATTCCAACAACTTTTCACAAATGTTTTTTAACAAAATCCATGTGCCAAGCACTGTTCTAGATGTTGAAGATACAGCGGTGAACAGACAACAAAACATTTTTCCTGTTGGCGCTTTTATTACAGAGATGAGAGGCAGATAATTAAAAAAAATAGGTAAACTGGATGCTTGTTTGAAGATGCTTAGCATGAAGAAAAGTTAAGTAGGGTAATAATTCCAGAGTAATAGGTGTAATTTTAAGTAAGGTGCTCAGAAAACAACTCATTACAAAGTTGTGATCAGAATGAAGATCTGGAAGAGATAAGGGAGCAAGCCATGCACACATCTGAGGTGTTGGGGCGAAGAAATATCCCTGAGAAAAGGAGCAGCAAATGCCTCAAAAGACATCAAGGATGCCAGTGTGCCGGGAGCAGGGCAAGTAAGGAAGAAGAGGTAGGAGATGAGGGCAGATTGTGTGTGGAGCCTTACATGCTGTTTAAGAATTTGAGCTTTAATTCTGAGTTAGATGAGAATTCTTTTGAGAATTTTGGGACATGAGATGACATTTTAAAAAGCTTACTCTGGCTGCTGTCAAAGTACAGGAGAGAAAGAATGGAAGCAGAGAGGCAAGTTAGGAAGCTATTGCCATACCCCAATGAGAGATTATGGTGCCCTACATCCTGGTGAAATTTATGCTTGAAAATACATCTGAAAATCTTTTGTGAAATATTTGGAATTATGGGATCTTTGGTCCTCTATGTTATTTTTTGAACCAACATGTGGAATATAAAGTTAGAGTGAACCACACAGTAAGGAAAGACACATAATGCTGACACATATATGGTGTGGTGTGTTATGGATAGGTGTTTGAGTGTACGTATTAATGATTTGACCAGAGAAAAGCTAAATGACCACAGGGAACAATCCCTTCTTTCCTTCTTAATCTGAAATATTTGCAAAGAGTTCTGGAAAGTTTCATAGATGTGCCATACAATGAAAACAAATTAAATGCTGAACTAAATGATTCTTTCTTCCCACAGTGTGATCTTTTTCCCTTCTTTCGGATATATTCATTTGTTTCTGACAAGATAATCACCACTGTTTTGTCAACCTTTATGAGATGGGTTATGTTACTGGGAAAAAGTCCTAGGGTCTCTATAAACGGAGAAAATGATCCCTCGTTGGCTAAGTGCTCATTGTACGGACCAAACAGTCTTACACCTTCTGAAAAGGCCTAAGGAAAGTTTTGTAAGTGTTTGGGAGTTGCTGTTTTTGAGCCAAATATCAAGTCACTTTGTGCTTGGACCTAGTTCTCTTTGTTCTCCACTGTGGCAATAAAGAACAGAAATATGTGCAAGATGAGGTGGCTCTTGTGAGCCCAGAAAATGCCAATTTATATGAAACCTAAATCAAATACTTGCTGCCTTAGACCAAAAAAAAAAAAAGAAAAAATTCAATTTTGAGGTCAGTAGACACTAATCTGTGGAATTTGAGGAGATATATTACTCAGTATTATTAACATTTGAAATTTCTACTACTATACTAAATTCATATTTTATAAATTATTACAAATAACACTATATTCTATTTTACTTATGTCACTAACTACTTACAAAATAATTTTCAAATTAACTATTTAATCATTACAAAGGTTTATTTATATCATTCTAGAAGGCTTAAAAAAACTTTGTTTCAATTACTAAGGAATATCTTAAATATGGTATTTTTAAGAATAATGCAAACATCTGAGATTTTAATAAGTGACTATCATATCCAGATGATGGCCTATTGTTTCCAGTCTGATGCCTGTGAAGCTGCCAGTCATGAAGACTCCCTCCCACGCAGCAGGCAGGCAAATGGCAAGCCTCCAGTGTGTTTATGAGTCTCATGCAGCCTGCTACCTACATGTTGATCAAGGCTGACAAAGAAAATCTGTCAGCCCTGGGTTACATTTCAAATAAAAGTTTTAAATACTATCTAAAATGCACATATTTTAATGCTTGCATTATTTACATTCTCACTCAAATTTTATTCTAGCATTAAAATGTATCTTTTATATACCCAAGATTTTGGAATGGCCAATGTTTTTTAAATGTAAATCAAATTCTATGTGAAATAGAGCCAGCAAATTTAAATCTCAGGAAAATATTTGACTCTATCAAAAATGCAACTTTCTATACTGTTTCAGGTTTTTTTTCTTTTGAGATGATTGTCATTAAATAAAACTTACATTTGAGAAATTCATATTTTTATTTGAAATGTAATTTTACTTGTTTATATTTAATTATTTTAATATTTCTCTAAAAATTAAAAAGTATATAACACATCTTATATCCTCAGACTCAATCACTTATATGTGGCATGATCATGTCCTAATATCCCCAAGTTTCTATCACCGGGAAAAGAATCAGCAAACACCAATAAGTAAATAATTTTTACTTTAGTTTTCATCTAGAATCTGACTATTGAGTACACTGCACCAGGCTCTAAGCTCATACCTATCACCCTTGCTATTATTCAATTGGTAGGTCTTCTGGTTTTCTCTTTCCACATATTTTCAACTTCGTATTGCTGTATGTTTCCTCTCTCCTTACCCATCCTACCACTGCACCCTTTCCTCATAGTCTTCTATAATTTTCCTTTTTAGAATTCTGTTCTACCCTAAAGATTCTCCTTTAGGTTTCCAATTCCTTCATAGAATGCTAGTTCATCTTACGTTTTCCAGACACAAATGCAGACAGAGGAGACAGATGTCAACATTTGGGACCTTGTATACAACGTTGATTTTACCTTCAGTTTGTCAACCTCAGTTTCAGTGATCTTCACTTTCATTCAATTTCAATCTCCTACTCCAGAAAACCTTTTGTCTTCTATAAGGATCAGCCTCTAAAATCTTGAGACTTAATAGGCTATTAAAAAAAATCATACCTTCTTTCTTTGTGTCTCTCTTATTTAAGTCATCTTATCCAATTTCACTGAAACATCTTTTTTCTGTACCACTTATTTTCATCCCAACCTATCAGGCTCTTTGATTTTCTTTCCTCCTGATGTAATATAGACGAAATAGTATTGTTTCAACCAGTCTTTCAATCCACTTCTTACACTAATTAAAAACTCCAAACACTTGACTAATGTACACTCTATCTGATTGTATACACATCACTACAGAAAAATTGTGCATCTATATTTTTGTGATCAAAAAAGTTTAAGGTCTCCAAACTGAGAAGTACCAAATTGGGAAATGAGAAGTACCTTCCTCACTGCCATTTTCATTGCAATCCAATTCAAAATTCATTATTCTCAAACTGCCTATAGCACCACCTTCTTCCCTCTGGCAAATGTCTACATTTCCCAATTTGTAAAAGAAAATAAGATCACTTTAACAAAATTTCATCAATTTTCCTGATACCCCACAACCAGATTTAATTGCATCCATCTCTACTTTTAATTCTATCTCAAAGCAGGTTGTCCTGTTCCTGTCTAAGGTCTATCTTTATTCCTGTGGTCTCCATCAATACTAACTGTTTTTATGTCATTAAATATTTTCCCTCATCTAATTCCTTTCTTACAATCTGCAAATGTGCTGTCTCTCCCACCTTAACAAACAACAACAAATATGTTCTTTGTTTATAATCGCCTTTACTATTTTCCTTCTCAACACATTCACTTTCAAATCACTAACACACACACACACACATAGATGCATTTATATACAGAGAGAGAGAAAGAAAGAAAAAATTTTAATTACTAAAATCTGAAACCTGGTTTTACTCCACTGAGATGGTTCTCTGCGTGGTCAACAATCCCTAGCTGGGAAATCTGATGTGTACTTTGCAATCACTTTACATGACCTGTTTGTAGTATTTGACTTTTTGATCTTTTCATCTTTGCAATTATTTTTATCTCTTGGTCTACATAAATCCACATATTTATCCACATACTTATTCCTTCAACAAATATTGATGGAGAAGATACTGTATGCTGCCTCTGTGCCGATTCAGGTTATATTCTTGTCCCTGTACCTGGAGTTCTGCCAATTTAATCCTGCCTTTCATGTAGAATTTGCCTCCTCCAATAAGACTTCTGACAAACTCAACCCTAAGTAATCTCTCCAGCCTCTATAATCGTATAAGGGTTACAGTATAAACTAACTCCTTTAGTATTTAATTATAACTACTTTGAATAGTTGAAGTATATCCTTTTTGGTCTTATGTCCTGAAGAAACTCACAATTGAGTTGAGAGTGCTTTCAAGGCAGTGACCATATGTTATGTTTTCTCTTTTCTGTTGCCTTTTAAGTGATAGAAAAATATTCAGTAAAACTATATTAATTTATCTTAATCTCCACATTCATGTTTCTCAATTATAAACTTCAAATGACACCAATTTAAACTTTCTTTCTCTAAACTTCTACCTATATGAATCAATCTGGCTACAGAACGATTATGCATTCAGGATATTTGTGCCTCTTCAGAATTTAAGGTCTTCAACCTGAGTTTGAACTGAGTCAAATTGCTCACTATAATATTTCATTTATATTCTCATTAAAAATTTGGAAGTATAAATAAAATTGATAATTGTATAATAAAATAGAATAAAATAAATTTCAGAGTAAGAGAACATTAAATGGCCAATTTCCATTAAAAAATTCCCTTTATCCCTCCATAAAGCAAAAGATCCCATCAATTTCAAAATGTTAAAGAGTAGATAATACATTATTTTTAATAAAATTGATTCCAACACTTAGGAGAAATTCCAAAACATAAAACAACAAAAATACAGACCAATCGTATTCATGAATATTGATGTAAAAGTCCATAATGACATAATTTATTTTACTCTAGCTTAATTTTTATTTTAAGGTCAGGGGTACATGTGCAGGATGTGCAGGTTTGTTACACAGGTAAACATGTGACATGGAGGTTGTTGTACAGATTATTTTATCACCCAGGTATTAGACCTGGTATACAAAAACTAACACAAGGTGGATTAAAAGACTTAAATGTAAAACCCAAAATTAGTTATTAGTTATTTGCTGATCGCCTCCCTCCTCCCACCTTCCAACCGCTGAGAGGCTCCCGTGTGTGTTGTTTCCCTCTATATGTCCATGTATTTTCATCATTTAGCTCCCACTTATAAATGAGAAGATGAGATATTTAGTTTTCTGTTTCCATGTTAGTTCGATGAGGAAGATGTCCTTCAGCTTCACCCATGTCCCTGGAAAGGACACAATCGTGTTCTTTTTTGTGGCTGCATAGTACTCCATGGTGTACATGTACCACATTTTTTTTTTTTATTGAGTCTATCATCTTTGATGGGCATTTAGGTTGATTCCATGTCTTTGCTATTGTGAATAGTGCTTGAGGGAACATACACATGCATGTGTCTTTATAATAATAGAATGGTTTATAATCCTTTAGGTATATACTCAGTAATGGTATTGCTGGGTTGAATGGTATTTCTGTCTTTAGGTCTTTGAGAAATAGCCACACTGTTTTCCACAATGGTTGAACTAATTTACACTCCCCAAAACAGTGTATAAGCATTCCTTTTCCTCCACAACCTCGCCAGCATCTCTTTTTTTTTTTTTTTTAATAATGGCCATTCTGACTGGTGTGAGACGGTATCTCATTGTGGTTTTGATTTGTATTTCTCTAATGATGAGTGATGTTGAGATTTTTTTTCATATGCTTGTTGGCTGCATGTATGTCTTCTTTTGAGAAGTGTCTGTTCAGTCTTTTGCCCACTTTTTAATGGGGTTGTTTTTTTCTTGTAAATTTGTTTAAGTTCCTTATAGATGCTGGATATTAGACTTTTGTCAGATGCATAGTGTGCAAAAATTTTCTCCCATTCAGTAGGTTGTCTGTTTACTCTGTTGATAGTTTCTTTTGCTATGCAGAAGCTATTTAGTTTAATTAGATCCCATTTGTCAATTTTTTGCTTTTTCTGCGATTGCTTTGGGTGTCATCATAAAATCTTTGCCTGTGCCTATGTCCTGAATGATATTGCCTAGATTGTCTTCCAGGGTTTTCATAGTTTGGAGTTTTAAATTTAAGTCTTTAATCCATCTAGAGTTAATTTATGTATATGGTGTAAGGAAGAATTCCAGTTTCAGTTTTCTGCATATGGCTAGCCAGTTCTCCTAGCACCATTTATTAAATAGGGAATTGTTTCCCTATTGCTTGTTTTTGTCAGGTTTTTCAAAGATCAGATAGTTGTAGGTGTATGGTCTTATTTCTGTGTTCTCTATTCTGTTCCATTTGTCTATGTACCTGTTCTTGTACCAGTATCATGCTGTTTTGGTTACTGTAGCCATGTAGTATAGTTTGAAGTCAGGTAGCATGATTCCTCCAACTTTGTTCTATTTGCTTAGGATTGCCTTGGCTATTTGGGCATTTTTTAGGTTCTATATAAATTTTAAATAGATTTTCCTAGTTCTGCACAAATGTCAGTAGTAGTTTAATGGGAACAACATTGAGTTTATAAATTGCTTTGGGCAATATGGCCACTTAAATGATACTGATTCTCTCTATTCTTAAGTGTAGAGAGTGTTTTCCATTTGTGTCATCTCTGATTTCTTTTAGCTATGGTGTATAGTTCTCTTCAGAGAGATCATTCACTTCCCTTGTTAGCTGTATTCCTAGGTATTTTATTCTTTTTGTGTCAGTTGTGAATGGGAGTTTGTTTGTGATTTAGCTCTTGGCTTGATGATTGTTGGTGTATAAGAATGTTAGTTGGCACATTAATTTTGTATCCTGGGACTTTTGCAAAGTTGTTTATCAGCTTAAGAAGCTTTTGGGATAAGATGATGGGGTTTTCTAGTCCTAGGATCATGTAATCTACAAACAGGGATAGTTTGACTTCCTCTCTTCCTATATGAATGCCCGATATTGCTTTCTCTTGCCTTATTGCTCTGGCCAGAACTTCCAATGTTATGTTGAATAGGAGTGGTGAAAATAGACATTCTTGTGTTGTGCCAGTTTTCAAGAGGAATGTTTCCAGCTTTTGCCCATTCAGTATGATGCTGGCTCTGGGTTTGCCAATATATGGCTCATTATTTTGAGATATGTTCCTTAAATACCTAGTTTATTAAGAGTTTTTAACATGAAGGGATTCTGTGTTTTATCAGAAGACTCTTCTTCTGCATCTATTGAAATAATCATGTCCTTTTTTTTTTTTTGGAAACAAAGCCTTGCTCCATTGCCCAGCCTGGAGTGCAGTGGCATAATCTCGGCTCACTGCAACCTCCACCTCCCATGTTCAAGTGATTCTCATGACTCAGACACCCGAGTAGCTTGGATTACAGGTGTGTGCCACCACTTCTGGCTAATTTTTGTACTTTTAGCAGAGATGGGGTTTCACCATGTCTGCCAGGCTGGTCTCAAACTCCTAGCCTTATGTGATCTGCCATCCACAGCCTCCCAAGGTGCTGGGATTACAGGCATAAACTATCATCCCTGACTTTGTCTTTAGTTCTGTTTATGTGATGAATCACATTTTTTGTTTTGCCTATGAACCAAACTTGCATCTGATAGATGAAGCCTACTTGATCACGGTGGATAAGCTTTTTGATGCACTGCTGGATTTGGTTTGCCAGTATTTTTTTGAGGATTTTTGCATTTGTGTTTGTCAAGGATATTGGCCTGAAGTTTTCTTTTTTTGTTGTGTCTCTTCCAAGTTTTGGTATCAGGATGATGTTTGCCTCAAAGAATGAGTTATGGAGGAGTCCCACCTTTTCAATTTTTGAAATCATTTCAGTAGGAATGGTACCAGCTCTTCTTTGTACATCTGGTAGAATTCAGCTGTGAATCCTTCTGGTCCTGGTCTTTTTTTGGTTGGTAGGATATTTATTACTGCTTCAATTTCAGAGATCATTGTTGGTATGCTTAGGGATTCAATTTTTTCCTTGTTCAGTCCTGGGAGGGTATGTGTATCCAGGAATCTATCCACTTCTTCCAGATTTTTTAGCTTGTGTGCATAGAGGTGTTTATAATATTCTCTGATGGTTGTTGGTATTTCTGTAGGGTCTGTGGACATATATCCCTTATTATTTCTGATTTTGTTTATTTGAATCTTCTATCTTTTCTTCTTTACTAGTCTAGCTAGTGTTCTACCTATTTCATTAATTTTTTTTTTCGAAAAAAAAACAGCTCCTGGATTTATTAATCTGTTGAATGGTTTTTCCACCTCTCTATCTTCAGTTAAGCACTAATTTTGGTTATTTCTTGTCTTTTGCTAGCTTTGGGATTTGTTTGCTCTTGGTTCTCTAGCTCTTTTAGATGTGATGTTAGATTTTTAATTAGAGATTTTTCTAGCTTTTTCATGTGGCCTTTAGTGATATAAATTTCCCCCAAACACTGCCTTAGCTGTGTCCCAGAGATTCTGGTACATTTTATCATTTTTCTCATTAGTTTCAAAGAACTTCTTGATTTCTGCCTTAATTTCATTATTTACCCAAAAGTCATTCAGGAACAGGTTATTCAATTTTCACATAATTGTATTGTGTTGAGAGAATTTCTTAGACTTGAGTTCTAATTTGATAGCACTGTGGTCTGAGAGGCTGTTTGTTATGATTTCAGTTCTTTGGCATTTTCCTAGAAGTGTTTTAATTCTGATTATGTGATCAATTTTAGAGTAAGTGTCATGTAGCTATGAGAAAAATGTATATTCTGTTGTTTTGGGGTGGAGAGTTTGTATATATCAATGAGGTCCAATTGATCAAGAGCTGAGTTCAGGTCCTAAATATCTGTGTTAATTTTGTATCTCATGATCTGTCGAATATTGTCAGTGAGGTGTTGAAGTCTCCCACTATTATCATGTGGAGGGTCTAACTTTGAAGATCTCTAAGAACTTGCTTTATGACTCTGGGTGCTCTTGTGTTAGGCGCATTTATATTTAGGATACGTAGCTCTTCTGGTTGTATTGAATCTTTTATCATTATGTAATGCCCTTCTTCGTCATTTTTGATCTTTGTTGGTTTAAAGGCTGTTTTGTTGGAAACTAGGATTCCAACCCATGCTTTTTTCTGTCTTCTATTTGCTTGGTAAATTTTCCTCCATCCCTTTATTTTGGGTCTATGTGTGTCTTTTCATGTGAGATGGGTCTTTTGAAGACAGCATACCAATGAATCTTGGTTCTTTATCCAGCTTGTCACTCCATGTCTTTTAATTGGGGCATTTAGCCTGTTTCCATTTAAGGTTAGTATTGTTATGTATGGATTTGATCTTGTCATCATGATGCTACCTAGTTATTTTGCTGACTTGTTTATGTGGTTGCTTTATAGTGTCACTGGTCAGTGTGTTTTTGAAGTCGATGGTAGTAGTTTTTCCTTTCTATATTTAGTGCTTCCTTCAGGAGTTCTTGTAAGGCAGGTCTGGTGGTAATGAATTCCCTCGGCATTTGCTTATTTGAAAAGAATTTTGTTTTTCCTTCACTTACGAAGCTTAATTTGGCTGGATATGAAATTCTGGGTTAGAATTGCTTTTGTTTAAGAATGTTAAATATTTGCCCCCAATGTTTTCTGGCTTTTTGCATTTCCATTGAGAGGTCTGTTGTTAGTGTGATGAGCTTCTTTTGTAGATGACCTGGCCTTTCTCCCTGGATGCTATTAACACTTTTTCTTTCATATCAACTTTGCAGAATCTGAAGATTATGTGTCTTGGGGATGATCTTCTCACAGAGTATCTTACTGGGGTTGTCTACATTTTCTGAGTTTGAATGTTGGCCTGTCTAGCAAGGTAGGGCAAGTTCTACAGAGTGATATCCTGAAATATGTTTTCCAAATTGGTACTCTTCTCCTCAGCTCTTTCAGGTACACCAATCAGTTGTAAATTTAAGATTTTACATAATCCCATATTTCTTGGAGGTTTTGTTCATTCCTTTTTATTCTTTTTTCTCTATTCTTATCTGCCTGTCTTATTTCAGAAAGACAGTCTTCATGCTCTGAGATTCCACTGTTTGATCTATTCTGCTATTAATACTTGCAATTGCATTATGAAATTCTTGTATTGTGTTTTGCAGCTCTATCAGGTTGATTATGTTCTTCTCTATCCTAGCTCTTTTGTCAGCTTCAGCAATGTTTTATCATGATTTTTATCTTCCTTGCAGTAAGTTAGAATGTGCTTCTGTAGCTCAGTGAAGATCATCTTTATCCATATTCTGAGGTCTAGTGTTATTTCAGCCATGTCAGCCTTAGTCTCATTCCAAACCCTTGCTGGAGAGAGATGTGGTCATTTGGAGGAGAGAGGGAACTCTGGCTTTTTGAGTTTTCCATGTTCTTTGTGCTGATTCTTTCTCATTTTTGTGGGCTTATCTACCTTCAATCTTTGAGGTTGCTGACCTTTAGATTGAGTGTTTTTTGTTTGTTTGTTTGTTTTTTTCAGTCTGGCCACTTTTCTGTAGTGCTGGCGCAGTTTTCCAGGCATCTTCTTGAGTCCTGAGTCACCTCAGATTTTCTAGTACCTGAAGGTGTCATCAGTAAAAGCTGTGAAACAGCAAAGATGACTGCCTGCCCCTTCCTCTGGGAGTTCCATCCCAGGTGAATACAGAGCTGTTGCTAGCCTGAATGCACCTACAGGAGGGAGGAGGCTTGAGACCCTGGTTGGGATGTCTCACCCAGCCAAGTGGAACAGAATCAGGTACCTACTTAAATAAGTAGTTTAGCCTGCTTTTGTAGAGCAGCTGAGCTGTGCTGTGCTGTGCTGTGCTGAGGTGCTGTTTCTACGCCTCTTTGGTTTGGGCTTTCTAAAGCCTGGAGGCTGGAACTGCTAAGTTGCCAAAACAGCAAAGATGGCAGTCCACCCCTCCCTTTAGTAACTCAGTCCCAGAAAGTTTTCAAATCTCTGTCAGCCAAAGAACATCAATGGGAGTGGCTGGAGGCCTTGGTTCAGAAGTACTGCCCAGTGATGAGGAACAGATCAGGGAACTGCTTAAGGAAGCAGTCTTTCCATGCTTTCATAGAGAAGTTGTGCCATGCTGGCATACCACTTCCATCCCCAGATGGTCTGGACTCTCCTAAGCCAAGAGTCTGAAATGGCTAAGTTTTCCAAACAGTAAAGATGGTGGCCCGCCCCTCCTGAAATATTTTTAAAAGCCCCAGCATCATATTAAGAGAATTATGACCTAGTGGGATTTATTCCAGAAGTACACAGATGAATCAATATTGAACATGGTGATAACTCCAAGAAAAAATATCCTATGATGGCTGTCTCCATAGATGCTAATGTAGCATTTCATAAAATTCAACAATCTTTTGGATTTTTAAAAAATCACACAATAATTTAGTCATAGATAAATACTTCCTTAACATAAGAATTGTATATTTTTCCTTCAAATCCAGCATCATGCTTAATAGAAAATACTAAAAGCAATGCCACTAAAATAAAAAGAAAACTCAGGATCTCAGTGATAACATCTTTAGCTAATAGTGTAACTGTGATATTTTGTGCATATATATTCATAAATGTATGATTTAATTATAAATAGAAGCCTTTAGCAAAAGAAATGTTCCTTCATCTAGTTTAACGCTTTGGGGTCTGAATTTTATTTGTTTTATATTAAGATCACCACTCCTACTTTTTCTTTTAAATGTGTATTTTCATCATTTATTTTTGTTAGTCACTAAAATTATCCTGCTTAACATTCCCTTTTTGTGTCAGCCATAAACCAAAGCCACTGTAAGTATCATAGCAGTAAAAGGGTTAATTTAGCAATTAATTAGAAATTACACAAATGTTAGAGGAGCTAGAAAAGTGAAGTTCTGGAAATGGGGAATTGGAGGTTCAGAGAAATAGGCACCTACCACACTGCCTAAAGTACAGGCATGGGTGTGATGTCTGAATTTGTCAGAACATCCAAGAAGCCATGCACATCTGTCTACAAACATAGTCTGCACTGGGGATGTTTATAGAGTGACTAGAGAAAATGGCCTCCTGTGTGGGCTCTGCAGCCTCTGCCTGTGCATAACCATGGCCCTGATGGTGAACACTAAGTCAGTGTTGGTCAGCAGCTCAGATGTTCAGGAGATACATTGACTCAAAGCAGGAGGAGGACAAGAATAGCTGAGGTCTACCAGGTAAGCTGCATTTGACCATTACCATGTCTGACCACCACGGTCTTCCGAAAGAAATGTCCTTGGCTTCCCTTCCACCCTCCAGACCTTGCAGGAATTCCTGCCTTTGACCACTTCTAACCAGGCACCACAGAATGAAGAGGAATCTGGGAAACAGTTTCCAGACTTAGATAGTAGCAGTAATATCAGTTTGACAACAGATAATTCAGTATTCCTTCATGTGATTTAGTATGCTTATTTATATACTACATAATTAAAATTTTAGAATGACTTTGACTCACAGATATTTCAAATATGGCAATCAACAAACTTACTCTATTTTCCATGTTCTTCCTCTATTCTTCTCCTACTTTGTAAATGGTTGACATTTTCCCATTGTTAGGGCTTATTAAATTTATATTTGGTTTGTCCTCATCTCCACATTCCCTCTAGTCTTGGTTCTTAATAAGATATAGAGAGGAGGAAGGAATAAACCAGTCAGGCATGCAGTAAGTAAACCTCTTTCAAAATAAGAACACCCTAAAAATCAAGCTGCAGCTCCAGATAAGAAAGAGCCCACATCCTTGAATGGAAATGCCTACTCTCTGAACCTAGATGAACAAATTCCACTCCTTTTTTGGACACATTTCCCTCTCCTGTGCACCTTTGTCTCATTTCATGTGCTTCCTCCCAACTGGTCCTTACCTTCCACCTATTTTATGTATACCTATCTTTCTGTGATTGGCCACAGGATGAATCTTCATTTGCAAAAAGTGTAATGTCACTCCAGCCCCTGAATGATTGGGGGCCAAGCCTTCATCTCTGCCTTCAATTGGTTCTTTTCACTATTGTGTCTCTTTCTGAGTGGTGCTTTCTTCAAAACAGCCCACAGACCAGTGAGCACATTCCTACCCCTTCCCAGTCCATAAAGACCCCAAACGTAGCCCCACAGCCAGCAACTCTCTTTCAGGTCCCCTCTCTTTGCTGAGACCTTTTCTGTCATTTAATAAATCTGACTCTGCCTTACTCTTTTGTGTCCATGTGCCTTATTCTTCTTGACCATGGGACAAGAACCTGGAGCTCACTGGTGGCAGGAGTAAAAGAGTTGTAATACTTCCTCCCTCTCACCAAACAACAACAGGAGTGCAAAAGTTGGAACAATGTGTTCCAAGTTCATTACTTTTACATTGCTTTCCAGTTGCCCCTTGTTTGATTAAGGTTCATCAGTCAACAGTTTGCTCAATAAGCACTTATGGGAGCAATAACTCCTGAATAAATTATATATTCAAAACAATTTATCTGTTGAATTTTCACTTGAAGTATAACTTGGCTGAACAGATAATTATTGGCTTACACATTTCACCCTGCCTATCATATAGGTATCACTCTATTGTCCTGTGTTGCTGAATACTGCTCAAGAAAAACATGAGTTTGGATCAATTTGTTTTATTCTCTTTTACCTGACTTGATATTAGGCCTACCTTTGAAAAGCATTCTTTTTATTTTTAAGAATCAATAACTTTATTAAGATGTACCTCAGTATTGACCATTGTGGTTTAAGTTGCCCTGGCCTATGGTATGCCTTTTGAATAATATGAAACCAAGCCTTATTTTATTTCAGGAATGTTTGCTTTAATTATATGTTTCTATATTCTGTTCTATTATTCTAGCTTTCTTCTTGCTTAACTCCAATTATGTGTATTTTATTTCCTTTACTTTTCTTCAGTATCTAACCATTCCCTTGACATTTTTTGAACTCCTCCGTATTTCCATGTTATTTTGGTAACTTTTCTCATTCTGTACTCCAGGTCTCTTCCTCTGTTATCCTCAATGTATACATTGCCTTGTGCTTCTTCCAATTTTTTCTTCATTTCTGTGATATTTTTTGTTTCTTCTACTTTTTTCCTGTGTTCTGTCAACATACATTTCATTATCTCCTGTTTCCTTACCATATTTTCCCTAAAATCTTGTGTTTTCACTTTTAGGCCTTTCCTCATAGAAGTAATTATTTTATTATTTGATTTTTCTAACTTTTTAGTTCATGATTAAATTTTTGGTTAGAAATTTCTCCCGTCCCTTTTCATTTTGTGAGTTGTTCTTTGAGGAAGTCTTTCCCATTATATTTCTTATAGTATTTTTTGTGTCAATGTTGGGCTAACTTTTACTTCCAACTATGGAATAAAATAGATTTTTCTTGTCTAGATATTGTAAGATTTTCCTTTAAGAAGTACAATTTCACCAATATTTTCTAAGATATGTCACCATTCATCCATTTTTCTCCTCTGTATATTTATTTTATTCATTTTGCCCCATTTGTCATTTCAGGTTCTGTTTTGTCCTCTCCAGATCCCATGGTCCCTTGTTCATATTGGCCTTCCCTGAGATCTGCTGCTCCTGGGTCACTTTGCTCTTTCACTTCTGTGTGGCTTATTGTATTCGTCCATTTTCATGCTTCTGATAAAGATAGACCCAAGTCTGGGAAGAAAAAGAGGTTTAATGAATTTACATTTCCACATGGCTGGGGAGGCCTCACAATCATGGCAGAAGGCAATGAGGAGCAAGTCACATCTTACATGGATAGCGGCAGGCAAAAAGAGAGCTTGT
The DNA here is from genome assembly GCF_000001405.40 of Homo sapiens. Taxonomy (NCBI): domain Eukaryota; kingdom Metazoa; phylum Chordata; class Mammalia; order Primates; family Hominidae; genus Homo; species Homo sapiens. The sequence continues at coordinate 103,400,872 of NC_000001.11, forward strand.
GCAGGGAAACTCCTCTTTTTAAAACAATCAGATCTCACAAGACTTATTCACTATCATGAGAAAAGCACAAGAAAGACCCACCGTCATGATTAAATGATTCAATTACTTCCCACTGGGTCACTCCCATGACACATGAGAATTGTCGGAGTTGAAATTCAAGATAAGATTTGGGTGGGGGCACAGCCAATCCATATCATTCCACTCTGGCCTCTCCCAAATCTTATGTCCTCACATTTCAAAACCAATCATGCCTTTCCAACAGTCCCCCAAAGCCTTAACTCATTTTAGTATTAACCCAAAAGTCCACAGCAAAGTCTCATCTGAGAAAAAGCAAGTCCCTTCTACTGATGAGCCTGTAAAATTAAAAAACAGTTAGTTATTTCCTAGATAAAACAGGGGTGCAGGCATTGGGTAAATACAGTCACTCCAAAAGAGATAAATTGGCCAAAACAAAGGGGCTACAGGCCCCTGCAAGTCCAAAATCCAGCAGCACAATCAAATCTTAAACTCCAAAATGACCTCCTTTGACTCCATGTCTCACATCTGGGTCATGCTGATGCAAGAGGTGGGTTCCCATGGTCTTGGGCAGCTCCACCTCTGTGGCTTTGCAGGGTACAGACTCCCTCCCAGCTTCTTTCATGGGCTGGTGTTGAGTGTCTGTGACTTTTCTAGGTACACGGTGCAAACTGTAGGTGGATCTACCATTCTGGGCTCTGGAGGATGGTGGCCCTCTTCTCACAGCTCCACTAGGTGGTGCCACAGTAGTGATTCTGTGTGGGAGCCCTGACACCACATTTCCCTTCTGCACTGCCCTAGCAGAAGTTCTCCATGTAAGCCCCAACCCTGCAGCAAACTTCTGCCTGGACATCCAGACATTTCTGTACATCCTTTGAAATCTAGGTGGAGGTTCCCAAACCTTAATTCTTGACTTCTGTGCACCTGCAGGCTTAACACCACATGGAAACTGCCAATGTTTGGGGCTTGCAGCCTTTGAAGCCACAGCCTGAGCTATACTTTGACTTCTTTTAGTCATGACTGGAGCAGCTGGGATGCAGGGTATGAAGTCCCCAGACTGCACACAGCATGGGGACTCTAGGCCCGGCCCCTGAAACCATTTTTTTCTCCTAGGCCTCTGGGCCTGTAATGAGAGGGGCTGCCATAAAGACCTCTGACATGCTCTGGAGACATTTTCCCCATTGTCTTGGGGATTGACATTTGGCTCTTCATTACTTATGCAAATTTCTTCAGCTAGCTTGAATTTCTCCTCTGAAAATGAGATTTTTTTTTCTATCACATTGTCAGGCTGCAAATTTTCCAAACTTTTGTGCTCTGTTTTCCTTTTAAAACTGAATGCCTTTAACAGCACCCAAGTCACATCTTGAATGCTTTGCTGCTTAGAAGTGTCTTCCACAAGATACCCTATATCATCTCTCTCAAGTTTAAAGTTCCAAATTTCTGGGGCAGAGGTAAAATGCCGCCAGTCTCTTTGCTAAAACATAACAAGTGTCATCTTTTTTCCAGTTCCCAACAAGTTCCTCAACTCCATCTGAGACCACCTAGCCTGGACCTTATTGTTAATATCACTATTAACATTTTGGTCAAAGCCATTCAACAATTCTCTAAGAAGTTCTAAACTTTCTTACATTTTCTGTCTACTTTTGAACACTCCAAACTGTTCCAACCTCTGCTGTTGTGGGAAGTCAGGAACTCCAAATGGAAGAACCGGCTGAAGCCATGGCAGAAGAATGTGAATTGTGAAGATTTCATGGACATTTATTAGTTCCCCACTTTAATACTTTTATAATTTCTTATGCCTGTCTTTACTGCAACCTCTGAACATAAATTGTGAAGGTTTCATTGACACTTATCACTTCCCCAATCAATACCCTTGTGATTTCCTATGCCTGTCTTTACTTTAATCTCTTAATCCTGTCATTTTCATAAACTGAGGAGGTTGTATGTCACCTCAGGACCCTGTGATGATTGTGTTAACTGCACAAATTGTTTGTAGAGCATATGTGTTTGAGCAATATGAAATCTGGACACCTTGAAAAAAGAACAGGATAACAGCAATGTTCAGGGAACAAGAAAGATAACCTTAAACTCTGACCACTGGTGAGCCGGGTGGAACAGAGCCATATTTCTCTTCTTTCAAAAGCAAATGGGAGAAATATCACTGAATTCTTTTTCTCAGCAAGGAGCATCCTTGAGAAAGAGAATGCATCCCTGAGGGTGGGCCTCTAAAATGGCCCCCTTGGGTGTGGCTGTCTTTTATGGTCGAGCTGTAGGGATGAAATAAGCCTCAGTCTCTCATAGTGCTCCCAGGCTTATTAGGATGAGGAAATTCCCACCTAATAAATTTTGGTCAGACTGGTTGTCTGCTCTCAAACCCTGTGTCCTGATAAGATGTTATCAATGACAATGCATGCTGAAACTTCATTAGCAATTTTAATTTTGCCCCAGTCCTGTCATCCTGTGAACTCGCCCTGCCTCCATTTGCCTTGTGATATTCTACCACCTTGTGAAGCACGTGATCTCTGTGACCCCCACGCTATTCGTACACTCCCTCCCCTTTTGAAAATCACTAATAAAAACTTGCTGGTTTTACGGCTCAGGGGGCATCATGGAACCTACCGACATGTGATGTCTCCCCTGGATGCCCAGCTTTAAAATTTCTGTCTTTTGTACTCTGTCCCTTTATTTCTGAAACCAGCTGATGCTTAGCGAAAATAGAAAAGAACCTACATGAAATTGGGGGAAGGTTCCCCTGATACTCTGCCTGTTACCCAGTCCCAAAGTCGCTTCCACATTTTTGGGAATTTTTTTAGCAACACCCCACTCTACTGGTACCAATTTGCTGTATTAGTCCATTTTCACACTGCTGATAAAGACATATTCCAGACTGGGAAGAAAAAGAGGTTTAATGGACTTACAGTTCCACATGGCTGGGGAGGCCTCACAATCATGGCAGAGGCAAGGAGGAGCAAGTCATGTCTTACATGAATGGTGGCAGGCAAAAACAGAGAGCTTGTGCAGGGGAACTCCTCTTTCTAAAACCATCAGATAGGGTGAGACTTACTCACTATCATGAGAACAGCATAAGAAAGACCCACCCCCGTGATTCAATTACTTCCCATTGGGTCCCTCCCATGACATGTGGGATTTGTGGGAATTGTAATTCAAGATGAGATTTGGGTAAGGACACAGCCAAACCATATAACTCATACTATTTTTCAATTCATTCATTTTCTCTGCCAATTTTATTTGCCTTTAGCAGCCTTTGCACTTTAAAAATCTATGGGATATATTTGTTTTCTAGTTTCAATAGAAAAGGGAAGCAGTGTTTTTTTTTTTAACTTGCCTTGTTGTTTCTATAACACACATAGTAGGAAAATGGAAAACATTTACTAGAAGTGAATAATTCTGTTTTTACCTTTGAAAAGCAATAGTTTCAAAATAATCTGGCTTTATGTTCAGCAGCCAATTACATAATTTCCTTGCATACCATATGCTCCTTTCATTTCCAGAGTAGTTTCTTTCCTATTTTCTTCCTGATATATATCTTAGAAATCATCTTTTGTTCCACTGATTGGATTCTCCCTTCAGAGACACTGATTATATTTTACTGGTTTATCTCTTTTTGACATCTTTACCTTTTCAAGCTGAATGCACTGCATTGATCTCAGCTCTTCCTTTCATATCAGTATTTTAATTTGTATTGCTACTGATTTCTGTGCATTGCTATTTTTAATGGATGTATTTGGGCAATAATAATGTGTTTGCAGGCTCAATTTATTGTCTGGTGTATAATGGATGTTGTGGTGCACCACACACAGAGATGCTAATCTGCCATGAGTGTTAGCTGCTAGTGGCTCACAGCTTAGTTTTTGTCTGAGGATTGCCCTGGATCAAAAGGAGCTTCCTCAACCAAAGTTTCATGCCTTCCCTCCAAAGGAACAGATCATATTAAATGACGGGCCTATGGGAGCCACACACAAGCCTGGCCTCCTTGCCACAATTCAAGACAACAACAGTTACTCCAATCCCAGAACACCCCATGGGATTGCCCTAGGTCCCTGTCACAGCTTAACTTCTCCCTCTGCCCTACCTTGCTTCCCCCATTACCTAATATGCATTGCTCTGAGTGTACTTGTGGCAGATTAAAGATGGCCACACATTCTTTGACACTCCTCCCACCCAGGGGTCGGATCTAAGTTTCTTCCCCTTTAACTTGGGCTAACCTATGACTACTTCGATGAGCAGACTGCAGTGGAAGGAACAATATAACAGTTTAGAGCTAATCTTTAAGAGGAGTTAGAACCTTAGGAATTCCTGGAATTATATGGAAAGAGAGAAGAGTCCAGATGAGTGTGACTTTCTAGTAAGCTCTCCCAACACATGAGATGTGTGAGTGATCTGCAGATCAGTCCAGCTGCCAAGAGAATATAACCCCAAGTGACCACAGTCAACTGCACATGGAATAAAATAATCACTTAGCCAAGCCGTACCTATATTCTGACCTACATGATTGTGGGATATAATAAAGCAGTTTTTTTAAGCCCACGTTTTTTTGTTATGCAGCAATAGATAACTCAAACCGCATTTCTCACACTTAATCTACATTTCAGCGCCCGTATTTTAATAAATTAATTGATATGACAATTTATAAGGCAACCAATATGAGAAGTAATTCTAGGAAGCCGACCCAAAAATGGGTTTGCCAATGGTTTGTGTCACCATTGGCAGGTTAGCAATTAGGACATCATTATTTGTTGCTACATGGAAAATTAATGGCTCCTGTTATACTATGTCATTGCCATTGATGAAACCTCAACTAGAGGTGAATTGGGATCAAATACTAGAGGAAGGGAATGCACTGGCAGATTCAGTGTCTTGAGTGTTTGAGAGATGCAGACATAATAGTAACTACTAGGACTGCAGATTCAGATGGGTATTGCTGAGTGACACTGATGCATTAGTGAAAGACAATAAAAGGCTTAAAGTGATTAATCACTAGTAGAATTGAGGGCCTTCTTGGCATCATATAAATAGTCTCTTATTTCCTATAGTTGGAATGCAGACAAATGTTGTGAGTGAGGCTTAGATTTTAATTCTAAGGATGGCAAAGTTGAAGAGAAGTTTGCATGGCTAGGGCGTTACGCTATGTTCAGGTCCCTGACTGGACAAAGTGGAACACTGAGATTTGACTGAACCAGCTGGGTTGACACTGTTGAATACATTGAATCTCCAGATTCTTCTGAAACCTCCTGAAGAAGTAGTTCATTCCTTCCAGTTAAAGGCTAGTGTCATCCTTATCAAAGATGGTATAGAAACACCGGAGCATGTGTCCCCAACTTCCCTTTTACCCACCAGATCAAAAATTTTGGCTAAGACAGACAGCCAAGAAAGTGCTGCACCTGCCAAGGGTAGAAGAGAATAAACCAATGTATACAGTGCATCCAAAGGTACTGGATCAAGGACAATAGAAAGTTGAATAAAACATAGCTTAATAAAATACGAACAATTTTCTGCGATACATGATAATCACCCTGGCAAGAATGGTGCTAACACACTGCTTAGATCGGGGTGCCCAACCCCCTGGGCCATGGACTCATACCAGTCCCTGGCCTGTTAGGAACAGAGACACACAGCAGGAGGTGAGCAGAAGGCAAATGAGCATTACCACCTGAGCTCCACCTCCTGCCACATCAGCGGAGGCATTAAATTCTCATAGGAGTGTGAACCCTATTGTGAATTGGACATGTGAGGGATCTCTCTTGGGCACTCCTTATGAGAATCTAACTAATGCCTCATTATCTCAGGTGAAATAGTTCCATCCCGAAACCATCCCCCACCCCGTCCATGAAAAAATTGTCTTCCCCAAAACCAGTTCCTGGTGCCAAAAAGTTTGGGAACCGCTGCTCAGATGACCCTTGGAAGCCTGGAGAAAGTGACAGTCCACAGTAAAAGTGATGCAGAAATGCTGGAACTACTGTGGTAGATTGTAAAAGAAGGGATCAAAAAGCTAGAAGTGGGCATGTGATAGTTAATGAAATGCATGTGGTCAGAATTACTAAAATGATAAAAGTGCAAAGCTCAGTGGTAGCTGTTATCTACAACCAGGCTTGTTAAATATTTGGAATCCTGTTAACAACAGAAAGGAGAGAACCCTGAAATAGTAGAGTCCAGGTGGTATTGACTAAAATTTAGAAGCATGATAAGCATATTCAGTATAAAGAGCAGGAAAGTTTGAATGTAAGCCAGATGTTCTTAGAGATGAGATATGTAGATGGGCAGCCAAGAAGGATACTGCTATGTTTATACAAGCAGAAGAAAATAAAGATGGATGATCATGAGCCTGTGGAAACGTCTCTAGTAAAATGATCATGCCTTGCCCAGTTTCTGAAATGAGCCATTTTCTCAGGCCCAGAATCCCATTAATGTAGGAGAAGTCAGGCACCCGTGAGGAAAAATCCTTAAATACCTCTAAATGTATAGTAATGATTCCCACAGTGCATTCCCAAAAAGAACCTATGGCCATTTATTCACACAAACAAACAATGTAGAAAGAGAAAAGCTAATCAATTCACAAGAAATATTGAAGGACAGTGAGCAAAAAAACAAAAGTTGGAAGAGAAAACAAAATAGTGGAAATGCACTTTAAAATATCAGTGATTATAGGAAATGCACAATGGATGTTATCAATAAAAGTCAAATTTTGTCACACTTAATTAAAAAGCTAAATCCATGTATATGCTATTTATGAAAGCCACATCTAACACATAAGCACACTGAAAATTTAAAAGTAAAGAAGTGATAAAAAGATATACTAGGTACATACTAATAAAAATGAAGCTGGTGCAGCTATACTACTAGGCTGGTGCAAAACTAATTGCAGTTTTTGCCATTAATTTTAATTTTAATGGCAAAACCACAATTACTTTTGTATCAACCTAATAATATTAGGCAAATGAACATCAACGTAAAAAGCATTGTTATGGATATAAAGGGAAACTTCATAACAATGAAGTTTTCAATATATCAGGTAGAAACAAAAATTACAAACTTGAATATGTATACTAGATAAAATATACACAAAATGCATAAGGACAAAACTTAACAGAACTAACTATATGGAGAAATAGTTGAACTGCATGTCAAAGTGAAAAATGTTAAAATATCTCTTTTCATAACTTGTATATTCAACAGAAAAAAATAATAGAAAAGATAAAAAAAATAAGTTTGAAATAGTGGACATATATAGAATCCTGCACCCAACAGTTAGACAAAACTCTGTTTTTAACCAAATTACAAAACTTGATAACAATCTGGCAAAGAAGATACTTTCAACATATTTTAAAAGATTCACAATATGTGTTTGCAAGGTAAAGTTGAAAACTACAAAAACAAACAAACAAGCAAATATATTTGGAAACCAATAAGCATATTTCAATAAAACTCATGTGTCAAAGGAAAACTTAATAACAACTAGGCTACATATCTAACTTCATCAAGAAAAGAGATGCTACAGGTAAGCTCATTAAAAACAAAGGAGGCATAAAACTATAGATGCAATGGAAATTGAAAAGATTATAAAATTATGTAAATAAAAATATTCAAAAAATTGAAGTAATTTTTAGAAAATTACTCAAAAATAAATAGAAACCCTGAGTAGTTCTATGACCAGTATATTTATTGAGTGTGTAGTAAATCTGTTCACAAAGAAAGAAACCCCTAGAATTGAACCCTGCCAAATATAAAAGGAACATAAAACTGCCATCTTTCACAAACGTTTCCAGGCTCTACTGTTTTTTATCCTTGTCTGGGTAAATGACTTACCTGTCACTATTCTCATCTACAAAGTGGGATTAATAATACTACTCACCTCATAAAGTGATTATGAGGATTAAATAACTTAGTGCTTGTAATGTGCTTTCAACAGAGTCTAGCATATATTAAGCACTTTGTAAGTTTTTCCTGTCATTATTATCATAGAAAAATCTTAATACCAGTAAATGACAAGAATAGTATGGGAACAAAAATCATAAGCTAATTTCATCCATGAACATAGAGGCAAAAACTGTAAACAACATATAGTGTAAATCTGTCATAACACCATTAGTGAAGTCTGAAAATCCAACTTAAAAATATTATGGCTGGCAGTATCGCAGTGAAAAGACCAGGGCAAGTGTGTTGGGAGTTCCTTTCCTGCTCTTGCTTATAATTTAATGCCATCTGGTGAGAGTTGTCCACTCTGGGCTATATATCAGTGGAAATGGATAGCACAAGTTAGATTTTCTTAAGACACGTTTTTCATTGTTGATGCTCGTTAGACTTACTAATGCTGCATTTTATAATTCTTATGCACTAACTTGAACCCTAAGTACGAAAAATATAACTAACCTTTTTTCTCACATAATAAAAGTTAAATGTTCTTATTTCTTTCAATAACTTAACTTGAAAATATATCAAAGTTTGGTGAATTTCAATTGAACCTTAAATTGACTCTTGTCTAGAGAAAGTTGGTTATACTTTTAGAAAAAAATCTATAGCTCAATATGAAATGCCACTCTAGCACAAAATAACTGAAATCCTCTATAAATAAAGATAAAAACAATGTATATCTTTTCTTATTAGTGGTAAATGAAATTGGCAGAGCAATATTAGAAAAGCTTTGAGGTATATATATTTTAAATTCTAATTAAATTTTACCAGATTGGCTGCAATTCACTAATAATAAATACATCATGTTAATCCTGTATTCTTTTAAACACTGGGCTGTTATCCACTTCCATTTTATTTTAACAACATGGAGTTCTAGATTTATTCCTGATCATTAAAAAATTATAATCACATCTATAAAAAGCATTTTATTTTAATATTTAATGTGATTTTTAAAGAACAATATGCATCAGACATCAAATAACTCTATTTTAAAAACAGAAATTTTCTATTAACTGGCAATAAATTCAACCAGCAGAACATTAAATCTGTTCATAGTTATATTTTGTTTTAAACATGGCAAAATATGTTTTCAATTTCAGCTGGTATGTTGGTTGGTGCTAGTACCTTCAATGCAATGACCAGTGTCATTATAATTTTATCTGTAATTTATTACAGAAGACTTCATTTGTTCAGACTGTTGTATGGCAATAGGTCCAATCCGAACCATTTTAGTGACTCTAAAAGTAAATAAATGTCCCACTCAGTCTGTTACATTGGCTTATTTAAAATTAAAAATGAGTTCTTTGTCTTAAAATACCACTGATAATTTAGAAAGTATTATACTAATAAGTGTTCCATTTGTCTACATCACAGTTTCAGCAATCAATTTTAATAACATGCGGACAAAAAACTTTGGTTTTCTAAATATATCCTATGTTTGCTAAATAATTATTTCTTAATATTTCATAGTGATTGGGTGCCAGTGACATAGGTGCAATTCTAAGAAAACATAGAATTACACGCAGTATCTAAGAAATCATTTTTTAAATTAAAATTTTAAATAAAACAGACTTTATGTAAAAATTTATGGAGAATTCAGAATTTACAAGGATATCTGCTTGTAGCTGAGATTTTAAATGCAGTGAAAAATATTCGTTGTTAAATTTGGAAACTATAGTTTTCCAACAAAAAACTAGGAGAATAAGAATGATAAAAAAGTAAAATACCTAGTTATAAGAAAAGTATAAAATTAGAAGATAAGATTTATTCTTGCTATGACATTTCATTAATTGCACACTTGGTTTTATGGGAAGATAATGCCTAATTAACCTTTAAAATGATTATAATTTAATGTCTCTTTTTCTTCCAAGTCTTCGTCATTGTGTTTCAATTCAATTTTATTTTTTTAAGTATTAAATACAAATTAGTAAACTTTTATGCCCCGTAACTATATTAATTTCCCCAATACATAGCTCACTTCAAAACACATACTAACCGATACTCAAATATTCAATCTCCACCTAACATCCATTGTTGTTCAATGGTTTTTGGTATTTAGAAAACAGACTATATTTTATAACATCTGAGCTAATGACGGTCATTTTGACTTTTGAGACTATATTCAATGTTGGTAAAATTAGACAAGTAAACACAGGATCTGCACTAAAATGGGAAAGAGCACAAGAAATCACAATGTTTTGTAAACTGGAAAATTCAGGAATGAATAGCAGCCATATGAGCGGACTGGATGAAGCCAGAAGCTACTTAACTGCCTCTAAGGATGGGGGTTAGGGAAGGGGTTGAAGCACAGTCTGATGTTGAGGAGCAAAGAACATTTCAGGAAGATAATTACTAGATGGTTCTGAAGGCAGGGTCTCAGTTCTAACAGAACAAAGAGGATGATAGGCAGAAAGTCTGTATAAAAAGTCGCCAGAACTCTCAATCAGCTATCCTGTCCTACACAGCCATGTGAATACTCCTCTCCCTTCATACTTTCACATAATTGTGGATAAGCTCCTGACTTTCAGAAAACCTGTTGTTTATTCTCTGGTAAGTTTGAACTAGAGGTAATTTAAACTTGAGACAACAGTCTCAATGAAGACTGGGGACCTCTATTAAAACTAGCAGGACTCAGTGAAAGTTTGCCATTGGACAGTCAGCCCCCAGGCTCTTCTCTCTATGTGGCCCCCACTGCCACACTAGTACATGGAAAGATTCCTTTCTGGGGAAATTGGCCAAAGAGAAAATATCTTCAAACAATGACATATAGTCATTCTAAAAGAAAGAGATGAGTGCCTTCCCAGTCATTCATTTTACATTAAAGCTTACCACTCAATAAGTTCCATTCTGGAAACTCTCTCTCTCTCTCTCTCTCTCTCTCTCTCTCTCTCTCTCTCTCTCTCTCTCTCTCTCACACACACACACACACACACACACACACGAGTTATCAATAAGTTTCTTGGTGCTCTATTCACAAATATGGACTGATAGCTGCTAAGACAGAAGCTTAAACAGAGATCAACATTTCAAGAAAATAAAGGAATTTAGAGAAAATAAAAACAATGAAGGGTAAGAATAAAATTTGAGCAGAACTAAAATTAATATCCACAAAAATCGAAGATTTCGTATTCATGCATTAAAAAGTTTTTCCTTAATAAAGAAAAATTTAGAGGAAAAGGCACTCTTAGAAACTAAAGTATCACTTTTTGGCATAAATAACTTTAGTAAAGAGATATCTTTTATTTCTGATGAAATCACTCCATAAGTTGAACAAAGACCAAAACATGTAAACTAGAAAGCTCCATTCATAAATGTAGTATTCCAATAATGGAAGCCTCAGAAAGATTAGAAAAATTAGAAAAAAAAACAGTTTTTAACCAAATGATGTGATGACATTTTCTAGAACCAAAGTACCTGGACTTTCAAATTGATTGCACGCAGAAAATACAATTAAAAATGTTCCAAATAATAGTAGTTTAGTATGAAATTTAGAATATCTGAAATAGGTAAAAAATAAGATCTGAAAGTTTGTAAAGAGCATAAATAGGTGACATACAAGGGATCTGGAATAAGAATAGCATTGGACTTAATAATGACAGTGGATTCAGAAGGAGAATGAGCAAATGCTTTTAAAATTCTGACAAATTATTTTCTGTTGTATTAGTTAGGCTTTACCAGAGAAACAAAACAACATGTGTGTGTATGTGTGTCTGTGTGTATGTACATACACATATATACATGTACATATATAAATATACACCCACATATTTCTCACTATACACACAATAGTAAAACTTGAACAATACAGAAGGAATAAAAGAACAACTGACTTTCCTTAGACATTCTAGAAAACGATTGCACTTTTTATACTATATCCATTTCACTTAAAAATAGAATTTCACATATGATTTTGTTATTATGTTATAAAACAATCTACAATTTTAAATCTGAGAGATTCTTTGGAAGTCACCAAATTTTAGAGTTTCCTAAACTAGGTTTAGGGATGTGGGTCAAATGTCTTGAACTCATGGAAAATTCATGACAGTTGTGACTATTAAGAGCATTTGTTCATTTTCTTAGAGAGAGGGTGCATGGCTTCATTACTGAACATCAGTGAATCTCTCTGTGACCCCAAAAGAGGAAATTAAATTATCTTATTTTCTTCCTAAAATCACTGGGGTTCAGAGTAGCTTGAATACATAGAAAATGTTATAATTTACATAGATATTCTTACAAATTGCATGGATATCTTATATATAATATATATCATAAATTACATCTTATAATTACATAGATATTCTTATAAGACTGGAACAAGAGCTCAGGTTTCCTAACTCTAATACATTTTGATAAAGCATTCTTCAACTTAGGTTTCCTAATGCTAATTCCTTTTGAGTGTGAGATAATCTTTTGGCCAATAATACAGTATTGCACATTTCTCTTATATATTTAAATGATACCATTAAAAACATAAAGATAGGATTTTATAGCCCAATGGTCTCGATATCACAGTCCTTATTTTTCATTTGTCTTCTCTTGTTCTTTTTGTTATTTCCATGGTGATTAGGTTCAGGTGAGCTTCCCTGACTGGCAATACTTTGTATATATTGTTACACTCCGTGGCAAGGAGGAGATAACACCATTCATGACTTCATGGGAAGAGAATAAACAGAAGCTCCACATTTGGATCTCCCCCAGACTCTGTCTTGACCATCTCTTCCTTTGGCTAATTTTCTGTATCTTTTCTCTGTAATAAATGTAGCCATGAGTTCTGTGGGTATTTTCAGTGAATTATCAAACTAGATGGTTTTTCAAAATTCCTGACCTTGCAATTGATATCGCAAAAGGGGAAGTCTTGTGTCCCTCAGACTTTCTAGATTGGCTAGCACTGAATACTATGACAGCGTATTACTCTACCCTGGGTCTCTATCCTTTTAAAATTCATTCGTTATTGGATAAAAAGAAATGAAAGATACAATACTTTTGTCTCACACAATTAAAAAGCAAGTGTTTCCAAATTATACTGTGCCTTATATTATCAGTTTCCTTCCGTATTACTTTTTTTGTAAGTCTAGATAAGACATTGTAGGAACTTCATAATTAATAATCAGTTATTTCATTTTCTTTTCTTTTTAAAATGTTGATTGATTGTCTAGAAAGCTGCTTTCAGTATGACACAAACAAATGTTTTGAAACAAAACAGAGAAAAAAAAAAGTGGCTTACACCAGTAAACCCAGCACTTTTGGAGGCCTAGGCGGGTGGATTACCTGAGGTCAGGAGTTCAAGACCAGCCTGGCCAACATGGTGAAACCCCATCTGTACTAAAAATACAAAAAATTAGCCAGGCATGGTGGCAGACTTCTTTAATCCCAGCTACTCTGGAGGCTGAGACAGGAGAGTTGCTTGAATCCAGGAGGTGGAGGTTGCAGTGAGCCGAGATTGCGCCATTGCACTGTAGCCCGGGCAACAAGAGTAAAACTCCGTCTCAAAAAAAAAAAAAAAAAAAAAAAGTGGGAAATGAATACTACCATTTATCAACTTATACTTAATTTTTTTTTACAAACATTGGTTTGCTCATATATATAGAAGTAGGAGTGACAAATAATGAAAAAAATGTGCTGTAGTAGATAAATTATAATGATGCTACATTGCTAATTACTGTAGCAATATTTCATTCTAATTTATAAATTTAAAAAATATCTCAAATACTCTGCAGTTGTAAGTAAATAATCAGTACCTCCATAAACACTGTGATAAACCTAACAGTTGACCTTTCTAGGTTGGAATTCTTAATATGACATGGAATAATGTGTGTTCTTAGTCCAGACCAATGGGCTGCAGTAAAGGCCTTTACGAATAATAACATTTAAAGTTCTTCTCACAGAATGGAAAGAAAAATATAAGTGTTGACTCTGGCAGCTAACAGCATATGCTTAACCACTGATCTTTCAGTGAAGAGATAGACAGAATCATAACTGAACATATTGTATTAATCAAGACCATGATAGACAGAATCATAACTGAACATGCTGTACTAATCAAACCAACCATGTGTTCTTCACAGCTCTTTGCATTTGAAGTGCTTTGCCAAGAGGATCATTTCCCACAAACTGAACAAGGTAACTGCTGCCTACGTTTCAAGCTGCATAATACCTTTTTTCACAAACATAACTTTATACTTCTTTAAATTAAGAAGCTCGTTATAGGGGAAGAAAACCATACACTTAATGTCTCAGAAAATGTTAAATGAAAAGGGCAACCCTTCAAATACTTATTGCAAATCCAAAAGATGTTAACTTTTATTCTACCAAATGGCTCAGGTAGGTAAGAGCATGTTGTTTGATATCATTGTTAGATGCTTAATCAATGCCATCATACAACTTGAGAAATACGTAGAGTTATATATTGTTAGAAGCTAAAGTCCAGCAAAAGATCACGTTCATCCTAAGTTTTGACAAAATGTATCCTGTGTAGATCTATTATACAAACAAAAGATGTCCTCGGATGGCTCCTGAATGCTAAAAAATGGAAATGGTTAGAGACATTATCGTCAACTGGCTGAAGCAGGCGCCTGACTAACTCCAAGACTGGGTCAGATAAGGTGATGCTTCCTTTGAGGAGCAGTGTTACTATGCACCCTACTGCTGCCATTTAAACAATCTTCACACAGTGACTTTCCCTGGAGGATGCTACTGAGGGTTCAAAAGGGGATGCAGGCTTCGTGTGGTCCCCTCCCACAGATTCAGTTGTTTGTGTAAAGCAGTTGCCTTGCCAAAGACCTCCCGCCCAAAGATTCTAATTTCCATTTATAAACATGGTTTCCAATTTTTTCAACGATCAAATATTTATATTAGAAAAATATGTTTAATCAAAGCACTCCATAGTTTAAATAAAAATAAGCATTTAAAATTATATCTCTGCATCATGTAATATGACCATTAATTAGCAATAATAAATTTCTTATTTCACTACTGTAATATATTCCAAAAAGTAGAATATTAAAGTATTAATAGAAAAAGAAACCTTACAGAGGCACAAAAATGTTGAATAAAAAAATTCATTCAAAACAGAATCTCCATGTGTGTAATTAATTCATGGTTACATCACAAATAGAAATCAGATATTATTTGAATACTCATTCAAAGTATAGAAAGGTATAGAAAAAGGAACTCATGCTCACAGTCTACAGTTGTTC
Source organism: Homo sapiens (assembly GCF_000001405.40). Classification (NCBI taxonomy): domain Eukaryota; kingdom Metazoa; phylum Chordata; class Mammalia; order Primates; family Hominidae; genus Homo; species Homo sapiens. The sequence goes on from NC_000001.11 coordinate 103,416,012, forward strand.
ATTCTCAAAGAACACAAATGTGGATTAAAAAGTTTGAATTCCTTATCTTTAAATTACATGCTGCAATCTTCTAAATATTTAATCACAAATAAATGAATCACCTATGAAATAGAAGTTTTAAGTGTTATGTAATTTTTGGAAGTATGTTAAAATAATTCACTCTCTTGCCTTCAGACTTTACAGAAGACATAACTCACAAAGTAAACAAATATAATTAAGTAGCTAATTTAACTATCAGGACTAAATATATCAGATTCTACAAAAAATATAGCTGTACCAAGACTACAGCTGATTCTACCAAATTAATCCTCTATTTGGTTAGTAACTCTCATTTTTCAGCCTCTCTTCATTCAAACACAATTTAACAAGGCGAGCATTTACTTGCTATATTGGAACACCAAAAAAAGTAGACGCTATTATCTTTGTTCTCAAAGGATTTCCAATGCAGTTAGAAAAACCACCATACACTGAAGAATTATGGATTCATTCATTTTATAGTAATTAGTATTATGCAAATCTGAGTCACAATATTTAATAATGTTTTATTATACTGTTGACCTAAGGATAGACAATCATTGCAGTGCTAGAAACTAGCAGAGTTACTCAGAAGAGTAATGTACTATGTTAGGAAGCAGTATTGCCCATTCATTCGTTTATTCAACAATGATTTATTGAGCATCAGTTTTGAACCAGATTATCTTCCAAGAACAGTAAAAAAAAATTAATAAAATATAAAGTTTTATTCTTAAGGAAACTACATCTCAGACTTGGTTAGTTTTCTCCTTTGTCTTATATACACATATCTTCAACTTCTCCCTCCAGCACCTCTTCTCTGGGCAAACAGCCCAGTCTAGACTCATCATGGTACATGCCAAATTCTTCTGGCAATAATTTGTTAAGCATTATGCACATGGTCTATATTAGTCCATTTTCACACTGTTATAAATAAATAAATACCCAAGACTGAGTAATTTATAAAAGAAAGAGGTTTAATTGACTCATAGTTCCACATGGCTGGGGAGGCTTCAAAAAACTTACAATCATGGTGGAAGGCAAAGGGAAAGTAAGGCCCTTCTTCACATGGTGGCAGGAGAGAGAAGTGCAAGCATGAGGAAGTGCCACACTTTAAAACCATCAGCTATCCTGAGTTACTCAATATCCTGAGAACAGCGTGGGGGAAACCACCCTCATGATCCAATCATCTCCAACCTGATCCCTCCCCTGACAGGTGGAGATTACAATTTGAGATGAGATTTGGGTGAGGACACAAAGCCAAATCATAGTCTAAATAAAGATAGTGAGTCCTTCTCTGGAATTGGTATTTCTACTTAATTGAATATAAAGTTCTATCAATTCAATTTAAAATATCCCAAGTAATACAACAGATGGGCCATAAATGATCATTAAATAGGCAAATTGGTAGTGCTAAGAAAATTTTAAGTAAATATAAATCTCTGTGATTTGTAGCTCAGAGAAAGGAATAGAGGAAAAATAAGTAATAAACAAACCTTAATAAATGAAGGATTTAATTTGTTAAATTAGTCATTTCATGAAGAAGAAATGATAGAACTTTATTAATCAACAGACTATTCCATTGGACTTATTTTTCATGTTAAGTAGGAAAAGAGGAACTGATTACAATTTTCAGGGAGCAAAAGAAAAAGTAAATTTTGAAGAACTTTATGTGAGTTTCCACTGTCCATGCTGCTCCCTGTAGCTCTTGCAACAAGCTGTAAAGTACTCTGTGCTGTTTCACACACAACTTTCCTTTTCGTCTTTGAAATTAAGATTGAAAGCTCCATAAGGACATAAACCTGTCTGAGATAAACTTCCTAAAATAAATCTTGTTAATAGCTTTCATTAGGAAGTAAATGAGTACAAATAATAGTAAGTTCTCAGAGGCTATCAAAAGATTTTCAAAAATGCCAAATTCAGCCATAGACTAAGTAGGAAGTAAATGGTAGGTCTTTGTTAACTTACGAAACAGCTAAATCATCTTAAGCCAAGGTAATTGAAATTTGTGTTAAACTCCTTATATACACTTATGTAATTTTAAAATGTCTTGTGTAATTTTAAATGTACTTTAATGACACCATCTTATGTATATTGCAGGTATTATCCCCAGTAAAAATTACTGGACATCATGTATCTTCAGCGTGTTCATCAGGAGTCACACGCAGTATCAAATGTTGAATGTAGATTCCAAAGGTCTACTGTAATCCAAAAAAATAAGAAGCAAATTTAATATCTACCTCAAGCATCACAAATTGCCAGAATTAATGAATAGATAATATAGCCTCTCCTTTCCTCTTTACTCTATATATGCATATCCTGAAGCTGCTCCTGAGTCAAGGGAAAACTTCTCCTAATAAAAGATGGCTATTTTCCAAAAAGCATGCAAGGCACCATGTTCCCTTGTTACAACCACTATTTATAGAGAATTTGATCTATAACAGAGATATACTGGGAAGACTTTTTGGTGAACTGTCAAATGCCCAAGAATTAAAATCAACACTCAACCAGAGTCAATGTTTCAAAGTTAAAATATAACCATCATAGAATGAACTTCTGCAATGTAAAAATAAATCTGAAATTCTATAAAGTAATTTAATTTTACTAGAAATTTATCATTAAAATACACTGGTCAAATTTAAAGTTTAACATAATTATGCAGCAACAAATTGCTCCTGTGTTCTCTCTCTTAAATATTTGCCACACAAAATAGAAACTCACTTTCAACTGAGATCAGTAAAGATTCAAGATCTTGTTTGTCTGACTCCTCCAAGAGGTCTGTATGTAGATACCTATGTAAGGTATGTCAGATTACATAACCATTATCAAGTCATTAAGCCTTTCTTGCTAATTAATATAAAGTACATTATTAATATAAAGAAACATACACTCTTTAACTCCTAGAAATAAAGGTTTTGGTTGATGGTGATGATGCAGTTTCAGGATGCAATCCTACAAACTGAAATTTTGCACATAGCTTCAAAAAATAGCATTTTAATATTTTAGATGCAGACTTTAAAAATTCATTTTTAACATAGTTATTAATTCTACTATTTGTAGGTATTTTCACATTAAAAAAAAAACAGCAGCCAATTTTCCATTCTTCTAATTCATCTGCTTAAGATATAAGGAATTCCCAAGTAGGATATTTGTCTTGTAACACCCACGACTGGGATAGAATTAAATAATTCACTATTAAATATAAATGGTAAAAGTTATTTTGCTCATTCCTGGGAACAATGAACATAGTGAATAATTCCAGAAAGATTAGAATTACAATATGATAGCTTTGAAAAACATCAATGTAGCTTAAAATGTCCTTTACTGTACTTATTGTCATTGATATATAAGAATAGGTCCAGGGTGACCACACTTGCATCTGATGACCATCTCACAGTGGCCGTCAAATATCAAAGCAACAGTGGAAAATTGATACTTCTAGTCCAGATTATTTATACAGGAACTTAAAGTTTTTAATGGAAAGAGAAAGAGACAGAATTATTTTGAGATGGGTCACATTAAAGTTCTGGCTCCAAAAAGAAGTCCCAGTGTCTCTGCTGGTAAGTTTTCTGGAGCTGTCCTGGTGTCAACCCTTCCTAAGATCTCTGAACCCATTAGGCATCAATATTATCTCAATAAGTTCCATTTTGTTCTTGGCATCTGTTACTTATGACTAAAACTACCTCAAAAGTAAAGATTCTATTACTGTCATTGGCCTTCTGTTACTCGCATTTAAGTATTTCTTATAATATTTAAATATGAAGTTGAATTTTTTCCATTTATAATAGACTTGGAGGACACAACTAGTATATTTGAAAATTGTACAATTTTAATACATGAACAAGTAAAAATTGTCTTATCAAGTTTATCTTAATAATAAGTGCTGCAAAATTCATCTGTGATAGTAGTAGACATGATAATTATCTAGGAAAGGTGAAACTCTAGCAACAAATATTTCAAAACTTGTTCTGGAAAGTGAACTTTTAAAAGATTTTAAGATTACATATAGGTCTTTGCAAGAATAGAAAATATTTCTATGTTTTTATAATAGAAACATTTTCTTGATAGAAAACCTCTTGGTTTTCAATACCTAAATTTCAGAGAATATACTTATTTCTCAGTACAAAGGTTTTGGTCAACGGTAATAAAGGAAAAAAATATATTTTAATCCTCTACACTTTGTAAAACACTTTCATGAAAATGGTGTGCAGGAAAATATTCAAGTTGCAATAAAAATACACTTGACAGGCTGGCAGATTCAGGCATAGATATGGCTGATGATCAGTGCATCACAGTGTCATACGCAAGGCAACTGTACCATTATGTCTTATCCTCTACCATTCTTTCAGCATGATCTTCTTTTTGACTAGTGCTGTGCGTTTAGTATCCACATTTTTGAGAAAGTGTTGGAGGAAATTTTAGAGAATTAAGCAATTTAAGGGAAAAAACTGACTTAAATAGAAGAAAAGGTTTTTCTGCATACAAAGCAGCTAATTTTTAACAACCATGTCAATTACTTTGAGATTAGAAGTCATGTTTTAACCAAATTAAATCCTAAACAAATAGTTCATCACTCTTACAAATGTTCATATTTCAGCTATACTCTAGGAAATTGGTTGGGTTTTTAGGGTTTCTGTGTAATGTAGATAGATTTTTTTCTAAAAGAATGGTGACAAGCTCTTGCTGGTATTCTCAAAAAGTATATTTATTTGAAAAAACTGTTATCTTTCTGGAATTTAAATTATTCTACAGATAGAGGGGAAAAAAAGTTTCAAAAGCATCCAGCGTGAGATTGCATGTGATTCTTACTCATTATTTTCAATGCAAAGATTATAAATAAAGGTTAAAAGAGCATAGCAAATCCAAAAGGGATTTATTCTAGATATGCAAAAAAAAAAAAAGGTTTGGTATCAATTAAAAATCATATAAAATTAGGTCAAATAAAGATCATATAACACAAAGAAGGCATTTTAAAAGTTAAACATCCATATATAATTTCTGAAGCAGAAACCTTATGCCTAATTGTGTAATAAGCATGCATTCTTAGCAAAGTCAGGAGTAAAACAATTGTTACCACTTTATTTTAAATTGTTTGAAAGGTACAATCAATGTAATTAAACAAGAAAATTAAGTGAGAAGCAAACTTATTTTATCTGCAGTGATGGTTTGAATACTTAGAAACAAAAACAATTGAAATTAAAATGAGAATACCTGAAAATAGCATATTATAAAAATCAAAATCCTGCATTTACACAAATAATAACCATTTAGAAAGTATAACAAAAGGTGCCAGGTGCGGTGGCTCACGCCTGTAATCCCAGTACTTTGGGAGGCTGAGGTGGGCAGATCACAAGGTCAAGAGATCAAGACCATCTTGGCCAACATGGGGAAACCTTGTCTATACTAAAAACACAAAAATTAGCTTGGTGTGGTGGCATGCTAATAGTCTCAGCTACTCGGGAGGCTGAGGCAGGAGAATTGCTTGAACCCAGGAGGCGGAAGTCGCAGTGATTGGGCCACTGCACTCCAGCCTGCAACAGAGTGAGACTCTGTCTCAAAAAAAAAAAAAAAAAAAAAATGGAAAGAAAGAAATAAAAGACAGTATAACAAAAGGAAAGATTTTTTTGCGTAAGTATAAAAAATAATTTTCATATTTCTGAGTAAATCAATCTAAAAATCAATATAACTGTATGGAAGTAAACATTAAAATTCACTTAAGTATTGTAAATGATTTGAATAAATGAAAAATATACTGTTCTCTTGTATTGTCAAATTCAATATTGGAAAGATTCAATCCTTCAAAATTAACACATAAAATTAATATATTCTCAGTAAAAACACCAACATACACTTCAGAGTTCTTGTTCCTTTTCTATGCTTTATAAACAAAACAAGACAAAATAAATCTAAAGTTCACTTGGAAAAATCAACATATAAAATACTCCCTCCAAAATGTGAATATGTGATTAGTGAAGATTCTTCCAGTAACACATTAAAATATATTGTAAAGCTACTATAATAAAACAATGCAATTCAAGTCCAAGGACTGGTACAAATTCATAAATCAATACATTAGAATATATCATACAAAACAGGACTCTAGTGTACATGAGGATTTAGTGTATGATGAAGTGGTCTCATATTACTCAGGACATTTAGGGTTATAAGTGAAAGAAACCCAACTCAAATTGGTTACTATGGTTTTAATGTTTGTGTCCCACCCAATCCGCCCCTAAATTCTTATGTTGAAACTTAATCACCAATGTGATGGCGTTAGGAGTTGGGGCCATTGAGAGGTAAGTCATGAGGGTGGGGCCCTCATAAATGAGATTAGTGACTGTTTTAGTCCATTTTGCATTGCTCCAAAGAACACATGATGCTGGGTAATTTATAAAGAAAAAGGTTTATTTTGGCTCATCGTTCTGCAGACTGTACAAGAAGCATAGTGCTAGCAACTGTTTCTGGTGAGGGCCTCAGGAAGCTTTCAACCAGGTGGAAGGCAAATGGGAAGCAGAGGTGTTACGAGAGAGCAAGAGAGAAAGGAGGTGCCAGGCTCTTTTAAACAACTTCTCTCCCATGAACTAATAGAGTAAGAATTCACTCATCACCAAGGGGACAGCACCAAGCCATTCATGAAGAATATGCCCTCATAATCCAACACCTCATTAGGCCCCACTTCCTACATTGAGAGTCACATTTCAACATGAGATTTGGAGAGGACAAAGATCCAATGATACCAGTAATCCCCAGGGACGTGTGTTGATCCTCCCAGTATGTGAGGACACAGCTAGAAGGTGTCACATACAAACCAGAAAACAGGCTCTCACCAGACACTGAATCTGTTGGCACCTTAATCTTGGACTTTCCAGCCTCCAGATTTGTAAGAAATACACTTCAGCTGTTTATAAGCTACCTAGTCAGTGACATTTTGTTATAGAAGCCCAAATGGACTAAGACATTGGTTTAAGTAAAAGGGGAACTTTATTGGCTAGTAAAGCCATACCACGCAAATGCAAGATTTACAGCTATATCAATGGATATCAGGAGTTATTTTATCTGTGACAATCTCTAGTGATTGTCATACTGCCTGGCAGAGAGAAAACAAGCAAAACCAATGTTAGTTGACTGAGTGCACGGACTAAGGAGCAGCCTTGAATCCAGTATCAGGAATTGGGATGGAGAATGTAGTGATACATAAATAAAGTGGAACTTGATGCTCAGTCTCAGACAGTCATGAAACTAGAAGTAAAATTGTGTCCAAAATTTTTACTGCCACATAAGAAACACAAAATTGAGAGTGGAAGAGGAGAAAATATTAAATAAACTCTGGGGCAGACTTTGGGCATACAATTTGGGGGAAGGCGTGCAAGTATATACAGGTATGCGGGGTGAAAACTAGTTTATGAAGTGACAGAGAAAAGTGCAGTTTGGAGGGTAAATTATATATATAAAAATAAAAAATAAAAAATACAGAAAATAAGTTAAAATGTCAAATGCATGTATTCAAAAGAGAAAATAGCTTATGTCTTAAGAGAACTTTTAAAGAGATCTATTATTTACTAAATTCTTTCCACATTCAAGAGAAATTTCTAAGAAATTTAGCAATCAAGAATCACTTAAGCAGATCAACTATGTTATCATCTTCATTTTATGGGTGAGAAACTGAAACTCAGAAAGGTAAGCAAGTTGTCCGAGATCACATAGTAAATAAGCTGAGATTCATGCTGTAGCCATCTGACTCCAGAGCCCATACACATAGACTCTACACTAAACCTAATGTGTATGAATAAATTTGAAATGAGAACTAAATGCATTATAAATATATATTAATTTTAAATGAATAGGTTATATGCATTTACATGTGTGTGTGTTTATCACATCACAACACTGCATAAAAGCTTTCATATTCTATTATTGTTTTATATCAAATTTAATCTTCTTTGAACTTGCACCTGCCTGGATGGTAAGAAATTCATTGTCACTCATTTTGAAGTCTCCTCGCCACAATAGATCCACAGGATAATATACAATTTCTGGACAAGTGTCACAGTAGAAAAGCAGGGAATGTTCTTGGTCTATGCTCCAAGATTGTTGCCATCTTGACTATTGCTCCCTTGGCCACATTGATGCTAGTCTGAAATTCTGATAGCTACTGTCTATCTGGTAGGCCCTGAAGCTTCAGACTCACTGACAGTTACCTCTTAAATGCCTTTTTATTCATCGCAGACTCAGTCCTAGAAACTTTTACGACTGCTTTTAGGCTTTAGCATTTACAACTGCAAGAAAAATCTGCATGAAATATCTAACTTCCCTACTCACGAAGTAAAGTAAATACCCCTTATGCTTTCTTGAAATCTTAGACAGCTACATCTGAAATGGTCTTCTTTGTAGTTGAGCAGTATGCTTTATAGTCTTGTGTTAGGTTCAGACTTCCCTTAGAAGTCTTCAGTTCTGTAGTGTATAGCCCAAGCTACTGCAAAATGGTGGATAAAGGATTGCCCAGATACCAAAGTATTGGGATATTAAGGATCTTGTGGAGGAGCACCCACATATAGATTAATGGAATACACAAAGCAACAATCAAGTCTTCAGTTGGTATATTAAGTCTCCATCTGCCCTAGCTGGCAGAGTCTGAAATTGGGTCACTAAAATCATCTCTTTCATGCCTGACTCCCTCTCTCCTGGAGTGAACAACCACTTCCCCCTCATTTTCTTCTCTAATGAGTTTTTAAAGTTGAAAACAGTTGAACAGTTGAAGGGAGGGGTTCAGTTTCCACCAGGCTGAGCTCACAGTGGAGAGTTTACTCAGAGCAGCCCCTCCCTTTGCCTGCTCATGCTGGGCCTGAGCCATACTCCCTGGGTCTATGGCTCCTCTGGCCAAAGTCAAGTCTCCAAAGCCTCTAGCGTCAGTCAACGTAAAAACTTTTAACCAACCCTCTGGATGGTATTTTAAAAACTGACCTGAAAAGAAGCTTATTCTAAACTACTGAGACATTCAGCCATGGCACTGAACACTTTTTGAGACTCAAATAGCCTCAGACTCAAGACTTTAACTCCATTTCATCATTGTTTGTATTTCAGGACCCCAGACGCCTTCCATTCTTCTAGCAGTGAATCTTCTCCAAATGGACTTCTCAATCAACCCAAAGTTTCATCCTCTTCAAAAAACAGAGTTCATGGGATTTATCCACTCACTGTCAGTGCAGTTTTCCCTTGTCTTAAAATTTCAGCCCATATTTAAATGATATTTAAGCTAGGAGGAATATGGAAGTTTCCATAAAATAAAACAGAGGTCTCCAACTCATTTGATCTGAATTTCTGTCAGAAATAATGGTTTTCATTATGACTCTTTATACAAACTTTTATGTGTTTATAAGTGTATATAGGTATATAAAAATATATGTAACAAAAATAAAACAGTACAGAGTCTTATTCTATGTGATGCAATGAGATATTTTCATTTGATTTTTTTTAAATGCCTGTGGTGATTTCCCAGATTGATTTCATAACTCACTAAGGGGCCCCAAAAATAATTTGGAAAAAACTCCTGAAGGACACTGAGGACATTGGCTAGTATGTATTCATCTCTCAGATGGAGATGATCAAGTCATTTTTGAAATTTGAAGTCTGAGATAGGGGACTTAAATATCTTCTTCCATGTTCCTTATTTCTCAATAGTCTCTTGGGAATAACAAAGTTATTTATTGAAAAAGGCTAAATTCTCTTCCCTTAATGAGCATTCTGCCAATCACTATATATCTGCTCCCAATGTTTAAAATATTTAATAAGCCCCATTCACACTAAATCTCGTATCAGATCACTGGTATTCCCCAAATCCACAGGGTTTTATGGGAGTTCCACTATTCATTAATTCTCCAACATAGTAAAAGCCGTTATCTGAAAATTAACAACCCTCAATTCTAAGTATTTTAGTCTTCCTCATAAATATATATTTCATAAAGTTTTATAATAGTACCCAAATTGTTTCATGTATAACTGATATTAATTTTACCCCCATAATATTCAAGTCTAAGGAATTTTATTTTGAGTCACCATGTTAAATCAAATATCCTCCAAGCTTCGAAATACTGACAATAATTTCAATTCAGTCAATATTGAGACTCTCTCATTAAACATTGAAAACTCCTGAGTTTATACAACGCCTAAAAAACAGTTCATCATGATTTTCTCCTTAGCCTTGCTCCTTTAGCTTCTCGCTGCTGCAATTGAGCAGTGATGTTGACTACCTTTTAGGCACTGGTTTCCTCTGAGTTTAACCAAATTCAGATATTCATGCCATTCCAGTTCTCTGCACTGACCTTCATCTAAAAGCACACAGCAATCTTGTAATCCACTCCCATTTTGGGGCAATGTATGCCGTCTGGACACAAGTTTCCATAGCAAACTGAAATGCCAAAGCTCCTTTTGTAAATCTCAGGTAACTTCAAACTCTTGGGCTAGTCACATCGGCTCCCACTAAAAAAGGACTTTCACTGCCTACCTCTCTGAAATAATCTCGCCTTTAAAAAGTGTTGTTCATTTCCCTCTTGAATATATTACTTACTTGGGGGAACACCGACTTTAAAAAATATTAATATAATGAGGATTTCTGACTTTTAGGGAACAGGGAAGGTATGGAGAAAGAAGATGCTTTATTCTTCCTTGGTAAGAGTCTATAGCAGTAATGAAACCTGAGACACCAGTTCTGTGTCTGGGTGTGTGTGTGTGTGTGTGTGTGTGTGTGTGAGAGAGAGAGAGAGAGAGAGAAAATGAGGTGGAAAAAGAGATTCTTGTTACAAATTCACTGTAAGCACTTAAGACTACCCTCTTTTGCAGGTTAGGGGAAGGAAGCTTAATAAGGTAGCACTGGAAAAAGTTACACATACTCTTTGTAAGCATTAGAATAAATATGAGGTGAGATTATCATTTATTAATTTAATTTCTAAAATTGCATGCCCACTGAATAAACACAAGTTTGGAAAGAATAAAATAGAGCATATAAATTAATACCAGGAGAATAATTCTAAAATTATACTTTCTATTATCCCAGAGGGAAAGAATGTTTATATTTTTTAAGAACCATAAGCATTTGGGATTTAACCACCTTTGCATCCAGGAAACTTCAAAAGTAGGCTTAGTTTAGATTAGGACAACCACAACAATAAATAGGATGGCACTCAATCTTGTGTTTTCATCATGTTCAGGGAAAGCACAGTCCTGACAAGAGAAAGAATTGATGAGAAAATAGGAGAGTAGATAAGCAAATGAGTTCTTTTCCCCTCCTTGACTAAGCAGAAATATTACTAGTGGTATCATATCTAATAGAGAAGTATTACATTTTCAATTTAGGGATGGTTATTGATTTTCTTTCCATGAATGGCATAGAGGTAGACTAAAATTGTTCTCAGTTGCATTATTATTCTTACTACCATGTGTGTAATAATGACAAAAATAAAATGTAGTCATAGAGTTTTCCTCATTTTATTGAACAAGGGAGAGAAAGAGAAAAGAAAAGAAAATTGAACATTCAGAAAACAGAAAATTAAAACTTTTCTTTTGTTTGCCCTAGCAATTCCAAGATCTAATTGACTCCATCTACATTTTTGGTTGTTTTTATTTTCATTTTTAAGGTTAGCTTTGTGGTGGTTTTTCCAAGTTTCAATTTCAGCTTAAGAATGCTCAGTATTTTAAAATTATCTGTTCTAAAAGTATTAAAAACACATTTGATTTTACTATGGATAACCAAATTTTTATGTATGTGTGTACACACACACAAACATGAATGAAGAAAAAAATGAAAGAAATGGAGAAAAAGTGGGGAGGAAGCTTATCTTAGAAGGTGAGTATTAAGAGGCACAATTATTCATATAAGAGCTTTAGTTCTTTTTTGAGTTTATGTTAAGTTTGCTAATAGTTTTTCTAAGTTATTTTGCAGTAATAAATAACCCCAACAATCTTAGTGGCAATAACCTTACAGCAACAATGGTTTATTCTTGCACGTTACTCATCCTTCACTGTTCAGTTGTGGCTTTGCCTCATATTGTCTTCACTGCTGGACCAAGGTGTAAAGAACAGCCCTATTTTGATCTTATGAAAGAAGAAAAGCAATGTTGCAACCATGCAATGAATGAGCAATGCTATACATCACTTTTACTCCTATTTCACTGGTCAGAGCTACTCATATGGCCAAAGCATGCTGTAAATAAGGCATGAATGAAGCAGGAGTAAGACTCTCTCTTAAGAGGGAGCATTGCACATCACATGGCAGTGGGCAGTGATGTATTCACTCTCTCCAAGTATAAGAGTAAGCAATTCGGAATAACGATGCCGTCTATCTCAGAGTCCTTACCAACATCTTATTCTATATAAATTCTATATAAATTTTATTCTAGAATGACTTAGAATGGGACAACTTGGATCTTGCTTTACTCCATTAAAAACATACTGTTGGCTGGGCATGGTGGCTCATGCCTATAATCTCAGCACTTTGGGAGGCCGAGGTGGGCAGATCACTTGAGGCCAGGAGTTTGAGACCAGCCTGGCCAACATGGTGAAACCCCTTTTCTACTAAAAATACAAAAATTAGCTGGGCCTAGTGGCATGTGCCTGTAATCCCAGCTACCTGGGAGGCTGAGGCAGGAGAATTGCTTGAACCCAGGAGGCGGAGATTGCAGTGAGGCAAGATGGGGCCACTGCACTCCAGCCTGGGTGACAGAGTACGATTCTGTCTCAAAAAGCATACTGTTGGGTTGGGTGTCTCTATTTTCTGTTTCCTTGTAACTCAATAAGAGAATAATAGAAAAGGAAAGGAAGATAATTCCAGTATCAAAAAGTTTCAGTTAGAGAACTTTCATTTAAAAACCAAAGACTATTTCTGCTTCCACTTTGCTATGAGTTGCTATAACTCATTGAATGAAATCTTCAATATTACATGCATAGGTAGATAATACAAAGCAGGTACATAACTCTCAGCCAAGTTGTTTTTCCTCTTTTCTTACTAGTTGAAGACGGTCCCCGGAAAATACCCCAGAGCACATATATTAAACCAAGAGGGGCTCTGAGCTCCAATATCTTCTTTTTACCTAAAAAGAAGTGTTATTGGGTTTCCCTCAGATACTCCAGAGAGAAATAATCAATCATCACTAGTAATACCAATTGTTCTCACCTGCATCGATCACCAGCCGGGGGTAAGAGGAAGCAATTTTACCAGCACTCACTTCATTCCAGCCAAGGAGGTAAATGGAAATGAGAGAAAGTTCTTACCAATCTGCACATAGAAGTGTGGACATTTCTTCACTTTTAGGGGACATTCAGGTTGGGTTTTCCCTTTTTCTTCTGGAAGAGTAAGACCTAAATATAATTCAGGATGTGGAAGAAAGAAGAATGAGATTTCTCCTTGTATATGAAGAGAAGAAATATGAGGGTCATATGAGAATTGTAGTTATTGAGGCAGACTATAGACAAGTTGCCATGGCAATGACCCCTTGATTTTCGCCTTTTCCTAACTCTGTACTTCTCTGAACATATCTTTTCAGATTTTTTGTTCTTTTACCTATTTGCTTACAAGTATTGTGGTTGTGATAAGTAAAATTAATTTTATTTTTTTCTCTATGTTCTCAGTATAAAGACATAAATAAATAATATGCTAAGTCATTTGGTGATATTTGAGCTAGAAGTTTTTCAAGGAAAAATTTAAAAGTAATGAAGGCATTCATTTATACATATCTCTTGCCTATTCCAATTAATGGGACACTGAGAAGCAGCTTAAAGTACATGTTGTAAATAACATATATATCAATCCTGAAATAGACATATATAGCTTCAAGTATCTTATAGCATTTTAACAAACACAACACACAAACGATTACAATTTAAGGGGTTTCTAAATGTAGACTTTTCAAATTAACAATAATCTGCAATTTAATAATTTTGAACAATGAATGCAGCTTCTTAGGAATCCAGAAAAGCATTTATTCGGAATAAATAATTATGGCCCAATATATTAGACATGCTGTCTGCATCAAAACTATTATTTCATTGCAACTGTACTATTTGCTAATATGATAGGGCTTAATTCTATCTGAATTAAAGTATTATATACCCTTTCTACAACCCAATTTTTGGATGTCTAATTATATGGTGTATCTCTTCATGTGGCTCAATTTTTAGTTATCTTTATTTAAAATAAAATATATTTATAAAAACAATACAAATCAATTTTTTGTTTTATATATTATATATAAGTATATAACAATAAATTACATAATTAATAAAAATATTTAATAACAATTATTAAATATTATTTCATAAATTTTAACTTTATAAACTTCTCTTAAGCTGTAAACCTGTACTCCCACTCAATAATGCAGTCATTTTGGTTAGGTACATTTATAATTGTACCTTTGGTTAGATAATGTCTAATTTCTTTGGATGAAAAATCTAAAACTTCAGGGTTTTTGCTAGAGGGTTCCAGGTTATTTAACATTGGTTCATTTCAGCTGGATAAAATGTCAGTTCTCTAGGTTCCATTTTATCTCAAAATAATAAAAAAAATTTGTGGCAGTGATCTACATATTTTATAGCTTCCTTGAATAGTGAGAAAGTTTACCTTGAGACAAAAGAAGATGTAAATACAGAAGGAGTATAAGAAGCATGCTCTAGTCATTTCGGATTTAGATACTGCTTTTTGGAAAAAGAATATGGAAAACACAAGAGAAACAAGGCAAACTTTAAAAAATAACATTGCTTAACGGCATGTTTATATTTTACACATATAATATGTAATGTGCTATAAAGAAAAGTAATCTTCCCAAATGTCAATGACCCTTAAAATTGTGCAATAGATTTGCTTTGCTTTGTTCACATTCTATTTTTCTTCTACACTGTTATTCTTTATCAGTATTTCCTCAATAAATTAAATTTTGTGCTCGTAATACTCTCATCATGCTACTATTGTTATAATTATTAACATGTTATCACCATGTTAGTGTGGGTAGATTCATAACTGCCAAAAGGCTTTTGCACATGAAATACGATAGTCACTAGCACCTTTTGTACATTTTATAATTTTTTGTAAGCAATAAATATTCTTTTAATTATTAAATAAGTATTAATCTTAAAGCTAAAATGTGTACATTTCAACAAGTGATGTAGCAGCAATTAGATATCCATCACCAAAATAAATACATCGTGAAATAAAACCTCCACTTTATAAAAATTCACTCAAAATGAATCAACAGTTTAATTGTAAGATATAATATTATAAAACTTTTAGACAATGAAGGAAAAAATCTTCTAGGTGGGAGATTAGGCAGAGTTCTTAGATGTGAATAAAACACAATCACTAAAAGAATAAAATAGATAAATTTGACCTAATTAAAGTTTTTTTCTCTACAAAAAAATTCTGTAGAGAATATGAAAGACAAGCTAAAACCCGGAAAAAATATTTGTAAACCATACTTAAAATATATAAAGTACTCCTTAACTAGTGAAAAAAAAAACTTTTAACTATCCAATTAGAAAATGGCAAAAGACATGAGTAGACTTTTCACCAAAGACAATATACAGATGGCAAAAAGTACATAAAACGATGTTCAAAATCACTAGCCATTAGGGAAATACAAATTAAAACAACAATTGAATTTTACGTATATAGTAAAACAGTTATAATTACACATAGTGATATTATCAAATTCTAATAAGGATACAAAGAAATTCTATCTTTTATAAATTGCTGCTGGGAGTGTAAAATGGTACAACTACTCTGGAAAATAGTTTGGCAGCTTTTTATAAAACCACATACACTTTTCAGATGACCCAATAATTGCATATCTACACATTTATCTCAAAGCAATGAAAACTTTTCTTCACATAAGCGTTCATAGCAGCTTTATCAATAATAACCAAAAATTGGAAAAAAAAATTTCAACAGGGGACTGGTTGAAGTTACTATGGTACATGGATACAGTGGAATACTACTCAGTAACACAAAGAAACAAGCAAGTTATACATGCAAAAATTTTAATGACTCTGAAAAGCAATAATACAAGCCAATCTCAAAAGGTTACATATTCCAACTCTACGTATGTCTTTTGCATTCTTGAAATGACAAAATAAAATGTCTTGAAAATGAAAACATAGAAGTAAAATAGATTAGCAATTAACAGGAGCTAGTGATTGTGGGGGTGGAGTTGATGAGAAGATGCTTAGCACAAGAGAGCTTCTATGCAGTGATGAAACATTTCTGTGTATTAGTTATATGAATCTATATACACAATAAAATTGTGAAGAACTACACACACACACACACACACACACACATTCACATATTGGTAAAATCTGAATAAGTTCTGTAGTCTAGTTAATGGGATTTTCCCAATGTCAATTTACTTGTTTTAAGATTATATTACAGTTGGGCAGGATATAAACATTCAGAGAAGCTGGGTGAACAGTAACAGGACTCTCTTTACTGTATTTTCAACTTCCTGTGAGTCTATAATTATTTCAAAATAAAAAGTTCAAAAGATGTAGAAGGTTAACAAATTAAATTGTCCCAAATATTTAAACCTGATAGAAATATTTAATCAAATGTTTACATTCATTAAGTTCTCAAATTTAGTATATCACATTATTTAAAATGTTAACATTTTAAACCCTACAAGAATCTGAACTTATCCTGTCTGCTTAGTATAGAATAAGCTGAAAAAAGTGTGTGACCACCCTCACACCTAGAAAAAGTCAGATAACCTATGTAATCATAACTTTCCATGAACCTATGAGAGAATTAATGTTGCAGGGCAATCAAATAGCCCTAAATCTAAGATGACAGGCACTTTCAGGGAAAGACAGGACACAATTTTTGACTTACCTAGGGCAGTGATAGAAAGGAAATTGGGCTGGAGTTCAAAAGAGTAGGAAGAATTTCCCAAACTTGTGACAAATTGCTGCTGAGTGTAGGACAGCATGAGAGTATAGAGCTGCTTAAAGCCAGAAACACAAAGGGAGTTTGCATCCATTGCCATGCTCTTCACACATCTCATCACATATTCCGGTGTTGGTATCCCTCGTGCCAATCTGTGGGAGAAGAACAGCCAACACTGTAGAGCAAGAGTTTCACCTGGATCCCTCTTCCCTACAATACACAAGCCTAAACCACTGAGGGAAGAGCAGCAAATGATCTCTTTCATTGATATTATAGATGAAGACATCTTAATATTTTAGATGAATTATAGATGATGACATCTTTCCACATTTTAGGGAGGAAAGAACTGATTTTTTCTCTACCTTTTGTGGGGCGGTAGGAAAGCCTCTGGGCTCAGACTATTTGAGATTCCTTACTGCTTAGGGCAGGACATGATCATTGAGAAAGACACAACCTCAAGAATCAAGGACACAAAGCCTACTTAAGACTAAACCAGGACAACAGAAAACACAAAAGTATAACCTTCTATCCCCACCCTCACCCCTTTTGGGTAGGTTGTCAGGCATATAAGCATAAAATAATAAGAACAAACCACTGGGAGAGGGACAAGAACATATACATATTCTGCATGTAGAGAAAGCCTAAGGCTGGGAGTACTGTAGGAACACAGAAAAATCCTCCTGTAATTCAGCTCCCAATCCTCAAGCACAAGGTAACAGTGGAGCACCCACCTAAACCTGGAGGTGTAAAAAAAAAAAAAAAGAAACAAACCAGCTTCACTGCCAGCTAGATATACTCATAACCTTAATTCACTGTCCAGGAAAGATGGTTGTCACTTTTCAGGCATCAATAGTATTTCTCTCAGCCTCTGCTTGCCAACACATGATGCCTGTGTATAAAATACACAGACACACACACGCACACGTACATACCCATACAACACCCCCACCGCCAAACACATACGAAGGTTAAGATACAACTCAATAAGCAATCAACAAAACTAGAATTAGATTAGGCCCTGATGTTGGAATTATCAGTGAATTTTAAATAACAGTGTCTAAGATGTTAAAGGCTCTAGAGGAAAAGGTGGACATCTTTCATGAACAGATGAGGTATTTTGAAGAGATGAAAAGTATAAGAAAGAATAAAATAGTAATGCTAGAAAAAAATAGAAACATAGTAACAGAGCTGAGGAATGCCTTCAATGGGTCCATGAGTATGCTCAACATAGCTGAAGAAAATATTAGTAAAGGTCAAGATAGGTCAAAAAGGATAACCCAAACTAAGACACAAAGAGGAGAGAGAGAGAGAGAGAGAGAGAGAATGACAGAGAATCCAATGCGATGGGACAATATCAAACAGTCTAACAGATGTGTAATTGGGATACTAGAAAGAGAAGAAGGGCAAAGTATATTTTTAAATATTTAAAAAATATTTTAACGAATAGTTGAATTTTTTATGTAATAAATTAGATCACAAAACCAAAAACTTGGAGAACAGGAATTAAGAAAAGAAAAAAAAATACTAGGTGCAACATATTAAAAGTGCCAAAAGCCAAAGAATAAAACAAGGCAGCCAGAAGAAAACAGCATATTATGTATAGAAGAACAATTATATGAAGTTCAAGCCAGGCACGGTAGCTCACACGTGTAATCCCAGCACTTTTGGAGGCCGAGGCGGGCGGATAATTTGAGTTCAAGACCGGCCTGGGCAACATGGTAAAACCCAGTCTCTACTAAAAATATAAAAATTAGCCGGTGGTAGTGACTCACATCTGTAATCCCAGCTACTCGGGAGGCTGAGGCAGGAGAATCGCTTGAGCCTGGGAGGTGGAGGTTGCAGTGAGCTGACATCAGGCCACTGCACTCCAGTCTGGGTGACAGAGTAAGACCCTGTCTCAAAAAAATAAAAACGAAAATAAAAGAAGAAATACAGCAGTCTTCTTGTTAGATAATATACAATCAACCGGAAGATAATGAATTGGTAACATTAAAGTGCTTTGAAAAAACTTTATAAGCCCAGAATTCTATTATCAATAAAAATATATTTAAAAATAAAGAAAAAAACCTTTTTTTTTCCAGAGAAAAATACTGCTTAGAGAACTTATGACCAATGAGTCTGTCTAATGAGACATATTTTTTAAAAATTCTGTCAGGAAAAAAAAATACCCCATGGTTTCTAGGGCTTTGCAGAATAAATAAATAAATAAGTACCCCAAAGAGAAACTTAAATATAAGTAAATAAATGAAGAGCAATGACAATGAAAATTATACAAATGAAAGTTAAAATATATATATTTGATTTTTATTTTTAATTTCTCCAAAAGGTATTTGCACTTTCTAAGCAAAATTAGAGCCTTCGAATATGTGTTTATAGTATATGTGGAAAACAGAATATATGACAGCAAAGTTCAAAGGTGAGAGGGTGAAATTGGAAGCACATAAAAAATCTAAACTTCCAACTGAACAAACTGGCAAAATCCAAATGAAATATGCCTAAAGCTTGCTAAAAGAATTGAAACAATTAAGATACAAGTAAAAATAATTGAAATTGAAAATAGAAAATCAACAGAGGAAATTGATAAAAAAAAGTTATTTTATAAGATTGATAAAATTAATAAACTGCTAGCCAGATTGACCAAGACAAAACAGAGAAGAAGCAAATAGTAACTATAAAAACGAAAGAGATGACATCACTATATATTCTATGAATACAGACCTGAGATAATTCTGCAAATTACAGATCTAGAGCTAATATTTTCAACATATACACATACACTATAACTTGCTAATAAGAAGGCAAACAGGTCCATTAAAAGTACACAAAATGTGTACAGTGACTTCACAAAAGAGCATATATAAATGATTAATAAGTACATTAAAAGATGCTCAATTTTATCATCAAAGAAATACAAACTAAAAGTGCAGGAAGATACCACTGCAAAATGACCAAAAAATTAGAATTAAAAAGGTCGATAGTGCCTGGGTGCTGTGGCTCATGCCTGTAATCCCAGCACTTTGGAGGGCCGAGGTGGGTGGATCATGAGGTCAGGAGTTCGAGACCAGCCTGACCAATGTGGTAAAACCCCGTCTCTACTAAAAATACAAAAATTAGCCAGGAGTGGTGGCCCATGCCTGTAATCCCAGCTACTCAGGAGGCTGAGGCTGGAGAATCACTTGAACCCGGGAGGTGGAGGTTATAGTGAGCCAACATCATGCCATTGCACTCCAGCCTGGTCAATAGGGCAAGACTCTGTCTCAAAAAAAAAAAAAAAAGGCTGATATCACTCAGTGTTGGTACACATGTGGAGCAGCTGGAACTCTCATACATTGGTGATCAGAATGCAAAATGGTAAAACCTACTTTGGAAAATTGTTGGGAACTTTCTTTAAAAGTTATACATAAACTTGCAATTTGACCATCAGTTCTGCTTTTATTTACCCTGTTGGGGGAAATTCACCCCTGATATTTCACGTAGGTTCTTTTCTATTTTCCCTAAGAGTCAGCCAGTCTGAGAAATAAACGGAAAGAGTACAAAAGAGAGAAATTTTAAAGCTGGGTGTCCAGGGGAGACATCACATGTCGGCAGGTTCCGTGATGCCCCCCAAGCCGCAAAACCAGCAAGTTTTTATTAGTGATTTTCAAAAGGGGAGGGAGTGTACAAATAGGGTATGGGTCAAGAGATCACATGCTTCACAAGGTAATAAAATATCACAAGGCAAATGGAGGCAGGGCAAGATGACAGGACCACAGGACCAGGGCAAAATTAAAATTGCTAATGAAGTTTCTGGCATGCATTGTCATTGATAACATCTTATCAGGAGACAGGGATTGAGAGCAGACAACCGGTCTGACTAAAATTTATTAGGCAGGAATTTCCTCATCCTAATAAGCCTGGGAGCACTACGGGAGACTGGGGCTTATTTCATCCCTTATCTATGATTGTAAAAGACAGCCGTCCCCAAAGTGGCCATTTCAGAGTCCTCCTCTTAGGGACGCATTCTCTTTCTCAAGGATGTTCCTTGCTGAGAAAAAGAATTCAGCAATATTTCTCCTATTTGCTTTTGAAAGAAGAGAAATATGGCTCTGTTCTGCCTGGCCCACAGGCAGCCAGAGTTTAAGGTTATCTCCCTTTTTCCTTGAACATTGCTGTTATCCTGTTCTTTTTTCAAGGTGCCCAGATTTCATATTGTTTAAACAATTAGTGCAGTTAACGCAATTATCACAGGGTCCTGAGGTGACATTCATCCTCAGCTTACAAAAATGACAGGATTAAGAGATTAAAGACAGGCATAGGAAATCAGAAGGGTATTGATTGGGGAAGTGGTAAGTGTCCATGAAATCTTCACAATTTATGTTTAGAGATTGCAGTAAAGACAGGTGTAAGAAATTATAAAAGTATTAATTTGGGGAACTAATAAATGTCCATGAAATCTTCACAATTTATGTTCTTCTGCCATGGCTTCAGCCGGTCCCTCTGTTCGGGGTCCCTGACTTCCGGCAACATACCCAAGAGTAATGAAACCGTATGGTCCCACAAAGACTTTCTCATGAATATTCATTGCAGTTTTTATTAATAATTGTCCAATAATTGGATCAATCCAAATGTCCATCAATAGGCAAACAAGTAAATTAATGTATATCAATATGATTAAATACTATTTAGCAATATTAAGGAAGTACTTATATATATATATATAACAACATGGATGAACATCAATCTTGTTAATAAGCTTTCCTGACACTCATCTGTACCCTTACAACTTTAAAAAAAATTTAATTTATAGGGAAGGTGAGAATGCTCACAGATAAGCCATGGTATAAGAAGATTGATGTTATAATCATCTAATATGGAAAACTTTCACCATGAAGAAAAGGATGCTCAGACCTTAAAACTTGTACCATGGATCCTAGGGTGGAAAAGTAGAGGAGCTGAGCAACTAAAGTCATTTCAATCTTTCAGTTTTCATGTGCTTGCCTCCCCTCCCATACACACACTAAATATGCCTATTTCCCTCTTCTAGGTACCTGGTGATAAATCAACTTTAATACAGGGAAGCAAGCTAGTATATTATAGAATGAACTGTTTATTTATTTATTTTTTTTTTTTTTTGAGACGGAGTCTTGCTCTGTCACCCAGGCTGGAGTGCAGTGGTGTGATCTTGGCTTACTACAACTTCCACCTCTCTGGTTCAAGCAATTCTCCTGTCTCAGCCTCCCGAGTAGCTGGGACTACAGGCCTGTGCCACCACACCCAGCTAATTTTTGTATTTTTAGTAGAGACGAGGTTTCACCATATTGGTCCGGCTTGTCTCGAACTCTTGACCTCAGGTGATCCACCCACCTCAGCCTCCCAAAGTGCTGGGATTACAGGCATGAGCCACTATGCCCAGCCTGAACTGTTTATAAAATACATAATACCTCCTCAAAGTCATTCTGCAATGGGTTAAAGGAGATATACCAATCAGAACCTCAATTGAGACATAGGATATAGTGGAAAAGAGAGTCAATAGACAATTAGATCCAGTATTATGGAAGGCTCATATATGAATCAGAAGAGTTTGATACTTTGATACAGGACTAGGGCTTCTCAAAATGTTCTGCCTAACTATTCTGAGTAGCAGAGAAGAACATAAATAAATATGCCTCAGTGTTCTCAAGGTATTATTGAAGCTGCTTGCCACTTGCCAAAATACTGAATGTTTTTGTGTTATTGTTAAAACTCAGGAGAAATTTGTGTGTTCATGATTAATACAAGATATTAGTATTATTTATCAAAGTATAAAACTTTCGCCTGTATATTAATGTGATGTTGACACTGTGTGAAAATTCCTGTGCTCATGTTGTGGCACTACAGCATGCCACATAGTTTCTCCTAAGGTATGCACACCACTGTTTCACAAGCATGACATAGGCAATAGCTGACACTTTCTACCTTTTTAAACAGAGGCGAAAGTGCACTTTTTGAAAGATTTACGTGAAAGATAATACCTCGAACTTTATTTTTTGGCAAAGAACTTTCATATTTGACCCTTGATTAACCTCTGGCAGTATATCAGAAAAAAGTATATTCATGTCCATTTAAAAATAAATGAGAAAATTGAAACATAGAGAATTTAAATTGCACATGTAAAATCAGAGCCAAGAAAATAAAATATTTTCTGACTCTGAATCCAGTGCCAATTCTATAATCTCTACTCATCCTGAGGAGAATATGGTATAAAACCAATTTATCTTGGATCACATTCAAATGAATTTAGTTGTACCACAATGAAAAGCAGGCAGCTTTATAGGTCATCCTAACATAGACCACAAGGACAGTATTACATAAGTCTGCTAGTACAGTAAGATTTCACATATTGAATTTGCTGGGCAATGTCTGTCCCTGACACAGGTGTGTTTTTTTTAAATACTGAAATGTTACCACTTGTACTTAAAAGAATGAAACTGACATGCTCAAATTTTCTAAAAAGAAAAAAAGCAAAGAAGGTAAAGAGAAAAAGAAAAATACCCACTCTATTGAAAGTAGTTAATATGCCAGGAAGACATTTTTCACAAACCATCTGGGGGTTCTCACAGCTATTTTCAAACTTTTTAGAAGTTCCATGACCAATTAATCTGAGGAATCAACTAGAAATGAGTAAGTTCTCAGTTGCATTCTTGCTCTAAGGGATTACACTCTGGTTGACTTTGTGAGATACTGAACTGCTCTAGTTGCACCCACTGAATCTTATCCTCATTGCCACAAATTTCTGGCTCTTTCAAAGAGTCTACCTGCCCAGAACCATTAAAAAGGAGGTTTTTTTTATTTTTACTATTGCTTTTAAAGTACACTTACTTCTTTGACTAGAGACAGAAGCTTTGAAGGTAGTTGTTGATAACAAACCTGTACCTGATGGGCAACCTGAACATTTGACTGAGTTTTCCACTTGGACTACCTCAAAAGCATTATCATACTAGTTTCTGGTTCCAATAAGGGCAGACTTCCTGGAGTATTCTGAATTGGATTCTCTTGGTCTACTGGGCACAGAAAATCCTGCCAAATTAGACCTGGATTCCTGGACTCCTAGTTTATAAAAAGCATAGAGTGGCTTCCTGGGTATCTATGACCTTCTTTCATATCCACTGATAGCAAAAGTTGCTTGTTTTCCTTTGATCTTATTAGCAAAATTCCCTTTGAAAAAAAACAGAAAAGGAGTAGAGATGATAATAAGAGAATGAGATAAGTAGGCTAACTTTGCAAGTAGCTCCCAAAAGGAATAAACAGGAATTTTCGCTTAAAAATATTTCTCAGGAATTCATATTTGTGTTTTGTCTGTTTTTTTCTTAATAGGTTGGCAAAACTAGAGAGGTGAGCATTTAATCTTTCCTCTTATAGGACTTATAAATGCCGATTTATTTTTCACGTTTCTAGCATATGTGATTTCATTGATAAAAACCTACTAATCACGTTTATATGTTTAGAGATACCATTCACAGCTTCTGTGAATAAAATTCATGGTAAAAAGCAAATGAGAAGTTATGTTAACGGCAACTTAGAAACATACTTTGAAAAGTGAATAGATATTTGTCAGGTTAAATTACAATAAAAAAGACTAGTTTAGTAGTTTGCATACTCCCAAATTTTGGAATCATCTGAGGATCTTAAAAAAAAAAATACTGCTGCCTGAGTCCCACCCCCAAACATTCCTATTTAATTACTGTGGAGTGCAACTTGAGCACTGGGGTTATTGAACTCTCTTCAGTTAAATAGCTAGTCTAGTGGGATCCAAACTACATGAGAAATCTGAAGTCGAGTTAAATTCAGTCTCTTTTTGCTTATTGACTGTAGTGTCTTGAGCAAGACAGTTGACTTCTCCAAAATTTTCTTCCTTATCTGTAAAAAATGGATATTTAGTAATACATTTTCTATATCTCTGATAGGGATTTTGTGAAGATTAAATGTGATATTGTTTGTCACCTTATAAAGTTTTTGTTTGATAAATGTTTGTCATATTTATCAAGTTAAATGTGAAGTGATATATAAACATCAGTTACATGTGTGTATATGTATGTATATGTATATATATGCATATGTACATATATAAACACATACATATACATATTTTCCAGACCTTCACATATTGTGAAGTTCAGATGAGATAATGCATGTAAATATGCTTTGAAGATTATAAAGGCATGCATAAATATAAGGTGTTGTTACTCCTATTGTTGATAAAACAAACTGTAGAAAATTCCATGAAGTACTTGACTAGTAAAAAACACAGGATTATAGCTATAGCATCTGTTTTAAGTTACTTCTCGGCCCTCATCTTTCATCTCTACTTTGGCCCAAACTGTATTAGGTTGGTGCAAAAGTGGCTGTGATTTTTACCATTAAAAGTAACAGCAAAAACTACCATTACTTTTGCACCAACCTTATAGTTTGAAGGACAGCATGCAGTCCCTGACAAATAATCAGGGAAAAGTCATTTTAAGAGAGAAGTGATTTTTTGTTCCTTAGCTCCGGAGTTACACCTAGGAAAACATACCTCGGTTAGATTTCAGTGGCTCCTAAGACTGGCCATATGAGTAGGTGGTATGACCTGAGAAATACCAAGAGGTCCCACCTGCTAAACATATCTTTCCTTAGGGACATTCCTGGAATTCTCCTCATTAGAGACAAAGCAGAAAGTCGCTTTTAAAATGCACAGAGATGTTAGCATATCATGGATTAATGTAACAATTTGACTAGAGAATGAATTTTCAAAAGCTTGATATATTCACAAGGTGGAAAAAGAAATAGCTACATTCATCTTTGCTCTGACAGAAAGTTTTTAACTACCAGACAAAAATAACACTGTCTAAATTACTCGGTCTCCTTACCTGAAATCAGATAGGACATATTATTGGCTATTGTGACCCTATTACCTAATTTCTTACTACCTTGTCCAGATATCTCCAGGTGTCCAAGTTTGCTTCTCCATAGTAGGGTCTATAGTAAACTTTAGAGAGATTTCTTCCTGTTTTTAACAAACATTGATGAAGTTTGTGAGCTCCTTGTTTTTAACAGTTAGAGGAAGCATAAATTTGAGACTTTAACCCAAAAAATTGCAAATAGAGAGACATCCACCAATAGGTATACAAGCATATGCAATTAAAATTCCAAAATGAAGGGCATATTTTTGAGAGACAATTATTTGATATTAAAGGACTATCTTTTAAAATTATTTCTCATGCTTGTGAATACCTTTTTTATATTCCATGTACTCTTGGGAAACAAGGGCAAGGATCCTATTCTTATTTAGCTTTTCATCTTCACTCTCAAAATAATTGTCTCTGAAACTGCCTGAGAAAATTTAAATAGTTCGTCTTAGCCTAATTTAAATAGTAAGGATTTTTTTTCTCTCTACCTAAACACATATGTATAATAGGCTCTTCCTGAAGACTACCTCCTGTACTTTTTCACCTCCTCAAAAGCTGGATTTATTCTAACTTCACTGCTACGTTGGCTAACACTACCGTGCATTTATCACTCCTTTTCACCATTCACAGATTACTGTCCTCTCCAAAGCTTAGCCATGAATCTAGTGCTCCTCTAAGTAATAGATTTCTGCACCATGCACATCCTAACGTTCTTAAGGAGGTTTACCTCAAACCACGTGGCATTTTTTGTTTTGCTTTTAATTTAGAAGGCATTTTACACTACCTTGGGTGTGCTGTTCTCCAGTTGTTCAAGATGCAGAGCAAGTTGCTCTACACAAGACCCTTATAATGCAGCAAATTCAGTGATGCTCAAAATGCTTCTGGCTGATCGGAGCCTATAGCAATCCACAATAAGAAAATCATACTGAAGTCCCACAAAGTTTTGAAGCAAACTTATTCTTTAGCAAATAACTACCTTTCCTTTGAAAAACAGTTCTTATGTTGTTATTAAAATATGCACAAGACTGAATGGCCAACCATGGGATAAATGACCATGTGATTTGCGCTGTCCATCAAAATTGGGTGTTCTATAATGAACCAGAGCCTAAAGTTGAGCATTGTCTAAAAGTCCTTTTTTATTAAGTAGAAGTTAGCTACATAGATCAGGTTAAAGCATAATGTATCCTCATGACCCAGGGAACTTCAGCTTTCTTCCTACTGTTGCCATCGTGAGAGGTAAAGTCATGATGATTAGATAACTCTGTAAATAAATGACATTAATTTCTACACATAAATTGGGTGAATTTTATAGCACAAAGAATATTGTGAAAAACAGCACAAAAATCTTCAATGCATGCAAATTTTACAAAACAATTTAAGTGTCCAGAAATCCCAGGGTGAGATGCAGAATGTTATAAACAAATCTATTAGTAAATGTATTACAAATGTATGAACCAACCTTATTGAAAGGGAAAAGAGAAAAAGATACTGATGTAAGATTTTGGAAATTAATGGAGACTGGAGTAAAGTTTCTTTTCTTACAGGTAAAAAGAACCGTACCTAAGTGCTATACTCTAATTCATACAGTTATTCTCGATTGACATGCAGGTTAACAATTCTGAAACACAATACAGATATACTGAAATTGGACATTTAAGGAAATGTGTGGCAGATAGTAGGAACCAAGTTTCTCACTGTTGGAGTAGAAGAGAAGCAAGAGAGTGGACCCACTGAAGTGGTCCATGTGGAAATGGAATAGAATTGGATATATCAGTATGCACTCTTCATTTGCTTAATGCAGACACATATGCTGGATATAGATTTATAGATATGTAAACATACAAACATATATTGACTTGCTCTTTCAGTTGAGAGGGCATAGAAGTAATGGCACCCTATTAACAATGAGCACAACTAGCACGCAGATCTTTGGGTCTAATATCATTCTCTAATAAAAAAAACTTGGGATGCATGGAGAAATGGTTGAATCTAGAGCTGGGACATGAAATATACAAGATGAACACAGCATTTTGTTCTATCAAAAAGTAAAAAAGGGTTTAAAGAAAAAAATATCCCAACGATGGGGGAATGACAAAGGGATGCATGAGCTAACTGAAGAACACCCAATGGCAAATTTGGGCAACAATGTGAAATATTATTGGATTACAAACCAAAGTAAAAATAACTATCCATGAGTCAATTTTGATATAAAATGATTAAGCAAACACATAAATGAAAAACAGACAAATCTCTCATACAGAAGAATTACAAATATATTTTTAAATAGTTATTTTCTTAAGGAAGAGCCACATAACTTCACACTCATTAAGTATGTGTTATATACACTGATTTATTCCACAAAGTGCAATATGGAAAGGGAGAGAAAAAAATAAATTTACAGTGGATAAACCTGATAAACACTAGCTCAAGCCAGGTGGTCAATTAACATTATCAACAGTGATAAGTCATATTTGTGTATGTATCTTTACCACAATGTACTACAAAGACTGGCATGTTACCTATGTGATCATCCTACCTAAAACACATTACCCCATGTGTAAACTTGAGAAAAACATCACAAAAATTCCAACTGAGGGACATTCTACAAAATATTTAACCAATATTTCTCAAACTACCTAGGTCATTAAAAATAAGGAAAGTCTTCTGAGCGTGATGGCTCGCGTCTATACTCCAAGCACTTGGGAAGCAAAGGTGGGCAGATTGCTTGAGCCCAGGAATACAAGGTCAGCCTTGGCAACATGGTGAAACCTCATCTTCACAAAAAAAAGAGCTGGCATAGTGGCACATGCCAGTGATCTCAGCTACTTGGGAGGCTGAGGTGGGAGGATCACTTGTCCCTGGAGGCAAAGGATGCAGTAAGCTGTGATTGTTCCACTGCACTCCAGCTAGGCAACAGAGGGATACTCTGTCTCAAAATAAAAATAAAGATAAAGTCTGAGAAACTATCAAAACTAACAGGCACATAAGGAGACATAAAACTAATGTAATGTGATATCCTAGATGTGATCCTGATTACTTTCTTTGAGCATTATGTGTAATTTCTTCTTTGATGAATATGTGCATGGTATTTTACATGTAAACTATTGATGGTATCTATTATACTAATTCTGCCATATTTGAGCATAATATTCTATAAGGTACAATAGCCATTACTTGCCCTTTCAAGATTAAGGTCTAAATTAGGTATGCAGTTTTATTTTTTAAAATGTTTGTGTTTATCATATTTGAACTCCTTTAATAATTTTATTAAATGGTTCTTTTTTGTACAGACATATCTCAGAGATACTGCAGATTCAGTTTCAAACTGCTGCAAGACAATGGATATTGAATTAAATCAAGTCATATAAATTTTTTTGTTTCTCAATGCATACAAAAGTCATGTTTACACTACAGCCTGTTAAGTGTGCAAAAGCATTATGTCTTAAAAATGATATACATACATTTATTGAAAGATACCTCATTGCTAAAAATTGCTAATGATCTGGTACAAAAACAGACACATAGACCAATGGAACAAAATGGAGAACTCAGAAATAAGACTGCACACCTACAATCATCTGATCTTTGAAAAACCTAAAAAACAAAACAAAACAAAACAAAAACCCAGCAATGGGGAAAGGATTCCCTGTTTAATAAATAGTGCTGGGAGAAATGGTTAGCCATATGCAGAAAATTAAAACTGGACCCCTTCCTTACACCATATACAAAAACTAACCAAAGATGAATTAAAGACCTAAATGTAAAATCCAAAACTATAAAAACCCTAGAAGAAAATCAAGGCAATACCATTCAGGACATAGGCACAGGGGAAGATTTCATGATGAAAATACCAAAAGCAATTGCCACAAAACCAAAACTGGACAAATGGGATCTAATTAAACTAAGGAGCTTCTGCACAGCAAAAGAAACTATCATCAGAGTAAACAGACAACCTAGAGAATGGGAGAAAATTTTTACAATCTATTTATCAAAGGTCTAATATCCAGAGTCTACAATGAACTTAAACAAGTTTACAAGACAAAAACAAACCCCATTAAAAAGTGGGCAATGGGCACGAACAGACACTTCTCAAAAGAAGACATACATGAGGCGAACAAACATGAATAAAAGCACAACATCACTGATTATAAGAGAAATGCAAACCAAAACCATAATGAGATAGCATCTCACACCAGTCAGAATGACTATTATTAAAAGTAAAAAAACCACTGCTGAGGTTATGGAGAAAAAGGAACACTTTTACACTGTTGGTGGGAGTGTATATTAGTTCAACCATTGTGGAAGACAGTGTGGCAATTCCTCAGAACCCTAGAGGCAGAAATACTATTTGACCCAGCAATCTCATTACTGGGTATATACTGAAATGAATATAAATTATTCTATTATAAAGACACATGCATGTCTATATTCATTGCAGCACTATTCACAATAGCAAAGACATAGAGTCACCCCAAATGCCCATCAATGAGAGACTGGATAAAGAAAATGTGGTACATATACATCCATGGAATACTCTGCAGCCACAAAAACGAAGAAGATCATGTCCTTTGCAGGGACATGGATAAAGTTGGAAGGCATTATCGTCAGCAAAGTAACACAGGAACAGAAAACCAAACACTGCATGTTCTCACTTATAATTGGGAGCTGAATGATGATAACACATGGACCCATAGAGGGGAACAACAAACACTGGGGCCTGTTGGTTGGGTCTGGGGAGGGAGAGCATCAGGAAGAATAGCTAATGGATGCCAGGCTTAATGCCTAGGTGATGGGATGATCGGTGCAGTAAACCACTATAGCACACATTTACCTATGCAACAAACCTGCTCATCCTGCATATGTACCACTGAACTTAAAAGAAAATATGAAGAAAAAATTGCTAATAATTGTCAGGGCCTTCAGAGAGTCATAATCTATTTATTATTTATTTATTTATTTATATTTTTATTTTATTTTGTTGAGATAGGTTCCAGTCCAGGCCAGAGTGCAGTGGTGCAATCTCAGCTCATTGCAGCCTTGACCTCCCAGGCTCAAAGGATCCTCCCACCTCAGCCTCTTGAGTAGCTGGGATTACAGGCACACGCCACCACACCCGGCTAATTTTTCGTATTTATTGTATGTATGTATGTATGTATGTATGTATTTTTTTATTTATTTTGTAGAGACACGGTTTTGTCATGTTGTCCAAGTTGGCCTCAAACTCCTGGGCTCAAGCCAGAGAGTCATAATCGTTTCACTGCTGAGATATCTTACCTTGATGTTGATGGCCGCTGACTAATCAGGGTGGTGATTGCTGAAGGTTGGGGTAGCTGTGGCAATTTCTTAAAATAAGATAACAAACAGTAAAGTTTACTCATCAACTGACTCTTCCTTTTATGAAAGATTTGTCTGTAACATGTGTTGCTGTTTGATGGCATTTTACCCAAGATAGAACTTCTTTCAAATTAGAATCAATCCTCTCAAAGCCTGCTGCTGTGTTATGAACTAAATTTATGTAATATTCTAAATTCTTGGTTTTCTTTTCAACAATATTCACAGCATTTTCACCAGGAATAGATTCCATGTGAAGAAACCACTTTCTTTTCTCATCCATAAGAAGTAACAGCTCATCCACTCAAGTTTTATCATTAGATTGCAGCAATTCTGTCACATCCTCAAGCTCCACTTCTAACTCTAGGTGTCTTCCTATTTCTACCACATCTACAGTTACTTCTTCCACTGAAGTCTTGAACTGCTTAGTCATCCATGATGGTTCTAATCAACTTCTTTCAAAGTCCTGTTAATGTGGATATTTTTACGTCCTCCCTGAATCATGAATGTTCTTAATGGCATCTAGAATGGTGAATTCTTTCCAGAAGGTTTTCAGTTTGCTTTGTCCAGACCCATCAGAGGAATCACTATCTATAGCAGCTATTTCTTTACTTTTTTTTCTTCTAGACAGGATCTTGCTGTTTCACCCAGGATGCAATGCAGTGGTGTGATCATAGCTCACTGCAGCAGCCTTGAGTTACTGAGCTCAAGTGATCTTCCCACCTCAGCCTCCTGAGTAGCTGAGACTAAAGGCACATGCAAGTATGTCCAGCTATTTTTTTTAATTGTATTTTTAATAGAGATGAGATCTCACTATGTTGCGTAGGCTAGTCTCAAATTCCTGACCTCAATCAGTCCTCCCGTCTCAGCCTCCCAAAATGCTGGGATTACAGGCATGAGGTACCACACCTGGCCTCTTAAATCAAAATACTCAAAGGTCAAAATTAGTCCTTGATCCACTGGCTGCAGAATGAACATTTAGTTGGCAGGTATGAAAATAACATTGATCTTCTTGGACATCTCCATCAGAGCTCTTGGATGACCAGAAGCATTGTTAATAAGTAGTAATATTTTGAAATGAATCTTTTTTACTGAGCAGTATGTCTCAATAGTGGGCTTAAAATATTCAGGAAACCATGCTGTAAACAGATGTACTTTAATCCATGTTTTATTGTTCCATTTATAGTGTCCACACAGAGGTTGAATTAACATAATTCATAAGGGCCATAGGATTTTTGTAAATTAGGCAAATAAGCATTCAATTTAAAGTCACCAGCTGCCTAAGTCTTCAAGAAGAGAGTCATCTTGTCCTTTGAAGCTAGGCATTGATTTCTCCTTTCTAGCTATGTAAGTCCTAGAAGGCATCTTCTTCCAGTAGATGGCTTTCTTGTGTTGCTTATTGTAGGCAGCTTCATCAGTGATATAGGCTAGATCTGGATAAATTGCTGCAGCTTCTACACCAGTACTTCCTGTTTCAGCTTACACTTTTATGTTATGAAGACA
Organism: Homo sapiens; assembly: GCF_000001405.40. Taxonomy (NCBI): domain Eukaryota; kingdom Metazoa; phylum Chordata; class Mammalia; order Primates; family Hominidae; genus Homo; species Homo sapiens. The sequence continues at coordinate 103,448,682 of NC_000001.11, forward strand.
GCCTCTAACCTTAAACCTCATGAGCCAACCTCTGCTAGTTTCAGACTTTTCTTCTGCAGCTTCCTCACCTCTCTCAGTTGACACAGAATGAAAGAGAGTTACAGCCTTACTCTGGATTAGGTTTAGGTTTACAGGAATGTTGTGGCTGGTTTGATCTTCTATCCAAACCACGAAAACTTTTTCCATATCAACAATAGGCTGTTTTCCTTTCTTATTCATGTGTTCACTGGAGTAGCACTTTTAATTTCCTTTAGTAACTATTTTTTTTTCCAGTAACCACTTGGTTAACTGTTTGGCACAAGAGGACTAGCTTTTGGCCTATCTCAGCTTTCAGCATTTATGCCTTTTTCACTAAGCTTAATCATTTCTAGCTTTTGATTTAAAGTGAGAGACATGTAATTATATGTAATTCTTCCTTTAATGTGAACAGTTATAGGCTATTGTATGATCATTAATTGGACTAATTTCAATATTGTTTTGTCTTAGGGAATAGGGAGGCCCTAGGAGAGGGAGAAAGACAGGCGAACCATTGGTCTAGTGGAGAAGTCAGAACACAATACAAATTTATCCATCAAGTTTGCCATCTTATATGGGCCTGGTTCATGGTACCCCCAAAACAGTTACAGTAGTAACATTAAAGATCACTGATTATAGATTACTATAACAAACCTAACAATAACTTAAAATTTTGGAATATTGTGAGAATTACCAAAATGTGACACAGACATGAAGTGAGGGAGCACATGCTGTTGGAAAAAGTGACACAGATAAACTTGCTTACTATAGAATTGTCACAAATCTTCAGTTTGTAAGAAAATGCAATATCTGTGCAGCACAATAAAGGGAGGCATGCCACCATATATTCTCTTGTGTATGAGTTTATTGAAACAAAGCATGTGATGTATTCCTCTTAAGTCTTATAATTTCTATAGTTTACGTTAAAATGGGTCTTATATAACAGCCTAATAGACTAATTTTTCAGTATTATTTATCTACCATGACTATAAAAAGAGCTATTTAGTCTTTAGCTAATATTTAGAATAGATATATAACTAGCTTTATAAGCCTTTTTTTCCCTGAAATATGTTGAATAAAGTAAACCCTGTATTTTACTTTTCTTAAATTTCTACATTTATTTAAATAAAAATGTTACCTAGCCAAGTACAACACCAGTTTGGTAAAGCTGAATTCCAGCAAAACATGAGCCAGTTCCACACATACAAATGAATGTGGCCTGGTAGATGCTAAGCTTTATTTTTCTCTTAACTACTAATTAAAGCAGTGTCTGTAAAACAAAACCTAAACTATGTGTTGGAAAAACTGAAGATTTCAACTCTATTGTTTTAGGAACAAATATGCTCAAAATACCTTATTCCATTCTTAACAAGCATGAAGAATCTGGTCTCCAGACTGGCCTACATCACAAATTTATTTGCAAATATGAGATTCCTCCTGCTCTCTTTATGTACCATGCTAAATACAAAATAAGGTCTAATTTCTCTTTTTAGACTACAATCCACTTGAGGGCAAAGACCTCTTAAATTTCCTGGGACCCACAATCTGCACTTTTGTAATAATTGGAAACTACAATAAAAATCTCTTCTTGAGTTGCTGTGGTCATTTTCTAAATGGCCCCAGTTGTAGTCAAGACAACCTAATCAGATAGCTGGTGACCAAGTATTTTCAACCTTCTTCCAAAAAACAATTTGACCCAAGGCTATTCGATATAGTCTTTACACGGGAGAAGTCACAACACCAAAGACTTATGTTGTCACCCACAGTGAGGCTGAGGTTCGTTCTTTTCTAATTATTAATAGTTCTAATCAACCAATATTTCTCCAGACTTATTGAAATGCCCAAAAAGAATTTAAAAAATAAATTTGTAAATTAAGTCTTCAAAAATATTTTACAATTATTCATTATCAGGACTAACAAGACGGTAGGAGGAGTCAGTAAAAATAACCAGCACTGATAGTTCCTAGGTACATAACATTAAAAAGTCCATGTGCATATTTTTGCCTGGCTGTTCCTTATAAATATTTTTAACAAGAATCTAACCCACTTTTAGTGCCTGCTAATTGTGAAATTATTAAATGATATGTTTGATATCGCTTATCAAATAAAGGCATTGAAACAATGTAAATTCATCTTATCTTTGTGTTGATGGTTAGCTAGAACTGCATCATTCTTTCTTCCCCCCCAAAATGAATTTGTCATGTGTGTGGAGAAGCAATATGATATTGCATACTACATGAAAAACAATTGTCTGTGTAATAGGAGATGTGGACTCTTGCCATTTCTTTTTTACTGTCATTTGTGAGTTACTTAACCTTTAGGCTTCTCAATTTATCTATATTTAAAATAAAGGTGCTGTGATAAATGACTTCTAAGATGTGTATCAATTCTGAAGTTCTGGACAACCATATGGAAAGATCATAGTAAACAGATTTTCTAATTAAGATAAAAGAATTCCTGAAGAAAGGAAAATGTCACCAAAAGCAAAATAAAAAATTACTGTATTTTTACAGGTAAACAATATTGTAAGGAAAAAAATCAATAAATAGAAAAGAATCAACCAGCATCTATTTTTGTTTTCATCTAAGATAAATATGAAGAAAATTGAATTTATTGAACTAAATAAAGAGCTTTCAACTCTATTATTTTATTTGAAATTTTTATTATTAAAGCTGTATTTTTTCTGGGATAGTGTGTTATATACAGTTAAGAAGATTCTAGTTTCCCTAGACAGGACTATAAGATCTTGGAGGACAGGTGCATATTTTCTTTTTTCTCTTTTATCATTTGAGTCACTTTTATGGAATAAGGCCACTGTCAATCTGTTTCTTTCCATTCACTCTGAATTGCTGGCACAAGCATGAAGCTTCTCTGTAATACTCCCAAATTTTAAACTGGTATAAAAAACTCCCTGCACAGAAACATCTGGTATAAACACTTGTGGGGCAGATTGGAGATTGTCTGGGACACCTCCCTGTCTTATCTGCCTCCTGTATCTATCACTTGTTTTCTGGATCACTTTGTGGGTTCCTTGGAGATCTCCAATCACTGAGGTCTTGTACCAACGGCTCCCTTGATGAGTGCAAAAACCTAGCTACTGGATAGTTTCTTATGATACATATCCTCATTGTCCGTATCTTTCTGTTGTGGTCTCTCCTCTTCCTTTTAGACAAGCATCTGATAATGGGTCTAAGACAACCCCTGCAGACTCCTTGTTGTAAGAGCCTACATCTGGAGCAGAGGAAACATTCAGCTTTAGTTTAATCTCAGTGAGAGTGCAGTTACCTTCTACCTGCATCCTCTGCTATGCTGCCACAAGCTGCTTCAGTCAAACTTTGCTGTTTTGATTTCTTACATGTAAATCAGACACCTGTAAGTCTCTATGTCCCCCAGGCTGTAAGGGGAACTTACCAAGTTGTACTTGTATTGTTCTTAATGTCTTTCTCATTTGACTTGTAAGTGGGAAAGCAATCCATTTCCATTCGTGAGGACCCATATTACCTTGGCAGTCTTTCCAACTCCCTACTTTCTAACTGAATTATTAACATTCTCTTATATAAACACTGACCTTTCCAAAGCTGATTTTTAGTAACTTCCCTTGTAATTAGTACTTGATTGTATTGTGGCTCTCTCTCTCAATGAAGGGAAGAAGGTGTACAGTCATCCCTTGGTATCAGCAGGGGCATTTGCTCCAGGAACCTTCCCCTCCACCAGAGATACCAAAATCTTTAGATGCTCAGGTCCATGATATAAAATGGCACTGTATTGGTATGTAACCTACACACATCCTCCCATACACTTAAATCATCTCTTGATTACTTATAATACCTAATGCAAAGAAAATCCAATGTAAACAGTTGTTATACTATATTTTTATTTCTATTTTTATTGTTGTTGTTATTTTTTAGTTTTTTATTTAACTATTTATTTTTTGAATATTTTTGATCAACGGTTGTTTGAATCTGTGGATGTGAAACCCATGGATACAGAGGGCCAACTGAATATAGAGTATAAATATAAGAAGACAAATTTGTGCTATTGTGCTGGGGGCCCTACTGTTCACCAGCACTGTGACCATGATCAAGTTATTTAAACTTTCTGCATCTCAGTTTCTCCACCTGTAAAATACACTAAATAATACCATAAATCTCATGGAGTTATGAGAATTAAATTAATTATGTACACATTCTTACACGCAACTCTATACACGTCAGCATATATACCTGCCCAGTATGTATACACACTTACATATATTCTGTACTGTGTTTATGTATATATGTATATATGTATTCATGTTCACTAATAATATACTATATATAATTATTAGTATACAGTATATACAGACTTGTCACTTATTTTATCACTTATTTTATTCTCAGTCTATGTATGCCTTAACATTGAGACAAAATTCCCATTTTAAGGTGCAAAAGTGCATAAATAACAAAGTAAGGTATAATAAATACATTTATATATAAAGTATAAGAAAAATTTATAAGTAAACTATGTATGTTGTGTATGTATATTTCACAAAAATGTCTGAAATGCATATGAACACCAATTTTTGGGCTAAAAATCGTCTTTTTGTCTAACAAAATAGAGTTCATAAGTTCCACTAAAAAGTGGTTGTCATTATTTTAATAATATTAATACTACACATATATTGCAGTTAGTGTTCAAAATGTGTTCATTACCTGATTTGATTTATATCATCTAATTTGAAGCAAAAAGCATTTCACACTGCATTATTACACTTTTATTCATTTTTACATGTAAAGAAGCTGAAATTAAGAAACATTGTGAAACTTAGATAAGGTGACCAGCAAAAAAGATGAGGGAGCTAAAAATAAAACAATGCTCCAGCGAGTCCTTATTGAGTGATCTTTATATTACTCGACAGTGCTTTGGTACAAGAGCTGGTCAGTTTATTAGCTGTGATTGCATAGCATTTGTGAAATCTTTATAAGATATATAATTAGTATGTTGAACATGCAACTTGTAAGATAAGCTCAAATCACAATTCTGTTTTATCTCTAATACCCATTTAAAATTCATTAAGTTTGGCTAATCTTTCCTGCCCCTGGGTGGAAAATTGTTTTAGATTTTATTACTTTCCAGCCTACTCTTAGGTAGTAAGTAGTTTATGACTCCTTAAGTCACAAAACACTATCTCAATTCAATAATTATAATATATACAATCAAAATTATTAATCAATGTTTCAATGGCCATTCAAATTATGACTTCTTCCCAAAGCCAAGGCCTATAGTTGCCTTCCTCAACACAATGAGAATGGTTGGTTTTCATCTACGCTTTTCCTTTACATGTCTACCTCCTCCTTCACTGAGTAGCTGTTTTCTCAGAACACTCCAGGGTCAAAGTAAGCAGGAATGGTAAGAGAATGAAATGTTGTTGTCCTTGCTGATTGTGCCATATTCTCTGTGCCTGACATGAGGATCAAAGCTTATTCTCTTATGAGATGCTTTTGTGGATTGGATTTGGAAGTTTCCATAGCTGCGGCATTTCAGTCTCCTGGCTGGATGCTTCCAATTCAGCCCCAAAAAGGTTTCAGTGAGACCATCCAGGAGCTTTATATGTGTTTCCTGATATTGGAGGGTCTTGAAACTTGGAGTCAGACACTTGCCTAGTCTATTTAAAGGGTGAGAAAAGGAGAAAAGGGCTGACTATCTGCTTGGTGTAGAGCCAGGAGTATTGCTGCTGCTTTCAGACTGATATGGTCTGAAATTCAGGTCTATTTTAAGAGACAGTATAATAATGAGATCTTCGCAAAGTACTTAGAATATCCATTTCTTTTTCTCTTATTTTCTATTTTTTTTCATTGGTTCATGTAGGATCAGAATGAAGGATGTTGGCTTTGACAGCATCACTGGTGAGAATTGCTAGAATTTAGGTATAAATAGAAAATGCCCTGGTTACAGTTAAAGATTGAAGTGACTGCATTGCCCACATTTACAACTAACTCTGATATGTGCCCGCTGAAGCAACAAGAGCAAGAAGAATCCAGATAGTAGCTTGCAGCAAACTGTAAACTGCCAAGGCTTTGGGGTACCATTAAATGTCCAGAAGTCTCAATGTGAGTTCAAATGAGGTTGTAGGAAAGCAGAGATAAATGATTCAATAAAACTAGCTTTGTTAGATTAACTGGCAGGAGACTTAGATATTTTCTTTTATGTACGTATGTATGTATGTATGTATGTATGTATGTATGTATGTATGTATTTATTTTTTGGAGACAGAGTCTTGCTCTGTCACCCAGGCTGGAGTGCAGTGGCACAATCTGGGCTCACTGCAACCTCCGCCCCCTGGTTTCAAACAATTCTCCTGCCTCAGCCTCCCGAGTAGCTGGCACTACAGGTGCACATCACCACGCCCGGCTAATTTTTTTTATGTGTGTGTATTTTAGTAGAAATGACGTCTCACCGTGTTGCTCAGGCTGGTCTCGAACTCCTGAGCTCAGGCAATCCACCCGCCTCGGCCTCCCAAAGTGCTAGGATTACAGGCGTGAGCCACTGTGCCTGGCCAGATATTTTCTTTTGAATTTTATTCTTTGTAATAAGTATAGAAGGTATGACTTTCAGTTTCTAAAACTTAAGTGTGAAAAATTACTAACTGTATTTTATTATAAATATACTTAATTTATACTATATGCTCCCATTTTGCTGGGGAGTAGAAATAAACTTGGTCAATTTAGAGTAATCTCAATCATTTCAGTTACTAGTCTTCCTTACAAACACTGCAAGTAAGTCATGCACCTCATAACAAGTAAGTCATGCACCTTGTAACAATGCTTCATTCAGCAATGAACACATATATGTAGTCCTATAATATTATAATATTGTATTCTTACTGTACCTTTTCTATATTTAGATGTGTTTAGATACACTAATACTTACCACTGTGTTACAGTTGCCCAAGTGTTCAGTACAGTAACATGTTGTGCAGTTTTGTAGCCTAGGATCAATAGGTTATACCATATAGCATAGGTCTATAGTAGGCTATACCATCTAGGTTTGTGTAATACACTATATGATGTTTGCACAATGATGAAATTGCCAAATTATGCATATCCCAGAATGAAACCCCATTTTTGAGCAATACATGATGTGTATAAGAGGGTATTATCACACAATTAGCAGGTTATATATGGTTCTCTGCAATCACTTCACACTAACTTCCAATGTGTCGTACATATTTTCTCCTGGTCCCTGTCATTGACCTATGCAGATTTCAGCTGTATCATCCTCCTCTTTAAAATAATTTCTCCGCCAGTCTCTTAGTTCTTTGTGCCATGTCCATGCTACCCTCAGCTCACCGGGAAAACATTCTGCTGCTCTGTAGGCTTTATTAAGAGCCTACAGGGACAAGAGATTCTGAGAAGCCATCTTAGGTCTATTATCTCAGACCTCACCGATCTCTACTCTTTTGTTCTCCATACATGGGGAGGGGACATGGCTGGAGACAGGGGAAGAGAAGGACAGTATAAAGCTTGACAAGTCTGTAAGCTCCACTAGGGAAACTAGTTGTCTTAATTCTAGAACCTCAAGCTTATGTATTTGTTGTATTGTTAATCATCAAACACAACCCAGGCATTGGGAAAACAAAGTATTTAAGAGCCCTTTTCAAATAACATATCGACATCTAAATACCCTTCTTCTGTTTCTTGTCCTCTCTCCAACCCAGGAAATTTTTCTTGGTGGATTTGAAAAAACTGGCTTTGATTGATAATAAGTTTAAGTATTAGAAAGTGACTTTTTCCTTCTATCATTTATTGTGTATACGTGTGTGTTTCCAATTATTTACATCTTTGCTTTTGAAACTTTAAAGTCTATACTTTAATTTTATTGTTGTTTTACTGTTTCACCTCTTTTCTTTTCTTTTTTTTTTTTTTTTTTTTTGAAATAGAGTCTCCCTCTGTTGCCCAGGCTGGAGTGCAGTGGCACGATCTCGGCTCACTGCCACCTCTGGTTCCCAGGTTCAAGCGATTCTCCTGGCTCAGCCTCTTGAGCAGCTGGGATTACAGGTGTGCACCACCACACCTGGCTAATGTTTCATCTCTTTTCTAGGACATAAGCTCAGAAAACCCTGCTTCCTTCCTGCTAGAACTCGGGTTAGTACTAGTGGATATTGGGGGTAGGGTAAAGAATACCATGTAGTAACCAAAAGAGGAAAAATGTATCAAAATGTTATACTGCTACAAAAAGATTAGGTAATTGTGTTTCTTAGAGAAGGCCTATATAATTCAATAATAGTTTCATAAATAGATTTGTATTTGCCTTTAAGGAAAAAATAAGTGTTTTCTGAGTCTTCAGTAATATACATCTAAAATCAGTCTTCAAGTTAGGACTAAGCTAAATACTGGGTGCAACAACATTCTTGGAACAATTATCAGGATCGTTGGAAAGACTAAAAAAGGAATGATATAGTCACTTGCAGGAAGGTGTGTCTAATAAGCTTTGCCTATTTTATTAATAATAAATATCACAATTGGAACATTCTTTGGTTTTTTCATACATGAAACAGAGTACTAAAACCCACAGTGTACCTTAATCACAGAGAGATCTGATCAAATAAAAGTTTCAAAAATAGCTGTGAATTTATTCTCAAAAGTTTAAGCTATGAAATACACCTGAGATTAACTGTAATTACAATAATCAATATGCTCAAATTCTTTCAAATTGGATATAGTCTATGTTTTTATAAAGAATTCCCTAAATTATCTTAGTATTTTAAATCTTTAAATCACTGAATTAAAATATAATTAGACCAAACTCAAATATATTAGAAGAGATGCAAGGTAAAATTATCATATTAGGTTGTATATGATATTTATTATATATGCGTGAGTTTTGTGTATCTATTTGGTATTTTAATCTTGCATCTCTTTCAAAATTATTATATATATATTTATATATGTATTTATATATTCACACACATATACATTAGTAGATGTTTATTTTATAGATTCTAATATCATGCCCTAATTAAACTTCTGTATTGCTCTTCTAGAACATGTAATATGAAGTAAAACTCAATTTCAGTGGTTCTGTACTCTGCTCTTTAGAAAATCTAGAAAAAAGAGTTGCAATGTAAGTCGAAGACAGAACATTGAAATTGATTCATATTTCACAGGGATCTGCAGAACTGTGGGTCTAGATTGCAGCTCTTAGCCACTAGCCAGCTTTGCCTGTATTTCCATGATAGGCTCTGTCTTCACTTTTTAAAATACTAACAGGCTTCTTGTGGGTGGGATCAAATGACTGCCCCTCTCCCTTCACCTGTGAAATTTCAGAGCCTATTTGAAAAGGGCCATTGTTTCCCAGGAATGCCAGTCCTAGTCCAGGAAAGAAAGTCTTCATTTCAACAGGAATTTGGAGCCTGCCTGAGAAGGGCCAGCCAGTTACTTGGTGAAAACTGTGGCAATTCATTCAAGTTCTGAACAGTTACTATCCTGGCCTTACTTGCTTACTTTCAACTCTTAAGCTTTATGACTAATATGTTTTTTCCCTTAAATTATAAATGGGTGTGTGTGTGTGCGCGCGTGTGTGTTTGTGTGTGTGTGTGTGTGTGCGTATCTGTGCTTGCATGTCACAGCAGAGAGAAGTAAGTGCGTATGAAGTGCGGCGTGTGCACAAGCAGTGAGCTGATGAAGAAAAACCTCTCTCCCCAAACAGTGAGCTGCTGCCATGAGCAGGACACATAGGTTCCTCTGTTCCAACTTCTGCCCCTACATTTACAGCACTAGAGTGCATTTATGTGAATAGGCTCATATGTTTAACAAGCATTTTGAAATAGGTTCCCAATAAAATATATTTGTACAAGAATACAAAACAAAGATACAGTACTTGTATTCAAGACCTGGACAGAAGGCCCCTGTCTGAAACACATTAAAAAATAATTTCTAAAGTAAAATTAGGACTAGAAGCCAAAAGAATACATTGCTTTAGGAAGAAAAAAAGAAAAAATCACCTTGATACAGAGTCAAATCTTTCTTGTTTGAGTCTACATGTACTAGCAGTTTTACTATCTAAAGTTCTTACTGTTTAGAGTTCTCTCACATTTTCTGCAAAATGACTTGGAAATTCTCCAAGATTTGTTTATTATACTAATAAGATATTTAAACTCACAGAATCCTTATTAAGAAAATCTACCTTTGCCCCTCAACAATTTCAAATCATCACCCGAACATTCAAACTAACATGTAAAAATAAAAACCAAAAAATAAAAAATAAAAATGAAACAATGATAATGTCAATGAACTTGAAAGCAAAGCATTTCCACTTAATGTGTGTTTATTAACAGAGAAAGAAATAGTGACGCCAATACAGCTTCAGAATAGGATTTTGGAAATATTTTTTCAAGGCAAGGACAAGCAGCCCTGAATATGAAATGACATTATTACTAAATTCAACATCTAAAGATTTTGGAAAGCTTTTTTTATGATTCTGATATGTCACACATTTAATCTCTCATTTAAGAATAAAACACCATTAATTTGTGGTGAACTACCAAAGAATAATTTTCCAAAAAGAATAGTCAAAAATTAGAAAATAGAGTAAAACAGAGGTTAATCAACTCAAACGATGACTTTTTTCTTCTCTTTTCCTTCATCAGATGTTTCCTGTGATCCTGTGCAAAACCTGATGTTGTGACATTAGTAGTCGTTGGACTTGAGGATACATGGTGCACAAAAGGAAGCTTGTCCTTTTGGGACCTGGTTTTGAATCAGTTTCAGACGACAGAAAAATACGCTTTTGTGGCTGCTAAAGTTCAGGAATGAATTCTGGCAGTCTTACCCAATTCCCTAAAGCAGAGTCCACATTACCAACATCTAATTGGCAGGCTTTGCTTGTAACTCCCACTAGGGCCAGGGTAATGAATGGATTTAGTGAAGGTGTCCTGAGTCATCTGTACAGTGGCTGGTCTGGGCACTAAGGCTTTTCCTTATAACCTCCCCAGACATGTCACTCAAGGAGAAGAGAGAGAGGCTTATGTGCACACATAATGGGGACAAGACACAGCAGTTTTATTAAATTGTAGTCCCAAAGAGAATTGTTCTCCTTATTTGATCTAGAAAAGTAAAGAAGTCTTAGGAAAAAAAAACATATTCTTGTTGAATCACTTTATTCTTTAATTTCCATTTTATAAACTTTTATATTTGGCTTGAATATTCAACTATGGTTGAATGGGACTTCATCCAGGCCTACTCCAGATTATTCTTTAGGCAGGCAGGGAAGAAATTTGGACCATTTCTGTCTAGAAAAGCATCTAAGGGTTTACTTTTATTACTAAGTAACTTTTATTCCCTATGTCTGAGAGAGAGAGAAAGAGTTTGGTTACTCCTAGTTTCATACATACCAATAGCATTAAATGTTTAATGTTGATTCATCATTATTATGTTAATTTTAAAAATCATTTATGCCAAATAGTTTGAATGTAGTATTACATCTCCTCTTCAGTAAAGTTCCACCAGTCTCCCAAATCCAGCAATCAAGATTGGACATTGACAACTTCAGTGCCAATAATAGGGCCTCTCTCAAATTAGGAGCATAGGAGAGAGGTTGAGAACAAGAAGAAAATGGCAATCATGGAAAATTTAAAAAGTGATTTGTTGATGTTAAAGAAAACACTCTCACTTTCTACCAAGAGAATTTTGATGAAGTAGTATTGCTTATTTTCTTAACAAGCATTTTTAACACTGATTCCTCTTGAACTCATGTATGAGAGACACTGCTCTCTGAAAGTCACAGGGAATTGTATCTTTAGAGTATTTTCAAGCATTGCTATGTTCTTAAGCCCCCTTCATTTCCCAGAAGCAAAAATCAACACATATATGACACTCCAATTTTTTTAATGAATAAAAAGATAAAATAAAGTCTAAGGAACAAAATCCACATTGAAAAGTTAGGTGCTTTGAACTTTCTCATCACCTTACCAGTGTTTCCGCACGGGCAGTCTAAAAGACAACTCAGCAATGTCTGAATGGAACTGCAAACAATGGCTCCTTCACAAGTTGGTCTTTAATTGATTACGGCTGTGTTTATGGAAGCAGAAGAGAATTTACACAAAATGACAGATTCCCTTCATTCTGAGGGCGTTTTACTGGCATTCATGGTAAGGATGGTTTTTCTATTGAACAGTCTTCCTCTCTTTCCCTACCTATATCCACCTGGTTGCCATCTAACTGAAAAGGCTATAAGTTGATTACTTTATATCACTTTTTATTAGTGTTTTCTGCTCAGTTTTTTTTTTTTTTTAATGGGTAAAATTCACACTTCCTAGGATACATCTCAAGTTCAGAGAATTCAAACAAGGTCTGGTTTCCCTTTGCTTGTCATAGATTCTTATATTAAATACTAGAGAAGATAATTAAATAGAAAAGTATTAAAACTCAATTCAGTAGGGTCTGTCTTCTGTCAATTTGCTTAAGGAACTATGGAAATTGGAAGTTTAGGAAATCATATGATTTGGCTAATTTATTCAGGTAGTAATATCTACTTTAATCATTTAACTATCTAAAAATATAATTTTAAAGCTGTGTTACATTTTATGATGTCTTAGTGCCAGGTAGTGTTATAATCTTTCTACTAATTTGGAGCAGACAGAAATTAAAATTTAGCTATTTAACCTGTAATTGCAAAAAGCTTTTCATTTGTCTGTTAATAGTGACCTCTACAGGTCAATCATAACAATAGCATAGAATCCCTAGGTAGCTGCTCTAGACTCAAGATTTATTTAGTGAACAGTGGTATAATTGTACTATTAAACTTAAAATATCTTAGACCCTCAGTGCCAAACTATATTTTAAATTTTTAAGCTCAAGACAAGAATGTAATTGTCTTATATACATTTGTGGAGTCTAATTTCAAAACAAACTAATACTTGACAAGGTCTTAGCTGATTTAGTCAAAGAGAATTAATAAATTTTGAAGAAATAGCTTAGAAGCAGAAAACCCCAAAGTGTATGTAATGTTAATCTTTTTATAATGTAAAATTAAGAAGACAACATTATATTATAGATTCTTTTTCTGAAAAGTATGTGAATATGGAAAGTTGACATAAAAAAATGAATCTATCTTACCTCAGAGCTTTGACAGTATGTTTTTTCTTATTCACCAAGGAATTACTTTTAAAACAATACTACAAATGAGTAATTGTGGAACATTTGCATTTATAAGACTACATTGTACACTATTGTTTTCTTAATATGTGACTAATGCATGGTTTTTAAATGACAATGTACTTCGATAAGTCCACACAAGTTAAAGTATCCTGGTTTGAAATACTAAATTTGATAAGTTTACACAAATAAACTGAGAAACATTTCAATATTGCTACATGTAATTAAATTATATATTGGACTTTTATTCTAAAACTTTCTTTTACTCAAGTCAGCTAAAAAAATATTCAATTAAATAACTAAGCTTTCTAGTTTTGATGTTATTTTTCTCTAGTTAAACTGGATGTTCTAATGAACCGCTGAAAACTATAAATTCATACATCACATTGTTCTGACTCCAAACTCTTATTCTTTCATCTACTTCCTGTATTTTTGACTTCACTGAGCCATCATGTTCACTGAAATCTCTATATTTTTCCTAGCCATGGCACTCTCTTGTTAATACCTTACATTCCTTGACTCTATTCTATTTGTGCCACTAGGCTAGCAGAACTCCAACCCTCAATGTCTGCTTTTCTACCTTGGTAGGCCTATTCTCAGAAGGAGGAACTTGACAATATGAGAATATGATTAAGAAATACAAGTATTTCCCAGTAAAATGAGGCAGAATCTCTTGAAAATAACAAGATATGATTGAAATATCTTTGGCTTTCTGAAGTTAATTTTAGTCAATATTAAATGAATTTTTGCTCTCCCATTTACTTGCTAAGACTCCCTCTAAGCCTCAATTTCCTCTTGTGTAAAATGAGCATAAAAATATCTATATCATAGAAAAATTAGTATGAGTGGATGCTTAATATTTGAAAAGCACTTGGAATAGTGCTTGGCACAGAGCTTTATATGTGTTAAAGAAACTGATTCTACTAAAATTCACACAACAGTAATGAGTCAGAATTTTGAAAAATCTTGGAAGTACTCATTCTGTCTCATGTCTTTAAAAATGTTCTGCTTCTAATCTTGCCATTAAAAATGGAAACCTATTTTTATGCATGCCACATACATTTCACTAATTATGTTATTAACTCTGTAGTGCATTTTTCAATAGAATACTGAAAATGATATTTACTATATTTTTATTTTAAAATTATGCATAATCACCTCACATCCATTAGAATGGCTACTATTAAAACTAACAAAGAAAATAAAAAAAAAAAAAACAAGTGTTGGCAAGCATGTAGAGAAATTGGAACTCTTGTGCATTCTGGTAGGAATGTAAAATTGTGCTGTGGCTATAGAAAATAGTGCGGAGATTCCTCAAAAAATTAAAAATAGAATTACCACATGATCCAGCAATCCTACTTCTGGGCACACGTCTAAAAGAATTAAATGCAAAATATCAAAGATATATTTGCATATTGTGTTTTTTTATAGCAGTACTATTCACAATAGCCAAGAGGTGGAAGCAATCCAAATATCCACTGATAGATAAGTAAATAAAAAATGCAATATTTACACACACACACACACAATGAGATATTATTCAGCTATAGAAAGGAAGGAAATCCTGTTACATACATGGAATGTATGTAACACATGGAATAACCTTGAGGACATTATACTAAGTGAAATAAGCTAGTTACAAAAACACAAATAATATATGATTCTAGTTATATGAAGTATCTAAAGTAATCCAATTTATAGATAAAGAAAGTAGAATGGTGGTTGCCAGCAGCTACAGGGAAAGGGAAGTGGGGAGTAGTTAATGGATATAGAGTTCCAATTATGCAAAATAATGATGTTCTGGAGATCTGTTGCACCACAGTGAGAATATACTTAGCACCTCTGAACTGTGCACTTAAAAATGGTTAAGATGGTACATTTCTGTATGTTTTTTTACCAATATTAAAATTTTAAAAATTATGCAATATTTTAAGCATAAAGGAAATTTTCCAAAATAATATATTAAGCATCCCTGCGCGCATCACATACATAAATACTACGAACTTAAGATTAGAGAAGTACTTCCTGGATCTTCTTGCCTGAATGTCATGAAGATCTGTATTCTGAATATAAGAACCTGTTATAAAAAAGGGTTTGGAGGGAGAGAGCAGATATATAAATATATAAATAATCTGATAAGGCTCAATTTAGCAGTAGATATAAGGTAGTCTAGATGATGAAAAGATGTTCTGAATTCAGATATTTTGTAGAATGCATTCAGGTACATTGCAGAAGTGATAAAATTTTGTTTAATGATGTCACTTTTTCTGTCCCCCAAACTCTCACCAAAAATGCCTAATTCTTTAGAATAAGTTCCATGAGAACAAAGCAAAAAGAATATCTGTAGGAAAATATTAAAGGTAGCTTCACTTTATTTCAAAATCTCATGGCAGATTGCATACCTAATCCATCTATTTATCAATCTGACCAATTCTGACCTGGGATGATTGAAATACACACAGTAACACATTTAATTTATTTTTTAAATAAAGGTAGACTTATAGACAAACAGTAGGCAGAATCTGGTTGATTTGTTAGACAATGAAGATTGTGCTAATTAAATTAATGTTATTTTTCATATATTTAAAAAATAATTCAAAAATATTTAAGGAGTTTGATAAAATAAAAATATTTTTATAGAATATTAAATTAGCAATTATTATTCTGGCTCCTTTTGCTTAATTGTTCCTTCCTCGATTTATCACTTTCCTCTCATATTTTACTATAAGCAGCAAAAAGAAACCAGGACACACTTTCCATACTTTCACAGAAATCTCTTCAGCTAAGTATTCAAGTTCATAACTTACGAGTTAACTTTCCACCCACTGACAGAATATAATTCAGCCAAGTTTTCTGCTACTTTATACCAAAGACTGCCTTTCTTCCTATGTCTAATAACATGTTCTTTATTTCCAGCTGAGCCCTCACCAAAATCTTTTTTAACATCCATATTTTTATCAATAGTCTTTTCAAGACAATCTAGGATTTTTCCATCATTCATTTCAAAAGTCTTCTAGGCTGTACACAGTACTCAATTCCAAAGCCACCTCCACTTTTTTAGCGTTTGTTACAGCAGCCTACTCTATACCCTACTGTCAGTATCAAAATCTGTATTAGTTTCTTAGAGTTGCCAAAATAAAATGGTTCTGAACAAGGATTTTCAAGGGACTCTGGACAACCTAGTACAGTAGGCATTAAATTGCCAAGGCATTTTTCATGTTATTAAAGTGGATTTTTTAAAAAATGAAGTGTTTATAATACACAATGACAATTACATACTTTTGCAACTTATTAAACTTTCAGCTTATAATAAAAAGTTTAGAAGTCAACTTAGAATATGTGTGGTACATAATTTTTCAAAATTATTTGGAGTTGCAGCACTTAGAATAAATACAATTATATAGTGCAAAAGCTTCTTTTTTTTGGAAACTCGAGGAGGTTTTAATAAAATTACCATATGATACAGGACTTTAATATACCATTTTAGGATTCAGAACAAGTCAAAGGTACACAAGCATATATAAATATGAAAAGTTTTAGAATAATTAATGGGAAAATTAAGATGTATGTTTGTGACACGAAACTCTTAAAGTGTAACAAATTTTCCATATGATATTGATTGGTATTCAGTAGTTTGACCACACTGAGATTTGTCTGTCATCAATATGATCCAATACACTTGAATGAAATAGAATGGGGATAGAAAAAGTCTAAAATAGTAAAAGGTGAAAGATTTATATGACTTGAAGAGAAACCAGAAACATATGAAAAAATGCTCAGCATCACTAATGATCAGGGAGATGCAAATCAAAACCACAAGGTGATACCACCTTAATCCTGCAAGAAGAGCCATAATCAAAATTCAAAAAATAATAGATGATGGCGTGATGCAGTGGACAGGGAACACTTCTATACTGCTGGTAGGAAGTACAGCCACTATGGATAGCAGTGTGGACAGTCCTTAAAGAACTAAAAGTAGAACTACCATTTGATCCAGCAATCCCACTACTGGATATCTACCCAGAGGACAGTAAGTCGTTATCTGAAAAAGATACTTGCGCACACATGTTTATAGCAGCACAATTTGCAATTGCAAAAATGTGGAACCAACCCAAATGCCCATCAATCAACAAGTAGATAAATAAACTAGTATATATATATATATATATATATATATATATATATATATATATGATGAAATAATACTCAGCCATAAAAAGGAATGAACTAATGGCATTCACAGCAACCTGGATGAGATTGGAGACTATTATTTTAAGTGAAGTAACTCAGGAATGGAAAACATCGTATGTTCTCACTCATAAGTGACAGCTAAGCTATGAGGGTACAAAAGCATAAGAATGACACAATGGACTTTGGGGGCTCAGGGGAAAAGGGTGGAAAGCAGGTGAGGGATAAAAGACTACAAATTGGATTTAGTGTATACTGCTCAGGTATTGTGTGCACCAAAATCTCACAAATTACCACTAAAGAAATTACACATATAACCAAACACCACCTGTTCCCCAATAACCTATGGAAATACAAAAAGAAAGAAAAAAAAGAAAAAGTCTAAAATAGATTTTATTCACGATGTAATGAAGTACAACTTACCTACTGTAACCAGTTTTATTTTTCTATATCCATACCTTGCAAGGGATATATGTTTCTTGTAGCTATGGAAGCATTCAGAGCTTTTCATAAAGTTTGATTTGACCCAACTGTCTTATAAGAACATCTTCTGTTAAGGAGATATTGTTACTGCTGCTAAAGCAGCAATCCCCAACCTTTTTTGACACCAGGAACCAGTTTAGTGGAAGACCATTTTTCCATGAACCAAGTGTAGGGGGATGGTTTTGGGATGATTCAAGCACATTACGTTTATTGTGTACTTTATTTCTATTATTATATTGTAATATGTAATGAAATAATTATACAACTCACTATAATATAGAATCAGTGGGATTCCTGAGCTTCTTTTCTTGCAACTAGATGGTCCCATCTGGGGGTGATAGAAGACAGTGACAGATCATCAGAGCATCAGGCATTAGATTCTCATAAGGAGTGGGCAACCTAGATCCCTCGCATGCACAATTCACTTTCTTTTTTTTTTTTTCAGACAGAGTCTCACTCTGTTGCCCAGGCTGGAGTACAGTGGTGCAATCTCAGCTCACTGCAACCTCTGCCTCCCAAGTTCAAGCCATTCTCCTGCCTCAGTCTCCCAAGTAGCTGGGACTACAGGCTCACATCACCAGACTGGTGATTTTTTTTTATTTTTAGTAGAGATGGGGTTTTGCCATGTTGACCAGCCTGGTCTCCAAATCCTGGCCTCAAGTGTTCCATCTGCCCCGGCCTTCCAAAGTGCTGGGATTACAGGTGCAAGCCACCATGGCCAGCCTGCACAGTTTACAATAGGGTTCACACTCTTATGAGAATCTAATGCCATCACTGATCTGACAGAAAGTGGACTTCAAGTGGTAATGTGAGCTATGGGGAGCGGCTGTATATACAGATGAAGTTTTACCCACTCACCCACCACTCACTCACCTCCTGCTGTATGGCCCAGTTCACAACAGGCCACAGACTGCTACTGGTCTGTGGCTTGGGGGTTGGGGACCCCGTGCTAATGGAATCATTTTTGGAACATAAGAAACCATATCTGAGTTGTCTTAAAAAAAAAAAAACACTGCTGAGTTTTTATCAAGCAGTGGAAGTGGAGAAGGGTATTTCAGGCATAGGATATGGAATGAGCAAATGCATGTGGGCATGAGAGAGCATGGTTAATTGGAAGAAGAGCAAATGGTACAGTCTGACTGCAGCTTAGGCTACTCTGGGAGAATGTAGAATGTGGGACCCAGATTATAAAGGTGGATTAAGGAGATGGTGCTAGGTAGAGGGCAAAAGCAGCCTGGGAGGTCACTTACGAGGCCTGATAAAAGCCAATAGCTGTTCAGAAAGCTTTATTTTAAGAGTTAGTAGGGATGTAGAATCAATTAGATTTTGTGATGTGAAAATCAAGTGGGGAAAAAGTTCTAAAATTAACTCAAGATATATGGGTTGGGTAGCTATTGGCCCCAATGGAGATGAGAAAAGAAAAAGCATCTTTAACATTTTCAGGTTCTATGTTGTGTGTGTGTGTGTGTGTGTGTGTGTGTGTGTGTGTGTGTGTGTGTGTATTTGTGTGTATGTATGTTGGAGAAATAGAAAATGAGACTGACTCACCTTTTTTATTATGAGGCAACAGGTACATAGATATTCATGAAAAAAGGGTTCATGTTGTTCCCAGTTTTTTGACATTTATCATTAGAAATAATTTCTAAAAATCATCAAAACTTTGACAAGCTTCAGAATAACAATAAAATAGATAAATGAGGCAGACCTCCTAAAATGTGATACAAAGACATGGAAGCTTATTTATCCACCTTTTTCTAGAATATCATATTAAAGAAAAAACAACGGGCTTAAGGCTATGAAATTTGACTTCCAACCCACAACTCACTAGTTTTGTAACCTTCAGTGGGTCCAAGGCTCAGTTTTCATAACAATATGTTTCTTCAGTCTCTAAAAACTCTGTAATGTTAATCTTTTCCTTGTGTTTTTTTCTGAACTAGACATTATTTTTCTCCATTTAAATTTTTAGAGCCTTACCCCATGTATTCTTAGGTGAATTCCTTTAAACCCACAGTTGGAATTAGACATCTTTGAATACCCGCCTTCATTTTACTTCATTCTTCAAGTGCAATAAATAGTAGAAAATAATGAATTACAATTGCTTTTTGTATAATATTTATACTCATACAATTTAAAAATATAATTTAATAGGTAGGTATACAAATTAATGTATGCTTGATTTTTTTAATGTTGACAAAATTATGAATAATTTAATTATTTTTTTTAATAACATGCAATACTCCATAAAACGTACAGTATTTATTATGCTATATCGGTAAACACATTTTTCTGGAGAATGTTATTTTTTAGAACTTTATTTTTTAAGCCTTTAATGTAGTGCTTGAAGAATTAGAAATACAGGATGATGAAGCTACAGGTGTGAACAGCCTTTAATTACTCCAATGTAAATTAAATTTATAGTTTTGAAAAAACCTAAAGGATTAATCTATGTTTAGTTCTAACACTTCAGAATTTCCATTTATTTCTTAATTTATAAAAAATTCTACTTAGGTTAGGCCAGGTGTGGTGGCTTATGCCTGTAATACCAGCACTTTGGGAGGCCAAGGCGGGTAGGATCACTTGAGGTCAGGAGTTCGAGACCAGCCTGACCAACATGGTGAAACCCCCCCATCCCTACTACAAATATAAAAATTAGCTGGTTGTGGTGTCACACACCTGTAATCCCAGTACTCAGGAGACTGAGGCAGGAGAATTGCTTGAACCCAGGAGGCGGAGGTTGCAGTGAGCTGAGATCCCACAGAAAGTGGACCTTAAGTGGTAATGTGAGCTATGGGGAGTGACTGTACATACAGATGAAGTTTTACCCACTCACCCACCACTCACCTCCCGCTTTGTGGCCACTGCACTCCAGCCTGAGCAATAGAGTGAGATTCTGTCGCAAAAAAAAAAGAAAAAAAGAAAAGAAAAATTCTAATTAGGTTAAGCACTCAAGGGTTTCCATAAAATTTTCATTTTTAATCCAACATTATTAAAATTATCAAATTTTTTATCAATTTCAGTTTATAAATAACATGAATTTTTACATTAATGATAGTGATAAGATGGATATATAGAATCCATAAGTAATCCAAAACCTTATTTCAACCAATGTCCTACTTTCCACGCTATTTATGAGTACTAATAAGAAATATTATAATTTCCTATATTGATATTTTTATGTTCTATTTCCTCTGACAAAGACTGAAAGAATTATGAATATCAAAAATTCAGGATAAGTTATGTCAAGTCAAATAATTTGTTTCCAGCTGTAAGGGATTATTAAATTTGTGGTTAAAACATTTAAAGTTTGAGTAAATTTTTTCCTTTTTGTTAAAGTTTCGACGTCAGAGATAAATATTTGATTTGAATTCTTTGCACAGGTTACTTGAAGTGGTAAATTCCACAAATGGCCACAGTTTTTTGCAATTCTTTCTATAAAAAAGTGAAGTGGTTTCTCTATCTCTTTAATTCAAGCATGGCTAGTGGTTTACTTTGGCTAGAAGAACATGCCAGAAGTACTATTCAGTAAGTTCCAAGAATGGACTTCAAGAAGCTTTGCAATTTCTTCTCTTGCTCCTGAAATTCTGACACCATCACATGAATGATCTCTGACCAGTGTAGTGAAAGGTTGAAACAATGTCAGAAGCTTATCATTCCTGTTTTCCTCATAAAACCATCATAAAGGAGCCAGCCCCAGCCAATATACAAAATGATCATAGACACTTGCGAAAGGTTTGTCAAGATTAGCCAAGTGTAGCCCAGACCAGAAGAACTGCCCAGTGGAGGCCAGCCTGGAATCATAAACAAAATACATAGAAATTTTAAGCTATTAACTTGTGGGGTAGTATGTTATGAAGCAAAGGCTAACTGATGAAGTTGATAAAACTTTTATGTACTATAGATTTCATATTAACAAAAATGTTGACATCTATAATGTTGATGATCTGTTCTGGAATATTGTAGAATCGAACTATTAATTCAATGACAAAATTCCAAAAATGGCTAGAAGAGTACCATCATAAAAATACATAACTATAAATCTGTATCTCTCATTTGTTGAATTTGGCCACAGTTAGTGTCAGTTATTGTGCTCCTGGGAATATGTCATTTCCTTTCTACATCTGTCTTTGCACATCCAGGTACTTATTGGGGGAAGTCTTCTTATCCTGTAGGACAAAGTTAATGACATAGACATGTAAAGGGGAAGTCAGGTGCGGCTGTAGGAAAGTAGTTGTATGAGACTAGAGATAAATTAAGCATTACTTTCCTATCACTCTGGTAATGGTCTCAAATCTCTGTGGGCCTTCTATTTCATGTGCTGTAGATTATAAAACATGGGACAGAAATTCTAACTTTATCCAGGCTCAGAAGAAAATAGTACTTGCTTATGCAGGGTGTACTGTTTTTACAAGCCATTTCTGAGATGGGAAACTATTAGGTCAGTGCAAAAGTGATTGTGGTTTTTGCTATTACTTTTAATGCAACAAAGTTCTACAACATCTAGTAAAATTAGAGCTTTGATATTAAATTAATCCCATGAATTTTCACAACCTGATTGTTTTGAGTGTGTTTATACTGCAGAAATTTCATCAATAACTTCATGTGATACAATTGATCCTTGGCCAGGGAGATACTGACTTCCAAGAGTACTGTTTTCCATAAGTACTGTCTTCTATTTTTAGCCTAAGTTAGGGTGGGACACCCTGAATTAAAAGTCATTGATGCATTAATGATATCACCTCATGTTTATCTGTTAGGTAATAGTCTTGAAAACATTTCCATTTAATTGTCACAAAAGTTCTGTTTTACCTCTAGAAATTTATTCCTTCTTTCTTTTTCTCTTCCTTTCTTCTTTCCTTTCTCCCTCTCTTCCTTTTTTCCTTCCTTCCTTCCTTTGACTCTTTCTTTTCTTTTCCTTTCTTTTTTCTTTTCTTTTCTTTTGTCTTTCCTTATTTCCTTCCTTCTCTCTTTCTCTCTTCTTTCTTTCCTTTGTATCTTTCTCTCTTTCTTTCCCATTGCATTAGCCCATTTTCACACTGTTATAAAGACATACCCGAGACTGGATAATTTGTAAAGGAAAGAGGTTTAATTGACTCACAGTTCCACATGGCTGGAGAGGGCTCAGGAAACTTATAAACATGGCAGAAGGCAAAGGGGAAACAAGGACCTTCTTCACAAGGCAGCAGGAAAGAAAGAGGAAAGCCCAGGGGAAACTGCCATTTACAAAACCATCAGATCTCGTGAGAACTCACTCATTATCACTTGAACAGCATGGAGAAGACCGCCCCCATGATTCAATCACTTCATACCAGGTCCTTCCCTTGACACATGGGGATTGACGGGATTACAGTTTAAGATGAGATTTGGGTGGGGACACAGCCAAACCATATCACCAATGTTAGAAAAAAATGAGAAAGTAGAGCTGAAATACCTAGTTTATTAATTATACTGAATATGACCAAAATAAGCAAGAAACACTGAAAGACTGAAAGCTAATATGGAAAAAAAATCAGACAAATATTAACTAAAGTAATACGCATATTGCTACAGTAACTACAAAAAAAAAGCCTTAAGGTAATATATATATACCAGAAAAGGTCTGGTGGAGTGCACCTGTAGTACCAGCTACTCGGGAGTCTGAGGCACAAGAATCGCTTGAACCCTGGAGGTGGAGGTTGCAGTGAGCCGAGATCACGCCATTGCACTCCAGCTTGAGCTACAGAGTGAGATTCAGTCTCAAAAAAAAAATCACAAAATATATAGAAATTGTTGATTAATTCAAACACACTAAAAGAATAAAAAAGCTTTTATTTACAAATAGTCAACATAAAGACGGTGAAAAGTCAAGCCATACGTAGAAAAATACACTTGTTGCATAAATTTGATGAAGTGTTTATTTGCAGAATATGTAGCAACCACAGATGTTCCCCCAACTAGTGATGGTTCTACTTACATTTCAACTTTATGGTGGTGTGAAAGTGATACTCATTCAACAGAAACTATTTGAAATACCCATACAACTGTTATACTTTTCAATTTCAGTATAGTATTCAAAAATTACAGGAGATATTCAACACCTTATTATAAAATTAGCTTTGCGTTCAATGATTTTGCTCAACTGTAGGCTAAGTGTTCCTAGCACGTTTAAGGTAGGCTGTGCTAAGCAATAATGTTTGGTAAGTTAATATTTTTAACATGATATTTTAAATTTACAATGGGCTCATCAGTATGTAATCACATTGTAAGTTGAAGAGTATTGGTGTAAACATATTTTTTGCAAAAAAAAAAATCCACTATGTGGGCAAAGATCTCAAAAAACACATCAATAGGTAAACTAAAAAAGAAAAAAAAATGTAAAATTATGCTTGAAATTACAAGCAATCAGAGAAATGCAAATAAAAGCAAAATTGAGATACCACATACCAGACTGAAAAATATTAATCTAACTATATTGGCAAGGATGAAAAACAAAAGTGCTTTTCATGAAGTAATTGAGTTGCTACATTCCTACTTCTCTTTTTATAACTTTAAAACACTAAATAGTAATACAATCAACAAATGTTAGGCTAGATTCCCCAAAAAACAAGACTGAAAGAGGAATTAACATCTAGAAAGATTATTAGGAGAGTTCACTGTGTAACCACACCTGTGAATGGCTAAATAATGTTGGGCAGTGGAAGAAGTTGAATTATTATAAAGTAACAAAAGGCTTCAGTCCATCACCCAAAAAGCTCTGAAACAAGAATGTCACTTCTAAGTTGTACGGAATGTAGGCAAAGGGAGCTGTAACTTTTTTGTTTGTTTGTTTAGACAGGGTCTCTCTCTGTAGCCCAGGCTTGAATGCAGTGGTTTGAATACAGCTCACTGCAGCCTCAACTCCCTGGGCTCAAGTTATCCTCCTGACAAAGTCCCCCAAGTAGCTGAGACCCTAGGCACATGCCACAATGCCTGGCTAATTTTTAAAATTATTTGTGGAGACGTGCTTTGCCATGTTGCCCAGGCTGGTCTCGAACTCCTGTGTTCAATCCATCCATCCGTGTCAGCCTCCCAAAGTGTTGGGATTATAGGCATGAGCCACTGCACCAGTCGGGGCAGTGACTTTCTTGCTGGACACAAATCAGTCATTGGATGAAGGCTGCCCGTGCAGAGATAGTAAGGCAGATTCCTTGTTC
Organism: Homo sapiens; assembly: GCF_000001405.40. Taxonomy (NCBI): domain Eukaryota; kingdom Metazoa; phylum Chordata; class Mammalia; order Primates; family Hominidae; genus Homo; species Homo sapiens. The sequence goes on from NC_000001.11 coordinate 103,473,670, forward strand.
TAAGGGAGATTTGGAGAGAAAGACTGAGCTATCAGAAACTAACACTGCTGGCATCTCTGTACTAAGAATCTTGGTACTGAAGGGGGAATCTAGGCAGTCTAATACAGCATTATTTACTACAGTCCACTTAAATCCCCTCAAATCCACTCTATATGTATAATAAGTTTACCCTATCTGGTAATATCTCCTCTAATATTCTAGGTGATCATTTTTTTTAAGGAAAGTAAAAGAGAAGTACTAACGGAAAAGCTTTAGCCCTATCACTACAGACAATGGTTACACTTTTTTTTTTTTTCCTGCAAGTTTCTTGGTACAGGGAACCAGAAGTCATTGTGTAGTACCATAATAGAGTTTATCGAGTCTTTTATTTTGACCTCTGATGGAAGAATTCGCACTCTGTCAACTGGAATGTCTAAAGCCAAAGAGCCAAAGCTGTGAGAATAGAATGTACAAGTTCAAGTGCGTAGCTGAGAGTGATGATAAATCAAGCCACTCCTACTTTTACTCATTATTTCTCTCATCACATTTTTTCACTCATATTTTAAGAATAGACATTGTAGCCATAGATAACAAAGTATCAACTACTATAATTCATTTAGCATTTATTTATACTGTGTTCTGGAAAATGGCTATCCATCCTGGCAGAATTTATCTCCAACCTGGAGCCCCAGCTTCAAAATTCTGTTGCATCACTTTTATTAGACTGGAAACTTTTGGATGAAGCATTGTGTAGATCCTATATGCAGGTGTCTACTACCACCATACCTATTTTGCTGTGAATAGTCTTCCACATTTTGATACAGCAATATGCAGAATCCTTTCTTGGTGATTAAACATTCTCTAAGGACTTGGAAAATAGTTCTGGAAAGCAGTAAGACTTGCACTTGATCTCCCCTAGTATTTTCGCTTTTATCTATACGCTAGGAATCAAGATAGAGCTCTAACAACTATTAAGTGTCTCCATTTAAAATTTATGTCAGCAACTAGAGAAATGACCACTCAGTGGGTCCATCAAATCAGTTAATCCACTGTGAAATGGACCTGGACCAAGATTCTATTTATGGGCCACCATAAACCCCAACTCTAACAGAGAATCAAGATAATGCTTTGGATACCTGGGTACCAATGTCAGTTCAGACAAAGAATCAAACCATCTTCAAAATGTTTGAATATTCCCCTTTCTTCAGTGTAATGATACCCTAATAAATAGCTGTAGGTCTCTTGGGGGAAAAAAAACCCTGAAGAATCTTTACTGTACATAATGGCTATAGTGTTTTCATTCATTGGGTTCCATGTATGAACACTTGCTCAGAACTAGAAACTGGACAAGAAATAGTGACTTTTGGAGGGTTTTAACCTCAGTTTCCTGAAAATTCTTCTTTAATTTTTTATAATATAAATTGTGCAATACCCATTCTGAACACTGTACAATAAAGTGGAACTCATTTATTCAGTAGTTGAGAAGGAAGAGTTCAGAATTCTGGGCGCTGAAACAGCTAGAACTGTGGGCCAGGTTACCAGAAAGGGGACAGCCTAATAGATAGGAAGCTTATGAGAATTCATGAGGATTACCTGCTGTTTTTTGGTCAGGAGCTAAATTGTAGAAGCAAAATGTGAGGCCCTGCATAGCCTAGCAGAGATTGCCTCCTACACGTCTGAAAACTGAATGGTGATGCCAGAGTGCTGCAACAAACTGGAGTTACAATCCAGGTACAGTGGAGACACTTCACTGAGAATTTTGGTCAATTACTTGAGTTCTGCAAGGCTACATCTCATGAGTACTGATGCCCCATTACAGAAAGAACTATACCATAAAGATAAATAAATAAAACCATGCCTGAAACATACATAAAATTCACCAGTGATTTAACAGTTTTCCATAACATATTTCAACACCCTGTAAAGGAAGACCACTTAATCTAGACTTTCTGTTATGTACTGAACCACTCACAGTGTTTACTAAAATTATAAATTACTATGCCTGAAAGAAACAAGGGAGGGTAATCCACATGAAGAATATAAAAAGCAGCCAATAAAAACAAACCCAAAGATAACCCAGATGTTGGAATTAGCAGACAAGGGCTTACAGGAGCTCTGTTCAAAGATTTAATGAAATACGTGGTCATAGTGAGTGAGCAGGTTGGAGATTATGGATGCATATTGTAATCCCTAGAGAAGGCATTAAGAAAAAGAAGTATGAAGAGGAATAACTGAAAAACTGACTTAGTGAGTGAGCAGGTTGGAGTATGGGAATAGAAAATAAACAAATGGATATTCTAAAGCTGAAAAGTACTATATCTGAAATGAAAAAAATACTGTTTTGATTTAATAGCAAATAAGATATCACAGAATGAAGAGTTACTGGGGTAAATATATATCAAAATAAATTATTCAATCTGAAGATTGAATAGAGAAAAGAGATTACAAATTAATAACCAGGGCCTTTGTGCCATGTGAACAAGTATCAAGCAGTTTACTAGGAATTTTAGAGGACAGGATAGATACAGCAAAAAACATATTTCAGAAAACCATCATCAAAAAGTTTCCCAAATTTGGTGTAAAAATCAAGTTAATATTCAAGAAGTCCAAGGAATCCAAAGAATAATAAATATAAACAGATCCACAGTATAACTCTTGTAGTCAAACCTCTGAAAAACAGAGAAGAAAAAATATTTCAAAAGCACCTACAAACAAATATACAGGGAAAGAACAGTAAGAATTATTGCTGACTTTTTAGGAGAAAATCTGGAAGACAATGAAACATCTTTGAGGTGCTAATAGAAAAAAGAACTCAGAAGTCTATATTAAGTGATAATATCTCATGTAAATGAAGGCTTAATGTTAACATTTTCAAATAAACAAAAGCTGAGAAAATAAGTCACCAACAGATCTATTCTACAAGAATGATAAAGGGAGTTTTTGAGGTTTATGAGGAATGACACTACGTAGAAATCCATACAAGAATAAATGAAAAGCACCAGAAGTGCTAAATTGGTGGGTAAACATTAAAAGAAAAAAAATTATATTTGCTTCAAAACAGCATTTTAAAGTAGAAATAAGAACACTCTATTGTGATGTTTATTACATACATAGATTTAAAGTATATGATGACAATACTCAAAAGAATGGAGTGCAAATGGAATGTTACTCTTGTAAGGTTATTACACTTCATGTGAAGCAGCACAGTATTATATTAACTTGAAACAGACTATGTCAGATTAAGGATGCATATTGTAATCCCTAGAGACAGCATTAAGAAAAAGAAGTGCAAAACGGAATCACTGAAAAACTGACAGGAATTTAAAAAGTAATTTTTAAAAACTAGCTTACATGGTTGAGTTGGGTTCAAAGGTGAGGAGAGTGAGACAGAATTTGATGAACTGTAGTATAAGCAACTTAATTAAAGTAGAGGTGAGTAATTAAAAATATTTTCAGCTGATTTCTCCTTTTCATTGTTGCATTTTTACTCTTCAATATACTGTATTACCAGCTAATTTGTGAACTCTTTGTTAGTTTTCTTTTCTTTTGGAGTTGTCAGCAGTGTCATATTATGAATGAAATAAGGCTTGATATGTAATAGTTATGTTTGCCAAACATGAAGAGCTGAATCCTTGGTGCCAAGATGTTTGTCAAGAGCCAAGAAAGCATCTGTGTTAACAATTATGAGATGTAAGGCACAAAATGCCAAAAATCTATTAGAAGAAAAAAAAGATTGCTTGATGAAATCTCTGAAGAAAAATACCTGTGAATACAAGGCAAAGGATCCATTTGTAGGCCCACTCATTTGAAGCTCCTGATAACATTAACCCTATAATGGTTAATGGAAAGAGGCTGAACTTGAAGGAAGGCTGCGAAAGATGCTAGAATACAGATAGGATTTTAAACTTTTGAAAACATTTACTTACTGCAACTTGGCTTGAGATATTCTAACTATTTTGATGATGTTGTGGGGAATGGCTTATGTCAATAAATTTATATAAGACTCTGGAAGTCAAAGTAACCAACAGAATGATCCTTGCTATGTTACTCAAGAATCTCAGAGAGACTATAATCCTATAGAGAATCACCCTTAGAAGAGGACAAATAAAACCCTTACTGCAAGCCCCACACCTGAAAGTTTCCACACTTTGGACTAACATCCTTAATATTTCCCAAGTTCTCTTATGGTTCTTGAAACCATCCAGGGCCATCCAGGCATGCTAAGTCCAGACCAGGGCCCATGTGGACCACAGTCTCTGTTTTTCCCCTTTTGAGTGTTCTCCAAACCTCCATTCTGTGTGTGGTCTTGACCAAATGGTGTGAGTAGTCTGAGATTTTCAGCTATACTAACTATGCTTGAGCCCTGGTTCCTGGGACATGGTTTAGCAAATGGCTCACTCCTGCTGGCCGAAGTAGTATTTCTGTAATGGTGTATTGTGAGATTGGCCCTAGAATCATACTCATATGATAATTTTTGATGACTCACTCATGTTGAACACAAGCCAAGATCAATGCTATTGGCTGTCATTGGTTTATCATCAAATCTTGGCCTTGAACTCTATGTATGGCTCTGTGCATGGGTTATCCTTTGTACATATTTTAACCACAGCATCAACTTTAGTCAACAATACAGAAGGGAGATGGGAGTAGCAGTTAACATTCTTTACTCTGTGAACCTCTGCCAATGGCACACAGAGTGGTCATCCCACCGTTCTGCAGACTCCACATTACATGTTAAGTTATTTTCTAGTGGTGCCCATTAGAAGGCTTTTGAAATGATAGCTCTGTGATGCTAATGGTCTCTTCCAATTGATGTTCTCTATTGTCTTTAATCTGTGTAGTAATGTCATGTTCTTCTGGGTACATTTAAGACTTGCCTGTTGAAGAACAGCCAATGAGACAACTCTTCTTGCACTGCCAACAGGCCCCTTATCTTTTATCCCCACTGTTGGCAGTATATGTAGGCAGGGGTGCAGTCTGTATTGAAAGAGATTATCTCTTAGGAGTGCAGTCATTATTGCCTACGAGTTCAAGAGAAGACATCACTGAAAATAAGTTGTTCTAAGTTTATACTATTCAATTCCTAGTAGTAAATTTACTAAGAGCAGAAAATTAATGACAATTTATGAAATTATAATTATATCACATAAGCTATCATTACATTTTCTGCTTGCTCTAAGACTTGCATGAGTATCATTACCAGTGAAATACTTTGAGAAAGGCATTGTAAGCCAGTATTCACAGCAGCATGATGGATGACATGGAACCATAAGAAATGACTAACCAGCATTAAATAAGTGGTATAAGAATTGCAGAGGTGAAAAGACCTGCATTGTTTTAATATTAATAGATTCCAAACAGCCATGTCATTGTCAGTAAGAAGTGTTGCTGCCTTTTTCTTGTAATGAGAGATATAAAATTATCCAAGAATTGCACTTTGACAATAAAGAACGAAAAGAAATGGTTCCTCAATCTAAATGAGAAAGGATAGTGTCTAAACACTACGAAGAATCCTCTTGCACTGCTTGGCAATTGTAAAAATGTATGTGCTTCTTCTTTATTCACTGCTCTAAATTATCATCATCATGCCTTATAGAGACTCATGAATTTTGCAAATTTTTAAATCAAATTATTTATTTCAATCCCACCAAAAAATATTTTCCTGCTGTCCCATATATTCTAGCAGTGGCCCTACTTCTTGGAAAAGGCTGCGGCAGAGGATGGGCATAAGAAAGTGAGAGAAGAGTAGAATGAACAACTATTTTTGAGTGTCTGTACTAGATGTTTTATATTACCTACTCATTTAATTATCACAATTGCTTATAAAATAGACATGAATCTATTGCTTACTAAGAAACAGTACACAAAAAGGTTAAACAATTTGTTCAGCATCATACAACTAATAATGAACAGAACCAGATTTAAAATCCACATCTGTGTCACTGTGTAATTTTTCATTTATGATATACTAGGTAATGTTTAGAGCTAAGACAAATAATTTACTTCTATCAAGAAGAGTTTATTTCAACAAGATAATTGGTACAACAAGAATCCAACATTAAAGACATTTCAGCAATAGTCTCTACAACTGTGTAATTTGTCCTTGTGATTTTCAAAGAGTCCTTTTAATCTTTCTTGGCATTCTTCCCTTTTTTAAAAAAACTCGTTAGCAATGTAAAGCAAACTTTAAAGTAGCAGTATCTAGCTCCCTAAGGAGGGAATATAACAATGACTTTACTTGTGACTTTGCTGCCTTCAGTGAGAATAGGTCCATTGAACACCAATTTAAAGAGTAGGGTTAATGTAGTTATAGGAAAACTCATCAAGGAAAATGATGATCTTTAATTCTAACTGCTCAATTAAATAGAACAACTGAAAAAGCCCCAACCTATTTGGTGTCCAGGTAAAAATAAATGTAGGCCGCAGAAAATTTTTTAAATTCCTGATTGATTTTTCTATAATCTCCAAGTTGTTTACTTCAGGGCAAATAATCTTTTATTTTGGCCACTCATAACACAAAGAGATGACAAAGATGTAGATAACCCTAGTCACCAGACACTGTTCTAAATGCTTGATATGTATATTATTTTATGTAATCTTTATATCTTTCTAATGAGAAAAACACTATTACTATTTTTATTGCCATTTTGTTGAAGAGAAAAGTGAGAATGAAAGTCTCTGTCACTTCTCTAAGGTCACACAAAGTTTAATGGCAGAGTAGAATTTTAATCCAGCTAATCAGGCTTTAGAGCCTATTCTTTAATCACTACCCAATACAGCCTCTCCGTACAGTACAGTGGGGATGAGCACAGATTCTGGAGCCAGATATCCTGAATTCAAAATACAGCTTCACTACATACTAAGTATGTGACTTGGAGCTTAATTTCTCTCAGCCTCAGTTTCCTAATTTGCATAATGGAATGATATATTATACAGATCCTTACCAGGATTAAATTAGGTAGTCCATGTAGAGCACTTGGCTCAGTGCTCAATAATTGCAAGTATTCAATCATTATAAGCCATGATTATGGTAATGAAGTAGCTCTTCCCCTCTATTAGATAAGAGGGGTGAGAAAGATTCAATGAGAGATAGCCTAATTCTTTTGTAACATAAGATGGACAGAGAAACAGCCAATATATGGGTATTTTAACATATAAATAATACATATCCTTAACCTTAGAGTTATGATTTTAAGAAAGATCTCAAAAATACTGTACTGTTCATTCATGGAAATTATAATGTTATATTTTATCTAATCCAAGAAGCTATTGATAAGATGTCCCATTACCATTTATTATACAACATTAGCAAAATGCTCCCAATTACATTGTGATAAATGGCTTTTCGCTTATAATTTTATTGAAAACATCATTTTGTATTCAGACAGGTTTTTAACGTATATCACATAAGAAAAATGTTAGTAAAACCATTTAATTCATTTATTAAAAACTTTGTTAATGTTGGACTCTATTGGTTTTCAAAACAATATTGTTCTCTGTCCCATCAAAATAATTGGTGAGGCAGCATTTCTTAAAAGAGTCTTGTATTCTAGTCTTCCAAGATTTTCTTTCAAGTTGCTGACACCCAATCTAAAAGTTGTGATGCAGGTGTTTTTTCTATTTTAGTAAGCTCATACTTTTATTTTTTCTCAATTCAATTACATTTTGTTAAAATTGTAGTAGGATCTGTTTGAAGACAACAGACTGTTAACAAATTGATGTTTCAATACGCTAACAGTTATCTTGTGTGATACATTAATATGGTCATAGCAGCCTCCTTTTGCTTTCAAATTTGTTTTATCTACTTCAGTGGATTTGGCAATTTTTCCAGTTTCAAGTGCACCATTAAGTGTATAGTAACAATAGGTCTAGTTCCAACAACACATGTAACTTAACGAGGTGAGTAAAATATAAACTGCTATGCCAGGTTTAGATGTGTACAGGCACCGACTATTATGTCACAACTGAGACTTAGTTGACAATAGTTGTAAGATGCATATTAGCTTCAGATATATTAATATTTGGAAAAAATAAATATCTTCAATTTGATGAAATGTGGTACCTTAATTTACTACATTGCTTATCTGATTATATAAACACATCTGTCACATCCTTCACTACCTTCACTATTGATAGCTTTGCATACTTAACAGGAACATATTTAGCATTCCCAAACTTCATGGAATAGAGATAGCTAGTATCCAGTCACTGTGGTATCAAGAGACATACTGTCTACTAACTCATATGCAAAGAATCAAAATAAAAGCTTATGAGCTGTATTTAATCAAAAGTTGACCTTTTGTACGTCATATTTATATTCAGACCTCCTTCTAACATCCTACACCCATCAATGAACTTAATTGTTCTGTGTTTTGAAGAAATATAATATACCGTGAGAGTATGCCCAGTTCTTTCTGTATCTGTAAGGAAATAATAATAAGCCTTACATTAGAGGTTCAAGGTTGTATTGCAAATTTCAAAAACTGGGATCATTTAGTCATCAATCTTTTGCTCTTTCCTGTAAAATCTGCTGAAAAGGCTTACACAAAGTTTAGAACTTGAATTCAATTGGATCTTTACATCTAAGCAATAATTTTTTGAAGAATGAACATTAAGATATGTATCCTCTTAAAATCTTCACATTTATATTGTTTGCTCCAATTGTTAAAGTTCTCCTTTAATATTATTTGTTTTCTGAATATGCTGCTACTTTAATACTATTTGTACTCTGAGTACACCATGCAGAAGCAATCAAAGGCAGTATAATTTTTCAAAGTAGCTACACGATTTACAGATAATAGAGGCTAGAGATTAAAGAACAAAAGGAACATCCTGATTAAAACTGAAATGTCAAATTTAAATCTTTAACAATCTTTCTTAACAAACTAAGTCATTCTCTGTTCTTAAACACAAGGAGACAAGCATTCTACAAGAATTTGGTCTATAATTACATTTTTAAGTACTTTTTTTATACTGATGTTTTATTTTGTCTCTGGTATTTATCTCTTCCAAGTATTTTAGCTTTCCCAATTATTTTAGAAATTAGAGTCTTTTAATATTTAAAATATTTTAGGTATTTCAAGGAACTTAAGAAATTAGAGGGAATATATGCAGTAAATCTCTGTTCATGCATTTATCGATGCATCTTAATATATTTATTAGACAGTATTTTGTTATAGGTTGTGAGAAATATAAAAATATATAATTCTAAATATCTGTAGCAAGAAAACCCAAGAAGATGAACAGTGAAATTATATGGTGCAAAATATGATGAGATATAATTTTAAGATTGCTTTAAGAATTAAAAGACCTTTTCATGTATGTTGTGTTAGAACCATATCAGTTACAATTAGGTTTGACTTTATAACAGAGATTCAGTTTCAATGACTGAAGACAGTGGTGGTTCATTTCTAACCTAGGCCTTCCAAGGACATTCTAGGGAACATCTTCATTTCTGTCAACCATAAGACAAAAAGGAGCACAGAGGATCACTTGTAGAAGGGTTTTATGAGCCAGACCTGGAAGGAGCACAGATCACTTTCATATTCCACTGGCTAGAACTTAGTCACATGACCACTTTTAACTTCAATGAAAATGAGGAATGTCTGTCAGCTGAGAAGGAAGAAGAGGCTGTGGTTTAGGCTGGCACTTAGAAGTTATGTCACTTTTCCTTAGAGGATTTTTGTGATCATTAAATGAATTAATACATATGAAGCACTTAAAAGACCATCGAGGATAGGAAGAAACTGCATCAACTAATGAGCAAAATAACCAGCTAACATCATAACGACAGGATCAAATTCACACATAACAGTATTAACCTTAAATGTAAATGGGCTAAACGCTCCAATTAAAAGACACAGATTGGCAAACTGGATAAAGAGTCAAGACCCATCAGTGTGCTGTATTCAGGAAACCCATCTCACGAGCAGTGACACACATAGGCTCAAAATAAAAGGATGGAGGAAGATCTACCAAGCAAATGGAAAACAAAAAAAGGCAGAGGTTGCAATCCTAGTCTCTGATAAAACAGACTTTAAACCAACAAAGATCAAAAGAGACAAAGAAGGCCATTACATAATGGTAAAGGGATTAATTCAACAAGAAGAACTAAGTATCCTAAATATATATGCACCCAATACAGGAGCACCCACATTCATAAAGAAATCCTTAGTGACCTTCAAAGAGACTTAGACTCCCACAAAATAATAATGGGAGACTTTTACACACCACTGTCAACATTAGACAGATCAACGAGACAGAAAGTTAACAAGGAAATCTAGGAATTGAACTCAGCTCTACGCCAAGCGGACCTAATAGACATCTACAAAACTCTCCACCCCAAATCAACAGAATATACATTCTTTTCAGCACCACACCACACCTATTCCAAAATTGACCACATAGTTGGAAGTAAAACACTCCTCAGCAAATGTAAAAGAACAGAAATTATAACAAACTGTCTCTCAGACCACAGTGCAATCAAACTAGAACTCAGGATTAACAAACTCACTCAAAACTGCTCAACTACATGGAAACTGAACAACCTACTCCTGAATGACTACTGGGTACATAACGAAATGAAGGCAGAAATAAAGATGTTCTTTGAAACCAACGAGAACAAAGACACAACATACCAGAATCTCTGGGACACATTCAAAGCGGTGTGTAGAGGGAAATTTATAGCACTAAATGCCCAAAAGAGAAAGCAGGAAAGATCTAAAATTGGCACCCTAACATCACAATTAAGAGAACTAGAGAAACAAGAGCAAACAGATTCAAAAGCTAGCAGAAGGCAAGAAATAACTAAGATCAGAGCAGAACTGAAGGAAATAGAGACACAAAAAACCCTTCAAAAATCAATGAATCCAGAAGCTGTTTTTTTGAAAAGATCAACAAAATTTATAGACTGCTAGCAAGACTAATAAAGAAGAAAAGAGGGAAGAATCAAATAGAAACAATAAAAAATGATAAACGGGACATCTCCACTGATCCCACAGAAATAGGAACCACCATCAGAGAATACTATAAACACCTCTACGCAAATAAACTAGACAATCTAGAAGAAATGGATAAATTCCTCAACACATACACCCTCCCAAGACTAAAATGGAAGAAGTTGTATATCTGAACAGACCAATAACAGGCTCTGAAATTGAGGCAATAATTAATAGCTTACCAATCAAAAAAAAGTCCAGGACCAGATGGATTCACAGCTGAATTCTACCAGAGGTACAAGGAGGAGCTGGTACCATTCCTTCTGAAACTATTCCAATCAATAGAAAAAGAGGGAATCCTCCCTAACTCATTTTATGAGGCCAGCATCATCCTGATACCAAAGCCTGGCAGAGACACAACAAAAAAAGAGAATTTTAGACCAATGTCCTGCTGAAGATCGATGCAAAAATCCTCAGTAAAATTCTGGCAAACCGAATCCAGCAGCACATCAAAAAGCTTATCCACCATGATCAAGTGGGCTTCATCCCTGGGATGCAAGGCTGGTTTAACATATGGAAATCAATAAACGTAATCCAGCATATAAACAGAACCAAAGACAAAAACCACATGATTATCTCAATGGATGCAGAAAAGGACTTTGACAAAATTCAACAACCCATCATGCTAAAAACTCTCAATAAATTAGGTATTGATGGGACATATCTCAAAATAATAAAAGCTATCTATGACAAACCCACAGCCAATAACATACTGAATGGGCAAAAACTGGAAGCATTCCCTTTGAAAACTGGCACAAGATAGGGATGCCCTCTCTCCTATTCAACATAGTGTTGGAAGTTCTGGCCAGGGCAATCAGGCAGGAGAAGGAAATAAAGGGTATTCAATTAGGAAAAGAGGAAGTCAAATTGTCCCTGTTTGCAGATGACATGATTGTATATCTAGAAAACCCCATCATCTCAGCCCAAAATCTCCTTAAGCTGATAGGCAACTTCAGCAAAGTCTCAGGATACAAAATCAGTGTGCAAAAATCGTAAGCAGTCTTATACACCAATAACAGACAAACAGAGAGCCAAATCATGAGTGAACTCCCATTCACAATTGCTTCAATGAGAATAAAATACCTAGGAATCCAACGTATAAGGGATGTGAAGGACCTCTTCAAGGAGAACTACAAACCACTGCTCAATGAAATAAAAGAGGATACAAACAAATGGAAAAACATTCCATGCTCATGGGTAGGAAGAATCAATATCATGAAAATGGCCATACTGCCCAAGGTAATTTATAGATTCAATGCCATCCCCATCAAGCTACCAATGACTTTCTTCACAGAATTGGAAAAAACTACTTTAAAGTTCATATGGAACCAAAAAAGAGACCGCATCACCACGTCAAACCTAAGCCAAAAGAACAAAACTGGAGGCATCACGCTACCTGACTTCAAACTATACTACAAGGCTACAGTAACCAAAACAGCATGGTACTGGTACCAAAAAGAGATATAGACCAATGGAACAGAACAGAGCCCTCAGAAATTATGCCGCATATCTACAACTATCTGATCTTTGACAAACCTGACAAAAACAAGAAATGGGGAAAGGATTCCCTATTTAATAAATGGTTCTGGGAAACCTGGCTAGCCATATGTAGAAAGCTGAAACTGGATCCCTTCCTTACACCTTATAGAAAAATTAATTCAAGATGGATTAGAGACTTAAATGTTAGACCTAAAACCTTAAAAACCCTAGAAGAAAACCTAGGCAATACCATTCAGGACATAGGCATGGGCAAGGACTTCATGTCTAAAACACCAAAAGCAATGACAATAAAAGCCAAAATTGACAAATGGGATCTAATTAAACTAAAGAGCTTCTGCACAGCAAAAGCAACTACCATCAGTGTGAACAGGAAACCTACAGAATGGGAGAAAATTTTTGCAATCTGCTCATCTGACAAAGGGCTAATATCCAGAATCTACAATGAACTCAAACAAATTTACAAGAAAAAAACTAACAACCCCATCAAAAAGTGGGCAAAGGATATGAACAGACACTTCTCAAAAGAAGACATTTATGCAGCCAAAAGACACATGAAAAAATGCTCATCATCACTGGCCATAAGAGAAATACAAATCAAAACCACAATGAGATACCATCTCACAGCAGTTAGAATGGCGATCATTAAAAAGTCAGGAAACAGCAGGTGCTGGAGAGGATGTGGAGAAGTAGGAACACTTTTACACAGTCGGTGGGACTGTAAACTAGTTCAACCATTGTGGAAGTCAGTGTGGCGATTCCTCAGGGATCTAGAACTAGAAATACCATTTGACCCAGCCATCCCATTACTGGGTGTATACCCAAAGGATTATAAATCATGCTGCTATAAAGACACATGCACACGTATGTTTATTGCGGCACTATTCACAATAGCAAAGACTTGGAACTAACCCAAATGTCCAACAATGATAGACTGGATTAAGAAAATGTGGCACATATACACCATGGAATACTATGCATCCATAAAAAATGATGAGTTCATGTCCTTTGTAGGGACATGGATGAAATTGGAAACCATTATTCTCAGCAAACTATCGCAAGGACAAAAAACCAAACACCGCATGTTCTCACTCATAGGTGGGAATTGAACAATGAGAACACATGGACACAGGAAGGGGAACATCACTGAGGCCTGTTGTGGGGTGGGGGGAGGGGGGAGGGGGGGAGGGATAGCATTAGGAGATATACCTAATGCTAAATGATTAGTTAATGGGTGCAGCACATCAACATGGCACATGTATACATATGTAACAAACCTTCACGTTGTGCACATGTACCCTAAAACTTAAAGTATAATTAAAAAAAAAGGAAAAAATAATCCCTTATTAATAGTAAGTGCTCAATTAGTGTTTGTGATTATTATTTTCAATTATTTTCCCACACTCAAATTCCAGTTAACTTAGAATAACTAAGTCTTATTAAAAGCATTTTAAAGACAAAGAGTATTTCCATATTTCTTTTGCTTCCCATGGTATTGTTGATCCATAATAGTCATTTAAAAAGATCTAGTTGATAGACACGTAAATTTAACTTTGTATCAAATATTCACAGTTCCATTGACCATATTGTTACATTATTGTCTACCTAGACTTTTAATTACCCAAACATAAAAATGTCATATCATATTGATGTTACATATAAACTTTATGACAAATTAGAAGATAAACATGAATTGATATTTGGTAGATTAAGCATTTTATTTATAACATGTACAATAGTAGTATTATTTCTTTCCACTCCCTGACATTTTGATATAACAATTTAGAAAAAAAATGCCAAAACTAGTTTAATTAAGCTAGATAAAAAAGCGAAAAAGGAATTCATGAGAAAGTTTCTCTATTAAAGTGAATTTGCAATTGACAGCAAAGTACTAAAAAGCTCCATTTACTTAAATGTTTATCTTGTTAAATATTACCATCCTTGGAACTGGTGATTAAACAATTCTTCTAGGCAGTAGTTCAATATGGAAAGTAGTATAACTATATCTCATTTTGTCCTGCTAAAAAATACAGCATTATAAAGTTTACACATAGTACTCTGAAATCACAAACCATTAACTGTCTCAGCATGCTATTAAATGTTGCATTCTAATTCAAAATGTGTCTCTAATGATCTCCTAAATGAACTTATCTTAAGTAAATTAAATAGTAACTAAAAGCATTTGTTTGGTAAACACAATATGTGAAAGATATTTAATAGAAAGTAACATGTACAGCAATCACTAAATCAAAAAAAACCACAGAGCTGAAGTTTTTGAAGCTATAAAAACTATACATAATTTTTGAAAGCTTAATTTTAAAGGACAAGTTATGACTTTCGTTTTTTTGTTTTTTCTGAGACTGAGTCTTACTCTGTCACCCATGCTCGAGCGCGGTGGCGCAATCTTCCCTCACTGCAACCTCCACCTCCCAGGTTCAAGTAATTCTTCTGACTTAGCCTCCCGGGTAGCTGGGACTACAGGCGTGTGCCACCATGCCTGTCTAATTTTTGTATTTTTAGTAGAGACGGGGTTTCACCATGTTGGCCAGGATGGTCTTGATATCTTGACCTAGTAATCCACCTGCCTCGGTCTTCCAAACTGCTGGGATTACAGGCGTGAGCCACCGCGCTCAGCCTAGCGATGACATTTTAAAAGTACCCTCACTATTGGTAAAATGGATAATAATTGATGTTGAACAAAAGTAAAGACAATCTGAGTAGGTCGATAACTCTTATGTGTGATCAATGGTCTTCAGCCAAAGACCACCAGAAACACAATTATAGTTGAACAAGTTAGGGTTATTACTTTTTGCAGTGAGAAAGAAGGGATAATATGGAGAATTATGGAACTTTGAAGGGGTTGTTACTAAAGACTTTGCTTAGGGGATTTGGAGGAGGGTCAAGCAGGAATGCCCTGGACTGGGTTCTGACAGAGGGCAGGGACAATTTTATGGTTGGGTATCTCAAAAAATCTAATCTATAGAAAAGGCAGAGTAAAGTGAGGCTATGGCTATAATTGTTAAAGAAGCAACAGTCAGCCGTATAGCTAGGAGAGGGAAGTGTTTGCTGACTTGCTTCTACGTTGTTCATGTTTTGTGTTTAGACATGATTACAAAGTGGAACTCTTTTTGTTTTACTCCATAATGGTCACAGAGTAGACTTGTCTGATGCTTGTGTTCTGTAAAATTGTTCTGTGCTTAACAGAACACTAAGACTTAACTGTGAATGTGGGGCCAGTGCGTAGAAACACCAAAGCCTGGTTGATAGTACCGGGTCAGCTCCCAGATGTCAAGGGCTAATTTTCCTTTCTTAGTATTGACTTATGAAATCAACTAATTGATTTTAATTGAGTAAACATATACATAGTGGCTTTGTTTTTACTGAATTTTATACTATATCTTCACTGCTATTGACACAGATGTGCTACTTAATAAGCAATATAGTTACAGTAAACTCAGTATTACTTTTCCTGTTTATTTTTTATTATAACTAATAATGAGATCTTAAAAAATCAGTTTTTGTAATATTGGATGGGCTTCCACTTTACACTTCGGATCATGTAGTGGGAATGTTATCATTAAAGTTAATAATCCAGTAAGATCTAAAAGCACATATGGAGAAAATAAGGGTGAGGAGAGACATGGATTTTTGATTTGCTTCAAAGAATCAAGGTTTAGACAAAGTAAAAATAACAAAAAGGATATAGGGCAGAAATAATTAATGGCTAACATCTCTTAGCTCTACAAATCAATAATATTAACTAAAATTTGAGTGCTTACTATGGATCCAGTTGCTGACATGCAATAACCCATTTAACTCTTTTAACAACAACATGAAATGAGTTCCAGCATTACCCTGTATTACAGATGAGGAAAAAGACAAGTTGCATAACTTACTGTAGGTCATCCAGGCTAATGTGTAACAGAAACAAATCTGTAATATGAAACCAAGTCTCTGTGACCTCAGAGCCAAGCCTTCAATCTTTATGCTAATGATTTTCCTTCTAAGGAGTTCCCACTAAGATCACCAATCATAGACTTTAAGATAATGAAGCATCAATATGCAGAGAGTATGCTGCCAGTCATTGATGAGGTAATTATTTTAGCCTAGATAGCACAGCACTATACTAGCATAACAAGTGTGAAGGCCATAAATAGTTTTCTGCTATAAAAGCCCAAGAGACTATCTACTGAGTTACCAGTCTGAAAGGACTCATCAAGTTATGTTTAGGCTATGTTAAAGTGATGGACTAAAGACAAATGATGCAACAAAAAATTAGTTTAATAGATCATGGTTAATTAGATCTTTCACAAAAATGTCTAGTACTTTTCATGATCTGCCTCTATTTCAAAGAGCAAAAGTCTAGTTAAAATAAAAGTACGAACCTAGATTTCTCTTCCTGGAGTTAAAATTAAATTTCAACAAGATTCATGTTCTCAGGACTATTATTTTTCATTTGTTCATCACTAGATCACAAGTAAAAATGATTAACAGAAGCAAAGTTGTAAAATGATATAATCCTTCCAGAAATTTGGAATAACTTGGCAAAATTCAAAAGCTTTACAAATCATACTGTGCTTACTTACTACATACTTTGAGAAATCTACCTCTCCTTCAAAAAAAGTAAAATATAAAATACAAACAAAAATTTTATTGATCTAAAGGAGATCATCATACCAATATCTGTATCATTGAAAACAGACCAAATGTGCAATATTAGAGGAATGGCTAAGTTAGTTATATAGCCAAATAATTTAATATGATGTAGTCATTTATAATTTGTCTTCTTTTCAGCTTTATTGAGATTTAATTGACCAATAATTATGGTATATATGTGAGAGGTACAGCTTGATGTTTTGATATATATGTATTAAATGTGTGTGTATGTGTGTGTGTGTGCGTGTATATATATAATATATATTGCGAAATAATTACCTCAACCAAGTTGAGGTATTAGACATTACCTATCTCTCTCTCTATATATATTTATATATATATATGCACACACATTGTGAAATAATTACCTCAGTCAAGTTAATTAACACTTTTATCACCTCATATAGTTATCATTTTCTCTTTTTTTGGTGAGAACATTTAAGATCTAGGAAATCTTTATTCTTTATATGTAGGTAACAAAAAAGTGTATATACACATATGTGTGTATACACACATAACTACAAAATGTGTACAAAGACTAGAGAGTACAGCATTTTAATCATTAATATATAATTGAAAGTTTATATTATGTAAATTCTCCTTAAAACTCTCCTTTCCTTTTATTTTTAACAAGTATACTAGACATATCTATAATTTCTTCTCCTAAACATTCATTTCTAAAATCTGCTATAACCACAGGTCCTAAAAGGACAGGCTTTATGACCTTGTCAACCACCTCCTTTTGTCCAACTATGGAAAATTCTCTGGCCCAAAGCCAGATTTACCATGGCAGGCCAGTGGTAAATCTGAGTCTTTCAAGAATTGAGCTGAGACAAAGAAATTTTAATCAATTACTAACAGGAATACATGCTGAGCAGTAATAACTTAGAGTTGTTACTGGTGGTTCCAATGAATATCATATAAATGAATAAGAAGATGGTGGGACAGAGAGAAAAACGGGGTTGCTAAGCAGAAGTTAGAAAACTAGAAAAAAGATTTTAGAGTCCACAGGGCTCCTAGGAATCACAGAGAGTGGTTTCAGTTCTTGATATCCCAAATCCAGTCCTCATGAGAACCAACATTACTTATTCCCATTCTTTGGAACACTGAGACATCTGTGGCTTTGTAATAAACAACTCTTCTTCAGTTGGCATAGTTTACATAGGTTTTGGTACCTTAAAACAAAAATAATTTGACAGAAAAAAACATATTACAGCACCTTAATATAAACACCCCTTCATATAAAAACAAGGAATTAGGATAACCAGCCAGCAAAGTAGAAGCCTCAATTTCTACTTTGAGTCCTGATGTTAATGTGTTTTCTTTTATATAACTAGTTGAAGTTTCATTTAAAGGTAGAAGAATGAGTCAGAGTGATTTGCATGTTAATCATTATATACTGGAGTAGGGGAACTCAGAAAGATTCCAAACATGAGAAGGATTCAATACACTGAAGCTGGCTCTGTGCTGTAGGTGTCCACATGCAATAACTGGGGAAGAAACATTCCCCTAGGAGTTAAGGATAACCACCAGCTGACAGCAAGTATAGGAATAAAGACATCAGTTCTACAACTGTAAGGAACTAGATTCTGCTGACAACCTGAATAAGCTTGGGGGTGGTTTCTTCCTAGAGTTTCCCCTAACTGCCCAGCCAGCCAATACGTTGATTCTGGCCTTGTGAAATCCAGAGCAGAGAAACCAGCTGAGCCATTCTTGACATCTGACCTATAGAATTGTGAAATAATAAATTTGTATTGTTTTAAGCTACTAAATTTGTGATAACTTGTTCTAGTAGCAATAGAAAACTAATGTCTTTATTTTATTTTATTATTATACTTTAAGTTTTAGGGTACATGTGCACAACGTGCAGGTTAGTTACATATGTATACATGTGCCATGCTGGTGTGCTGCACCCATTAACTCGTCATTTAGCATTAGGTATATCTCCTAAAGCTATCCCTCCCCCCTCCCTCCACCCCACAACAGTCCCCAGAGTGTGATGTTCCCCTTCCTGTGTCCATGTGTTCTCATTGTTCAATTCCCACCTATGAGTGAGAATATGCGGTGTTTGGTTTTTTGTTCTTGCGATAGTTTACTGAGAATGATGATTTCCAATTTCATCCATGTCCCTACAAAGGACACGAACTCATCATTTTTTATGGCTGCATAGTATTCCATGGTGTATATGTGCCACATTTTCTTAATCCAGTCTATGTTGGACATTTGGGTTGGTTCCAAGTCTTTGCTATTGTGAATAGTGCCGCAATAAACATACGTGTGCATGTGTCTTTATAGCAGCATGATTTATAGTCCTTTGGGTATATACCCAGTAATGGCATGGCTGGGTCAAATGGTATTTCTAGTTCTAGATCCCTGAGGAATCATCACACTGACTTCCACAATGGTTGAACTAGTGTACAGTCCCACCAACAGTGTAAAAGTGTTCCTATTTCTCCACATCCTCTCCAGCACCTGTTGTTTCCTGACTAAAAAAGGAAAGCTGCCCCCACCCCCCAAAAAAGAAATAAATAACACTGGTAAAGGTAACTACATGGATAAATATAAAAACAATGTAATTATATTTTTATTTGCAACTTTTTATACTATCTAATTTTAAAGACTATTGCATGAAGCTGTAATTACAAATCTGTGTTGATGGGTATACTATGTATAAAGATGTAATCTTGATGACAATAACAGCATTGAAGAGGGGAAGGAAATGGAGTTATGTCAGAGTAAAATTTGTGTACACTCTTATAATTAAGGTTGGAAATAGAGTGGTGAGATGTTCTTTGTGATCCCTAGTTTAAAGTAACTTTAAAAACTAGTAAAATAAATGACAATAGAATTAAAAAAAAAGAAAACTAATAAGTCATCTTAGACCATTCATCGCCAGCTGAACTTTCAGTTGACTGCAGCCTTTGAATATAAGGATCCAAACTATGCCTAGCTTAATTGATGATCCACAGAACTATTTGATATTTTCAGCTGCCAAGATTCTATGTGGTTTGTTAGGCAGCAATAAATAATTGATACAGACATAGGTACTGATAATTTGAGTTTGCAGTATTAAAATTGTAGAGCAAATGACATTGACTTTGGAATTGAGTTAAGGGTGGAGCCCTGAAAAGTAGAGATAAAACTATGGGTGAATGTTGAAAAATGGTAAGAAAATTGTTATAGGATTCTAGAAGTGGAAATCATATGCCTACTTGATATATCCTGGTGAAAATATGTATAGTGAGAAGAGTACAATCAGATCCCGGGAAAACATTTTAAGGTGTGCATACAGAAAGAATCTATGAGTAAAGGATATTGACAGATAATGTTTGAGGAAGTAGATACGTAACCAGGAAAGAGTGATTTAAGCAAATCAAGTAGGGGCCAGAAATTTGTTTGTGAGAAATTTGACAATATGTACTCCAGGCTTTAAAAATATGTGTAACTTTACAGTGGAATTCTACCAGATGTATAAAGAAAAGTGGTTCTACTCCTACTGAAACTATTTCAAAAAATTGAAGAGAAAGGGCTTCTCCCTAACTTGTTCTATGAGGCCAGCGTCATTGTAATACCAAAACCTGGTGCAGACACAACAAAAAGTAAAACTTCAGGCTAATACCCTTGATGAACACAACTGCAAAAATCCTCAACAAAATACTAGCAAGCCAAATCCAGCAGCAAATCAAAAAGCTAATCCACCATGATCAAATAGGTTTTATCTCTGGGATGCAAGGTTAGTTCAACATAAGTAAATCAATAAATGTGATTCATCACATAGAACTAAAAAAAAACCCCACATAATCATCTCATTAGATGCAGAAAAGGCTTTCAATAAAATTCAACATCCCTTCATGTTAAAAACCCTCAACAAACTAAGCACTGAAGGAACATACCTCAAAGTAATAAGAGTCATCTCTGACAAACCCACAACCATACTGAATGGGTAAAAGCTAGAAGCATTCCCCTTGAGACCTGGAACAAGGCAAGGATGTCCACCCCCACCACTCCTATTCAACCTAATTCTGGAAGTCCTAGCCAGACAATCAGCCAAAAGAAAAAAAAAATAAGAGGAATCCAAACAGGAGGAGAATAAGTCAAACTATCTCTGCAGATCATACAATTCTATGAGAATTTGGTAAGATTCTATATTATAGTCTCTGTCCAAAAGCTCCTAGATATGATAAACAACTTCAACAAAGTTTGAAGATATAAAATTAATGTACAAAAGTCAGTAACATTCCTACACACCAACAACATCCAAACTGAAAGCCAAATCAAGAACACGATCCCCTCACAATAGCCACAAAAAGAATAAAATACCTAATAATACAGCCAACCAGGGAGGTGAAAGATATCTACAAGGATAATTACAAACCACTGCCCAAATAAATCAGAAATAACCCAAACAAATGAAAAAACATTCCATGCTCATAGATATGAAGAATCAATATTGCTTAAATGGCCATACTTCACAAAGCAATCTACAGAATCAATGCTATTCCTATCAAACTAC
This sequence comes from Homo sapiens, assembly GCF_000001405.40. Lineage (NCBI taxonomy): Eukaryota > Metazoa > Chordata > Mammalia > Primates > Hominidae > Homo > Homo sapiens. The sequence goes on from NC_000001.11 coordinate 103,495,312, forward strand.
CAATGACATTCTGCACAGAATTAGAAAAAAAGTATTTAAAAATGTACATGAAACCAAAAAAGAGCCTAAATAGTCAAGGCAATCATAAGCAAAAAGAACAAAGCTGGAGGCATCATGTCACCCAGCTTTGAACTATACTACAAGGCTACAGTAACCAAAACACCATGGTACTGGTACAAAATCAGACCCATAGACCAATGGAACAGAATAGAGAGCCCACAAATAATGTCACGCACGTACAACCACCTGATCTTCAACAAAGTTGACAAAAACAAGAAATTAGAAAAGGACCCCCTATTCAATAAATGATGCTAGGATAACTGGCTAGCCATATGCAGAAGGTTGAAACTGGACCCGTTTATTACACCATGTACAAAAAAAACCCCTCCATATGGATTAAAGACTTAAATGTAAAACCTAAAACTAGGCTGGTCATGGAGACTCATGCCTGCAATCCCAGCATTTTGGGAGGCCAAGGCAGGCGGATCACCTGAGGTCAGGAATTTGAGACCAGCCTGGCCAACAAGGAGAAACCTCATCTCTACTAAAAATATAAAAAAAATTAGCCGGGCATGGTGGTGGGCACCTGTAATCCCAGGTACTCAGGAGGCTGAGGCAGAAGAATCGCTTGAACCCAGGAGGCAGATGTTGCAGTGAGCCGAGATCGCACCATTGCACTCCAGCCTGGGCAACAAGAGCAAAACTTCGTCTTAAAAAAAAAAAAAAAATTCTAAAACTGAAAAAAACCCTGGAAGGTAATCTAGGAAATACCATTCTGGACACAGGCCCTAGCAAGGATTTCATGATAAAGATGCCAAAAGCAATTTCAACAAAAACAAAAATTGACAAATGGGACTGAATTAATCTAGAGAGCTTCTGCACAGTAAAATAAACTATCAACAGAGTAAACAGTCTACTCTGTGAGAATGAGAGGAAATATTTGCAAACTATGCATGTGACAAAGGTTTAATATCCAGAATCTTTAAGAAACTTAAACAAATTAACAGGCAAAAAGCAAACAACCTCATTAAAAAGTGAGCAATGACATGAACAGACACTTTTCAAAAAAAGACATATGCCTGGCCAACAAGCATATGAAAAAATGCTTAACATCATGAATCATTAGAAAAATGGAAATCAAAACCACAAGGAAGTATCATTTTACACCAGTAAGAATGACTATTACTAAAAAGTCAAAAAATAACAGATGCTGCCAAGGTTGTGGAGAAAAGGGAACTCTTTTTTTTTTTTTTTATAGCTTAAATTTCTGAAAACTTTATTTTCAAAAATAAGCAAGCGTGAGAATGGAACAAAGAACACTATGTTGTTCCATTAAATCTGCAGGACACAAATTCATCTACTGTTGACATTTTATGGCATTTACTCTTATACACTGCTGTTAGGAATGTAAATTAATTCAGCCATTCTGGAAAGCCTGTGGTGATTTCTCGAAGAACTCAAAACAGAATTACCATTCAACCCAGCAATCCCATTACTGAGTACATACCCAAAGGGATATAATCAACTTGTCATAAAGACACATGCATGCATATGTCCATCACAGCACTATTCATAATAGCAAAGACACGGAATTAACCTAAATGTCCATCAGTGCTAGACCGGATAAAGAAAATGTGGTACATATACTCCATGGAATATTATGCAGACATAAAAAGGAATGAGATCGTTTCCTTTGCAGCAACATGGATGAACTTGGAGGCCATTATCCTAAGTTAACTAATCCAAGAACAGAAAATGAGATATCATATGTTCCCATTTATAGGTGGGAGCTAAACATTGAGCACAAAGAAGGGAAGAACAGACATTGGGGCCTACTTGAGAGTGGAGGGTAGGAGGAGAGGATCAAAAAACTACCTTTGAGGTACTATTCTTATTACCTGTGTGATAAAACAATCCATATACCAAACCCCTGTGACACACAATTTACCTATATAACAAACCTGCACATGTACCCATGAACCTAAAATAAACGTTAAAAATAACTATGATAAAAAGCAAATGAAAATATGAGTAACTTTTGACTTACAATTATACTTTTGGCAAATTATCCTCAGGAAAACCACAGCATTTTTTAAAATAGCCAAATAAAATTTCAAAAACAAACTAAAAATCCAATAATAGAGCTCCTGGTTAAATACCTAACAGGAGAGCCATTCTGTGAAACTACCACATATTTATGATGGAATTTAGAATATGCTACCTCATATAGCACCTTGGTATTTGAGGGAACAGCAGAAGCAAGAGAGGCACTTGCACCCCTTCCCCCAATCTGCTCCTCTGCAACAGACTGCAAAACCTACCTGATCTTCCTCCAAAGTGAGTAATAAGGCCCTCATTCCAAAAGGATCCTCCCTGTACTTGGAGGAAAGAAATGTTCTTAATGTCTGAAGGCACAGAGATGCCAAGAAGAATCTGAACAAACATGTCTTGCTGTTTCCCCCAGTTTTTTACTAGATTATACCCTTTTGTCCTCCAATCATAGTTCCCCATGACTGACCATAAAATACACAGATTTTTCTTGTTTATTTGGGTCTTCATTCCAAAAGGCATGAATGTGATTTTAATGTCATGTAAAACTTACATTAAATAAATGTATATGCTTTTCTCTTGTTAATATGCCTAAAGGTCTCAACCATGTACCTGGCAATGGGTGAGGAAAAAAGATATTACTTTTCCAAATATGTGTGTGTATGTGTGTGTATTCTGTGTGTGTGAATGTGTACCAGAAACAAATTGAAAATATATACAGTAAAATGGTAATGGTAATCATCTGAATAGTAGGATGATTGTTGATTTTTACATTCTTCTTTATGTAAGTATTTTTCAAATTTTTCTGTTACAAATATATATAAGCCACGAAGACATCTTCCTCCAAAAAGAGTGCTCAGAAATAACAAATAATATGGGGAATAAATAAAAAGAAAAAAGAAGTGTTCACTTTATTCACAACTTTAAAAAAACCATTTCATTTTGAATTTGAGAGAATTACAGAGTTGACTAATGAGAGTACCCGTTTCACAGGGAATGTCATAAAGACTTAAAAAAAATGGGCAGAAAGCTTGATAGTGCCTGATACATAGTAACACAGTAGGCACCCAATCAATGAGCACCAGTTGAACATTTTAGGCGAGGATGACAATATCCACATTCTAGTGGGCAGGCTTTGGATTCCAGTTGCCTTCAGCATATCCTTCAGCCTCTCTCAGTCTCAGTTTTCACATCTATAAATTAGGAATAGGAAATATCTACATGTATTTTGTCAGACACTTAAGAATTAAATTTTATAATGTATACAAAGACCAATCCCTAAGGCTTGGCTTAGAAATATTTCTGGATGACTAAATAAATTCTTGGAGAGAGCAAACCTGTACAGCCCTGACAAAAAGGGTGGTTGGGAGGTGAAGACATGAGTGTAGCTGGGGTACACAGAACTAAGGGAGATATTTTCAATACAGGAGAAATTGAATACATGCATTTATTTTTTGAAGAGAAGGAGACAGCAAAGAGCGAGAAAATGAAGCCAAGAAAAAATAATGGTAATCTGTGAAACAATATCCTTGATGAAATGGGAGTGGATGGAATTTAAAGCATAAGAAAGGTATTTACCTAAGTCATCTTTCCCTGTGAGACAGGTGGTAAGGATGGGTATCAATATGGAAGACCCAAATATTTGGGAAAAGATTTTCATGGAGTATCTCATCTTGAGTAAGCTTCCACCTAAAACTCGAAGAATATTCATTTTTGACCCACACATTTATAAGTATCTGCTATCATTATTGTTGTCATTTCCTGTTATCCATGGTATATTAGAAAAGCATCCACACCCTTTTAGAAAGCATCTTTCTAAAAGGAAACTTAGAAAGATACTTCATTAAGTAAAAAAAAAAAAAAAAAAAAAAAGGAAAGAAAGAAAGAAGGTCTTTACTTGAGTAGTGCCTTATCCAAACACCTTACCCCAAAGTTATTTATATGTTCCAGCTACCTTCACAAAATTAAGCCTCAGTAATTTGAACTCCCACTTCATATAAATACTGGTTAACACAAGGTATGTGCTTGTTCCCTGAATACTTTGAGTTAACATTTTGAACACGAATTTTTTTAACTTCCTTAAAAGAAACATTTTAAAGGTGTTTTGGCAGGTGCTTTGGCTAGCCTCACTGAATCTATTCATTAATACAAGACAGCATTTTCCACTGGTTGCAGACAAAACTGAAGGTAAAACTTACTGGGTAAACATTCCTGTTTACTTGTTATGGTAAACTGTTTTATTTATGGTTCAACTAGTTCACTATACACAATAGCTTTGTGTGATAAATTAATAAATAACACATAAGAGCCAGGATAGATGGAAGGTACTAAGTTAATGACAATATAACACTGTGAATTCTTAAAGTGAATTATAATCTAAGTATCTAGTAGCAATTATCATTTTCATCACAATCATCACTTTACTTTTATGTAGAATATAAGTTTCTTCTAGAAAATGCATATGAACATATTTCATATTTAGTAACTTTGGTATGCCCCCTATATATCAAGGTTCTCCAGAGAAGGAGAACCAATAAGATATGTATATGTTTGTGTGTGTGTGAGAGTGTGTGCGTGGTGTGTGTGTGTTGTAGATCAACATTCTGTTCAGGCCTTCAACTGATTGAATAAGGCCCATGTACATTACAAAGGGCAATCTGCTTTACTCAAAATCCACAGATTTAAACGTTGCTATTATGCAGAAACACTCTCACAAAAGCATCTGGAATAAGGTTTGATCATATATTTAGGCTATGTGGCCCAGCCTCTACAACCCTCCTTAAATGTAACCAATTTTAGTGCAACTTCAAAATTTGAAGTAGAATTATATCCACATATGAGAAAGAGCTGAGTGAAATAAGTCACTACCAGAAAAAAACAAGCAAAAACAATTGTCAAGTACCCATCCCTGTTTCAATCACTTCTGCTATGCCGAACAGATAAATCATGTGCAAGCCATGCTGCCCTGTCTGCCATTGATCTCAGCTTCAATCTCCAATGCCCACTCCTACTAGGAAAAGACACACAATATTAGTTCACCATCAGCCCTCAAAAATGCAGCAGATAGTATTCTATCATACATTTCTTCCGTCTTCTCCCCTCCCCTATTCTCTCCTTTCCTCTCCTCCTCTCCCTTCTTCTCATTTGTGGTCTCCAAACTCAGTTAGCCTATGCCTGAGAGTGAAAAACCTTTGAATTGCTTGCCACCACTGGCTTTGGTGACAAATATTTGACATATAATGCCTTACACAGTTGGGAGTAGGGTAAAGACAACTAGCCTAGTCTGGCAAGGCAATAATAGTACCAAATTCATGACAATTCCTAGAGAGGAGAATTCAGACAGTAAAATTTATATTTTTTACTCAATGAACAAGTGCATTAACACACGTTAATTTTATAATTTCTAAAAATATTTAATTAAAAAATTAGGCCACCTAATTAGAGTAATTCAAATGAACAGGATATATACCTTGCATTTTTATTACATACATTTTATATACAGTATTAGCAATGGCTTAAACAAGGCAGACATTTATTCTCACGAGTTAAAGGCCCAAGGTAATATGGTAGCTGTGCTATACAAAGTAATCAGTCAGCCTTCTTTTACCTAGTGTTTTGCTCATCTCGATTCTTAAATGGCTTACCACCACCTATCCAAATTCTAGCTAATAGTAAAAGGGTAAAAGAGGAAGAAGCAGCATTTTCCTTTCCTTTAAGGTATTACATACAAGTGGCAGAGATTATGTCTTCTGACATCCTGTTGTCCAGTACACAAATTCACTTAGCTTGAAGGGAAACTACAAACCCTCTTCTTTAGTCCAGATGGCCTTGTGAGGAACTATGTGAAAAATGGAGAAAAGAGAAGATGGGACATACATATGCAGCAGTATTGACCACATATCTAAACCTTAGTTTAATAATTATGTAGATATATACATGTATGTATGTGTATGTGTGAATGTATACGTATATAAATATTTAGAGGAAGAAGTAGGTAATGTTATCAGTTAAAATTAATTAAAATTATGGCCATCCATCTGTTAATATGGTGATGGTGATTTAATTTAACTCTGTGAATAAAGCATTCTGGATTCATTTTGATTATGACAATTTGCAAGCACTAGAAAATTTCTCTTTGGATACAAAATAAACTGTGATTTATTCATTAGTTACATGAATAAAAAATCTCTTCATAGATAAGTATCAGTTCTTGCCACAATCGTTCTTGTAACAAACCACCCTGCAACTGAGAGGCAAAAAATAACTACCATTGATTCTCCCTCATAAATGTGTGTGCTTACTAGAGGCTGGCTGATTTAGGCTGAGCTTGGCTCCAAATTACAGGTTAGATCCAAGTTCTCTTGGTTTGTTTTTCTTGGACGAATGGGACTAATGGGCTACCCAGGACATGTTTTGCACATGAAAATAATAAGCCCGAGGGTAGGCTCAACTGCTACATTATTTTCAGGCTTTTACTTGTGTCATGTTTGCTAATAGTCCATAGGCCATTGCAAGGCGTACGTCCAAGTCCAAAATTAAGAGCTGAAATACCTCCTCTACCTTGACACATGACAAAGGTGTAGACATATGTTACTATTATAAGGAAGTAAAAACTGGGACAAGTCAGTCAATTGACTATAAGATCTTATTGAATCATTTCAATGTGAATGTAATTTCACTTTGCATATTAGACTTAGTACTGTAAATTAAGTAATTTATTTGATACTTATTTGGCTACTATGGTATCAAGGCACAGATATCTTTTCCAAAATTTTTGAGATATGTCCAGCTCTATAGAAGTCAGTCTGGTGAAAGATTATGACAAAGTAAAAAGCAATCTTAGTACATTGTGGTAAACTCAGTGATAAAGCTATGGAGATAACAATTACAAAGATATGAAAGAGGCATCTATTCCAGCCTAGAAAAAAAGAAAGAAAATCCAGAAGGTTTTCTGAAAGATATGTTTTTAAAATGTCTGTAATTTTTGCTGGGATGGGTCGGCTCCATACATTTCTCATTCTTCTTCTGGAGCCAATAGCTGGCCAGGATTATTATTCTCATGGTGATGGCAAAGAGCTGGAGGGTAAGGCTGAATTCACAAAAACACATTGTGTCTTATCTTCTAAAATCTTACTAGCTAAAGCAAGTCACATGATTGAACTCAACATCAAAGGGTAATGAAGGAAGAGTATTTTTGTGTGTGTATGGGTGGAATTAAAAGGTTACATGGCAAATGATTTCAGAGAGGGGTTAAAGCAAATAATTCAATCTACCACACAAGTGAAAAAATCACCAAAAACCTAATTTTCTATAAATATTGCTCTATTTATTTACATTTCCAGTATATATGCATATGTATATACATATATGTATATGTGTGTGTCATGTATACACAGGTTGAACATCCCTAATTCAAAAATTCAAAATCCCAAATGGTCCACAAATCAAAACTTTTGAACGCCGACATGAGGCCACAAGTAAAAAACTTCACACTTGACCTCATGTGACATGTTACAGTCAAAACACAGGCACACTTTACAAAGTTTATTCAGCATCCCCAAGGGAGAAAATACCCTCCCAACTCCCTTCAGCCAGGATATATCTTTTCTGTGCATGCCCAGATTTCCTTATGCATGCATGCCCACAAAGAGTAATAAAATGGGAGGTGCCAACAGCAGGTTCCCATGATGCTCCACGTGGGGCCAAGACTTACAAGCATTATTCACTGTGATCTTTTTTATATTTTTTAATTCTCGTCTAAGTGAAAATACTATTAAAATGTCAAAAAGACCTGTGGATATCCACATTGGTGGCAGTGACTAAAAAAAGGGGAAGCATTTATGTTTCTCTATAGCACAGAAAGTCAAGCTGTTAGAGAAATCAGACAGCGCTGTAAGTGTGAATTATCTTACAGAAGAGTATGGTATTGGAAGGACAACCATATATGACCTGAAGAGATAAAACAATAAATGTTTGAAGTTATGTGCTGAAAGTAGTGAACAGCAGCTAATAAAAAACAGAAAAGCACTGCATAAAGCTAAAAAATGAAGATTTCAGTTGTGTATTGAAACAGTGCATCTGTCAGCGTCACAGTGAACACAGGCCACTTAATGGTATGCTGATCAAGAAACAAGCAAAAATTTGTTATGATTACCTGAAAATTGAAGAGAACTGTGAATATTCAACAGGCTGGTTGAATAAATTTAAGAAAAGACATGACATTAAGTTTTTAAAGATTTCTAGATATAAAGTTATCTGTTGATCACAAAACAGCAAAGAAATTCAATTCATTGACAAGTTTGCCAAGGTCTCTGCTGATGAAAATCTAATGCCAGAACATGTCCAAAATGCTCATGAAACATCCCTGTTTTAACATTATTACCCCAGAAAGATAGCGGCTACAAATGATGAGATGGCCCCTACAAAAATTAAGGATGCCAAAGACAGAAGTACTGCTAGGATGTGCTAATGCAGCAGATGTGCATACATGTAGACTTGCTGTGATAGGCAAAAGCTTTTGTCCTCACTGTTTTCAAGGAGTGAATTTCTTACCAGTCCATTATTATGCTAACAAAAATGCATAGATAACAGAAATATCTTTTCTGACTGGTTTCACAAACATTTTGTAATAGTGGCTCATGCTCACTGTAGGGATGCTGGATTAAATGGCAACTGCAAGATTTTGCTATGCCTTGACAATTATTCTGCTCATCCTGCAGCTAAAATTTTCATCAGAAATAATGTTCATGTATTTTCTTTCAAACGTGACTTCATTAATTCAGCCATGACACCAGGGTCTACGTAGATCAATGAACAGTAAATGCAAAAGCCCTTTCGTGAACAGCATGCTAGCAGCAGTGAACAGAGGGCTGGAAAAGTTTTTGATAGGCTTTAGCATGAAGGATGTCTTATATTCTGTTGCCAATGCTTTGAAAATAGTAACTAAAGACATAGCTGTGCATGCCTGGCACAACCTCTGGCCTGTGACTATGTTCAATGATGACCATGAACTAGGTGGTGACTTTGAAGTATTTCCATGTCAATTGAAAAAGAAAATCTAACTTCCTTACATACACACAAAAAAAATAGCATCAGAGTCTGACAGTAAGCTGGAAGAAGTGGATTTTGAAGATATTTTGAACACTGATAATGCAGCTCCAATTGTTTATTGATTGACTGATGGTGAAGTAGCCAAAACGATTCTGAATCAAGGTGATCATGATAATAGTAACAATGAAGATAAGGTTGTTAACTCTACAGAAAAAGTGCCTACAGACATCATGATGAAAATGTATATGGGCTTGCTGAAGGACTAGAGAAGCATACAATCATAACAGAACAAGACATGATGTAAGTTTATAAAATAAAAAAGGGATTTCTAAAGCAAAAAACATTGTTAATGAGGCAGATGTGTCTGAAGAAAAAGCCCTAATCCAAAAGACTCACTTCTTGGTCTCTCATCTGCTTCTAATACTTCTTCTCAACTTAAAAAAATACCATGTACAGTAACCTATTAATCAAAATGCAGAATTGTAGGTAGAGACTGAAAGCCTGCAGTTGTTTGTTGTTGCTGTTGTTTAATAGCTGATACAGGAATTCTGCTGATGCTACTGTGCTCCTTAGTTACCCTGAATACATTACTTTTTTTCTTACTGTATTAATGGTATGCCTTTATTTTTGACTATTAAGTATCTATGTGCAAGTAAGTGTAAGAAAATAATTGTTTATTGGTAGCATATGAATTCAGAGTCAAGGATGATGGTGATGGCAACCAACCACAGATTGTCCACATGGGTGACTGAGACAGTGACACCTTTGTTTTCTGATGGCTCAGTGTATACAGACTTTGTTTTATGCACAAAACTATTAAAAATATTGTATAAAATTGCTCTCAGGTATATGTATAAAGTGTATATGAAACATAAATAAATGTTATACTTAAACTTTGGTCCCATCCCCAAGAGGCTTCATTATGCATATAGAAATATTCCCAAATCAGAAAATATCTAAAATCTGAAACACTTCTGGCCTCGAACGTTTCAGATAAGAGATACTCAACTTGTATGCATGCCTGTGTATATTCATATGTATATGTAAATGTGAGATATATATATATATAAATCTTATATACTCCAAACCAGTGAGGTAGATATATGATGTATCTATAACAGTGTAAGAACGCAAGAGAAAAGAAATTAAGATAGCAGGTAACAGTGGACAAAAGTAGTACTTGATTCTTGAATATTTATTTTTCTGATAGGTAATTTTAACATGAAAGAAAAAATGCGACAAATGAATACACTTAAAGCACACTTGGACAAGGTAAGTTAAGATGCAAATTGTTTTTTTGTTTCATTATCTTTTGTACTAACTCTGTGGTTATTTAGAATTTTCTAATTGGAAAAGACCTAATGAGATGATTTTCAGGCTCTCTTTGATTTTTACTTAGCAGAAGTGAAGACTTTCAATAATTTGTTGTCTTATTCTTCTTTTATTAAAATGTTCTTGATTCTAATGACTGTGGTTCTAATTAGCTCTAGTTGAAGACTTTCAATAATTTGTTGTCTTATTCTTTTATTAAAATGTTCTTGATCCTTATGACTGTAGTGCTAATTAGCTCTAGTTCTGTTTCTTTTCTAATAAATAGTATTTTCTATAAAAAAGTAGTTGGACAAGTCAATGAAGATTTTCAACATTGTTGTTGTTAGGCATTCTATAAAAGCATCTGACAGCAATATTCTTAAATTGAAACATTTGATGTGAAAATCTGACATGATTACTTCATAATAATGAATATGTAAAACCAAACATGACTGAATATACTTAGTGTCAAATTTAACTATGAAATTTAGTTTTCAATAAAAATTTAAAAGTTATAACAACACAGTAACAACCAAGCATTATTACATTAAGGCAAAGTTGATTTATTCATTACAACAATAGTAGCTAATATATACTGAACTCTAATGGGGCACTTCACATATATTATTTCATTAACATTCTCACAGAACTTCATTAGCTCACTTTTATATTACTTACATTTTGCAGATGAGGTTTAGAGGAATAAAGTAAACTCTTAGGATCACAAACTAATAATAAGAGTTTTTTCTTACCCATTTATACTATCTGTAGCTTCATGTATTAACCATACACAATTATCTGTTTTTCTTTAATTATCAAATATTTTAAACAATCCTGATTTTTATACTAAATTATAAACCTAAATTCTTATACTAGATTATAATTGTTTTACTCATTTATTCAGTAAATATTAATTGAGCAGGTACAATGTGCAAGACCTTTTTTAAGGATGAGGACAAAGACATATATAAGGAAGACATGTTCCAATGCCTTCATGAATCTTCCAGCCTCATATGTTTAACAAACACTGACTGACTGAATGGCTTACTAATGAAAATGGGCCTGCCCATCATTCTCCTTCAAATTTCTATTTCTAGTGTTTGCTTGAAATCCACAAAAAAGCGGTTTTTAGAACTGTTCATAAACTAAAGATATGAATTTAAATAAAGAACTAATGAAGTCACCTCTAAATAAATCAATCAGTAAGGATTCTTTTGATTGCAAGTGATAGGAAACTCAACAAAGTTGGATGACAGAAAAAAAAAAAAAAGACACTGGCTATCATATGGGTAGAGTTATTCCCAGGACAGAAAGTGAACTTGACCAGAATAAATTTCCAGGCTCTACTCCCTTCAGAGACCCTGATCTTAGGCCATCTTCTCTCCTTTAGCAAAATGTCCTGCTACTTTCAAGATACTGGTCATTTCAAGTCCAGTGTTGAAGAGAGGATCTGTTTTGGCATTTTCACCACAGAAGCCCTGAAGTGTACTTTGATTGGATCAGCAGTCCTGCTCACTACCAGATCATGATTACTTCAAGCCAATATGAGTTTAGCCTTGAAATAGGGTGAGGTAACCCAGTTCAAACTTTGTGTTTGAGAAATGGTAAGATAGGGAGAAGTTCTACATACATAGGATAAGCTTTATTGCATTACTTTTTTTTTTTTTACATTTATTTGCACTGCTCAGAGACTTTTGCCAATTATTTCTTTTTCTTGCTAGGTTGTATTTTATACAGGATAAGCTGCTAGTTTGTTTAATTTTAGGTAACTGTGGTGTTACTGAATAACTGTACTGACCAAAATCTTTTATTTAGCAAATATTGACTAGATGCTAGCCTTCTATTGGTTAAGTATGCCATAACCATTACCAAGAATAGTGTAAGATACTGTTTTTGTTCTTAAGGAATAGCTATTCTCTGACTTAATTAAATACAATAAATAATCTAGCTAAGATTATTTAAAACTTGCTATCCAAAAGTAGTTAAAACTTTTTAAATCTTGACAGAAGCAGAAGAAAGCTTTAAGTTTGTGGGGTGTTTTTTCATTATTTTCTGAATGTAGAAATAATTTAATGAGCCTTCGGTTAAAAAAAGTAAAGCAAAGATCCTAATTTGGGATTAAAAAATGTAAAAAGATGAAGAGTTACCTATTTTGTATAATGTTGTGAATAATTTCTTTACTGTGAGAGAAGTTGCATTAATGTTGCTTGCTTCTTTTATAAGAATAGATCTTAGCTAAACTTAGATTAAGACAATGTCTCCGAAAAGTATTCATTTTGCAGAGATAGGATATCTGTCTCCTTTGTCTGCCTATCCTTATTGAAAGAGTTACACACAGGAATAAATCAAAACAAGATACTAGATAAAGGTGAGAAGGTAAAATTTGAGCTTAAGCAAATGGAGAGATTCTTTAGGAGCAGGACTGAGGTTGTTGGAACCCAACCTGGATTATTCAGCTCTAATTCCCTCACAGGGTATTCTTCTACATTGGGAAATTTACCAGTGTAGAACGATACTGTGTCCTAGTGGGTACACCCTGTTGGATATTCCCTGATGGTGCTTTCTAGAACAAGACCTATTCATATTAATAGGAGTCAAGGTGTTTCCAAAGGGTGTTGGAACTCCAACTGTCAGTCATCTTGGAAGGGAGGAGATTCATGATGGAAAGTAAGGATTTGGAATTGAGACTTGAACATCTAGGAAAATAAACTTTCTCAAAGGCATTCCTTTTTAAATAAGAAGTGAATTCTATAAGCAGAAACTAAAGAGAGAAGGGGCCAATAGGGTACCCATATAACACCAAAGAGGACTTAACTATAAACTCTGGGAGTATTCATCTCTAGTTTCAAGCTTTCTTCTTAAAAATATATTGAAACTTTCTTCTATTATTCCCCGTCTTTAATACATTATTGTTAAAGGCTGAGGTAACGGAGAGAGAAAATTAAGGAATGAACCTACATCCATATTTGAAACACGATTGCCACACCCATCAAAAAGTGGCAGAGGAGGGGAATGTAAAGCAAGAAAAGTAGGGAACTAAGATGGTAATCAGCAACCCATACAAATTTGTAGGACATACAAGCATTTGGGGGTAACTTGGTGACATTTGAAGTGAAGACCATTTTGCAGACTAAGCCTTCTGAAATCATACAGAAGAGAAATTTAGATTACTTCTGAAGAAGTATAAACCCATAGGTAGATACAACAATATAATGTCACAGGAGGTACAGATACGTAGATGCACAGTGTTAGGCAGTGTCAGAATCCTACAAAACATGATTTGCAGAACAATGTATAATCACACAAAAAAGTTAACTAAACATTGCTAACCATTACAAACCAATATGAATGGTAATACTGAGTTCAATTTTTATAAATACATATTAATAATACAGGAAGAGAAAGGAGTAGAAGGAATTATACTAAGTTGTTAGAAGATTATCAATAGTTGTTAGGGTTACATTTTTTTCTTTTGTGAATCAGTATAGTTTCAACAATAACTACATATTATCTTTTGATAACAGTAATGTATAATTTCAACTAAGTTATAATCATTATTTAAAAAGTGAGACAGTGACAAAATCTCAGAGATTTGTAGGATAGTATATAGTTGAAAAATGTACTTGGATAATGCCTTCTCATTATATTAGATTATGTCATTAATATCTTCTCAAGTTGGATATAAAATAAATTTATGAGTCAGATTTGAAAGGGAAGTTGGAAATGGGGTAGGAAAAATAAAGAGGAAGTAGAAGTCAATGCAAGTCTCATACAAGTCTTCCGTAATACAGGAAATCACTGTCAATGAATGTTTACTTTTACATTGAATCAATTAACCTGAGAGAGACTATCAGTATGTTTGAATCCCTACATTGCTAATGGTAGCATCTCAGCTATGTTTGGGTTGACTTGGAAAAAAATCAATGCCAGAATAAATTAATATTCATTTTAAGACATTCTTAAAAAGTAGAATAAAGTAACAGATAATCACTTAAAAATTTTTACTTTAAGTTCTGGGATACATGTCCAGAATGTGCAGGTTTGTTAACTAGGTATATACGTGCCATGGTGGTTTGCTGTACCTATCAACCTGTCATCTAGGTTTTAAACCCCACATGCATTAGGTATTTGTCCTAATGCTCTTCCTCCCTTGCCTCCCACCCCTCGACAGGCCCCAGTGTGTCATGTTCCCCTCCCTGTGTCCATGTGTTCTCATTGTTCAACTCCCACTTATGAGTGAGAACATGCAGTGTTTGGTTTTCTATACCTGTTAGTTTGCTGAGAATGATGGTTTTCAGCTTGAATCATGTTCCCACAAAGGACATGAACTCATTATTTTTTATGGCTACATAGTATCCCATGGTGTATATGTGCCACATTTTCTTTATCCAGTCTATCATTGATGGGCATTTGGGTTGGTTCCAAGTCTTTGCTATTGTAAATAGTGCTGCAATAAGCATACATGTACATGTGTCCTTATAGTAGAATGATTTACAATCCTTGGGTTATATACCCAGCAATGGGATTGCTAGGTCAAATGGTATTTCTGGTTCTATATCCTTGAGGAATTGCCACACTGTCTTAATGATTGAACTAGTTTACACTCACAACAACAGTGTAAACGTGTTCCTATTTCTCCACATCGTCGCCAGCATCTGTTGTTTCCTGACTTTTTAATGATCACCATTCTAACTGGTGTGAGATGGTATCTCATTGTAGTTTTGATTTGCATTTCTCTAATGACCAGTGATGATGAGTTTCTTTTCATAGTTTCTTGGCCACATAAATGTCTTCTTTTGAGAAGTGTCTGTTCATATCATTCACCCACTTTTTGATGGTTTTTTTTTTTTTTCTTGTAAATTTAAGTTCCTTGTAGATTCTAGATATTAGACTTTTGTTAGGTGGATAGATCGTGAAATTTTCTTCCCATTCTGTAGGTTGCCTGTTCACTCTGATTATAGTTTCTTTTGTTGTGCAGAAGCTCGTTAGTGTAATTAGATCCTATTTGTCAATTTTAGCTTTTGTTGCCATTGCTTTTGGTGTTTTAGTCATGAAGTCTTTGCCCATGCCTATGTCCTGAATGGTATAGCCTAGGTTTTCCTCTAGGGCTTTTATGTTTTCAGGTTTTACCTTTAAGTCTTTAATCCAACTTGAGTTAATTTTTGTATAAGATGTAAAGAAGGGGTCCAGTTTCTGTTTTCTGCATATGGCTAGCCAGTTTTCCCAGCACCATTTATTAAACAGGGAATCCTTTCTCCATTGCTTGTTTTTGTCAGGTTTGCTGAAGATCAGATGGTTGTAGATGTGTGGTGT
Source organism: Homo sapiens (assembly GCF_000001405.40). Classification (NCBI taxonomy): domain Eukaryota; kingdom Metazoa; phylum Chordata; class Mammalia; order Primates; family Hominidae; genus Homo; species Homo sapiens. The sequence continues at coordinate 103,511,035 of NC_000001.11, forward strand.
TATTTCTGAGGCCTCTGTTCTGTTCCATTGGTGTATATATCTATTTTGGTACCAGTACCATGCTGTTTTGGTAACTGTGGCCTTGTAACATAGTTTGAAGTCAGGTAGCATGATGCCTACAGCTTTGTAGCACAGGGATCAATGCAATAAGAATAGCTAACTATTCTAAAAATATATGCACCCAATACAAGAGTACCCAGATTCATAAAATAAGTTCTTAGAGACCTACAAAGAGACTTAGACTCCCGCACAATAATAGTTGGAGAGTTTAACATTACACTGTCAATATTAGGCAGATCAAGACAGAATATTGACAAGGATATTCAGGGCTGAACTCAGCTCTGGACCAATGGGCCTAATAGGCATCTACAGAGTTCTCCATTCCAGATCAACAGAATATACATTCTTCTCAGCACAACATAGCACTTATTCTAAAATTGACCTATAATTGAAAGTAAAACACTCCTCAGCAAATGCAAAATAATAGGAATCATAACAGTCTCTCAGACCACAGTGCAATCAAATTAGAACTCAGGATTAAGAAATTCACTCAAAATCGCACAACTACATGGAAAGTGAACAACCTGCTCCTGAATGACTACTGGGTAAATAACAAAATGAAGGCAAAAATAAAGAAGTTCTTTGAAACCAATGAGAACAAAGAGACAACATACCAGAATCTCTGGGACACAGCTAAAGCAGCGTTAAGAGGGAAATTTATAGCACTAAATGCCCACATCAGAAAATGGGAAGGATCTAAAATCAATGCCCTAACATCACAATTAAAGGAACTAGAGAAGCAAGAGCATACACATACAAAAGCTAGAAGAAAACAAGTAATAACTAAGATCAGAGCAGAACTGAAGGAGATAGAGACACAAAAACCCTTCAAAAAAATCATTGAATCCAGGAGTTGGTTTCTTGAAAAGATTAACAAAATAGACCGCTAGCAAGACTAATAAAGAAGAAAAGACAGAAGGATAAAATAGACACAATAAAAAATGATAAAGGAGATACCACCACTGATCCCACAGAAATACAAACTACAATCAGAGAATACCGTAAACACCTCTATGCAAATAAAACTAGAAAGTCTAGAAGAAATGGATAAATTCCTGGACAAATACACCCTCCCAAGACTAAACCAGGAAGAAGTCAAATCCCTGAATAGACCAATAACAGCTTCTGAAATTGATGCAGTAACGAATAGCCTACCAACCAAAAAATCCCAGGACCAGACAGATTCACAGTCAAATTCTACCAGAGGTACAAAGAGGAGCTGGTACCATTCCTTCTGAAACTATTCCAAACAATAGTAAAAGAGGGACCCCTCCCTAACCCATTTTATGAGGCCAGCATCATCCTGATATCAAAACCTGACAGAGACACAACAAAAAAAGAAAATTTCAGGACAATATTCATGATGAACATGGATGCGAAAATCCTCAATAAAATACTGGCAGACCGAATCCAGCAGCACATCAAAAACTTATCCACCACAATCAAGTTGGCTTCATCCCTGGGATTGAAGCCTGGTTCAACATATGCAAATCAATAAACGTAATCCATCACATAAACAGAACCAATGACAAAAAACACATGATTATCTCAATAGATGCAGAAAAGGCCTTTGATAAAAGTCAACACTGTATCATGCTAAAAACTCTCAATAAACCAGGTATTGATGGAACATATCTCAAAATAGTAAGAGCTATTTATGACAAACCCATAGCCAATATCATACTGAATGAACAAAAGCCAGAATCATTCGCTTTGAAAACCGGCACAAGGCTAGGATGCCCTCTCTCACCACTCCTATTCAACATCGTATTGGAAGTTCTGTCCAGGGCAATCAGGAAACAGAAAGAAATAAAGAGTATTCAAATAGGAAGAGAGGAAGTCAAATTGTCTCTGTTTGCAGACGACAAAATTATATATTTAGAAAACCTCATCGTTGGCTGGGCGCCGTAGCTCACGCCTGTAATCCCAGCACTTTCGGAGGCTTAGGTAGGTAGATCACGAGGTCAGGAGATCGAGACCATCCTGGCTAATATGGTGAAACCCCGTCTCTACTAAAAACACAAAAAATTAGCCAGGCATGGTGGCACGTGCCTGTAGTCCCAGCTACTCAGAAGACTGAGGCAGGAAAATCGCTTGAACCTGGGAGGTGGAGGTTGCAGTGAGCCGAGATCATGCCACTGCACTCCAGCCTGGGCAACAGAGCAAGATTCTGTCAAAAAAAAAAAAAAAAAAAAAAAAAAAAACTCAGCCTAAAACCTCCTTAAGCTGATAAGCAACTTCAGCAAAGTCTCAGGATACAAAATCAATGTGAAAAAATCACAAGCATTCCTATACAACAATAATAGACAAGCAGAGGGCCAAATCATGAGTGAACACCCATTCCTAATTACTACAAAGAGAATACAATACCTGGGAATACAACTTACAAGGGACATGAAGGACCTGTTCAAGGAGAAATACAAACCACTGCTCAAGGAAATAAGAGAGGACACAAACAAATGGAAAATAATTCCATGTTCCTGGATAGGAAGAGTCAATATAGTGAAAATGGCCATACTGCCCAAAGTAATTTATAGATTCAATGCTATTCCCATCAAGCTACCATTGACTTTCTTCACAGAATTAGAAAAAAAACCACTTAAATTTCATATGGAACCAAAAAAAGGGCCCGCACAGCCAAGATAGTCATTTTTCATAATAAGAAGACATACTAAAGTATGAATGTTTGTATTCTGCCCAAAATTCTTATGTTGAAATCTTACCTCCCAAGGTGATAGATAATATTGGGAGATGTGGCCTTTGGTGTGGTGATTAAGTCATGAGTGGATTAATGGTCTTATGAAAGAGGCCCTAGAGAGCTGCCTTGACCCTCCTACCATGTGATGACATAGTGAGAAGGCATCATCTTTGAATCAGGAAATGGTGGAACTCAGCAGACACTGAGTCTGCTTGTGCCTCAATCTTGGACTTCTAAGGCTCCAGAACTGTGAGAAATAAATTTCTGTTGTTTATTAGCTACTAGTTCATGGTATTTTGTTATACCAGTCCAAATGGACTAAGACAAGAGGAAAAGAGGGAAAAAGTATTTTAGCAGTTGTAAGAAAAGTAACCACATTTCTTTCTTTTAACCTATAATATGACGCATCAAGGCACAGAAAAAAAGGATATCAAAAAATAGTTAATTTTTAGGTCTATTTTATTCAGTAGCTAACTTCCTAAAAGAAAATAATGATTCTTTCTAAATATTGCTGTACTAAAAACAATCAGCACCATATTAAAGGTACTATTATTTATATTTGTTTACATGCCCACAATTTTAATGTATTTTGGTAAATTTAACTTGCCAAAGCATATATATACATTTAACCAATTCTAAGAAATTTATATTTATGAAGATAATTGTAATAATTCAATAAGATGATCATTTACAGATTGATTATCTAATTTGTAGGTTCCTTAACACTCTTTTTTGTTCCTTTACACCAGGAGCCTTTTGATAATTTTGCTAAACATAGGTGAAGCTGGACAGGTACAATAGCATTGAGCCTAACAGTTTCTTTTTCCAAGATGGTACATTGAGAGTTTAAAATAATCAAAAGGGACATATACTTCACATTGATATAGGGTGGCTAGTAATCAGAAAAAAAGACAAAGTTCTTGCTCAAAAAGGGTAGCTTATGTCTTAGACAAAATCAAAACATATTTGGAACCAGCAGGTAAAAGGTATGATTTTGAAAGACTTGGGAAACATCTGTTGATAAAGAATACATTAAGAGACCTTTTTAAACATTGCTTTTTAAATAGAAACGTGTGAATATACTAACAAAGGGTCAATGGCATGACAGTAATGCTAAAATGCATCACTATACAAAAGAGCTCCCCAGGAAGGTAGAGTACCTAATGAAATGAAAAAAAGAATAAAATATGGAAAATTATTATTGATAAGTAAATGTTTATCATCCTACCAGTCTACAAAAACACATACATGACATTTTCCCCTATTTAGGGCTACTCTTCAGTTTCTGGTCTTAAAACATTTTGCCTTGGCTGGGACAAACTTGCCATCTAGTGACAATGACTGGTAATTACAGAATATGAAAATAGGCCCAGTGCACTCAAACATACATGCATGCATGATCTCAAAACTGAAACCAGCTTTTTATAAAAAAGTTCAAAGAATATTTATAGAGTACACATTACAAACTGTGGCTTGAAGATAAAGTGATGGATAAAAATTAATATGGCTCCCAAAAGTTGAACGAAGAAGACAGATATTATTCAAATAATCACCAATTAAATGTTAAAATAACAAATATAACAACTTCTACAGCACTCTGTGCCACATTAATTAATGTAATACTCATAAGCCTATGAGATATACATATCATTATCTCTATTATATATTTGAACATTGAAAAAGACAGATTAAGTAACTTCTCCTAGGTCACATAACAGAGCAGGTATATAAATCTCAGATATTTTGCCTCTCAAGTCTATGATTTAGCCACTTCTGAATATAAAACTAAAAGTGTAATAGTGTGGCAAACACAAGCAAGGTAAATACATGATTGGAAAACTTTCATTCATTCATTTATTCATCTGTTTATTCACTCATTCAACAACTACTTATTGCATACCTATAACGTGCCAGGTACTACTTTTGGCAGGTGAACAAAGTAGCAAACATGACAAAAACTCTTACCTCATAGAGCTTCTAACAAACAAATGCACGTGCACACACACACACACATTAGTATATATTTTGGGGCTGTTATTTTACAAGAAATTAATAAGGCAAGGTTAAGTTATTAGTGTTGGTTAGGTGAGGAGAAATGCTATTTCCAGAGATGGCATGAAAGTCCTCTCTGAGGAAAGCACATCTGAATAAAAACTGAGTAAACATGAGGGATATGAGCATCTGGAAGAGGAATGTTAGAGAGATAAAGGACATTTGAAAAGATTCGGTTTTTTATTTTATACCCCCACTCCCACTGCTGCAAGAATGACTAATGGGGGGTGCTCATGAAGCAGAGAAGTAGGACATAAGATGATAGAAGTACCAAGAAGGGCTTTATATGACAAGAGAAAGACTGTAGGTCTTATTCCAACTGTGATGGGAAGCCAATAAAAGGTTGCAAACAGGAAAGTAATCTGATGTAATTTATGTTTTTAAAAATCACATGAGTTAGTGTGAGGAAAATACACTGTAGAGTGCCTAGAATAGAAGCGAGGAAACTAATCAAGAGGCTATTGGAACATTCCAGGTAAGAGAAAATGATGAAGACATATGATGAAATCTAAAAGTCAACCAAATCACATTTTCCAATAATTATAATAAAAGGGAAATTGTATGTGTCATAACAAGCCAAAGAGTTTTCTGAAAATCAAATGAAAGGTCACATTTAGATGAGAATCAAGAAAATCATTAGGGGTGTGGCCTATGCAGCATATTTGAGTATAGAAAGACAAAAATATGTGGGTGTCTTTAAGAAAGTATAGTTTAGCTTCCATGTAGCATAAGGTGAATGTAAGGGTGAAACATAAAGAGTCAACTAAATGGAGGGACTTAAAGGATTCCGGAGATAAAAATTAGGCTCTGCTTTATTTTATTTCTTTTCTCTACTTTCTTAAGCAGCTTTCAGCCCTATAACAACTCAGTTACATACTGGTTTTCATCTACTGTGATATATGTCTTTTTAATACCTTTGAGAGTGTTGGGCACAGAAAATGTTATTCAGGCATGACTAATAAATTGCTCAAAGACCACCAGACTATGACACATCTATGGTCTGACAAAGGTAAGTTTATCATTTTGCAGCAGTAAAAAAAGACTACACAATTGATGGGGCATTTTGCCAAAACAGATGAAGGAAGAGCCAGCATTCTGATTCATTTAAGAGTAAGGTGGGGTTTAAATAAAATTTAAATGAACAGTTCTTTGATAGGCTGAAAGAATAGCCTGGCTGTATTAGCATAAAGCCTGGACTAAGAAGTGGGTATAGGGTTCTGTTTCCTTGAAATCTACAAAGTTAAGATGACTGTGGAATCTTGTATCTGAAAAACATTATCTGAAGCTTTGCACCTGGGTGGAAAATTGAGGCTGCTTCTCTGTGTCAAAGTACCCACATAGCTTAGCTCTTCAGGCAATAGTGGGGTGTTCCTGTCTCACTAACATAATTTCAAAAAGCAAAATTTCTGACAGTTTGTAATTTTTACAGAACAAAGTTTTTCAATGCTGTCACTGGAGTTAATTGACAAAAGAAATCATTTCATACTTTTACACCACTATAGCTTTTAGTATATTTTATTAAAGTTTAATTTTAATACCTTGGTTTTGATATGAGTCAGGAGCATCCCTCTCTTGTGACTGAATAAGGGGGAGATCAGAGGTACTTAGAGAGTTAAGTGAGGGAAAAATTGTCATTTTGTTCAGGCCACTTGTAAGTTAGTCCTAAGAAGTTTGAGATTTCCTGGAAAATAATTGACATCTAGACCAGCAAATCACTGTAGGTGGTAGCTGGACTCTATGTGTATAGGGCCATACCCAAGAGGTTTATCTGTTGGGGTGAATGACTCAGAGGGGTTAGAGGCAGGAACTGAAGAAGAATCGTAAGAGGTCAACCAGCAAGTATATTACTGATATCATGAGACTATATGGCATAAATGCTGCAGGGCCCTCAAAAGGACAACTAAGGTGACCCATATATTTGGTTGCCTGCCTTGATAGGACATCAACAGCAAAGAGAGAACTACTTTTCCCAGTGGATTCTAAAGCAGAAAGAAAAAGAGATGAAGAAAATGAAAGAAAAGACTACGTCACCTTCCCCACCATAGGTTCCCTGAGCTTAGAGAAGGGTGTATATTTAGAAGTGAGATTAGTATTAAAAACTGAACTGAAAGTGAATCTTAATTATAAATAATAGATTGTTTTTAAAATCAAAATAAATAGGAATGCTAAGGGTGACTGCAGAGAAGGGAGATCCAATAAAGCATGTTGAAATTGTAAAATAGTTTGTTTTGTTTTCTGATTTTCTTTTGGTAGCCCCATTAGGTCCAGCTAATTCAACCTTTCAGCATCTGTATGTAGATGCTTTTATTTCTATAAGATAGATTTGAAAAGCAGAATTACTGGATCAAAAAGTATGGTAACATTTATCCAAATAAATATGAAGATTTACTTTTCTAAATGCCTGTGACAAACATTTGCCCTCATGCACACACCTACATTAAATTTTATAGCTATGTATAATGTTTTCCAGTTTGAGAACTGAGAATTGGTATATTCTTGTGGGGTCTAATTGGCATTCCCATTACCAATAGTAAGGTTAAACACCTTTCCATATGTTAATGGGCCATTCAGGTTTCCTTTTTGTAAAATCACCTGTTTATATTCTTTAAACACATTTTTCTATTAATTTGTCTTTCTTTTTCCAATTTTTTGGTACCAGCTGTATTTTCTGACGTTTTTACGTAAGAGAAGATAATCTAGCATTGTCACATTACAGAAAAACAACTACTTATGACAGTACCATTTATCAGGTGAAACATTTTCTCTAGGCATCTTCTGAAATGTTTAGTACATTTTAATTTTTTGATTGACTAATGTATTAGTCTGTTTTCATGCTGCTGATAAAGACATACCTGATACTGGGAAGAAAAAGAGGTTTAATGGACTTACAGTTCCACATAGCTGGGGAGGCTCCACAATCATAGTGGAAAGCAAGGAGCAGGTCACATCTTACATGAATAGCAGTAGCCAAAGCGAGAGTGCTAGTGCAGGGAAACTTTTTTAAAAACCATCAGATCTCATGAGACTTATTCACTATCACAAGAACAGCATGGGAAAGACTCGCCTCCATGATTCCTTTACCTCCCACCGGGTTCCTCTCACAAAATGTGGGAATTGTGGGAGTTACAATTCAAGATGAGATTTGGGTGAGGACACAGACAAACCATATCAACTAATACTTAAATGTATAGGTTTATATTAAGAAAAATAGCCTTCCAGGTTGCATACATTAAAAAAAATGTGCCATCCAAATGGATTCCAAATTGTAAATGGAGTTAAGAAAGTATTTTAGAACAGGAATATTTTTCGGGTGCTATTTCCCTATCTTCTCTAGATTCCATCCCAGAACAGAAGACATAAGCAAGCTATACCCCATAAGAAAAGGCTAATTACCCCTGCAATAGCCAAAAGTTCACATAAATCCTGCCTCTGTTCATTTGTTATTTAAAGGCAGAGACTAAGTCTACAAATAACTATGTGTGAGATCCACACATAATCTAATCTATCAATAAATAACAAAAATAATATTGACATTTTAACTTTCTGATCATTTTGCATAGAAATCTTTAGACAGGTTTCCTAAAGTCATCATGCAAACCACTGAATATGTAATCCCTGGTTGTCAGCAGTGTTTTTTATTTTCTTGATAATAACATTAATTTATTCACTGATAAATGTTTTAAAACATATGTCAAATATTCACTAATATATATTTTAACATTCAATGATCATTAATCTATTTGTAAGGTACTATGTTAATGCTTGGAAGATATACAGACGAATATAGAAATTCCTGTCTTCAAGGAGCTTATTAGTAATAATGAAATTATGTACATAATTATTTATAATAAAATATATTTATGATAATTTTATAACAGAGGTGAAAAGTTCTACAATAACAAATGGGATGAAGACATGAATTCTACCTTGGGAAAAAAGAAAAGACTTTGATGATGTTTGTTTTAAGTTACTAAGTAATTGGATGGCTTATTACACAGTGACAACCAAAACACTGAAAAATCTAGTGTTCAGGTTTTTTGTTGTTGTTGTTGTTATTGTTGTTTTTGTTTCCTTTGCCAGTATGGGAAGAGAATAGAGGAGGCAGAGATGGTGTTGACTGACAATGAAGAATTTAATGAGAAAGTCATATGTAAGCATCTGAAGAAAGTCAGGGAGCTAAGCATGCAGATATCTGTAGGAACAGCATCCCTGAAAGAGAGAATGGTAAAGGCAAAGGTCTTAGTTATGGGTCTGAAGTGTTCAAGCACAGCCAGAAGGTCAGTGTATTTATAGCAGAGGGAAAGAAGAGGGGAAGAATAGATGAAGTCATAAAAATAATATACTGGAGGAGTTAGATCATGTAAATTCTCACAGATCAAAATAACTTCAGCATTTACTCTAAGTGAGGGGGAAAGCTACTGCAGAGTTTTGAAGATTTAACAGAATCACTCTAGCTGCTGTGATAAAAATATATTGAAGAAGCAATATATTTTTAATCATGTTAAAATGGACTTTTCATGGTAAAAACTAGTCCTAAGCTATCAATACCTTTAAGAGAAAAAAGTTATTTACTACTTATGCAAAGTTTGGTGGGAGGGAAGTTATTCTGTAGGGGAGCTGTCATTGATGTGGTGAGTTGGTACTCTAGGCTATGTTTAGCTTGAGGTTCTATCACCTCAATATGTGGCCTACATGATCACTGTTTTCATACCCAATCTTCCATGCAATACTCTGGAATTGACACATGTTGCTTTCATTAACACCCCATCTACCAAAATGAATCACATAGTCCCAACTAACAACAAGAGAGTTGGGAAATGGAAAGGAATATATGAAATAATTGTTGAGTCTTACTGTGTCGTCCAGACAGAAAGGGCAAAAGTAGGAGACTAGCCATGAGGCTATGACAATATTCCAGATAGATCATGGCTGCTTGGACAAGGATGGTAGAAACAGTGGGAACAGTGAAAAATAGTCAAATTTTGAATATAATTTGAAGGTAAGATAAAGGGAATTTGCTGAATGTCAAGGCATGAGATATAAAAGATATAAAGGAGTCACAGGTAACTGAGATGGGAAAAACTGAAAGAAAAGTTTTGAATACTATCAAGAGCTCAGTTTTAGGCCTGTTAGTTTTGAGATGCTTATTACACAACATTGAGAAAATGTCAAGTAAGCAGTTCAATATATGGATTGGGAGTTTAGAGAAGAGGTTCAGGCTGAAGATATGATTTGGTAGTCATCAATGTGTGGTTCTTAAAGCCATAAAACTGAATGAGATGACTTGTCCAGTACAAGTAGGGCAAAATGAGAAAAGATTGAGCATGGGAAACTCCAGCCTTTGGAGGTCAAGGAGATGAAGAGCAATCAGCAAAAGAAACAAAGAGAGTGATCAGAATGATAGGAGAAAAACTTGGCAAGTTTGGTGTTCAGCAAGCCAAATGAAGGGAGTTTGGTTTATTGGTTGTTTGTAGGGTGTTTTTTGTTTGACTGTTTTTAGAGCAGAGTAAACAACTGTGTTTGGTGAGCAATGCTTATAGATCAAGTAGGATAAGATCTAAGAAATTACCACTGGATTTAGCAATGTGTAGAGGTCACTGATGACCTCGAGAAGGGCAATTTCAGAAAAACAATTGGGATACAAATCTGATTGGAATATTCTAAACAGAATATGGGAGAAGAAAATTGGAGACAACAAATATAAACCACCATTTCCAAGAGTTCTGCTATTAACAGAAAGAAATGGAATGGTAGCCAAAGAGGAAAGTGGAAAGAAGAGAGTTTTTAAAAATTATTTTATTTGCTTTTGGCTTTTTTAAACAAAAGGGTAAATAATTGCATTTGTATACACTGATGAGAAAGGCTCAGTAAAGTACATGAGAAGGCAGGAGATTTACTTCCCGAGAGAGGTTAGCTTAACCAAGACTCACAGATACAGTTAGGATTAATAGGTATGGGAATCCTCTATAACTTGGTTCACTTTTTTTCCCCAAATGAGATTAAGAAGCAAGGTCACCATCTAAGAATGAAAGTGGGAAGGATTCAAGGTGACAGGAAATAGGAGAAAGCATGGAGTCAAAGATTTACTAGAGTAAGGCAATGAGAGAAAGTGAGATCGAACAGTAGGAGAAGTGGTGTGTTTTGGAAACCAAGGGAAGATAGCGTCTCAACGAAGAAGTGGTCAAGTATGCCAAGCATTGCTGAGAAGCTAAAATGAGAACTGAAAAGGCCTATTAGATTTAGTAACTGGGAGGTAACTAGTGACCCTAAGAAGAACTACCTTGTGGACTGATGGGATCAGAAGTCAGGAGCACACTTTGGAGTGAATGGGAGATGAAGAAATAAGAATAATTATGTCTCTCTCTTTAGAAGCTTGGCTATGAAGGGTGAGGGGAATGCTTTTGGCTAGAAGCCAGGACAAATATTGGGATCAACCCTTCTCCCTATTGTAGTTCTCCAAAGCATGCCAGAGATAGGACCCAGCAGTTTTCCTGTCTTCATGCGGAAAAATGGGGAGTTTGGGGGTAAAAGGGAAGATGTAATAGGGAAGTACAAGTAGCCATGTGGTCAAGTGAGGAAAACTAGGGACATAAACCAAAGGAAGCAAAAAAGGTAATTCTGTCTGAGAAGGTACTCAGTAACATGGAGGAACTGATGAAGATGAAAATTAACCCAAGAAAACCACCACATTAGCGGGGACCTCCATCAACACACAAAACCCCTGAGAATAAGAATGAGATAAAGAACCAACAATTGCTCAGTGAAGTCAGACACTCCCAAGCTCCACTACTTTTCCCGCCTCCCATTCCCCAACATAGAAAATCAAGACTGAAAATGAGTTAAATTCACAGTTCTCAAACTGTGCTAAGGTGCCCCAGGTACCCTTGCCACCTTATAGAGGTACTATAGGATATTTTAAATATTTGAGGGAAACATAGCAATACTCACTGTTTACCAGACACTACCTGAACTACCAGCTTGAGATGTTTCTCAATTTGAACATTAGATACTGTTTAATTCCTTTTAAGAATGTCATATATTTGAAAAGCTGGGTTTTTGGCTGTTGCTCTCATATAAAACAAGTGCTTCCTGGAAAACCAGAGTGGAATAGGAAATAAGGTGGCATCAAGGGGTGCTAGAAAAAACTGCTGGGACAATAAAGCTACCAATAACTGAAAAAGTTTGGCAACTTCTGGGCTAGACAAAGAGGAGGGAATGAGAAAGGTACTTCTCAGATACGACCACACATACCTACACTCAGACACAGAAAAGATTAGAGTGTATTACATATTCCTGCAATCCTTTAGGTCAAGCCTGATATGAGGGGAGTGTAAGAAGAGACACCTTAATGGAGTTTGGACTTGACATCTCTAACCAACTGTACTGATAGCAACTGAAAGTGACTAGAAAATTATGACCTCTACCTGAGATATTGTCAAGGAAAGGATAAGGTAGATTTCATTGAGTACAACTAAAAGCAATTAAGTAGAGAGAAAATAAAATTCTGTCATGTAACTATTCCACTCAGTCATGATACCTGAATTACAGTAGATAATGACCATTAAACTCTGCCTGATAGCCCCTGTAGTAATTCCTAACCGTAGGAGGCAGTGGTAAATATAAAAGTGAATTCCTTCATGCATTCATTCATTGAATAGATATTTACAGAATGTGCACTATGTCTGGAACATTTTACTAAACATAAGAGTCACAGGGAGGATGTGACGGTCATTTTGCATGACACCTGTCACCAACTGATCCCAACAGTTGATTTGGCTGATCTGGCTAACTAGCTGGGTTCCCCTTCCTTCCTAACTGCCCCATATATGTCTCTTCCAAAGCTGCCCACTCGGCTGAGGAGGATGACTTACCCCCATAAAGGAGGATGATTTTTCTGTAAGGGCATACGTGTAGCAGTGCTCCCTTGCTAGAAGCTCCAAACAAGTCTTCAAAGAACACACACAAAAAAGCCGCTGAAGGATAGTGTTTAAAATAGCATGACCACTCCAATCGGTTTATAACACTACCCTATTTTTTCCAAAGCACTTATTATTCTCTGAAAAGAACTTTATTTACATATTTATTCTGTCTTGATTTTAGAAAGTAAGCATTGAGAGGGCAGGAATTGATTGTCTTCTTCTTCTTCCTTGCCTCAACTTCTCAACATCTGCATGTCCCATGACTCCATTATGGGCACAATTCTATCTATACCCTTTGTCATTCTTCAGATATAAATACCATATAGGTTGATGCCATACCTCGTGGTAACCTTTCCCAAGAATGCCAAACACACACATTCAACTTCCTACTTGAAACAGGGATACTGAATAGATACCTTAAACTTAATATATGTTCCTCTATTCCCAATGTCCCACTACAGTTTCTAACCTAGCTATACTTGGTCAATCTTCTCACATTCAGTAAATGGCATCATCATCTACAGATGGATAATATCTAGCTTAAGCCAAAAATCCAGAATTTATCCTTGCTTACTATTCTTCATCTGCAAGTTCCTATCAACTACTTCTAAAACGTATCTCAATTCCAGTTCCTTCTCTACATGTCCACTTTCACCAAACTATTATGGTAGTGTTTTTCTCCAGACTTCTACAGTAGTCCAACTGGTCTTTCTGCTTCTGTTTTTTGCATTGCAACCGGAGAAATTTTCATACCTAAACTTTGATTCTCTCCCCTCAACACACACCTACTTAAAGAATTTGTCAGTTTCTAAATGTTCCTCAAATAAAAAGGGCTCCTAACAAATCTACAGCGTCTACGTGGTCTGGCTCTACCTATCTGATATTTTGGTGGGTGTGTGGGGAAGGTTCTTCTCATGTTTGTCTTCTAGTTTTCATTAATATCTGTCTCTCTCCTTTTCCCCAACCAATGCGGGATGACAGCAGATTGCTGGTATACTGCTTACTGCTGTATCTCTAACATTTATTTAAGTGGCAAAAAGAACTGTAAGAGGAACTCTGGTTCTCCAGACTGTAGCAGCTACATCTAGCATAAAACCTCTCTTTAGAATCCTCAAGGCCCTCTCTGTATGGGGTGAGGGGTACATTCCTGACCCTCCGGGGATGATCCCTGCCTCACTCCATTCAGAATCTAGGCAGAACAGTGGATTAGAATGTAGACCCCCAGTCAGAACACCAAGGGTCAAAACTTAGTTCTTCCACTTTCTAGCTGTGTGATTTAACCTCTTTGTACATCAGTGTCCTCAGCTGTAAAATAGGGAGAAAAGTACCTACACCTACACACACACACACATACACACACACACACACACACACCCCTACACACACACACATACACACACATGCAATAATTTATTTATTAGGTTACCTCTCCCTAGAGGCTGCCATTTCTGCGAAATGAACCCTGGCAGGGGCCTATCCGTCTGCTAAATGCCTACTGATTCAAGAAAAAAGTCTGAACTCTCAACGTTTTGCCCCTTAAACTGAGTTCTCCTCCCTACAATGGTGTCTAATGAGTTGACAGAATAACTGGCTAGCTTTATATTTTACCATCTAAATACTGTAAGAACATACCCGGTATTTCCACACCCAAGTTCTCCTCCTTGCTATTCAGGCCAATTCACTTTCCCAAGGCCAGGGATTAAGAGCCGCACGGTCAGCTCCAGATAGCGCTCGCCGCCGTGCGCCCCGCCCCGCCGTGCGCCCCGCCCCGCCGTGCGCCCCGCCCCGCCGTGCGCCCCGCCCCGCCGTGCGCCCCGCCCCGCCGTGCGCCCCGCCCCGCCGTGCGCCCCGCCCCGCCGTGCGCCCCGCCCCGCCGTGCGCCCCGCCCCGCCGTGCGCCCCGCCCCGCCCTGTGACGGTCCCAGCCCGCACATGCGCAGTCGTGAGTCCTCTTGTCCTTGAGCGTCAACCTTCTTTCCCTGAAGTGGCTGGGGTTCCTGTTTCCTTCTTTGATTGACAACTTGTGTTAACCCTCGCACATCTCTGGGCCAATTTTTGCTTGTAAGTCTTTCCGGAGACCCCTGGAATTTAAATCATTAGCACCGCGCCCTTCCCCGAAGAGTCTTCGAAGGGTTGCCGCTTTTCGGTGGCGCAGTTCTCGCGAGAAGGTGACTTTCTTTCTCGGTATTTCCTGGTTTCCAGAATCCTTAGCGCGAGGCGGAAAAAATATTTCTCCCAGCTTGTGTTGATGCCGCGATTTTGACTGAGACTTCTTCCCACGATTTCTGTTTTTGCTTCTCCAAGGAAAATGGCAGCTCCCGAGCAGCCGCTTGCGATATCAAGGGGATGCACGAGCTCCTCCTCGCTTTCCCCGCCTCGGGGCGACCGAACCCTTCTGGTCAGGCACCTGCCGGCTGAGCTTACTGCTGAGGAGAAAGAGGACTTGCTGAAGTACTTCGGGGCTCAGTCTGTGCGGGTCCTGTCAGATAAGGGGCGACTGGTAAGGGCGCGCCCCTCCGGAGTCTCCCGGGAAGGCATTTGGGAAGTGACCGGGGAGGGGGAGCGCTGACAAGAGTAAAATGGAAACGAGTGGGGAAGATGGACTTGTGTGATGAGAGCTCCCCCATCCTACCTCTTTTTTATCAAAATATCTGCTCTGCGAAGTGGAGTTTTAATCGGCTCGAGTCTGGATTAGTCATAGCACTGCAGAAAAGGGCAAGTGAGAACGACAAAGCAGAAGAATGGAAATTAGCTTAGTTATATTGAGTTTTCGGATCCATCCTGAGAGCCTCACAACTTTTTTGAATTTGGGGTTATTTCTCCTGGACTCAAGAGTATTCTTACAAATGTGCATCAAGGGATTTTTTAAAGTCCTACTTCATTTATAAGCCAATGTTAAATCGTTCATTAAAATAGAGGAGAAGCTACATTGGTGACTTGCGTAAATTAAATGCAGAATTTCAACTAGAAAAAGAGGCTTTTCATAAAAATTTCCCGATGACATCTTTTAGGGAACAATTTTTTAGGGCTGTTAAGAGTACCTGTGTAGGAATTTACACAATTACTTTGTTTTGCTTTATATCCAAAGATATTTTAGATTTCTCTTCATTAAAATAGGAATAGCGATGGTGCAAGACTCAGTGGTTTTAAAGTTTCCCTAGGTGATTTTAATGTTAATGTGCAGCCCAAGTTGAGAGTTACTGAATTAGAAGAAAGACCAATTTTGATCAGTTTAAATGTCACTTATGCCTGCAAATTAAAAAAAAAAAATTATATATGGCTCAATTTAAGTACATCAGGTCATCGTGTATCAGATTAGACAAAATTAGAATGTGCGATATAATTATTAAAGTAACTTTTAATAAGCATTGACCAGAGCTCTTCCTTAGCATAGTGATTCTTTTACTGTTGATTTGTGTTTCTTTTCTGATGGTTTTTAAAATCCGTATAATTTATGTTTAAAAATAGACTTCTCCCATTGAACATTATTACAAAGATAAAGCACAAAGGAAATATGCACCTTGAAGAACGATTTCTCTGTTGGTGAATGTTTTTAAACTACGCATTGTTATGTATAGAGGAAAGTTTAAAATCTTTAGATCTGTCATAAATGAAGGAAATAAATTTTTAGTTGGTTAAAAGTGACCCTCTGTGTAGAACAGGTCTTTAAACTTTTGGTCTTTTGAACTATTTGCATGTGTAAAACGTGTGTCTTTATATGATAGAGGTTGCATAGCTTTCATCTCAAGTCTGACTCAAAAAGTATTGAAAACCACTGGACTGAAATTAGTAATCAGTTAAATGGTCTTGAGTTTTCATCCTTTCCCGTGATTTTATTAACATGTCACATTACTCCACTGGTAAAAAGTCAGATTTCTTTGTGAGAAACTGAAATTATATTGGAAGTAATTTGTACCTTAACTCTGTTTCAGAAACATACAGCTTTTGCCACATTCCCTAATGAAAAAGCAGCTATAAAGGTATGACTTTTTCTTGACGATTAAAGTTGTCAACAGGATCCTCTTATACAATCTTGGTTCAGATAATGTTTAACTGTGGTTTTTAAGAAGCAAAAGCGTTTGTATTCCAACAGTTTCCCCAACAGACTACATTTGATTTGTCAGTTGGCAGATCTTGCCCAGTCCTTTAGTAGATTATCTATAAAGAAAAACTAACTGCGTATGTAATTAAAATAACAATTTCTAAATGATTTAGATTGATAAATATCTCTGTGACTGTTACAAGGTAAGATGTTTCAAGTGTTAAAAGGAGAATATACATTTCTTTATAATGCCAGGGAATCATTCACAGGAGGTGATCTTTTAGCTAGAAGTCTAATGATTAATTGGATTTTTTCAGAAGGAAACAAGTGGAGATGGGCCTTCTGGGCTTGCAGAACACCAAATAAAGCTGTGAGACATTGGAAGTTATAAGTGGAGCAGGAGCTAAGGGTTGAGATGGAAATGGAACTTGAAAAATAGATTTGAGTCTGGGAGAGAGGTATTGAGTTTGGTTTAGTAGGTGGACACTTGATACTTTTGAGCTGGCTCATAATATGATCAGGCCTGTTAAAGATATCTGGTATAGTTCATATCATGGATTGGATGTGCAGAATTATTAGAGGTAGGAGACCAAATGGAAGGCTGTTATAATGGCCAAGGCAAGAATAACTATCTGAAGAAGACAGTAAGAAGACAAAGGGGGAAGTAAATATATATTCAATAGAGATTGAGTTTGTAGGTTTTATAATATAGGGGTTGAGAGAGAATAGTTCAGGATATTTAGATTGAGGATTGAGTTATTTGGGTTGTTATATTAGCTGACATGAGGATCCAGAGGATGTTTGCAAAGGCATAGGATGAATTCACTTGTCATCTGTTAACTTGGAGGGGTCATTGGGCTACTTTTATGGAAATATTTAAAAATATTAATGAGAGCTGAGGCAAGGTGAAGAATGGAAAGATTCTTCAACCATGTGAATAGATATGTTTGCCCAAAGGATAATAAGCTAGGAGAGAAGAATGGGAAGGAGCAGTTAAAGTAGGAGAACTAGAAAGGAAATTATCACTGATGCAAAGAGAAGTGTGTTTTAAGAAGATGAAATCCTGTGATGATGCAAAATGAGGAATGAACACATCTATTAAAGTCTTTTTGCCATGAAACAATAGAAATGACCCAAATTCTCATCGGTAAAAGGAAGGGAAGCCTTAAATCACATTATATCCATATACTGGACTGCAACTGTCTGAGAATGATGTCAAATGGTATGTGTTAATATGGAATGATAGCCCAGATAGAGTACATGAATAAAGTTGTGAAACATTATATATGATGTAACCTCAGATTTTTTGAAACTAATAGTATACATGTTAGCATATACACAGAAAAAATATGGCAGAACTATACACCAAAATGTTAAAAACATCTTTCTCTGAGAGTAGGATTACAGAGGGCTTTCATATTATATTAATATGTACTTTTATAATGGTAGGTAATTTTTTTTCAGAAAAAAAGTATTTTTAAAAATATATCATAATACATTGTAAATAAAGTATGGTAATGAAAAACGCATTGTTTTAGGGTCAAGAATAACTTGGAGGAGAGGACATGGAGCCAGTCATTGTCTTTGGAAATGTCTGTAGTGAAAGGAAGCAGTAAGAGGTTAACGGCAATATTGATAGGGCTTTTAGGCTAGAGAGCATTTGGCCTAATTGGAAAGTGATAGATTAAGAAAACAAAGGGAGAAATGTTCAAGAATAGAGTAAGTAGCCGAGTCAGGTAGGAGGAGTTAACATTAAAAATGAAAAACCATAAATCTTTGAAAATAAGAACATATGTGATACCCATTTGAGAAGAAGAAAGTTGGAGTAAGTCAGGTTAGATGACCTTCATTTCAGATAATCAAGGCTTCACTGATAATAAAGAGGTCTAAAGTTCATTTAGGGTCTTGAAAATTATTGAAACATTTTAAAATTAACTTTGTATGATGATGTAAGGCAGGGATCCTCAAACCCTGGGACACAGACTGGTACCCAGCCACGGCCTGGTACCTAACCACCACCTGTTAGAACCTGGGCCGCACAGCAGGAGGTGACTGGCAGGCTGAGGAAGCTTTATCTCTATTCAGGGCGACTCCGCCTGGCTGCCTGAGCTCCACCTCCAGTCAGATCAGCAGTGCCTTGGCCCCTGTTGTGAACTGCACATGCAAGGGATCTAGGTTGCGCTCTCAATGAGAATCTGACTAATGCCTTATGATCCGAGATGAATCAGTTTCATCTCGAAACCATCTTCTCCCCACCCCCCACCCCAGCCTGTGGAAAAATTGTCTTGCACAAAACCGGTCTCTGGTTAAGGCTTGTACTTTCATGTGTTCAAAAATATTAAGTACCTACTATGTGCTAGATGCTGATTTAGGTTTTGGGATTATATGTGAAGACAAAGATGATTATAGTTCATATTCTCAAAAGGGGAGACAGACAATAAATAATAAACTTTAATATTTTAGAAGATGATAAATGCTATGGAAAAAGGACAAGTAGAGCAATAAGATCAGGAGTGCTAAGTGGGGAGAGGTCAGGCTGTAGTTAGGGTTATATTTGAACAACAATTTGAAGGATGCGAAGGGAGTTAGCTAATGAAATTTCTGGGAGAAGTACCTTTGAATTAGAGGAACAGCTGGAACAGGGGCTCTAGGATGTGACCATGCCTGTCACGTTGTTCAAGGAAGCCACTGTGACTGGAGCAGACATAGTGGGAGTGATCTGTGGGAGCAGGAGTGGGAGTGATCATTGGATTTGAAGTCAGAGAAGTCATAGAATCTATATTATGTAGATTATAGTAAGGAACTTAGATTGCTGTCAGTAAAATAGGGAGCCATTGGAGCAAGGGGGTGACCTTGGTATTTCAAAGAATTGCTTTTGCTGTTGTGACTAGACTGAAGGGAGGGAAAGGTAGAAACAGGGAAATCCGTTAAAATATTGTGGTAATTCAGTCCAGAATTGATGGTTGCCTTGACCACAATGGTAGTGGTTAGCGGTGATTAGATTCTTTATATATTTTGAAGGTAGAAGCAAGGATTTCTTACTGTATTTATTCCAGTAGGTTTTGGGGGAACAGGTGGTGTTTAGTTACATGAATAAGTTCTTTAGTCGTGATTTCTGAGATTTTGATGTACCTGTCACCCAAGCAATATACACTGTGCCCATTGTGAAGTCTTTTATCCCTCACCCCCACTCCCAACACTTTCTCCTGAGTCCTCAAAGTCCATTGTATCATTCTTATGCCTTTGGGTCCTCATAGCTTAGCTCCTACTTAGGAGTGAGAACATACGATGTTTGGTTTTTGATTCCTGAGTTACTTCACTTAGAATAATGGTCTCCCATTCCATCTAGGTTGCTGCAAATGCCATTATTTTGTTCCTTTTTATGACTGAGTAGTATTCCATGTTATATATATATATACCATAATTTCTTTATCCACTCATTGATTGATGGGCATTTGGGCTGGTTCCGTATTTTTGCAATTGCAAATTGTGCTGCTATAAACGTGCATGTGCAACTGTCTTTTTTGTATAATGACTTATTGTCCTCTGGGTAGATACTCAGTAGTGGGATTGCTGGATGAAATGGTAGGTCTACTTTTAGTTCTTTAAGGAATCTCCACACTATTTTTCATACTTACTGTACTAGTTTACATTACCACCAGCAGTGTGAAAGTCACTTTCACCACATATTCTGCCAACATCTATTATGTTTTGATTTTTTCATTATGACCATTATTGCAGGAGTAAGGAGGTATTGCCTCATGATTTTGGTTTGCATTTCCATGATCATTAGTGATGTTGAGCAGTTTTTCATGTTTGTTGGCCATTTGTGTATCTTATTTTGAGAATTGTCTATTCATGTCCTTAGCCCATGGGATTGTTTTTTTTCTTGCTGATTTGTTTGGATTCCTTGTAGATTCTGGACATTAGTGGTTTTTTTGGATGTATAGATTGCAAATATTTTCTCCCGCTATGGGTTGTCTGTTTGTTGATTGTTTCTTTTGCTGTGCAGAAGCTTTTTAGTTTAATTAAGTCCCATCTATTTATCTTTGTTTTTGTTGCATTTGCTTTTGGGTTCTTGGTCATGACGTCTTTGCCTAAGCCAATGTCTAGAAGGGTTTTTCTGATGTTATCTTCTAGAATTTTTATGGTTTCAGGTCTTAGATTTAAGTCCTTGATCCATCTTGAGTTGATTTTTGTATAAGGTGAGAGATGAGGATCCAGTTTCATTCTTCTACATGCGACTTGCCAATTATCCCAGCACCATTTGTTGAATAAGGTGTCTTTTCCCTACTTTATGTTTTTGTTTGCTTTCTGGAAGATCAGTTTCCTGTAAGTATTTGGGTTTATTTCTGT
The DNA here is from genome assembly GCF_000001405.40 of Homo sapiens. Classification (NCBI taxonomy): domain Eukaryota; kingdom Metazoa; phylum Chordata; class Mammalia; order Primates; family Hominidae; genus Homo; species Homo sapiens. The sequence continues at coordinate 103,532,161 of NC_000001.11, forward strand.
GTTCTCTATTCTGTTCCATTGGTCTATGTGCCTATTTTTATACCAGTACCATGCTGTTTTGATGACTATGGCCTTATGGTATAGGCAAACAGGATTTCTTAATGACTTGGATATGGAATGTAGGAAAGAAGCATTAAGGATGATTACAAGATTTTTGACCTGAATAATTGGAAGAATGGAGTTGCTATCAACTGAAATAGAGATGGCTCCTGGTGGAGCACATTTGGGGCTGGGGGAAAGATTAAGTGAAATGTTGAATTTGAAATGTTTGTTAGATATCTATGGGGCGCTATCCATTATTTGAATATGTGTTCCTTGACTTCAGGACAGAAGTCTGTGCTGAAATTATAAATTAGTGAATCATTAGCATACAGATTTAAAGTTCGGATGCTGGATTAAATCACCAACATAATATGTTGAGAGAGAGAGGAAGACCAGGACAAGAGCTCTGGAGCATTCTAACATTAAGAACGTGAGAGAAGGCACAAGTCAAAGAGATGGAGGAGTACAAACCAGCGAGCTAGGAAGAAAACTAAGAATGTATGAAGTCTTGAAGCCAAGTGAATGACATGTATCCAGGAAGGAGTGATTAACTATGTTAAATGCAACCAAGTGAAGACTAGGAGTTGATCATTAGCCCAACAATGCAAAATTTGTTGTCTATGATAAGCAGTCTCAGTAAACTTATTAAAGCATTAACCTGATTGAAATAGGTTTGAAACTGAATAGGCAGAGAGGAGTTGTAGATAGAGGGTTTAGATAGCTTGTACAGAGTTTTACTGCAAAACTAATAATACAAATTTAGGATGGGAGAAATAGGAGCATGTTTTCATACTGATACGGATAATCCAATAGAGGACAGTAAATTAACAGTATAAATAAGATCACCCTCCACACCCCTCACCACACACAATTCCAGAGCATAGCTAAGTAAAGACCCTTGAGGAGATGAGAGGATGGAATTTAGTATATAAGTTAAGCAGCTGGATTTAGATAGGCATGTGGATAGTTAATAGATGATAACAGATAGCATGCATATGCTGGTAGATGGGGGGTTATAGTGGGAGTCTGATATTCTCATGTCATCAATTCTGTTGTCTCAAAGTAGAAAACAAGGTGCTAAGCTAACGGAATACAAGAAAAATATTGTGAGGTTAAGGAACAAGGAGAAAGTACAAAATACTCTCTGAGATATAGGTGGAAAAAATAGACTAAGATTGTAATAAGTAATTTTGTGGCATAATTAAAAATCACCCTGAGATTTGTGGTAGTTTTTATAAATTGAAAGTGAGGCCAGGGAAATTTGTTAGTTTGTTTTCTAGCCATTTTCAGCTGCCTGGGTATAAGCAGAGCTGGCATAAAGTGGGATTTAGCTAGATTTTTATTTTCCTAAGTTATAGGAAGTAGTCCTTTAATAAGTAATAAAGGCTTGATAGCCTGAGATTAAAAATAAATTAGGAAATAGTCAAGGAACTGTTTACAGCATTAGCAAAAAAAAAAAAAAGTATAAAAATTGGTCTCTAACGAATCATTTTTGGTACAATTGTGAAATGTTTACTCTTGTTCTTTTAACTGAAGGCATTGACAAGACTCCATCAACTGAAACTTTTAGGTCATACTTTAGTCGTTGAATTTGCAAAAGAGCAAGATCGAGTTCACTCCCCATGTCCCACTTCAGGCTCTGAAAAAAAAAAAAGGTATGTAGATCAGTAAATCATACATTTTTGTTACATTTTTAAAGTGTGTGTTTTTTTAAATCAGTTATACAGTTATTGTATTGTTTTCAGACTAGCAAGTAATTGGAAGAGGAATGACAGATTTTTCCATTAAACCTAGTACAGTAAAACAGTATGTTTATTTTTGCTGCTAATTGTGCATTAGGAACCAGATTTAATATTATGGGTTAATCATTGTGAAGTGGCAAGGGAGTGGGCTGAAACGAATTCATCTTCAACTTTCAATGGAGGGAAAATAACTAGTATGAAGTCTTTGTATCAGAGATATAACAGTGTCATGAAATCAAGACTGGCATTTTGTTTCTGGCTGTGACTCTTCGTAGTACAGCTTCACAAATTTGCTTTACACTAGTGGTTCTCAAAGTGTGGTCCCTAGATCAGCTGTATCATCTGTAAACTTGATCAAAATACAGAACCTTGAGCTTTAACCCAGTCTTACTGAATCAGAAACTTAACTGAGGGATGGAAGGGATGGGAAAATGTTGTAGAAGTCTATGAGTTTTAATAAACTCTCCAAGTGATTATGACACACATTAAAGACATTTGATTACCACTGTTTTATACCATGTAAACTTTAGTTTTATTTTTGTTCAGTGACAATTATGCCATCTTCATAGTCTTGCTGTGAAGAGTATATGAAAATGTGTAGTGCTCAATGTAATAATAATACAGAAAGGATTCAGTGAAGGTTACTTTTAGTTAATTTTAGTTCCCTTCCCATTTATTGGTGTTTGCTTGAGAAATACTTGAAAGTTTTTTTTTTTTTTTAATGAAGCTGTTTTTATAATGACATGTTTGAAAAGGTAATTTATCTTTTCTGTGTGCAGTTTTTCACCCTTTGGAAAGATAAGATTAACTTTGATTCTGTATGTCCCAGGTCTGATGACCCTGTCGAAGATGATAAAGAAAAAAAAGAACTTGGTTATTTAACAGTAGAAAATGGAATTGCACCAAACCATGGGTTAGCATTTTTGTTTGCTTTTCTTTTGCTTTTGTTCTGTGTTATATACAGATGTACAGATATCTTACTGCTTTTTGCTTATTATATATTGTAATATACAGATATCTTATTGCTTATTGTATATTGTGTTATATACAGATATCTTATTGCAAATAAGATAATTTTAAAAACAAAGATATTTAATGTCATGCATATTTTTAATATGTTGAATAAACATTTTGAGTTGAGTTTGTCACTGAATTCAGTGCAGATAAAGCATCTATTAAGATGTTCAGAGCTACAAGATAAACCTCTGCCAAGAAATGCAGTAGCTTATTTTTCTTTTTAAATGTACTTTGGATCTTTTAGGAACAAGGTAAATCTAATAGTACTGTATCATTTGAGCAGTGTGTTTGTTATCAGGTTACCTAAAATGAGTTACTGATATGAAATTATGAAAACATAAGCATCTTAAATGTTTTTTGTTTTATAGGCTGACTTTTCCTTTAAATTCATGCCTCAAGTATATGTACCCACCACCTTCCAGCACAATCCTAGCAAACATTGTAAATGCCTTGGCAAGCGTGCCTAAGTTCTATGTACAGGTAAGTAGAATAAAACTTTTCCTAAAAGGACTTGTTGTATAGCTTGATACTTTATTTTTCATGCTGATTCTCATAAAAGTAATCAGACTAATTCTAGACAGCCAGTGATACAGTATTTTAAATGTAATTAAATATTTTCTACTTCCAAGTAGAGACTTTTATAAGGTATCGTATAAGTGGATACTAATAAACAGAAGCTAGTTTGGGAAATGTAATTTGTGATAATTCTCTATTACTTTAGAATACATCATTAACATAGAGATTCTTAAAAGAAAAGTTATAGTAGACCCCTGAGCAAATGCTTAAAAATATTGGCAGTAATAACATATTTTTTTGAAGTACAAAGTATAGATGATGTTTATTTTTTAATGTATTTCTCTATTTTATAATTTTACAATAATTGGGTTAAAGATATAAAATCATTTCAGTGGTTTTTATATTGCAAGAACGTTACATTCTTAGCGATGGGACTAATTGAACATGTAGAATTGACATTTTAGGAAGGTTAATCTGAGATATACTAATGCCTTGTTTTACCTTATGCAGAGATTTTAAAGGCAAGAGATGGGCAGGTCTTCCTTTACACTCAATAAATAGTGTTATAGCAAAGTTTCTTAGTACATAAAATACAAGATGTGAGTTGAATCATTTTATATGTGAATTTAAATGTCTTACCACTTTAAGGTCCTTCATCTTATGAATAAAATGAATTTGCCCACACCTTTTGGACCAATTACTGCGCGACCTCCCATGGTAAGAAAACTCTTAGAATTTTCAAGTCAAAATTTCTCTTCCTGAATGGGATTATTGAGGCTGAATTATACAGGTGTTGTAGCAACCTCTGATGTACATTGAAAATAAGGAACGGGTATAAAGTAATATGATGATAATAGTAGAACTGAGAACTGTTAAGTGAGTAAAAGCCGGAATATGAAAGAAATGCTTTTGTCAATAAAGGCTATCATTTCATCCAGTGTTGTTAAGTTTTTTGAGCCAAAACATTGTGCCATCCTATAAGGTAGTTATATTTAACTAAATTACCTAAAGATTTCATAGTTCTGGTTTTGTCACAAATAGAGCTTTTTTTGCAAAAGACGAAAAAGGGAGCTGATATTTTTATTAGACTTGACTATGCAAATCTGTCAATAATTTAGAAGTAGGCTATACCTGCTCTTGAATAATTTTAGTTATTCTTTTGCTGTAGTACTAGTATATTTATGAATAATAGCAATGCAAAATTATTAATACTTTGAGTGTTCATATATGAATAGAAGAGAATGTGGTTTGGGATTTGTTTCTTTTCTAATGTATGTACTATTAACTTTAGGATTTGTTTTTTTTTTCTTTTTGTAACCCCAACACCTACTCAATGCTTGATATATTACTGGAGAATTAGTTAAGGTTATACTAGCTGCTGTTAACAAATAAATTCTTAGTCATTTAATACAATAAAAGTTATTTTTGGTTATGTCAGATCCTTTCCAAAAGTAGAGCAGAGGGATATTTTGTTCTACTGAGCCACGAAAAACACCTGAATTGTTTCGACCATGTGCCTTCCCAGGTTGATGAAGACATTGCTACACAGTCTGCAGATCAGGAAGGAAGAATTGTATGTGGGAGTTTTTAATGGTCTCATTTCATTGGCTATAACTCAGTTACAAGGAGAAATATAACTGCAGAGGAGCTTTGAAAATTTAGTTCAGCTGAGGGTAAAGGAAGAAGAGACAAATTTTGTCATCAGCTAGTGATCTGCCATACAAGGTGTTCCCTTAATATGTGTAGAATGTGTTAAAAAAAAAAAAAGACCATGTGATAGAAATGAGAATGAAGTATTCAGATGGAGTTTGTTCTATAAATATTTTGGACTGCCATAGTATTTTTGTTTTATTCTTTTAATTAGTATGAAGACTATATGCCATTGCATGCACCTCTTCCACCCACATCTCCTCAGCCACCTGAGGAACCTCCTTTGCCAGACGAGGATGAGGAATTATCTAGTGAAGAATCAGAATATGAAAGCACTGATGATGAGGACCGACAGAGGTTTGTAACATGAAAAATTTGTTTAGTTTCCAAGAAACATAGAATGTAAGAAAGAGACTCTTGCTCTCCCTAGATTTTGTGTGTATAATACTTAATAGTTTGGGGTGATTAGAATTTGTCCTCAGCCCCCCAGCACCTCAGGCATATATAGCAGCTATAAATTAAGACCTGAGAATAGATAACAAGACCTAAGTGAAAATTTTTGGATTATGCATAATTTTTTAGATTGATGATTATGGTATTATAAAGTACGTTCGAGCCTTGTTATTTGTGGATTCCATATCTGAGAATTTGCCTATGTGCTAAAATTTATTTGTGACTTCAAAATCAATAATCGACGTGCTTTTTATTTATTATTATTATTATTATTATTTTTGATACGGAGTTTCGCTCTTATTGCCCAGGCTGGAGTGCAATGGCGCGATCTCAGCTCACCACAGCCTCTGCCTCCCAGGTTCAAGCGATTTTCCTGCCTCAGCTTCCCGAGTAGCTGGGATTACAGGCATGTGCCACCATGCCTGGATAAATTTTTGTATTTTTGGTAGAGATGGGGTTTCTCCATGTTGGTCAGGCTGGTCTCGAACTCCCAACCTCAGGTGATCCGCCTGCCTCAGCCTCCCAAAGTGCTGGGATTACAGGCATTAGCCACGTGCCTGGCCTCGATGTACTTTTTAAAGTTTTTTTGTGGAAATGGACATTGTACCATGTGATGAAAAATTTGAGTCAGCCAACACACACGTTCTGAGATGAAGTCAAATAAAGACACCCTCTGCCTTCTTGTTTCAGTTCTTATACTACAAACAAGTATCCTTTTCATAGTCTGTTCAGCACTACCTTTTTTCACATTTTTGAGTTTTTTTGTTGTGACTCTTGTGTTTAAAATGGCCCTTGAGCATGGTGTTGAAGTGCTCTTTAGTGTTCCTGAGCTCAAGAACGCTATGTCAAGCCTGATGGAGAAAATACATGGCTTTCCTTCAGGCCAGAGTTACGATAGTATTGACTGTGAGTCAATGTTAATGAATCAACAGTGTATATTAAGTAAGGTGTTCTTAGACATAAACACATATCAAACAAGGTAATGTATTGATCAGATGACAAGATGTTGTAAACAAAGACTTCCAAGAACCTAATGCTGAATTTTCCTAGGGACAGTGATTTAGTGTTTATGGTAACCTTAGAACATAACTTAGAACATAACATACATCGACCATGTTCATGTTTTGACAGATGCTTATTCTTCTGGACTCTACTTACCTCAGAATAATTTCTAGAGTAATTCTTTAGGATTTCATACAAAACTATAATTAGTAACTACTGCAGATGAATTATTCTTTTTATTGATAGTTCTTGACAATCTATGCATTTTATTTAAGGATTCTGACATAGAATAGTACATTGTTAATAATGGTCATGTATATAATCCACAGCCTGGCTCAGAACAGGAATTGCCAAACTGTTTCTTTATAGGTCCAAAGAGTAAATATTTTTGACTTTGAGAGTCATGTGGTCTCTGTTGTGGCTACTCAGTTCTACCCTTGTAGTAGGAAAGCATCCATAGATAGTATACCTAATGAGTTGGTGTGGCCTTATTCCAACTAGACTTTAATTACAAAAACAGGCAGCTAGCTGGATTTGGTCATTGAGCTGTAGTTTGTCAACCCCTGTCTGCAGGACTCTAATGGGAAAATGATCAAAATCTTAGGTGACTGTGCACGGAAGAAGTGGTATATAGGAGGTGTGAGTGGTTGGCATGAGGCAGAACCCAAGCAGACTCTGAGCAACATATACAAATAATCGCAATTTGACTGAGTCAGTGTCCACCCAAGTAGTGGTACAATGTGCAGTATATTATCTTTCTAAGGGAAGAGTTAAAATCAAAGCATAGGTGGGGCTGAAACTATAAAATGGGAGTGAATACACTATCTGTCTTAAAAAGAGACATTTAGGGAAACAGGCAGTGCCTGATAGATGGTTACTTTAACTTGTTGAGTGTTAACTGCGGACTAATTACTTAACCTCTGTGAACTTCACTTTCTTTATAAAAATAATGATAGTAATTAGAAATGCTACAGTAACCTGGCCAAACCCTTTTTTGTTTGTTTACTTAGGTTTCCATTAAAGGATGTAGTGAGGAATTCTGCCAGTAATTCATCTTGAGTCCTGAGAGAGAACATAGCCTTTGAGTGTACCAAGCTCTAGTTTCATGCTTCTCTTTTATCTTCAGGAAATGTAACAAGACCTAAACAAAAGAAAAATGGTACAGGTTGAGTATCTCTAAACTAAATCTGAAATCCAAAATGCTTCAGACTCTGTAATTTTTTGAGTACCAGTATGATACCACATATGGCTGGCTTAGTGACACCTTTGCTTGTTTTCTTTCTTTCTTTTTTCTTTTTAAGACAGGGTCTTACTCTTTCGCCCTAACTGGAGTGCAGTGGTACAGTCATGGCTTACTGCATATTCAACCTCCCGGGCTCAAGCAATCTGCCCGCATCAGTCCCAGTAGCTGGGACTAAAGGCATGTGCTACCACACCTGGTTAATATAATATTTTTCATATTTTTGTAGAGATAGGGTTTCACCATGTTGCACAGGCTGGTCTCAAAATCCTGGGCTCAAGTGACCCGCCCTCCTTGGCCTCCCAAAGTGCTGGGATTATAGGCGTGAGCCACCATGTCCAGCCAACACTTTTGCTTTCTGATGTTTCCATGTACACAAACTTTATTTCATGTACAAAATTATTAAGAATATTGTATAAAATTATCTTCAGTCTTTTGTGTATAAGTTGTATATGAAACTTAAATGAATTTCGTGTTTAAATTTGTGTCTCATCCCCAAGAGATCTCACGTATATGCAAATATTACAAAACTGGTATACTTCTGGTTCCAGCCATTTTGGATAAGGGGTGCTCAACCTGTACTATTCATTTATTCAGCCAATAATTACTGAATATATGCCTAGCACTCTTGTAGAGGCTTGGTGTACTTTGGGTCAGCAATTTATAAATATGGACATATACTTTGAATAACTAAATTTTTTCATAAAGTTTTTGGTAAACCATGGTTTTTTAAAAGGGTTTAAATTACAGCATATGTTTTCATTTTTCCTCAGGGAAAAAAGGTTTAAAGCTTATTTGAACAATGCCCTCCTTCCTCTCTTTTGTATTTTGTTGTGTGTGTATTTTACAAATACCACCCTGAGAAGTAGAGCTGGGACTAGCGGTTTCCAAGTTCCTGCTCTGTAGATGATACAGAAATGCCTAGACAAGATCTATCTTTAATATTAAATATTCATATTCTTAATAGAGAAAAGCTATGTACAGGTGTTGTCACTTCCTGAAACTACTTCAGAGCATAGTACAGTATTTGAAAACAGTTCTCAGGTAATTTAAGTTACCTTATTTATATAATGATTTGCAACAGTTATTCACAAAATGCTTTTAAATGACATATTTCAGTCCAGGCTCCGTTTAATAATTAGAATATGAATAAAAATGATTTAAGAACATTAATATTATATCGATTTTATTATTGTATCTTGTTCAGCCGTTTGGCATGAAGTCCAGCCATTTTATTTCGGCAACTGCTTATGATGAAACATACATTTTAAAAATTGATAATATGTAATTAAGTCTATTTTTAATTTTTTCTAAGTAAGATGAAAGCTAAGCAAGGCAATTTAGTATTTGAGCTTTTATCAAATTGATTATCTCTTAATTGATGGTGTTCTATATATTTGATGTAAGTAAATCATTTTATAATTTAAATTATACACCAAAATACAAATTTAACGTTAATAGAAACAGTGGTAAATAGCTATGCTTCTAGAAAGGAAATTTTGTTTATCATCCCTCTCCTCATTGTAGAATGAACAAATTAATGGAACTAGCAAATCTTCAGCCCAAAAGACCTAAAACAATAAAGCAGCGCCATGTGAGAAAAAAGAGAAAAATAAAGGATATGTTGAATACACCTTTGTGTCCTTCACACAGGTAATTTTATTTGAACTAAGAAATGAGGGTTGTCTGTATGTACTTTGTTTACTTGCTTAATTCACATCATTCTTCATTCTGGCATTTGTTTCCTGTCAGTGTTCTTGGTTTACATTGGCTTCCTAGTTACCAAATTTACAAATATTCATAATTCTCTCACAGTTGACCACTACTCTCTTCTCTGTCGTAAGCCTTAAGGTATTTGCTTCCAGCTTCCTGTCTGCAGACTCAGAATATCTTATAGGCACTTAAGATATTGTCGAAAACAAAATTCATTTACTTTCCTTTTATCATTTCTTTTCTCTTTCTCCTCGTGCATTTACAGTTTTGTTAGTGACATTACTGTCACTAGTGTAATATATTAGTGAATAATGTCACTAATATAAACATCAGTGTGTTTATATACAGTTATTTAGTTTCTCTTAACTCCATCACCTGATATCAAACATTTTTTACTTAAAAAGTACCCAGCAGATAAAAATTCACATATCTTTACTTGGCACACAGGACTAACCCGAGTGCCTTTAAGTATTTATTGAGTGTATGGTAAGGTTTTCTGCTAAATATTGTGTGTAGTTTGAAGCATGCTTTTAAAGTTTAATGCTGTCTTTTCAAACAGTGAGTTAATAGTCTTAAGTATAATAAGCCAAATGCACAGATGATTATTGCATTAGCAATTATAATACATGACATAGGAAATATAAACTAAGAACTAAAAGGTTGTGAGAAAAGAGAGGTCACAGCCAGTTGAGAAATTTGAAAAGGTTGTAAGAGAGAGGAGATATTTGAGCTGGCCCTTTAAGGAGGGGAGACAAAAATTAGGCAGGGAAACTGTATCCTATGTGAGTGGAAGAATAAAAGGAAAGTTTCCAGAGGTAGGAAAATGTATTGAATAGGAATAGAAATGATGAAAGGGAAAGCTAGAAGGATGTGAAACCTCCCCTAAATGTTAGGCGATGGAGTTTGAATTTATTGAAGAAGCCATTGGAATGCCATTGATATTTTTAAAAATTAAGAATTCCTTTTGCACTACTTTATCTTGTAATAAACTTCCTAAATAATTTGCAGATTTGGGATAAGGGTCAGACCGTAGTTATCCAAGAATGTTAGTAGATATACCTTACCTTTCCACTGTGTTTTGGACATTTTGTTATAGTCCAGAAGTTGCCAGTAAAATGATACTTGTTTTATACATGTTTGATTTGGAGTATTTTACCTTTTTTTCCCTTTGAATCTTTATAGTGACACTGAACAGTAGAAATTAATGTGAGCCACATTAAAATTGTATGAAAACATAATGTAAAATATCTTGATAACTTTTTATATTGATTATATGCTGAAATAATATTTTGGATATAATGAGAAATAATACGTTATATTATCAATATTTCATCTGTTTCTTTTCATGGTTTTAATGTGACTATTGACAATTTTAAGTCATCAAAGTCTAATATTATATAGATATGTTTAAAATATCAAACATAGAATGCACTGTTTTGCATATTAATAAATATCCTGGTGTTTAGAATCAAGAGTCATCAAATCCCTTCTCTGTCATTTACAGAATGACCTTATACAAATTATTGACATCGCTGAACCTCGGTCTTTTTATGTGTAAACTAATAATTTAGTAGTACCTATATTAGAGCATTAAAGTTTATTAAACTAATAAGTCTAAGTCACTCACTTTATTGAATATCAAAAGTGTAGTGAGTCCTTTATCAGTGTTAACTTTTAAAATTTAAAATAAACTTGAAATAATATTTTACTCAGGATTTTATTTGCAATTACAAACTAATGCTATGATTGTTTTTAAATAGCAGTTTACATCCAGTGCTGTTACCTTCAGATGTATTTGACCAACCACAACCTGTAGGTAACAAAAGAATTGAATTCCATATATCTACCGACATGCCAGCTGCATTTAAGAAAGATTTAGAAAAGGAACAAAATTGTGAGGAAAAAAATCATGGTAAGGATATTCTAGTTATTTCACATGCTGAAATCAACTTATTGTGTTAGAATTAAGTTTTACATATAATGTTTCATATTTTAGTATTTGTCAACTTTATTTAAAATATGCAATTAGTGTTTCCCAAAATCATGGAATAATATCCGCTTTCAACTTTTTTATATAACAGAAATTGATGGTAAACGGTGAGATTGTCACTGTTACCCTTTGCTAATAATGACCTCTAGAATGAAATTTAGTGCTTTTTGCTGATGTTTACACTAAAAATATAATGGAGTTTCTTTTATTGACTTTTTCATTTCTTGTTTCATGCCGTGGCCTATGGTTTTATTAGTGTAACTATATTAATACTGGTTAGAAAACAAGCAATGTGACTATTTTGTGAGTTGTAGACTTAATGTAAAAATACATATATATATTTTTTAATCCAAAAGACATGGAAGATTGTTTGCCAAGAATACTATTCTTAAGTTTAAAACAAATGTATTGAAATTACAGATTTTTTTTACTTGTTTTAACCATGAACTTGATGATATAATGGTGTTCTTTTGTTCTTTAAGTCTTTATTTTGAAATTTCTGAAATAATACAAGTTGATAGAAATGTAACCAAAACAAAGTAAAATTGTTAAAAAGTTAACACCTCAAACCTCACTCTCCTGTGTCCTACTACCTAAAGGCAAATACTGTTAGCAATTTGGTATGTGTATATACATACATGTGTGTGTGTTTGTGTGTGTGTATGTATGTATCCTTCCAGACCTTATCCTGTATATGTATGAACACATTTCACTCTTATTTTTTAAATGAACATAATGTTTTGACGGTATTTATCATTCACTCATTAATGACTTGTTGAAAGTTTGTTATCTAGCGGCCTCCATGGAGAAGTTTGCCATGGTCTCTTTTTTGAAGTTTACAATCTAGTTAGGGGTAGCTTACTATGTCAAAGCATAAACATATACTTTACATTTTTTGGCTGTATAATAGCCCTTAATATAATTTTGTCAATATTTTATCATGCCTTTTTCATAGAAGTTGAGGTTGTTTCCCTTCTTTTACTATTGCAGAAAATACTGGAATATGTCTTTGCACATATATCTTTGAGCACTTGTGTGAATATAGGATAGAATTCTAGTAAGTATTGCAAACATAGTGAGTGAAAAACTGTGACTAGTTTTAATTCCTATCTTGGATGGTGAGTGAGAATGTAGTGCCTTTTCAGGTAGCTCCTTTTTAGTGTGTTTATTTAACATTTTTCTTTTTATAAATTTTTCTTATCTCATGGCTAGTCACCCTTTAACAAAATTTTTTTTTTTTACTATTTGGACCTTTATAGAAAATGTTTGTGTATGCCTCTTTTAGTATATTGAGAAACACCAAAGAATTTTAGTGCCAGAAGATATATTATTGAATATAAAATAGGAGGTGGGGACCCAAAAACTATTTTTAAAGGAGAGATTCTTAATGGTTAATGTTAATATTGAACTCTTAGATTTACCTGCTACTGAAGTTGATGCATCCAATATAGGATTTGGAAAAATCTTCCCCAAACCTAATTTGGACATCACAGAGGAGATTAAAGAAGACTCTGATGAAATGCCTTCAGAATGTATTTCTAGAAGGGAATTGGAAAAGGGCAGAATTTCTAGAGAAGGTAATGTCACGAAATAAACTAAGCACATATTCCATTTTACATATCTTTGACTCTATAGAAACAAAACAAATCTGTCATGCCATTTACCTTAATTTAAGGCACATACTTTAAAACATCTCTCCAATTAATGTTTGTAATCACTTCTTCTGTTTTTTTTAAATACTCATACTTTATAGTGGAGGGAACGTTCCTTTCCATACAGTGTTTCCAGTCTATATTTAGGAAAAAATTTTGTTTTCATTCCTAAAACTTTCATGTGGCATTTAAAATAAGTCAGTGTGTCCCACAAGTCTGGAGTTATATTTTCCAAATGCAGCTGATAGACTGTCACAAATACTGTGTCTGAGATACATACAAAGCGATTTAAAAAAAAATGGTGATTAGAAATACATGATTTTAGGATTTTATATCCTAACATGATAATTTTCTACTTCTCAAAGACTTTTACTGTTTTGGTACATTGTCAGAAAATATTTAGAGGCTTTAGATTGATGTGTAGCACATAATTTTTCCTACGGTAATGGGAAATAGACTTCTAGCTAGGATTTTTACACAAAACATCTATCTGATTTTCTAGAACAGATTACTGACATTAAATGAGAGGAGCTATACAAGGGTTCTTAGGCCATGGTTTGTCTGAGATGCCTGATACTGTGTTTACTTCATTCTTGCATTTAAATATGGAGGTGGCTGATGGTTTGGGAAATTCACTTTAAGCAAAATAAGTACCCAAATCAATTAACATATATACTTTGCTCTTTTTTATAACATGACTCATCTTAACGGACCTTTAATAGTAGATATTTTATTGGACAAATTGTAGTTACTCTAGAAGTCTGAAATTTTTAAAACAAAAGTTATATATATATAAAGTTTTTTATATAATCAATTCAGATTTTCAGTGAGTATATTTAAACCCATTTGTAATATTGTTACTAATTTTGTTACTAATTTTATGTAATATTGTTACTAATTAGTTCATATGAAAATGAACTAATTTTCATTTTATGTTAAAGTGAAAATTTTAACATTTTCATAAAGCTTATTTTGTCTATTTAACAATTAGGTTTCAAAATTGTAATTATCTTTAAAAACTTGCTTAAAATATTTTAATTTTATATCTTTGTTTTTTGTTTTTTAATAAGAAATGGAAACACTTTCAGTTTTCAGAAGTTATGAACCGGGTGAACCAAACTGTAGAATTTATGTAAAGAATTTAGCTAAACATGTTCAAGAAAAGGTAGGTATAAATTGATTTTTTTTCATGTAAATGAAAATAATTTGAAGGTTTTATAGTTGATGTGTTAAAGTCTGTTTGAAACTACCTTTAAGAATGTGGTTTTCTTACTGTGCTTCAGGGCATGACAAATTATTGTTTAGTATTTTCAGGTTAATTTTTTATTAAAATAATACTCTCATAGCTTGGGTTCTCTGGCAGTAAATACTGAGACAGAGTTTGTGGTATGTATTAATTTCCTAGGGCTAAGTGGCTGAAACAACAGAGATGTGTTGTCTCACAGTTCTGGAGGCAAACTGAAGTCAAAAGTGTGGCAGGATTGGTTCATTCTGAGGGCTTTGAGTGAAGGATCTGTTCTGTGCCTCTCCCATAGCTTCTGCTGGTATGCAGAAGCTGGCGAACTTTCACCTTCCTTGGCTTGTGGAAGCATCACCACAATTTCTGCCTTTGTACATAGCATACTCCCTTTGTGAGTATCTGTCCAAATTTCCCCTTTTGAAAGGCCACCAGTCATATTAGATTAAAGCCTACCTTAGTCCAGTATGACCTCTTCTACTGATGCATTGATGTATTTATTTATTTATTAAGTTTTTTTCCCCTGGCTTTGTTATTTGTCTTTTTCTTATTGAAATTCTAGGACCTTAAATATATTTTTGGAAGATATGTTGACTTTTCATCAGAAACACAGCGGATCATGTAAGTGACAGTAAAATACAATCTTCAATTATATTTTGTTTTTATCTATTACAAATTTACCACTATTTTAATCCCATCATTTTCCTTTTAGAGATAAAAATTATATGAAAAAGTTCGTCTATTCTGTTGCACAATTAATCTTTTAGATGTCTAGAATAGGAGTTGGCAAACTTTTTCTGTAAATGGGCAGATAGTAAAAATTTAATATTTTTATTTTATTGCAGACCATACAGTGTCTGTTGGAATTACTCAGTTTTGTAGTTGTATTGTGAAGGCAGCCATGAAACCTGAATGAATATTCATGGCTGTGTTCTAATAAAACTCTTTACAGAAACAGGTCGGTGATGGATTCCGACCGTAATCTTCCCTCTAAATACATGGTTCTCAGACTTTAACATTGCATAAGAATCACCTGGAAAGCCTGGCAAAACAGTTTTCTGGGCCCACCTGCAGAGAGTCTGATTTTCTAGGTTTCATGGGTAGGACTCATGAATTTGTTTCTAAAAGGCTCCTGGATGATGCTGCAGCTTCTGATCCAAAGACTATGCTTTGAAAACCATTCTTTCAATGCATCATCCAGGAATATGAAGCAATGAGTCAAAACTTTTTAGATTCTTATTCTGACAGTAGATTGTCATCTTTTAAAAGAACTGCATTGAGCAAGGCTTCCAGTTTTGTAAAAGCAAAAGAGAGGGTTGTGATTTATAAATGTTATAAAAGCTAATGTGTTAGTCTGTTTTCACACTGCTGATAGACATACCCGAGAATGGGCAATTTACAAAGGAAAGAGGTTAAATGGAAAACTCACAGTTCCACCAGGGAAGCCTGGATCCAGGCATTTCCATATATCCTCTGAAATCCAGGTGGAGGCTCCCAAACCCCAGTTCTTGACATCTGTGCACTGGCAGGCTTATCACCATGTGGGAGCTGCCAAGGCTTGACGTTTGCATCCTCTGAAGCCACCACCCAAGCTCTTTGTTGGCCCTTTTCAGCCACAGCTGCCGTGGCTGGGACACAGAGCACCAAGTCCCTAGGCTGCACACAGCACAGGGACCCTGGGCCCGGCCCACAAAATCACTTTTTCTTCCTAGTCCTCAGGTGATGGGAGGGGCTGCCATGAGACCTCTAACATGCCCTGGAGACATATTCCTCATTTTCTTGGGGATTAACATTGGGCTCATCATTACTTATGCAGATTTCTACAGCTGGCTTGAATTTCTCCTCTTTCTTTTCTGTTGCATTGTCAGACTGCAAATTTTCCGAACTTTTATGCTGTGTTTCCTTTTAAAACTGAATGTCTTTAACAGCACCCAAGTCACCTCTTGAATGCTTTGCTGCTTAGAGATTTCTTCCGACAGATACCCTAAATCATCTCTCTCAAGTTCAAAATTCCATAAATCTCTAGGTCAGGGGCAAAATGCCACCAGTCTCTTTGCCAAAACAAAGAGTTTGCTAAAACATAACAAGAGTCGCCTTTGCTCCAGTTCCCAACAAGTTCCACATCTCCATCTGAGACCACCTCAGCCTGTATTTCATTGTCCATATCATTATCAGCATTTTGGTCAAAGCCATTCAACAAGTCTAGCGAGTTCCAAACTTTCCCACATTTTCCTGTCTTCTTCTGAGCCCTCCAAACTGTTCCAACGTCTGCCTGTTACCCAGTTCCAAAGTTGCTTCCACATTTTTGGGTATCTTTTCAGCAGTATCCCACTTTACTGGTACCAATTTACTGTATTAGTCTGTTTTCACTCTGCTGATAAATACATACCTGAGACTGGGCAATTTACAAAGGAAAGAGGTTTAATGGAAAACTCAAAGTTCCACGAGGCCAGGGAAGCCTCACAATCGTGGCGGAGGGCAAGGAGGAGCAAGTCACATTTTATATGGCTGGCAGCAGGCAAAAAGAGAGAGCTCGTGCGGGCAAACTGCCATTATTTTAAAACCATCAAACCTTGTGAGACTCATGTACTATCATGAGAACACAGGAAAGACCCACCCCTATAATTCAATCACCTTTCACAGCGTTCCTCCCATGACACATGGGAATTGTAGGAGTTACAATTCAAATGAGATTTGGGGACACAGAGCCAAACCATATCAGCTAATGTTTGGAGTTAGAATTTCATTCTTTACAATACCGTATTTGTTAATTCCAAAGTATGAAAGACTCCCTGTCATATAAATTAAAAGTAAGAAGAAGTAGAAAAGGTAAGAGGCTTTTGAGTGCAGATAAAATAAAGAAGTGACTATAACTAAATTTTGTTTTAATCTTCAAGTGACACCAATACTTTACAAATCTTATCTGGCCTATGTATTTTTTTAGATAGGTATACACAAATGGAACCGTGTTTCACAATTCTCTATTTATATCCATTAGGGGCAAATACCTCTTCTTACCAGAATGCCAAAATATATTTTTTCTGCTGGCCATGCAAAATGCTAGGTCTTTTTCTTTGTTGCCATCTTTGAGTCATGATTATAAGGAAAAAAAAATTACTTTACTGCATTTTTTGATAGTTTTTTATGTATTACTTTGGTAGTCTCATAGACTAAATATTAGGTAATATTTCAGTTGCAAATTACAATCTGATTTTTCTAAGTAGCTTTTGACTATGATTTTCTCTCAAAAATTTCAAAAAATGGATACATGGAATAGTAGATCACTATATTAGGAATTTAAAAATTTGGTTTGTGTTTCTGACTTTAGATCTTAGCTATCTGCTTTGAAGAGTCACTCACTGTCTCTGGACATCACCTGTAAAATTATGGTTTTAATTAGATAATCATTGAGGTTCCTTTCTACTCCGAAGTTCTGTAATTGCTTATAATAATATAATGAACTCTAGGCCAGGTGTGGTGGTTCATGCCTGTAATCCTAGCACATTGGGAGGCCGAAGCGGGGGGGATCACTTGAGGTCAGGAGTTCAAGACCAGCCTGGCCTATATAGTGAAACCCCATCTCTACTAAAAATACAAAAATTAGCCAAGCATGGCGGTAGACGGCTGTAATCCCAGCTACCCGGGGGGCTGAGGCAGGAGAATCGCTTAAACCCAGGAGGTGGAGGTTGCACTGAGCCAAGATCACGCCACTGCACTCCAGCCTGGGCAACCAAGCAGGACTCTGTCTCAAAAATAATAATAATCATAATAATAATAATATAATGAATTCTATAATTGCTTATAACTGGCTGTTAATCCTTTCTATTTTTCCATTCTTGGTTATGTAGTAGTAGTTGTTTTTTTAATCACTTGAGCAGATAGTGCCAGATTGTAAGGAACTTAAAAAATTGAGATAAATAGTAATTTAAGAAGTTTGCAGCCAGTGCGGTGGTCCACGCCTGTAATCCCAGCACTTTGGGAGGCCGAGGCGGGCAGATCACGAGGTCACGAGGTCAGGAGATCGAGACCATCCTGACTAACACGGTGAAACCCCATCTCTACTAAAAATACAAAAAATTAGCCAGGCGTGGTGGCGGACACCTGGAGCCCCAGCTACTTGGGAAGCTGAGGTAGGAGAATGGCGTGAACCTGGGAGATGGAGCTTGCAGTGAGCGGAGATCATGCCACTGCACTCCAGCCTGGGTGACAGAGTGAGACTCTGTCTCAAAAAAAAAAAAAAAAAAAAGAAGTTTGGTTTTCTAGTTGCTAATAGTATAATTTTTAAATCACATACTTTTATGATAGTTGAGAATAGTTAAAAGTATATCTTAAACAAATACTACCTACTTGTAGAATCAATTTTAGTGCAGAACATGAAATATATTTTTAGAAAACTGAATAATTGACGTGCCTATCAAATAGTGTAGTCACTTTTATTTGAAATAGCAAAATGTTAGATTATTCAACACATTTTCATTCACATTGAAACTGACATTCTTTGAATCAAAACTGTTTCTTCCTTCTAGGTTTGATATACGTTTGATGAAAGAAGGTCGTATGAAAGGACAAGCTTTCATTGGACTTCCTAATGAAAAAGCAGCAGCAAAAGCCTTAAAGGAAGCTAATGGATATGTGCTTTTTGGAAAACCCATGGTGGTTGTATCCTTTAAATCCATCTATTTCAAAACTATATAATTTTTAGAAGGATATAACTGAAATTAATTTTCATGTTACCCTTTAGAAATTTCCACAATTGGCATTCTAGCAGTAGATATTCATTCGTTACAATTAAACCCACCTTACTGAGTCAGATGACAGTGTTATTTAGATTTTTAATAAAAGAGCTTCAGCAGCATGAGGTTGTTCAATTTCAGCCAAGTTTAAATGTTTCACTTATGCAGCTCAAAAGTACATAGGCATGCTAAGAGACTAGAGTATCCAGAAGTACATTTGGAGTCATAAAAGAACTAATTCATTTTATCATTTTATTGTAATTTATATTTCTACATGAGAATTTTAATAACTAGAGTATATCATTGATTAACCATCTTGCTTTTAGTAGTCAATGCAGTTTGCAAACTAGAAATCAGCAAGATAGGTAAAGAAGCAAAGGCCCAGGTATAAAAAATAATGACTGTAAAGGAAAAGTTAATTATTAATTTCCTCTCAAGTCATGAAGAGAGGCAGGAGGCACTCAAGGTAAATTAAAAAACCATACTCCCACCATACACTAGAAAGTTTTTGAGAATTATTTAGAAAAGATTACTTGCATATTCATGAAGGAAACCTTAATTTTAAATTATTAGCAGTTTGCTCGATCTGCTAGACCAAAACAAGATCCTAAGGAAGGAAAAAGAAAGTGTTAAAAATTAATAAAGGTAAGTGTGAATAAAACATAATAAAAAGACAAGACTAATTCTTGAGATAAAATTAAGAATAAAAGTTTGACAAGGTAGTAATTCAGGTATCTCTTTTTTTTTTTTTTTGAGGAAATACCTATCTGTGCAGTTAAGTCCCATTAAACGTCAAAACTATAACTACAGATTAAAACCCATTTATATGTGAAAATTAAGTTTGGAGAATGAATCTTATAAGGGGAGTGTGCCTGTTACTCTTTTTTTAACTTTTTCTGCCTATAGTAAAGCAATGGTTCTTAAACCCTAATATGTATCATATCACTTGGAGAGCCTAATAAAACACAGATTCGTAGGTTCCTTCCTTCCCTGAAAGAGTTGATTTGGTAGGTCTGATGTGGGGACCTAGGGAAACTGTTTATACCAGTTTTCCTTTTAATGAGGGGATTTCCAGGATGCTGGACATTTAGTGCTGAAATGGGGAATGTGTCTGGTAAGCCAAGACAGGTCGGTCACCCTTGTTGGCACCTGAAAATTTGCGAGATTAATGAGGTTTCAGGTAATGATGAGGCATCTTATCCAGAGACCACAGCTTGAAAACTCCTGGAATAAACACTTACAGATACATTTTCTAACTCTTAAAATTAACCTAAAGTAAATGTTAAAATAAAAGTTAAAAAAAAAAGTCAAACTGTCATTAAAAATAATTCTGGCTGAGCACGGTGGCTCACCCCTGTAATCTCAGCAATTTGGGAAGTGGAGGTGGGCGGATCACAAGGTCCAGAGATCAAGACCATCCTGGCCAACATGGTGAAACCGACTCTCTACTAAAAATACAAAAATTAGCTGGGTGTGGTGGCGCCTACCTGTAGTCCCAGCTACGTGGGCGGCTGAGGCAGGAGAATCGCCTGAACCTGCGAGGTGGAGGTTGCAGTGAGCCGAGATCAAGATCACGCCACTGCACTCCACACTGGCAACAGAGCAAGACTCCATCTCAAAAAAAAAAAAAATCTACAGTGCTGAGTATATAAAATTATTAACACATTTCACAACAATATGTGTTTGTGGAGTTAAATATTTTTTGTCTTTAAAACAGGTAATTTTAGTGCATACTTAATTTGATGATTAAATATGGTAGAATTAAGCATTTTAAATGTTAATGTTTGTTACATTGTTCAAGAAATAAGTAGAAATATATTCCTTTGTTTTTTATTTAAATTTTTGTTCCTCTGTAAACTAAAAGAACACGAAGTAATTGGTCACAATTACTGGTGTTTAACTGCCAAATATGGGTAAATAAGGGAAAATTTTGTTTAATATTTAGTCCTTCTGAGATGGCTTGAATATTTGAATTTTGTTGTACGTCTATACTGGGTAGTCACAAGTCTTATAAACACTTTAGAGGAAAGATGGATTTCAGTCTGTATTTTTAAACATCATTTATTTTAAATCTGGTGCTGAAAAATAAGAAAAAAATTAAACTGCATTCTGCTGTTCTTCTTTAGAAGCATTCCTGCGTAAATACTGCTGTAATACTGTCATGCAAAGTGTATCCTTTCTTGTCGTATCCTTTTTGGGGCAGTGTTTTTTTGTTTTTTTCCTAGAAATGTTTGTCCTTCCCCCACCTGTTGATCCAGGTTAAGGAATACTTTTTTACACTTTATTCAAATGAAATATTTCTAAAATTATT
The DNA here is from genome assembly GCF_000001405.40 of Homo sapiens. NCBI lineage: Eukaryota > Metazoa > Chordata > Mammalia > Primates > Hominidae > Homo > Homo sapiens. The sequence continues at coordinate 103,553,459 of NC_000001.11, forward strand.
TGTATAGACTGAACAGATCTTTTATGTGTTTTTAGATTTGTTGTTGAATTTTCTGTGCTGTCCTTTATATAATTTTTTGAGGGAAAGTTAGTGAATCAGGTCAACTTACTTAGAGAATGTGTTCATTTACTTTAACCCAGAATACAGTCTTGTTTCTTCTATTTGTATGTTTCCTAAACCTAATTCAATAACATATGCTTTCTGTTGTGTAATATATCTGGTTTAGGTATTTATAATGTGTTTAAAATTTGGGCAAAGGAAATGTTTTTCTTTTAAAAAGTACTTACATTGAAAATTAAGATGTCTGGATTACTATGTAAATTCTAGAGAGTAGCAGACCTCTCATCTGAAGTCTTAGTGAATCTCTTTTGACATAGATAGCAATAGAAGTATCTTTCTTCTTTCCCCTTTCTTTTTCTAAACAAGAGAAGAAAAGCGTAATAGAGGGGAGAACACATAATGCCCACTAAGGGTAGTGCATTAAGGAAAAACAGTCTTGGCAGGTATATAGGAATAGTGGTTTCCAGACTGGTTGATGACCGTAATCACCAAGAACAGTGGTTCTCAGTCTTGGCTGCACATTGCAGTGATCTGGAACTTAAATACTAATTTTAAAAGGGTGCAGTGGCTCATACCTGTAATCCCAGCACTTTGCAAGTCCGAGATGGGAGAATCACTTGAGCCCAGGAGTTTGAGACCAGCCTGGGCAATGTAGGGAGACCCTGTCCCTACAAAAAATACAAAAATTAGCCAAGTGTGGTGGCTTGCACCTCTGGTCTCAGCTACTTGGGATGCTAAGGCAGGAGGATTACTTGAGCCCCAGAGGTTGAGGTTGCAGTGAACCATGATCACACCACTGCATTCTAGCCTGGGTGACAGAGTGAGACCCTCTCCCTCCTAAAAAAATCCTTAAGAAATATATTGATGCTTGGTTCCTTTGGTCAGAATTTTGATTTAAGGTGTTGGGAGTGTAGCACAGATGTTGGAATAAACCTCTCAAACTGATTTTAATATACAAACAAGGTCGAGAACCACCAAGGAAGAGTTTTTATGCATAAAGATTCCTGTACTCTACCCTAGAACTAATACATCTGAATCTCTGGGAATGGAGTATAACAATCAGATTTGAAAAGGTTTCTTTAGTAATTTTAAGGACTGACCAGTTTAGACACTGCTTTGTTAGAGTAAAATGATTAGGTACCTAGTATCAACCTAGCCATCCAACCTTATATTAATAACTAGGAAAATAAAGGGTTGGAGCCTCTGTGTTTCTTTGTTGAAAAATCTGCTACTATTATTAGATCTGTGAAAACAATTGAAAATTCGGTTATTATCACCTTAAAAGTACAAAACCTATAGATTTTGAAAATGTAATTATTTTTCTGTAGGCATAGTTAAAAAGATTTTGTAAATGTTATAAATCAGTTTCTTTATAAGCGGTTTATTTAGATAAATTTTGTTATACTGACATGATTCACTAATTTTCTAAATATAAATGGTTCAGCTCTTAGTTATTTTTAAACTAATGACCTGTGTTATACTTCCTATTTTTAATGGGCTTTTATGATGTTTTAGGTTTTTTTGAATCCCGTGTCCTTCAAGTGCTTTCTAACTTTGAGAGGAAGAAATTGACCACCTGGACTATGGAACTGTGCGTAACAGCTTTGAAAGTGTATTTAAAAATTAAATCTATATGCCTTTAAATCAGTGAATTGGAAACATATTACATGTATTTTAATGATTTTCCTCAAATATAATAAATTGTTTCCTTTCCAATAAAATAGTGTTTGTATTTTTTCTTTATCTGGTTTAACACATCTAGGAAAACATAATATTATAAAAAATATATATAATTTGTAATATAATTTTTTTATGATTACAAATACTGCCTTTTAAAAATTCTTACCTGGATACCAAAGCACTTTCACATTTTTTTTATTGTAATCTTGTTTTTTGTAATTATTTTATATTTGTCTGGCTTTGAGTTTTACTGGGCTTTTGGTTTTTTGGAAATGGGGGTTTATCCCAATTTAGAAATTTGTATCCTTGCTGTAATACAGTCTTCCATTTTTGTTCCCCCAAATCTTTCATCTGTCAGAACGTCACTCAAAGGTGAAAATATTTCCCACATAAAATTATTCTGTTCCTTTAATGAAATGAGTTTCAGCTGTATATACGTAGGAAAACATTCTTTTTTGTCAACTTGACGTTGACAAACTTGGTGGATGTCAGGAGTAAGGGTATTCAAGAGAATTTTGAAGAAGAATTTAATATAGTGAGTATCGAAGACAACTCTTAAAGAGTCTTGCGTTCAAGGGGTTGTGAGAAATGGGTTGTTAATGGAGGGCAATGTAGTATCAAAAAGCTGTTTAAGATTGATGATATAGCAGGTTTGTATGCTAATCAGACTGATTCAGTAGAGAGAAAAAACATAATGCCGGAAAGAGAGGGATATTGCTGAAGCCATAGACCTGGTATACAAATAGAAGGGTTCGTTTTAAAGATAGGCACACAAACAGCTCATTAGTAACGGTAGGATGAAGGGCAGATTATGGAGTTCTAGATGTCGGTAGTTCAGTAAATAGGAGCATGTCAAATTTTTGTTATATTTTCTCAGAGAAATAGGAAACAAGGTCATAAAGAGGGAGGAAGTCATGAAGGATTAAGGAAGGAAAAGGAGATGTAAAATGGGTATCCAGGAATGTAGGAAAGTAAACATACTCTTAGGCAATCTGTGGTTTATTTAAGTGGTATCAGTCAATGTGGTTTTGTGTTTTTCTCCAGTTGAGTTCAGCATAGGTGCTATCACTGAAAAAGTACAGAATTCAATTTAACTAAAGTTGAGATTTCCCTAGGTGAATAAGACAGTGATGAGATGTTGTTACATTTAAGAGAAAGATAATAAAAGAGAGATATGGAAAGTAATCTGGGTTAAGGAGTGAAGTGAGAAAATAAAGAAGGTTGAGACAGTGGAAAATGGTATCATCAATTGTAGATTGCAGTGTGGTTGAAGATGCATTGGAGTTCTTGAGGTACAAACTAGAAATTTGGGAGATTTAAATAAGAGTGGGGTGGCTGAAATTGAAATTAGAGTATAATAATATATAATAGTACTAAGTATAGTATACTAAGTATAGTATAATAGTACTAAGTATAGTATACTAAGTATAGTATAATAGTACTAAGTATATAGTACTTAGTGATTATAAGTTTTAGGATGTGAGGATGGGAGTAGCATAGAGGCAAGGTGATGGAAGGAGATGAATTCAAGAAATTGGGAACCTAGGAGATTGAAAGCATTATCTAAATGAATTTTGAAATCTCAACAAGAACTGTGCTGAGTGCTTTTTGTAATTATTTTATCTTTACTACCCTGTGAGAAGACAGCACTTCCTTTTGTGAGTAATGGAAAGCTCTTTAATGTGTCAACTGTAAGATACTTTATTACATTTAATTATCTTTAGTAATTCATGCTAACAAATAATGACCTCAGTAGGATTATTCAGTAGATATGTGAGCTAACCCCCTGTGTCAGACACCTAAGAGATACAACTGATGATTTTCAAGAAGAATAGAGTTCTCATCCCAAGTACTTAAGCTGCAAAATGTCCCACCCTATATTTTCTGAAAACAAACGGTATATAGAGCGTCCATTTAAAAGCTAATAGGAAATCTTAAAGCGTGCGCGCGCGCACACACACACACACACACACATACATACATACATACATACACACAAAACATTGAATAAGCATCAGGAAATATATACCCTGTACCCAACATGCACAAGGTCTAAGCAATGAAGAAAAAGCCAGGATATCAAGTAAGACTGGAACATCTGTGACTAATATATAAAGACTTGAGGTGGTTGTATCTATTTAAAAGGTTATCAATTAGAAATTAAGAAAGAGGCCAGGTGCAGTGGCTCACGGCTGTAATCCCAGCACTTTGGGAGGCCAACGCAGGTGGATCAACGTGAGGTCAGGATTTTGAGACCAGCCTGGCCAACACGATGAGACCTCGTCTCTACTAAAAATACAAAAAAAATTGCTGGGCATGGTGGCTCATGCCTGTGGTCCCAGCTACTCGGGAGGCTGAGGCAGGAGAATCATTTGAACCCGAAGGTGGAGGTTGCAGTGAGCCGAGATTGGGCCACTGCACTCCAGCTTCAGTGATGGAGTTAGATTAAAAAAAAAAAAAGTATTTTACATAAGAAATTTTAATTTTTTGTAAATTATAAAATAGCACTTAATATGGTATTTGTATACCGTGATCTTTGAATATCCAAAATTTAAGAAGATGTGAGCAGTTTTATGAAACTTTTCAAAGCTTAGAAAAAGGTAACTACATAAAATTCCATTATATGTTATTTATGGGAACATTAGATGAAGTAAGTCATAAAAACATGCATAGAAATGATCATACAAACTTGGAAGAAATTGAATGTCTTGCTATCGAAGGAAAGGATGGAGGTGAGAAGCTCTATATATTGTATTTTTCTTTATATATTTAAACTCGCATTTCTTATTTTTCAAATGTTCACTCCAATGAAAATTCTTTTATTTTTCCTGTTAGTTTTTATTTCTGATCTCATATATGCAATATACTATTGTTCATAAATATTAGTGATCCGCCCTGCAAATGAAATACTCCCATCCTGTTGAATTTGGGAATGTCCATGTGATTTGTTTTGGCTGTGAAATGTGAGCAGAAAGATTGTTTTACTTTGGGGAGTTCCCGATTGCTAAAGCATGTGTCAAAATGAAGTTTTTGTGACATTACAAAGGGACTAATAAGAGTGCCTTTGTTGATCCTAGTTGAACATGAGAAACTTGGTTATTGTAAGCCACTGAAAAATTTTAGTTTCTTTTATTACTGCAGAATAACCTATTCTGTCCTGATTGATACAGCCACAACATTTCCTTAAGCTCTTTGATTTTCATATTTCCATTAGGATGTAGAAAGTCAAGAGAAGAATAAATCATAGGATCAGAGAATATTAACAGTGAAAGAGACTATTGGAATGAACTTGTTCAATGGTCCAGACTTTGGGTTCTAAATAATCAGTAATATTTCAAAAAAAAGTATTAAAAGATATTTCAGTATAAAAAATGATGACATTTAACTTTGTAAACAACAACAACAAAAACCTACCATTGCTGGGCATAATTAGTCATGCTTGTAATCCCAACAACTTGGGAGGCTGAGGAGGGAGGACCACTTAAGCTCAGGAATTTGAGGCTGCAGTGAACCGTGATTGCATCTCTGCACTCCAGCCTGGGTGACATAGGGAGACCCCAACTGAAAAAAAAAAAAAAAAAGCTGTCATTAATACATTTTTCCTCTGTCTCTCTTCCCATCCTCCTTACCACTTAGTCTTTAATCTTATTAAACAAGATCTAAGGATAAGACAAGAGAAAGGATGGTTGCATCTATACTGAACATGTATTGAGTTTTTTTCGTCATTATTTTGTAAACAACATAATATAACAAGTTTTGACATGGCATTTACGTTGCATTAGTTATTATAAGTAATCTGAGATGATGTAAAAGTTACATGCAAATACTACATTGTATATAAAAGACTCGAGCAGTTGTTGCTTTAAGTATCCATGGTGGGTCCTGGAACCAATTCCTCATGGATATGGAGGGACGAGGAACCACTGTAGTTAAACAAATAATCACTTTAAAACTTAAAACCTTTTGCATGGTGAATACAGTCGTGCACCGCATATATGATGGTGGTCCAGTTAAGTTTATTATGCCATATTTTTATCGGAAGTTTCCTATGTTTAAATATATTTAGGTACACAAGTACACTGTGTTACAGTTGCCTATAATATTCAGTACAATAACATGCCTTACAGGTTTGTAGCCTAGGAGGAATAGGCTATGCCATCTACGTTTATGGAAGTCCATTCTATGACATTTGCACAGTGGCTTAATTACCTAAGGGCTTTCTCTTCAGAACATACTCCTGTCATTAAGCAATGCATGACTGTAGTTGGACAAAAAATAATAATACAGGCATACCTTTGGCACTGTCCTAATTCATACCAGCATTCATGATTACTTAGATTTACACTGGGAAGCCTTCAAAAAGCAGTGATATATTAGGAAAATATATTTGCAATACATGACAAACGATAATAACATAAGAACTGGAAACATTCAATAAGAAAAATAATAAAAGCAAAAGAAGATGGAAAAAGGAAGCAAATTTCAAGAGAAAACTCAAAAGGCCAAAAAATGTGAAATGATGTTCAGTCTTGCTAGTAATTGGGAAAAGCACAAATCATTTTTAATCTATTAGGCAAAAATCAGAGCGATAATATTTTTGGTGGGAGTGTGACAAAAGGTACTATAATATATTGCTACTAGAGAGTAAAAACTGACAGGTTTGTAAGGGCAATTTTGCATAATATGAAAATATAAAAATGTGCTTCAAGTTTCACTACGTTTAGTCTACAGAATTACCTATGTGTAAACATGTATACAGATGTTCATTATAACACTTCTTATAACAACAAAATATTTGGAAATGTTCATATTAACAAGTGCATACTATATGATCTTAGTCCAATTAGAATATTCTTTTTTATTTCAATCCTTTAAAAGACTCAACTTCTGACTGTATATAGACAATTAAAAAAATAATGTGTTCTCCGTATGTGCATTTGGTCAGGTTAATTAAAACTTGTTGAAATCTGCCTGCTCTTAATAAGGTTGTTAAAACTCTCTCATAATTGTAGATTTCCCTATTATTGTACTGTCAATATTTTTGCTTTAGTAATTTTAAACATGTTATAAGGTGAGTAAACATATATTTGTTGAATTTCTAGTCAGAGAGTCAAACATTTTTAATTATAAATGTACAACCATTTTACTGTGGTATTAATTTTGCCTTAGATCTTTGTCCAATACTAATAAAGCCTCACTGTCTTTCCTTTGGTTAGAATTTACATCATTTATTTGGTTCTAGCTTTACCTTTACCTTTTTTCTATCTGTTTTTAAAAAATCTGTCTAAAAATGCATTTAGCAGAAACATTTAATCAATTTACATTGAATTTTTTTTACCCTATACCACAGGAATTAGGCACATTTTCTGTTTTGTTAATGATTAGCACTGATTATACCCATGCATATTCTCACAGTCCAAAGTTAATGCCTATGTCCATTGCCAAAGACAATAATGTGACCTTAGAATACTTGAACACTGTTTTATTCCAGTTTGCAGTTGTTTTTATTTTTGAAATTACTTCTGTATTTTTAATCCTCCAAGACATTATTTTTGCAGAATTTTTTCTACTGTTAATCTTTTAAAAATTAATCAGATTAAGCAGAACTCAGGTTTTAAAATATTTTCATATAATATTTTATTTGATTTTTCTAACAATCCAATGAAAGGGAATATAAGACTGATTAGTAGGTAAGAGCTCACTGTGGAGTTAGGCTTCTTGGCTTTGAAATTCAGTCCCAACATGTACTACAATTTGACCATTAATAAATCCCATTATTTAATTTTTTAGTGTTTTTTTCTCATTTTAAAAATGAGGATAATCATATTTCTATCATGTAGGGTACGCGTGTGTGATAAGTAAAAGTGATAATGCATAGAAATGGCACATAGTAACTATATGTTGTTAGTGGTTATTTTATTTTTATATTTATCAACAATATCTTCATTTCCTAATTGAGAACCTAGTATGAAATCCATAGACTTTAATTTTTTTCTAAGGTTCATACAGAAAAAAATGTACATGGTGAAGCATCTAGTAGATGGTGATGCATGGAGTTAATTTTTTTTTGGTTTTTTGTTTGTTTTGAGACGGAGTCTCATTCTTGTTGCCCAGGCTGGAGTGCAGTGGCGCAGTCTCGGCTCACTGCAACCTCCACCTCCTGGGTTCAAGCAATTCTCCTGCCTCTGCCTCCTAAGTAGCTGGGATTACAGGTGCCAGATACCATGCCCAGCTAATTTTTGTAGTTTTAGTAGAGACAGGGTTTTGCTATGTTGGCCAGGCTGGTCTCAAAGAGTTAAATTTTTGATTTAGTGACACTGCTTACATTCTAGTCTCATTTAACTAATTTAACCCAGCCCTATGCCAATCGGGTCTTTAAGGTTATTTTATTTTATATGGTTATTTTATTTTTAAGGTTATTTTATTAAGATTATTTTATTCCCTATATGTTTATTATCTATATATTCCCTATATATTATAAATATAAATGGTTCAGGGAAAAGAAATAGAGATTGCGAGAGGATATTGTAGAAAAAGGAAGGAAGACAGAAAGCAGACGAGATATAGTGTAGTAAGAAGAGGTGGCAGGGCAGCAAACTGAGCAGAGGAGAGAAGACAGTGGTTTGCTTAGGAAACAGGAGTGTGGTGATCAACCTGTTGTAATACTGGAGTTCAGAGAAGATTCCTTGTACAAATCTGATTTGGAGAATTGGAGTAGGACTCTAGGGCCACATATTGAAAGTAAGAGGTTATAGAAAATCTATAAGATTCTAAATTCAGCAATTTTTTTTCCAACTGAAGAAAAAGCAAAACCAGAACTGTGAGATTTTTATTTTATGATTGTAAAACACTCAACTGTGGGTTTGGGAGATTGCTGATTGAGAGAAGTTAATGTGGTAAGTTGTTTTAATGTTTTTTGAGTATTATGTAAGTCCTCCTCCAACTTTTTGTCTTGAAATAAGTGGTTTCTGTCACATGATTTGATATAGAGTTTCACAATCTATTTTCAGTTTGTTGACAAATCATGTTTCAGTGCTGTGCAGTACAAAATGTACTATTTATATTGAAAATGTGTCTTAGCCTTGGCTCAAAAGGTTTCTCTGATTTCAGAGATCTGTTAGGCAAACTTGATTATCTGTGCTTTCTTTTCTCTAACCTTTACATTGCAACTTATCCTGAGTTCAGGTTTATTTTCTTTCTTATTTTATTTTCAAAAGAAAAACAGAAAACTGTTGGGGGAAGGGCTGGTGGTTGAAGGTTTACTATTTTGAGAAAATTGTACCTAATTTATTGCAAAACTCAGAGGAATTAAGACTTTATTTTTTAGTAAGAGAAACAACTAACTTGATCAAGTTCATAAATGTGACATTAAGGTATTTCAGTTGTAATTTTTAATCACACTTAAATTACTTCCAAAGATATTTATAAGGCATCTAGGCTAAGAACTACGAATGACATTAATAGATAACTTGTCTTTTTTTTTTTTTTTTTTGTCAATGTTAATTCATTTGCATGTTAAAAAACTATAATATCTGGTATAAATGTGAGGCTACTTTGGATAGGGGGAAAGAACTTGTAAATAACTGATAGTTATATAAGTAGAAAGGGAGCTCTAGAAAGACAAGTTATTTGGAAGTTGCTACTTTCTGCTTAACAATAGAGCTCTTTCATTTTATTTAAGTCAAGGCTTTGGTGTGATTTAAGTAGGCTTTGAGCTAAATGATTAAATTTATGGTACTTGATGTGTCAAGAGGGATACTGAGTTTACACTAGAGCCGTTTCCCTATAATGCCATTTATATTATGGATGTCAAAATAGATACCTCATATATGATATTGATTGAAAAAATACTTTTGAGACCCTCAGAAACTGGCTAATTTTGAGTTAATTCTTGATACCGGATATATTTTATTTTTTATATGAGCCCAAATGAGAAGAGAGAATATGTTTTGACACTCCAAATATAAATCTTTAGTGACTATTGCTTTGTCGTCAGGATATTATCAAATGTCCTATTTCATATTCTTAGGGAATTCCCAAGATATGTCATTTGGCACATGATAGTAACCGTTAGAGCTTTAGAGTAAAGGGAAGTTTTCTCTTTGTAGAGCATTCTAGGAAGTACAAAATATGGGCAATAATGCCGTATATTACTAATAACTGAATAGCTTCTCTAAGGATAACTCTTTTAGAATAACTATTTCAGAAAGTAGATATAACAACTATTTTAAATCCTTATTTTTGTGTTTTTGATGCCGAAGATGCTAAGAATTGTTTGTGCAGATTTTTATTTCAGAAGACATAAATATACTTTAATTGTTTTAATGCTTCTCCTATGGGGTATATAGCTCTTCAGATTGCTTGTTTGAGGTGAAAATTAAGATCAAATGAGAAAATATATGATAATGCCTGACTCTTAGTAGAAGCTTATTATATGTGTGTCTAACTCTACCTTTCATGCAGTGCTAAATTCCCTAAATTATATCTGCAAATTATCCCTTTTTTTTTACCAACATTCCAAATGCATTGTGAAAAATGCTGATTTGCTATTACAAGAACAGAGTTCATTGATCTGGCATTGTTGAAAAGTATATTTCAAAACTACCATGGATCTGCCAGAAATCCTAAGCGAATAAGCAAGAAGAATACTGTGAGGGAAGGAAGGAAAAAATTGCAGGTAGAAAATATTGGTGATTCTTTTTCATCTCTGTCCATTCCTTTACTGGAAATGAAAATACTTCTGAGAAGTAGAAAGTATTAGAAGTTAAGAAGGGTAGAATGGGAAGACAGAATGGCCAAGTGTTAGTAGAGCGAAGGCGGAAAGACAGTATGAGTTGATAGGATTTTTAATAGGACCAGGTAAAAATATCAATACAAAAATAACATTATCAACCATATTGAGCTTTTACCATATCCATACATTGGGATAACAGCTTTATTTGCATTATTCGTTTAATCACAATAACTCTATGAGGTAAACATTACTTTTTCTAGTTAATAGATACATTTAGAGAAGTTATTTTCCAGCATCACACAGGTTATAAATGGAAAAGTCAGGATTTATAGTTTGTCTTAACTCCTAATAATTGCGTTTTCACATTTGGAACCTTGAGTCAAGCATGAAGTTCAAATGGTGCCCCTCTTCTCTGTCAACTCTTTACACCATCAGCCCTGTATCACTATCTAGTCAGTCTTCTATTTAAATTCTGATACTCACCCGTATCCAGTTAGTTTGTTGTACTCCCTGCAAATTTTCCTTCCCTATTTGCTTTTAAAAATCATCTCGGGTAATAAAACTCCCTTTGCTACTTTGAAGGCACCTCTTTATTATCTCCTTCCTACTCCCTGTACCCCATCATTTATAAAGCTTGGTGACTTCATCCAATATCTTTTTTGGTATTTTGTCAGCCCTCAAGGGTACAACTCTCCAGGCCTGATAATTCAGCCAGTGTACACTGCCCTCTGTATAGTAGTTGCTTAGGGATAGCATCTGTTCTGTTCAGTGTCTGTGTTAAATCAGTTAAGTATTTTTTGTTCCATTTCTTAGACTGTCATTGCTTTGTTGAAAACTACCAATTCTCTGCTTCTTTCTTCATATCTTTTTTTAATTGTTTTTATATACCCATTTGTTTTAAAAATGGTACCTCTAATTCAATATGTCCCCATATTCATCGGTTTCTCTAAACCAAATCTGCCTTTAGATTGCACTATCAGTCATAAAGACATTGCCATTCTAATATTCACCCAAAGTTTAAATCACAGAGTCCCCATTTGACTCTTTATATTCTCTATTCTCTTATATCTGATTAACCACCATTTTCTGTACAGTCTCCACCAAGTCTGTTATATCTCCCCTCTCTGTTTTACATAAACATTTCCCCTCTATTCCAGGGGTATATGTTCCAAGACCCCCAGCAGGTGCCTGAAACCACAGATAGTACCAAGCCTTTTGCAGTCATCTCTCCAGTATCTGTGGGGGATTGGTTCCAGGACCTCCCATGGATACCAAAATCTACAGATGCTCAAGTGCCTTATATAAAATAGCATAGTATTTGCATATAACCAATGCACATCCTCCTGTATACTTTAAATCATCTCTATATTGCTAGAGATGTAATATCTACTGTAATATAAATGCTATGCAGATAGTTACATTGTTTAGGGAATAATGACAGAAAAGTCTATATGTTCAGTACAGATGCAACTATCCTTCTTTAAAAATATGTTCTTCCACAGTTGGTTGAATCTGGCGATGTGGAACCCATGGATATGGAGGGCTGACTATATACACCATGTTTTTTCCTGGCACATCACTCAACTACTATTAGCTGGCGAGTCAACTCACGTTGTTGGAATGACTAGGGACAACTAGACTTCAAGTGATCTTTCATCCCAGGTAGGCTCACAACACAATGTATGATCTCAGAGTTCCAAGAGATCAAACTCCCTTCTGCAAACCCCAGTCAAACTTTGCTTGTGTCTTGTTTGCTGATATCCCATCGGATAAAACAAATATCAAGCTAATTCCATAGTCTTTGTAGAGAGAGACTTTATATAGGTATGGATACTGGGAAGTGTCATTCATTGGATGCCCTTTAATATAACTATCACACTTCCCTAATTTTCATTCTTACTGCTGTAATCCTAATTCAGATTTCTGTCACTGCTCTGCTTACTAATGTTCCTATCTCTTTGTTTTCTGGTCCATCTGATATAATTAAAAGTTTTTATTATTACTTTCCTGTTTAAAACAACCAAAAAACCTTCTGAGGTAAGTACTTTTTTCTTCTCCCTGATTTTGAGTGTCCCCAATATACCTTTCCAAATTTAACTGTCATGTCTCCCTCACACTTGACTTGTTTCTAAAACACTGTATTGACTTCTTGCCATTTTCCTTGCTCTTCTACATGTTTTTCTTACTTAAAAGCAATTTTACCTATCTCTTTTCATTGATGTCAAACCCATTCTTCAAGTCAATTTTATCTCCCCTTATTCCCATCTGTCAGAAAGAACTTTTCCTACCAATTAAATCCTGAAGCACTTAATCGTAACCCTCTTAAAACTATGTTCATATCTTTCACTTTATTGTTTGTTTTTGTGTATGGACATATCCCTTCTCTAACTGAACATAACTTCTAGAACAGCTCTGTCTAATACAAATAGAATGTAAATCATATATGTAATTTAACGTATTTTACTAACTGCATTAAAAGAAACCAAAAGACACTAGGGAAATTAATATTAATGGTAAATTCTGTTTAGCCTAATGTATCACAGTATGTTATTTCAACCTGTAAACATCATAAAAATATATTTTTTTACTTTTTATTTTCACACTATCCGAGTGTGTTTTACACTTACTACTCATCTCTGTTGAAACCACATACATTTCAACTGGTTAGTAGCCAATTGTTTCTAGTGGCTACCATATTAGACATCACAACTCTAGAATTCTAGGAGAAACATTAGTGTAGTACAGAGAATGTTGACTTGCAATCAGACTTATTATCAAATCCTGTCTTTGTCACTTACCATATGAGCCTGGACAATTTACCCAGTCTGTCTGGGCCTTAGTTCCAACATGTGTACAACACTTTTGCTAGGATTAGAGTCAAGTTTATTGCACAATTTCTAATATAGAGTTCATTGATTTTTAGAAAATCAATGAGGACATAACCCATGTTATGCCAATGTTTTGCACAATACCTGGAACCTAGAGTTTTCATGTTATAGCCATTTATTGAGCACATAAGACAATGTCAATCATTTTACTAGGATTTGGAAATACTAGATATGAAGTCTAACTTCAAGAAGCTTGGTCCAGAATGACAGACAAGTAAATTGTTAATTATAATATACTTACAAAAGAAGTCAAATATAGCTTAATGTCATATAAATTAAGAAGCTTTCATACAACAGAGGAGCTAACTATGCTTGAGAATATGAGGGTAAGCTTCATAAAGTTGTGGTTTCAACTTAATGTGGAAGGAAAAGTAGTTGCTTCCACACTAAGTTGGATGTGGAAGGGGATGATATGGGAAACAAAACCACTAGGAAATTCATGAAGGTATGATATTTCATATAAAATATGAGGAACTTCTAGTTTTGCAATGAACAGAGTTCACAGGATTGGCTGGCGGAAGGACCAAAGGGCAGCATCAGGATCGACAGTGGAATAGTTAAGATCCACAGCTCTCCTGATACCCTTCGTCAAAGCTGGTACTTCCTCATTTTGTCTCATGTTAAAAAATGGTATCATCCCCAAATACCTATATCTTTAATATTTTTCCTCATCCTTCAGCTCTAATCTATTCATAAATCTACTGCCTGTTTACCTCTGAAATATACCTTGTCTATGCCCTAGTCCAAGCCACTCACCTCTTTCCTGGACCACTGTAAAAGTCTTCTAACATCTACCCCTTTCCACTCTTATCCTCCTATAATCTGGTTTCTTCCCAGAAGCAGGGTGATTTTCTTTTAAAGTTTATTAGTCTTTCAGTTCCCCATGTCACAGCCTTAACAGCTCTCTCTTTCTTCATGTTCTACAAGGTTCTACATGATCTGGCCTACCTCTCTGATCTCATCTCATTTTATCCCACCCTTTATCACATGTGCTCTAGCCACACTGATTTCTTTTTAATGTGTCTTATGTACTAGCTTTTTCCTTTCTTGGGACATTACTCTTGCTCTTTCCTCTATCTGTTGCTCTTTCTCTGATCTCTAAATGACTGGACACTTCTAATCCTTCAAATCACATCATAAAGTCACTCTTTTAAGGGATGTCTTCCCTTACCATCCAGTCTATAATACCCTGATGGAAAAGTCACTTTCTATTTTATGATTTTATACTAGTTCTTATTGCTATCTGAAATTATTTTTATCATCACTGTTAGTACTGTTGCTATTACTGTTATTTACTAATATATTTTCTTTTCTTTCCACTAGAATGTAAGTTCTCTGAGAACAGAAACCTGTCTTTTTCATAATTGTCTCCTGAACATCACCTACAGTGCTTAGCAAAAAGCAGACACACACTTAACACTTGTTGAATGGATGGATGAAGTTTTTCCTACCTGTACTATTACTCCCTTTCATAGCATTTCACTTACATTACATTAAGAAGGAAAAATTACACAAATTTATTTATTTAGCATTTTGTCAGGTACAAGAAATATTTGCCTACAGGGAGAAAACCACCACCACCACCAATCCTACTACTATATGCACTATATTAAGCACATGAGTTGATCAAGGGGAAAAAAGTTAGTTTCTCCAATTCATGGGCTTTGAGATTTTAAACGTTTTCTTAAATCATTAATGGAGAAATTTAAATAACCAAAACTTTGAATTAAGGATGGGAAACAGGGCTGATTTTAAAAATGGAAATATCACATAATATGTCTGTTTGAAATGGAAACATGACAAAAATTTGAAAATAGTTAAATATTTTGAGAATTCAGTTGGCTTCAATTGTTATTTTCTATTAGTGACGGATATCACAAACAAAAGACAGTCCTTATTTGTTATTAGGATTTATATATATACACACATATATAAAGACTATATAGACTATATATATATACACTGCATTATATATATATGGAATATATATATGTTTGTGTATATATATATGTTTGTATGTATGTGTGTGTATATATATATGTTTGTTCTCATGCTGCTATAAAGAAGTGTCCAAGACTGAGTAATATATAAAGGAAAAAGATTCAATCCACTCACAGTTCCACATGACTGAGGAAGCCTCAGGAAATGTACAATCATGGTGGAAGGGGAAGCAAACCCATCCTTCTTCACTTGATGGCAGGAAGGAGAAATTCTGAGCAAAAGGGGGAAAAGCCCCTTATGCAACCATGAGGTCTTGGGAGAACTCACTCACTATCATGAAAACATCTGTATGGGATTACCGCCCCCATGATTCAATTTCAGTTACCTCCTACCAGGTCCCTCTCATAACACATGGGGGTTATGGGAACTACATTCAAGATGAGATTTGGGTGGGGACACAGCCAAACCATACATATATACATATATACACACACGCACACACACACAGAGTCTATATATACATACACACACACACATAAGGACTGTGTAGATATGTGTGTGTTTGTGTATATATATATATAAATACAGTCCTTATGTGTTTAAATATATATTTACTGTCCTTATTTATGTGGGTTTGTGTGTGTGTGTGTGTGTGTGTGTGTGTGTGTGTGTACACTGCCAGAGGTTTAAAAAGGTTAAGATTTTATCAGTAAGAAAAAACCAGTCACCTCTGCCAGCCCATGCACCATGTTGTCCTGCCGCTCCACTGTCCCACTCCTCCACCAGTCGCAATGGAAGAAGAGATTGCCGTACTGGTGATTGACAATGGCTCCAGCATGTGCAAAGCTGGCTTTGCTGGGGACGACAACCCCCAGCCATGTTTCCTTCCATCATCGGTGCCCCCGGCACCAGGGCATGATGGTGGGCATGGGCCAGAGGGACTCCTATGTGGGCTACATGGCTGAGAGCAAGCACAGTATCCTGACCCTGAAGTACCCCCATTAAGCATGGTATCATGACCAACTGGGATGACATAGAGAAGATCTGGCATCACACCTTCTACAAGGGACTGCACATGGCCTTGGAGGAGCACCTGGTGCTGCTGACCGAGGACCCCCTGAACCTCAAGGCCAACAGAGAGAAGATGACTCAGATCATGTTTGATACCTTCAACACCCTGGCCATGTACGTGGCCATCCAGGCTAGGCTGTCCCTCTACACCTGTGGTTGCACACTGGCATTGTCATGGGCTTTGGAGATGGGGTCACCCACATGGTGCCCATCTATAAGGGCTACGCCCTCCCTGACACCATTCTGCATCTGGACCTGGCTGGCCAGGACCTGACCAACTACCTCATGAAGATCCTTACCAAGGTTGGCTATAGCTTCAGCACCACTGCCGAGCGGGAGATCAGACACTACGTCAAGGAGAAACTGTGCTATGTTGCCCTGGACTTTGAGCAGTAGATGGCCACTGCCACATCCTCCTCCTCCCTGGAGAAGAGATATGAGCTGCCTGATGGCCATGTCATCACCATCGGCAATGAGGTTGCAGTGTCCCGAGACGCTGTTCCAGCCTTCCTTCCTGGACATGGAATCTTGTGGCATCCACCCAGACCATCTTCAACTCCATCATGAAGTGTGACGTGGACATCCGCAAAGACCTGTAGGCCAACACGGTGCTATCTGGTGGCAACATGTACCCAGGCATCACCGACAGGATGCAGAAGGAGATCACCACCCGGGCACCTAGCACCATGAAGATCAAGATGATCGCATCCCCAGAGCACAAGTACTCCGTGTGGATCAGCGGCTCCATCCTGGCCTCACTGTCAGCCTTCCAGCAGATGTGGATTAGCAAGCAATAGTACAATGACTTGGCCCCCTCCATCGTCCACCGCAAATGCTTCTAAATGGACTGTGAGCAGATGGCTAGCAATTGCTTCATGGGTTAATTCAGAAGTAAAAATTTGCCCCTGGCAAATGCATACACCTCATGCTAGCCTCACCAAACTGGAATAAGCCTTAGAAAATAAGTTGTCTTTAAAGCTTGTATCTGATATCAGCACTGGATTGTAGAACTTGTTCCTGATTTTGACATTGTATTCAAGTTAACTGTTCCCCTTGGTATCTGTACATATCTTTGATTTCAGTCTTTAGTACATGTGGCTTGGTCACTTCATGGCTAAAAACGTACTTGTGGAAGACAAGTCTGGCTTGGTGAGTCTGCATGGCCAGCAGTCTCTGATCTGTGCAGGGTATTAATGTGTCAGGACTGAGTGTTCTGGGATTTGTCTACAGGCTGGTAAGGGCTCCTTAACCAGTTGTTTCTGTCCTGTCGGTCTGTCAGGGTTGGAAAGTCCAAGCCATAGGACCCAGTTTCCTTTCTTAGCTTCTGTTGTCTGCCAGAACACCATGGGCTGTTACTCGCCTTGAGTTGGAAGCGGTTTGCATTTATACCTATAAATGTATTCATCCTTTTAATTTATGTAAAGTTTTTTTGTATGCAATTCTCGATCTTTAAAGAGATGACAACAAATTTTGGTTTTCTACTGTTACGTGAGAACATTAGGCCCCAGCAATATATCATTGTGTATGGAAAAATAAAAGTGCTGCCAGAACCAAAAAAACATTAATTTCTAAAAGGTCATTTAGATGATTTCCATGAGAGACTTTTTAATGTTCTTCTCCTGTTAGGATTATTATTGATAATCCTTTTCAGATTATGAGTAAACAGTTTGCCCTCAAGTATTTATTCATGCTAATATTTACTTTGTAAAATGTGCTTCTTACAGGAATATAAATAGTTTCTGGAAAGGACACTGACAACTTCAAAGCAAAATGAAGTTCTTTCTGTTGCTTTTCACCATTGGGTTCTGCTGGGCTCAGTATTCCCCAAATACACAACAAGGACGGACATCTATTGTTCATCTGTTTGAATGGCGATGGGTTGATATTGCTCTTGAATGTGAGCGATATTTAGCTCCCAAGGGATTTGGAGGGGTTCAGGTGGGTATGATTCATAGTATCAATTGCAGAATTCACTATGCTTGTAGTAAATAGTATTCTGATCTTATCCGTGAAGCTTAGGCAACATTTTACTTCACAGGTAAGTATTCTAAGTAAGAGTTTTCTGAGGAAAAAACAATGTAGTATTCTTGGCAACTTTATATTTTGTTTCTGAGATAATCTTTCTTCAACAAGAGCCCTCCAATGTGCTGTTAATATTTTCAAGAGATAGCTGCATATACCAAGATTCAAGAATTTTTTATATTATTGATTAGTTTCTAGAACATTCAATGATATAGAGTAAGAATTTGGTAGTTATGAAGACTGTTTAATTTGTAGGTCTCTCCACCAAATGAAAATGTTGCAATTCACAACCCTTTCAGACCTTGGTGGGAAAGATACCAACCAGTTAGCTATAAATTATGCACAAGATCTGGAAATGAAGATGAATTTAGAAACATGGTGACTAGATGTAACAATGTTGGGGTAAGTGAATTCTAGTTTCCTTGAAAAATAACAGATAGGAAAATGATTTCTCTCTCTTCTTTCTTGCTCCTTTTCAGCAGAAAGTTTTCCATATTTTATTTTTTTAATTTTACTTCATACTTTAAAACTCAAAATTAACCGTTGCCTTATGTTCAGCTTTTGTAAATATTTGTGTATGTGCTCTCTATCTACCAAAGAAACAAGTTTAAAGCAGAATTTACTTCTAAAGCAAAACATCAAATTTTAACTTTTATACCTATCTATATTTCCTGGAAAGAGTTTTCTGGTTAAGAGTTATAATTCCAGTTACAATATTTGCTATCATTTTTAGGTGACTTGTATCTCCATCCATAATTCCTGGGTTTTTCGTGGTGACTAGCTAGCTTCTCTATTTAATGAGGAGCATAATTTGAGACTAATAGCTCCCTTATTTGTCTTCAAAAGCTTAGTAGAGAGTACAGGCTTTCTCCTGGTGACCGACTGTAATTTCCAAAACAGTAACCTTTCCAGTCTCATCTGAGTTTTGTCTCCCCGAAATGGGCTTTTTGCATTTCCTCCTATTTATGGTAGTTTCTGGTTCTCTCAATTTACCATTACTATAAATATTTGACCAAGTGTCTAGAAGGCATGTAGGTGTTTAGTTCACATTACTTCTTCACAGTTGATTTTTGATCTTGTAGGAAAATAGTTATAAGATATCATGAAATATTTTGGAGTTTTATTAACATACTATAAACTTGAATCAATAATGCTTTAAATTTCTGCCTCTCTGTAAGTCACACTGAAGTAGAAACTTTGCTTTCTAGGTTCGTATTTATGTGGATGCTGTAATTAATCATATGTCTGGTAATGCTGTGAGTGCAGGAACAAGCAGTACCTGTGGAAGTTACTTCAACCCTGGAAGTAGGGACTTTCCAGCAGTCCCATATTCTGGATGGGATTTTAATGATGGTAAATGTAAAACTGGAAGTGGAGATATCGAGAACTACAATGATGCTACTCAGGTAAATTTTTTTATGAGAGTCATCTGAATAAGGGGTGATATATGCCTTTTCTTGTAGACATGTAGCTAATTGAACTTCATTTTAAATACGAATTTAGATCTCTTAGGGACACAGGTTAACAGGTTTGACTACTTTAAGAAACTCAAATCCATATTTAAAAACTTAAATATAGATTTAAGATTTTTAATCAATACACATTTGCCCACTTTTAAAAAGCTCCCAACCAATTAAAAAGCTCGTCGACTTTATTTCCTAAATTCTCTATTTTCTATTAGAAAATATTTCCAAGATACATCTATAGTAGAATGTGAGCATCCCCAGCGCCCAATGCAAGGAAGTCACTATAGAATATCTCTTGAGGAATCATGGAATAAATGAATAATCAAATGGATTCTCATGTGAAAAATGAGGTTTTATGAATCAATCATAACATTTTTACCTCAACAGGTCAGAGATTGTCGTCTGGTTGGTCTTCTTGATCTTGCACTGGAGAAAGATTATGTGCGTTCCAAGATTGCCGAATATATGAATCATCTCATTGACATTGGTGTTGCAGGGTTCAGACTTGATGCTTCCAAGCACATGTGGCCTGGAGACATAAAGGCAATTTTGGACAAACTGCATAATCTAAACAGTAACTGGTTCCCTGCAGGAAGTAAACCTTTCATTTACCAGGAGGTACATCAATACATATATGCATATAAAATATCATCTTATTCATTAGAAAATAATGGCAGATTTAATTAAAAATGCAATTTCTATAGGATAAGGACTGAGTCATTTATATAAAATGGTGTTCTTTAACCTCCTCTTCACATACAGCATATCTAATTCTTTATCACAAACAAAACAAAACAAGACAAAAAGAAATAATAAATAGCTTAATTTATTAATAAATAACAAATAGCTTAAAGCTATCTTTTATATAATATTAACTTATTGGTTAAAATGCTTTAAAGTCCTTATGCAAAATGTTACTTTTTCCTAATTTTCTACTAGGTAATTGATCTGGGTGGTGAGCCAATTAAAAGCAGTGACTACTTTGGAAATGGCCGGGTGACAGAATTCAAGTATGGTGCAAAACTCGGCACAGTTATTCGCAAGTGGAATGGAGAGAAGATGTCTTACCTAAAGTAAATAAATACAACTTTTCCCCTGAAGTATTTCATAGATTTATTAGTCATAGTACCCCAGTGTGAGTTATCTTCTGGAACATTCTTTTTCAGACAACTATCAAGGAGTCAATTGTTAATGATAAGTATTCTAGTGCCCTAAACTCTAATCAATCATCTTTTGTATTTAGAGTGTCTATCACAAGTGAGTATGCCTAGGAACGCTAAACATATCCTAGGAGTTTCCGTCTAAGTACGAGATGAATATACTGGATTTGACTGATGTTTGCATATAATCTTTTAAAGCCAGGTTATTATTAAAATGATCCTATCATTTATAAAGTATGTACAAAGTTTCCATACTGTAGAATTTACATATATTATATGAATTAAAAATATAAAAATATTTATATTATAACAATACAGTATTGAAGCCTTATTTTAACCTAGTTTGACATTCCGTAAAATGTGATATGGATATTGATCCTTCTGGAGTGCCTCTAAATGATAATGTGCTGAAACCTCTGAAAGGACCTTTTTTAATAACAAAAATCTTATATTTGTAATATGAATATAAGTATTCCATACTTGTATATACGAATATAGACTACATATGTAGATTACACACGTGTGTGTATATGGTGTGTGTGTGTATATATATTTGAGTGTGTGTTTGTGTGTGTGTATGTATATATATATATATATATATATATCTTACAGAATAACCATTTAATTAGAGAAAGAATTTAATCTTCAGATGCCATGCCATGCAGAAAGAGATGCACAGTTAAGTTACTCGCAAACTATTGTGAAATGATACATCAACATATATCTTATTTTTCAAAAATAGGAACTGGGGAGAAGGTTGGGGTTTCATGCCTTCTGACAGAGCACTTGTCTTTGTGGATAACCATGACAATCAACGAGGACATGGGGCTGGAGGAGCCTCTATTCTTACCTTCTGGGATGCTAGGTAGAAAACCAAGTTCTCTATTTTTTTTAACACATCTTTTAATGATGGTAATGATATTCTGATATTCTGTGATAATATAATTATGTAACTTTCAGGCTGTATAAAATGGCAGTTGGATTTATGCTTGCTCATCCTTATGGTTTTACACGAGTAATGTCAAGCTACCGTTGGCCAAGACAGTTTCAAAATGGAAACGTAAGTTTTGAAATTGTTCAAACTATCCTTTTCTCAAGAAACAGAAGGCAATCTTGTTCTAACTTAATATGACAACTATTAATTATATATTCAACAAATAATTGATTAGAAACCTGATATAGGGCTGCGATTTTAGTAATGCAGGTTATATTAAAGGAGTAAAATATATATTTTCCATTGACAAAGAGTATGCAAGCCTTTTCAGACATATGATAAACATCCCCCTAGCCCACAGGAAAAAAAAAAAAACCACTTAAAAATAAGAGCTAGGCACAGGGATTAAAATATATACTTCGAATAAGTACCTACCTCAGGGTTAATAGGAAGATTATACATGCCAACACTTTTAGAGAACTTAAAACATCATCTGCCCACAGTAAGAACAATATAAATGTTCGTTAAATATTTTTAAAAAGTTATATGGAATACAAAAAAATGATTCAGTTGAGCTGAGTTAAATAGGGAAAAGTATCTAATAAGAGGAAGGAAATTATATGTACTAAAGAATGGAAATTTAGAGAGTATTCCAAGAAAGGTAAGAATGAGAAAAATATTTGGGAGTATGGTAAAGACATTTATCTGATGAGTAGTTTCAAAAAGGAACAGAGAAATAAGAGTGTACAGATATTTGGAAAGCTAGTAGAAGGTTTTCTTTAAACTAAAGGGTTCAGAAACAGCATCAGAGACTTCAGATCTAAAGCAGAAATTCCTCCTTCCTCTGAGTCACACAGATATCTAGCTAGCTTTTTTTAGATTCCTTTCAGTTTGAGAAGTCTGTTACTTTGTATAGCAACTGATTCTATTGTTAAACAGCTTTAATATTTAGGTGTACTTTTATATTGAGCCAACTTATCATGATTTCTACTAATTGGTCTTATTTCTGATGTTAAGGGTCACAGAGTATTTTTATTTTTTCTATCACTATAACTTTTCCACTTTCCAGGACTGCTGCATGCTAAAAACTCTTAGTTTTGTTCACTTTTCACCATATGACATAATTCTAAGGTCAACACTGAAAAACTTCCTAGGGTTACTCTGGTTTTTTTAATTAAGATTTTTTAAAGTGCCAATCAGAAAAACATAATATTAAAACTGGTGTCAATTTATAAAAAATGTTCTGATGTATTGTTTTGTACAATTATCTAAACAGAAGCATGATGGACTCTAATATTTATTGAGCACATGTCACGTTCAAGGCATTTTCACATATATTACTTAATTTTTATAGCAAAAAAACAATATTCCCATTTTACAAATGAGGAAACTGAGACACAGAGAAATTATGTATGTTGATTAAATTTTCTTAGCTACTGTTAATAGAGCCTATGTTTTAATCCTGGTGTTTCTGGTACTAATGCCCTTCCCATTTCAATGACATTGCATGGCTTACAGTGATGTTAAGAAGCCCTTGCAGGCCAGGTGCTGTGGCTCACACCTGTAATCCCAGCACTTGGCGAGTCCAGGCGAGAAGATCAGCTGACCTGAGGAGTTCAAGACCTATCTGGGCAAGCTAGCAAGACCTCGTCTTTACTGAAAATTTTTTAAAAATTAGCTGGTTGCGGTGGTGCACACCAACAGTCTTAGCTACTTAGGAGGCTGAGATAGGAGGATCGCTTGAGCCTGGGAGATCAAGGCTGCAGTGAGCTATGATTATGCCACTGTACTCCAGCCTGGGTGACAGAGCAAAGAAGCCTTTGCAGTTCCTTGGAATGAAAAGGAGAGGATAACAATTTGTTACCTTTGTTTGAAATATGGCAAAAGAGAACCAGAGGATAGAGAGATGATGAAGACCCAGTAAAGGGCTATAAAAATTATTGAAGGCATTGGATTCTAGATAAAGTCATTGAATGCAGAGACACAAGTAACAGGATAGGTTGGGTTTGGTTTAAAGGAGAAGGAAGAGGTAAATATATGTATGTTAAAATTTGGCTTTTCACCCCCTAATTAAGGATGTTAATGATTGGGTTGGGCCACCAAATAATAATGGAGTAATTAAAGAAGTTACTATTAATCCAGACACTACTTGTGGCAATGACTGGGTCTGTGAACATCGATGGCGCCAAATAAGGTGAGAATATGTATTTAGACATGTCCTCTAATAGTAAACTTTCCATTGCATTTTATTTAAAACAGTTGAAGTTTAAGAATATCAACGTTTTATATGGTATTGTGTTTTTAGGAACATGGTTAATTTCCGCAATGTAGTGGATGGCCAGCCTTTTACAAACTGGTATGATAATGGGAGCAACCAAGTGGCTTTTGGGAGAGGAAACAGAGGATTCATTGTTTTCAACAATGATGACTGGTAAGTACATATCAATTAAAAATAATATTTTGTACCTGTATGCTCTTGGTTTATTCCTTTTTTTCTGTTCATTGACATTTATCATATCTGAAAAATCATGTAGTCAGTGGAGCAAGAAGACAATAGACATCAAAATTGGGCAGAAGTAAAAAGATGATGGCTGTTACTCCTTCATTCTCCTGTTTTATTAAGGGCTTTCTGTTGTAAGCAGAGTCCTTTCTGTGCACCCTTGCAATATCTTATGCATATATTGAATGCACATACATATGCTCACCTACACATGCCACAAAATACACAAAGTAGTTAATATGAGGATTGTGAAATCATTAAAAGAACATGTCTTATATTCCTGTTTTTTTAATCATGGAAAAATGCTGCCTGAGTACTAATATATCTTTATTTCTAACTCTTTTTCTCAATGACTGCTCTATGTAGTTTTTTGGTATACTTTCTTCACTTCTCTGTCTCCTTGTGACAAATAATATTTTTAAAGCATATGCATAAATAATATGTATCTTGTGGTTAATGATTGGCTTCAGGGGATTTGAGTTTTAGTTCCGAAACTTCTCATTATTGGCCTTTCATCTGTGATTCTTATATCCTTTACTGAAGTATAAATGATTCCCTAACCTATAGCTCAGAAGACCTCGTTGCAAACAGTTGAATTGTCTCTGTCCAAAGCCAACTGATACTCATACTTAGCTCATTCTAGTATAAATTATATTTCACTGATGAAAAATAAATAAATACATAAATACATAAATCTAGTTGATCTCTTTCCTGCCAAAAAAGCCCATGTCTAGTTCTTTAATTTCTTTCTTTTGTGGATGAAAATACCAAAATAAATTTTTGTGAGAAAGCTTTATATTTCAAACTATCACTTCTTCATAGAAATGCTAGATTGTTTCTATGTATGCCCCAAATTCTTTTTTACCTTATGGGGAAAAAAGGAGATTAAAAAAATAAAACCCTTTAAAAATTTTTTTTTAAATTATACTTTAAATTTTAGGGTACGGGGAGGGGGGAGGGATAGCATTGGGAGATATACCTAATGCTAGATGACGAGTTAGTGGGTGCAGCGCACCAGCATGGCACATGTATACTTATGTAACCCTTTAAATTTTTAAAAGTAATTTGTATTAAGTTCAGTTGAGAACAAATTTGATTTTAACAAGCTAGCACTTTTATCAAAGTGTGACCATTCCTGCCAATCTTCAGTGATATTCTTCAACTTTGATTTTTTGGTAATATTTTCACTACGGACCAGGGAACTGCTACATTTTCTGTAAGGTTACTTTTGGTCCTAGAAAGCTATTTACAACTACTAGGGAGGCATATGGGTTTTCTTCTTAATGAGACTTCACTGCTTAGGGTTCTACAACATAAAGTTATGCTGTTTAGTTGTGTTAGCCTGTATTCTTGATTTTCAGTGTATTGAAGTTAAATCTGAAATTTTATTTTACAGGACATTTTCTTTAACTTTGCAAACTGGTCTTCCTGCTGGCACATACTGTGATGTCATTTCTGGAGATAAAATTAATGGCAATTGCACAGGCATTAAAATCTACGTTTCTGACGATGGCAAAGCTCATTTTTCTATTAGTAACTCTGCTGAGGATCCATTTATTGCAATTCATGCTGAATCTAAATTATAAAATTTAAAATTAAATGCATATCCTCAAAACAATAGCCAAGTGTGTTTCTTTTCTTACATATACAGTAATACTTATATTTCATTAATTTTTAGTAAAAGCTCTAATTAGTAATCAACTTGTAAAATTCACAAAAAAACCAATAGTATTAAAATCCCACTTAATTGTTGAATAAGTGTAAGATAATAATAGTCAGCAAGTTGTTATGCTTTAGAAGACTGACTTTAACCTATTTAAGCTATGAACTCAGAAAAGCATCTCAACCAATATGTTTGTTGCCATTAGCATCATTTACCGAGCTGTGTACCTTTAATTTCTGCCATTCTATAATCCTTCCAAGGAGTGTTTTTATCAGTTAGTTAGGGATAGCTGGTTTAATGCTGATTCCCATGCAAAGTTAGCCCGGTTGTATGCTTTTTATAATATGCAAGTACTTCTGGTGTTAATAAGGTTAAAAAATAGAAGAAACCTAAATTATACAATCTACAGTTATCAGTTCTATTGAGCTCACTGGAATCTTCTCCTACTTTATAGACTTCCTTCTTTTTCATTTTTTTCCTAATTGCTTAGACTTGTTGTATATGACTTTTTGTTCTTTTTCTTATTCTACAATCTGGATATTTATTTAGGGCTTTCATGACACCTTGTAGTCTGGGTTTTCTTCCCAATTCTCTACCTATTCATTCTTCTTCATCTTGACTTTACATATGGAATTCATTAGGGCTCTCATCTAGGTTTCCTTATAACTCTCAGTTGTTTTGTTTATGCTTAAATGAGAACATAGAGGCCATAACTCAGAAACTGTCTATTCTTCACCTATAAATTGTCCCTGCCACAAAGCAGATTCACTGTGCATTGGTACCACTTCGGCTCACTGCATCTTGGGCTGCAGTTTCTACTACTTAAGATTGAGTCCAGTGATTTAGAACATACACACAAAAAGTTGCATGAAGCAGGCTTATTGCTTATAGATAGGCATCAAGTGACACAGAAGCCCGGCGTTCAGGAGGAGCCAGCCTCCCAAGACTCAGACCGTTTGCCCAGGGTGTTGAAGACTCATTTGCACATGCCCTATTTGTACCACAGCTGAGGGACCCTTGAAAGAAGCCTGCCCCGTGTTTTATAACCCAGGCATCCCATGATACACTGGGCTAAAGCACTTAAGGAAATGTTCTAAGAGGCACAGTAAGAGAGTCTGAGACTTATCTCAGGATGTTGCATTCCCAGCTCATTCTACAGCTATTCTTGAGATGCACAAGTTATAGAGGAGGAAAACCTGGGTTGCTCCAAGGCCACTTGGAGAGTTGTCCTGCATTTCCTCTAGCATTTTCCTTTTTTTTCTCCTATTACAATAAAGAAAGTACATGTCATTCTAAGAAAGGCCATTTTCTCTGCTTAAGTTAATGATACCATTCCATTTTTATCTTTTGGAGGACTTTAGATTATCCTCCCTCTTTTGATTTAGCAGTCTTTCCCTTTCTTCTGCATTAGTCATCCTAGATTACATGTATTACAGTCTTCCAATTAAAAACATCAATGACCATCCTCAGATATTCTTCTGGGTATATTACTTTGCTCATTTCCTTGCTCCCTCTCCTAATTAAACATCTCTTTTTATCACACTGTCTCCACATCCTCAGCCTCCGTCATTATTCATCTCTCTACTGTCCAGTTTTCACCATTATCACTTCATTCAGTCTGCTCTTGTCAACATCATGAGTGACATTTATGTTACCAGTCCAATATATTTCTCTGTCCTCACCTTAAACCACTTCATAGCAGTATTAATGATGGTGGGTCACTTTCTCTTTCTATCTTCCTTTTTTCGTGTTATTCTACTCTCCTGGTTGCCTTCTGTCTCATTGATTGCTCTGTTTCAGGTTTTTGTTTTTTTTTTTATCTTATTCTTAGGTGGATCATCTTATTCTGTTCCACCTAAGTCCTAACTTTTATCTATTTCTCTTCTTTATCTTCTCTTCTCTAGGTGATTGGAATCATTTCCATGGATTTTAAACAAATATTTTCTGTGGACACCTAGGTATCTTCAATTCAGAACTTGGACTTCAGCCTCATACTTCCATCAGATGCTTGTTATCACCACTTCCATGTTCCACAGACATCTCATAATTAACATATTTAAAATGGAACCCTCATTTTTTTTCCTTGCATAAACCTTTTACTACATTATTTTCTTACTGCTTAGAAACCCAGGATATTTTCTGATTTATCTCTCTTAGCTCAACAACTTTATCTCTTCATATAAACCTTAGCATGAACTATTAATTGTATCTTCAAAATATCTCTTCATTTATTGCACTTCTTTTGTATCTTCTATCACCCCTTTATCCAGCTCACAATTATCTGTTCTCTGCATTCCAAAACAACTCTGCAACTGGTCTCCTATTTCCATTATTTTACTGTCTCCCTTTATTTTACTAAAGACCACAACATTATATTCATACAATTTAAATCCAATTAAAATGTTAATGCTTAAAACTCTTAAATTTTTATTGCATTCAGAATAATTCTAACCACTCATGGTAGCCTACAAAATCACACCTTATCAGACATGAACCTCAGTTCTATTCTTTTCCCTTGACAATCCCATAGCCTTAGGTATTCTGGTCTTTCGTCATTTTATTAAATATGCCATGTATTTTTATTTTATGTTGTGGACTTTTTGTATGTGTTTCTCCACTCTTTTGGAATCCTCTTAACTGAGTTCTTAGCATGGTTGGCTCCTGTTTTTATAAGTACTCCCAAACACAGGAACTAGCATTACCATTTTTTCAGTCCTGCAGTTCAGAAATCTGGGGCTTACGTTTGAAACCCTCTTCTCTTACATTTCCCAGAACAAATAAAGCACTGAATACTTTAGATTTTTGCATTCTATTTCTTCACTATATTATTTTCTCTTTCTACTTCTACTATCTAGTAACCCTTTTCTTCAATGACCAAAATCTATTTTACTTCCAGCAATATGGTGAAAAGACTATCGACTCTTAATTTAAAGCCAGACTTTATTGTTTATAACAAATGCATTGCAGAATGTAAACAGAGAATGTAATCACAAGCCAGGGGCTGGGAGCACTTCATATTAGTTTCTTAACATGTCAGAACCACATTCTTTCATTTTTATAAGAGAGTAACCAGAGAGCCACTTTAAGAATTTTTAGTGGTTAGCAGAGGAGTAGAGGAGAGTGCCCTTGATACACAGGTAGTGGTGAACATGTATCTTTACCCCCAGCAGGAGAGAAAAGATAAACATTAGAGACATAAGCTAGCAAGCTTCAAAAAGGATATTTGAAAGGGGTTTTGTAATGGGATATCAGTTTTTGTACAAGGGAATTTATTTGTACAAGAGGTTACGGAGCTTTTCTCGGAGAATAAAACAAGCCTGTCTATTACTTGAAATTTTAACTTTTAGAATAGCTTACGTGCACTTATGCTGATTATTGAGGGGTTGACTGCAGCATCAGCGTCCACTTCAGTCCTTTCTCCAACCATTCCATTATCTACCATGCGATCAGAGTGATCTTTTCAAATCAGATAACCACCACCACTTACCTTAGGATAAAAAGCCAAAATTCTTATCAGGGCTTGTAACCCTGTGCTTGAAGTCTTACCTCACTCAATTCTCCTCTTTAATTTCTGATCTCTAACCATGCTAATCTTTTAGTTACTGCAACTCAACAAGATCTTTTTAGTTCTTTAATTTCAATTCAAGAGACATTCTGCTCTTTCTGCTTGGAATGCTCTTTTCTTACCTCTTCTCCTAATTAACTCCTGTTCATCATTCAAATCTTAATTCAAATGCTGATCCTGCATGAATATTTATTCAGTATTAGGTCAAGTCCCCTGATGACTGTTAGCAATCTCTGTACTTCTTATCACTCAGCATAGTACTGTGGGAAATATCTGCATTGTTCTTTATTGAATCCTTAGTCTCAGGACATTATCCAGAATGTCTTACGAAGAGATCAATAATTATTTGTAAAATGAATTGAGATAATAATAAAAGAGAAAAATAAGAGAAAAAATGTATCTATTTTTGAGAAGGAGAACATTTTTAATGAAGATGTGGCCCTGGAATACAGATGTTTCTCTCATTTTTTTCCTATTTCTTCCCAAATTTAATTAATTTCTGGTTAACCCTGATTTCTCAGATCATAAAAATCATGGGGAAATCAACTACTTTGGCAATAACCCATCATGTTTTCAGGATTTGTAAGCCATAACAACAGTAAATTCTTTGGTGAGCTATACTCTCAGTAAGTAAATGAAGAATAATTCAAATATTATTGGGAAAATGATGCCACATTCATCTGAATATAATAAATGTGAAATTCATTTTACTATGTTCTTAGAACTTTGTAATACTAATTTATAATAGCAGTTTCATCCTTTAGATATTTCATTTTATCTACGGATCTAATTCTTCCTGTGAAATTACTGAGCTATTTCTCTATTCTTAGAAGAGAAAATAACTCTTTGTGATAAAAATCATTACTATGTATAATTAGACTTCCGTTTACAAGTCAAACTGAACCAACGAACTTACAATCATAGAATGTGACTAGTCACAGGGAATGGTTGGGGCATTAGCTCAGTACCTGTCCAAAGTGAGCTCATTATTATGATTATTAGTATCACCATTATCAATCAGCTTCCACATAAAGTGTACCTAAATGCTAGATCTATATGATAGCTTCCAAAATGACACTGATTTTTAATAATCCAAATCTTTAAAGAGATCACTTTCCATTTTAGAAAAATGAGATTTTTTTTTTTTTGGAAAAGATAGAAAAACCTCTAAGCATTTTAACCAAGGGTTTTAGAACACTTTATTTTTATGAATATATCAAAGCAAATTCCTTCTTTATTTTGAAAGTGACTGGAAACAATTTCACGGTCTTACTAAGGGCTAGTTTAAGTGAGTCTCAATTTTTCTTCTGTTTTGTTTGCTCTTACAACTTTCCTCACACACACACACACACAAAGGGAGATATAAAAAAATCTAGATATAACAGATGCAACTTACAATTTTTTGGTAAGAAATCATAAAGTTTTAGAAAAAATCATTTAGGAGTGTCAATAAAAACGATATTTAAGAAAACAGTAGGAAAAGTGATATATTAAAAGACTTTTAAACACCTTTCACAAGAAATTGAACAGATGTGCAAATACACATTATACGTTATCTATTTGCTCATTTTATCCTGTCCTTAAACATAAACTTTGAAGATAAAAGAAAGAAGTGTGGCTCAGGGTCACTCATGTAATCTGTTTTTAGGCAGAAACAGGTGTGTTGAAAGGTTTTTAGGTAAAACAACCACCACTTAGACTTCAATAAAGTAGTATTTATTATTTTCCTATAATTGCAAATTTACCAAATGTAACTCACTATTTTTTCTTTAATATTTTCAAAGATATTTTTGAGTAATTATTATATTTTCACAATCAATTCAGTAGACATTTTTGAAAAACTTATCTGAACCTAGTTTTCTCATCTGTGAAATGGAAACAATATATACTCTCTCAGTTTGTTGTGTCAAATGAGAAACCATATATGATATACTAACCACTGGTTCTGGCTAAATGCATACCTCCTCATCTTTTCAGTAAAGACATGACTGTTGGCCAGGCACGGTGGCTCACGCCTGTCATACCAGCATTTTGGGAGGCTGAGGCGGGCGAATCACTTGATGTCAGGAGTTCAAGACCAGCCGGACCAACATGGCAATACCCCATCTCTGCTAAAAATACTAAAATTAGCCGGGAGTGGTGGTGCATGCTGGTAGTCCCAGTCCCAGCTACTCGGGAGGCTGAGGCAGGAGAATGGCTTGAATGGCGCTGGGAGATTGCAGTGAGCCAAGATCATGCCACTGCACTCCAGCCTTGGCAACAGAGTAAGACTCCATCCCAAAAAAAAAAAAAAAAAAAAAAAAGTAACTGTTATTCTCAGTACTTTGGGCCAGCACAGTACTGATACTCTCCTAAAATCTAACTCAAAGAGAAAAATCACAAAGCATTGGAATTGGAGCAGAAAGTAATGTATTCTTGTTTGACATCTTTCCACATTCAGTCTGTGTACTGTTAGCTGAAAGCTAGTTGACACAAAATGCTGTCTTAACTTTAGTGTTGTTTCTAATTTAGTTCTAGGTCATAAAATTTGTAGGAAAGTCTAATTCCAAAACTTTATCAACAGCTTTGTTACGCTCAGGTATTATGATCAGATATCTTATGTGTGCTCTATGACCTCAAGCAAAGATTAAATAAATCTGTACATTACAGTGAAGACCCACATCAACCAATGCAACATACATTTATTTTTCGCAGCACTCTTTTAGGTGCTTTGAAACATGTAACCCATGTTTAAGTGCAGAGGATAGCTGGCAAGGCAAAATATAACTATATGATGTGTTAATAAGAATACAGAGGAATAGTTAAAGTGATGCATAATAAAGTACGGAAATATGTTGTTTGATTTCAAAGGAAGGGGATAGTACATATGCTGAAATGGCCTGGGAAAGCTTAATGATAAGGAAGGTCTTGAGATGGGTAAGAGAGATTTGTAAGGAAGAGAAAGGAGGGAAATTTATTCCAAAAGAAGAAAAAGTATGACAAAAGCACAAAGGAATAAATGAGATGAATGGCAGAAAATAGATCAGTTAATCAGTGAGGCTAGAGAAGCACGTTTATGGAACACTAGTGAAAAATATGATGAAAAGGTAGAATGTGACCAATAACAGAAGGATCCATTTTCTATCAAGACTTTCTTATTAGATTTGATATGTTCATACCAGCAATGTCATCTCTGAATATAAAAGATATCTGTACTTACGCAACATAATTATATGTTATCACTGGGAAATTCTAGGAAGTAATTATCAGTCCCTTTATTAATATTACTATAGAATTAACTTATTCAGTTATAGGGTACACTACGTTTATAGTTTACTTCCTTCCTCCCCCAGCCTCCAGCTTTGTAATTTAAATGAAACTAAATTCCATCATAATTCACTCACTAACACATAGGACTGCCAACCTCTGAATGGCTTTAGATTTGCGTGAACCTGTATTTGTCAATGCTTGCTCCAGGATTCTATTGGCATATGTCGAAATAATTGATTTTTATGACAACCTGCTTCCTGCTTACTGTTTTTTACCATAGGGAGGGAAAAAATAGAATTATCCCTTGATTTAGCTGTCAGTCAAATGACAACTCAAGCATGCTATAAAATTAAAGAAAGCCCCACATTCTACCAGGAACTGATGATTTTAGTGATACTGCTCTCTTTGTAGAAGAAATAAAGTATTTTCATATCTTATGATGAATATCACTATAATACATTAAAATATAGAATTGCATCCAGCAAAATATCCTGAAGTGGACAAAATATGCCCCTCCAAAATATGCCATTTTTGCACAATAATTTTTTTGAGCAGAAAGCAATTAGCTCACTGACTTTCACCTTTCTAAAAGCAAGACATAAATTTCAATTTGTAAAGACGTCTCCCTTTAGTGTACTTGTAAGAAAACTACTCCATAGACAACTCTTAATAGCTGATGACTTATCTGCATAAGAAACTTTATTAAACAATCCTGATTTAGAATACATTTCTTCCCCCACTTTCCCGTAACTTACCTCCTGCACCGAGCAGCCCTAAACTTCTTTTCTTTGGCTAGTCTAAGATATACACCCCAAATCCTAATTGCCTCTTTGCATCACATTTCTTTGTGAATTTCCATGTGTATGTACATAATTAATTGTTATTTTTCTTGTTAACTTGTCTGTGATCAGTTTAATTTGTAGGGTCCCAGACACTGAACCTAGGATGGAAGAGAAAAAGTGTTTCTGCTTTCCTATGGCTTAGGCAACCATGAATGGACAGGCAGGGCATCCCACTTGCTCCAGAGGCTGCAGCTCAATTGAGATCTGACAAAGCTGATGTGAAAACTTTACTGAACCAGATCCTGGAATTTTGCCTACAAAAATACAAATACAGAACTCTGTTTTTTCTTTTCCAAATTCAGATTTGCACGAGAATAAAATTATAAGAATTAGTTCTTTGGAATGTGATTCTGGTGAATTTTCTCCTGAGTATCATTGGTTATTGACCCTTTCACTCCCAGGGAGAGCCATTGCTTTCCTGTGTGTCTCATTTTGTGTCTTGAGCGCTTGGATTCACTTTCTTCCTGGTGGCAGGGTCCACATTGTTGGGCTTGCTGTACAGGCAGTCAGTCATCAGATTGTATGCCCTGAGAATTTGTAGATGGTCAGATAGAGATGCAGGTTGCACTGTCTTGCTACTGATGTTCTACCAACCCTCTCAGAGGGTTTGTCTAAATTTTTATTTCTTTTGGCTATTGCTGGGAGGAACTCCATATCATAAGGACTTCATTTTTGCACTCTCTTTGTGGATACCTCTTACGTTCTTGGCTATCTACATTATTAAATATGTTTTTTCCCTCTCTTATTAATCTTTTATTTATTTAAAAGTGGTGGGTTCCCATGGCCTTGGGCATCTCTGCCTCTGTGGCTTCACAGGGTATAGCCTCATCCTAGCTGCTTTCCCCGGCTGGTGTTGAGTGTCTGCAGCTTTTCCAGGTGCAGGGACAAGCTGTCGGGGAATCTACCATTCTGGGATCTGGAGGAAGGTGGCCCTCTTCTCACAGCTCCACTAGGTGGTGCCCCAGCAGGGATCCTGTGTGTGTGCTCTGACCCCATATTTCCCTTCTTTACTGACCTATGAGAGTTTCTCCATGAAGGCCCCGCCACTGCAGCAAACTTCTGCCTGGACATCTGGGTGTTTCCATATGTCCTGTGAAATCTAGGGGGAGGTTCCCAAACCTCAATTCTTGACTTTTGTGCACCTCCAGCTCAATAATACATGGAAAATGCCAAGGACTGGGGCTACCACCCTCTGAGGCAATAGCCTGAGCTGTTCCATGGCCCCTTTTAGCCATGGCTGAAGGGGCTGGGATGAGGAGCACCAAGTTACTAGGCTGCACACAGCTCAGGGGTCCTATGCCCAGCCGAAGAAATCACTTTTTCCTCCCAGGCCTCTGGGCCTGTGATAGGAGAGTCGGCTGTGAAGACCCCTGACATGCCCTGGAGACATTTTCCCCATTGCCTTTGAGTTTAACATTTGGCTCCTCGTTACTTATTCAGAGTTCTGCAGCTGGCTTGAATTTCTTCTCAGAAAAAGAGATTTGCCTTTTCAATCATATCAGGCTGCACATTTTCCAAACTCTTATGCTCTGTTTCCCATTTTAAAACTGAATGCTTTAACAATATTCAAGTTACCTCTTGAATGCTTTGCTGCTTAGAAACTTCTTCTGCCAGATACACTAAATCATCTCCCTCAAGTTCAACAGTTCACAAATCTCTAGGGTAGGGGCAAAATGCCACTAGTCTCTTTGCTAAAACATAAGAAGAGTCACCTTTGCTCCAGTTCCCAACAAGTTCCTCATCTTTATCTGAGACCACCTCAGCCTGGATTTTATATCATTATTGACATTTTACTCAAAGCCATTAACAAGTCTCTAGGGAGTTCCAAACCTTCCCACACTTTCCTGTATTCTTCTGAGACCTCCAAACTGTTCCAGTCTCTGTCTGTTACAGAGTCCCAAAGTCACTTACACATTTTTGTGTATCGTTTTAGCAGCACTTCACTCCTGGTACCAATTTACCGTATTAGTCCATTTTCTTGCCGCTGATAAAGACATACCCAAGACTGGGAAATTTAGAAGAGAAAGAGATTTATTGGATTTACAGTTCCACGTGCCTGGGGAGGCCTCACAATTATGGCAGAAGGTAAAAGGCATGTCTCACAGGGCAGTAGACAGGAGAACAGAGCTTGTGCAGAGAACATCCCCTTTTTTAAACCATCAGATCTTGTGAGATTATTAACTACCCCGAGAACAGAACAGCATGGGAAAACCTGCCACCATGGTTCAATTATCTCCCATTGGGTCCCTCCCACAACATGTTGAAATTAAAATTGGGATTTGGGTGGGGACACAGCCAAACCACATCATTGGGGATGGAACTTTTTATTGTGAGTATGTCTGCACAAGTTACCTGTGTAGATTTTCTTGTCTGTGTGGCTGTGGGAATGTCTTAGTCAAACACCCCTATGCAAGTTTACTTATCTATGACTATAGTTTGATTTTTTAGGCTGTTCTTTTGTTTGAATGAATTCAACTGAGTACCCACCCTAACTGCCTGCCTGACTGGTTTGTTTATTTCTCCTCTCTCATTTTTACCCACGGGAGTGGAGAGCCTAACTGCTGTTAGCGAGGTGGGGTGATGCTCGCTACTTCCTGCTGGAAAGGGGCATTGTATGGGGAACAGCAGCTAGGGTTCCTTCTGTGAGCTTTCTAAGGGTCCTTGGAAGAAATTTGTGTCCATGCATGGTTTCATTTGCATCAACATTTGTAGTTTGATAGACTTTAGGCAAGAAAAAAAAATGGATTATTAGAGGACATGTATAAAAATGAAACAAGGGGATAGGTAATGAAAGCTCAAAAATCTCAAGGCTTCAGCCATGCCCAGATAAATAGTGGCTATAGTTATGCCTACTAAGATTTGGGTGCATGGGGCTTTGCTTTGGTGAACTTCCTTGGTTTTATTTTCCCAAACAAAGAAACCTCTGGGTTATGGGTACCCTGTATACTCCCATAACCTGGTAGGATTTGCAGGATAATAGCCCAAAACTAGAATATTGATTCAGATTTTTACACTACTTATTCCTTTTTTATTTTGAGTTGCAGCCAGAGATTGCTGGTTTGTTTACAGGAATAAGCAGAGTTATTCTAAAATGTACGTGATATGGTTTGGCTTTGTCCCCACCCAAGTCTCTTCTCGAATTGTAGCTCCCATAATTCCCATGTGTTGTGGGAGGGATCTGTGCGAGATAATTGAATCATGATGGGTGTTTTTCCCCATACTGTTCTCATGGTAGTGAATAAGTCTCAGGAGATCTGATGGTATTATAGGAGGAAATCCCTTTCATTTGGTTTTCATCCTCTTTCTTGTCTACTTCCAAGTTTTTGCCTTCCATCATGATTGTGAGGCCTCCCTAACCATGTGAAATTGTGAGTCCATTAAACATCCTTTTTAAAATAAATTACCCAGTGTCAGATGTGTCTTTGCTAGAAGCATGAGAACAGACTAATAGAGTAGGCAAAACTTAAAAACAACTAATGAGATTAGAATTTAATGACAAGTGTATGATAAGTTTTGAATCAAATTTTGCTCTCTCCAGTCCTCATTTTTGTTCAAAACAAATCATGATAGTCATTTTGTTAAAAACAAATTACGACTGAGTTGTTTGCAATGTAAACTTAGGCTCATACTTGGCTTGATTATTTGCATAATGTGCAGCAAAAATAATTATTTTTGCAGTCTTTTAAAATAAGCTTTGATGGAACTCTGTTCCACAAGAGATCTCAGATAGGACTTTTTTAAAGCCAAGCCCGGCCATGAGTTTGTACCCTCAAATACCTATGAGTTGAGTGAATTCCTCTCTTCTTAATGTCACAAGAATATGTGGTTCCTGGGACTGTTATATAGTGACATTCTTTACTCATCACAGATTAGAAACCCCGTACACAGATTATGTAGACAAGGTAGGAGGCCACATTTCCCAATGGGCTTTTATTGGCTCTGTAAGTGAAGCTTGATTCCTCAAAGAGAAGCATATCCATCCAATCAAAGCCTTGGTAAAACAACCAGTTTCTCCAATTGTGTCATGTTGCAAAAGAAAATGAATTCTTACTGCACTGGTGCAAACAACGATATTGCCATAAGTTTAGAATATTCCCAAATAGTTTCCAAATTCTGGAGTAACTTGGCAGAGAGAAACAAATACGCTCCAAATTTTGTTCACTGGTGTATACCTTACTTAATTCTTAAAAGCTGTAGATAGCTTAAAAGAAAGGTTTCCTTAACTCTGAAGAACAAAACAAAGAACAGCAATGTTTTAAGCAAAAAGTAAAAAAAGATTATTTCAGACTTCTATTAGTTTAGTTCATGCAGTTAACTCCTGTCTGATATTCATAAACAGTTAAGATCTTCATGACTCTTGTATGATTTCTTTTATTCTCATGTCATGATTTCCAAAGTTATCAGAAACCTGCATTTGAGAGCACATTGTAAAGTCCTACAGCTGATTGTAAAACATCTTTTGAAGAGGATTAAAACAAGACAACATTTATCTGTAGATGACATAGTGTTCAGGTTAGTTACAGTGAAAAACATGACTGGCAAAGATATTTGGTTATTTCTGTGGTTTGCAATAACTTAATACAATAATCCTAATTATGATCCATAGCATATTCTCAAGCATTAGAATTTTTAAAATCCCATACAATTTTGGAACATATATTAATATTATCACTAAAATATAACCTGAATAAGGTTAAACATAATTTTGTCAATCCCACTTACATGAACCTGTCAAAAAATTCTGTTTACTTCTCTTCTGGATGCTTCAGGGCCCTCTGTAGCATACAAAAGGTAGGGTTCAGGAGAGACAATTTTGAATGTGAAGTTTGATTTTGGGAAGCCTGTCAAATGTTACAGGTTTAAAACACTTGATAGTGTGAAATACAATTCCAGGTAACACATAAGTTATTTATTTTGGCAAAAGGATGACTCAG
Source organism: Homo sapiens (assembly GCF_000001405.40). Classification (NCBI taxonomy): domain Eukaryota; kingdom Metazoa; phylum Chordata; class Mammalia; order Primates; family Hominidae; genus Homo; species Homo sapiens. The sequence continues at coordinate 103,592,168 of NC_000001.11, forward strand.
AAATTTTAAAACTAGGCAACATCCTTTACTCCTTAAGAGGGAGGACTTCGCTTTCCAAACAGTTTGTCTCCTGTCTACTCTTTTCTCTCTTTGGCAGTCTCCCAACAAGGCAAACAAAATATTTCATTATTCTTCTCTATTACATGAAAAATCTGTACAAGGGAAAGAAAGCCAAATTTTACCCTTACATTGGTTTCAAAATAATCCTTTTTCATTGGCAAGGTTTATATTTTATGCCTTTTTATAATCTTTTATGACAAACACATTTTACTGTTCTTACACACCTTGCAGGTAAATTTATTTTTAGTTGTCTTATTTACATGTTTTAATGGTAAATCTTACCAATTTTAACGTTAATATAAAACCTGGTAAGTTGTTTTAATTATGTACTAGATGCAGATAAAGTCTGATTTTTCCATCATATTTAGGGGCATGGTTAATTTCATATGTCCCCAGGCCTTACCAAGTTGTAAGGTAGGTAGCATACAACCTTGAAACATTTAGCAAACCTGGTATCTAACTTACATGATTTAAACTTTCTATTTACATTTTGATGACATTTGCATTGTACCAATTTCATCTTTAAAACAATTACTATTTCTTAGAGGTTAAAGTCCCATAAACTAAAAGGCATTAGAGTTTTAACTTTCCTCTAAAATATTTGATTTAAGTGCTTATTTTTATTTAAGGCAATCAATTAGAGCTCATTAGAGACATCACACACAACACATATATCACTACACAGGCAAACAGAAGAAGATCCAGTAGTTCTAAGATTTTTTTCTTGTCCCATTTCCTAATTGAATTATTAGCTTTCCAGTGGAGCCCTTTAAGAGCAAGGATAGAAAACCATGAAGTTTCTAGGGCCTAATCAACTTGTATAGCTGTAAGACAAAAGCAGATTTTGAGTGGAATCTATCTATGAGCCTCTAAATTCTGGTATTCCATGAGGAAAACAGAGGTTTCTCCCAAAATGGAACCCATCATGCCTTTTCTGTTTTTCCCAAGAAGTATCAGGCCAGCAAAAGTTATCTTGGGTTCATTAAGAGTGGAAAGACAGAGTGGAGAAAACTTATTCAGTCAAAACAAAAGTTATCTTGGGTTCATTAAGAGTGGAAAGACAGAGTGGAGAAAACTTATTCAGTCAACACAAAAGTTCTTTTCAAGAAAAACACAATCCAAGAAGAGAAAAACATAAAGGCCTTTTAAATATACCTATAACATGAATATCCACTTTTAATCAAGCTGAGCATTCTTTAAGAAAATCATTTGAAATATGCTGTTACCTGACTTTAGCTAAATCAAGCAGGTAATATTTCTGGCTTTTGACTTTACCAAAAGTAATATCAAAGGTGAAACAACAACTCTCAATTAGGTTATAAGTTAACCACGAGTATACAAGATATCTTATAAGTGGTGGTAAGCAGCTTTTACCAGATCTAGAACCTTTAAAGTCAATTCAGAGAAAAGAAGATTTCAGAAAGGAAGTTAGAGTTGTTCATGGAGGAGGAAGAGAAGATTAAAAGTCACACAGCTATTAACTTGTAAGTATTCATTACCCAAACCAGGAGCGAACCCGGGCCACCATTATAAAAAGGCAATGGCTAAAAAGAAGTACTGCCACATTGTTACAGGTTATGGTCAAGGACATAAAACAAGATGGAGACTTGCAGCAAAGTTTGTTACTAACCAGTTTACAGGGGTGACTTGAACAGTGAGCTTACGGAGTCCCAGGCCTGGATTCCGTTCCAAGGTACCCTCTCTCTGATTGTTTCTTGTATTTTCTCTCCTTTTTCTGAGACTCCTCCTAGTACCTGTTATGAAAGACTGGGGTGGCTACTCTTAGAAGGTTTTTTAAGGTGCCATCTGGTTCTATAGCCTGTTTCTGTAGCTTCCTTCAAATATCAGGAGCTGCTTGAGTAAACCTGTCTTTCAAGATGAGCTGTCCCTCAATTGAATTACGAGATAGGGAAGCATGTTTTGCCAAAGTCTCTCTCAGCCTTTATAAAAAGGCTGAGGGATTTTCATCTGGGTTTTGATCTATCATGGATAGCTTAGAGTAGTTAACAGGTTTGGCTCTGGTCCCCTGTAAGACTTCTACCGTATACATCTGAAAGTGTTTCTATTTTTCAATCATCTATGGGCTTAGTAGGGTTCCAATTAGAGTTTTCAAGGGATACTGCCTCTTTTCCTACTGGGAATGGGGATTCTGCCTGTTTCTCACCCTCTTTCCCTTTTTGACTGGCTATAGGAAACATGCTGCTCATCTCTGATTTTTTCTGCTACCTGTAGGGCTGCCTGTCTCTCAACAGCAGTTAGGGTTTCAGAGTAACATAACATCCTTCTAGGAGAGTTTAAATACTTGGGTTATATCCTGGAAGGCCTCTATACATGAGAGAAGTTGGCACTTGCCCAGAGCGAACTTCAGGCTCTGAAGTCTAAAGAATAACTCAAGGGGAATGCAGGCTTGAAGATGGGGTGTTACCCATGCATAAAAAGAGGGGAGTAGAAGGTGTCCCTTAGTCTCCTTTCAACTTTTGAAGTGACCCAGGTTGAAGAGAAAGATTACAGGGGTGTCCCTCTTCTCTTTCCTCCCATCTCCTTTGGGTCCTGGCAACCATCATAGGTGCAGCCCATGGATGCAAGCATGAATTGCACCCATGTATCTGGAGGTGCTAGTTGGCAGGGGTAGTCATGCTTACCAGCACAATGCCTCATCTCACTGCCCTTCTGGGTTCCTAGGCCTCCCAGGAGATTGTACAGTAGATAAAGTTGGGTGAGACACTTTAACAGAGGGAGTGTTTTAACCCTATTCCTGCTTCCTCTAGCTATGGCCCTGGAAAAGCAGTGCATTCCCAGAAAATTTTACCCATTGCCTTTTAAACACAAAATCCCCTTTCTGATTAAATGCCAATGTTGTTGGAAGCAGAACAGGTGCCTCAAAAGAACATATGGATTTAATGGCTGTCCTCCTTCTGATGGGAACAGCACTGAGGCTAGAATTTGTCTCTCAAGGGTGGCTTCCTCCCAACTGTTGAATGCGGAGTTTTTTTCCCTACAAATGGGGCATAGAGTCTGCTTGCTGACAGAGGAACACAAAAGTGGAAGAAATCTGGGTATTAGAGGTTTTTGGCAAAGGGCCAACAAGACTCTATGCAGAAAAAAATCCTATCTCATGAGGTGGTGCTGTAGGTTTTGAAAATTTAGGTAAAATCTGTGACTCTAAATTTCTTCCAGGCAGAAGCTAGAAAGAGAGGTTTGAGGTTTAACAGACTGTCACTATATATGCCTCCCAGCTGTAGAAAATTAACTTGTCTCATTAATAAACTGTTCAAATTCATTTAGCAGTGGTGAGCTTTTACATGAAGGAAAAGCAACTAAAATGGAGAGGGATGAGGGTATTCACTCGGGATGAAATATCTTTTCATAGAGTACCATGAATGACTGTTATTGTGGGACAAAAAGCACTTACTGGGTGAAGGTTTAGACTGAAATCTTGAAATCCCCTGGTATTTTGAGTTTCTGCTTAGCCTTTCCAAAGGAATAAAATCAGATATGTATCTATCTCAGTGAGCAGAGGAGTGACTTTGAGTAGAATGGGAGGAAGGTTTGTCCTAGGCAGTTTCCCGCTTGAATTTTCCCTAGTGATTTCAGGGGCCCAGTATATTGTCCTTTCACACATCTGACAAGTAATTGATAACCAGAATATCTAAGCAGCTCAAACAATTCTAGAGGAAACATATCTAATAGTTGGATCAAAAAGTGGGCAAAAGATTTAAATAGACATTTCTCAAAAGCAGACAGACATATGGCAAACAAGCAAATGAAAATGTGCTCAACATCATCGATCAGAGAAATACAAATAATAACTACAATGAGATATTATCTCACCCCAGTTAAAATGGCTTTTATATAAAGACAGGCAATAAGGATTGCTGGTGAGGATGTGGAGTAAAGTGAACCATCATACACTTTTTATGGTTATGTAAATTAGTACAGCTGCTATGGAAAACAGTTTGGAGGTTCATCAAAAAACTAAAAATAGAGCTATGATGTGATCCAGCAATCTCACAGCTAGGTATATACCCAAAAGTAAGAAAATCAGTATATTGAAATGATATCTGCACTCCCATGTTTATTCCAGCCCTGTTCACAATAGCTAAGACTTGGAAACAACCTAAATATCCATCAACAGATGAATGGATAAAGAAAATGTGGTACATACATACAATGGAGTACTATTCAGCTATAAAAAAAAATGAGATCCTGTCATTTGCAACAACATAGATGGAACTGTACATTATTATGTGAAGTAAAATAAGCCAGGCCCAGAAAGACAAACATCACATGTTCTCATTTATTTGTGGGAGCTAGAAATACAAACAGTGGAACTCATGGTCATAAAGAGTAGAAAGATGGTTACTAGAGGCTGAGAAGGGTGGATGGGAAGCAAGTGGGAATGTTCAATGGGTATAGAAAACAGAAGAATGAAAAAGACCTAGTATTTGACAGCACAACAGGGTGACTATAGTCAATAACAACTTAATTGTGCATTTTAAAATAAATAAAAGAATATAATTGGATTGTAACATAAAGGATAAATGCTTGTGGTGATGGATAACCCATTTACCCTAATGTTATTATTACACATTGTCTGCCTGTATCAAAATATGACACATGCCCTGTAAGTTTATACACCTGCAATGTACCAACAACAATTAAAAATTTAAAAAGGTGTATCCTTCCCAGTGAACCAAAATATTTTACATTGATAACTTTTAAGTTATCATAGTGTGTTGGAATAATCACAGCTTTGGAAAGAAAAAAATTATAGATATAAACTTTCAAAGATGGCAGGAGATATAGATCTCTCTTTAGTGGATTAAAATATGCCATTTGTTATTAACATCACACTGAGATTTTTTAACACAGGACATCTTCTGGAAATGATATGATTATAGGAGTTATAGGAAAAAGCGTTTTTTCATACTGTGATTACCTATGCTATGAAGAAAGGAGATATTTCCTCTATGATGTCTAATTTAGCATAATTATTGTTTTTAAACTATATTTAGATTTAATTAAGAGATACACAAACAAATTACTTTTAGTAGTAAGAAGATTTTTAAAAATTTTTTGTGTAAGATGACTATGTAGTAAAGAAGGTTACAAACTTACTTTTTAACGTAGAAAAATAATCTCACCTTCTTGCCCCATGGAAAATTGAAATGTTATGTGGAACCCAGTGTAGAAAAACTCTCAGTGAGGTTTTCTGTCTTAAGTTTCAGTGGATTGAGGTGAGATCAACGCCTGTTCCACCTTTTTCCTCCCTGTCCTAGCAGGCTTGAAAACATTTATACAGCCATAAAATGTTGCCTTTAAATTCAAGTATAGAAAATAAAATTTAAAATGTGATATTTTTATATATTTTATTTTAATATCTTACATGGGAAATGTTTTTGAAATGTTAAAAAATTAAAATTTTTAAAAGAGTACTGTGAAATAATCTAATCACATGTGGAAATTTTGTTACTATTTCCCCAAGCATTTTTGGTACATTTAATGAGTTGAATGTAACTCATAAGTAGATAAAAATGTTTAATATTTAATTTTCTGCTGCAATAATGTTACAAAACAACCTTAAATTCTCAGTAACGTTAAACAACATATTTTTTTCTCCCAAATTTCCAGGTTATTTAAGGGCAGTTCTGCTTCATATTGCAGTTTGCCTGGGCTTTACTCCAGGCTGTGTGTTGGAGTTAGGTCTAATATATTGTATCCCTACGTATCCCAGTTAGAAAGCCTAACAGATTTCTTTGTACTTCAGTCAGCTCGATTGTATTTGTCATTCAAAAGCCAAAGCATTTATCCTAACACCAATTGCTTCTTTTTTTTTTTTAGATGGAGTTTCACTCTTGTTGCCCAGGCTGTGGTGCAATGGCACGATCCTGGCTCACTGCAATTTCCGCTTCCCGGGTTCAAGGGATCCTGAGATGGGGTTTCTTCGTGTTAATCAGGCTGGTCTCAAACTCTCGACCTCAGTTGATACGTCTGCCTCAGGCTCCCAAAGTGCTGGGATTACAGGCGTAAGCCACTGCACCCAGCCTAACTGACTGCTTCTTTTGTTCTGTAGTCTTTCTCCAAAACTGTTTTTCTCTGTACTCACTTTCACCTTCTCTCACACATATATGTCCCTCATGTCCCTTTATGTCTCCAGGGTCTTCTATTTCCACGTAATCTTAATTGTTCATCATATCCTGGACTCATGAGTAATTAATCTGTTATTCTCCCTGAAAGTGCAGCCTTGTTGAATAGAATGTGTTCTTTAAAGAGCAGCTTTGTTTCTCGAGTGAGGTATTAACTTCCAGATTTAAGTGAAAATGAGTTCCAAGTTTTATGTTTCATTGTGTGTCTAAGACTGACACCGTTTATTACTGTGGCACTTACAGCTTGCTTTCAATGCCTCCAAATTCTCTATCTGAAGGGCTGGGTACCATATCTCATGTCTGAACATATTCCTCAGAATCATGCAGTACCAGCTATGTTCCTTCTTTATATTATGGCTCCTGAGGTGCCTGTTAAGCAGCCAGGTGAAATTGCCTTTTAATCAGTATAGGAACAGTCTCTTTCCTGCTGATGCTAATGCTTTTTGTAAAAAGGTCATGCTGTATTGAAGTTCTTCTTTCACGGCAAAACCACTAATGGAACTCATCTACTTACTGATGGGTGGAAGCTCTTTGTATGCCAAAGTCTTGTTTTGTTTGTGAAGAATCTCTTTCCCTCAACAGTGATGTGCTACGTTAGGTCTCAAATCATTGTTGCTTTTTAATCCAAATTTATGACAAAGATTTTCAGTTTGTATGCATAATTTCCTTCTCTGGCCTTAACCATCAGTCTGTGGACTTGCCAAGCAACAACCACAAGAACAACAAGTCTGAGGTCAAGAGACACTATTTAGATCTCAGAATCATTTGTTGTCCTTTATCCTTTGACAAAGTTTTGCCTTTCTTTCTTTATGAGATTTTTTCCCTAATGGTTTCTCAATCTCTTGAGAAGAAGAAAGTTCTTGACTCTTGCAGTCTTTCTCATTAGTTGAATTATACCATCAGTACAGCTTCTGATCATGTCGAGAAATCCACCATGAAGAAATAAAACATTTCCGATTACATGGATTACGTTTCTTGGATTCTTATAGGCATTAAACTTCATTCTAGGATACAACCTCATGATCTTGTCTTATTCTCAGAACAAGAAATATATTACTATATACATTACAATATATATATATTGCAGTTTCCTTGCTATATATATATATATATGTATGTATTATAGTAAACCCTGTAGGCAAGCAGGAACACTTCAGAAGTCTCAATGAATCCATCATTAGCTGTTAGTAATGACAACACTGTTAGAATTATTTCAATAATCACACATTGTTATGGTCTGAATGTGCACCCCCAAATGTAATATGTTGAAATTTTAACACCTGAGGGCATAGTATTAGGAACTTGGGAGTGGAACTCTTTTTAGTGCTATTATGAATAAGATGCTTGCCTTTTCCAGCAAATGAGGACACAGCCACAAGCTGCCCTCTAGGAACTATGAAGTTAGTCTTCACCAGACACAAAATCTGCTTGATTTTGAATTTAGCCTCCCGAACTGTGGAAAATAAATTTCTGCTTTTATAAGCCACTCAATTTATGGTATTTGGTTATTGTATCCCAAACAGACTAAAACACACATTATTTACCTCCTTTTTGGACTGTCTGGGGTTGTTGCTTTAAACTTGCTTCAGTGCCTAGAACTGCTCCAAGCTCCCTGTCCTCTGGCACACACGTATAAATAATTCTGCTGGAAACCGACATGTTTCACTCAGTCATCCAAATGTATTTATAATGTTGTCCAAATATATAGCACTTGTTACAATGTTTACATTTTAGACATATTTTGAGATATGTGCCTTAACAGAGTGCTGTGATTATTATTAATATTTAGTAACTTATCTTACCAGACCTAAACTCAAAGTTTTTCACAATGGCAATGCCTTATTTGGGACTTATTTGGGACTGAATGTATGAAGATCTTACATTGAGTCCAAATTGATTTCTCTGTTAGTCTCGCAATAACATTAAAGCCACAGAATTATCTGCTGTATATTTCTTGTCTTGTTGTAGCTGATATTCTACATATTAGGACAATTAGGACATTAGTAATATCTATTAACCTTAGAATAAAATGTCATATTGAAATTGAAGAGGAATATTGGAACTTTGCTAAGAAAGAATGCTTTTCACACACAATGATATCTAAAATGGAGCCTCTGTTCCTGGAGGTATATTTTACAAAAATTCAGTGTTACTATAGGAATTCTGTACACTTCTTTCTTAGACATTTGTATTCCATCAGTGTCAGTCCTCTCTGTATTTTAAACTAAATAGGATTTCTTTTTCCATCTTTCTGTTTGACAAGTATTGTTTTGCTGAAAATTTGCTATTCATGTTCTTTTAACTCATTAGAAAGAATATTTAGGGTCTTTAGTGACAAATGACATGGTATAAATGAAAAGAAAACACTGACATTGTAATTGAGAAATACTAATTAATTAGGAGAATATTATTTAAAAACATTGTTTAAATATTTCTTTGTTTTATTATTATTATACTTTAAGTTTTAGGTTACATGTGCACAATGTGCAGGTTAGTACATATGTATACATGTGCCATGCTGGTGTGCTGCACCCATTAACTCATCATTTAGCATTAGGTATATCTCCTAATGCTAAACCCTCCCCCCTCCCCCAACCCCACAACAGTCCCCAGAGTGTGATGTTCCCCTTCCTGTGTCCATGTGTTCTCATTGTTCAATTCCCATCTATGAGTGAGAATATGTGGTGTTTGGTTTTTTGTCCTTGTGATAGTTTACTGAGAATGATGATTTCCAGTTTCATCCATGTCCCTACAAAGGACATGAACTCATCCTTTTATATGGCTGCATAGTATTCCATGGTGTATATGTGCCACATTTTCTTAATCCAGTCTACCATTGATGGACATTTGGGTTGGTTCCAAGTCTTTGCTATTGTGAATAGTGCCGCAATAAACATACGTGTGCATGTGTCTTTATAGCAGCATGATTTATAGTCCTTTGAGTACATAGCCAGTAATGGGATGGCTGGGTCAAATGGTATTTCTAGTTCTAGATCCCTGATGAATTGCCACACTGACTTCCACAATGGTTGAACTAGTTTACAGTCCCACCAACAGTGTAAAAGTGTTCCTATTTCTCCACATCCTCTCCAGCCTACAATGAACTCAAACAAATTTACAAGAAATAAACAAACAACCCCATCAAAAAGTGGGCAAAGGATATGAACAGACACTTCTCAAAAGAAGACATTTATGCAGCCAAAAGACACATGAAAAAATGCTCATCATCACTGGCCATCAGAGAAATGCAAAACATTGTTTAAATATTTCTATCACAAATTGACAGCAGTACAATGCACACCACCAGCAATGTATAATTCTAGATATGAGAGGTAAAAAGATAAAACAGGTATTGCATTTTCTCCAGAAAACTTATCATTTAGTGGAAACTGGCCAATAATTTCTTAGGCCTTAGGATAATTTTACCTTTGATTCTCTAGTTAATCCAAAATATATAAAAATATTAACCAAAAGTATATATTTTTAAAATGCCTACATAATCTAATGCAGTATTTTTTGCTCTCTTCTTGAAGTGAATTAAATTCCTTATCACTGACCATAAAATTGAACTCCATTGATGATTCTTATTTAAAATAGTTAAAAGTGAATGTAAAGATCAGTTGTGGTTTTCCTTTTCTTACCCTTGTTTTTACACTTATATTTGCCTGTGTCATTCACACACTTTTAGAATTCAAAACAATAACTAGAAATGTAATCATTTGCTTTTCAAAAGCTTTTCGCATCTTTCCAAAGTTAATATAAAGTCTTACAAAACTTTTAGCTAATTCACAAAAAAATCAAACATATATAGTTGAAGCAATTTTTTTTTTTTGGTAGATTTCTTCAAACCACAGAAATTTCAGTTATGGCATGGTAGGTCTTTTGAAATGTTTCATTTTTTGTATTTGAAGATGCAGAGCAAAAGTATTTCCACTCCAACTCCCCTTTAATAAAAATTGAATGTAACAAAAAAATCAAAATCTATAGGAAAATAACCCCTTCATCTATGTTAAAACTATGAGATTTCCAGCCCAAATAAGTTATAAGAACCAGTATAGAGTCCAGGCTCGGTGGCTCACGTCTGTAATCCCGGCACTTTCGGAGGCTGAGGCCGGAGGATCATGAGTTCAGGAGATCCAGACCATCCTGGCTAACATGGTGAAACCCTGTCTCTACTAAAAATACAAAACAAATTAGCCAGGCATGGTGGTGGGTGCCTGTAGTCCCAGCTACTCAGGAGGCTGAGGCAGGAGAATGGCCCATACCTGGGAGGCGGAGTTTGCAGTGAGTGGAGATTGCACCACTGCACTCCAGCCTGGGAGATAGAGTGACACTCCATCTCACAAAAAAAAAAAAAAAAAAAAAAAAAAAAAAGGACCAGTATAGAAATACTAATACAGTAAAAGGTGGACTTATATATAAAGAAAATAACCAACAGATTTTGTCTATGGCACAAACTTCTTAGAAATTTTGAGGTCTTTAGCCTTAAAGACCTAATCAAATATTTATTACTTTGAACAGTGAGCTACTGGGATATGCTGGGCTTTGAGCCTATGTACAAATCTAATTTTAGAAGTCAGGACGTGTTGTAAGCAATAGCAAAGAATATGCTAGATGATCAGCTTGGCAATTGTTGAACAAACTTCATTCAGCAGTGTGAGGACGTAATTAAAGCAGTTGACCTTCAATCTATTCACTCTCTTTATTGGCAAATGGCCGAGGAATAAGACTAGAAGGAAGATGAACTGGTTTAGTCTCTTTGTCAGCTGAACTTGTGGTGAAAGAGACTACTGATATTTTCTAGGATGAAGAGATCTTATCTCTGAAATACCCTTTGCAGGTTGCTCCTGACTGAAACAAATTCACAGATTCTTTCTTCTCGCTCAATTTTGCTGTTGATTCTTCATTTTACATTCTTTATTTCATTTATTTTATGCTTTAGCTCTAGAATTTTAGTTTGGGTTCTATTTTTTCAATCTGTCTGTGGAACTTCTCAATTGGTTTGTGTTTTGTTTTTTTTCAAGTTTTGGTTGAATTGCCTATTTATTCTCTTGTAACTAATTACTCTCCTTTAAAACAATTATTTGACATGAAAAACCTTGCAAAAATACAAAAATCTATAAACTTCTTGACAAAGAATTCAAAATAATTATTTTAAAGAATTTCTGAATTTGCAGCAAAAGTTTGCTATAGAGCAACATGAAAGCACAGAAAAGTATGAAACTCATTGATTAAGGTAAATATATAAAAAATACAGAACACTCTAATAGTGTAGTAGTGGTGTGTAAATCAGTTTTATTGCTAGTATGAAGCTTAAAATCCAAAATAATAATAATTATAGCTACAATAATTTGTTAATAGATATAGAATATTAAAAATATATAATGTGACACCAAATATATAAAATATAGTGGGCTGAGTAAAAGTATAGAGTTTTGAATATGATCAAACCTCAGTTTAAAATAGTTTGCTCCAACTACAAGATAGTATGTATAAGCTTCATGCTATTCGGAAAGCAAAAACCTATAGTAGATACCCAAAAGACAAAGAGAAATCAAAGCATGTCACTACAGAAAATCATAAAATCTCAAAGAACGACAGCAAGGGAGAAATAAAGGAACAAAAATATGTTAAAAGGCTGAAAAGCAATGAACAAAATGTCAATTGTATGTTCTTATCTATCAATAATTACCTTGAAGATAAATTCATTCTATTCTACATTCAAAAGCCAGAGTGGCTGAATGGATTACAAAAGGAGACCCAACAATATACTGCCTACAAGAGACTCACTTCAGCTTCAAGGACACATATGGTGTGAATTTAGGGGATGAGAAAATTTGATATTCCATGCAAATTAAAACAAAAAAACAACATGGATAACTATCCTTATATCAGGCAAAATATACCTTAAGATAAAACTCTAACAGGTGATAAAGATGGTCACTATATAATGATAAAGGGATGAGTTGATTAAAGGGATGAAACAATTATAAATAAATATGCACTTAACATTAGAGCACTTGAAAATGTAAAGCAAACATTAATATCTGGAGGGAGAGATACAGAGCAATCAATAATACTACAGATATAGGTAACCTTATTGACACTGTTGAAATTATCAATACTCCAATTACAACAATGGATAGATCATTTAGACAGACAATCTGTAAGGAAAAAAAAATTAGACTTGATCTGCACTTTAGACCAAACGGACCTAACAGATGTATGTTCACATTTCATCCACAGCCGGAGAACAGGTGTTCTTTTCAAGCTAACAAGAAACATCCTCTAAAATAGAGCATACTTGAAGTCACAAAATGTCTTAATACATTTAAGAAGATTGAAATTTTATCAAGTATCTCTTTTGACCACAATGGTATACAACTAGAAATCAATTAACAGGAGGAAAACTGGAAAATTCAAAAAGAAGTGAACATAACACAATTCTTAAAAACTGGTGGTTTAAAAAGGAAATAAAAAGGAAAATAAAGAAATCTTGATACAAAAATGAAAACACAATACACCAAAGCTTGTGGGATGCAGTAAGACAGTGCTAAGATGAAAATTTGAAATGACAAACACCTACATTAAAAAAAACACAAATATTTCAAATAAACAATCTATCATTAAACCTCAAGGAACTAGAAAAAAAGAAGAGCAAACTAAGCCCAAAGTTAATAGAAGAAAGAAAATAAGAAAGATCAAAGCAAAATAGAGAAATAGAGAGTAGAAAAGTAATAGAAATTGAAAGACATTCTGTGTTCATCAATGTGAGAAATTAATATTGTCAAAATGCTATTACACAAAGCAATCTACAGATTCAATGTAATCCCTATCAAAAGTCCAATGGCATTTTTCCAGAAACAGAAATAAATCCTAAAATTTGTATGAAATTACAAAAGACTATAATTACCCAAACTGATCTTGAGCAAGACGAACAAAGTAGGAGGTACCACACTTCTCACTTTCAAGTTATATTACTAAACTACAGTAATATATATATATATATATGATACTGGTATGAAAACAGTCACATAGAAGAATGGAGCAGAATAGAAAGCCTACACCAATATCGTCAAAGAATCTTCAATAACATGCCCAAAACACCTAATGGAGACAGGATAGTCTCTTCAATAAATAGCGTTGGAATTATTGGAGGCCCACATGCAAAAGAATGAAATTGGAGTGTTATGCTATGCACAGGAATAAATTGAAAATTGAAAAGGAATTTAAACATAACATCTGAAACCAAAGAATCCCTAGAAGAAAACAGGGGAAATCCTCCATAACATTGACCTTGGCATGATATTTTGGCTATGAATCCCAATGTATAGACAAGATAAACAAAAATAAACACATACAACTACATCAAACTAAAAGATTGTGGCACAGTAAATAAATAAATAAATAAATAAATAAATAAAAAGTCACCCATGGAATGGTAGAATGTACTTGAAAACAATATATCTGATAATGCATTAATATCTAAAACATATAAGAAACTCATAATCAGAAAAAAAGTAACCTGATTAAAACATGAGCAAGAGACCTGAATAGACATTTTTTCAAAGGAAGATTTACACACGGCCAACACATGAATGAAGAGGTGCACAAAATCACTAAACATGAGGGAAATATAAACTGGAATCAAAATGAGATGTCACATTACATCTTTCAAAATAGCTAATATCAAAAAGGCAAAAGATAAATAGTGTTGACAAGAATGTGTCGAAAAGAGAACCCTTATAGAGTTTTGGTGGGAATGTAAATTGGTACAACCATTATGGAATACAGCATGGACACTCCTCAAATAATTAAAGATGTACCGTATGTTACAGAAATTATACTTTTAGGCATAAAAGTATATACCTGTGGGTGTGTTGGCTCACACCTGTAATCCCAGCACTTTGAGAGGTGAGGGAGGCAGATTACCTGAGGTCAGGAGTTCACGACCAGAGTCGCCAACATGGCAAAACCGCATCTCTACTAAAAAACACAGAAATTAGCCCAGCGTGGTGGTTGGCACCTGTAATCCCAGCTACTTGGGAGGCTGTGGCAGGGAGAATTGCTTGAACTTGGGAGACAGAGGTTGCCATGAGTCAAGATTGCATCACTGCACTCCAGCATGGGCATCAGAGTGAGACTCCATCTCAAAAAAAGGGTATATACCTTTTATATACTTTTCCTTTTATATACGATAGAAATAAAATCACTATCTTGAAGAGATATCTGCATTCCTGTGTTCATTGCAGCTTTATTCACAAAAACCAAAATATGGAAACAATCTAAGTGTTGACAGATGAGTAGGTATGTAAATTATGATATCTATCATCTATCTGTCTATTTATCTATCTATCTATCTACAACGGAATATTATTCCGTATTTAAAAGAATGAAATTCTGCCATTTCCAACAAAATGAACGAGCCTAGAGGATATTATGCCAAGTGAAATAAGCCAGGCAGAGAATGAAAAATACTACAGGTACAACAATGAAAACTTGCCATTATAAGATGAATAAGTTATGGAGGTCTAATGCACAACAGGGTAAAAATAGTTAGTAATAATGTATGCTTTAAGTTCACTGAGTGTAGATCTTAACTATTACCCTTTCCCAACACATGATAACTATGTGAAGACATGAATATGTTAATTAGCTTGATTGTGAAAGTCCTTTTAAAATATACTTGATGGGCGCAGGGTGAGAGGAGAGTGAGGGTCAAAACACTACCTGCTGGGGACTATGCTCACTAGCTGGGTGATGAAATCATTTGTACACCAAACCCCAGCAACATGCAATTACCCACGTAACAAACCTGCCCATGTACCTCCTGAACCTAAAATAGAAGTTGAGAAAAGAAAAAAAAAGATATCAATTTCCTATAAGGAGCTCCAGGTTTGTTCCAAACAGTAGCGAGACAAACAGATCAAGGATGAAATATATAAAATAGTAGGCAAAACGTAAACAACATGTGTAAGGCAATCGATTCTATATAACTCAGCAACTCCTAGGGTTCTTATCAAATAAAATCACTGATGTGTCATAACTTCTAAACTAAAAACAACACAAATGCCCATTCACAGTAGAATGAATAAATAAATTACTTTTGCTTCCCGCGATGAATACCACACAGCAATTAAACAATGAACTGCTGCTACACAAAACATAGATGATTCTCACAAATTTCAACTGAGTGAAACAAGTCAGACTCAAAAGATTACATACAGCAAGTTTCCATTTATATGAAATTGAGGAGTAGGGAAATCCATCGTGATAGATTTCATGATAATGATGACCATTGGTGAGTAACTGGTTGAGAAAGTGCGAGAGCCAGGGGTGTGGGAGCTGGAAATCGTCCATATCTTGCTTGATTTGGGTGGTGGTGATAGGGATATATACACTTATAAAAATTATAATGCTATATGCTTAAGATTTATGTATTTTACTATTTGTAAGATATATATTAGTTGAAAAAATGCTTCAGTGTAAAGGAAACCAGTAAAAATACGCTACCTACAATTGTAGCTTTTGTTTATCAAAAAAGCATTTGAGTAGTCTATTGATTGGTAATTAGCAAGTTTATGTTAAGCAGCCTTGTCCTGAATACTTTTTAGTATGTACCATTAAGCATTTGCCTTTCTCAACTAGGGCTAATTAAAAAAAACTCAAAACCTCACATTGTACACGTTGAATATATATAATTTTAATTTGTGAATTATACCACCATAAAACTAAAAATCTAATTAAGTTGAGTTTGAATACATTTTAGGGAAAATACGATAAAGAAAATTAGGAGCTTAAGAATATGCATAGATAAAAAATAAACTTGATAGAAATATTATTTATATATTATATATTATGTATATTTATATATATTTATATATAATATATAAATAATAATATATATATAAATAATACTATATGTATTTCAGAAAATCATATAAAAAGCTGTGCTAAAATTTTCCAGAGAGAGAGTAAATAGTTCTCCTGTAGTGGATTAAAATGAGATTAGCATTGGAGTACTAGCGTAATACAACAGATAGAGTCTGAAGTCAGATCTCAAAAATACAATATATTTGCTAAGTAATGCGAGACAAGCTATTTAAAGTTTTTGGACCTAAATATCCAGTCTGTAAGTTTGTTGGAAAAAATAAATACGCTAATAGAGAACTTAACTTACAGGGAGTGCTAAATTATTACCTGTTACTGGAAAACATAATATCAGTGACATTAAAAGCTTGAGTGTTGTAGAACAATATTTTGAAATATCATTTTTTGAAGTTATATACATATTTATATTACTTTAATAATTTGCACAACATAGGAAGGAAAGCTTGCTTTGCACAGGCAACATTTTTGCCAAATAATCTTTAAATCATCATGAATTCTCAATTAGATTAACAATAATAAAATTTTATTGTAGAAGACTATTTTTTCATTAATATAGTTGTACATGCACATAGGGTAAATGTAATATTTTGTTACTTGCCTAAGCTTTATAATGATCAAATCAAAGTAACCAGGGTGTCCATAATCTCAAGTATTATTTCCATATGTTAAGAACATTTCAAGTCCTTTAGCTATTTTGGAATATACAATACATTGCTGTTTATATGTAGTCACCTTACTCTGCTATGAAATATTAGAACATATGTCTTCCAAGTAATTGTATGTTTGGACCTATTAACAAACTTTTCTTTATTCCTCCCACCCAGAGAAACTTTCCAGCCTCTGGTATCTATCTATAATTCTATTCTCTACCTCCATGAGATCAATATTTTTAGTTTTCATGTAAGAATAAGGATATGTGATACTTGTTTTTCTGTGCCTGGCTTATTTCACCCAACACAATGACTTCCAGTTCCATCCATCTTGCTGTAAATGATAAAATCTCATTCTTTTTTATGGACAAAAAGTATTCTACTGTGTATATATATACCATGTTGTTTTTATTCATTCATCCATTGATGGACAGAGGTTGATTTCATATCTTTGCTATTGTGAATATTGCAATAAATATGAGAGTGTGGTTATCTCTTTGATATACTCATTTATTTACCTTTGGACAAATAGCTAGTAATAAATAGCTTGCACCTCTGGTCTCAGCTACTTGGGAGACTAAAGCAAGGGGATCACTTGAGCCCCCGAGGTTGAGGTTGCAGTGAGCCATGATCACTCCACTGCATTCTAGCTTGGTTGACAGAGTGAGAACCTCTCCCTCCTAAAAAAATCCTTAAGAAATGTGTTGATGCCTGGTTCCCTTGGTCAGAATTTTCATTTGATGTGTTGAGAGTGTAGCACAGATGTTGGAATGAACCTCTCAAGCTGATTTTAATGTGCAACCAAGTTTGAGAACCACCAAGGAAGAGTTTTTATGAATTAAGATTCCTATACTCTATCCTAGAACTAATACAACTGAATCTCTGGGAATGGAGTATCAGAATCAGATTTGAAAAGGTTTCCTTAGTAATTCTAAGGACTGAGCAGTTTGGATACTCGTTTGTTAGAGTAAAATGGTTAGGTACCTAGTATCAACATAGGCACCCAACCTGATATTAATAACTAGGAAAATAAAGGGTTGGCGCCTCTGTGTTTCTTTGTTGAAAAATCTGATACTATTCTTAGTTCTATGAAAACAATTGAAAATTTGGTTATTATCACCTTAAAAGTACAAAACCTATAGATATTGAAAATGTAATTATTTTTCTATAGGCATAGTTGAAATGATTTTGTAAATGTTATAAATCAGTTTCTTTATAAGCAGTTCATTTACATAAATTTTGTTAAACTGACATGATTCACTAATTTTCTAAATATAAATGGTTCAGCTCTCAGTTATTTTTAAACTAATGACCTGTGTTATACTTACTATTTTTAATGGGCTTTTATGATGTTTTTAGGTTTCTTTGGATTCCCATGTCCTTCAAGTGCTTTGCAACTTTGAGAAGAAGAAATTGACCACCTGGACTATGGAACTGTGCATAACAGCTTTGAAAGTGTATTTAAAAATTAAATCCATACGCCTTTAAATCAGTAAATTGGAAATATATTACATGTATTGTAATGACTTTCCTCAGATATAATAAATTGTTTTCTTTCCAATGGAATAGTGTTTGCATTTTTTGTTTACCTGGTTTAAGATGTGCAGCAGAACATAACTAGATGATTACATAATTTCTTTTTAAGGCAATTTTATAATATATTTTATTTATGATTATAAAAACTGCCTTTAAAAATTCTTACATGGATATCAATGCAGTTTCACTTTTTTTATTGTAATCTTTTTTATAATTATTTTATACTTGTCTGGCATTGAGTTTTATTGGGCTTTTGGTTTTTTGGAAGTAGGGTATTTATCCCAATTTAGAAAATTTGTATCCTTGCCATAATACAGTCTTCCATTTTTGTACCCCCAAATCTTTCATCTGTCAGAACATCACTCAAAGGTGAAAATATTTCCCACATAAAATTATTCTGTTCCTTTAATGAAATGAGTTTCAGCTGTATATAAGTAGGAAAACTTCCTTTTGTTCTATTTGATTCCTTTTTACGGATACTTTCTTGAGGCTGTGATTACACCTTTACCTTAGAGGCACTGCCCAAAAAGACTCAGCTCTTCTGTAAAAATGCTGTTATGAATCATAGCTTCTTAACTTTTACAACATAGTGAGGTAGGGAAAGTAAGAACACTAGAGATAGGAATTAGAAGCATGGAGAAGTGAACCCTGGAGCTTCCCAATGGTGAGATACCAAATAGTTCAAGAACTAGTAAAGAAGACTACGGAGGAATAGCTAGAAGCTAAATGAAGAAAGTATCTCAAACAGGAAGGAGTGATCTGTTAATGTGTTAGGAAAGTTGAGTTCTTAGGATTAAGCATTGGGTAGAGCAAGATTTGGGACCTTGACTTTGACGAACTTGGTGGATGTCAGGAGTAAGAGGAGGTATTCAAGAGAATGTTGGAGAGGAATTTAATATAGTGAGTATTGAGGACAACACTTAAGGAGTCTTGCTTTCAAGGGGATGTGAGAAATGGGTTGTTAATGGAGGGTAATGTAGTATCAAAAAGCTGTTTATTTTGAGATCGATGATATAGTAGGTTTGTATGCTAATGGGACTGATTCAGTAGACAGAAAAAGCATAATGCAGGAAACAGAGGGATATTGCTGAAGCCATAGACCTGGGACACAAATAGAAGGGTTAGTTTTAAAGATAGGCCCACAAACAGCTCATTAGTAACAGCAGGATGAAGGGCAGATTATGGAGTTCCAGATGTTTGTAGTCCAGTAGATAGGAGGAGCATGTCAAATTTTTGTGATATTTTCTCAGTGAAACAGGAAGCAAGCTCATAAAGAGGGAGGAAGTCACGAAGGAGTAAGGAAGGAAAAGGAGATGTAAAATGAATAGATAGGAGTGTAGGAAAGTAAGCATACTCTTAGGAAATCTGTGGTTTATTTAAGTGGTATCAGTCAATGTGGTTCTGTGTTTTTCTCCAGTTGAGTTCAGCATAGGTGCTATCACTGAAAAAGTACAGAATTCAGTTTAACTAAAGGTGAGATTTCTCTAGGTGAATAAAACAGTCAGTGATGAGATGTTGATACATTTAAGAGAATGATTATAAAAGAGGGATGTGGAAAGTAGTCTGGGTTAAGTAGTGAAGTGAGAAAATAAAGAAGGTTGAGACAGTGGAAAATGGAATGATCAATTGTAGATTGCAGTGTGGTTGAAGATGCAATGGACTTCTTGAGGTGGGAACTAGAAATTTGGGGGATATAAATAAGAGAGGGGTGACTGAAATTGAAAATATGAGAGTATAATAGTATACAATATTACTAAGTATGGTATACTAAGTATAGTAGAATAGTACTAAGTATAGTAGAATAGTACTAAGTATATAGTACTTAGTGAGTATAAGTTTTAGGATGTGAAGAGGGGAGTAGCGTAGAGGCAAGGTGATGGAAGCAGATGAGTTCAAGAAAATGAGAACCTAGGAGATTGAAACCATTATCTAAATGAATTCTGAAATCTCAAGAAGAACTGTGCTGAGTGCTTGTAGTCATTATTTTGTCTTTACTACTCTGTGAGAAGACAGCACTTCCTTTTGTGAGTAATGGAAAGTTCTTTAATATGTCAACTGTAAGATACTTTATTACATTTAATTATCTTTAGTAATGCATAGTAATAACTAATGACCTCAGTAGGATTATTCAGTAGATATGTGAGCTAACCCCCTGTGTCAGACACCTAAGAGGAACAACTGATGTTTTTCAAGACGAATAGAGGGTTCTCATCCCAGGGTTTTAAGCTGCAAAATATCCCACCCTATATTTTCTGAAAACAAACGTTATATAGAGTGTCCACATAAAAGCTAACAGGAAATATTACACACACACACACACACACACACACACACACACACAGCATTGAAAATGCATCAGGAAAGATATACCCTGTACCCAACATGCACAAGGTCTAAGCAATGAAGAAAATCTAGGAAATCAAATAAGACCAGAACATCTATGACTAATATATAAATACTTGAGGCAGTTATATCCATTTAAAAGGTGTCAATTAGACATGAAAGAAAAAGGCCAGGTGCAGTGGCTCATGCTTGTAATCCCAGCACTTTGGGAGGCCAACGCAGGCGGATCAACGTGAGGTCAGGGGTTTGAGACCAGCTTGGCCAACAAGGTGAGACCCCGTCTCTACTAAAAATACAAAAAAAATTGCTGGTTATGGTTGCACGTGCCTGTGGTCCCATCTACTTAGGAGGCTGAGGTAGGAGAATCATCTGAACCCAGAGGTAGAGATTGCAGTGAGCTGAGATTGCGCCATTGCACTCCAGCTTGGGTGATGGAGTAAGATTAAAATATATATATATACATTTTTACATAAGAAATTTTATTTTAATTTTTTTGTAAATTAGAAAATAGCAATTAATATGGTATTTATATACCAGAATCTTTGAATATCTAAAATTTAAGAAGATGTGAGCAATTTCATGAAACTTTTCAAAGCTTAGAAAAAGGTAGCTATGTAAAATAACAATGTATGTTGTTTATGGGAACATTAGATGAAGTAAGTCATGAAAACATGCATAGAAATGATCATATAAACTTGCAAGAAATTGAATGTCTTGCTATCAAAGGAAAGGATGGAGGTGTAAGAGACTGAGGTAGAATGTGAGAAGCTCTGTATATATTGTATTTTCCTTAAAAATATATATTTAAACTCGCATTTCTTGTTTTTCAAATGTTCACTCTAATGAAAATTCTTTTATTTTTCCTGTTACAGTTTTTATTTCTGATCTCATATATGCAGTGTACTGTTGTTCAGAAATATCATTGATCCTCCCTGCAAATGAAATACTCTCATCCTGTTGAATTTGAGAATGTACACATGATTTGCTTTGGCTTTGAAATGTGAGCAGAAAGAATGTTTTACTTTGGGGAGTTCCCAATTGCTAAACCATGTGTCAAAATGAAGTTTTTGTGACATTACAAATGGACTAATAAGAGTGCCTTTGTTGATCCTAGTTGAACATGAGAAACTTGGTTATTGTAAGCCACTGAAAAATTTTAGTTTCTTTTATTACTGCAGAATAGCCTATTCTGTCCTGATTGATACAGCCACAACATTTCCTTAAGCTCTTTGATTTTCATATTGCCATTAGGATGTAGAATGCCAAGAGAAGGATAAATCATAGGATCAGAGAATGTTAGCAGTGAACGAGACTATTGGAATACATTTTTTCAATGGTTTCCAGACTTTGGGTTCTAAGTAATCAGTAATATTTCGAAAAAGTAGTAAAAGATATTTCAATATAAAAAATAATGACATTTAACTTTGAAAAAAAAAACCTATCATTGCTAGGCATAATGGGTCTAGCTTGTAATCCCAACAACTTGGGAGGCTGAGGAGGGAGGATCACTTAAAGTCCAGGAGTTTGAGGCTGCAGTGAACCATGATTGCATCTCCACACTCCAGCCTGGGTGACATAGGGCCACCTCAACAACAACCACCACCAAAGCTATCATTAATACATTGTTCCTCTGTCTCTCTTCCCATCCTCCTTACCACTTAGTCTTAAATCTAATCTTATTAAACAATATCTAAGGAAAAGATAAGAAAAATGATGGTTGCATCTATACTGAACATGTGTTGACTTTTTTCTTGTCACTATTTTCTAAACAACACAGTATCACAACTTTTGACATAGCATTTATGTTGCATTAGTTATTATAAGTAATCTGAGATGATGTAAAGGTTATATGCAAATATTATATTTTATATAAAGGACTTGAGTAATTATTACTTTAAGTATCCATGGTGGTTCCTGGAACAAATTCCTCATGGATATGGAGGGAGGAGGAATCACTGTAATTAAACAAATCATCACTTTAAAACTTAAAACCTTTTGCATGTTGAATACAGTCATGCACCACATAAATGATGGTGGTCCCATTAAGTTTATTATGCCATATTTTTATCGGAAGTTTCCTATGTTTAAGTGTATTTAGATACACAAGTACACTGTGTTACAGTTGCCTATAGTATTCAGTAAAATAACATGCTTTACAGGTTTGTAGTCTAGGAGAAATAGGCTAAGCCATCTAGGTTAATGAAGTCCATTCTATGACATTTGCACAGTGGCTTAATTACCTAAGGGCTTTCTCTTCAGAACCTACTCTTGTCATTAAGCAATGCATGACTGTAGTTGGACAAAAAATAATAATGCAGGCATACCTTTGGCACTGTCCTAATTCTTACCAGCATCCATGATTGCTTAAATTTGCACTGGAAAGACTTCAAAAAACAGTGATATATTAGGACAATATATTTCCAGTACATGACAAATGATAACAACATAAGAACTCGAAACACTCAATAAAAAACAAAAAATAAAGCAAAACTAGATGGGAAAAGGAAGAAGCAAATTTCAAGAGAAAACTCAAAAGGCCAAAAAATGTGAAATGATGTTCAGCCTTGCTAGTAATTGGGAAAAACACAAATCATTTTTTTTTTTTTTTTTTTTGAGATGGAGTCTCCCTCTGTCACCCACGCTGGAGTGCATTGGCGTGATCTGGGCTCACTGCCAGCTCCACCTACCACCTTCAGGCCGCCATTCCCCTGCCTCAGGCTCCAGAGTAGCTGGGACTACAGGGGCCCACCACCATGCCTGGCTAGTTTTTTGTGTTTTTAGTAGAGACAGGGTTTCACCATGTTAGCCAGGATGGTCTCCGTCTCCTGACCTCGTGATCTGCCCGCCTCAGCTTCCGAAAGTGCTGGGATTACAGGAGTGAGACACGTGCCCGACCCAAATCATTTTTAATCTATTAGTCAAAAATTAGAGCTATGATAATATTAATTTTTGGTGGGAGTGTGGCAAAAGGTACTATAATATACTGCTACTAGAGAGTAAAAATTGATAAATTTTGTAAGGGCAATTTTGCACAATATGAAAATATAAAAATATGCTTCATGTTTACCATACATTTATCTAGCATACAGAATTACCCATGTGTAAACATGTATACAGATGTTCATTATAACACTTCTTATAAAAACAAAATATTTGGAAATAAATGTTCATATTAATAAGGCGCATACCGTATGATCTTAGTCCAGTTAGAATATTCTGTTTTATTTCAATCCTTTAAAAGACTCAACTTCTGACTCTATATAGACGATTAAAAAAAGAATGTGTTCTCCCTTTGTGCATTTGGTCAGGTAAATTAAAAAATACACCACATGCTAGCCGCACCAAACTGGAATAAGCCTTTGGAAAGAAGTTGTCCTTGAAGCTTGTATCTGACATTGTAGCAGGACGAGCCTCAGACAAAACCTCTCAGACACTGAGTTGTAGAAGGAAGGGCTTTATTCAGCTGGGAGCATCGGCCAGCTACTGTCTCAAAATCTGAGCTCCCGGAGTGCACAATTTCTGTCCTTTTTAAGGGCTCACAACACTAAAGATTTCACATGAAAGGGTCGTGATTGATTTGAGCAAGCAAGGGATACGTGACAAGGACTACATTCACTGCTGGTCAGGGAGAAACAGAACAGGGCAGGGAGTTTCACAGAGTTCTTTTATACAATGTCTGGAATCTGTGAATAATATCAGCTTCTAAATCATAAGTTGATTTTTAGCTACTGGGTTTAGGCCAATCAGGCCCAGGCCTGGTTTCAGGCCTGGCGCTGGGCTGCATGTCTTTGGTTGTACTTCCTGGTTGTTTTTACTGAATAGAAAACAATATAAAACAAGGAGAGGGTCTTTGTCTCCTCTCAATATCAGCACTGGATTGTAGAATGTGTTGCTGATTTTGACCTTGTATTCAAGTTAACTGTTGCCCTTGGTATCTGTACATATCTTTGATTTCAGTCTTTACTACACGTGGCTTGGTCACTTCATGGCTAAAAACATGCTTGTGGAAGACCAGTCTGGCTCGGTGAGTCTGTGCGGCCAGCAGTCTCTGATCTGTACAGGGTATTAATGTGTCAGGGCTGAGTGTTCTGGGATTTGTCTAGAGGCTGGTAAGGGCTTCTGGACCACTTGTTTCTGTCCTGTCAGTCTGTCAGGGTTGGAAAGTCCAAGCCATAGGACCCAGTTTCCTTTCTTAGCTTACGTTATCTACCAGAGCACCGTGGGCTGTTACTTACCTTGAGTTGGAAGGGGTTCGCATTTATACCTGTAAAAGTATTCATCCTTTTAATTTATGTAAAGTTTTTTTGTATGCCATTCTGGATCTTTAAAGAGATGACAACAAATTTTGGTTTTCTACTGTTATGTGAGAACATTAGGCCCCAGCAACAGGTCACTGTTTAAGGAAAAATAAAAGTGCTGCCAGAACCTAAGAAAAACATTAATATCTAAAAGGTCATTTAGATGATTTCCATGAGAGACTTTTTGATGTTCTTTACCTGTTAGGATTATTATTGATAATCCTTTTCAGATTATGAATAAACAGTTTGCCCTCAAGTATTTATTCATGCTAATATTTACTTTGTAAAATGTGCTTCTTACAGGAATATAAATAGTTTCTGGAAAGGACACTGACAACTTCAAAGCAAAATGAAGTTCTTTCTGTTGCTTTTCACCATTGGGTTCTGCTGGGCTCAGTATTCCCCAAATACACAACAAGGACGGACATCTATTGTTCATCTGTTTGAATGGCGATGGGTTGATATTGCTCTTGAATGTGAGCGATATTTAGCTCCGAAGGGATTTGGAGGGGTTCAGGTGGGTATGATTCATAGTATCAATTGCGGAATTCACTGTGCTTGTAGGAAATAGTATTCTGATCTTATCTGTGAAGCTTGGGCAACATTTTACTTCACAGGTAAGTATTCTAAGTAAAAGAGATTTCTGAGGGAAAATCTATGTAGTATTCTTGGCAACTTTATATTTTGTTTCTGAGATAATCTTTCTTCACCAAGAGCCCTCCAATGTGCTGTTAATATTTTCAAGAGATAGCTGCCTATACCAAGATTCAAGAATCTTTTATACTATTGATTAGTTTCTAGAACATTCAATGATACACAGTAAGACAGAATTTGGTACTTATGAAGACTGTTTAATTTGTAGGTCTCTCCACCAAATGAAAATGTTGCAATTTACAACCCTTTCAGACCTTGGTGGGAAAGATACCAACCAGTTAGCTATAAATTATGCACAAGATCTGGAAATGAAGATGAATTTAGAAACATGGTGACTAGATGTAACAATGTTGGGGTAAGTGAATTCTAGTTTCCTTTAAAAATAACAGACAGGAAAATGGTTTCTCTCTCTTCTTTCTTGCTCCTTTTCAGCAGAAAATTTTCCGTATTTTATTTTTTTAATTTTACTTCATAATTTAAAACTCAAAATTAACTGTTTATTTATGTTCAACTTTTGTGAATATTTGTGTGTGTGCTATCTACTAAAGAGGTAAGTTAAAGTTTAAATCAGAATTTGCTTCTAAAGCAAAACATCAAATTTTAACCCTTATAACTGTTCGTATTTCCCGGAAACAATTTACTGGTTAGGAAGTATAATTCCAGTTACAATGTTTGCTATCATTTTTAGGTGACTTGTGTCTCCATCCGTAATTCTTGGGTTTTTCATGGTGAATAGCTAGCTTCTCTATTTAATGAGGAGCATAAATTGAGATTAATAGCTACCTTGTTTGTCTTCAAAAGCTTCATAGAGAGTACAGGCTTTCTCCTGGTGACCCACTGAAATTTCCAAAACAATAACCTTTCCACTCTCATCTGAGTTTTGTCTTCCCAAAGTGGGCTTTTTGCATTTCCTCCTATTTATGGTAGTTTCTGGTCTCTCAATTTATCATTCCTATAAATATTTGACCAAGTGTCTAGAAGGCATGTAGGTGTTTAGTTCACATTACTTTCCTTTCACAGTTGATTTTTGATCTTGTAGGAAAATAATTATAAGATATCATGAAATATTTTGGAGTTTTATTAACATACTATAAACTTGCATCAATAATGCTTTAAATTTCTACCTCTCTGTAAGTCACACTGAAGTAGAAACTTTGTTTTCTAGGTTCGTATTTATGTGGATGCTGTAATTAATCATATGTGTGGTAACGCTGTGAGTGCAGGAACAAGCAGTACCTGTGGAAGTTACTTCAACCCTGGAAGTAGGGACTTTCCAGCAGTCCCATATTCTGGATGGGATTTCAATGATGGTAAATGTAAAACTGGAAGTGGAGATATCGAGAACTACAATGATGCTACTCAGGTAATTTTTTTACGAGAGTGATCTGAATAAAAGAGTAATATATGCCTTTTCTTGTAGACATGTAGCTAATTGAATTTCATTTAAAATAGGAATTTAGATCTCTTAGGGACAGAAGTTAACAAGTTTGACTACTTTAAGAAACTCAAATCCATATTTAAGAACTTTCAAATATTGATTTAAGATTTTTAATCAATACACATTTGCCCACTTCTAAGAAGTTCCCAATTAAAAATCTCATCGACTTTATTTCCTAAATTCTCTATTTTCTATTAGAAAATATTTCAAAGATACATCTGTAGTAGAATGTGAGCATCCCCAGTGCCCAATGCAAGGAAGTCACTATAGAATATCTCTTGAGGAATCATGGAATAAATGAATAATCCAATGGATTCTCAGGAGAAAAATGAGGTTTTATGAATCAATCATAACATTTTTACCTCAACAGGTCAGAGATTGTCGTCTGACTGGTCTTCTTGATCTTGCACTGGAGAAGGATTACGTGCGTTCTAAGATTGCCGAATATATGAACCATCTCATTGACATTGGTGTTGCAGGGTTCAGACTTGATGCTTCCAAGCACATGTGGCCTGGAGACATAAAGGCAATTTTGGACAAACTGCATAATCTAAACAGTAACTGGTTCCCTGCAGGAAGTAAACCTTTCATTTACCAGGAGGTACATCAATACTTATATGCCTATAAAATATCATCTTATTCGTTAGAAAATTAATGGAAGATTTAATTAAAAATGCAATTTCTGTAGGATAAGGAATGAGACATTTACATAAAACAGTGTTCTTTAACCTCCTCTTCTTCACATACAGCATATCTAATTCTTTATCACAACATGTTTTATGGAGGTACACAGAATGTAGGATACTGATAATAGTTATGTCTTTACTTTCTTTGGATAATGAAACAAGTTAATATTTATCAAGGAATTTCAGTCGATACTAAATGTTTTATTAGTGTGAGCTCTTATTATTATCATTGATGTAGAAGACTAAAAATTAGGTAAGTATTTTCACAGGACAACAGGTATCTTTGACATTATGCTTCTTTCAATATTGTAGCCTATACTTTATCAAATAAAAGAATATAAGAATATTACCTGTTGAGATAATAGGAATAAGAAAACCATTTTGCACATTTCGTGTAACAAACAGGACCAGGCATGGTGGCTCGTGCATGTAATCTCAGCACTTTGGGAGGCTGCGGCAGGGGGATTGCTTGAGGCCAGGAGTTTGGGACCATCCTGGACGACATAGCAAGACCCTGTCTCTAAAAAACAAAACAAAACAAGACAAAAAGAAATAATAAATAGCTTAATTTATTAATAAATAACAAATAGCATAAAGCTATTTTTATATAATATTAACTTATTGGTTAAAATGCTTTAAAGTCCTTACACAAAATGTTATTGTTTCCTAAATTTCTACTAGGTAATTGATCTGGGTGGTGAGCCAATTAAAAGCAGTGACTACTTTGGTAATGGCCGGGTGACAGAATTCAAGTATGGTGCAAAACTCGGCACAGTTATTCGCAAGTGGAATGGAGAGAAGATGTCTTACTTAAAGTAAATAAATACAACTTTTCCCTGAAGTATTTCATGGATCTATTAGTCATACTACCTCAGTGTGACTTATCTTCTGGAACATTCTTATTCAGACAACTATCAAAGAGTCAATTGTGAATGATAAGTATTCTAGTGCCCTAAACTCTAATCAATCATCTTTTGTATTTAGAGTGTCTGTCACAAGGCAATATGTCTAGGAACGCTAAACATACCCTAGGAGTTTTCATCTAAGTACGAGATGAATATACTGGATTTGACTGATGTTTGCATATAATCTTTTAAAGCCAGGTTATTATTAAAATGATCCTATCATTTATGAAGTATGTACAAAGTTTCCATCCTGTAGAATTTACATGTATTATATGAATTAAAAATATAAAAAATATTTATATTATAACAATACAGTATTGAAGCCTTATTTTAATCTAGTTTGATTAAACTAGATTGGTCTAGTTTGATTAAACTAGATTAAACTTCTTGGTCTAGGCACATGAATATTGTTGTGGGGAAGAGAATTCTGTATAATGTGATATGGATATTGATCCTTCTGGAGTGCCTCTAAATGATAATGTGCTGAAACCTCTGAAAGGACCTTTTTTAATAACAAAAATCTTATATTTGTAATATGAATGTAAGTATTCCATACATGTATATACAAATATGGACCATACATGTAGATTACACATGTGTGTGTGTTTGATGTGTGTGTATATATATGTGTGTGTGTGTTTGTGTGTGTATATATATATATATCTCTTACAGGAAAAGCATTTAATTAGAGAAAGAATTTAATCTTCAGATGCCATGCCTTACAGAGAGAGATGCACAGTTAAGTTACTCTCAAACTGTTGTGAAATGATACATCAACGTATATCTTATTTTTCAAAAATAGGAACTGGGGAGAAGGTTGGGGTTTCGTACCTTCTGACAGAGCGCTTGTCTTTGTGGATAACCATGACAATCAACGAGGACATGGGGCTGGAGGAGCCTCTATTCTTACCTTCTGGGATGCTAGGTAGAAAACCAAGTTCTCTATTTTTTTAACACGTCTTTTAATGATGGCAAGAATATTCTGACATCCTATGAAAATATAATTATGTAACTTCCAGGCTGTACAAAATGGCAGTTGGATTTATGCTTGCTCATCCTTACGGATTTACACGAGTAATGTCAAGCTACCGTTGGCCAAGACAGTTTCAAAATGGAAACGTAAGTTTTGGAGTTGTTCAATATATCCTTTTCTGAAGAAAAAGGAAGCAATCTTATTCTAACTTAACATGACAACTATTAATTATATATTTATTCAACAAATATTTAATTGATTGTAAACTGGATACAGGGCTGTGATTTTAGTAATGTAGGTTATATTAAAGGAGTAAAATTTATATTCTCCATTGACAAAGAGTATGCAAGCTGTTTCAGAGATATGACAAACATCCCCTTAGCCCGCAGGGAAACAAAAAACAAAAAACAGAAAAACACTCAAAACTAAGAGCTAGACACAGGGATTAAAATATATACTTCGAATAAGTACCTACCTCAGGGCTGATAGGAAGATTATACATGCCAACACTTTTAGAGAACTTAAAACATCATCTGCCCGTAGTGAGAACAATATAAATGTTTGTTAAATACTTTTAAAAAGTTATATGGAATAGAAAGAAATGAATCAATTGAGCTGAGTTAAATAGGGAAAGTATCATATAAGAGGAAGGAAATGATATGTACTAAAGAATAGAAATTTAGAGAGTATTCCAAGAAAGGTAAGAATGAGAAAAATATTTGGGAGTATGGTAAAGACATTAATCTGATGAGAAGTTTCAAAAAGGAACAGAGAAATTACAGTGTAAAGATATTTGGAAAGCTAGTAGAAGGTTTTCTTTTAAACTAAAGGGTTCAGAAACAGCATCAGAGACTTCAGAACTAAAGCAGAAATTCCTCCTTCCTATGAGTCACACGGATATCTAGCTAGCTTTTTTTAGATTCCTTTCAGTTTGAGAAGTCCGCACTTTGTATAGCAATTTATTCTATTGTTAAACAGCTTTAATATTTAGAAGGTGTACTTTTATATTGAGCCAACTTCTTTTAATTTCTACTAATTGGTCTTATTTCTGATGTTAGGAGTCATAGAGTATTTTTATTTTTTCTATTACTATAACATTTCCACTTTGCCAGGACTGCTGCATGCTAAAAACTCTTAGTTTTGTTCACTTTTCACCATATGACATGATTCTAAGGTCAACACTGAAAAACTTCCTAAGATTCCTCTGGATTTTTTAATGAAGATTTTTTAAAGTGCCAATCAGAAAACCATAATATGAAAAATGTGGTCAATTTATAAATAATGTTCAGATGTATTGTTTTGTACATTTATCTAAAAAGAAGCATGAATGATTCTAATATTTATTCAGCACATGTCACATTCAAGGCATTTTCACATATATTACTTAATTTTTATAGCAAAAAAACCAATATTCCCATTTTACAAATGAAGAAACTGAGACACAGAGATATTAAGTGTATTGATTAAATTTTCTCAGGTACTAGTAATAGAGCCTATGTTTTAATCCTGGTGTTTCTAGTACTAATGCCCTTCCCATTTCAATGACATTGCATGGCTTACCACGATGTTAAGAAGCTCTTGCAGGCCAGGTGCAGTGGCTCACACCTGTAATCCCAGCACCTAGTGAGGCGAGGCGAGAAGATCAGCTGACCTGAGGAGTTCAAGACCTATCTGGGCAAGCTAGCAAGACCTCGTCTTTACTGAAAATTTTTTAAAAATTAGCTGGTTGCGGTGGTGCACACCAACAGTCTTAGCTACTTAGGAGGCTGAGATAGGAGGATCGCTTGAGCCTGGGAGATCAAGGCTGCAGTGAGCTATGATCATGCCACTGTACTCCAGCCTGGGTGACAGAGCAAAGAAGCCTTTGCAGTTCTTTGGAATGAAAAGGAGAGGATAAAAATTTGTTACCTTGTTTGAAATATGCCAGAAGAAAACCAGAGGATAGAGAGATGATGAAGACCCAGTAAAGGGCTATAAACATTAATGAAGGCATTGGATTCTAGATAAAGTCACTGAATGCAGAGACACAAGTAACAGGATTGGTTGGGTTTGGTGTAAAGGAGAAGGAAGAGGTAAATACATGCATAGTAAAATTTGGCTTTTTCCCCCCTACTTAAGGATGTTAATGATTGGGTTGGGCCACCAAATAATAATGGAGTAATTAAAGAAGTTACTATTAATCCAGACACTACTTGTGGCAATGACTGGGTCTGTGAACATCGATGGCGCCAAATAAGGTGAGAATATGTATTTAGACATGTCCTCTAATAGTAAACTTTCCACTGCATTTTATTTAAAACAGTTGAAGTTTAAGAATATCAACGTTTTATATGGTATTGTGTTTTTAGGAACATGGTTATTTTCCGCAATGTAGTGGATGGCCAGCCTTTTACAAATTGGTATGATAATGGGAGCAACCAAGTGGCTTTTGGGAGAGGAAACAGAGGATTCATTGTTTTCAACAATGATGACTGGTAAGTAAATATCAATTAAAAATAATATTTTGTACCAGTATGTTCTTGGTTTATTCTTTTTTTTCTCTGTTCATTGACTTTTATCATATCTGAAAAATCATGTAGTCAGTGGAGCAAGAAGACAATAGAGATCAAAATTGGGCAGAAGCAAAAGGATGATGGCTGTTACTCCTTCGTTCTTTTTTTTTCATAAGTGCTTTCTGTTGTAAGCAGAATCCTTTCTGTGCACCCTTGCAGTATCATATGCATATATATGATGCACATGCATATGCTCACCTACACATGCCACAAAATCAATATATAAAATCACAATCAATATAAGGATTGTGAAATCATTAAAAAAAAGTGTCTTATAATCCTGCTTTTTTAACCATGGAGAAATGCTGCCTAGGTACTAAAATATCTTTATTTCTAACTCTTTTTCTCAATGACTGCTCTACGTAGTTTTTTGGTACACTTTCTTCACTTCTCTGTCTCCTTGTGACAAATAACATTTTTAAAGCACATGTATGAATAATATGTATCTTGTGGTTACTGTTTTGCTTCAGGAGATTTGAGTTTTATTTTTGAAACTTCTCATTATTGGCCTTTCATCTGTGATTCTTATATGCTTTACCTGAAGCATAAATGATTATCTAAGATATAGCTCAGAAGACCTTGGTGTAAACAGTTGAATTGTCCCTGTCCAAGACCAACTGACACTCATACTTAGCTCACTCTAGTATAAATTATATTTCACTGATGAAAAGTAAATAAATACATCAATATACAAGTCAAGTTGATCTCTTTCCTGCCAAAAAAGCCCATGTCTAGTTTTTTAATTTCTTTCTTTTGTAGATGAAAATACCAAAATAAGTTTTTGTGAAAAAGCTTTATATTTCAAACTATCACTTCTTCATAGAAATGCTAGATTATTTTTATGTGCATCCCAAATTCGTTTTGATCTCATGGGAGAAGAAGGAGGTTAAAAAATAATACCCTTTAAATTTTTAAGAGTAATTGGTATTAATTTCAGTTGAGAACAAATTTGATTTTACCAAGGTAGAACTTTTATCAAAGTGTGACCGTTCCTGCCAATCTTCAGTGATATTCTTCAACTTTGATGTTTTGGTAATATTTTCACTACTAACCAGGAAATTGCTAGGTTTTCTGTAAGGTTACTTTTGGTCCTAGAAAGCTATTTCCACCTACTAGAGAGGCATATGGGTTTTCTTCTTAATAAGACTTCACTGCTTAGGTTTGTTTCTACAACATAAAGTTATGCTGTTTATTTGTGTTAGTCTGTATTCTTGATTTTCATTGTATTGAAGATCAACCTTAAATTTTATTTTACAGGTCATTTTCTTTAACTTTGCAAACTGGTCTTCCTGCTGGCACATACTGTGATGTCATTTCTGGAGATAAAATTAATGGCAATTGCACAGGCATTAAAATTTACGTTTCTGATGATGGCAAAGCTCATTTTTCTATTAGTAACTCTGCTGAAGATCCATTTATTGCAATTCATGCTGAATCTAAATTGTAAAATTTAAAATTAAATGCATGTCCTCAAAACAATAGCCAAGTGTGTTTCTTTTCTTACATGTACAGCAGTACTTATATTTCATTAATTTTTACTAAAAGCTCTAATTAGTAATTAGAGGTTCAAAAAAGTTGATAGTGTGAAACACAATTCCAGGTTACACAGAAGTTATTTATTTTGGCAAAAGGATGTCTCAGAAATTTTAAAACTAGGCAACAACCTTTACTCATTAAGAGGGAAGACTTAGCTTTCCAAACAGTCTGTCTCCTGTCTACTCTTTTCTCTCCTTGGCAGTCTACCAACAAGGCAAACCAAATATTTCATTATTCTTCTCTATTACATGAAAAATCTGTACAAGGGAAAGAAAACCAAATTTTACCCTTACATTGGTTTCAAAACATTCCTTTTTCCATAGGCAACGTTTACATTTTTATGCCTTTTTATAATCTTTTATGACAAACACATTTTACTGTTTTTACACACATTTTACACACTTTGCATGTAAATTTATTTTTAGTTGTCTTATTTACATGTTTTAATGGTAAATCTTAACTTTGCCATTTTAGTTAAAATGGTAACTTTAATGTAAAACCTGGTAAGTTTTTTCAATTATGTACTAGATGCAGATAAAGTCTGACTTTTTCCATCCTAGTTAGGGGCATGGTTAATTTCATATGTCCCCAGGCCTTATCAAGTTGTAAAGTAGGCAGTATACAACCTTGAAACATTTAGCAAACCTGGTATCTAACTTATATGATTTAAACCTCCTATTTACGTGTTGATGATATTTGCATTTTCCAATTTGATCTTTAAAACAATTTTTATTTCTTAGAGATGAAAGTCACATAAACTAAAAGGCATTGCAGTTTTAACTTTCCTCTAAAATGTTTGATTTAAGTGCATATTTTTATTTCAGGCAATCAGTTATAGCTCGTTACAGACATCACACACAACACATA
The DNA here is from genome assembly GCF_000001405.40 of Homo sapiens. Taxonomy (NCBI): domain Eukaryota; kingdom Metazoa; phylum Chordata; class Mammalia; order Primates; family Hominidae; genus Homo; species Homo sapiens. The sequence continues at coordinate 103,626,703 of NC_000001.11, forward strand.
TATCATTACACAGACAAACAGAAGCAGATCCAGTAGTTCTAAGATTTCTTCCTGTCCCACTTCCTAATTGAATTATTGGCTTCCCAGTAGAGCCCTTTAAGAGCAGGGATAGAAAAACCATGAAGTTTCTAGGGCCTAATCAACTTGTATAGCTGTAAGACAAAAGCAGATTTTGAGTGGGATCTATCAGCCTCTAAATTCTGGGATTCCATCAGGAAAACAGAGGTTTCTCCCAAAATGGAATCCACTGTGCCTTTTCTGTTTTTCCCAAAAAGTTTCAGGCCACCAGACATTACCTTGGGTGCATCAAGAGTGGAAAGACAGAGCGGAGGACAGTAATTCAGCCAACAGAAAAATTCTTTTCAAGAAAAACACAATCCAAGAAGAGAAAAACATACGGGCCTTTTAAATATACCTATAACTTGAATATCCACTTTTAATCAAGCTGAGCACTCTTTCAGAAATTCCTTTGAAATCTTCTGTTACCTGACTTTAGCTAAATCAAGCAGGTAATATTTCTGGCTTTTGAACTTTACTAAAAGTAACATCACAGGTGAAAACAACAACTCTCAATCAGGTTATAAGTTAACTGTGAGTATTCAAGATATTTTATAAGTGGTGGTAAGCAGCTTTTACTAGATCTAGAAACTTTAAAGGCAATTTAGAGAAAGGAAGATTTCAGAAAGGAAATTAGAGTTGTTCATGGAGGAGGAAGAGATGATTAAAGGTCATACAGCTATTAAATTGAAAGTATTCATCACCCAAGCTAGGATTGAACCTGGGCCACCATTGTAAAATGGCAATGGCTAAAAAAGTCCTGCCACAAGGTTACAGGTTATGCTCAAGACATAAAACAAGATAGAGGCATGCAGCAAAGTTTGTTACTTACCAGTTTATGTGGGTGACTTGAATAGTGAGCTTATGGAGTCCCAGGCCTGGATTCCATTCCAACGTATTCCAACCCGTTCCAAGATGGGTTGTTACCCATGCAGAAAACGGGGGGAATATAAGGTGTCCCTTAGTCTCCTTTCTCCTTTTGAAGTGACCCAGGATGAAGCAAAAGATTACAGGGGTGTCCCTGTTCTCCTCTTTCCTCCCATCTCCTTTGGGTCCCGGTAACCATCATAGGTGCTGTCCATGGATGAAAGCATGAATTGCACCCATGGATGTGGAGGTGCTAGCTGGCAGGAGTAGTCATTTTTACCAGCACAATGCCTCCTCACACTGCTCTTCTGGGTTCCTAGGCCTCCCAGGAGATTCTACAGTAGATAAAGTTGGGTGAGACACTTTAATAGAGGGAGTGTTTTAACCCTATTCCTGCCTCCTCTAGTTATGGACCTGGAAAAGCAGTGCATTCCCAGAAAATTTTATCCATTGACATTTAAATATAAAATCCCCTTTCTGTTTAAATGCCAATGTGGTTGGAAGCAGAACAGGTGTCTCAAAAGAACATATAGATTTAATGGCTGTCCTCCTTCTGATGGAAACAGCACTAAGGCTAGAATTTGTCTCTCAAGGGTGGCTTCCTCCCAACTGTTGAATGCGGAGTTTTTTTCCTTAGAAATGGGGCATAGGGTCTGCTTGCTGTTAGAGGAACACAAAAGAGGGAGAAATCTGGGCATTAGAATTTTTTGGCGAACGGCCACCAAGAATTTTTACGGAGAAAAATAGCCTATCTCATGAGGTGGTGCTGTAGGGTCTGAAAAGTTATGTAAAATCTGTGACTCTAAATTTTTTCCAGGAAGAAGTTAGAAAGAGAGGTTTGGGGTTTAACAGGCTGTCACTGTATATGCCTCCCAGCAGTAGAAAATTAACTTGTCTCATTAATAAACTGTTCAAATTCATTCAGCAGTGCTGAGCTTTTACATGAAGGAAAAGCAACTGAAATGGAGAGGGATGAGGGTATTCACTTGGGGTGAAATATCTTCTCATAGAGTGCCATGAATGACTGCTATTGCGGGACAAGAAGCACTTACTAGGTGAAGGTTTAGACTGAAATCTTGAAATCCCCTGGTATTTTGTGTGTCTGATTACCTTTCCAAAGGAATAAAATCAGATATGTATCCATCTCAGTGAGCAGAGGGGTGACTTTGAGTAGAATGGGAGGAAGGTTTGTTCTAAGTAGTTTCCCGCTTGCATTTTCCCCAGTGATTTCAGGGGCCCAGTATATTTTCCTTTCACACATCTGACAAGGGATTAATAACCAGAATATCTACGGAGCTCAAACAACTCTAGAGGGAAAAAAAATCTAATAATTGCATCAAAAAGTGAGCAAAAGATTTGAATAGACATTTCTCAAAAGCAGACAGACATATGGTAAACAAGCATATGAAAATGTGCTCAACATCATTGATCAGAGAAATACAAATAAAAACTACAATGAGATATTATCTCACCCCAGTTAAAATGGCTTTTATTTAAAAAACAGACAATAACAAATGCTGGTGAGGAGGTGGAGAAAAGGGAACCATCATACACTTTTTGTGGTTATGTAAATTAGTACAGCTGCTATGGAAAACAATTTGGAGGTTCATCAAAAAACTAAAAATAGAGCTATGATGTGATCCAGGAATCCCACAGCTAGGTATATACCCAAAAGTAAGAAAATCAGTATATTGAAATGATAACTGCACTCCCATGTTTATTCCAGCCCTGTTCACAATAGCTAAGACTTGGAAACTACCTAAATGTCCATCAACATATGAATGGATAAAGAAGATGTGGTACATATATACAATAGAGTACTATTCAGCCATGGAAAAATGAGATCCTGTCATTTGCAACAACATAGATGGAACTGAACTGTACATTATTATGTGACGTAAAATAAACCGGCCCAGAAAGACAAACATCACATGTTCTCACTTATTTGTGGGAGCAGCAATTCCAAACAATGGAACTCACGGTCATAGAGAGTAGAAAGATGGTTACTAGAGGCTGAGAAGGGTGGATGGGAAGCAAGTGTGAATGTTCAATGAGTACAAAAAACAGAAGAATGAATAAGACCTAATATTTGACAGCACAACAGGGTGACTATCGTCAATAACAACTTAATTGTACAATTTAAAATAACTAAAAGAATATAATTAGATTGTTTGTAACATAAAGGTAAATGCTCGTGGTGATGGATAACCCATTTACCCTGATGCTATTACTACACATTATCTGCCTGTATCAAAATATGACATATGCCCTATAAGTATATACACCTCCTAGGTACCAACAACAATTAAAAATTTAAAAAAGTGTATCCTTCCCAGTGAACCGAAATATTTTACATTGATCATTTTTACATTATCATAGTGTGTTGGAATAATCATAGCTTTGGAAAGAAAAAAAATAAATGTAAACTTTCAAAGATGGCAGGAGATATAGATCTCTCTTTCTTTAGTGGATTTAAATATGCAATTTGTTATCAACATTGCACTGACAATTTTTAACACAGGCCATATTCTGGAAATGATATGATTATAGGAGTTATAGGAAAAAGCATTTTTTCATACTGTGATTATCTAGGCTATGAGGAAAAGAGATATTTCCTCTATGATGTCTAATTTAGCATAATTATTCTTTTTAAACTATATTTAGATTTAATTAAGAGATACACAAACAAATTACTTTTAGTAGTAAGAAGAGTTTTTAAAATGTTTTGTGTAAGATGACTATGTAGTAAAGAAGGTTACAAACCTGCTTTTTAACTTAGAAAAATAATCTCACCTTCTTGCCCCATGGAAAATTGAAATGTTATGTGGAACCCAATGTACAAAAACTCTCAGTGAGGATTTCTGTCTTAAGTTTCAACGGATTGAGGTGAGATCAGTGCCTGTTCCACCTTTTTCCTCCCTGTCCTAGGTGACTTGATAACATTTATACAGCCATAAAATTTTGCTTTTAAATTCAAGTATAGAAAATAAACTTTAAAATGTGATATTTTTATATATTTTACCTTAATAATTTATATGGGAAATATTTTTGAAAGGTTAAAAAATTAAAATTTTTAAAAGAGTATAGTGAAATAATCTAATCACATGTGGAAATTGTGTTACTATTTCCCCAAGCATTTTTTGTACATGTAATTGAAAATGAGTTGAATGTAACTCATAAGTAGTATAAAAGTGTTTAATATTTAATTTTCTGCTGCAGTAATGTGACATAACAACCTTAAATTCTTGGTACTTTAAACAAGATATTTTTTTTCTCCCAAATTTCTAGGTTATTTAAGGGCAGTTCTGCTTCATATTGCAGTTTGCCTGGGCTTTACTCCAGGCTGTGTGTTGGAGTTAGGTCTAATCTATTGTATCCCTACACATCCCACTTAGAAAAGCTAACAAATTTCCTTTGGACTTCAGTCAGTTCGATTGTATTTGTCATTCAAAAGCCAAATCATTTATCCTAACACCAACGGCTTATTTATTTATTTATTTGTTTGTTTATTTATTTATGTTTTAGAAGGAGTTTTTCTCTTGTTGCCCAGGCTGAGGTGCAATGGCGCGATCCTGGCTCACCGCAATGTCCCCTTCCCGGGTCAAGGGATTGTCCTGACTCAGCGTCCTGAGTAGCTGGGATTACAGGCATGCACCACCATGCCCAGTTAATTTTGTATTTTTAGTAGAGATGGGGTTTCTTCGTGTGGATCATTCTGTTCTAGAACTCCCGACCTCAGTTGATCCGCCAGCCTCAGGCTCCCAAAGTGCTGGGATTACAGGCGTAAGCCACCGCTCCCAGCCTAACCGATTGCTTCTTTTGTTCTGTAGTCTTTTGCCAAAACTGTTATTCTCTGGACTCACTTTCACCTTCTCTCACACATACATGTCCCTCGTGTCCCTTTGTGTCTCCAGGGTCTTCTATTTCCACGTAATCTTAATTTTTCATCACATCCTGGACTCATGAGTAATTAATCTGTTATTCTCCCTGAAAGTGCAGCCTTGTTGAATAGAATGTGTTCTTTAAACAGCAGCTTTGTTTCTCGAGTGAGGTATTAACTTCCAGATTTAGGTGAAAATGAGTTCCAAGTTTTATGTTTCATTGTGTGTCTAAGACTGACACCGTTTATTACCGTGGCACTTACAGCTTGCTTTCAATGCCTCCAAATTCTCTATCTGAAAGGCTGGGTACCATATCTCATGTCTGAACATAGTCCTCAGAATCATGCAGTACCAGCTATGTTCCTTCTGTATATTATGGCTTCCGAGGTGCCTGTTAAGCAGCCAGGTGAAATTGCCTTTTAATCAATATAGGAACCAGTCTCTTTCCTGGTGATGCTAATGCTTTTTATAAAAAGGCCATGCTGTATTGAAGTTCTTCTTTCAGGACAAAACCACTAATGGAACTCATCTACCTACTGATGGGTGGAAGCTCTTGGTATGCCAAAGTCTTGTTTTGTTTGTGAAGAATCTCTTTCCCTCAACAGTGATGTGCTACGTTAGGTCTCAAATCATTGTTGCGTTTTAATCCAAATTTATGACAAAGATTTTCAGTTTGTATGCATAATTTCCTTCTCTGGCCTTAACCATCAGTCTGTGGACTTGCCAAGCAACAACAACAACAAGAACAACAAGTCTGAGGTCAAGAGACACTATTTAGATCTCAGAATCATTTGTTGTCATTTATCCTTTGATAAAGTTTTGCCTTTCTTTCTTTATGAGTATATTTCCTCTCATGGTTTCCCAATCTCTTGAGAAAAAGAAAGTTCTTGCCTCTTGCAGTCTTTCTCATTAGTTGAATTATACCAGCAGTTCAGCTTCTGATCCTGTCGAGAAATCCACCATGAAGAAATAAAACATTTCTGATTACATGGATTACGTTTCCTGGATTCTTATAGGCATTAAACTTAGTTCTAGGATACAACCGCATGATCTTCTCTTATTCTCAGAACAAGAAATATATTACTATATACATTACAGTTTGTATATATTGCAGTTTATATAGAGTATATGTATATGTACTGTATATATATATGTACACATATATATAACAGTAAACCCTGTAGGCAAGCAGGAAAACTTCAGAATTCTCAATGAATCCATCATTAGCTGTTAGTAATGACAACACTATTAGAAGTATTTCAATAATCAAACATTGTTGTGGTCTGTATGTGCACCCCCAAAAGTAATATCTTGAAATTCTAACACCTGAGGGCATAGTATTTGGAACTTGGGAGTGGAATTCTTTTTTGTGCTATTATGAATAAGATGCTTGCCTCTTCCATCAAATGAGGACACAGCCACAAGTTACCCTCTAGGAGCTAGGAAGTTAGTCTTCACCAGACACAAAATCTGCTTGATTTTGAATTTAGTCTCCTGAACTGTGGAAAATAAATTTCTGCTTTTATAAGCCACTCAGTTTATGCTATTTGGTTATAGTGGCCCAAAGAGAGTAAAAAGACACATTATTTACCTCCTTTGTGGACTCTCTGGAGTTGTTGCTTTAAACTTGCTTTAGTGCCTAACACTGCTCCAACTCCCTGTCCTTTAGCACACACGGATAAATAATTCTGCTGGGAACTGACATGTTTCACTCAGGCATCCAAATGTATTTATTATGTTGTCAAAATATATAGCACTTGTTACAATGTTTCCATGTTAGACATATTTTGAGATATATGCCTTAACACTGTGCTGTGATTATTATTAATATCTAGTAACTAATCTTACCATATCTAAACTCAAAGTTTTCACGATAACACTGCCTTATTAGGGACTGAATTTTTTAAAGTATGAAGATCTTACATCAAGTCCAAATTGATTCATCTGATAGTCTCGCAGTAAAATCAACGCCACAGAATTATCTATTCTGTTTCTTGTCTTGTTGTAGCTGATATTCTGTGATTGGACATATTGCTAATATCTATTAACCTTAGCATAAAATGTCATATTGAAATTGAAGAGGAATATTGGAACTTGGCTAAGAAAGATTGCTTTTCAGACACAGTGAGAACTAAAATGGACCCTCTGTTCCTGGAGGTATATTTTACAAAAATTGGGTGCTATTATAGGAATTCTGTACAATTCTATCTTATGCACTTGTGTTCCATCAGTGTCAATCCTCTCTGTATTTTAAATTGACTATGATTTCTTTTTCCATCTTTCTGTTTGTCAAGTATTCTTTTGCTGAAAATTTGTTATTCATGTTCCAACAGAAAATAGATTTTTTTTCTTTTAACTCATTGGAAAGAATATTTAGAGTCTTTAGTGACAAATGACATGGTATAAATGAAAAGAAAATACTGACATTGTACTTGAGAAATACTAATTAATTGGGAGAATATTAATTAAAAGACATTGTTTAAATATTTCTATCACAAATTGACAGCAGAACAATACACACCACCAGCAAGGTATAATAGTAGATATGAGAGGTAAAATGATTAATTAGATATTGCATTTTCTCCAGAAAACTTATTATTTAGTGGAAACTGGCCAATAATTTCTTAGGCCTTAGGATAATTTTACCTTTGATTCTCTAGTTAATCAAAAATATATAAAAATATTAACCAAAAGTATATATTTTTAAAATACCTACATAATCTAATGCAGTATGTTTCGCTCTCTTCTTGAAGTGAATTAAATTCCTTATCACTGACCATAAAATTTAACTACATAGATGATTCTTGTTTAAAATAGTTAAAAGTGAACGTAAAGATCAGTTTTGGTTTTCCTTTTCTTACCCCCGTTTTTTACACTTATATTTGCCTGTGTCATTCATATACTTTTAGAATCCAAAACAATAATTAAAAACATAATCATTTGGTTTTCAAAAGCTTTTTGCATCTCTAGAAAGTTAATATAGAGTCTTATAAAACTTTTAGCTAATTCAAAAACAAATCACACATATATAATTGAAGCAAACTTTGTTTGGTAGACTTCTTCGAACCACAGAAATTTCAGTTATGGCATGGTAGGTCTTTTGAAATGTTTCATTTTTTATATTTGGAGATGCACAACAAAAGTCTTTCCACTCCAACTCCCCTTTAATAAAAACAGAATGTAACAAAAATATCAAAATCTGTAGGAAAATAACCCATTCGTCTATGTTAAAGCTATGAGATTTCCAGCCCAAATAAATTATAAGAACCAGTATAGAGGCCGGGCGCGATGGCTCACACTTGTAATCCCAACACTTTTGGGGGCTGAGGCAGGCGGATCAAGAGTTCAGGAGATCAGGACCATCCCAGCTAACACGGTGAAACCCCATCTCTACTAAATATACAAAAAAAGTAATTAGCCAGGCACAGTGGCGGGTGCCTGTAGTCCCACTACTCAGGAGGCTGAGGCAGGAGAATGGCCTCATCCTGGGAGGTGGAGTTTGCAGTGAGCCGAGATCACACCACTGCACTCCAGCCTGGGAGATAGAGTGACACTCTGTCTCCAAAAAAAAAAAAAAAAAAAGCATGTAGAAATACTAATACAGTGAAATCTGGACTGATATATAAAGAAAATAACCAACAGATTTTGTCTATGGCACAAAATTCTTAGAAATTTTGAGATCTTTAGCCTTATAGACCTAACAAAATATTTATTAGTTTGAACAGTGAGGTACTGGGATATGCTGGGCTTTGAGGCTATACGCAAATCTAATTTTAGAAGTCAGGAACTGTTGTAAGCAATAGCAAAGAATATGTTTGATGATCAGCTTGGCAATTGTTGAACAAGCTTCATTCAGCACTGTGAGGATGTAATTAAAGCAGTTGCCCTGCAATCTATTCACTCTCTTCACTGGCGAATGGCCCAGGCATAAGACTAGAAGGAAGATGAACTGGTTTAGTCTCTTTGTCAGCTGAAATTTTGGTGAAAGAGACTACTGATATTTTTCTAGGATGAAGGGATCTTATCTCTGAAATACCCTTTGCAGGTTATTCCTGGCTGAAACAAATGCACAGATCCTTTCTTCTTGATCAATTTTGCTGTCGATTCTCATTTTACATTCTTTATTTCATTTATTTTATTCTTTAGCTCCAGAATTTTTGTTTGGGTTCCATTTTTTCCATCTCTCTGTTGAACTTCTCATTTGGTTTGTGTTTTGTTTTTTTCAAGTTTTAGTTGAATTGCCTATTTGTCCTCTTGTAACTCATTACTTTCCTTTAAAACAATTATTTGACAGGAAAAACTGCACAAAAATAGAAAAATCTATAAATCACATGACGAAGAATTCAAAATAATTATTTTAAAGAATTTCTGAATTTGCAGCAAAAGTTTGCTATAGAGCAACATGAAAGCACAGAAAAGTATGAAACTCATTGATTAAGGTAAATATATAAAAAATGCAGAACATGCTAATAGTATAATAGTGGTGTGTAAATCTCTTTTATTGCTAGTATGAAGGTTAAAATACCAAAGTAATAATAATTATAGCTACAATAATTTGTTAATAGATACAGAATATTAAAAATATATAATGTGACATCAAATATATAAAATATGGTGGGCTGAGTAAAAGTATAGGGTTTTGAATATGATCAAAGTTATCAGTTTAAAAGAGTTTGCTCCAATTACAAGATAGTATATATAAGCATCATGCTAATCAAAAAGACAAAACCTATGGTAGATACCCAAAAGATAAAGAGAAATCAAACCATGTCAGTACAGAAAATCATGAAATCTCAAAGAAAGACAGCAAGGGAGAAATAAAGAAACTAATAATATGTTAAAAAGCCAAAAAACAATGAACAAAGTGGCAATTGTATGTTCTTACCTATCAATAATTACCTTGAAGGTAAATTCATTCTATTCTACATTCAAAACCCAGAATGGCTGAATGGATTACAAAAGAAGACCCATCAATATGCTGCCTACAAGAGACTCACTTCAGCTTCAAGGACACATATGGAGTGAATGTAGGGGATGAGAAAATTTGATATTCCATGCAAATTAAAACCAGAAAACAGCATGGATAGCTATCCTTATATCAGGCAAAATATACTTTAAGATACAACTGTAGCAAGTGATAAAGATGGTCATTAAATAATGAAAAAGTGGTGAGTTGATTAAAGGGATGAAACAATTATAAATAAATATGCACTTAACATTGAAGCACCTGAAAATATAAAGCAAACATTAATATCTGGAGGGACAGATACACAGCAATCAATAATATTAGGGAAATAGGTAACCTTATTGATACTGTTGCAATTATCAATACTCCAATTGCAACAATGGATAGATCATTTAGATAGACAATCTATAAGGAAAAAAAACATTAGACTTGATCTGCACTTTAGACCAAACGGACCTAACAGATGTATGTTCACATTTCATCTACAGCTGGAGAACAGGTGTTCTTCTCAAGCTAACAAGAAACATCCTCCAAAATAGAGCATATTTGAAATTACAAAATGTCTTAATACATTTAAGAAGATTGAAGTTGTATCAAGTATCTTTTTTAACCACAATGGTATATAACTAGAAATCAGCAACAGGAGGAAAACTGGAAAATTCAAAAATAAGTGAACATAATGCAATCCTTAACAAAAAGTGTTTTAAAAAGGAAATGAAAAGGAAAATAAAAAATCTTGATACAAAAATGAAAACACAATACTCCAAAACTTGTGGCATGCAGTAAGACCGTGCTAAGAAGAAAATTTGTATGACAAACACCTACATTAAAGAAAAAACATCTCAAATAATCTATCATTAAACCTCAAGGAACTAGATAAAAAGAAGAGCAAACTAAGCCCAAAGCTAATACAAGAAAGCAAAGAAATATCAAAGCAAAATAAAGAAATAGACAGTAGAAAAATAATAGAAATTGAAAGACTTTCTGTGTTCATCAATGGGAGAAATCAATACTGTCAAAATGCTATTGGACAAAACAATCTACAGATAAATGTAATCCCTATCAAATGTCCAGCGGCATTTTTCACAGAAACAGAAATAAATACTAAAATTTGTATGAAATTACAAAAGACTATAAGTACCTAAAGTGATCTTGTGCAAGAAGAACAAACAGGAGGTACCACACTTCTCACTTTCAAGTTATATTACAAAACTACAGCAAATTTTATATATACTGACATGAAAACAGTGACATAGAAGAATGGAACAGAATAGAAAGCCTAGAAATAAACCTACACCAAGACGGTCAAAAAATCTTCAATAACATGCCCAAAATACCTAATGGAGACAGGATAGTCTCTTCAATAAATAGCGTTTAGAAAAACTGCAGGCCCACATGCAAAATAATGAAATTTGACAGTTATAATATGCACAGGAATAAATTGAACATTGAAAAGGAATTTAAACTTAACATCTGAAACCAAAGAATCCCTAGAAGAAACCAGGGGAAATCCTCCTTAAGATTGACCTTGGCATGATTTTTTGGCTATGAATCTCAAAATATAGACAAGACAAACAAAAATAAACACATGGAACTACACCAAAGTAAGAGGTTGCTGCACAGTAAAAAAAAAAATAATAATTAATTAATTAATTAATTAATTAAAAAGGTCACCCATGGAATGGTAGAAAATACTTGAAAACAATATATCTGATAATGGATTAATATCTGAAACAGATAAGAAACTAATAATCAGAAAAAAATCCTGATTAGAACATGAGCAAGAGACCTGAACAGACTTTTTTCCAAGGTAGACTTGCACATGGCCAACACATGAATGAAGAGGTGCACAAAATCACTAAACAAGTGGGAAATATAAACTGAAATGAAAATGAGATGTCACATTACATCTTTTAAAATGGCCAATATAAAAAGCCAAAAGATAGATAGTGTTGACAAGGATGTATCAAAACGAGAATGCTTATAGAGTTTTGGTGGGAATGTAAATTGGTACAACCATTATGGAATACAGCATGGAGGGTCCTCAAATAATTAAAGACTTACCATATGATGCAGCAATTATACTTTTAGGTATAAATTTATATACCTGTGGGTGTGTTGGCTCACACCTGTAATTCCAGCACTTTGAGAAGCTGAGGCAGGCAGATTACATGAGGTCAGGAGTTCAAGACCAGAGTTGCCAACATGGCGAATCCCTGTCTCTACTAAAAACCATAAAAATTAGCCAGGTGTGGTGGTGGGCACCTGTAATCCCAGCTACTTGGGAGGCTGCGGCATGGAGAATTGTTTGAACCTGGGAAGCAGAGGTTCCAGTGAGCCGAGAACTTGATGCCATTTTATATAATTATCCTTTCACAGACAAAAGAAATCTAATCACTATCTTGAAGAGATATCTGCATTCCTGTGTTCATTGCAGCATTATTCCCAAAACCCAAAATATGGAAACAACCTAAGTGTTGATAGATGAGTAGTATGTGAATTGTGATATCTATCATCTATCTATCTATCTATCTATCTATCTATCTATCTATCTATCTACAATGGAATATCATTCAGTATTAAAAAGAATGAAATTTGGCCCTTTGTAACAAAATGAATGACCCTAGAGGATATTATGCTAAGTGAAATAAGCCAGGCAGAGAAAGAAAAATACTACAGGTACAACCATGCAAACTTGCCATTATAAGATGAATAAGTTAGGGAGATCTAACGTACAACATGGTAACAATAGATAATAATAATGTATGCTTTAAGTTCATGGAGTGTAGATCTTAAGTATTATCCTTTCCCAACATGTGATAACTATGTGAAGACATGAATATGTTAATTAGCTTGATAGTGAAAATCATTTTAATATATACTTGATGGGCGCAGGGTGAGAGGAGAGTGAGGGTCAAAACACTACCTGCTGGGGACTATGCTCACTAGCTGGGTGATGAAATCATTTGTACACCAAACCCCAGCAACATGCAATTACCCACGTAACAAACCTGCACATGTACCTCCTGAACCTAAAATAGAAGTTGAGAAAAGAAAAAGAAGATATCAGTTTCCTATAGGGAGCTCCAGGTTTGTTCCAAACAGTAGAGAGACAAACCTATCAAGGATGAAATATATACAAGAGTAGGCACAACTTAAACAATGTGTGTAAGGCAATCAATTCTATATAACTCAGCAACTCCTAGGCTTCTTATCAAATAAAATCACTGATGTGTCATAACTTCTAAACTAAAAACAACACAAATGCCCATTCACAGTAGAATGAATAAATAAATTACTTTTGCTTCCCACAGGGGAATACGGCACAGCAATGAAACAATGATCTGCTGCTACACAAAATGTAGATGATTCTTACAAACTTCAACTGAGTGAAAGAAGTCAGACTCAAAAGAATACAGATAGCAACTTTCCATTTATATGAAATTGAGGAGCAGGGAAATCCATCGTGATAGAGTTCATGATAATGATGACCTTTGGTGAGTAACTGGTTGAGAAAGTGCAAGAGAGTGGTTGTGGGAGCTGGAAATACTCCATATCTTGCTTGATTTGAGTGATGATGGGGATATATACACTTATAAAAATTATAATGCTATATGCTTAAGATTTATGTATTTTACTATTTGTAAGATATATATTAGTTGAAAAAATGCTGCAGTGTAAAGGAAACCAGTAAAAATATGCTACCTAGAATTGTAGATTTGTTTAACAAAAAAGCATTTGAGTAGTCTATTGATTATTAGTTAGCAAGTTTATATTAAGCATCATTGTCCTGAATACTTTTTAGTATGTACCAGTAAGTGTTTGCCTTTCTCAACTAGGGCTAATTAAAAAAAACTCAAAACCTCATGTTGTACACATTGAATATATATAATTTTAACTTGTGAATTATACCACCATAAAACTAAAAATCTAATTAAAATGAGTTCGAATAAATTTTAGGGAAAATAGGATAATGAAAATTATGAGCTTAAGAATATGCATAGATAAAAAATAAACTGTTGATAGAAATTTTATTGTTATATTTCAGAAAATCATATAAAAAGCTGTGCTAAAAGTTTCCAGAGAGAGAGTACATAGTTCTCCTGCAGTGGATTAAAATGAGATTAGCATTGGAGTACTAGTCTAAAACCACAGATAGAGTCTGGAGTCAGATCTCAGAAATACAATATATTTGATAAGTAATGAGAGACAAGTTATTTAAATTTTTGGGACCTAAACATCCAGTCTGTAAGTTTGTTGAAAAAAATAAACAGGCTAAAGAGACCTTAATTTACAGGGAGGGCTAAATTATTACCTATTATTGTAAAACATAATAGCAGTGACATTAAAAGCTTGAGTGCTGTAGAACAATATATTGAAAATCACTTTTTGAAGTTATATACATATTTATATTACTTTAATAATTTGCACAATGTAGGAAGAAAAGCTTGCTTTGCACAGGCAACATTTTGCCAAATAATCTCCAAATCATCATGAATTCTCAATTAGTCAGATTAACAATAATAAAATTTTATTGTAGAGGAGGATTATTTTTTCATTAATATATTTGTACCTACACATAGTGTATATGTAATATTTTGTTACCTGCCTGGACTTTACAATGATCAATTCAAAGTATCCGGGGTGTCCATAACCTCAAGTATTATTTCCATATGTTAAGAAAGTTTCAAGTCCTTTAGCTATTTTGGAAAATACAATACATTGCTGTTTATATGTAGTCACCTTACTCTGCTATGAAATATTAGAACTTATGTCTTCCAAGTAACTGTATGTTTGGACCCATTAACAAACTTTTCTTTATTCCTCCCACCCACAGAAACTCTTTCCAGCCTCTGGTATCTATGTATTATTCTATTCTCTACCTCCATGAGATCAATATTTTTAGCTTTCACGTTCTATTCTTAGAATAAGAACATGTGATGCTTGTCTTTCTGTGCCTGGCTTATTTCACCTAACACAATGACTTCCAGTTCCAACCGTCTTGCTGTAAATGATAAAATTTCATTCTTTTTTATGGACAAAAACTCTTCCACTGCTTGTATATATACCACGTTGCTTTTATTCATTCATCCATTGATGGACACAGGTTGATTTCATATCTTTGCTATTGTGAATAGTGCAATAAATATGAGAGTGTGGTTAACTCTTTGATATACTCATTTATTTTCCTTTGGATACATAGCTAGTAATAAATAGCTTGCACCTCTGGTCTCAGCTACTTGGGAGACTAAGGCAAGAGGATTACTTGAGCCCCCGAGGTTTAGATTGCAGTGAGCCGTGATCACACCACTGCGTTCCAGCCTGGGTGACAGAGTGAGACCCTCTCCCTCCTCAAAAAATCCTTAAGAAATATGTTGATGCCTGGTTCCCTTATTCAGAATTTTCATTTGATGTGTTGAGAGTGTAGCACAGAAGTTGGAATAAACCTCTCAAACTGATTTTGATGTGCAACCAAGGTCGGGAACCACCAAGGAAGAGTTTTTATGCATAAAGATTCCTATACTCTATCCTAGAACTAATACATATGAATCTCTGGGAATGGAGTATAAGACTCGGATTTGAAAAGGTGTCCTTAGTTATTCTAAGGACTGAGCAGTTTGGATACTGGTTTGTTAGAGTAAAATGGTTAGGTACCTAGTATCAACCTAGCCATCTAACCTTATATTAACAACTAGGAAAATAAAGGGTTGGAGCCTCTGTGTTTCTTTGCTGAAAAATCTGCTGCTATTCTTAGTTCTATGAAAACAAATTCAAAATTCGGTTATTATCACCTTAAAAGTACAAAACCTATAGATATTGAAAATGCAATTATTTTTCTACAGGCATAGTTAAAATGAGTTTGTATATATTATAAATCAGTTTCTTTATAAGTCATTTATTTAGATAAATTTTGTTATACTGACATGATTCACTAATTTTCTAAATATAAATGGTTCAGCTCTCAGTTATTTTTAAACTAAAGAGCTGTGTTATACTTATTATTTCTAATTGGCTTTTATGATGTTTTAGGTTTCTTTTGAATCCCGTGTCCTTCAAGTGCTTTCCAACTTTGAGAAGAAGAAATTGACCACCCGGACTATGGAACTGTGCGTAACAGCTTTGAAAGTGTATTTAAAAATTAAATCTGTATGCCTTTAAATCAGTGAATTGGAAATATATTACATGTATTTTAATGACTTTCCTCAAATACAATAAATTGTTTTCTTTCCAATGGAATGGTGTTTGTATTTTTTCTTTACCTGGTTTAACACATGTAGGAGAACATAACTAGATGATTACATCAAATTCTTTTTAAGGCAATTTTATAATATATTTTATTTATGATTACAAAAACTGCCTTTTAAAAGTTCTTGCCTGGATATGAATGCAGTTTCACATTTTTTAAATTGTAATCTTGCTTTTTGTAATTATTTTATATTTGTCTGGCTTCGAGTTTTATTGGGTTTTAGTTTTTTGGAAGTGGGGGATTTATCCCAATTTAGAAATTTGTATCCTTGCCGTAATACAGTCTACCATTTTTGTTCTCCCAGATCTTTCATCTGTCAGAACATCACTCAAAGGTGAAAATATTTCCCACATAAAATTATTCTTTTCCTTTAGTGAAATTAGTTCCAGCTGTATATACGTAGGAAAACATTCTTCTTTTTATTCGATTCATTCCTATAGGTACGTTCCTGGGTCTGTGATTACACCTTTACCTTAGAGGCACTGCCCAAAAAGACTCAAGTCTTGTGTAAAAATGCTGTTGTGGATCATAGCTTCCTACCTTTTACAGCATCGTGAGGCAGGGAGAGTAAGAACATTAGAGACAGGAATTAGAGGCATGGAGAAATGAACCCTGGAGCATCCCAATGGTGAGATATAAAATAGTTCAAGAACTATTAAAGAAGACTAAGGAGGAATAGCTAGAAGCTAAATGAAGAAAGTATCTCAAATAGGAAGGAGTGATCAAATATTTTAGCTGTGTTGATGAGTTAGGAAAGATGAGTTTTTGGATTAAGCACTGGGTAGAGCAACCTTTGGGACATTGACGTTGACCAACTTGGTGGATATCAGGAGTAAGAGGAGGTACTCAAGAGAATGTTGGAGAGGAATTTAATATAGTGAGTATTGAAGACAACACTTAAGGAGTCTTGCTTTCAAGGGGATGTGAGAAATGGGTTGTTAATGGAGGGTAATATAGCATCAAAAAGCTGTTTATTTTAAGATCGATGATATAGCAGGTTTCTATGCTAATGGGACTGATTCAGTAGACAGAAAAAGCATAATGCAGGAAACAGAGGGATATTGATGAAGACATAGACCTGGTAAAAAAATAGAAGGCTTGGTTTTAAAGATAGGCACACAAACAGCTAATTACTAACAGTAGGATGTACGTCAGATTATGGAGGTCCAGATGTTTGTAGTTCAGTAGATAGGAGGAGCATGTCAAATTTTTGTGATATTTTCTCAGTGAAATAGGAAGCAAGCTCATAAAAAGGGAAGAAATCACGAAGGATTAAGGAAGGAAAAAGAGATGTAAAATGAATAGCTAGGAATGTACAAAAGTAAACAAACTCTTGGCAATCTGTGGTTTATTTAAGTGGTATTAGTCAATGTGGTTTCGTGTTCTTTTCCAGTTCAGTTCAGCAGAGGCGCTATCACTGAATAAGTACAGAATTCAGTTTAACTAAAGGTGAGATTTCTCTAGGTGAATAAAACAGTCAGTGATGAGATGTTCATACATTTAGGAGAATGATTATAAAAGAGGGATATGGAAAGTAATCTGGGTTAAGGAGTGAAGTGAGAAAATAAAGAAGGTTGAGACAGTGGAAAATGGTATCATCAATTGTAGATTGCAGTGTGGTTGACGATGCAATGGAGTTCTCGAGGTAGGAACTAGAAATTTGGGAGATTTAGATAAGAGTGGGTTGATTGAAATTGGAAGTATTAGAGGATAATAGTATATAATAGTACTAAGTATAGTATACTAAGTATAGTAGCATAGTGCTAAGTATATACTATCTTGTGAGTATAAGTTTTAGGATGTGAAGATGGGGGTAGCATAGAGGCAAAGTGATGGAAGGAGATGAGTTAAAGGAATTGAGAACCTAGGAGACTGAAAGGATTATCTAAATGAATTTTGAAATCTCAACAAGAGCTGTGCTGAGTGCTTGTAGTCATTATTTTATGTTTACTACTCTGTGAGAAGACAGCACTTCCTTTTGTGAGTAATGGAAAGTTCTTTCATGTGTCAATTGTAAGATACTTTATTAGGTTCAATTATCTTTAGTAATGCATACTAAAAAATAGTGAGCTCAGTGGGATTATTCAGTAGATATGTGAGCTAACCCCCTCTGTCAGACACCTAAGAGGTAGAACTGATGGTCTTCAAGAGGAATAGAGACTTCTCATCCTAAGTGTGTAAGCTGTGAAATATCCCACCCTATGTTTTCTGAAAACAAACGTTATATAGAGTGTCCACATAAAAGCTAACAGGAAATCTCACACACACACAGACACACACACACACACACACACACACAAAACATTGAAAAACTTCAGGAAAGATATACCCTGTACCCAACATGAACGAGGTCAAAGCAATGAAGAAAAAGCTAGGAAATCAAATAAGTCTAGAACAACTGTGACTAATATATAAAGATTTGAGGTGGTTATATCCATTTAAATGGTATCAATTAGAAAGGAAAAAAAGAGGCCAGGCACAGTGGCTCATTTCTGTAACGCCAGTACTTTGGGAGGCCAACACAGGCAAATCAACCTGTGGTCAGGGGTTAGAGACAAGCCTGGCCAACACGGTGAGACCCCGTCTCTACTAAAAATACAAAAATATTTGCTGGACTTGGTGTCGCGTGCCTGTGCTCCCAGCTGCTTGGGAGGCTGAGGCAGGAGAATTGTTTTGACCCAGAAGGGGAGATTGCAGTGAGCTGAGATTGCGCCATTGCATTCCAGCCTGGGTGATGGAGTAACATCCAAAAAAAGGTATTTTACATAAGAAATTTTATTTTATTTTTCTGTAAATTATAAAATAGCACTTAATATGGAATTTATATACCAGAATCTTTGAATATCCAAAATTTAAGATGAGAGCAATTTTGAGAAACTTTTCAAAGCTTAGGAAAAGGTAACTACATAAAACACCATTATGTGTTATTTATGGGTACATTAGATGAAGTAAGTCACAAAAACACGCATAGAAATGATCATATAAACTTGCAAGAAATTGAATGTCTTGCTATTGAAGGAAAGGTTGAGGTGTAAGAGATTGAGGTTGAGTGTGAGAAGCTCTGTATATATTGTATTTTTCTTAAAAATATATATTTAAACTCACATTTCTTGTTTTTCAAATGTTCACTCCAATGAAAATTCTTTTACTTTTCCTGTTAGAATTTTTATTTCCACTCTCACATATGCAGTGTACTATTGTTCAGAAATATTAGTGATCCTCCTTGCAAATGAATACTCCCATCCTGCTGATTTTCAGAAGGTCCAAGTGATTTGCTTTGGCTGTGAAATGTAAGCAGAAAGAGTGTTATTTTGGGGACTTCCCGATTGCAAAACAACATAGTATCGCAACTTTTGACATAGCATTTACGTTGCATTAGTCATTATAAGTAATCTGAGATGATGTAAAGGTTATATGGAAATACTACATTTTATATAAAGGACTCGAGTAGTTATTGCTTTAAGTATCCATGGTGGGTCCTGGAACCAATTCCTCATGGATATGGAGGCACAAGGAACCACTGTAGTTAAACAAATAATCACTTTAAAACTTAAAACCTTTTGCATGGTGAGTACAGTCATGCACCGCATATATGATGGTGGTATAGTTAAGTTTATTATGCCATACATTTATTGGAAGTTTCCTATGTTTAAATGTATTGAGATACACAGCTACACTGCTTTACAGTTGCCTATAGTATTCAGTAAAATAACATGCTTTACAGGTTTGTAGCCTAGGAGGAATAGGCTATGCAATCTAGGTTAATGAAGTCCATTCTGTGATATTTGCACAGTGGCTTAATTACCTAAGGGCTTTGTCTTCAGAACATACTCCTGTCATTAAGGAATGCATGAGTGTAGTTGGACAAAAAATAATAATGCAGGCATACCTTTGGCACTGTCCTAATTCTTACCAACATCCATGATTGCTTAAATTTGCACTGGAAAGACTTCAAAAAACAGTGATATATTAGGACAGTATATTTCCAATACATGACAAATGATAACAACATAAGAACTCAAAACATTCAATAAGAAAGAACATAACAATTAAAGCAAAACTAGATGGGAAAAGGAAGAAGCAAATTTCAAGAGAAAACTCAAAAGGCCAAAAAGTGTGAAATGATGTTCAGCCTTGCTAGTAATTGGGAAAAACACAAATCTCTTTTTTTTTTTTTTTTTTTTTTTGAGAGGGAGTCACCCTCTGTCGCCAACACTGGAGTGCATTGGGGCGATCTGGGCTCACTGCAAGCTCTGCCTCCCAAGTTCACACCACCATTCTCCTGCCTCAGCCTCCAAAGTAGCTGGGACTACAGGGGCCCGCCACCATGCCTGGTTAATTTTTTGTGTTTTTCGTAGAGACAGGGTTTCACCATGTTAGCCAGGATGGTCTCCATCTCCTGACCTCGTGATCTGCCTGCCTCAACTTCCCAATGTTCTGGGATTACAGCTGTGAGCCACCGTGTCTGGCCCAAATCATTTTTAATCTATTAGGCAAAAATTAGAGCTATGATAATATTCATTTTTGGTGGGAGTGTGGCAAAAGGTACTATAACAGAATGCTACTAGAGAGTAAACTTTGATACATTTGTAAGGGCAATTTTGCATAATATGAAAATTTAAAAATATGCTTCCAGTTTCACATACGTTTATCTAGCATACAGAATTACCCATGTGTAAACATGTATACAGATGTTCATTATAACACTTCTTATAAAAACAAAATATTTGCAAATATTCATATGAACAAGTGCATACATATGATCTTAGTCCAGTTAGAATTTTCTGTTTTATTTCAATCCTTTAAAAGACTCAACTTCTGATTCTATATAAACAATTCAAAAAAGAATGTGTTTTCCCTATGTGCATTTGGTCAGGTAAATTAAAAAATACACCTCATGCTAGCCTCACAAAACTGGAATAAGCCTTGGGAAAGAAGTTGTCCTTGAAGCTTGTATCTGACATTGTAGCAGGACGAGCCGCAGAAAAAACCTCTCAGACACTGAGTTGTAGAAGGAAGGGCTTTATTCAGCTGGGAGCATTAGCCAGCTACTGTCTCTAAATCTGAGCTCCTGGAGTGCACAATTTCTGTCCTTTTTAAGGGCTCACAACACTAAAGATTTCACATGAAAGCTTTGTGATTGATTTGAGCAAGCGAGGTATACATGACAAGGACTACTTGCCCCGGTGGTCAGGGAGAAACAGAATATGGAAGAGAGTTTCACAATGTTCTTCTACACAATATCTGGAATCTGTGAATCACATCGGCTTCTAAATCATAAGTGGATGTTCAACTACTGGGTTTAGGCCAACCAGGCCCAGGTCTGTTTTTGGGCCTGGCGCCGGGCTGCCTGTCTTTGGTTTTATTTCCTTGTTGTTTTTACTGAATAGAAAACAATGTAAAACAAGAGGAGAGGGTCTTTCTCCTCTCTCATTTTCTTTCTTTGAGACTTTCACTCATTTTTATTAGTGGGAGCTGTCACTTTTATGATTTATGTTCTTCTGTGCAATAGATTGATAGCCATTTATATTGTATGCTTGTGCTGAAGGCTTTTGGTGAAATAAGGGAGAGACGAAGTTTTTTATGATTTGGAGAAACACAGGTATCAGACAAGGGAGCAGTAAGCAGGTTCCTATTACTATTATTACCTCTATTATAAGAGTTTTAAATCCTCCTATTGCTGGGAACTACTTTCTAAACATGGCTCCTGGATTGAGTCTGTGCCAGCCTTGCACGAGTACATGTGCCAGTTTTGTTATATCCTTAAGTATATGCTCAACTACTTGTTCTTTATCATCTATGTGTAGGCAACATGTTTCGTCAGATTCTCTCGCCAGGCAAGAACAGTCAAGGCTTGTTGGGTTTTATTAGTAATAATTTCTAAAGCAGCTTGTAACCATATGAGCATGTAGATAGGGGTTGGATATCCTCATGAGCCATCTTGTACTTAAGTGGCGGGTCCATAGTATTGTATGATTCTTTCAGGGGTGCATTCATCATCTTTCTAACCACTTATGGCTATGCTTCATTTTGCCTGGGAAGCATAGACTGGGAAGCCTACAAGTTCAACTGTTTTTATGGGCAGTAAGAAGAAAGATGGCTTCATGGTGCCAATTACACAGCCACACGCCCACTGGTCAGGCAGCTTAGCATAAGCTTTGTGTCTACATATCTAGCATAACCTAGTGGGGGCCGTCCAGTCCTGGTGGAATTCTGGATGGGCCTAAACAGTCTGCAACTTTGGAAATTTGCTGAATGCATTTCTTTCTGTGTAATTGGAACTGTACCATGTAACTGTTTTTGTGGCACCATTATACAGGTTTTGCCTAAGACAAATAAGCCGCCTTACGGGATGAGTAAATCCTTTTCTTTCTCTAGCTACGCATTACTGTCTAATAATTGTGACTTTTAGAAACTAAAAATTGTCGGGGTTGTTCTTTTGGGATGGAATTCGTGAGGAACTCCATCTGTAGGAACTAATTCTTGGGCTTCTTATGGCCATTGATCTCCTGTTACAGTCCTTCCACAAACATCACATGAAATGACTTGTAGAGACTGGGCTACATGTTTGGCTAATTGCAAAAACAAATTTTTAGTTTTTTTCAGAAATTTCAGGTATAGGCACATTGAATTCATCATAGAAAGTGTGAAATACTTGTCCTGGTGAGCGTTTTTGAACTTCTTCTTTTATCAGGATGCTTACACTAGAATCTAGTCCTTTTCTATCAATGCCTAATGTTATATATTTTCTTTTATTCCACTTTGGATCTGAGGGGTTTGTGATGATCAATTTTAAAGGGTTGCAGCTCCCACTTGTGCAAGAGGGGCTGACTTTTCTTTTTTGGAGCCAAACAGGATCTTTTTTATCTTTCTTCTAAGTAGCCTAACTGACGCAATACCACTATTGACACATCGAACATAAATATGGTTCTTGACAGATGTACTTATTTTCTGTGTGTAATTTTTCCCAAATTTAGAGAAATGCATCTTATCCTCTGCTGTTTAGTATTAATAGTGGCACGAGCATCAAATTTTAAAGTTACATTTGTGGGGACTCTTCTTTCTTCTGTTCTAGCTATCACTTTACTTGTGTTACTTAGAGAAGGACCAGTTCTTAGTCTTACTTCGAAGACTGTGATCATGGGGGTTTAGAGGGGTCATAGCACACATCGGGCTGGTCACTTCCTGGATTACATACTTAGTACTGGGTGTTATTATACAAACAGGTTCTGTTTGGAGTTCTTAGGCATTCATAATAGCTGTAAAATAAAACGATCATCTTAACTTGTCCTTCTTCAGTGTCCTGATGTATGCACTGAAGGCAGTCCTCTGTGTGGGAAGAGGTAGTGGAAGCTTTTACCACACAGGTCCATGTTATAAGGACAATAAGTCCTACGACGATTTTCCTCATGCTTTGGCCATGTGTAGTCTAGTCAGCTTCGTGGTGTGATTGGAGCAGGGCTTGTCATTTTCTTCAAGGTCACTTTTCAGGGATTGTCCAAGTTTGGTTTGGCCTCCTAGGTCTCAGCGGCTGCAGGCTTCATGAGGCTGTGGTGAATCTAGGCTGGGATTCCTTCTACATTGACAGCTGTGGGAGTGGTCAGGTTAATTGTCTGGGGTCCTTTCCACTGTGGCCACAGCGGAGCCACGTTCCAGTCCTTGATCCACACAATGTCACCTGGAGAAAAAGGGTGAACTGGGGAGAATCAGCTGCCTGGGCACCTCTCATTTACTCAAGTTGAGATAGTCTGAGTAATTTTCCCTAAGGCCTGTAGCTGCCGCTGTAATGCAATCTCACCTAACTCTTGGGGAGTACCTGGAAGCCCTCCCAGTATGGGAGGAGGCCTATGATACAGAATTTCAAAGGGGGAGTATGCTGTTCTCTTAGAAGGGGTACACTTAATTTTAAACAATACTATAGGAAGGACTTGTGTCTATTTTAAATTTGTTTCTTGACATACTTTCCAGAAACTTTTTCTGATAGTTCGATTCATTTGCTGCACTTTCCGGAACTCTAAGGTTGGTAAACGGCATGTAACTTCTATGAAATTCTTAATACCTTTGCCGTCTTCTGTATCAAGTCAGCAACAAATGCTGGCCTATTATTTGAGCCAATTCGTAGAGGCAGTCCAAACCTAGGGATGAAATTTTGAAGAAGTACACAGGTTACTTCAGGAGCTTTTTCAGTTCATGTTGGATAAGCCTCCACCTACTTAGAGTAAGTAAACACTAGAACCAGTAAATACTTGTTACTTCTACATTTAGGCATTTCTGTGAAGTCCACTTGAAGATCTTCAAAATGAGCTGCTCCAGAGGCTTCTATTCCCCGAGGTACAGAGGGGCCTTGCTTCGCATTGTGCTGTCCACAGGTAAGGCATCACTGCGCTACTGTTGTAGCAACAGCTGGCAAGGGTGAGATGTAGAAATACTGGCCTAACAGCTTTTCAAGTGATTCTTGGCCTCAATGGGTAGTTTCACATACAGTCAGCATGACTGTATAGCAGCGGTGGCACTGCTATTCTTCCATCTGGTAACTTTATGTATCTTTCCTTTATTGTTTGTCCTCTCTCTGTCTGAAAAAATTCTTTTTCCTCTTTAGAATAAGTTGGCACCAGATCAAGCATTTGAAGGAGTAGCAGGGCTGTGACTGATGTCTGGTAAGGAGTAGATGCTGCTTTTCCTGCCTCTGTGTCTGCTCAGGGCTTTCCTTGGCAAACCGAAGCGGAAACTCGCTGATATCCCCTGCAATGCATGAATGCCACCTTTTGGGGTTTCTACACTGCTTCTAATCATTGTAGAATTTCTTGCTGACATTTTATGTCTTTTCCTCTAGAATTTTTTCCTTATACAATGCTCCACATACTTGAAGGGTTAGAAAGGCATATCAAGAATCAGTATAGATGTTTACAATCTTAGGTTCACTGAGTTCCAGAGCCCGAGTTAGAGGAATGAGTTCTGCTTTTTGGGCTGAAGTGCTCTGAGGCAATGGCTTAGCTTCAACAACATCATCTAAGTTTACTACTGCATATCCTGCACACCTTTCTCTTTGCGGGTTGATGAAGCTGCTTCTGTCCATGTAGAACTCCTAATCTACCAATGCCTATGGCTGGTCTCAAAGATCTGGTCTGCTAGAATAGACATAGTCCAACACCTCTACACAGTTATGTTTAACAGGGCTGTCTGATACTGGGAGCAAAGTGGCAGGATTTAAAGAATTACAGACTTCTATGGTTATACATTGATTTTCACATAACAAGCTTTGGTGTTTAGTTAATGTAGCATTTGTTAGCCAATGGTGTCTTTTGGTGTTCCTTAGAGTTACATTAGAGTCAGCTTGGGCTGACATAAGTTTTTCTTTTAACTTATAAGTCTTGTTGTTGTAGAGACCTCTATTTAAAAGGCTCTCGGTCACCCCCTTTATAACTCCATTCAATGCTTTGGCTAACACCACAAAGTTTGGAATCTGCAGTCTGCAAAAATCTCACAGCTCCTAAATGTTCTCTTATTTGCCTCCTGGTTTTAGGTTCTGGTAAGCTGCAGATGACCTGCTTTCTTGCTGACCATAGACTGCACTCCCCTTTTCAAATAGTGAATCCTAGGTAGTGTACCTGCTGTCTGCAGATCTGAGCTTTCTTTTTGGGCACTTTATATCCACAGTCCTCCAGGTGTCGAAGCAGGGCACCCGTCCTTTTTGCACACCTGACTGCCATGGAGTGTCCTAGCAGAAGGTCATCTACATACTGGAGCAGGATGCAACCTAGGTCTTTAGCAGGAAACATTTGGAGGTCTCCAACCGAGGCCTCCCCAAAGATGGTGGGGGACTTTTTGAACCTTTGGGAAAGTCGAGTCTAAGTGTACTGAATGGTGACATCTGACTCCGGATCTTCCTACTGAAAGGCAAACAGCTTTTGGCTCTCAGGAACTAGCCTGATGTGAAGAAGGCATCTTTCAAGTCCTGTACGGGTCGATAGTCTTTGGTCCTTGGTTTAGGGACAGGTAGGAGGTGGGTGTTCCATGGAGACTGGCAAGGAACTAGAATTCCAGAGGCTTTTAAGCATATAAGATGAGTCTCTATTCCTTTAAAGGCTTCCCTGGGAACAGGATACGGCTTTTGTCCAATTGGCTAGGTCGTAGGCTAAACTTCTATGAGTACGGGGGCTTGATTGATTGCCAGCCTCAGAGGATTGTCCTCCATCTCTACTCAGAGCCGTCACTCAGCTGGAGCCACTTTTATTTCCTGAGCTGGCTCAGTTAGCAAAAGTCTCCACTCTTCTTCCTGGGGGACTGGAAGGGCCATGATGACTCCTGTTTCTGGCAACTCCAGCTGTAAAGTGCCTTGTTTTGTCAAGGAAATGGTGGCTCTTAACTTGCTAAGCAAGTCTCTTCTCAACAAAGGCAAGGGACAGTCAGACATATACAGAAATGGATAAATCACTTTGTGTCCTCCCACTGAGCAGTTGCGCGGTAGACAGAAGTCCTGCTTGGTAGAGACTCCTGTTGCTCTAATTCTATCAATGGTCTTTATAGATGAGGGGGCCACTGGAGTGCTTACTACTGAGTGTTCGGCTCTTGTATCCACTAAAAACTTAATGTCCTTGCCCCTTATTGTCATCCTGACCATGGGCTCCTTGGGGGCATTTGAGCCTGTTCCCCTTAATTCTAGCAGCCCCTCAGCTAGATTGAACAAAATCCTTTCATCTTGGTTTGAGGTCTTTGGCTCTGCATCACTCTGATTTTCTTTGAGTTGGGGACATTTATCTTTCTAATGTCCTATTTCTTTACAGTAGGCACATTAGTCATGCTGCAAATGTGAGTGATTGGACAGGGCATTCCTCCCAGAACCCCCTTTTTTCTGCCTTTTCAGGAGAATTCCTCTAATTGTCACAGCCAGCAAACTAGCGTTTCACCTGGCCTGGCGTTCGCCCTCCTTACGGCTTTCTTGGCCGCTTGTTGCATCTCTATTTACAAATACTTCATTAGCTCTTTCCAGTAACTGCAAGGTTTTCATTCCTGCAAACCTAGCCTGTTTTTGCAATTTTCTCTGGATATCTTCTGCACTCTGAATAACTAAGGCCGTATTAATCAACGGCTGATTTTCAGGACTCTCCAGATCGAAAGGAGTGTACATGCAATAGGCCTCACACGGTCTTTGATAGAACTGGGCTGGGCTTTCCTCCTTTCCTTGGATGACTTCAGAAACTTTATTTACATTGGTACCCTTTTGAGCCCCTTTTTTCAACCTTTCAATTAATGCCTCTCGGTACCCTCTTAGCCTTTCCATATCTGGTCCTTCATTTGGATCCTATTGAGGGTCCGTTCCTGGCAGCTGAATTCTTATGTATTCTTGGGGACTTTGATAATTGGCTGGGATGTGCTCCTCCAGCCATTTAACTGTTGCCTGCAGCACCTGTTGCCTTTTATGTGTTTTAAAGAGGTACATGAGTAGCTGGTGGCAATCAGCCTAAGTAGGATTCTGAGTCTGGATAATTCTTTGAAGCAAGTCAATTAGGGCTTGAGGCTTTTCAGTGTAAGATGGAGTGTTATTTTTCCAGTTGAGTAGTTCAGCAGAGGTAAAAGGGTGATACACAAAAGCATGCCTTTCTACCGTATGTCTGACCTCATCTGTCCTAGTATATCGCTGCTCTCTCAGGGCATTTGAATTCCCGTCTTGGGCCGTTAAGCGGGCTGCCAGGGAAGTGGATTTTCCCGCAGTTTCACTTTTGTTCTTGTCTACTCTGGGTGGTCTAGGGGCTGTGGGCTCAGGAGAAGGGGGCCTCCCCACTGGATAAGGGGTTGAGGGCACTGTTGGTGCCATCTCCTGCCTTGAGTCCTCGAGCTCTGGGTCAAACAGAACTTTAGGTGCTGGCTTCTCTTGGCCGGTGGAGCGAGAACTTTCCTGAAATAAATGTCCCTTTGCTACTACTACTGCTGCTGCCTGTCCTTTTACCACTGTAGAGGATCTAAAACTAGCTGTAACTAGGAATCTCTATATGGAAATTGATATGGGTGCAGGCACACCATGAGCGATCAGGCCAAGCTTCCGCTCAGGTGGAGTGGGGCAAGTTGAAAAGACTTGTCTTACTAAGTTTCAGATGTCTGGACTCCAAGTGCCAGTTCCTTCCTGGTGTTCAGCCACTGTGTTAATCCTCCGCGGGGATCACTGCTCTGGCGAGGCGTTCAACCGGGGCCATTTCCTACCTGGGAGCGCTCTTTGGATCCCATCCCTCAGGCTGGCCAGAGTCCCTGGCAGCCTGAGGGATGCCCCGGCCTTACTCCACAAGGCATGCCTAATCTGCCTAAGGAGCTGCCTCGGCCGTCCATCAGTTATCTTGCTTCCAGGTCAGGGAACCAAGAAATGTAGCAGGACAAGCGGCAGACAAAACTCTCAGACACCGAGTTGTAGAAGGAAGGGTGTTATTCACCTGGGAGCATCGGATAGCTACTGTCTCAAAATCCGAGCTCCCCAAGTGCACAATTTCTGTCCCTTTTAAGGGCACACAACACTAAAGATGTCACATGAAAGGGTCGTGATTGATTTGAACAAGCCAGGGATATGCGACAAGGACTACATGCACCCGTGGTCAGGGAGAAACAGAATATGGAAGGGAGTTTCACAATGTTCTTCTATACAATGTCTGGAATCTATGAATAACATCGGCTTCTAAATCATAAGTTGATTTGTAACTACTGGGTTTAGGCCAACCAGGCCCAGGCCTGGTTTTGTGCCTTTGATTTTGCTTCCTTGTTGTTTTTACTGAATAGAAAACAATATAAAACAAGAGGACAGGGTCTTTCTCTCTTCTCAATATCAGCACTGGATTGTAGAACTTGTTGCTGATTTTGGCCTGGCATTCAAGTTAACTCTTCCCCTTGGTATCTGTACATACCTTTGATGTCAGTGTTTAGTACACGTGGCTTGGTCACTTCATGGCTAAAAACGTGCTTGTGGAAGACAAGTCTGGCTTGGTGAGTCTGTGTGGTCAGCAGTCTCTGATCCGTGCAGGGTATTAATGTGTCAGGGCTGAGTGTTCTGAGATTTATCTAGAGGCTGGGAAGGGCTCCTGAACCAGTTGTTTCCGTCTTGTCGGTCTGTCAGGGTTGGAAAGTCCAAGCCATAGGACCCAGTTTCCTTTCTTAGCTTACGTTATCTACCAGAGCACCGTGGGCTGTTACTTGCCTTGAGTTGGAAGCGGTTCGCATTTATACCGGTAAATGTATTCATCCTTTTAATTTATGTAAAGTTTTTTAGTATGCAATTCTCGATCTTTTAAGAGTTGACAACAAATTTTGGTTTTCTGCTGTTATGTGAGAACATTAGGCCACAGCAACATGTCATTGTGTAAGGAAAAATAAAAGTGCTACCATATGCAAAAAAAAAAAAAAAAGAAAAGAAAAGAAACATTAATGTCTAAGAGGTCATTGAGATGATTTCCATGAGAGACTTTTTGATGTTCTTCACCAGTTAGGATTATTATTGATAATCCTTTTCAGATTATGAATAAACAGTTTGCCCTCAAGTATTTATTCATGCTACTATTTACATTGTAAAATGTGCTTCTTACAGGAATATAAATAGTTTCTGGAAAGGACACTGACAACTTCAAAGCAAAATGAAGCTCTTTTGGTTGCTTTTCACCATTGGGTTCTGCTGGGCTCAGTATTCCTCAAATACACAACAAGGACGAACATCTATTGTTCATCTGTTTGAATGGCGATGGGTTGATATTGCTCTTGAATGTGAGCGATATTTAGCTCCCAAGGGATTTGGAGGGGTTCAGGTGGGTATGATTCATAGTATCAATTGCAGAATTCACTGTGCTTGTAGTAAACACTATTCTGATCTTCTACGTGAAGCTTGGGCAACATTTTACTTCACAGGTAAGTATTCTAAGTAAAAGAATTTTCTGAGGAAAAAACAATGTAGTATTCTTTGCAACTGTATATTTTGTTTCTGATATAATCTTTCTTCAACAAGAGCCCTCCGATGTGCTGTTAATATTTTCAAGAGATAGCTGCCTATACCAAGATTCAAGAATCTTTTGTATTATTGATTAGATTCTAGAACATTCAATGATATACAGTAAGACAGAATTTGGTACTTATGAAGACTGTTTAATTTGTAGGTCTCTCCACCAAATGAAAATGTTGCCATTCACAACCCTTTCAGACCTTGGTGGGAAAGATACCAACCAGTTAGCTATAAATTATGCACAAGATCTGGAAATGAAGATGAATTTAGAAACATGGTGACTAGATGCAACAATGTTGGGGTAAGTGAATTCTAGTTTCCTTTAAAAATAACAGATAGGAAAATGATTTCTGTCTCTTCTTTCTTGCTCCTTTTGAGCAGAAAGTTTTCCATATCAGTTTTAATTTTACTTCATACTTTAAAACTCAAAAGTAACTGTCACCTTATGTTCAATTTTTGAAAATATTTGTATATGTGCTCTCTACTAAAGAGATAAGTTAAAGTTTATAGCAGAGTTTACTTCTGAAGCAAAACATCAAATTTTAACCGCTATAACTATCCATATTTCCTGGAAGGATTTTCTGGTGAGGAATTTTAATTCCAGTTACAATATTTGCTCTCATTTTTAGATGACTTGTGTCTCCATTCCTAATTCTTGGGTTTTTTTTGTGGTGAATAGGTAGCTTATCTATTTAATGAGGAGCAGAATTTGAGATGAATAGCTACCTTATTTGTCTTCCAAGCTTAGTAGAGAGTACAGGCTTTCTCCTGGTGACCCACTGAAATTTCCCAAATAGTAACCTTTTCAGTCTCATCTGAGTTGTGTCTCCCCAAAATGGGCTTTTTGCCTTTCCTCCTATTTATGGTAGTTTCCGGTTCTCTCAGTTTATCATTCCTATATATATTTGGCCAAGTGTCTGGAATGAATGTAGGTGTTTAGTTCACATTACTTTCCTTTCACAGTTGATTTTTGATCTTGTAGGAAAATAGTTATAAGGTATGAAATATTTTGGAATTTTATTAGCACACTATAAATTTAATCAATAATTCTTTAAATTTCTGCCTCTCTGTAAGTCACACTGAATTAGAAACTTTGTTTTCTAGGTTCGTATTTATGTGGATGCTGTAATTAATCATATGTGTGGTAATGCTGTGAGTGCAGGAACAAGCAGTACCTGTGGAAGTTACTTCAACCCTGGAAGTAGGGACTTTCCAGCAGTCCCATATTCTGGATGGGATTTTAATGATGGTAAATGTAAAACTGGAAGTGGAGATATCGAGAACTATAATGATGCTACTCAGGTAATTTTTTTACGAGAGTGATCTGAATAAGGAGTGATATATGCCTTTTGTTGTAGACATGTAGCTAATTGAACTTCGTTGTAAATATGAATTTAGATCTCTTAGGGACAGAGGTTAACAAGTTTGACTACTTTAAGAAACTCAAATCCATATTTGAAAACCTTTAAATATTGATTTAAGATTTTTAATCAATACACATTTGTCCACTTTTAAAAAGCTCCCAACCAATTGAAAAACTCATCGACTTTATTTCCTAAGTTCTCTATTTTCTATTAGAAAATATTTCCAAGATACATCTATAGTAGAATGTGAGCATCCCCAGTGTCCAATGCAAGGAAGTCACCATAGAATATCTCTTGAGGAATCATGGAATAAATGAATAATCAAATGGATTCTCAGGCGAAAAGTGAGGTTTTATTAATCAATCATAACATTCTTACCTCAACAGGTCAGAGATTGTCGTCTGTCTGGTCTTCTCGATCTTGCACTGGGGAAGGATTATGTGCGTTCTAAGATTGCCGAATATATGAACCATCTCATTGACATTGGTGTTGCAGGGTTCAGAATTGATGCTTCCAAGCACATGTGGCCTGGAGACATAAAGGCAATTTTGGACAAACTGCATAATCTAAACAGTAACTGGTTCCCGGAAGGTAGTAAACCTTTCATTTACCAGGAGGTACGTCAATACATATAGGCATATAAAATATCATCCTATTCATTAGAAAATTCACGGCAGATTCAATTAAAAATGCAATTTCTGTAGGATAAAGACTGAGTCATTTCCTTAAAACAGTGTTCTTTAACCTCCTCTTCTTCACATACAGCATATCTAATTCTTTATCACAACAGGTTTTATGGAGGTACACAGAATGTAGGATACTGATAATAGTTATGTCTTTATTTTCTTTGGAAAATGAAATGAGTTAATATTTATCAAAAAAAGTCAGTCAGATAGTAAATATCGTATTCCTGTGAGCTGTTATTATTATCATTGATGTACAAGACTAAAAATTAGGTAAGTATTCTCACAGGACAACAGGTAACTTTGACATTATGTTTCTTTCAATATTGTAGTGTATACTTTATCAAAAAAAGAATATAAGAATATTACCGATGAAGATAATAAGAATAAGAAAACGATTTTGAGCGTTTCATATAACAAATAGGACCAGGCGTGGTGGCTCTTGCATGTAACTCAGCACTTTGGGAGGCTGAGGCAGGAGAATTCCTTGAGGCCTGGAGTTTGGGACCATCCTGGACGATATAGCAAGACCCTGTCTCTAAAGAACAAAGCACAACAAGTCTAAAATAACTCAGAAATAGCTGAAAGCTAATTTTTATATAATATAAACTTATCGGTTAAAATGCTTTAAAGTCCTTATGCAAAATGTTTTTTTTTCCTAAATTTCTTCTAGGTAATTGATCTGGGTGGTGAGCCAATTAAAAGCAGTGACTACTTTGGTAATGGCCGGGTGACAGAATTCAAGTATGGTGCAAAACTCGGCACAGTTATTCGCAAGTGGAATGGAGAGAAGATGTCTTACTTAAAGTAAATAAATACAACTTTTCCCCTGAACTATTTCATAGATCTGTTAGTCATACTACCCCAGTGCGAGTTATCTTCTGGAACATTCTTATTCAGACAACTATTAAGGAGTCAGTTGTTAATGATAAGTATTCTAGTGCCCTAAACTCTAATCAATCATCTTTTGTATTTAGAGTGTCTGTCACAAGACAGTATGCCTAGGAACGCTAAACTTACCCTAGGAGTTTCTGTCTGCGTACAAGATGAATATACTGGATTTGACTGATGTTTGCATATAATCTTTTAAAGCCAGGTTATTATTAAAATGATCCTATCATTTATAAAGTATGTACAAAGTGTCCATGCTATTGTATTTACTTATACGAATTGGAAATGTAAAATGATTTATATTATAACAATACAATATTAAAGCCTTATTTTAATCTAGTTTGACATTCTGTATAATGTGATGTGGATATTGATCCTTCTGGAGTGCCTCTAAATGATAATGTGCTGAAACCTCTGAAAGGAAATTTTTTAATAACAAACATTTTATATTTGTAATATGAATATAAGTATTCCATACATGTATATACAAATATGGACTATATATATGTAGATTACACACGTGTGTTTGTTTATGAGGTGTGTGTGTATATATATGTGAGTGTGTGTTTGTGTGTGTGTGTGTATATATATATATCTTACAGAGTAACCATCTAATTAGAGAAAGAATTTAATCTTCAGATGCCATGCCTTACAGAAAGAGATGCACAGTAGAGTTACTCTCAAACTATTGTGAAATGATACATCAACGTATATCTTATGTTTCAAAAATAGGAACTGGGGAGAAGGTTGGGGTTTCATGCCTTCTGACAGAGCGCTTGTCTTTGTGGATAACCATGACAATCAACGAGGACATGGCGCTGGAGGAGCCTCTATACTTACCTTCTGGGATGCTAGGTAAAAAACCAAGTTCTCTATTTTTTTAACACCTCTTTTAATGATGGTATGAATATTGTGATATTCTATGATAATATAATTATGTAACTTTCAGGCTGTACAAAATGGCAGTTGGATTTATGCTTGCTCATCCTTATGGATTTACACGAGTAATGTCAAGCTACCGTTGGCCAAGATATTTTGAAAATGGAAAAGTAAGTTTTGGAGTTGTTCAAAATATCCTTTTCTCAAGAAAAAAGAGGCAATCTTCTCCTAATTTAATATGACAACTATTAAGTGTTTATTTATTCAACAAATATTTAATTATTGTAAACCTGATACAGGATTGTGATTTAGTAATGCAGGTTATATTAAAGGAATAAACTTTATATTCTCCATTGAAAAAGAATAGCAAGCTTTTTCAGAGATATGACAAACATCCCCCTAGCCCGCAGGGAAAATAAAAATAAAAATTAAAAAAACCACTTAAAAATAAGAGCTAGGCACAGGGATTAAAATATATACTTCGTACCTTCCTCAGGTTTAATTGGAAGAATATAGATGCCAACCCTTGTAGAGAACTTAAAACATCATCTGCCCGTAGTGAGAACAATATAAATGTCTTTTAAATACTGTTAAAAAGTTATATGGAATAGAAACAAATGATCCAGTTCAGCTGAGTTAAATAGGGAAAGTATACTATAAGAGGAAGGAAATTGTATGTACTAAAGGATAGAAATTTATAGAGAGTATTCCAAGAAAGGTAAGAATGAGAAAAATATTTGGGAGTATGGTAAAGACATCACTCTGCTGAGTAGTTTCAAAAAGGAACAGAGAAATAAGAGTGTAAAGATATTTGGAAAGCTAGTAGAAGGTTTTCTTTTAAACTAAAGGGTTGAGAAACAGCATCAGAGACTTCAGAACTAAAGCAGAAATTCCTCCTTCCTATGAGTCACACAGATATCTAGCTAGCTTTTTTTAGATTCCTTTCAGTTTGAGAAGTCCGCTACTATGTATAACAACTGATTCTATTGTTAAACAGCTTTAATATTTAGAAGGTGTACTTTTATATTGAGACAACTTCTTATAATTTCTACTAATTGGTCTTATTTCTGTTGTTAGGAGTCAGAGAGTTCTTTTATTTTTTCTATTACTATAACATTCCCACTTTGACAGGACTGCTGCATGCTATAAACTCTTAAGTTTTGTTCACTTTTCACCATATGACGTGATTTTAAGGTGAACACTGATAAACTTCCTAGGGTTACTCTGTGTTTTTTAATGAAGATTTCTTAAAGTGCCAATCAGAAAAGCATAATACTAAAAATATGGTCAATTTATAAAAAAAAAATGTTCAGATGTAGTATTTTGTACATTTATCTAAAAAGAAGCATGACGGCCTCCAATATTTATTTAGCATATGTCATGTTCAAGGCATTTTCACATATATTACTTAATTTTTATAGCAAAAGAACTCATTATTCTCATTTTACAAATGAGGAAACTGAGACACAGAGAAATTATTTATATTGATTAAATTTTCTCAGCTACTAGTAATAGAGCCTATGTTTTAATCCTGGTGTTTCTAGTACTAATGCCCTTCCCATTTCAATGCCATTGCATGGCTTACAGTGATGTTAAGAAGCCCTTGCAGGCCAGGTGCAGTGGCTCACACCTATAATCCCAGCACTGTGTGCGGCCAGCTGAGAAGGTCAGCTGACCTGAGGAGTTCAAGACCTATCTGGGCAAGCTAGCAAGACCTTGCCTCTACTGAAAATTAAAAAAAAAAAAAAATTAGCTGGGTGCGGTGGTGCACACCAACAGTCTTAGCTACTTGGGAGGCTGAGATGGGAGGTTCGCTTGAGCCTCGGAGATCAAGGCTGCAGTGAGCTACGATCATGCCACTGTACTCCAGCCTGGGTGACAGAGCAAAGAAGTCTTTGCAGTGCCTTGGAATGAAAAGGAGAGGATAACAATTTGCTACCTTTGTTTGAAATATGGCAAAAGAGAACCAGAGGATAGAGAGATGATGAAGACCCAGTAAAGGGCTATAAAAATCAATGAAGGCATTGGATTCTAGATAAAGTCACTGAATGCAGAGACACAAGTAACAGGATAGGTTGGGTTTGGTTTAAAGGAGAAGGAAGAGATAAATATATATATGCTAAAATTTGGCTTTTCCTCCTGTAATTAAGGATGTTAATGATTGGGTTGGGCCACCAAATGATAATGGAGTAACTAAAGAAGTTACTATTAATCCAGACACTACTTGTGGCAATGACTGGGTCTGTGAACATCGATGGCGCCAAATAAGGTGAGAATATGTATTTAGACATGTCCTCTAATAGTAAATTTCCGTAGCACTTTATTTAAAACAGTTGAAGTTTAAGAATATCAACGTTTTATATGGTATTGTGTTTTTAGGAACATGGTTAATTTCCGCAATGTAGTGGATGGCCAGCCTTTTACAAACTGGTATGATAATGGGAGCAACCAAGTGGCTTTTGGGAGAGGAAACAGAGGATTCATTGTTTTCAACAATGATGACTGGTAAGTAAATATCAATTAAAAATAATATTTTGTACCAGTATGTTCTTGGTTTATTCTTTTTTTTTTCTGTTCATTGACATTTATCATATCTGAAAAATCATGTAGTCAGTGGAGCGAGAAGACAATAGAGATCAAAATTGGGTAGAAGCAAAAGGATGATGGCTGTTACTCCTTCGTTCTCCTGTTTTCATAAGTGCTTTCTGTTGTAAGCAGAATCCTTTCTGTGCACCCTTGCAATATCTTATGCATATATAGAATGCACATTCATATGCTTACCTACACATGCCACAAAATACACAAAGTAATTAATAGAAGGATTGTGAAATCATTAAAAGAACGTTTCTTATAGTCCTGCTCTTTTAATCATGGAAAAATGCTGCCTCAGTACTAAAATATCTTTATTTCTCTTTTTCTCAATGACAGCTCTACCTAGTTTTTTGGTATACTTTCTTCACTTCTCTGTCTCCTTGTGACAAATAACATTTTTAAAGCATATGGATAAATAATATGTATCTTGTGGTTAATGATTTGCTTCAGGAGACTTGAGTTTTAGTTCTGAAACTTCTCATTATTGGCCTTTCATCTGTGATTTTTGTATCCTTTGGCTGTAGTATAAATGATTCCCGAAACTGTAGCTGAGAAGACCTCCTTGCAAACAGTTGAATTGTCTCTGTCCAAGGCCAACTGACACTCATACTTAGCTCACTCTAGTATAAATTATACTTCACTTATGAAAAATAAATAAATACAAAAATATATAAGTCAAGTTGATCTCTTTCCTGCCAAAAAAATGCGTGTCTATTTCCTTAGTTTCCTTCTTTTGTGGATGAAAATACCAAAAAAATCTTTTGTGAAAAAGCTTTATATTTCAAACTATCACTTCCTCATACAAATGCTAGACTGTTTTTATGTACACCCTAAATTCTTTTTGACCTCATGTAGAATAAAAGAAGGTTAAAAAAATAATACCCTTTAAATTTTTAAAGTAATTGGCATTAAGTTCAGTTGAGAAAAAATTTGATTTTACCAAGGTAGCACTTTATCAAAATGTGACCGCTCCCGCCAATCTTCGGTGATATTCTTCAACTTTGATTTTTCGGTTATATTTTCACTACTGAAAAGGAAATTGGTAGGTTTTCTGTAAGGTTACTTTTGGTCCTAGAAAGCTGTTTACACCTACTAGGGAGGCATATGGGTTTTCTTCTTAATGAGACTTCACTGCTTAGGGTTCTAAAACATAAAGTTATGCTGTTTATTTGTGTTAGTCTGTATTCTTGATTTCATTGTTTTGAAGTTAAATCTGAAATTTTATTTTACAGGACATTTTCTTTAACTTTGCAAACTGGTCTTCCTGCTGGCACATACTGTGATGTCATTTCTGGAGATAAAATTAATGGCAACTGCACAGGCATTAAAATCTACGTTTCTGATGATGGCAAAGCTCATTTTTCTATTAGTAACTCTGCTGAAGATCCATTTATTGCAATTCATGCTGAATCTAAATTGTAAAATTTAAAATTAAATGCAAATCCGCAAAGCAATAGCTAAGTGTGTTTCTTTTCTTACATATACAGTAATAGTTACATATCATTAATTTTAAATAAAAGCTCTAATTAGTAAAAAGAGGTTTAAGACACTTGATAGTATGAAATACAATTCCAGGTTACACATAAGTTATTTATTTTGGCAAAAGGATGACTCAAAAATTTTAAAACTAGGCAACAATCTTTACTCATTAAGAGGTAAGACTTAGCTTTCCAAACAGTTTGTCTCCTGTCTACTCTTTTCTCTCCTTGGCATTCTACCAACAAGGCAAACCAAATATTTCATTATTCTTCTCTATTACATGAAAAATCTGTACAAGGGAAGGAAAGCCAAATTTTACCCTTACATAGGTTTCAAAAGAATCCTTTTTCCATAGGCAACATTTACATTTTTATGCCTTTTTATAATCTTTTACCACAAACACATTTAAGTGTTCCTACACACCTTGCATGTAAATTTATTTTTAGTTGTCTTATTTACATATTTTTATGGTCAATCTTAGCAATTTTTAACTTTAATGTAAACCTGGTAAGTTGTTTTAATTATGTACTAGATGCAGATAAAGTCTGACTTTTTCCATTCTAGTTAGGGCATGGTTAATTTCATATGTCCCCAGGCCTTACCAAGTTGTAAAGTAGGCAGCCTACAACCTTGAAATATTTAGCAAGCCTTTTATCTAATTTATGTGATTTAAACCTGCTATTTACATATTGATGATATTTGCATTTTCCAATTTGATCTTTAAAACAGTTTTTATTTCTTAGAGTTTAAAAACACATAAACTAAAAGGCATTACGGTTTTAACTTTCCTCTAAAATATTTGATTTAAGTGCTTATTTTTATTTAAGGCAATCAATTGGTCCTCGTTACAGACATCACACACAACACATATATTGCTACACAGACAAACAGAAGAAGATCCAGTAGCTCTAAGATTTCTTCTCGTCCCATTTCCTAATTGCATTACTGGCTTCCCAGTAGAGCCCTTTAAGAACAGGGATAGCAAACCACGAAGTTTCTAGGGCCTAATCAACTTGTATAGCTGTAAGACAAAAACAGATTTTGAGCAGGATTGATCAGCCTCTAGATTCTGGGATTCCATGAGGAAAACAGAGGTTTCTCCCAAAATGGAATCCATCATGCATTTTCTGTTTTTCCCAAAACGTTTCAGGCCACCAGAAGTTATCTTGTGTGCATTAAGAGTGGAAAGACAGAGTGGAGAACAGTAATTCAGTCAATGGAAAAGTTCTTTTCAAGAAAAACACGATCCAAGAAGACAAAAACATGCAGGTCTTTTAAATATACCTATAACTTGAATATCCACTTTTAATCAAGCTCAGCACCCTTTCAGAAAATCCTTTGACATCTTCTGTTTCCTGACTTTAGCTAAATCAAGCAGGTAATATTTCTGGCTTTTGAATTTTACCAAAGGTAACATCACAGGGGAAACTAAAAACTCTCCGTTAGGTTATAAGTTCACCGTTAGTATACAAGATATTTTATAAGTGGTGGTAAGCAGCTTTTACCAGATCTAGAACCTTTAAAGTCAGTTGAGAGAAAGGAAGATTTCAGAAAGGCAGTTAGAGTTTTTCATGGCGGAGCACGAGATGATTAAACGTCACACAGTTGTTAACTGGAAAGTATTCATCACCCAGGCTGGGATTGAACCTGGGTCACCATTGTAAAAAGGCAACGGCTGAAAAGTGGTACTACCACATGGTTACAGGTTATGCTTAAGGACATAAAACAAGTCGGAGACATGCAGCAAAGTTTGTTACTGACCAGTTTATGAGGGTGTCTTGAACAGTGAGCTCAAGGAGTCTCAGGCCTGGATTCCATTCCAAGGTACCCTCTGTCTGACTTTTTCTTCTATTTTCTCTCCTTTTCCTGAGCCTCCTCCTAGTACGTCTTATGAAAGACTGAGGTGGCTACTCTTAGAAGGTTTTCTAAGGTGCCTTCTAGTCCTATAGCCTGTTTCTGTAGCTTCCTTCAAATATCAGGAGCTGCTTGAGTAAACCTGTCTTTCAAGATGAGCTGTCCCTCAATTGAATTACGAGATAGGGAAGCATGTTTTGCCAAAGTCTCTCTCAGCCTTTATAAAAAGGCTGAGGGATTTTCATCTGGGTTTTGATCTATCATGGATAGCTTAGAGTAGTTAACAGGTTTGGCTCTGGTCCCCTGTAAGACTTCTACCGTATACATCTGAAAGTGTTTCTATTTTTCAATCATCTATGGGCTTAGTAGAGTTCCAATTAGAGTTTTCAAGGGATACTGCCTCTTTTCCTACTGGGAATGGGGATTCTGCCTGTTTCTCACCCTCTTTCCCTTTTTGACTGGCTATAGGAAACATGCTGCTCATCTCTGATTTTTTCTGCTACCTGTAGGGCTGCCTGTCTCTCAACAGCAGTTAGGGTTTCAGAGTAACATAACATCCTTCTAGGAGAGTTTAAATACTTGGGTTATATCCTGGAAGGCCTCTATACATGAGAGAAGTTGGCACTTGCCCAGAGCGAACTTCAGGCTCTGAAGTCTAAAGAATAACTCAAGGGGAATGCAGGCTTGAAGATGGGGTGTTACCCATGCATAAAAAGAGGGGAGTAGAAGGTGTCCCTTAGTCTCCTTTCAACTTTTGAAGTGACCCAGGTTGAAGAGAAAGATTACAGGGGTGTCCCTCTTCTCTTTCCTCCCATCTCCTTTGGGTCCTGGCAACCATCATAGGTGCAGCCCATGGATGCAAGCATGAATTGCACCCATGTATCTGGAGGTGCTAGTTGGCAGGGGTAGTCATGCTTACCAGCACAATGCCTCATCTCACTGCCCTTCTGGGTTCCTAGGCCTCCCAGGAGATTGTACAGTAGATAAAGTTGGGTGAGACACTTTAACAGAGGGAGTGTTTTAACCCTATTCCTGCTTCCTCTAGCTATGGCCCTGGAAAAGCAGTGCATTCCCAGAAAATTTTACCCATTGCCTTTTAAACACAAAATCCCCTTTCTGATTAAATGCCAATGTTGTTGGAAGCAGAACAGGTGCCTCAAAAGAACATATGGATTTAATGGCTGTCCTCCTTCTGATGGGAACAGCACTGAGGCTAGAATTTGTCTCTCAAGGGTGGCTTCCTCCCAACTGTTGAATGCGGAGTTTTTTTCCCTACAAATGGGGCATAGAGTCTGCTTGCTGACAGAGGAACACAAAAGTGGAAGAAATCTGGGTATTAGAGGTTTTTGGCAAAGGGCCAACAAGACTCTATGCAGAAAAAAATCCTATCTCATGAGGTGGTGCTGTAGGTTTTGAAAATTTAGGTAAAATCTGTGACTCTAAATATTGATTAAAAATCTTAAATCAATATTTGAAAGTTCTTAAATATGGATTTGAGTTTCTTAAAGTAGTCAAACTTGTTAACTTCTGTCCCTAAGAGATCTAAATTCCTATTTTAAATGAAATTCAATTAGCTACATGTCTACAAGAAAAGGCATATATTACTCTTTTATTCAGATCACTCTCGTAAAAAAATTACCTGAGTAGCATCATTGTAGTTCTCGATATCTCCACTTCCAGTTTTACATTTACCATCATTGAAATCCCATCCAGAATATGGGACTGCTGGAAAGTCCCTACTTCCAGGGTTGAAGTAACTTCCACAGGTACTGCTTGTTCCTGCACTCACAGCGTTACCACACATATGATTAATTACAGCATCCACATAAATACGAACCTAGAAAACAAAGTTTCTACTTCAGTGTGACTTACAGAGAGGTAGAAATTTAAAGCATTATTGATGCAAGTTTATAGTATGTTAATAAAACTCCAAAATATTTCATGATATCTTATAATTATTTTCCTACAAGATCTAATTCCTATCTCTAGTGTTCTTACTTTCCCTACCTCACTATGTTGTAAAAGTTAAGAAGCTATGATTCATAACAGCATTTTTACAGAAGAGCTGAGTCTTTTTGGGCAGTGCCTCTAAGGTAAAGGTGTAATCACAGCCTCAAGAAAGTATCCGTAAAAAGGAATCAAATAGAACAAAAGGAAGTTTTCCTACTTATATACAGCTGAAACTCATTTCATTAAAGGAACAGAATAATTTTATGTGGGAAATATTTTCACCTTTGAGTGATGTTCTGACAGATGAAAGATTTGGGGGTACAAAAATAGAAGACTGTATTATGGCAAGGATACAAATTTTCTAAATTGGGATAAATACCCTACTTCCAAAAAACCAAAAGCCCAATAAAACTCAATGCCAGACAAGTATAAAATAATTATAAAAAAGATTACAATAAAAAAAGTGAAACTGCATTGATATCCATGTAAGAATTTTTAAAGGCAGTTTTTATAATCATAAATAAAATATATTATAAAATTGCCTTAAAAAGAAATTATGTAATCATCTAGTTATGTTCTGCTGCACATCTTAAACCAGGTAAACAAAAAATGCAAACACTATTCCATTGGAAAGAAAACAATTTATTATATCTGAGGAAAGTCATTACAATACATGTAATATATTTCCAATTTACTGATTTAAAGGCGTATGGATTTAATTTTTAAATACACTTTCAAAGCTGTTATGCACAGTTCCATAGTCCAGGTGGTCAATTTCTTCTTCTCAAAGTTGCAAAGCACTTGAAGGACATGGGAATCCAAAGAAACCTAAAAACATCATAAAAGCCCATTAAAAATAGTAAGTATAACACAGGTCATTAGTTTAAAAATAACTGAGAGCTGAACCATTTATATTTAGAAAATTAGTGAATCATGTCAGTTTAACAAAATTTATGTAAATGAACTGCTTATAAAGAAACTGATTTATAACATTTACAAAATCATTTCAACTATGCCTATAGAAAAATAATTACATTTTCAATATCTATAGGTTTTGTACTTTTAAGGTGATAATAACCAAATTTTCAATTGTTTTCATAGAACTAAGAATAGTATCAGATTTTTCAACAAAGAAACACAGAGGCGCCAACCCTTTATTTTCCTAGTTATTAATATCAGGTTGGGTGCCTATGTTGATACTAGGTACCTAACCATTTTACTCTAACAAACGAGTATCCAAACTGCTCAGTCCTTAGAATTACTAAGGAAACCTTTTCAAATCTGATTCTGATACTCCATTCCCAGAGATTCAGTTGTATTAGTTCTAGGATAGAGTATAGGAATCTTAATTCATAAAAACTCTTCCTTGGTGGTTCTCAAACTTGGTTGCACATTAAAATCAGCTTGAGAGGTTCATTCCAACATCTGTGCTACACTCTCAACACATCAAATGAAAATTCTGACCAAGGGAACCAGGCATCAACACATTTCTTAAGGACTTTTTTAGGAGGGAGAGGTTCTTACTCTGTCAACCAAGCTAGAATGCAGTGGAGTGATCATGGCTCACTGCAACCTCAACCTCGGGGGCTCAAGTGATCCCCTTGCTTTAGTCTCCCAAGTAGCTGAGACCAGAGGTGCAAGCTATTTATTACTAGCTATTTGTCCAAAGGTAAATAAATGAGTATATCAAAGAGATAACCACACTCTCATATTTATTGCAATATTCACAATAGCAAAGATATGAAATCAACCTCTGTCCATCAATGGATGAATGAATAAAAACAACATGGTATATATATACACAGTAGAATACTTTTTGTCCATAAAAAAGAATGAGATTTTATCATTTACAGCAAGATGGATGGAACTGGAAGTCATTGTGTTGGGTGAAATAAGCCAGGCACAGAAAAACAAGTATCACATATCCTTATTCTTACATGAAAACTAAAAATATTGATCTCATGGAGGTAGAGAATAGAATTATAGATAGATACCAGAGGCTGGAAAGTTTCTCTGGGTGGGAGGAATAAAGAAAAGTTTGTTAATAGGTCCAAACATACAATTACTTGGAAGACATATGTTCTAATATTTCATAGCAGAGTAAGGTGACTACATATAAACAGCAATGTATTGTATATTCCAAAATAGCTAAAGGACTTGAAATGTTCTTAACATATGGAAATAATACTTGAGATTATGGACACCCTGGTTACTTTGATTTGATCATTATAAAGCTTAGGCAAGTAACAAAATATTACATTTACCCTATGTGCATGTACAACTATATTAATGAAAAAATAGTCTTCTACAATAAAATTTTATTATTGTTAATCTAATTGAGAATTCATGATGATTTAAAGATTATTTGGCAAAAATGTTGCCTGTGCAAAGCAAGCTTTCCTTCCTATGTTGTGCAAATTATTAAAGTAATATAAATATGTATATAACTTCAAAAAATGATATTTCAAAATATTGTTCTACAACACTCAAGCTTTTAATGTCACTGATATTATGTTTTCCAGTAACAGGTAATAATTTAGCACTCCCTGTAAGTTAAGTTCTCTATTAGCGTATTTATTTTTTCCAACAAACTTACAGACTGGATATTTAGGTCCAAAAACTTTAAATAGCTTGTCTCGCATTACTTAGCAAATATATTGTATTTTTGAGATCTGACTTCAGACTCTATCTGTTGTATTACGCTAGTACTCCAATGCTAATCTCATTTTAATCCACTACAGGAGAACTATTTACTCTCTCTCTGGAAAATTTTAGCACAGCTTTTTATATGATTTTCTGAAATACATATAGTATTATTTATATATATATTATTATTTATAT
Source organism: Homo sapiens (assembly GCF_000001405.40). Lineage (NCBI taxonomy): Eukaryota > Metazoa > Chordata > Mammalia > Primates > Hominidae > Homo > Homo sapiens. The sequence continues at coordinate 103,671,223 of NC_000001.11, forward strand.
ATTATATATAAATATATATAAATATACATAATATATAATATATAAATAATATTTCTATCAAGTTTATTTTTTATCTATGCATATTCTTAAGCTCCTAATTTTCTTTATCGTATTTTCCCTAAAATGTATTCAAACTCAACTTAATTAGATTTTTAGTTTTATGGTGGTATAATTCACAAATTAAAATTATATATATTCAACGTGTACAATGTGAGGTTTTGAGTTTTTTTTAATTAGCCCTAGTTGAGAAAGGCAAATGCTTAATGGTACATACTAAAAAGTATTCAGGACAAGGCTGCTTAACATAAACTTGCTAATTACCAATCAATAGACTACTCAAATGCTTTTTTGATAAACAAAAGCTACAATTGTAGGTAGCGTATTTTTACTGGTTTCCTTTACACTGAAGCATTTTTTCAACTAATATATATCTTACAAATAGTAAAATACATAAATCTTAAGCATATAGCATTATAATTTTTATAAGTGTATATATCCCTATCACCACCACCCAAATCAAGCAAGATATGGACGATTTCCAGCTCCCACACCCCTGGCTCTCGCACTTTCTCAACCAGTTACTCACCAATGGTCATCATTATCATGAAATCTATCACGATGGATTTCCCTACTCCTCAATTTCATATAAATGGAAACTTGCTGTATGTAATCTTTTGAGTCTGACTTGTTTCACTCAGTTGAAATTTGTGAGAATCATCTATGTTTTGTGTAGCAGCAGTTCATTGTTTAATTGCTGTGTGGTATTCATCGCGGGAAGCAAAAGTAATTTATTTATTCATTCTACTGTGAATGGGCATTTGTGTTGTTTTTAGTTTAGAAGTTATGACACATCAGTGATTTTATTTGATAAGAACCCTAGGAGTTGCTGAGTTATATAGAATTGATTGCCTTACACATGTTGTTTACGTTTTGCCTACTATTTTATATATTTCATCCTTGATCTGTTTGTCTCGCTACTGTTTGGAACAAACCTGGAGCTCCTTATAGGAAATTGATATCTTTTTTTTTCTTTTCTCAACTTCTATTTTAGGTTCAGGAGGTACATGGGCAGGTTTGTTACGTGGGTAATTGCATGTTGCTGGGGTTTGGTGTACAAATGATTTCATCACCCAGCTAGTGAGCATAGTCCCCAGCAGGTAGTGTTTTGACCCTCACTCTCCTCTCACCCTGCGCCCATCAAGTATATTTTAAAAGGACTTTCACAATCAAGCTAATTAACATATTCATGTCTTCACATAGTTATCATGTGTTGGGAAAGGGTAATAGTTAAGATCTACACTCAGTGAACTTAAAGCATACATTATTACTAACTATTTTTACCCTGTTGTGCATTAGACCTCCATAACTTATTCATCTTATAATGGCAAGTTTTCATTGTTGTACCTGTAGTATTTTTCATTCTCTGCCTGGCTTATTTCACTTGGCATAATATCCTCTAGGCTCGTTCATTTTGTTGGAAATGGCAGAATTTCATTCTTTTAAATACGGAATAATATTCCGTTGTAGATAGATAGATAGATAAATAGACAGATAGATGATAGATATCATAATTTACATACCTACTCATCTGTCAACACTTAGATTGTTTCCATATTTTGGTTTTTGTGAATAAAGCTGCAATGAACACAGGAATGCAGATATCTCTTCAAGATAGTGATTTTATTTCTATCGTATATAAAAGGAAAAGTATATAAAAGGTATATACCCTTTTTTTGAGATGGAGTCTCACTCTGATGCCCATGCTGGAGTGCAGTGATGCAATCTTGACTCATGGCAACCTCTGTCTCCCAAGTTCAAGCAATTCTCCCTGCCACAGCCTCCCAAGTAGCTGGGATTACAGGTGCCAACCACCACGCTGGGCTAATTTCTGTGTTTTTTAGTAGAGATGCGGTTTTGCCATGTTGGCGACTCTGGTCGTGAACTCCTGACCTCAGGTAATCTGCCTCCCTCACCTCTCAAAGTGCTGGGATTACAGGTGTGAGCCAACACACCCACAGGTATATACTTTTATGCCTAAAAGTATAATTTCTGTAACATACGGTACATCTTTAATTATTTGAGGAGTGTCCATGCTGTATTCCATAATGGTTGTACCAATTTACATTCCCACCAAAACTCTATAAGTGTTCTCTTTTCGACACATTCTTGTCAACACTATTTATCTTTTGCCTTTTTGATATTAGCTATTTTGAAAGATGTAATGTGACATCTCATTTTGATTCCAGTTTATATTTCCCTCATGTTTAGTGATTTTGTGCACCTCTTCATTCATGTGTTGGCCGTGTGTAAATCTTCCTTTGAAAAAATGTCTATTCAGGTCTCTTGCTCATGTTTTAATCAGGTTACTTTTTTTCTGATTATGAGTTTCTTATATGTTTTAGATATTAATGCATTATCAGATATATTGTTTTCAAGTACATTCTACCATTCCATGGGTGACTTTTTATTTATTTATTTATTTATTTATTTATTTACTGTGCCACAATCTTTTAGTTTGATGTAGTTGTATGTGTTTATTTTTGTTTATCTTGTCTATACATTGGGATTCATAGCCAAAATATCATGCCAAGGTCAATGTTATGGAGGATTTCCCCTGTTTTCTTCTAGGGATTCTTTGGTTTCAGATGTTATGTTTAAATTCCTTTTCAATTTTCAATTTATTCCTGTGCATAGCATAACACTCCAATTTCATTCTTTTGCATGTGGGCCTCCAATAATTCCAACGCTATTTATTGAAGAGACTATCCTGTCTCCATTAGGTGTTTTGGGCATGTTATTGAAGATTCTTTGACGATATTGGTGTAGGCTTTCTATTCTGCTCCATTCTTCTATGTGACTGTTTTCATACCAGTATCATATATATATATATATATTACTGTAGTTTAGTAATATAACTTGAAAGTGAGAAGTGTGGTACCTCCTACTTTGTTCGTCTTGCTCAAGATCAGTTTGGGTAATTATAGTCTTTTGTAATTTCATACAAATTTTAGGATTTATTTCTGTTTCTGGAAAAATGCCATTGGACTTTTGATAGGGATTACATTGAATCTGTAGATTGCTTTGTGTAATAGCATTTTGACAATATTAATTTCTCACATTGATGAACACAGAATGTCTTTCAATTTCTATTACTTTTCTACTCTCTATTTCTCTATTTTGCTTTGATCTTTCTTATTTTCTTTCTTCTATTAACTTTGGGCTTAGTTTGCTCTTCTTTTTTTCTAGTTCCTTGAGGTTTAATGATAGATTGTTTATTTGAAATATTTGTGTTTTTTTTAATGTAGGTGTTTGTCATTTCAAATTTTCATCTTAGCACTGTCTTACTGCATCCCACAAGCTTTGGTGTATTGTGTTTTCATTTTTGTATCAAGATTTCTTTATTTTCCTTTTTATTTCCTTTTTAAACCACCAGTTTTTAAGAATTGTGTTATGTTCACTTCTTTTTGAATTTTCCAGTTTTCCTCCTGTTAATTGATTTCTAGTTGTATACCATTGTGGTCAAAAGAGATACTTGATAAAATTTCAATCTTCTTAAATGTATTAAGACATTTTGTGACTTCAAGTATGCTCTATTTTAGAGGATGTTTCTTGTTAGCTTGAAAAGAACACCTGTTCTCCGGCTGTGGATGAAATGTGAACATACATCTGTTAGGTCCGTTTGGTCTAAAGTGCAGATCAAGTCTAATTTTTTTTTCCTAACAGATTGTCTGTCTAAATGATCTATCCATTGTTGTAATTGGAGTATTGATAATTTCAACAGTGTCAATAAGGTTACCTATATCTGTAGTATTATTGATTGCTCTGTATCTCTCCCTCCAGATATTAATGTTTGCTTTACATTTTCAAGTGCTCTAATGTTAAGTGCATATTTATTTATAATTGTTTCATCCCTTTAATCAACTCATCCCTTTATCATTATATAGTGACCATCTTTATCACCTGTTAGAGTTTTATCTTAAGGTATATTTTGCCTGATATAAGGATAGTTATCCATGTTGTTTTTTTGTTTTAATTTGCATGGAATATCAAATTTTCTCATCCCCTAAATTCACACCATATGTGTCCTTGAAGCTGAAGTGAGTCTCTTGTAGGCAGTATATTGTTGGGTCTCCTTTTGTAATCCATTCAGCCACTCTGGCTTTTGAATGTAGAATAGAATGAATTTATCTTCAAGGTAATTATTGATAGATAAGAACATACAATTGACATTTTGTTCATTGCTTTTCAGCCTTTTAACATATTTTTGTTCCTTTATTTCTCCCTTGCTGTCGTTCTTTGAGATTTTATGATTTTCTGTAGTGACATGCTTTGATTTCTCTTTGTCTTTTGGGTATCTACTATAGGTTTTTGCTTTCCGAATAGCATGAAGCTTATACATACTATCTTGTAGTTGGAGCAAACTATTTTAAACTGAGGTTTGATCATATTCAAAACTCTATACTTTTACTCAGCCCACTATATTTTATATATTTGGTGTCACATTATATATTTTTAATATTCTATATCTATTAACAAATTATTGTAGCTATAATTATTATTATTTTGGATTTTAAGCTTCATACTAGCAATAAAACTGATTTACACACCACTACTACACTATTAGAGTGTTCTGTATTTTTTATATATTTACCTTAATCAATGAGTTTCATACTTTTCTGTGCTTTCATGTTGCTCTATAGCAAACTTTTGCTGCAAATTCAGAAATTCTTTAAAATAATTATTTTGAATTCTTTGTCAAGAAGTTTATAGATTTTTGTATTTTTGCAAGGTTTTTCATGTCAAATAATTGTTTTAAAGGAGAGTAATTAGTTACAAGAGAATAAATAGGCAATTCAACCAAAACTTGAAAAAAAACAAAACACAAACCAATTGAGAAGTTCCACAGACAGATTGAAAAAATAGAACCCAAACTAAAATTCTAGAGCTAAAGCATAAAATAAATGAAATAAAGAATGTAAAATGAAGAATCAACAGCAAAATTGAGCAAGAAGAAAGAATCTGTGAATTTGTTTCAGTCAGGAGCAACCTGCAAAGGGTATTTCAGAGATAAGATCTCTTCATCCTAGAAAATATCAGTAGTCTCTTTCACCACAAGTTCAGCTGACAAAGAGACTAAACCAGTTCATCTTCCTTCTAGTCTTATTCCTCGGCCATTTGCCAATAAAGAGAGTGAATAGATTGAAGGTCAACTGCTTTAATTACGTCCTCACACTGCTGAATGAAGTTTGTTCAACAATTGCCAAGCTGATCATCTAGCATATTCTTTGCTATTGCTTACAACACGTCCTGACTTCTAAAATTAGATTTGTACATAGGCTCAAAGCCCAGCATATCCCAGTAGCTCACTGTTCAAAGTAATAAATATTTGATTAGGTCTTTAAGGCTAAAGACCTCAAAATTTCTAAGAAGTTTGTGCCATAGACAAAATCTGTTGGTTATTTTCTTTATATATAAGTCCACCTTTTACTGTATTAGTATTTCTATACTGGTCCTTTTTTTTTTTTTTTTTTTTTTTTTTTTTGTGAGATGGAGTGTCACTCTATCTCCCAGGCTGGAGTGCAGTGGTGCAATCTCCACTCACTGCAAACTCCGCCTCCCAGGTATGGGCCATTCTCCTGCCTCAGCCTCCTGAGTAGCTGGGACTACAGGCACCCACCACCATGCCTGGCTAATTTGTTTTGTATTTTTAGTAGAGACAGGGTTTCACCATGTTAGCCAGGATGGTCTGGATCTCCTGAACTCATGATCCTCCGGCCTCAGCCTCCGAAAGTGCCGGGATTACAGACGTGAGCCACCGAGCCTGGACTCTATACTGGTTCTTATAACTTATTTGGGCTGGAAATCTCATAGTTTTAACATAGATGAAGGGGTTATTTTCCTATAGATTTTGATTTTTTTGTTACATTCAATTTTTATTAAAGGGGAGTTGGAGTGGAAATACTTTTGCTCTGCATCTTCAAATACAAAAAATGAAACATTTCAAAAGACCTACCATGCCATAACTGAAATTTCTGTGGTTTGAAGAAATCTACCAAAAAAAAAAAATTGCTTCAACTATATATGTTTGATTTTTTTGTGAATTAGCTAAAAGTTTTGTAAGACTTTATATTAACTTTGGAAAGATGCGAAAAGCTTTTGAAAAGCAAATGATTACATTTCTAGTTATTGTTTTGAATTCTAAAAGTGTGTGAATGACACAGGCAAATATAAGTGTAAAAACAAGGGTAAGAAAAGGAAAACCACAACTGATCTTTACATTCACTTTTAACTATTTTAAATAAGAATCATCAATGGAGTTCAATTTTATGGTCAGTGATAAGGAATTTAATTCACTTCAAGAAGAGAGCAAAAAATACTGCATTAGATTATGTAGGCATTTTAAAAATATATACTTTTGGTTAATATTTTTATATATTTTGGATTAACTAGAGAATCAAAGGTAAAATTATCCTAAGGCCTAAGAAATTATTGGCCAGTTTCCACTAAATGATAAGTTTTCTGGAGAAAATGCAATACCTGTTTTATCTTTTTACCTCTCATATCTAGAATTATACATTGCTGGTGGTGTGCATTGTACTGCTGTCAATTTGTGATAGAAATATTTAAACAATGTTTTGCATTTCTCTGATGGCCAGTGATGATGAGCATTTTTTCATGTGTCTTTTGGCTGCATAAATGTCTTCTTTTGAGAAGTGTCTGTTCATATCCTTTGCCCACTTTTTGATGGGGTTGTTTGTTTATTTCTTGTAAATTTGTTTGAGTTCATTGTAGGCTGGAGAGGATGTGGAGAAATAGGAACACTTTTACACTGTTGGTGGGACTGTAAACTAGTTCAACCATTGTGGAAGTCAGTGTGGCGATTCATCAGGGATCTAGAACTAGAAATACCATTTGACCCAGCCATCCCATTACTGGGTATATACCCAAAGGACTATAAATCATGCTGCTATAAAGACACATGCACACGTATGTTTATTGCGGCACTATTCACAATAGCAAAGACTTGGAACCAACCCAAATGTCCATCAATGGTAGACTGGATTAAGAAAATGTGGCACATATACACCATGGAATACTATGCAGCCATATAAAAGGATGAGTTCATGTCCTTTGTAGGGACATGGATGAAACTGGAAATCATCATTCTCAGTAAACTATCACAAGGACAAAAAACCAAACACCACATATTCTCACTCATAGATGGGAATTGAACAATGAGAACACATGGACACAGGAAGGGGAACATCACACTCTGGGGACTGTTGTGGGGTTGGGGGAGGGGGGAGGGTTTAGCATTAGGAGATATACCTAATGCTAAATGATGAGTTAATGGGTGCAGCACACCAGCATGGCACATGTATACATATGTACTAACCTGCACATTGTGCACATGTAACCTAAAACTTAAAGTATAATAATAATAAAACAAAGAAATATTTAAACAATGTTTTTAAATAATATTCTCCTAATTAATTAGTATTTCTCAATTACAATGTCAGTGTTTTCTTTTCATTTATACCATGTCATTTGTCACTAAAGACCCTAAATATTCTTTCTAATGAGTTAAAAGAACATGAATAGCAAATTTTCAGCAAAACAATACTTGTCAAACAGAAAGATGGAAAAAGAAATCCTATTTAGTTTAAAATACAGAGAGGACTGACACTGATGGAATACAAATGTCTAAGAAAGAAGTGTACAGAATTCCTATAGTAACACTGAATTTTTGTAAAATATACCTCCAGGAACAGAGGCTCCATTTTAGATATCATTGTGTGTGAAAAGCATTCTTTCTTAGCAAAGTTCCAATATTCCTCTTCAATTTCAATATGACATTTTATTCTAAGGTTAATAGATATTACTAATGTCCTAATTGTCCTAATATGTAGAATATCAGCTACAACAAGACAAGAAATATACAGCAGATAATTCTGTGGCTTTAATGTTATTGCGAGACTAACAGAGAAATCAATTTGGACTCAATGTAAGATCTTCATACATTCAGTCCCAAATAAGTCCCAAATAAGGCATTGCCATTGTGAAAAACTTTGAGTTTAGGTCTGGTAAGATAAGTTACTAAATATTAATAATAATCACAGCACTCTGTTAAGGCACATATCTCAAAATATGTCTAAAATGTAAACATTGTAACAAGTGCTATATATTTGGACAACATTATAAATACATTTGGATGACTGAGTGAAACATGTCGGTTTCCAGCAGAATTATTTATACGTGTGTGCCAGAGGACAGGGAGCTTGGAGCAGTTCTAGGCACTGAAGCAAGTTTAAAGCAACAACCCCAGACAGTCCAAAAAGGAGGTAAATAATGTGTGTTTTAGTCTGTTTGGGATACAATAACCAAATACCATAAATTGAGTGGCTTATAAAAGCAGAAATTTATTTTCCACAGTTCGGGAGGCTAAATTCAAAATCAAGCAGATTTTGTGTCTGGTGAAGACTAACTTCATAGTTCCTAGAGGGCAGCTTGTGGCTGTGTCCTCATTTGCTGGAAAAGGCAAGCATCTTATTCATAATAGCACTAAAAAGAGTTCCACTCCCAAGTTCCTAATACTATGCCCTCAGGTGTTAAAATTTCAACATATTACATTTGGGGGTGCACATTCAGACCATAACAATGTGTGATTATTGAAATAATTCTAACAGTGTTGTCATTACTAACAGCTAATGATGGATTCATTGAGACTTCTGAAGTGTTCCTGCTTGCCTACAGGGTTTACTATAATACATACATATATATATATATATATATAGCAAGGAAACTGCAATATATATATACTGTAATGTATATAGTAATATATTTCTTGTTCTGAGAATAAGACAAGATCATGAGGTTGTATCCTAGAATGAAGTTTAATGCCTATAAGATTCCAAGAAACGTAATCCATGTAATCAGAAATGTTTTATTTCTTCATGGTGGATTTCTCGACATGATCAGAAGCTGTACTGATGGTATAATTCAACTAATGAGAAAGACTGCAAGAGTCAAGAACTTTCTTCTTCTCAAGAGATTGAGAAACCATTAGGGAAAAAATCTCATAAAGAAAGAAAGGCAAAACTTTGTCAAAGGATAAAGGACAACAAATGATTCTGAGATCTAAATAGTGTCTCTTGACCTCAGACTTGTTGTTCTTGTTGTTGTTGTTGCTTGGCAAGTCCACAGACTGATGGTTAAGGCCAGAGAAGGAAATTATGCATACAAACTGAAAATCTTTGTCATAAATTTGGATTAAAAAGCAACAATGATTTGAGACCTAACGTAGCACATCACTGTTGAGGGAAAGAGATTCTTCACAAACAAAACAAGACTTTGGCATACAAAGAGCTTCCACCCATCAGTAAGTAGATGAGTTCCATTAGTGGTTTTGCCGTGAAAGAAGAACTTCAATACAGCATGACCTTTTTACAAAAAGCATTAGCATCAGCAGGAAAGAGACTGTTCCTATACTGATTAAAAGGCAATTTCACCTGGCTGCTTAACAGGCACCTCAGGAGCCATAATATAAAGAAGGAACATAGCTGGTACTGCATGATTCTGAGGAATATGTTCAGACATGAGATATGGTACCCAGCCCTTCAGATAGAGAATTTGGAGGCATTGAAAGCAAGCTGTAAGTGCCACAGTAATAAACGGTGTCAGTCTTAGACACACAATGAAACATAAAACTTGGAACTCATTTTCACTTAAATCTGGAAGTTAATACCTCACTCGAGAAACAAAGCTGCTCTTTAAAGAACACATTCTATTCAACAAGGCTGCACTTTCAGGGAGAATAACAGATTAATTACTCATGAGTCCAGGATATGATGAACAATTAAGATTACGTGGAAATAGAAGACCCTGGAGACATAAAGGGACATGAGGGACATATATGTGTGAGAGAAGGTGAAAGTGAGTACAGAGAAAAACAGTTTTGGAGAAAGACTACAGAACAAAAGAAGCAGTCAGTTAGGCTGGGTGCAGTGGCTTACGCCTGTAATCCCAGCACTTTGGGAGCCTGAGGCAGACGTATCAACTGAGGTCGAGAGTTTGAGACCAGCCTGATTAACACGAAGAAACCCCATCTCAGGATCCCTTGAAGCCGGGAAGCGGAAATTGCAGTGAGCCAGGATCGTGCCATTGCACCACAGCCTGGGCAACAAGAGTGAAACTCCATCTAAAAAAAAAAAGAAGCAATTGGTGTTAGGATAAATGCTTTGGCTTTTGAATGACAAATACAATCGAGCTGACTGAAGTACAAAGAAATCTGTTAGGCTTTCTAACTGGGATACGTAGGGATACAATATATTAGACCTAACTCCAACACACAGCCTGGAGTAAAGCCCAGGCAAACTGCAATATGAAGCAGAACTGCCCTTAAATAACCTGGAAATTTGGGAGAAAAAAATATGTTGTTTAACGTTACTGAGAATTTAAGGTTGTTTTGTAACATTATTGGAGCAGAAAATTAAATATTAAACATTTTTATCTACTTATGAGTTACATTCAACTCATTAAATGTACCAAAAATGCTTGGGGAAATAGTAACAAAATTTCCACATGTGATTAGATTATTTCACAGTACTCTTTTAAAAATTTTAATTTTTTAACATTTCAAAAACATTTCCCATGTAAGATATTAAAATAAAATATATAAAAATATCACATTTTAAATTTTATTTTCTATACTTGAATTTAAAGGCAACATTTTATGGCTGTATAAATGTTTTCAAGCCTGCTAGGACAGGGAGGAAAAAGGTGGAACAGGCGTTGATCTCACCTCAATCCACTGAAACTTAAGACAGAAAACCTCACTGAGAGTTTTTCTACACTGGGTTCCACATAACATTTCAATTTTCCATGGGGCAAGAAGGTGAGATTATTTTTCTACGTTAAAAAGTAAGTTTGTAACCTTCTTTACTACATAGTCATCTTACACAAAAAATTTTTAAAAATCTTCTTACTACTAAAAGTAATTTGTTTGTGTATCTCTTAATTAAATCTAAATATAGTTTAAAAACAATAATTATGCTAAATTAGACATCATAGAGGAAATATCTCCTTTCTTCATAGCATAGGTAATCACAGTATGAAAAAACGCTTTTTCCTATAACTCCTATAATCATATCATTTCCAGAAGATGTCCTGTGTTAAAAAATCTCAGTGTGATGTTAATAACAAATGGCATATTTTAATCCACTAAAGAGAGATCTATATCTCCTGCCATCTTTGAAAGTTTATATCTATAATTTTTTTCTTTCCAAAGCTGTGATTATTCCAACACACTATGATAACTTAAAAGTTATCAATGTAAAATATTTTGGTTCACTGGGAAGGATACACCTTTTTAAATTTTTAATTGTTGTTGGTACATTGCAGGTGTATAAACTTACAGGGCATGTGTCATATTTTGATACAGGCAGACAATGTGTAATAATAACATTAGGGTAAATGGGTTATCCATCACCACAAGCATTTATCCTTTATGTTACAATCCAATTATATTCTTTTATTTATTTTAAAATGCACAATTAAGTTGTTATTGACTATAGTCACCCTGTTGTGCTGTCAAATACTAGGTCTTTTTCATTCTTCTGTTTTCTATACCCATTGAACATTCCCACTTGCTTCCCATCCACCCTTCTCAGCCTCTAGTAACCATCTTTCTACTCTTTATGACCATGAGTTCCACTGTTTGTATTTCTAGCTCCCACAAATAAATGAGAACATGTGATGTTTGTCTTTCTGGGCCTGGCTTATTTTACTTCACATAATAATGTACAGTTCCATCTATGTTGTTGCAAATGACAGGATCTCATTTTTTTTTATAGCTGAATAGTACTCCATTGTATGTATGTACCACATTTTCTTTATCCATTCATCTGTTGATGGATATTTAGGTTGTTTCCAAGTCTTAGCTATTGTGAACAGGGCTGGAATAAACATGGGAGTGCAGATATCATTTCAATATACTGATTTTCTTACTTTTGGGTATATACCTAGCTGTGAGATTGCTGGATCACATCATAGCTCTATTTTTAGTTTTTTGATGAACCTCCAAACTGTTTTCCATAGCAGCTGTACTAATTTACATAACCATAAAAAGTGTATGATGGTTCACTTTACTCCACATCCTCACCAGCAATCCTTATTGCCTGTCTTTATATAAAAGCCATTTTAACTGGGGTGAGATAATATCTCATTGTAGTTATTATTTGTATTTCTCTGATCGATGATGTTGAGCACATTTTCATTTGCTTGTTTGCCATATGTCTGTCTGCTTTTGAGAAATGTCTATTTAAATCTTTTGCCCACTTTTTGATCCAACTATTAGATATGTTTCCTCTAGAATTGTTTGAGCTGCTTAGATATTCTGGTTATCAATTACTTGTCAGATGTGTGAAAGGACAATATACTGGGCCCCTGAAATCACTAGGGAAAATTCAAGCGGGAAACTGCCTAGGACAAACCTTCCTCCCATTCTACTCAAAGTCACTCCTCTGCTCACTGAGATAGATACATATCTGATTTTATTCCTTTGGAAAGGCTAAGCAGAAACTCAAAATACCAGGGGATTTCAAGATTTCAGTCTAAACCTTCACCCAGTAAGTGCTTTTTGTCCCACAATAACAGTCATTCATGGTACTCTATGAAAAGATATTTCATCCCGAGTGAATACCCTCATCCCTCTCCATTTTAGTTGCTTTTCCTTCATGTAAAAGCTCACCACTGCTAAATGAATTTGAACAGTTTATTAATGAGACAAGTTAATTTTCTACAGCTGGGAGGCATATATAGTGACAGTCTGTTAAACCTCAAACCTCTCTTTCTAGCTTCTGCCTGGAAGAAATTTAGAGTCACAGATTTTACCTAAATTTTCAAAACCTACAGCACCACCTCATGAGATAGGATTTTTTTCTGCATAGAGTCTTGTTGGCCCTTTGCCAAAAACCTCTAATACCCAGATTTCTTCCACTTTTGTGTTCCTCTGTCAGCAAGCAGACTCTATGCCCCATTTGTAGGGAAAAAAACTCCGCATTCAACAGTTGGGAGGAAGCCACCCTTGAGAGACAAATTCTAGCCTCAGTGCTGTTCCCATCAGAAGGAGGACAGCCATTAAATCCATATGTTCTTTTGAGGCACCTGTTCTGCTTCCAACAACATTGGCATTTAATCAGAAAGGGGATTTTGTGTTTAAAAGGCAATGGGTAAAATTTTCTGGGAATGCACTGCTTTTCCAGGGCCATAGCTAGAGGAAGCAGGAATAGGGTTAAAACACTCCCTCTGTTAAAGTGTCTCACCCAACTTTATCTACTGTACAATCTCCTGGGAGGCCTAGGAACCCAGAAGGGCAGTGAGATGAGGCATTGTGCTGGTAAGCATGACTACCCCTGCCAACTAGCACCTCCAGATACATGGGTGCAATTCATGCTTGCATCCATGGGCTGCACCTATGATGGTTGCCAGGACCCAAAGGAGATGGGAGGAAAGAGAAGAGGGACACCCCTGTAATCTTTCTCTTCAACCTGGGTCACTTCAAAAGTTGAAAGGAGACTAAGGGACACCTTCTACTCCCCTCTTTTTATGCATGGGTAACACCCCATCTTCAAGCCTGCATTCCCCTTGAGTTATTCTTTAGACTTCAGAGCCTGAAGTTCGCTCTGGGCAAGTGCCAACTTCTCTCATGTATAGAGGCCTTCCAGGATATAACCCAAGTATTTAAACTCTCCTAGAAGGATGTTATGTTACTCTGAAACCCTAACTGCTGTTGAGAGACAGGCAGCCCTACAGGTAGCAGAAAAAATCAGAGATGAGCAGCATGTTTCCTATAGCCAGTCAAAAAGGGAAAGAGGGTGAGAAACAGGCAGAATCCCCATTCCCAGTAGGAAAAGAGGCAGTATCCCTTGAAAACTCTAATTGGAACTCTACTAAGCCCATAGATGATTGAAAAATAGAAACACTTTCAGATGTATACGGTAGAAGTCTTACAGGGGACCAGAGCCAAACCTGTTAACTACTCTAAGCTATCCATGATAGATCAAAACCCAGATGAAAATCCCTCAGCCTTTTTATAAAGGCTGAGAGAGACTTTGGCAAAACATGCTTCCCTATCTCGTAATTCAATTGAGGGACAGCTCATCTTGAAAGACAGGTTTACTCAAGCAGCTCCTGATATTTGAAGGAAGCTACAGAAACAGGCTATAGGACTAGAAGGCACCTTAGAAAACCTTCTAAGAGTAGCCACCTCAGTCTTTCATAAGACGTACTAGGAGGAGGCTCAGGAAAAGGAGAGAAAATAGAAGAAAAAGTCAGACAGAGGGTACCTTGGAATGGAATCCAGGCCTGAGACTCCTTGAGCTCACTGTTCAAGACACCCTCATAAACTGGTCAGTAACAAACTTTGCTGCATGTCTCCGACTTGTTTTATGTCCTTAAGCATAACCTGTAACCATGTGGTAGTACCACTTTTCAGCCGTTGCCTTTTTACAATGGTGACCCAGGTTCAATCCCAGCCTGGGTGATGAATACTTTCCAGTTAACAACTGTGTGACGTTTAATCATCTCGTGCTCCGCCATGAAAAACTCTAACTGCCTTTCTGAAATCTTCCTTTCTCTCAACTGACTTTAAAGGTTCTAGATCTGGTAAAAGCTGCTTACCACCACTTATAAAATATCTTGTATACTAACGGTGAACTTATAACCTAACGGAGAGTTTTTAGTTTCCCCTGTGATGTTACCTTTGGTAAAATTCAAAAGCCAGAAATATTACCTGCTTGATTTAGCTAAAGTCAGGAAACAGAAGATGTCAAAGGATTTTCTGAAAGGGTGCTGAGCTTGATTAAAAGTGGATATTCAAGTTATAGGTATATTTAAAAGACCTGCATGTTTTTGTCTTCTTGGATCGTGTTTTTCTTGAAAAGAACTTTTCCATTGACTGAATTACTGTTCTCCACTCTGTCTTTCCACTCTTAATGCACACAAGATAACTTCTGGTGGCCTGAAACGTTTTGGGAAAAACAGAAAATGCATGATGGATTCCATTTTGGGAGAAACCTCTGTTTTCCTCATGGAATCCCAGAATCTAGAGGCTGATCAATCCTGCTCAAAATCTGTTTTTGTCTTACAGCTATACAAGTTGATTAGGCCCTAGAAACTTCGTGGTTTGCTATCCCTGTTCTTAAAGGGCTCTACTGGGAAGCCAGTAATGCAATTAGGAAATGGGACGAGAAGAAATCTTAGAGCTACTGGATCTTCTTCTGTTTGTCTGTGTAGCAATATATGTGTTGTGTGTGATGTCTGTAACGAGGACCAATTGATTGCCTTAAATAAAAATAAGCACTTAAATCAAATATTTTAGAGGAAAGTTAAAACCGTAATGCCTTTTAGTTTATGTGTTTTTAAACTCTAAGAAATAAAAACTGTTTTAAAGATCAAATTGGAAAATGCAAATATCATCAATATGTAAATAGCAGGTTTAAATCACATAAATTAGATAAAAGGCTTGCTAAATATTTCAAGGTTGTAGGCTGCCTACTTTACAACTTGGTAAGGCCTGGGGACATATGAAATTAACCATGCCCTAACTAGAATGGAAAAAGTCAGACTTTATCTGCATCTAGTACATAATTAAAACAACTTACCAGGTTTACATTAAAGTTAAAAATTGCTAAGATTGACCATAAAAATATGTAAATAAGACAACTAAAAATAAATTTACATGCAAGGTGTGTAGGAACACTTAAATGTGTTTGTGGTAAAAGATTATAAAAAGGCATAAAAATGTAAATGTTGCCTATGGAAAAAGGATTCTTTTGAAACCTATGTAAGGGTAAAATTTGGCTTTCCTTCCCTTGTACAGATTTTTCATGTAATAGAGAAGAATAATGAAATATTTGGTTTGCCTTGTTGGTAGAATGCCAAGGAGAGAAAAGAGTAGACAGGAGACAAACTGTTTGGAAAGCTAAGTCTTACCTCTTAATGAGTAAAGATTGTTGCCTAGTTTTAAAATTTTTGAGTCATCCTTTTGCCAAAATAAATAACTTATGTGTAACCTGGAATTGTATTTCATACTATCAAGTGTCTTAAACCTCTTTTTACTAATTAGAGCTTTTATTTAAAATTAATGATATGTAACTATTACTGTATATGTAAGAAAAGAAACACACTTAGCTATTGCTTTGCGGATTTGCATTTAATTTTAAATTTTACAATTTAGATTCAGCATGAATTGCAATAAATGGATCTTCAGCAGAGTTACTAATAGAAAAATGAGCTTTGCCATCATCAGAAACGTAGATTTTAATGCCTGTGCAGTTGCCATTAATTTTATCTCCAGAAATGACATCACAGTATGTGCCAGCAGGAAGACCAGTTTGCAAAGTTAAAGAAAATGTCCTGTAAAATAAAATTTCAGATTTAACTTCAAAACAATGAAATCAAGAATACAGACTAACACAAATAAACAGCATAACTTTATGTTTTAGAACCCTAAGCAGTGAAGTCTCATTAAGAAGAAAACCCATATGCCTCCCTAGTAGGTGTAAACAGCTTTCTAGGACCAAAAGTAACCTTACAGAAAACCTACCAATTTCCTTTTCAGTAGTGAAAATATAACCGAAAAATCAAAGTTGAAGAATATCACCGAAGATTGGCGGGAGCGGTCACATTTTGATAAAGTGCTACCTTGGTAAAATCAAATTTTTTCTCAACTGAACTTAATGCCAATTACTTTAAAAATTTAAAGGGTATTATTTTTTTAACCTTCTTTTATTCTACATGAGGTCAAAAAGAATTTAGGGTGTACATAAAAACAATCTAGCATTTGTATGAGGAAGTGATAGTTTGAAATATAAAGCTTTTTCACAAAAGATTTTTTTGGTATTTTCATCCACAAAAGAAGGAAACTAAGGAAATAGACACGCATTTTTTTGGCAGGAAAGAGATCAACTTGACTTATATATTTTTGTATTTATTTATTTTTCATAAGTGAAGTATAATTTATACTAGAGTGAGCTAAGTATGAGTGTCAGTTGGCCTTGGACAGAGACAATTCAACTGTTTGCAAGGAGGTCTTCTCAGCTACAGTTTCGGGAATCATTTATACTACAGCCAAAGGATACAAAAATCACAGATGAAAGGCCAATAATGAGAAGTTTCAGAACTAAAACTCAAGTCTCCTGAAGCAAATCATTAACCACAAGATACATATTATTTATCCATATGCTTTAAAAATGTTATTTGTCACAAGGAGACAGAGAAGTGAAGAAAGTATACCAAAAAACTAGGTAGAGCTGTCATTGAGAAAAAGAGAAATAAAGATATTTTAGTACTGAGGCAGCATTTTTCCATGATTAAAAGAGCAGGACTATAAGAAACGTTCTTTTAATGATTTCACAATCCTTCTATTAATTACTTTGTGTATTTTGTGGCATGTGTAGGTAAGCATATGAATGTGCATTCTATATATGCATAAGATATTGCAAGGGTGCACAGAAAGGATTCTGCTTACAACAGAAAGCCCTTATGAAAACAGGAGAACGAAGGAGTAACAGCCATCATCCTTTTGCTTCTACCCAATTTTGATCTCTATTGTCTTCTCGCTCCACTGACTACATGATTTTTCAGATATGATAAATGTCAATGAACAGAAAAAAAAAAGAATAAACCAAGAACATACTGGTACAAAATATTATTTTTAATTGATATTTACTTACCAGTCATCATTGTTGAAAACAATGAATCCTCTGTTTCCTCTCCCAAAAGCCACTTGGTTGCTCCCATTATCATACCAGTTTGTAAAAGGCTGGCCATCCACTACATTGCGGAAATTAACCATGTTCCTAAAAACACAATACCATATAAAACGTTGATATTCTTAAACTTCAACTGTTTTAAATAAAGTGCTACGGAAATTTACTATTAGAGGACATGTCTAAATACATATTCTCACCTTATTTGGCGCCATCGATGTTCACAGACCCAGTCATTGCCACAAGTAGTGTCTGGATTAATAGTAACTTCTTTAGTTACTCCATTATCATTTGGTGGCCCAACCCAATCATTAACATCCTTAATTACAGGAGGAAAAGCCAAATTTTAGCATATATATATTTATCTCTTCCTTCTCCTTTAAACCAAACCCAACCTATCCTGTTACTTGTGTCTCTGCATTCAGTGACTTTATCTAGAATCCAATGCCTTCATTGATTTTTATAGCCCTTTACTGGGTCTTCATCATCTCTCTATCCTCTGGTTCTCTTTTGCCATATTTCAAACAAAGGTAGCAAATTGTTATCCTCTCCTTTTCATTCCAAGGCACTGCAAAGACTTCTTTGCTCTGTCACCCAGGCTGGAGTACAGTGGCATGATCGTAGCTCACTGCAGCCTTGATCTCCGAGGCTCAAGCGAACCTCCCATCTCAGCCTCCCAAGTAGCTAAGACTGTTGGTGTGCACCACCGCACCCAGCTAATTTTTTTTTTTTTTTTAATTTTCAGTAGAGGCAAGGTCTTGCTAGCTTGCCCAGATAGGTCTTGAACTCCTCAGGTCAGCTGACCTTCTCAGCTGGCCGCACACAGTGCTGGGATTATAGGTGTGAGCCACTGCACCTGGCCTGCAAGGGCTTCTTAACATCACTGTAAGCCATGCAATGGCATTGAAATGGGAAGGGCATTAGTACTAGAAACACCAGGATTAAAACATAGGCTCTATTACTAGTAGCTGAGAAAATTTAATCAATATAAATAATTTCTCTGTGTCTCAGTTTCCTCATTTGTAAAATGAGAATAATGAGTTCTTTTGCTATAAAAATTAAGTAATATATGTGAAAATGCCTTGAACATGACATATGCTAAATAAATATTGGAGGCCGTCATGCTTCTTTTTAGATAAATGTACAAAATACTACATCTGAACATTTTTTTTTTATAAATTGACCATATTTTTAGTATTATGCTTTTCTGATTGGCACTTTAAGAAATCTTCATTAAAAAACACAGAGTAACCCTAGGAAGTTTATCAGTGTTCACCTTAAAATCACGTCATATGGTGAAAAGTGAACAAAACTTAAGAGTTTATAGCATGCAGCAGTCCTGTCAAAGTGGGAATGTTATAGTAATAGAAAAAATAAAAGAACTCTCTGACTCCTAACAACAGAAATAAGACCAATTAGTAGAAATTATAAGAAGTTGTCTCAATATAAAAGTACACCTTCTAAATATTAAAGCTGTTTAACAATAGAATCAGTTGTTATACATAGTAGCGGACTTCTCAAACTGAAAGGAATCTAAAAAAAGCTAGCTAGATATCTGTGTGACTCATAGGAAGGAGGAATTTCTGCTTTAGTTCTGAAGTCTCTGATGCTGTTTCTCAACCCTTTAGTTTAAAAGAAAACCTTCTACTAGCTTTCCAAATATCTTTACACTCTTATTTCTCTGTTCCTTTTTGAAACTACTCAGCAGAGTGATGTCTTTACCATACTCCCAAATATTTTTCTCATTCTTACCTTTCTTGGAATACTCTCTATAAATTTCTATCCTTTAGTACATACAATTTCCTTCCTCTTATAGTATACTTTCCCTATTTAACTCAGCTGAACTGGATCATTTGTTTCTATTCCATATAACTTTTTAACAGTATTTAAAAGACATTTATATTGTTCTCACTACGGGCAGATGATGTTTTAAGTTCTCTACAAGGGTTGGCATCTATATTCTTCCAATTAAACCTGAGGAAGGTACGAAGTATATATTTTAATCCCTGTGCCTAGCTCTTATTTTTAAGTGGTTTTTTTAATTTTTATTTTTATTTTCCCTGCGGGCTAGGGGGATGTTTGTCATATCTCTGAAAAAGCTTGCTATTCTTTTTCAATGGAGAATATAAAGTTTATTCCTTTAATATAACCTGCATTACTAAATCACAACCCTGTATCAGGTTTACAATAATTAAATATTTGTTGAATAAATAAACACTTAATAGTTGTCATATTAAATTAGGAGAAGATTGCCTCTTTTTTCTTGAGAAAAGGATATTTTGAACAACTCCAAAACTTACTTTTCCATTTTCAAAATATCTTGGCCAACGGTAGCTTGACATTACTCGTGTAAATCCATAAGGATGAGCAAGCATAAATCCAACTGCCATTTTGTACAGCCTGAAAGTTACATAATTATATTATCATAGAATATCACAATATTCATACCATCATTAAAAGAGGTGTTAAAAAAATAGAGAACTTGGTTTTCTACCTAGCATCCCAGAAGGTAAGTATAGAGGCTCCTCCAGCGCCATGTCCTCGTTGATTGTCATGGTTATCCACAAAGACAAGCGCTCTGTCAGAAGGCATGAAACCCCAACCTTCTCCCCAGTTCCTATTTTTGAAACATAAGATATACGTTGATGTATCATTTCACAATAGTTTGAGAGTAACTCTACTGTGCATCTCTTTCTGTAAGGCATGGCATCTGAAGATTAAATTCTTTCTCTAATTAGATGGTTACTCTGTAAGATATATATATATACACACACACACACAAACACACACTCACATATATATACACACACACCTCATAAACAAACACACGTGTGTAATCTACATATATATAGTCCATATTTGTATATACATGTATGGAATACTTATATTCATATTACAAATATAAAATGTTTGTTATTAAAAAATTTCCTTTCAGAGGTTTCAGCACATTATCATTTAGAGGCACTCCAGAAGGATCAATATCCACATCACATTATACAGAATGTCAAACTAGATTAAAATAAGGCTTTAATATTGTATTGTTATAATATAAATCATTTTACATTTCCAATTCGTATAAGTAAATACAATAGCATGGACACTTTGTACATACTTTATAAATGATAGGATCATTTTAATAATAACCTGGCTTTAAAAGATTATATGCAAACATCAGTCAAATCCAGTATATTCATCTTGTACGCAGACAGAAACTCCTAGGGTAAGTTTAGCGTTCCTAGGCATACTGTCTTGTGACAGACACTCTAAATACAAAAGATGATTGATTAGAGTTTAGGGCACTAGAATACTTATCATTAACAACTGACTCCTTAATAGTTGTCTGAATAAGAATGTTCCAGAAGATAACTCGCACTGGGGTAGTATGACTAACAGATCTATGAAATAGTTCAGGGGAAAAGTTGTATTTATTTACTTTAAGTAAGACATCTTCTCTCCATTCCACTTGCGAATAACTGTGCCGAGTTTTGCACCATACTTGAATTCTGTCACCCGGCCATTACCAAAGTAGTCACTGCTTTTAATTGGCTCACCACCCAGATCAATTACCTAGAAGAAATTTAGGAAAAAAAAACATTTTGCATAAGGACTTTAAAGCATTTTAACCGATAAGTTTATATTATATAAAAATTAGCTTTCAGCTATTTCTGAGTTATTTTAGACTTGTTGTGCTTTGTTCTTTAGAGACAGGGTCTTGCTATATCGTCCAGGATGGTCCCAAACTCCAGGCCTCAAGGAATTCTCCTGCCTCAGCCTCCCAAAGTGCTGAGTTACATGCAAGAGCCACCACGCCTGGTCCTATTTGTTATATGAAACGCTCAAAATCGTTTTCTTATTCTTATTATCTTCATCGGTAATATTCTTATATTCTTTTTTTGATAAAGTATACACTACAATATTGAAAGAAACATAATGTCAAAGTTACCTGTTGTCCTGTGAGAATACTTACCTAATTTTTAGTCTTGTACATCAATGATAATAATAACAGCTCACAGGAATACGATATTTACTATCTGACTGACTTTTTTTGATAAATATTAACTCATTTCATTTTCCAAAGAAAATAAAGACATAACTATTATCAGTATCCTACATTCTGTGTACCTCCATAAAACCTGTTGTGATAAAGAATTAGATATGCTGTATGTGAAGAAGAGGAGGTTAAAGAACACTGTTTTAAGGAAATGACTCAGTCTTTATCCTACAGAAATTGCATTTTTAATTGAATCTGCCGTGAATTTTCTAATGAATAGGATGATATTTTATATGCCTATATGTATTGACGTACCTCCTGGTAAATGAAAGGTTTACTACCTTCCGGGAACCAGTTACTGTTTAGATTATGCAGTTTGTCCAAAATTGCCTTTATGTCTCCAGGCCACATGTGCTTGGAAGCATCAATTCTGAACCCTGCAACACCAATGTCAATGAGATGGTTCATATATTCGGCAATCTTAGAACGCACATAATCCTTCCCCAGTGCAAGATCGAGAAGACCAGACAGACGACAATCTCTGACCTGTTGAGGTAAGAATGTTATGATTGATTAATAAAACCTCACTTTTCGCCTGAGAATCCATTTGATTATTCATTTATTCCATGATTCCTCAAGAGATATTCTATGGTGACTTCCTTGCATTGGACACTGGGGATGCTCACATTCTACTATAGATGTATCTTGGAAATATTTTCTAATAGAAAATAGAGAACTTAGGAAATAAAGTCGATGAGTTTTTCAATTGGTTGGGAGCTTTTTAAAAGTGGACAAATGTGTATTGATTAAAAATCTTAAATCAATATTTAAAGGTTTTCAAATATGGATTTGAGTTTCTTAAAGTAGTCAAACTTGTTAACCTCTGTCCCTAAGAGATCTAAATTCATATTTACAACGAAGTTCAATTAGCTACATGTCTACAACAAAAGGCATATATCACTCCTTATTCAGATCACTCTCGTAAAAAAATTACCTGAGTAGCATCATTATAGTTCTCGATATCTCCACTTCCAGTTTTACATTTACCATCATTAAAATCCCATCCAGAATATGGGACTGCTGGAAAGTCCCTACTTCCAGGGTTGAAGTAACTTCCACAGGTACTGCTTGTTCCTGCACTCACAGCATTACCACACATATGATTAATTACAGCATCCACATAAATACGAACCTAGAAAACAAAGTTTCTAATTCAGTGTGACTTACAGAGAGGCAGAAATTTAAAGAATTATTGATTAAATTTATAGTGTGCTAATAAAATTCCAAAATATTTCATACCTTATAACTATTTTCCTACAAGATCAAAAATCAACTGTGAAAGGAAAGTAATGTGAACTAAACACCTACATTCATTCCAGACACTTGGCCAAATATATATAGGAATGATAAACTGAGAGAACCGGAAACTACCATAAATAGGAGGAAAGGCAAAAAGCCCATTTTGGGGAGACACAACTCAGATGAGACTGAAAAGGTTACTATTTGGGAAATTTCAGTGGGTCACCAGGAGAAAGCCTGTACTCTCTACTAAGCTTGGAAGACAAATAAGGTAGCTATTCATCTCAAATTCTGCTCCTCATTAAATAGATAAGCTACCTATTCACCACAAAAAAAACCCAAGAATTAGGAATGGAGACACAAGTCATCTAAAAATGAGAGCAAATATTGTAACTGGAATTAAAATTCCTCACCAGAAAATCCTTCCAGGAAATATGGATAGTTATAGCGGTTAAAATTTGATGTTTTGCTTCAGAAGTAAACTCTGCTATAAACTTTAACTTATCTCTTTAGTAGAGAGCACATATACAAATATTTTCAAAAATTGAACATAAGGTGACAGTTACTTTTGAGTTTTAAAGTATGAAGTAAAATTAAAACTGATATGGAAAACTTTCTGCTCAAAAGGAGCAAGAAAGAAGAGACAGAAATCATTTTCCTATCTGTTATTTTTAAAGGAAACTAGAATTCACTTACCCCAACATTGTTGCATCTAGTCACCATGTTTCTAAATTCATCTTCATTTCCAGATCTTGTGCATAATTTATAGCTAACTGGTTGGTATCTTTCCCACCAAGGTCTGAAAGGGTTGTGAATGGCAACATTTTCATTTGGTGGAGAGACCTACAAATTAAACAGTCTTCATAAGTACCAAATTCTGTCTTACTGTATATCATTGAATGTTCTAGAATCTAATCAATAATACAAAAGATTCTTGAATCTTGGTATAGGCAGCTATCTCTTGAAAATATTAACAGCACATCGGAGGGCTCTTGTTGAAGAAAGATTATATCAGAAACAAAATATACAGTTGCAAAGAATACTACATTGTTTTTTCCTCAGAAAATTCTTTTACTTAGAATACTTACCTGTGAAGTAAAATGTTGCCCAAGCTTCACGTAGAAGATCAGAATAGTGTTTACTACAAGCACAGTGAATTCTGCAATTGATACTATGAATCATACCCACCTGAACCCCTCCAAATCCCTTGGGAGCTAAATATCGCTCACATTCAAGAGCAATATCAACCCATCGCCATTCAAACAGATGAACAATAGATGTTCGTCCTTGTTGTGTATTTGAGGAATACTGAGCCCAGCAGAACCCAATGGTGAAAAGCAACCAAAAGAGCTTCATTTTGCTTTGAAGTTGTCAGTGTCCTTTCCAGAAACTATTTATATTCCTGTAAGAAGCACATTTTACAATGTAAATAGTAGCATGAATAAATACTTGAGGGCAAACTGTTTATTCATAATCTGAAAAGGATTATCAATAATAATCCTAACTGGTGAAGAACATCAAAAAGTCTCTCATGGAAATCATCTCAATGACCTCTTAGACATTAATGTTTCTTTTCTTTTCTTTTTTTTTTTTTTTTGCATATGGTAGCACTTTTATTTTTCCTTACACAATGACATGTTGCTGTGGCCTAATGTTCTCACATAACAGCAGAAAACCAAAATTTGTTGTCAACTCTTAAAAGATCGAGAATTGCATACTAAAAAACTTTACATAAATTAAAAGGATGAATACATTTACCGGTATAAATGCGAACCGCTTCCAACTCAAGGCAAGTAACAGCCCACGGTGCTCTGGTAGATAACGTAAGCTAAGAAAGGAAACTGGGTCCTATGGCTTGGACTTTCCAACCCTGACAGACCGACAAGACGGAAACAACTGGTTCAGGAGCCCTTCCCAGCCTCTAGATAAATCTCAGAACACTCAGCCCTGACACATTAATACCCTGCACGGATCAGAGACTGCTGACCACACAGACTCACCAAGCCAGACTTGTCTTCCACAAGCACGTTTTTAGCCATGAAGTGACCAAGCCACGTGTACTAAACACTGACATCAAAGGTATGTACAGATACCAAGGGGAAGAGTTAACTTGAATGCCAGGCCAAAATCAGCAACAAGTTCTACAATCCAGTGCTGATATTGAGAAGAGAGAAAGACCCTGTCCTCTTGTTTTATATTGTTTTCTATTCAGTAAAAACAACAAGGAAGCAAAATCAAAGGCACAAAACCAGGCCTGGGCCTGGTTGGCCTAAACCCAGTAGTTACAAATCAACTTATGATTTAGAAGCCGATGTTATTCATAGATTCCAGACATTGTATAGAAGAACATTGTGAAACTCCCTTCCGTATTCTGTTTCTCCCTGACCACGGGTGCATGTAGTCCTTGTCGCATATCCCTGGCTTGTTCAAATCAATCACGACCCTTTCATGTGACATCTTTAGTGCTGTGTGCCCTTAAAAGGGACAGAAATTGTGCACTTGGGGAGCTCGGATTTTGAGACAGTAGCTATCCGATGCTCCCAGGTGAATAACACCCTTCCTTCTACAACTCGGTGTCTGAGAGTTTTGTCTGCCGCTTGTCCTGCTACATTTCTTGGTTCCCTGACCTGGAAGCAAGATAACTGATGGACGGCCGAGGCAGCTCCTTAGGCAGATTAGGCATGCCTTGTGGAGTAAGGCCGGGGCATCCCTCAGGCTGCCAGGGACTCTGGCCAGCCTGAGGGATGGGATCCAAAGAGCGCTCCCAGGTAGGAAATGGCCCTGGTTGAACGCCTCGCCAGAGCAGTGATCCCCGCGGAGGATTAACACAGTGGCTGAACACCAGGAAGGAACTGGCACTTGGAGTCCAGACATCTGAAACTTAGTAAGACAAGTCTTTTCAACTTGCCCCACTCCACCTGAGCGGAAGCTTGGCCTGATCGCTCATGGTGTGCCTGCACCCATATCAATTTCCATATAGAGATTCCTAGTTACAGCTAGTTTTAGATCCTCTACAGTGGTAAAAGGACAGGCAGCAGCAGTAGTAGTAGCAAAGGGACATTTATTTCAGGAAAGTTCTTGCTCCACCGGCCAAGAGAAGCCAGCACCTAAAGTTCTGTTTGACCCAGAGCTCGAGGACTCAAGGCAGGAGATGGCACCAACAGTGCCCTCAACCCCTTATCCAGTGGGGAGGCCCCCTTCTCCTGAGCCCACAGCCCCTAGACCACCCAGAGTAGACAAGAACAAAAGTGAAACTGCGGGAAAATCCACTTCCCTGGCAGCCCGCTTAACGGCCCAAGACGGGAATTCAAATGCCCTGAGAGAGCAGCGATATACTAGGACAGATGAGGTCAGACATACGGTAGAAAGGCATGCTTTTGTGTATCACCCTTTTACCTCTGCTGAACTACTCAACTGGAAAAATAACACTCCATCTTACACTGAAAAGCCTCAAGCCCTAATTGACTTGCTTCAAAGAATTATCCAGACTCAGAATCCTACTTAGGCTGATTGCCACCAGCTACTCATGTACCTCTTTAAAACACATAAAAGGCAACAGGTGCTGCAGGCAACAGTTAAATGGCTGGAGGAGCACATCCCAGCCAATTATCAAAGTCCCCAAGAATACATAAGAATTCAGCTGCCAGGAACGGACCCTCAATAGGATCCAAATGAAGGACCAGATATGGAAAGGCTAAGAGGGTACCGAGAGGCATTAATTGAAAGGTTGAAAAAAGGGGCTCAAAAGGGTACCAATGTAAATAAAGTTTCTGAAGTCATCCAAGGAAAGGAGGAAAGCCCAGCCCAGTTCTATCAAAGACCGTGTGAGGCCTATTGCATGTACACTCCTTTCGATCTGGAGAGTCCTGAAAATCAGCCGTTGATTAATACGGCCTTAGTTATTCAGAGTGCAGAAGATATCCAGAGAAAATTGCAAAAACAGGCTAGGTTTGCAGGAATGAAAACCTTGCAGTTACTGGAAAGAGCTAATGAAGTATTTGTAAATAGAGATGCAACAAGCGGCCAAGAAAGCCGTAAGGAGGGCGAACGCCAGGCCAGGTGAAACGCTAGTTTGCTGGCTGTGACAATTAGAGGAATTCTCCTGAAAAGGCAGAAAAAAGGGGGTTCTGGGAGGAATGCCCTGTCCAATCACTCACATTTGCAGCATGACTAATGTGCCTACTGTAAAGAAATAGGACATTAGAAAGATAAATGTCCCCAACTCAAAGAAAATCAGAGTGATGCAGAGCCAAAGACCTCAAACCAAGATGAAAGGATTTTGTTCAATCTAGCTGAGGGGCTGCTAGAATTAAGGGGAACAGGCTCAAATGCCCCCAAGGAGCCCATGGTCAGGATGACAATAAGGGGCAAGGACATTAAGTTTTTAGTGGATACAAGAGCCGAACACTCAGTAGTAAGCACTCCAGTGGCCCCCTCATCTATAAAGACCATTGATAGAATTAGAGCAACAGGAGTCTCTACCAAGCAGGACTTCTGTCTACCGCGCAACTGCTCAGTGGGAGGACACAAAGTGATTTATCCATTTCTGTATATGTCTGACTGTCCCTTGCCTTTGTTGAGAAGAGACTTGCTTAGCAAGTTAAGAGCCACCATTTCCTTGACAAAACAAGGCACTTTACAGCTGGAGTTGCCAGAAACAGGAGTCATCATGGCCCTTCCAGTCCCCCAGGAAGAAGAGTGGAGACTTTTGCTAACTGAGCCAGCTCAGGAAATAAAAGTGGCTCCAGCTGAGTGACGGCTCTGAGTAGAGATGGAGGACAATCCTCTGAGGCTGGCAATCAATCAAGCCCCCGTACTCATAGAAGTTTAGCCTACGACCTAGCCAATTGGACAAAAGCCGTATCCTGTTCCCAGGGAAGCCTTTAAAGGAATAGAGACTCATCTTATATGCTTAAAAGCCTCTGGAATTCTAGTTCCTTGCCAGTCTCCATGGAACACCCACCTCCTACCTGTCCCTAAACCAAGGACCAAAGACTATCGACCCGTACAGGACTTGAAAGATGCCTTCTTCACATCAGGCTAGTTCCTGAGAGCCAAAAGCTGTTTGCCTTTCAGTAGGAAGATCCGGAGTCAGATGTCACCATTCAGTACACTTAGACTCGACTTTCCCAAAGGTTCAAAAAGTCCCCCACCATCTTTGGGGAGGCCTCGGTTGGAGACCTCCAAATGTTTCCTGCTAAAGACCTAGGTTGCATCCTGCTCCAGTATGTAGATGACCTTCTGCTAGGACACTCCATGGCAGTCAGGTGTGCAAAAAGGACGGGTGCCCTGCTTCGACACCTGGAGGACTGTGGATATAAAGTGCCCAAAAAGAAAGCTCAGATCTGCAGACAGCAGGTACACTACCTAGGATTCACTATTTGAAAAGGGGAGTGCAGTCTATGGTCAGCAAGAAAGCAGGTCATCTGCAGCTTACCAGAACCTAAAACCAGGAGGCAAATAAGAGAACATTTAGGAGCTGTGAGATTTTTGCAGACTGCAGATTCCAAACTTTGTGGTGTTAGCCAAAGCATTGAATGGAGTTATAAAGGGGGTGACCGAGAGCCTTTTAAATAGAGGTCTCTACAACAACAAGACTTATAAGTTAAAAGAAAAACTTATGTCAGCCCAAGCTGACTCTAATGTAACTCTAAGGAACACCAAAAGACACCATTGGCTAACAAATGCTACATTAACTAAACACCAAAGCTTGTTATGTGAAAATCAATGTATAACCATAGAAGTCTGTAATTCTTTAAATCCTGCCACTTTGCTCCCAGTATCAGACAGCCCTGTTAAACATAACTGTGTAGAGGTGTTGGACTATGTCTATTCTAGCAGACCAGATCTTTGAGACCAGCCATAGGCATTGGTAGATTAGGAGTTCTACATGGACAGAAGCAGCTTCATCAACCCGCAAAGAGAAAGGTGTGCAGGATATGCAGTAGTAAACTTAGATGATGTTGTTGAAGCTAAGCCATTGGCTCAGAGCACTTCAGCCCAAAAAGCAGAACTCATTCCTCTAACTCGGGCTCTGGAACTCAGTGAACCTAAGATTGTAAACATCTATACTGATTCTTGATATGCCTTTCTAACCCTTCAAGTATGTGGAGCATTGTATAAGGAAAAAATTCTAGAGGAAAAGACATAAAATGTCAGCAAGAAATTCTACAATGATTAGAAGCAGTGTAGAAACCCCAAAAGGTGGCATTCATGCATTGCAGGGGATATCAGCGAGTTTCCGCTTCGGTTTGCCAAGGAAAGCCCTGAGCAGACACAGAGGCAGGAAAAGCAGCATCTACTCCTTACCAGACATCAGTCACAGCCCTGCTACTCCTTCAAATGCTTGATCTGGTGCCAACTTATTCTAAAGAGGAAAAAGAATTTTTTCAGACAGAGAGAGGACAAACAATAAAGGAAAGATACATAAAGTTACCAGATGGAAGAATAGCAGTGCCACCGCTGCTATACAGTCATGCTGACTGTATGTGAAACTACCCATTGAGGCCAAGAATCACTTGAAAAGCTGTTAGGCCAGTATTTCTACATCTCACCCTTGCCAGCTGTTGCTACAACAGTAGCGCAGTGATGCCTTACCTGTGGACAGCACAATGCGAAGCAAGGCCCCTCTGTACCTCGGGGAATAGAAGCCTCTGGAGCAGCTCATTTTGAAGATCTTCAAGTGGACTTCACAGAAATGCCTAAATGTAGAAGTAACAAGTATTTACTGGTTCTAGTGTTTACTTACTCTAAGTAGGTGGAGGCTTATCCAACATGAACTGAAAAAGCTCCTGAAGTAACCTGTGTACTTCTTCAAAATTTCATCCCTAGGTTTGGACTGCCTCTACGAATTGGCTCAAATAATAGGCCAGCATTTGTTGCTGACTTGATACAGAAGACGGCAAAGGTATTAAGAATTTCATAGAAGTTACATGCCGTTTACCAACCTTAGAGTTCCGGAAAGTGCAGCAAATGAATCGAACTATCAGAAAAAGTTTCTGGAAAGTATGTCAAGAAACAAATTTAAAATAGACACAAGTCCTTCCTATAGTATTGTTTAAAATTAAGTGTACCCCTTCTAAGAGAACAGCATACTCCCCCTTTGAAATTCTGTATCATAGGCCTCCTCCCATACTGGGAGGGCTTCCAGGTACTCCCCAAGAGTTAGGTGAGATTGCATTACAGCGGCAGCTACAGGCCTTAGGGAAAATTACTCAGACTATCTCAACTTGAGTAAATGAGAGGTGCCCAGGCAGCTGATTCTCCCCAGTTCACCCTTTTTCTCCAGGTGACATTGTGTGGATCAAGGACTGGAACGTGGCTCCGCTGTGGCCACAGTGGAAAGGACCCCAGACAATTAACCTGACCACTCCCACAGCTGTCAATGTAGAAGGAATCCCAGCCTAGATTCACCACAGCCTCATGAAGCCTGCAGCCGCTGAGACCTAGGAGGCCAAACCAAACTTGGACAATCCCTGAAAAGTGACCTTGAAGAAAATGACAAGCCCTGCTCCAATCACACCAC
This sequence comes from Homo sapiens, assembly GCF_000001405.40. Lineage (NCBI taxonomy): Eukaryota > Metazoa > Chordata > Mammalia > Primates > Hominidae > Homo > Homo sapiens. The sequence continues at coordinate 103,701,809 of NC_000001.11, forward strand.
GAAGCTGACTAGACTACACATGGCCAAAGCATGAGGAAAATCGTCGTAGGACTTATTGTCCTTATAACATGGACCTGTGTGGTAAAAGCTTCCACTACCTCTTCCCACACAGAGGACTGCCTTCAGTGCATACATCAGGACACTGAAGAAGGACAAGTTAAGATGATCGTTTTATTTTACAGCTATTATGAATGCCTAAGAACTCCAAACAGAACCTGTTTGTATAATAACACCCAGTACTAAGTATGTAATCCAGGAAGTGACCAGCCCGATGTGTGCTATGACCCCTCTAAACCCCCATGATCACAGTCTTCGAAGTAAGACTAAGAACTGGTCCTTCTCTAAGTAACACAAGTAAAGTGATAGCTAGAACAGAAGAAAGAAGAGTCCCCACAAATGTAACTTTAAAATTTGATGCTCGTGCCACTATTAATACTAAACAGCAGAGGATAAGATGCATTTCTCTAAATTTGGGAAAAATTACACACAGAAAATAAGTACATCTGTCAAGAACCATATTTATGTTCGATGTGTCAATAGTGGTATTGCGTCAGTTAGGCTACTTAGAAGAAAGATAAAAAAGATCCTGTTTGGCTCCAAAAAAGAAAAGTCAGCCCCTCTTGCACAAGTGGGAGCTGCAACCCTTTAAAATTGATCATCACAAACCCCTCAGATCCAAAGTGGAATAAAAGAAAATATATAACATTAGGCATTGATAGAAAAGGACTAGATTCTAGTGTAAGCATCCTGATAAAAGAAGAAGTTCAAAAACGCTCACCAGGACAAGTATTTCACACTTTCTATGATGAATTCAATGTGCCTATACCTGAAATTTCTGAAAAAAACTAAAAATTTGTTTTTGCAATTAGCCAAACATGTAGCCCAGTCTCTACAAGTCATTTCATGTGATGTTTGTGGAAGGACTGTAACAGGAGATCAATGGCCATAAGAAGCCCAAGAATTAGTTCCTACAGATGGAGTTCCTCACGAATTCCATCCCAAAAGAACAACCCCGACAATTTTTAGTTTCTAAAAGTCACAATTATTAGACAGTAATGCGTAGCTAGAGAAAGAAAAGGATTTACTCATCCCGTAAGGCGGCTTATTTGTCTTAGGCAAAACCTGTATAATGGTGCCACAAAAACAGTTACATGGTACAGTTCCAATTACACAGAAAGAAATGCATTCAGCAAATTTCCAAAGTTGCAGACTGTTTAGGCCCATCCAGAATTCCACCAGGACTGGACGGCCCCCACTAGGTTATGCTAGATATGTAGACACAAAGCTTATGCTAAGCTGCCTGACCAGTGGGCGTGTGGCTGTGTAATTGGCACCATGAAGCCATCTTTCTTCTTACTGCCCATAAAAACAGTTGAACTTGTAGGCTTCCCAGTCTATGCTTCCCAGGCAAAATGAAGCATAGCCATAAGTGGTTAGAAAGATGATGAATGCACCCCTGAAAGAATCATACAATACTATGGACCCGCCACTTAAGTACAAGATGGCTCATGAGGATATCCAACCCCTATCTACATGCTCATATGGTTACAAGCTGCTTTAGAAATTATTACTAATAAAACCCAACAAGCCTTGACTGTTCTTGCCTGGCGAGAGAATCTGACGAAACATGTTGCCTACACATAGATGATAAAGAACAAGTAGTTGAGCATATACTTAAGGATATAACAAAACTGGCACATGTACTCGTGCAAGGCTGGCACAGACTCAATCCAGGAGCCATGTTTAGAAAGTAGTTCCCAGCAATAGGAGGATTTAAAACTCTTATAATAGAGGTAATAATAGTAATAGGAACCTGCTTACTGCTCCCTTGTCTGATACCTGTGTTTCTCCAAATCATAAAAAACTTCGTCTCTCCCTTATTTCACCAAAAGCCTTCAGCACAAGCATACAATATAAATGGCTATCAATCTATTGCACAGAAGAACATAAATCATAAAAGTGACAGCTCCCACTAATAAAAATGAGTGAAAGTCTCAAAGAAAGAAAATGAGAGAGGAGAAAGACCCTCTCCTCTTGTTTTACATTGTTTTCTATTCAGTAAAAACAACAAGGAAATAAAACCAAAGACAGGCAGCCCGGCGCCAGGCCCAAAAACAGACCTGGGCCTGGTTGGCCTAAACCCAGTAGTTGAACATCCACTTATGATTTAGAAGCCGATGTGATTCACAGATTCCAGATATTGTGTAGAAGAACATTGTGAAACTCTCTTCCATATTCTGTTTCTCCCTGACCACCGGGGCAAGTAGTCCTTGTCATGTATACCTCGCTTGCTCAAATCAATCACAAAGCTTTCATGTGAAATCTTTAGTGTTGTGAGCCCTTAAAAAGGACAGAAATTGTGCACTCCAGGAGCTCAGATTTAGAGACAGTAGCTGGCTAATGCTCCCAGCTGAATAAAGCCCTTCCTTCTACAACTCAGTGTCTGAGAGGTTTTTTCTGCGGCTCGTCCTGCTACAATGTCAGATACAAGCTTCAAGGACAACTTCTTTCCCAAGGCTTATTCCAGTTTTGTGAGGCTAGCATGAGGTGTATTTTTTAATTTACCTGACCAAATGCACATAGGGAAAACACATTCTTTTTTGAATTGTTTATATAGAATCAGAAGTTGAGTCTTTTAAAGGATTGAAATAAAACAGAAAATTCTAACTGGACTAAGATCATATGTATGCACTTGTTCATATGAATATTTGCAAATATTTTGTTTTTATAAGAAGTGTTATAATGAACATCTGTATACATGTTTACACATGGGTAATTCTGTATGCTAGATAAACGTATGTGAAACTGGAAGCATATTTTTAAATTTTCATATTATGCAAAATTGCCCTTACAAATGTATCAAAGTTTACTCTCTAGTAGCATTCTGTTATAGTACCTTTTGCCACACTCCCACCAAAAATGAATATTATCATAGCTCTAATTTTTGCCTAATAGATTAAAAATGATTTGGGCCAGACACGGTGGCTCACAGCTGTAATCCCAGAACATTGGGAAGTTGAGGCAGGCAGATCACGAGGTCAGGAGATGGAGACCATCCTGGCTAACATGGTGAAACCCTGTCTCTACGAAAAACACAAAAAATTAACCAGGCATGGTGGCGGGCCCCTGTAGTCCCAGCTACTTTGGAGGCTGAGGCAGGAGAATGGCGGTGTGAACTTGGGAGGCAGAGCTTGCAGTGAGCCCAGATCGCCCCAATGCACTCCAGTGTTGGCGACAGAGGGTGACTCCCTCTCAAAAAAAAAAAAAAAAAAAAAAAGAGATTTGTGTTTTTCCCAATTACTAGCAAGGCTGAACATCATTTCACACTTTTTGGCCTTTTGAGTTTTCTCTTGAAATTTGCTTCTTCCTTTTCCCATCTAGTTTTGCTTTAATTGTTATGTTCTTTCTTATTGAATGTTTTGAGTTCTTATGTTGTTATCATTTGTCATGTATTGGAAATATACTGTCCTAATATATCACTGTTTTTTGAAGTCTTTCCAGTGCAAATTTAAGCAATCATGGATGTTGGTAAGAATTAGGACAGTGCCAAAGGTATGCCTGCATTATTATTTTTTGTCCAACTACACTCATGCATTCCTTAATGACAGGAGTATGTTCTGAAGACAAAGCCCTTAGGTAATTAAGCCACTGTGCAAATATCACAGAATGGACTTCATTAACCTAGATTGCATAGCCTATTCCTCCTAGGCTACAAACCTGTAAAGCATGTTATTTTACTGAATACTATAGGCAACTGTAAAGCAGTGTAGCTGTGTATCTCAATACATTTAAACATAGGAAACTTCCAATAAATGTATGGCATAATAAACTTAACTATACCACCATCATATATGCGGTGCATGACTGTACTCACCATGCAAAAGGTTTTAAGTTTTAAAGTGATTATTTGTTTAACTACAGTGGTTCCTTGTGCCTCCATATCCATGAGGAATTGGTTCCAGGACCCACCATGGATACTTAAAGCAATAACTACTCGAGTCCTTTATATAAAATGTAGTATTTCCATATAACCTTTACATCATCTCAGATTACTTATAATGACTAATGCAACGTAAATGCTATGTCAAAAGTTGCGATACTATGTTGTTTTGCAATCGGGAAGTCCCCAAAATAACACTCTTTCTGCTTACATTTCACAGCCAAAGCAAATCACTTGGACCTTCTGAAAATCAGCAGGATGGGAGTATTCATTTGCAAGGAGGATCACTAATATTTCTGAACAATAGTACACTGCATATGTGAGAGTGGAAATAAAAATTCTAACAGGAAAAGTAAAAGAATTTTCATTGGAGTGAACATTTGAAAAACAAGAAATGTGAGTTTAAATATATATTTTTAAGAAAAATACAATATATACAGAGCTTCTCACACTCAACCTCAATCTCTTACACCTCAACCTTTCCTTCAATAGCAAGACATTCAATTTCTTGCAAGTTTATATGATCATTTCTATGCGTGTTTTTGTGACTTACTTCATCTAATGTACCCATAAATAACACATAATGGTGTTTTATGTAGTTACCTTTTCCTAAGCTTTGAAAAGTTTCTCAAAATTGCTCTCATCTTAAATTTTGGATATTCAAAGATTCTGGTATATAAATTCCATATTAAGTGCTATTTTATAATTTACAGAAAAATAAAATAAAATTTCTTATGTAAAATACCTTTTTTTGGATGTTACTCCATCACCCAGGCTGGAATGCAATGGCGCAATCTCAGCTCACTGCAATCTCCCCTTCTGGGTCAAAACAATTCTCCTGCCTCAGCCTCCCAAGCAGCTGGGAGCACAGGCACGCGACACCAAGTCCAGCAAATATTTTTGTATTTTTAGTAGAGACGGGGTCTCACCGTGTTGGCCAGGCTTGTCTCTAACCCCTGACCACAGGTTGATTTGCCTGTGTTGGCCTCCCAAAGTACTGGCGTTACAGAAATGAGCCACTGTGCCTGGCCTCTTTTTTTCCTTTCTAATTGATACCATTTAAATGGATATAACCACCTCAAATCTTTATATATTAGTCACAGTTGTTCTAGACTTATTTGATTTCCTAGCTTTTTCTTCATTGCTTTGACCTCGTTCATGTTGGGTACAGGGTATATCTTTCCTGAAGTTTTTCAATGTTTTGTGTGTGTGTGTGTGTGTGTGTGTGTGTCTGTGTGTGTGTGAGATTTCCTGTTAGCTTTTATGTGGACACTCTATATAACGTTTGTTTTCAGAAAACATAGGGTGGGATATTTCACAGCTTACACACTTAGGATGAGAAGTCTCTATTCCTCTTGAAGACCATCAGTTCTACCTCTTAGGTGTCTGACAGAGGGGGTTAGCTCACATATCTACTGAATAATCCCACTGAGCTCACTATTTTTTAGTATGCATTACTAAAGATAATTGAACCTAATAAAGTATCTTACAATTGACACATGAAAGAACTTTCCATTACTCACAAAAGGAAGTGCTGTCTTCTCACAGAGTAGTAAACATAAAATAATGACTACAAGCACTCAGCACAGCTCTTGTTGAGATTTCAAAATTCATTTAGATAATCCTTTCAGTCTCCTAGGTTCTCAATTCCTTTAACTCATCTCCTTCCATCACTTTGCCTCTATGCTACCCCCATCTTCACATCCTAAAACTTATACTCACAAGATAGTATATACTTAGCACTATGCTACTATACTTAGTATACTATACTTAGTACTATTATATACTATTATCCTCTAATACTTCCAATTTCAATCAACCCACTCTTATCTAAATCTCCCAAATTTCTAGTTCCTACCTCGAGAACTCCATTGCATCGTCAACCACACTGCAATCTACAATTGATGATACCATTTTCCACTGTCTCAACCTTCTTTATTTTCTCACTTCACTCCTTAACCCAGATTACTTTCCATATCCCTCTTTTATAATCATTCTCCTAAATGTATGAACATCTCATCACTGACTGTTTTATTCACCTAGAGAAATCTCACCTTTAGTTAAACTGAATTCTGTACTTATTCAGTGATAGCGCCTCTGCTGAACTGAACTGGAAAAGAACACGAAACCACATTGACTAATACCACTTAAATAAACCACAGATTGCCAAGAGTTTGTTTACTTTTGTACATTCCTAGCTATTCATTTTACATCTCTTTTTCCTTCCTTAATCCTTCGTGATTTCTTCCCTTTTTATGAGCTTGCTTCCTATTTCACTGAGAAAATATCACAAAAATTTGACATGCTCCTCCTATCTACTGAACTACAAACATCTGGACCTCCATAATCTGACGTACATCCTACTGTTAGTAATTAGCTGTTTGTGTGCCTATCTTTAAAACCAAGCCTTCTATTTTTTTACCAGGTCTATGTCTTCATCAATATCCCTCTGTTTCCTGCATTATGCTTTTTCTGTCTACTGAATCAGTCCCATTAGCATAGAAACCTGCTATATCATCGATCTTAAAATAAACAGCTTTTTGATGCTATATTACCCTCCATTAACAACCCATTTCTCACATCCCCTTGAAAGCAAGACTCCTTAAGTGTTGTCTTCAATACTCACTATATTAAATTCCTCTCCAACATTCTCTTGAGTACCTCCTCTTACTCCTGATATCCACCAAGTTGGTCAACGTCAATGTCCCAAAGGTTGCTCTACCCAGTGCTTAATCCAAAAACTCATCTTTCCTAACTCATCAACACAGCTAAAATATTTGATCACTCCTTCCTATTTGAGATACTTTCTTCATTTAGCTTCTAGCTATTCCTCCTTAGTCTTCTTTAATAGTTCTTGAACTATTTTATATCTCACCATTGGGATGCTCCAGGGTTCATTTCTCCATGCCTCTAATTCCTGTCTCTAATGTTCTTACTCTCCCTGCCTCACGATGCTGTAAAAGGTAGGAAGCTATGATCCACAACAGCATTTTTACACAAGACTTGAGTCTTTTTGGGCAGTGCCTCTAAGGTAAAGGTGTAATCACAGACCCAGGAACGTACCTATAGGAATGAATCGAATAAAAAGAAGAATGTTTTCCTACGTATATACAGCTGGAACTAATTTCACTAAAGGAAAAGAATAATTTTATGTGGGAAATATTTTCACCTTTGAGTGATGTTCTGACAGATGAAAGATCTGGGAGAACAAAAATGGTAGACTGTATTACGGCAAGGATACAAATTTCTAAATTGGGATAAATCCCCCACTTCCAAAAAACTAAAACCCAATAAAACTCGAAGCCAGACAAATATAAAATAATTACAAAAAGCAAGATTACAATTTAAAAAATGTGAAACTGCATTCATATCCAGGCAAGAACTTTTAAAAGGCAGTTTTTGTAATCATAAATAAAATATATTATAAAATTGCCTTAAAAAGAATTTGATGTAATCATCTAGTTATGTTCTCCTACATGTGTTAAACCAGGTAAAGAAAAAATACAAACACCATTCCATTGGAAAGAAAACAATTTATTGTATTTGAGGAAAGTCATTAAAATACATGTAATATATTTCCAATTCACTGATTTAAAGGCATACAGATTTAATTTTTAAATACACTTTCAAAGCTGTTACGCACAGTTCCATAGTCCGGGTGGTCAATTTCTTCTTCTCAAAGTTGGAAAGCACTTGAAGGACACGGGATTCAAAAGAAACCTAAAACATCATAAAAGCCAATTAGAAATAATAAGTATAACACAGCTCTTTAGTTTAAAAATAACTGAGAGCTGAACCATTTATATTTAGAAAATTAGTGAATCATGTCAGTATAACAAAATTTATCTAAATAAATGACTTATAAAGAAACTGATTTATAATATATACAAACTCATTTTAACTATGCCTGTAGAAAAATAATTGCATTTTCAATATCTATAGGTTTTGTACTTTTAAGGTGATAATAACCGAATTTTGAATTTGTTTTCATAGAACTAAGAATAGCAGCAGATTTTTCAGCAAAGAAACACAGAGGCTCCAACCCTTTATTTTCCTAGTTGTTAATATAAGGTTAGATGGCTAGGTTGATACTAGGTACCTAACCATTTTACTCTAACAAACCAGTATCCAAACTGCTCAGTCCTTAGAATAACTAAGGACACCTTTTCAAATCCGAGTCTTATACTCCATTCCCAGAGATTCATATGTATTAGTTCTAGGATAGAGTATAGGAATCTTTATGCATAAAAACTCTTCCTTGGTGGTTCCCGACCTTGGTTGCACATCAAAATCAGTTTGAGAGGTTTATTCCAACTTCTGTGCTACACTCTCAACACATCAAATGAAAATTCTGAATAAGGGAACCAGGCATCAACATATTTCTTAAGGATTTTTTGAGGAGGGAGAGGGTCTCACTCTGTCACCCAGGCTGGAACGCAGTGGTGTGATCACGGCTCACTGCAATCTAAACCTCGGGGGCTCAAGTAATCCTCTTGCCTTAGTCTCCCAAGTAGCTGAGACCAGAGGTGCAAGCTATTTATTACTAGCTATGTATCCAAAGGAAAATAAATGAGTATATCAAAGAGTTAACCACACTCTCATATTTATTGCACTATTCACAATAGCAAAGATATGAAATCAACCTGTGTCCATCAATGGATGAATGAATAAAAGCAACGTGGTATATATACAAGCAGTGGAAGAGTTTTTGTCCATAAAAAAGAATGAAATTTTATCATTTACAGCAAGACGGTTGGAACTGGAAGTCATTGTGTTAGGTGAAATAAGCCAGGCACAGAAAGACAAGCATCACATGTTCTTATTCTAAGAATAGAACGTGAAAGCTAAAAATATTGATCTCATGGAGGTAGAGAATAGAATAATACATAGATACCAGAGGCTGGAAAGAGTTTCTGTGGGTGGGAGGAATAAAGAAAAGTTTGTTAATGGGTCCAAACATACAGTTACTTGGAAGACATAAGTTCTAATATTTCATAGCAGAGTAAGGTGACTACATATAAACAGCAATGTATTGTATTTTCCAAAATAGCTAAAGGACTTGAAACTTTCTTAACATATGGAAATAATACTTGAGGTTATGGACACCCCGGATACTTTGAATTGATCATTGTAAAGTCCAGGCAGGTAACAAAATATTACATATACACTATGTGTAGGTACAAATATATTAATGAAAAAATAATCCTCCTCTACAATAAAATTTTATTATTGTTAATCTGACTAATTGAGAATTCATGATGATTTGGAGATTATTTGGCAAAATGTTGCCTGTGCAAAGCAAGCTTTTCTTCCTACATTGTGCAAATTATTAAAGTAATATAAATATGTATATAACTTCAAAAAGTGATTTTCAATATATTGTTCTACAGCACTCAAGCTTTTAATGTCACTGCTATTATGTTTTACAATAATAGGTAATAATTTAGCCCTCCCTGTAAATTAAGGTCTCTTTAGCCTGTTTATTTTTTTCAACAAACTTACAGACTGGATGTTTAGGTCCCAAAAATTTAAATAACTTGTCTCTCATTACTTATCAAATATATTGTATTTCTGAGATCTGACTCCAGACTCTATCTGTGGTTTTAGACTAGTACTCCAATGCTAATCTCATTTTAATCCACTGCAGGAGAACTATGTACTCTCTCTCTGGAAACTTTTAGCACAGCTTTTTATATGATTTTCTGAAATATAACAATAAAATTTCTATCAACAGTTTATTTTTTATCTATGCATATTCTTAAGCTCATAATTTTCATTATCCTATTTTCCCTAAAATTTATTCGAACTCATTTTAATTAGATTTTTAGTTTTATGGTGGTATAATTCACAAGTTAAAATTATATATATTCAATGTGTACAACATGAGGTTTTGAGTTTTTTTTAATTAGCCCTAGTTGAGAAAGGCAAACACTTACTGGTACATACTAAAAAGTATTCAGGACAATGATGCTTAATATAAACTTGCTAACTAATAATCAATAGACTACTCAAATGCTTTTTTGTTAAACAAATCTACAATTCTAGGTAGCATATTTTTACTGGTTTCCTTTACACTGCAGCATTTTTTCAACTAATATATATCTTACAAATAGTAAAATACATAAATCTTAAGCATATAGCATTATAATTTTTATAAGTGTATATATCCCCATCATCACTCAAATCAAGCAAGATATGGAGTATTTCCAGCTCCCACAACCACTCTCTTGCACTTTCTCAACCAGTTACTCACCAAAGGTCATCATTATCATGAACTCTATCACGATGGATTTCCCTGCTCCTCAATTTCATATAAATGGAAAGTTGCTATCTGTATTCTTTTGAGTCTGACTTCTTTCACTCAGTTGAAGTTTGTAAGAATCATCTACATTTTGTGTAGCAGCAGATCATTGTTTCATTGCTGTGCCGTATTCCCCTGTGGGAAGCAAAAGTAATTTATTTATTCATTCTACTGTGAATGGGCATTTGTGTTGTTTTTAGTTTAGAAGTTATGACACATCAGTGATTTTATTTGATAAGAAGCCTAGGAGTTGCTGAGTTATATAGAATTGATTGCCTTACACACATTGTTTAAGTTGTGCCTACTCTTGTATATATTTCATCCTTGATAGGTTTGTCTCTCTACTGTTTGGAACAAACCTGGAGCTCCCTATAGGAAACTGATATCTTCTTTTTCTTTTCTCAACTTCTATTTTAGGTTCAGGAGGTACATGTGCAGGTTTGTTACGTGGGTAATTGCATGTTGCTGGGGTTTGGTGTACAAATGATTTCATCACCCAGCTAGTGAGCATAGTCCCCAGCAGGTAGTGTTTTGACCCTCACTCTCCTCTCACCCTGCGCCCATCAAGTATATATTAAAATGATTTTCACTATCAAGCTAATTAACATATTCATGTCTTCACATAGTTATCACATGTTGGGAAAGGATAATACTTAAGATCTACACTCCATGAACTTAAAGCATACATTATTATTATCTATTGTTACCATGTTGTACGTTAGATCTCCCTAACTTATTCATCTTATAATGGCAAGTTTGCATGGTTGTACCTGTAGTATTTTTCTTTCTCTGCCTGGCTTATTTCACTTAGCATAATATCCTCTAGGGTCATTCATTTTGTTACAAAGGGCCAAATTTCATTCTTTTTAATACTGAATGATATTCCATTGTAGATAGATAGATAGATAGATAGATAGATAGATAGATAGATAGATGATAGATATCACAATTCACATACTACTCATCTATCAACACTTAGGTTGTTTCCATATTTTGGGTTTTGGGAATAATGCTGCAATGAACACAGGAATGCAGATATCTCTTCAAGATAGTGATTAGATTTCTTTTGTCTGTGAAAGGATAATTATATAAAATGGCATCAAGTTCTCGGCTCACTGGAACCTCTGCTTCCCAGGTTCAAACAATTCTCCATGCCGCAGCCTCCCAAGTAGCTGGGATTACAGGTGCCCACCACCACACCTGGCTAATTTTTATGGTTTTTAGTAGAGACAGGGATTCGCCATGTTGGCAACTCTGGTCTTGAACTCCTGACCTCATGTAATCTGCCTGCCTCAGCTTCTCAAAGTGCTGGAATTACAGGTGTGAGCCAACACACCCACAGGTATATAAATTTATACCTAAAAGTATAATTGCTGCATCATATGGTAAGTCTTTAATTATTTGAGGACCCTCCATGCTGTATTCCATTTGCCCACTTCTAAGAAGTTCCCAATTAAAAATCTCATCGACTTTATTTCCTAAATTCTCTATTTTCTATTAGAAAATATTTCAAAGATACATCTGTAGTAGAATGTGAGCATCCCCAGTGCCCAATGCAAGGAAGTCACTATAGAATATCTCTTGAGGAATCATGGAATAAATGAATAATCCAATGGATTCTCAGGAGAAAAATGAGGTTTTATGAATCAATCATAACATTTTTACCTCAACAGGTCAGAGATTGTCGTCTGACTGGTCTTCTTGATCTTGCACTGGAGAAGGATTACGTGCGTTCTAAGATTGCCGAATATATGAACCATCTCATTGACATTGGTGTTGCAGGGTTCAGACTTGATGCTTCCAAGCTCATGTGGCCTGGAGACATAAAGGCAATTTTGGACAAACTGCATAATCTAAACAGTAACTGGTTCCCTGCAGGAAGTAAACCTTTCATTTACCAGGAGGTACATCAATACTTATATGCCTATAAAATATCATCTTATTCGTTAGAAAATTAATGGAAGATTTAATTAAAAATGCAATTTCTGTAGGATAAGGAATGAGACATTTACATAAAACATAATGGTTGTACCAATTTACATTCCCACCAAAACAGTGTTCTTTAACCTCCTCTTCTTCACATACAGCATATCTAATTCTTTATCACAACATGTTTTATGGATGTACACAGAATGTAGGATACTGATAATAGTTATGTCTTTACTTTCTTTGGATAATGAAACAAGTTAATATTTATCAAGGAATTTCAGTCGATACTAAATGTTTTATTAGTGTGAGCTCTTATTATTATCATTGATGTAGAAGACTAAAAATTAGGTAAGTATTTTCACAGGACAACAGGTATCTTTGACATTATGCTTCTTTCAATATTGTAGCCTATACTTTATCAAATAAAAGAATATAAGAATATTACCTGTTGAGATAATAGGAATAAGAAAACCATTTTGCACATTTCGTGTAACAAACAGGACCAGGCATGGTGGCTCGTGCATGTAATCTCAGCACTTTGGGAGGCTGCGGCAGGGGGATTGCTTGAGGCCAGGAGTTTGGGACCATCCTGGACGACATAGCAAGACCCTGTCTCTAAAAAACAAAACAAAACAAGACAAAAAGAAATAATAAATAGCTTAATTTATTAATAAATAACAAATAGCATAAAGCTATTTTTATATAATATTAACTTATTGGTTAAAATGCTTTAAAGTCTTTACACAAAATGTTATTGTTTCCTAAATTTCTACTAGGTAATTGATCTGGGTGGTGAGCCAATTAAAAGCAGTGACTACTTTGGTAATGGCCGGGTGACAGAATTCAAGTATGGTGCAAAACTCGGCACAGTTATTCGCAAGTGGAATGGAGAGAAGATGTCTTACTTAAAGTAAATAAATACAACTTTTCCCTGAAGTATTTCATGGATCTATTAGTCATACTACCTCAGTGTGACTTATCTTCTGGAACATTCTTATTCAGACAACTATCAAAGAGTCAATTGTGAATGATAAGTATTCTAGTGCCCTAAACTCTAATCAATCATCTTTTGTATTTAGAGTGTCTGTCACAAGGCAATATGCCTAGGAACGCTAAACATACCCTAGGAGTTTTCATCTAAGTACGAGATGAATATACTGGATTTGACTGATGTTTGCATATAATCTTTTAAAGCCAGGTTATTATTAAAATGATCCTATCATTTATGAAGTATGTACAAAGTTTCCATCCTGTAGAATTTACATGTATTATATGAATTAAAAATATAAAAAATATTTATATTATAACAATACAGTATTGAAGCCTTATTTTAATCTAGTTTGACATTCTGTATAATGTGATATGGATATTGATCCTTCTGGAGTGCCTCTAAATGATAATGTGCTGAAACCTCTGAAAGGACCTTTTTTAATAACAAAAATCTTATATTTGTAATATGAATGTAAGTATTCCATACATGTATATACAAATATGGACCATACATGTAGATTACACATGTGTGTGTGTTTGATGTGTGTGTATATATATGTGTGTGTGTGTTTGTGTGTGTATATATATATATATCTCTTACAGGAAAAGCATTTAATTAGAGAAAGAATTTAATCTTCAGATGCCATGCCTTACAGAGAGAGATGCACAGTTAAGTTACTCTCAAACTGTTGTGAAATGATACATCAACGTATATCTTATTTTTCAAAAATAGGAACTGGGGAGAAGGTTGGGGTTTCGTACCTTCTGACAGAGCGCTTGTCTTTGTGGATAACCATGACAATCAACGAGGACATGGGGCTGGAGGAGCCTCTATTCTTACCTTCTGGGATGCTAGGTAGAAAACCAAGTTCTCTATTTTTTTAACACGTCTTTTAATGATGGCAAGAATATTCTGACATCCTATGAAAATATAATTATGTAACTTCCAGGCTGTACAAAATGGCAGTTGGATTTATGCTTGCTCATCCTTACGGATTTACACGAGTAATGTCAAGCTACCGTTGGCCAAGACAGTTTCAAAATGGAAACGTAAGTTTTGGAGTTGTTCAATATATCCTTTTCTGAAGAAAAAGGAAGCAATCTTATTCTAACTTAACATGACAACTATTAATTATATATTTATTCAACAAATATTTAATTGATTGTAAACTGGATACAGGGCTGTGATTTTAGTAATGTAGGTTATATTAAAGGAGTAAAATTTATATTCTCCATTGACAAAGAGTATGCAAGCTGTTTCAGAGATATGACAAACATCCCCTTAGCCCGCAGGGAAACAAAAAACAAAAAACAGAAAAACACTCAAAACTAAGAGCTAGACACAGGGATTAAAATATATACTTCGAATAAGTACCTACCTCAGGGCTGATAGGAAGATTATACATGCCAACACTTTTAGAGAACTTAAAACATCATCTGCCCGTAGTGAGAACAATATAAATGTTTGTTAAATACTTTTAAAAAGTTATATGGAATAGAAAGAAATGAATCAATTGAGCTGAGTTAAATAGGGAAAGTATCATATAAGAGGAAGGAAATGATATGTACTAAAGAATAGAAATTTAGAGAGTATTCCAAGAAAGGTAAGAATGAGAAAAATATTTGGGAGTATGGTAAAGACATTAATCTGATGAGAAGTTTCAAAAAGGAACAGAGAAATTACAGTGTAAAGATATTTGGAAAGCTAGTAGAAGGTTTTCTTTTAAACTAAAGGGTTCAGAAACAGCATCAGAGACTTCAGAACTAAAGCAGAAATTCCTCCTTCCTATGAGTCACACGGATATCTAGCTAGCTTTTTTTAGATTCCTTTCAGTTTGAGAAGTCCGCACTTTGTATAGCAATTTATTCTATTGTTAAACAGCTTTAATATTTAGAAGGTGTACTTTTATATTGAGCCAACTTCTTTTAATTTCTACTAATTGGTCTTATTTCTGATGTTAGGAGTCATAGAGTATTTTTATTTTTTCTATTACTATAACATTTCCACTTTGCCAGGACTGCTGCATGCTAAAAACTCTTAGTTTTGTTCACTTTTCACCATATGACATGATTCTAAGGTCAACACTGAAAAACTTCCTAAGATTCCTCTGGATTTTTTAATGAAGATTTTTTAAAGTGCCAATCAGAAAACCATAATATGAAAAATGTGGTCAATTTATAAATAATGTTCAGATGTATTGTTTTGTACATTTATCTAAAAAGAAGCATGAATGATTCTAATATTTATTCAGCACATGTCACATTCAAGGCATTTTCACATATATTACTTAATTTTTATAGCAAAAAAACCAATATTCCCATTTTACAAATGAAGAAACTGAGACACAGAGATATTATGTGTATTGATTAAATTTTCTCAGGTACTAGTAATAGAGCCTATGTTTTAATCCTGGTGTTTCTAGTACTAATGCCCTTCCCATTTCAACGACATTGCATGGCTTACCACGATGTTAAGAAGCTCTTGCAGGCCAGGTGCAGTGGCTCACACCTGTAATCCCAGCACCTAGTGAGGCGAGGCGAGAAGATCAGCTGACCTGAGGAGTTCAAGACCTATCTGGGCAAGCTAGCAAGACCTCATCTCTACTGAAAATTTTTTAAAAATTAGCTGGGTGCGGTGGTGCACACCAACAGCCTTAGCTACTTGGGAGGCTGAGATGGGAGGATCGCTTGAGCCTGGGAGATCAAGGCTGCAGTGAGCTATGATCATGCCACTGTACTCCAGCCTGGGTGACAGAGCAAAGAAGCCTTTGCAGTTCTTTGGAATGAAAAGGAGAGGATAAAAATTTGTTACCTTGTTTGAAATATGCCAGAAGAAAACCAGAGGATAGAGAGATGATAAAGACCCAGTAAAGGGCTATAAACATTAATGAAGGCATTGGATTCTAGATAAAGTCACTGAATGCAGAGACACAAGTAACAGGATTGGTTGGGTTTGGTGTAAAGGAGAAGGAAGAGGTAAATACATGCATAGTAAAATTTGGCTTTTTCCCCCCTACTTAAGGATGTTAATGATTGGGTTGGGCCACCAAATAATAATGGAGTAATTAAAGAAGTTACTATTAATCCAGACACTACTTGTGGCAATGACTGCGTCTGTGAACATCGATGGCGCCAAATAAGGTGAGAATATGTATTTAGACATGTCCTCTAATAGTAAACTTTCCACTGCATTTTATTTAAAACAGTTGAAGTTTAAGAATATCAACGTTTTATATGGTATTGTGTTTTTAGGAACATGGTTATTTTCCGCAATGTAGTGGATGGCCAGCCTTTTACAAATTGGTATGATAATGGGAGCAACCAAGTGGCTTTTGGGAGAGGAAACAGAGGATTCATTGTTTTCAACAATGATGACTGGTAAGTAAATATCAATTAAAAATAATATTTTGTACCAGTATGTTCTTGGTTTATTCTTTTTTTTCTCTGTTCATTGACTTTTATCATATCTGAAAAATCATGTAGTCAGTGGAGCAAGAAGACAATAGAGATCAAAATTGGGCAGAAGCAAAAGGATGATGGCTGTTACTCCTTCGTTCTTTTTTTTTCATAAGTGCTTTCTGTTGTAAGCAGAATCCTTTCTGTGCACCCTTGCAGTATCATATGCATATATATGATGCACATGCATATGCTCACCTACACATGCCACAAAATCAATATATAAAATCACAATCAATATAAGGATTGTGAAATCATTAAAAAAAAGTGTCTTATAATCCTGCTTTTTTAACCATGGAGAAATGCTGCCTAGGTACTAAAATATCTTTATTTCTAACTCTTTTTCTCAATGACTGCTCTACGTAGTTTTTTGGTACACTTTCTTCACTTCTCTGTCTCCTTGTGACAAATAACATTTTTAAAGCACATGTATGAATAATATGTATCTTGTGGTTACTGTTTTGCTTCAGGAGATTTGAGTTTTATTTTTGAAACTTCTCATTATTGGCCTTTCATCTGTGATTCTTATATGCTTTACCTGAAGCATAAATGATTGTCTAAGATATAGCTCAGAAGACCTTGGTGTAAACAGTTGAATTGTCCCTGTCCAAGACCAACTGACACTCATACTTAGCTCACTCTAGTATAAATTATATTTCACTGATGAAAAGTAAATAAATACATCAGTATACAAGTCAAGTTGATCTCTTTCCTGCCAAAAAAGCCCATGTCTAGTTTTTTAATTTCTTTCTTTTGTAGATGAAAATACCAAAATAAGTTTTTGTGAAAAAGCTTTATATTTCAAACTATCACTTCTTCATAGAAATGCTAGATTATTTTTATGTGCATCCCAAATTCGTTTTGATCTCATGGGAGAAGAAGGAGGTTAAAAAATAATACCCTTTAAATTTTTAAGAGTAATTGGTATTAATTTCAGTTGAGAACAAATTTGATTTTACCAAGGTAGAACTTTTATCAAAGTGTGACCGTTCCTGCCAATCTTCAGTGATATTCTTCAACTTTGATGTTTTGGTAATATTTTCACTACTAACCAGGAAATTGCTAGGTTTTCTGTAAGGTTACTTTTGGTCCTAGAAAGCTATTTCCACCTACTAGAGAGGCATATGGGTTTTCTTCTTAATAAGACTTCACTGCTTAGGTTTGTTTCTACAACATAAAGTTATGCTGTTTATTTGTGTTAGTCTGTATTCTTGATTTTCATTGTATTGAAGATCAACCTTAAATTTTATTTTACAGGTCATTTTCTTTAACTTTGCAAACTGGTCTTCCTGCTGGCACATACTGTGATGTCATTTCTGGAGATAAAATTAATGGCAATTGCACAGGCATTAAAATTTACGTTTCTGATGATGGCAAAGCTCATTTTTCTATTAGTAACTCTGCTGAAGATCCATTTATTGCAATTCATGCTGAATCTAAATTGTAAAATTTAAAATTAAATGCATGTCCTCAAAACAATAGCCAAGTGTGTTTCTTTTCTTACATGTACAGCAGTACTTATATTTCATTAATTTTTACTAAAAGCTCTAATTAGTAATTAGAGGTTCAAAAAAGTTGATAGTGTGAAACACAATTCCAGGTTACACAGAAGTTATTTATTTTGGCAAAAGGATGTCTCAGAAATTTTAAAACTAGGCAACAACCTTTACTCATTAAGAGGGAAGACTTAGCTTTCCAAACAGTCTGTCTCCTGTCTACTCTTTTCTCTCCTTGGCAGTCTACCAACAAGGCAAACCAAATATTTCATTATTCTTCTCTATTACATGAAAAATCTGTACAAGGGAAAGAAAACCAAATTTTACCCTTACATTGGTTTCAAAACATTCCTTTTTCCATAGGCAACGTTTACATTTTTATGCCTTTTTATAATCTTTTATGACAAACACATTTTACTGTTTTTACACACATTTTACACACTTTGCATGTAAATTTATTTTTAGTTGTCTTATTTACATGTTTTAATGGTAAATCTTAACTTTGCCATTTTAGTTAAAATGGTAACTTTAATGTAAAACCTGGTAAGTTTTTTCAATTATGTACTAGATGCAGATAAAGTCTGACTTTTTCCATCCTAGTTAGGGGCATGGTTAATTTCATATGTCCCCAGGCCTTATCAAGTTGTAAAGTAGGCAGTATACAACCTTGAAACATTTAGCAAACCTGGTATCTAACTTATATGATTTAAACCTCCTATTTACGTGTTGATGATATTTGCATTTTCCAATTTGATCTTTAAAACAATTTTTATTTCTTAGAGATGAAAGTCACATAAACTAAAAGGCATTGCAGTTTTAACTTTCCTCTAAAATGTTTGATTTAAGTGCATATTTTTATTTCAGGCAATCAGTTATAGCTCGTTACAGACATCACACACAACACATATATCATTACACAGACAAACAGAAGCAGATCCAGTAGTTCTAAGATTTCTTCCTGTCCCACTTCCTAATTGAATTATTGGCTTCCCAGTAGAGCCCTTTAAGAGCAGGGATAGAAAAACCATGAAGTTTCTAGGGCCTAATCAACTTGTATAGCTGTAAGACAAAAGCAGATTTTGAGTGGGATCTATCAGCCTCTAAATTCTGGGATTCCATCAGGAAAACAGAGGTTTCTCCCAAAATGGAATCCACTGTGCCTTTTCTGTTTTTCCCAAAAAGTTTCAGGCCACCAGACATTACCTTGGGTGCATCAAGAGTGGAAAGACAGAGCGGAGGACAGTAATTCAGCCAACAGAAAAATTCTTTTCAAGAAAAACACAATCCAAGAAGAGAAAAACATACGGGCCTTTTAAATATACCTATAACTTGAATATCCACTTTTAATCAAGCTGAGCACTCTTTCAGAAATTCCTTTGAAATCTTCTGTTACCTGACTTTAGCTAAATCAAGCAGGTAATATTTCTGGCTTTTGAACTTTACTAAAAGTAACATCACAGGTGAAAACAACAACTCTCAATCAGGTTATAAGTTAACTGTGAGTATTCAAGATATTTTATAAGTGGTGGTAAGCAGCTTTTACTAGATCTAGAAACTTTAAAGGCAATTTAGAGAAAGGAAGATTTCAGAAAGGAAATTAGAGTTGTTCATGGAGGAGGAAGAGATGATTAAAGGTCATACAGCTATTAAATTGAAAGTATTCATCACCCAAGCTAGGATTGAACCTGGGCCACCATTGTAAAATGGCAATGGCTAAAAAAGTCCTGCCACAAGGTTACAGGTTATGCTCAAGACATAAAACAAGATAGAGGCATGCAGCAAAGTTTGTTACTTACCAGTTTATGTGGGTGACTTGAATAGTGAGCTTATGGAGTCCCAGGCCTGGATTCCATTCCAACGTATTCCAACCCGTTCCAAGATGGGTTGTTACCCATGCAGAAAATGGGGGGAATATAAGGTGTCCCTTAGTCTCCTTTCTCCTTTTGAAGTGACCCAGGATGAAGCAAAAGATTACAGGGGTGTCCCTGTTCTCCTCTTTCCTCCCATCTCCTTTGGGTCCCGGTAACCATCATAGGTGCTGTCCATGGATGAAAGCATGAATTGCACCCATGGATGTGGAGGTGCTAGCTGGCAGGAGTAGTCATTTTTACCAGCACAATGCCTCCTCACACTGCTCTTCTGGGTTCCTAGGCCTCCCAGGAGATTCTACAGTAGATAAAGTTGGGTGAGACACTTTAATAGAGGGAGTGTTTTAACCCTATTCCTGCCTCCTCTAGTTATGGACCTGGAAAAGCAGTGCATTCCCAGAAAATTTTATCCATTGACATTTAAATATAAAATCCCCTTTCTGTTTAAATGCCAATGTGGTTGGAAGCAGAACAGGTGTCTCAAAAGAACATATAGATTTAATGGCTGTCCTCCTTCTGATGGAAACAGCACTAAGGCTAGAATTTGTCTCTCAAGGGTGGCTTCCTCCCAACTGTTGAATGCGGAGTTTTTTTCCTTAGAAATGGGGCATAGGGTCTGCTTGCTGTTAGAGGAACACAAAAGAGGAAGAAATCTGGGCATTAGAATTTTTTGGCGAACGGCCACCAAGAATTTTTACGGAGAAAAATAGCCTATCTCATGAAGTGGTGCTGTAGGGTCTGAAAAGTTATGTAAAATCTGTGACTCTAAATTTTTTCCAGGAAGAAGTTAGAAAGAGAGGTTTGGGGTTTAACAGGCTGTCACTGTATATGCCTCCCAGCAGTAGAAAATTAACTTGTCTCATTAATAAACTGTTCAAATTCATTCAGCAGTGCTGAGCTTTTACATGAAGGAAAAGCAACTGAAATGGAGAGGGATGAGGGTATTCACTTGGGGTGAAATATCTTCTCATAGAGTGCCATGAATGACTGCTATTGCGGGACAAGAAGCACTTACTAGGTGAAGGTTTAGACTGAAATCTTGAAATCCCCTGGTATTTTGTGTGTCTGATTACCTTTCCAAAGGAATAAAATCAGATATGTATCCATCTCAGTGAGCAGAGGGGTGACTTTGAGTAGAATGGGAGGAAGGTTTGTTCTAAGTAGTTTCCCGCTTGCATTTTCCCCAGTGATTTCAGGGGCCCAGTATATTTTCCTTTCACACATCTGACAAGGGATTAATAACCAGAATATCTATGGAGCTCAAACAACTCTAGAGGGAAAAAAAATCTAATAATTGCATCAAAAAGTGAGCAAAAGATTTGAATAGACATTTCTCAAAAGCAGACAGACATATGGTAAACAAGCATATGAAAATGTGCTCAACATCATTGATCAGAGAAATACAAATAAAAACTACAATGAGATATTATCTCACCCCAGTTAAAATGGCTTTTATTTAAAAAACAGACAATAACAAATGCTGGTGAGGAGGTGGAGAAAAGGGAACCATCATACACTTTTTGTGGTTATGTAAATTAGTACAGCTGCTATGGAAAACAATTTGGAGGTTCATCAAAAAACTAAAAATAGAGCTATGATGTGATCCAGGAATCCCACAGCTAGGTATATACCCAAAAGTAAGAAAATCAGTATATTGAAATGATAACTGCACTCCCATGTTTATTCCAGCCCTGTTCACAATAGCTAAGACTTGGAAACTACCTAAATGTCCATCAACATATGAATGGATAAAGAAGATGTGGTACATATATACAATAGAGTACTATTCAGCCATGGAAAAATGAGATCCTGTCATTTGCAACAACATAGATGGAACTGAACTGTACATTATTATGTGACGTAAAATAAACTGGCCCAGAAAGACAAACATCACATGTTCTCACTTATTTGTGGGAGCAGCAATTCCAAACAATGGAACTCACGGTCATAGAGAGTAGAAAGATGGTTACTAGAGGCTGAGAAGGGTGGATGGGAAGCAAGTGTGAATGTTCAATGAGTACAAAAAACAGAAGAATGAATAAGACCTAATATTTGACAGCACAACAGGGTGACTATCGTCAATAACAACTTAATTGTACAATTTAAAATAACTAAAAGAATATAATTAGATTGTTTGTAACATAAAGGTAAATGCTCGTGGTGATGGATAACCCATTTACCCTGATGCTATTACTACACATTATCTGCCTGTATCAAAATATGACATATGCCCTATAAGTATATACACCTCCTAGGTACCAACAACAATTAAAAATTTAAAAAAGTGTATCCTTCCCAGTGAACCGAAATATTTTACATTGATCATTTTTACATTATCATAGTGTGTTGGAATAATCATAGCTTTGGAAAGAAAAAAAATAAATGTAAACTTTCAAAGATGGCAGGAGATATAGATCTCTCTTTCTTTAGTGGATTTAAATATGCAATTTGTTATCAACATTGCACTGACAATTTTTAACACAGGCCATATTCTGGAAATGATATGATTATAGGAGTTATAGGAAAAAGCATTTTTTCATACTGTGATTATCTAGGCTATGAGGAAAAGAGATATTTCCTCTATGATGTCTAATTTAGCATAATTATTCTTTTTAAACTATATTTAGATTTAATTAAGAGATACACAAACAAATTACTTTTAGTAGTAAGAAGAGTTTTTAAAATGTTTTGTGTAAGATGACTATGTAGTAAAGAAGGTTACAAACCTGCTTTTTAACTTAGAAAAATAATCTCACCTTCTTGCCCCATGGAAAATTGAAATGTTATGTGGAACCCAATGTACAAAAACTCTCAGTGAGGATTTCTGTCTTAAGTTTCAACGGATTGAGGTGAGATCAGTGCCTGTTCCACCTTTTTCCTCCCTGTCCTAGGTGACTTGATAACATTTATACAGCCATAAAATTTTGCTTTTAAATTCAAGTATAGAAAATAAACTTTAAAATGTGATATTTTTATATATTTTACCTTAATAATTTATATGGGAAATATTTTTGAAAGGTTAAAAAATTAAAATTTTTAAAAGAGTATAGTGAAATAATCTAATCACATGTGGAAATTGTGTTACTATTTCCCCAAGCATTTTTTGTACATGTAATTGAAAATGAGTTGAATGTAACTCATAAGTAGTATAAAAGTGTTTAATATTTAATTTTCTGCTGCAGTAATGTGACATAACAACCTTAAATTCTTGGTACTTTAAACAAGATATTTTTTTTCTCCCAAATTTCTAGGTTATTTAAGGGCAGTTCTGCTTCATATTGCAGTTTGCCTGGGCTTTACTCCAGGCTGTGTGTTGGAGTTAGGTCTAATCTATTGTATCCCTACACATCCCACTTAGAAAAGCTAACAAATTTCCTTTGGACTTCAGTCAGTTCGATTGTATTTGTCATTCAAAAGCCAAATCATTTATCCTAACACCAACGGCTTATTTATTTATTTATTTGTTTGTTTATTTATTTATGTTTTAGAAGGAGTTTTTCTCTTGTTGCCCAGGCTGAGGTGCAATGGCGCGATCCTGGCTCACCGCAATGTCCCCTTCCCGGGTCAAGGGATTGTCCTGACTCAGCGTCCTGAGTAGCTGGGATTACAGGCATGCACCACCATGCCCAGTTAATTTTGTATTTTTAGTAGAGATGGGGTTTCTTCGTGTGGATCATTCTGTTCTAGAACTCCCGACCTCAGTTGATCCGCCAGCCTCAGGCTCCCAAAGTGCTGGGATTACAGGCGTAAGCCACCGCTCCCAGCCTAACCGATTGCTTCTTTTGTTCTGTAGTCTTTTGCCAAAACTGTTATTCTCTGGACTCACTTTCACCTTCTCTCACACATACATGTCCCTCGTGTCCCTTTGTGTCTCCAGGGTCTTCTATTTCCACGTAATCTTAATTTTTCATCACATCCTGGACTCATGAGTAATTAATCTGTTATTCTCCCTGAAAGTGCAGCCTTGTTGAATAGAATGTGTTCTTTAAACAGCAGCTTTGTTTCTCGAGTGAGGTATTAACTTCCAGATTTAGGTGAAAATGAGTTCCAAGTTTTATGTTTCATTGTGTGTCTAAGACTGACACCGTTTATTACCGTGGCACTTACAGCTTGCTTTCAATGCCTCCAAATTCTCTATCTGAAAGGCTGGGTACCATATCTCATGTCTGAACATAGTCCTCAGAATCATGCAGTACCAGCTATGTTCCTTCTGTATATTATGGCTTCCGAGGTGCCTGTTAAGCAGCCAGGTGAAATTGCCTTTTAATCAATATAGGAACCAGTCTCTTTCCTGGTGATGCTAATGCTTTTTATAAAAAGGCCATGCTGTATTGAAGTTCTTCTTTCAGGACAAAACCACTAATGGAACTCATCTACCTACTGATGGGTGGAAGCTCTTGGTATGCCAAAGTCTTGTTTTGTTTGTGAAGAATCTCTTTCCCTCAACAGTGATGTGCTACGTTAGGTCTCAAATCATTGTTGCGTTTTAATCCAAATTTATGACAAAGATTTTCAGTTTGTATGCATAATTTCCTTCTCTGGCCTTAACCATCAGTCTGTGGACTTGCCAAGCAACAACAACAACAAGAACAACAAGTCTGAGGTCAAGAGACACTATTTAGATCTCAGAATCATTTGTTGTCATTTATCCTTTGATAAAGTTTTGCCTTTCTTTCTTTATGAGTATATTTCCTCTCATGGTTTCCCAATCTCTTGAGAAAAAGAAAGTTCTTGCCTCTTGCAGTCTTTCTCATTAGTTGAATTATACCAGCAGTTCAGCTTCTGATCCTGTCGAGAAATCCACCATGAAGAAATAAAACATTTCTGATTACATGGATTACGTTTCCTGGATTCTTATAGGCATTAAACTTAGTTCTAGGATACAACCGCATGATCTTCTCTTATTCTCAGAACAAGAAATATATTACTATATACATTACAGTTTGTATATATTGCAGTTTATATAGAGTATATGTATATGTACTGTATATATATATGTACACATATATATAACAGTAAACCCTGTAGGCAAGCAGGAAAACTTCAGAATTCTCAATGAATCCATCATTAGCTGTTAGTAATGACAACACTATTAGAAGTATTTCAATAATCAAACATTGTTGTGGTCTGTATGTGCACCCCCAAAAGTAATATCTTGAAATTCTAACACCTGAGGGCATAGTATTTGGAACTTGGGAGTGGAATTCTTTTTTGTGCTATTATGAATAAGATGCTTGCCTCTTCCATCAAATGAGGACACAGCCACAAGTTACCCTCTAGGAGCTAGGAAGTTAGTCTTCACCAGACACAAAATCTGCTTGATTTTGAATTTAGTCTCCTGAACTGTGGAAAATAAATTTCTGCTTTTATAAGCCACTCAGTTTATGCTATTTGGTTATAGTGGCCCAAAGAGAGTAAAAAGACACATTATTTACCTCCTTTGTGGACTCTCTGGAGTTGTTGCTTTAAACTTGCTTTAGTGCCTAACACTGCTCCAACTCCCTGTCCTTTAGCACACACGGATAAATAATTCTGCTGGGAACTGACATGTTTCACTCAGGCATCCAAATGTATTTATTATGTTGTCAAAATATATAGCACTTGTTACAATGTTTCCATGTTAGACATATTTTGAGATATATGCCTTAACACTGTGCTGTGATTATTATTAATATCTAGTAACTAATCTTACCATATCTAAACTCAAAGTTTTCACGATAACACTGCCTTATTAGGGACTGAATTTTTTAAAGTATGAAGATCTTACATCAAGTCCAAATTGATTCATCTGATAGTCTCGCAGTAAAATCAACGCCACAGAATTATCTATTCTGTTTCTTGTCTTGTTGTAGCTGATATTCTGTGATTGGACATATTGCTAATATCTATTAACCTTAGCATAAAATGTCATATTGAAATTGAAGAGGAATATTGGAACTTGGCTAAGAAAGATTGCTTTTCAGACACAGTGAGAACTAAAATGGACCCTCTGTTCCTGGAGGTATATTTTACAAAAATTGGGTGCTATTATAGGAATTCTGTACAATTCTATCTTATGCACTTGTGTTCCATCAGTGTCAATCCTCTCTGTATTTTAAATTGACTATGATTTCTTTTTCCATCTTTCTGTTTGTCAAGTATTCTTTTGCTGAAAATTTGTTATTCATGTTCCAACAGAAAATAGATTTTTTTTCTTTTAACTCATTGGAAAGAATATTTAGAGTCTTTAGTGACAAATGACATGGTATAAATGAAAAGAAAATACTGACATTGTACTTGAGAAATACTAATTAATTGGGAGAATATTAATTAAAAGACATTGTTTAAATATTTCTATCACAAATTGACAGCAGAACAATACACACCACCAGCAAGGTATAATAGTAGATATGAGAGGTAAAATGATTAATTAGATATTGCATTTTCTCCAGAAAACTTATTATTTAGTGGAAACTGGCCAATAATTTCTTAGGCCTTAGGATAATTTTACCTTTGATTCTCTAGTTAATCAAAAATATATAAAAATATTAACCAAAAGTATATATTTTTAAAATACCTACATAATCTAATGCAGTATGTTTCGCTCTCTTCTTGAAGTGAATTAAATTCCTTATCACTGACCATAAAATTTAACTACATAGATGATTCTTGTTTAAAATAGTTAAAAGTGAACGTAAAGATCAGTTTTGGTTTTCCTTTTCTTACCCCCGTTTTTTACACTTATATTTGCCTGTGTCATTCATATACTTTTAGAATCCAAAACAATAATTAAAAACATAATCATTTGGTTTTCAAAAGCTTTTTGCATCTCTAGAAAGTTAATATAGAGTCTTATAAAACTTTTAGCTAATTCAAAAACAAATCACACATATATAATTGAAGCAAACTTTGTTTGGTAGACTTCTTCGAACCACAGAAATTTCAGTTATGGCATGGTAGGTCTTTTGAAATGTTTCATTTTTTATATTTGGAGATGCACAACAAAAGTCTTTCCACTCCAACTCCCCTTTAATAAAAACAGAATGTAACAAAAATATCAAAATCTGTAGGAAAATAACCCATTCGTCTATGTTAAAGCTATGAGATTTCCAGCCCAAATAAATTATAAGAACCAGTATAGAGGCCGGGCGCGATGGCTCACACTTGTAATCCCAACACTTTTGGGGGCTGAGGCAGGCGGATCAAGAGTTCAGGAGATCAGGACCATCCCAGCTAACACGGTGAAACCCCATCTCTACTAAATATACAAAAAAAGTAATTAGCCAGGCACAGTGGCGGGTGCCTGTAGTCCCACTACTCAGGAGGCTGAGGCAGGAGAATGGCCTCATCCTGGGAGGTGGAGTTTGCAGTGAGCCGAGATCACACCACTGCACTCCAGCCTGGGAGATAGAGTGACACTCTGTCTCCAAAAAAAAAAAAAAAAAAAAAAAAAAAAAAAAAAAAGCATGTAGAAATACTAATACAGTGAAATCTGGACTGATATATAAAGAAAATAACCAACAGATTTTGTCTATGGCACAAAATTCTTAGAAATTTTGAGATCTTTAGCCTTATAGACCTAACAAAATATTTATTAGTTTGAACAGTGAGGTACTGGGATATGCTGGGCTTTGAGGCTATACGCAAATCTAATTTTAGAAGTCAGGAACTGTTGTAAGCAATAGCAAAGAATATGTTTGATGATCAGCTTGGCAATTGTTGAACAAGCTTCATTCAGCACTGTGAGGATGTAATTAAAGCAGTTGCCCTGCAATCTATTCACTCTCTTCACTGGCGAATGGCCCAGGCATAAGACTAGAAGGAAGATGAACTGGTTTAGTCTCTTTGTCAGCTGAAATTTTGGTGAAAGAGACTACTGATATTTTTCTAGGATGAAGGGATCTTATCTCTGAAATACCCTTTGCAGGTTATTCCTGGCTGAAACAAATGCACAGATCCTTTCTTCTTGATCAATTTTGCTGTCGATTCTCATTTTACATTCTTTATTTCATTTATTTTATTCTTTAGCTCCAGAATTTTTGTTTGGGTTCCATTTTTTCCATCTCTCTGTTGAACTTCTCATTTGGTTTGTGTTTTGTTTTTTTCAAGTTTTAGTTGAATTGCCTATTTGTCCTCTTGTAACTCATTACTTTCCTTTAAAACAATTATTTGACAGGAAAAACTGCACAAAAATAGAAAAATCTATAAATCACATGACGAAGAATTCAAAATAATTATTTTAAAGAATTTCTGAATTTGCAGCAAAAGTTTGCTATAGAGCAACATGAAAGCACAGAAAAGTATGAAACTCATTGATTAAGGTAAATATATAAAAAATGCAGAACATGCTAATAGTATAATAGTGGTGTGTAAATCTCTTTTATTGCTAGTATGAAGGTTAAAATACCAAAGTAATAATAATTATAGCTACAATAATTTGTTAATAGATACAGAATATTAAAAATATATAATGTGACATCAAATATATAAAATATGGTGGGCTGAGTAAAAGTATAGGGTTTTGAATATGATCAAAGTTATCAGTTTAAAAGAGTTTGCTCCAATTACAAGATAGTATATATAAGCATCATGCTAATCAAAAAGACAAAACCTATGGTAGATACCCAAAAGATAAAGAGAAATCAAACCATGTCAGTACAGAAAATCATGAAATCTCAAAGAAAGACAGCAAGGGAGAAATAAAGAAACTAATAATATGTTAAAAAGCCAAAAAACAATGAACAAAGTGGCAATTGTATGTTCTTACCTATCAATAATTACCTTGAAGGTAAATTCATTCTATTCTACATTCAAAACCCAGAATGGCTGAATGGATTACAAAAGAAGACCCATCAATATGCTGCCTACAAGAGACTCACTTCAGCTTCAAGGACACATATGGAGTGAATGTAGGGGATGAGAAAATTTGATATTCCATGCAAATTAAAACCAGAAAACAGCATGGATAGCTATCCTTATATCAGGCAAAATATACTTTAAGATACAACTGTAGCAAGTGATAAAGATGGTCATTAAATAATGAAAAAGTGGTGAGTTGATTAAAGGGATGAAACAATTATAAATAAATATGCACTTAACATTGAAGCACCTGAAAATATAAAGCAAACATTAATATCTGGAGGGACAGATACACAGCAATCAATAATATTAGGGAAATAGGTAACCTTATTGATACTGTTGCAATTATCAATACTCCAATTGCAACAATGGATAGATCATTTAGATAGACAATCTATAAGGAAAAAAAACATTAGACTTGATCTGCACTTTAGACCAAACGGACCTAACAGATGTATGTTCACATTTCATCTACAGCTGGAGAACAGGTGTTCTTCTCAAGCTAACAAGAAACATCCTCCAAAATAGAGCATATTTGAAATTACAAAATGTCTTAATACATTTAAGAAGATTGAAGTTGTATCAAGTATCTTTTTTAACCACAATGGTATATAACTAGAAATCAGCAACAGGAGGAAAACTGGAAAATTCAAAAATAAGTGAACATAATGCAATCCTTAACAAAAAGTGTTTTAAAAAGGAAATGAAAAGGAAAATAAAAAATCTTGATACAAAAATGAAAACACAATACTCCAAAACTTGTGGCATGCAGTAAGACCGTGCTAAGAAGAAAATTTGTATGACAAACACCTACATTAAAGAAAAAACATCTCAAATAATCTATCATTAAACCTCAAGGAACTAGATAAAAAGAAGAGCAAACTAAGCCCAAAGCTAATACAAGAAAGCAAAGAAATATCAAAGCAAAATAAAGAAATAGACAGTAGAAAAATAATAGAAATTGAAAGACTTTCTGTGTTCATCAATGGGAGAAATCAATACTGTCAAAATGCTATTGGACAAAACAATCTACAGATAAATGTAATCCCTATCAAATGTCCAGCGGCATTTTTCACAGAAACAGAAATAAATACTAAAATTTGTATGAAATTACAAAAGACTATAAGTACCTAAAGTGATCTTGTGCAAGAAGAACAAACAGGAGGTACCACACTTCTCACTTTCAAGTTATATTACAAAACTACAGCAAATTTTATATATACTGACATGAAAACAGTGACATAGAAGAATGGAACAGAATAGAAAGCCTAGAAATAAACCTACACCAAGACGGTCAAAAAATCTTCAATAACATGCCCAAAATACCTAATGGAGACAGGATAGTCTCTTCAATAAATAGCGTTTAGAAAAACTGCAGGCCCACATGCAAAATAATGAAATTTGACAGTTATAATATGCACAGGAATAAATTGAACATTGAAAAGGAATTTAAACTTAACATCTGAAACCAAAGAATCCCTAGAAGAAACCAGGGGAAATCCTCCTTAAGATTGACCTTGGCATGATTTTTTGGCTATGAATCTCAAAATATAGACAAGACAAACAAAAATAAACACATGGAACTACACCAAAGTAAGAGGTTGCTGCACAGTAAAAAAAAAAATAATAATTAATTAATTAATTAATTAATTAAAAAGGTCACCCATGGAATGGTAGAAAATACTTGAAAACAATATATCTGATAATGGATTAATATCTGAAACAGATAAGAAACTAATAATCAGAAAAAAATCCTGATTAGAACATGAGCAAGAGACCTGAACAGACTTTTTTCCAAGGTAGACTTGCACATGGCCAACACATGAATGAAGAGGTGCACAAAATCACTAAACAAGTGGGAAATATAAACTGAAATGAAAATGAGATGTCACATTACATCTTTTAAAATGGCCAATATAAAAAGCCAAAAGATAGATAGTGTTGACAAGGATGTATCAAAACGAGAATGCTTATAGAGTTTTGGTGGGAATGTAAATTGGTACAACCATTATGGAATACAGCATGGAGGGTCCTCAAATAATTAAAGACTTACCATATGATGCAGCAATTATACTTTTAGGTATAAATTTATATACCTGTGGGTGTGTTGGCTCACACCTGTAATTCCAGCACTTTGAGAAGCTGAGGCAGGCAGATTACATGAGGTCAGGAGTTCAAGACCAGAGTTGCCAACATGGCGAATCCCTGTCTCTACTAAAAACCATAAAAATTAGCCAGGTGTGGTGGTGGGCACCTGTAATCCCAGCTACTTGGGAGGCTGCGGCATGGAGAATTGTTTGAACCTGGGAAGCAGAGGTTCCAGTGAGCCGAGAACTTGATGCCATTTTATATAATTATCCTTTCACAGACAAAAGAAATCTAATCACTATCTTGAAGAGATATCTGCATTCCTGTGTTCATTGCAGCATTATTCCCAAAACCCAAAATATGGAAACAACCTAAGTGTTGATAGATGAGTAGTATGTGAATTGTGATATCTATCATCTATCTATCTATCTATCTATCTATCTATCTATCTATCTACAATGGAATATCATTCAGTATTAAAAAGAATGAAATTTGGCCCTTTGTAACAAAATGAATGACCCTAGAGGATATTATGCTAAGTGAAATAAGCCAGGCAGAGAAAGAAAAATACTACAGGTACAACCATGCAAACTTGCCATTATAAGATGAATAAGTTAGGGAGATCTAACGTACAACATGGTAACAATAGATAATAATAATGTATGCTTTAAGTTCATGGAGTGTAGATCTTAAGTATTATCCTTTCCCAACATGTGATAACTATGTGAAGACATGAATATGTTAATTAGCTTGATAGTGAAAATCATTTTAATATATACTTGATGGGCGCAGGGTGAGAGGAGAGTGAGGGTCAAAACACTACCTGCTGGGGACTATGCTCACTAGCTGGGTGATGAAATCATTTGTACACCAAACCCCAGCAACATGCAATTACCCACGTAACAAACCTGCACATGTACCTCCTGAACCTAAAATAGAAGTTGAGAAAAGAAAAAGAAGATATCAGTTTCCTATAGGGAGCTCCAGGTTTGTTCCAAACAGTAGAGAGACAAACCTATCAAGGATGAAATATATACAAGAGTAGGCACAACTTAAACAATGTGTGTAAGGCAATCAATTCTATATAACTCAGCAACTCCTAGGCTTCTTATCAAATAAAATCACTGATGTGTCATAACTTCTAAACTAAAAACAACACAAATGCCCATTCACAGTAGAATGAATAAATAAATTACTTTTGCTTCCCACAGGGGAATACGGCACAGCAATGAAACAATGATCTGCTGCTACACAAAATGTAGATGATTCTTACAAACTTCAACTGAGTGAAAGAAGTCAGACTCAAAAGAATACAGATAGCAACTTTCCATTTATATGAAATTGAGGAGCAGGGAAATCCATCGTGATAGAGTTCATGATAATGATGACCTTTGGTGAGTAACTGGTTGAGAAAGTGCAAGAGAGTGGTTGTGGGAGCTGGAAATACTCCATATCTTGCTTGATTTGAGTGATGATGGGGATATATACACTTATAAAAATTATAATGCTATATGCTTAAGATTTATGTATTTTACTATTTGTAAGATATATATTAGTTGAAAAAATGCTGCAGTGTAAAGGAAACCAGTAAAAATATGCTACCTAGAATTGTAGATTTGTTTAACAAAAAAGCATTTGAGTAGTCTATTGATTATTAGTTAGCAAGTTTATATTAAGCATCATTGTCCTGAATACTTTTTAGTATGTACCAGTAAGTGTTTGCCTTTCTCAACTAGGGCTAATTAAAAAAAACTCAAAACCTCATGTTGTACACATTGAATATATATAATTTTAACTTGTGAATTATACCACCATAAAACTAAAAATCTAATTAAAATGAGTTCGAATAAATTTTAGGGAAAATAGGATAATGAAAATTATGAGCTTAAGAATATGCATAGATAAAAAATAAACTGTTGATAGAAATTTTATTGTTATATTTCAGAAAATCATATAAAAAGCTGTGCTAAAAGTTTCCAGAGAGAGAGTACATAGTTCTCCTGCAGTGGATTAAAATGAGATTAGCATTGGAGTACTAGTCTAAAACCACAGATAGAGTCTGGAGTCAGATCTCAGAAATACAATATATTTGATAAGTAATGAGAGACAAGTTATTTAAATTTTTGGGACCTAAACATCCAGTCTGTAAGTTTGTTGAAAAAAATAAACAGGCTAAAGAGACCTTAATTTACAGGGAGGGCTAAATTATTACCTATTATTGTAAAACATAATAGCAGTGACATTAAAAGCTTGAGTGCTGTAGAACAATATATTGAAAATCACTTTTTGAAGTTATATACATATTTATATTACTTTAATAATTTGCACAATGTAGGAAGAAAAGCTTGCTTTGCACAGGCAACATTTTGCCAAATAATCTCCAAATCATCATGAATTCTCAATTAGTCAGATTAACAATAATAAAATTTTATTGTAGAGGAGGATTATTTTTTCATTAATATATTTGTACCTACACATAGTGTATATGTAATATTTTGTTACCTGCCTGGACTTTACAATGATCAATTCAAAGTATCCGGGGTGTCCATAACCTCAAGTATTATTTCCATATGTTAAGAAAGTTTCAAGTCCTTTAGCTATTTTGGAAAATACAATACATTGCTGTTTATATGTAGTCACCTTACTCTGCTATGAAATATTAGAACTTATGTCTTCCAAGTAACTGTATGTTTGGACCCATTAACAAACTTTTCTTTATTCCTCCCACCCACAGAAACTCTTTCCAGCCTCTGGTATCTATGTATTATTCTATTCTCTACCTCCATGAGATCAATATTTTTAGCTTTCACGTTCTATTCTTAGAATAAGAACATGTGATGCTTGTCTTTCTGTGCCTGGCTTATTTCACCTAACACAATGACTTCCAGTTCCAACCGTCTTGCTGTAAATGATAAAATTTCATTCTTTTTTATGGACAAAAACTCTTCCACTGCTTGTATATATACCACGTTGCTTTTATTCATTCATCCATTGATGGACACAGGTTGATTTCATATCTTTGCTATTGTGAATAGTGCAATAAATATGAGAGTGTGGTTAACTCTTTGATATACTCATTTATTTTCCTTTGGATACATAGCTAGTAATAAATAGCTTGCACCTCTGGTCTCAGCTACTTGGGAGACTAAGGCAAGAGGATTACTTGAGCCCCCGAGGTTTAGATTGCAGTGAGCCGTGATCACACCACTGCGTTCCAGCCTGGGTGACAGAGTGAGACCCTCTCCCTCCTCAAAAAATCCTTAAGAAATATGTTGATGCCTGGTTCCCTTATTCAGAATTTTCATTTGATGTGTTGAGAGTGTAGCACAGAAGTTGGAATAAACCTCTCAAACTGATTTTGATGTGCAACCAAGGTCGGGAACCACCAAGGAAGAGTTTTTATGCATAAAGATTCCTATACTCTATCCTAGAACTAATACATATGAATCTCTGGGAATGGAGTATAAGACTCGGATTTGAAAAGGTGTCCTTAGTTATTCTAAGGACTGAGCAGTTTGGATACTGGTTTGTTAGAGTAAAATGGTTAGGTACCTAGTATCAACCTAGCCATCTAACCTTATATTAACAACTAGGAAAATAAAGGGTTGGAGCCTCTGTGTTTCTTTGCTGAAAAATCTGCTGCTATTCTTAGTTCTATGAAAACAAATTCAAAATTCGGTTATTATCACCTTAAAAGTACAAAACCTATAGATATTGAAAATGCAATTATTTTTCTACAGGCATAGTTAAAATGAGTTTGTATATATTATAAATCAGTTTCTTTATAAGTCATTTATTTAGATAAATTTTGTTATACTGACATGATTCACTAATTTTCTAAATATAAATGGTTCAGCTCTCAGTTATTTTTAAACTAAAGAGCTGTGTTATACTTATTATTTCTAATTGGCTTTTATGATGTTTTAGGTTTCTTTTGAATCCCGTGTCCTTCAAGTGCTTTCCAACTTTGAGAAGAAGAAATTGACCACCCGGACTATGGAACTGTGCGTAACAGCTTTGAAAGTGTATTTAAAAATTAAATCTGTATGCCTTTAAATCAGTGAATTGGAAATATATTACATGTATTTTAATGACTTTCCTCAAATACAATAAATTGTTTTCTTTCCAATGGAATGGTGTTTGTATTTTTTCTTTACCTGGTTTAACACATGTAGGAGAACATAACTAGATGATTACATCAAATTCTTTTTAAGGCAATTTTATAATATATTTTATTTATGATTACAAAAACTGCCTTTTAAAAGTTCTTGCCTGGATATGAATGCAGTTTCACATTTTTTAAATTGTAATCTTGCTTTTTGTAATTATTTTATATTTGTCTGGCTTCGAGTTTTATTGGGTTTTAGTTTTTTGGAAGTGGGGGATTTATCCCAATTTAGAAATTTGTATCCTTGCCGTAATACAGTCTACCATTTTTGTTCTCCCAGATCTTTCATCTGTCAGAACATCACTCAAAGGTGAAAATATTTCCCACATAAAATTATTCTTTTCCTTTAGTGAAATTAGTTCCAGCTGTATATACGTAGGAAAACATTCTTCTTTTTATTCGATTCATTCCTATAGGTACGTTCCTGGGTCTGTGATTACACCTTTACCTTAGAGGCACTGCCCAAAAAGACTCAAGTCTTGTGTAAAAATGCTGTTGTGGATCATAGCTTCCTACCTTTTACAGCATCGTGAGGCAGGGAGAGTAAGAACATTAGAGACAGGAATTAGAGGCATGGAGAAATGAACCCTGGAGCATCCCAATGGTGAGATATAAAATAGTTCAAGAACTATTAAAGAAGACTAAGGAGGAATAGCTAGAAGCTAAATGAAGAAAGTATCTCAAATAGGAAGGAGTGATCAAATATTTTAGCTGTGTTGATGAGTTAGGAAAGATGAGTTTTTGGATTAAGCACTGGGTAGAGCAACCTTTGGGACATTGACGTTGACCAACTTGGTGGATATCAGGAGTAAGAGGAGGTACTCAAGAGAATGTTGGAGAGGAATTTAATATAGTGAGTATTGAAGACAACACTTAAGGAGTCTTGCTTTCAAGGGGATGTGAGAAATGGGTTGTTAATGGAGGGTAATATAGCATCAAAAAGCTGTTTATTTTAAGATCGATGATATAGCAGGTTTCTATGCTAATGGGACTGATTCAGTAGACAGAAAAAGCATAATGCAGGAAACAGAGGGATATTGATGAAGACATAGACCTGGTAAAAAAATAGAAGGCTTGGTTTTAAAGATAGGCACACAAACAGCTAATTACTAACAGTAGGATGTACGTCAGATTATGGAGGTCCAGATGTTTGTAGTTCAGTAGATAGGAGGAGCATGTCAAATTTTTGTGATATTTTCTCAGTGAAATAGGAAGCAAGCTCATAAAAAGGGAAGAAATCACGAAGGATTAAGGAAGGAAAAAGAGATGTAAAATGAATAGCTAGGAATGTACAAAAGTAAACAAACTCTTGGCAATCTGTGGTTTATTTAAGTGGTATTAGTCAATGTGGTTTCGTGTTCTTTTCCAGTTCAGTTCAGCAGAGGCGCTATCACTGAATAAGTACAGAATTCAGTTTAACTAAAGGTGAGATTTCTCTAGGTGAATAAAACAGTCAGTGATGAGATGTTCATACATTTAGGAGAATGATTATAAAAGAGGGATATGGAAAGTAATCTGGGTTAAGGAGTGAAGTGAGAAAATAAAGAAGGTTGAGACAGTGGAAAATGGTATCATCAATTGTAGATTGCAGTGTGGTTGACGATGCAATGGAGTTCTCGAGGTAGGAACTAGAAATTTGGGAGATTTAGATAAGAGTGGGTTGATTGAAATTGGAAGTATTAGAGGATAATAGTATATAATAGTACTAAGTATAGTATACTAAGTATAGTAGCATAGTGCTAAGTATATACTATCTTGTGAGTATAAGTTTTAGGATGTGAAGATGGGGGTAGCATAGAGGCAAAGTGATGGAAGGAGATGAGTTAAAGGAATTGAGAACCTAGGAGACTGAAAGGATTATCTAAATGAATTTTGAAATCTCAACAAGAGCTGTGCTGAGTGCTTGTAGTCATTATTTTATGTTTACTACTCTGTGAGAAGACAGCACTTCCTTTTGTGAGTAATGGAAAGTTCTTTCATGTGTCAATTGTAAGATACTTTATTAGGTTCAATTATCTTTAGTAATGCATACTAAAAAATAGTGAGCTCAGTGGGATTATTCAGTAGATATGTGAGCTAACCCCCTCTGTCAGACACCTAAGAGGTAGAACTGATGGTCTTCAAGAGGAATAGAGACTTCTCATCCTAAGTGTGTAAGCTGTGAAATATCCCACCCTATGTTTTCTGAAAACAAACGTTATATAGAGTGTCCACATAAAAGCTAACAGGAAATCTCACACACACACAGACACACACACACACACACACACACACAAAACATTGAAAAACTTCAGGAAAGATATACCCTGTACCCAACATGAACGAGGTCAAAGCAATGAAGAAAAAGCTAGGAAATCAAATAAGTCTAGAACAACTGTGACTAATATATAAAGATTTGAGGTGGTTATATCCATTTAAATGGTATCAATTAGAAAGGAAAAAAAGAGGCCAGGCACAGTGGCTCATTTCTGTAACGCCAGTACTTTGGGAGGCCAACACAGGCAAATCAACCTGTGGTCAGGGGTTAGAGACAAGCCTGGCCAACACGGTGAGACCCCGTCTCTACTAAAAATACAAAAATATTTGCTGGACTTGGTGTCGCGTGCCTGTGCTCCCAGCTGCTTGGGAGGCTGAGGCAGGAGAATTGTTTTGACCCAGAAGGGGAGATTGCAGTGAGCTGAGATTGCGCCATTGCATTCCAGCCTGGGTGATGGAGTAACATCCAAAAAAAGGTATTTTACATAAGAAATTTTATTTTATTTTTCTGTAAATTATAAAATAGCACTTAATATGGAATTTATATACCAGAATCTTTGAATATCCAAAATTTAAGATGAGAGCAATTTTGAGAAACTTTTCAAAGCTTAGGAAAAGGTAACTACATAAAACACCATTATGTGTTATTTATGGGTACATTAGATGAAGTAAGTCACAAAAACACGCATAGAAATGATCATATAAACTTGCAAGAAATTGAATGTCTTGCTATTGAAGGAAAGGTTGAGGTGTAAGAGATTGAGGTTGAGTGTGAGAAGCTCTGTATATATTGTATTTTTCTTAAAAATATATATTTAAACTCACATTTCTTGTTTTTCAAATGTTCACTCCAATGAAAATTCTTTTACTTTTCCTGTTAGAATTTTTATTTCCACTCTCACATATGCAGTGTACTATTGTTCAGAAATATTAGTGATCCTCCTTGCAAATGAATACTCCCATCCTGCTGATTTTCAGAAGGTCCAAGTGATTTGCTTTGGCTGTGAAATGTAAGCAGAAAGAGTGTTATTTTGGGGACTTCCCGATTGCAAAACAACATAGTATCGCAACTTTTGACATAGCATTTACGTTGCATTAGTCATTATAAGTAATCTGAGATGATGTAAAGGTTATATGGAAATACTACATTTTATATAAAGGACTCGAGTAGTTATTGCTTTAAGTATCCATGGTGGGTCCTGGAACCAATTCCTCATGGATATGGAGGCACAAGGAACCACTGTAGTTAAACAAATAATCACTTTAAAACTTAAAACCTTTTGCATGGTGAGTACAGTCATGCACCGCATATATGATGGTGGTATAGTTAAGTTTATTATGCCATACATTTATTGGAAGTTTCCTATGTTTAAATGTATTGAGATACACAGCTACACTGCTTTACAGTTGCCTATAGTATTCAGTAAAATAACATGCTTTACAGGTTTGTAGCCTAGGAGGAATAGGCTATGCAATCTAGGTTAATGAAGTCCATTCTGTGATATTTGCACAGTGGCTTAATTACCTAAGGGCTTTGTCTTCAGAACATACTCCTGTCATTAAGGAATGCATGAGTGTAGTTGGACAAAAAATAATAATGCAGGCATACCTTTGGCACTGTCCTAATTCTTACCAACATCCATGATTGCTTAAATTTGCACTGGAAAGACTTCAAAAAACAGTGATATATTAGGACAGTATATTTCCAATACATGACAAATGATAACAACATAAGAACTCAAAACATTCAATAAGAAAGAACATAACAATTAAAGCAAAACTAGATGGGAAAAGGAAGAAGCAAATTTCAAGAGAAAACTCAAAAGGCCAAAAAGTGTGAAATGATGTTCAGCCTTGCTAGTAATTGGGAAAAACACAAATCTCTTTTTTTTTTTTTTTTTTTTTTTGAGAGGGAGTCACCCTCTGTCGCCAACACTGGAGTGCATTGGGGCGATCTGGGCTCACTGCAAGCTCTGCCTCCCAAGTTCACACCGCCATTCTCCTGCCTCAGCCTCCAAAGTAGCTGGGACTACAGGGGCCCGCCACCATGCCTGGTTAATTTTTTGTGTTTTTCGTAGAGACAGGGTTTCACCATGTTAGCCAGGATGGTCTCCATCTCCTGACCTCGTGATCTGCCTGCCTCAACTTCCCAATGTTCTGGGATTACAGCTGTGAGCCACCGTGTCTGGCCCAAATCATTTTTAATCTATTAGGCAAAAATTAGAGCTATGATAATATTCATTTTTGGTGGGAGTGTGGCAAAAGGTACTATAACAGAATGCTACTAGAGAGTAAACTTTGATACATTTGTAAGGGCAATTTTGCATAATATGAAAATTTAAAAATATGCTTCCAGTTTCACATACGTTTATCTAGCATACAGAATTACCCATGTGTAAACATGTATACAGATGTTCATTATAACACTTCTTATAAAAACAAAATATTTGCAAATATTCATATGAACAAGTGCATACATATGATCTTAGTCCAGTTAGAATTTTCTGTTTTATTTCAATCCTTTAAAAGACTCAACTTCTGATTCTATATAAACAATTCAAAAAAGAATGTGTTTTCCCTATGTGCATTTGGTCAGGTAAATTAAAAAATACACCTCATGCTAGCCTCACAAAACTGGAATAAGCCTTGGGAAAGAAGTTGTCCTTGAAGCTTGTATCTGACATTGTAGCAGGACGAGCCGCAGAAAAAACCTCTCAGACACTGAGTTGTAGAAGGAAGGGCTTTATTCAGCTGGGAGCATTAGCCAGCTACTGTCTCTAAATCTGAGCTCCTGGAGTGCACAATTTCTGTCCTTTTTAAGGGCTCACAACACTAAAGATTTCACATGAAAGCTTTGTGATTGATTTGAGCAAGCGAGGTATACATGACAAGGACTACTTGCCCCGGTGGTCAGGGAGAAACAGAATATGGAAGAGAGTTTCACAATGTTCTTCTACACAATATCTGGAATCTGTGAATCACATCGGCTTCTAAATCATAAGTGGATGTTCAACTACTGGGTTTAGGCCAACCAGGCCCAGGTCTGTTTTTGGGCCTGGCGCCGGGCTGCCTGTCTTTGGTTTTATTTCCTTGTTGTTTTTACTGAATAGAAAACAATGTAAAACAAGAGGAGAGGGTCTTTCTCCTCTCTCATTTTCTTTCTTTGAGACTTTCACTCATTTTTATTAGTGGGAGCTGTCACTTTTATGATTTATGTTCTTCTGTGCAATAGATTGATAGCCATTTATATTGTATGCTTGTGCTGAAGGCTTTTGGTGAAATAAGGGAGAGACGAAGTTTTTTATGATTTGGAGAAACACAGGTATCAGACAAGGGAGCAGTAAGCAGGTTCCTATTACTATTATTACCTCTATTATAAGAGTTTTAAATCCTCCTATTGCTGGGAACTACTTTCTAAACATGGCTCCTGGATTGAGTCTGTGCCAGCCTTGCACGAGTACATGTGCCAGTTTTGTTATATCCTTAAGTATATGCTCAACTACTTGTTCTTTATCATCTATGTGTAGGCAACATGTTTCGTCAGATTCTCTCGCCAGGCAAGAACAGTCAAGGCTTGTTGGGTTTTATTAGTAATAATTTCTAAAGCAGCTTGTAACCATATGAGCATGTAGATAGGGGTTGGATATCCTCATGAGCCATCTTGTACTTAAGTGGCGGGTCCATAGTATTGTATGATTCTTTCAGGGGTGCATTCATCATCTTTCTAACCACTTATGGCTATGCTTCATTTTGCCTGGGAAGCATAGACTGGGAAGCCTACAAGTTCAACTGTTTTTATGGGCAGTAAGAAGAAAGATGGCTTCATGGTGCCAATTACACAGCCACACGCCCACTGGTCAGGCAGCTTAGCATAAGCTTTGTGTCTACATATCTAGCATAACCTAGTGGGGGCCGTCCAGTCCTGGTGGAATTCTGGATGGGCCTAAACAGTCTGCAACTTTGGAAATTTGCTGAATGCATTTCTTTCTGTGTAATTGGAACTGTACCATGTAACTGTTTTTGTGGCACCATTATACAGGTTTTGCCTAAGACAAATAAGCCGCCTTACGGGATGAGTAAATCCTTTTCTTTCTCTAGCTACGCATTACTGTCTAATAATTGTGACTTTTAGAAACTAAAAATTGTCGGGGTTGTTCTTTTGGGATGGAATTCGTGAGGAACTCCATCTGTAGGAACTAATTCTTGGGCTTCTTATGGCCATTGATCTCCTGTTACAGTCCTTCCACAAACATCACATGAAATGACTTGTAGAGACTGGGCTACATGTTTGGCTAATTGCAAAAACAAATTTTTAGTTTTTTTCAGAAATTTCAGGTATAGGCACATTGAATTCATCATAGAAAGTGTGAAATACTTGTCCTGGTGAGCGTTTTTGAACTTCTTCTTTTATCAGGATGCTTACACTAGAATCTAGTCCTTTTCTATCAATGCCTAATGTTATATATTTTCTTTTATTCCACTTTGGATCTGAGGGGTTTGTGATGATCAATTTTAAAGGGTTGCAGCTCCCACTTGTGCAAGAGGGGCTGACTTTTCTTTTTTGGAGCCAAACAGGATCTTTTTTATCTTTCTTCTAAGTAGCCTAACTGACGCAATACCACTATTGACACATCGAACATAAATATGGTTCTTGACAGATGTACTTATTTTCTGTGTGTAATTTTTCCCAAATTTAGAGAAATGCATCTTATCCTCTGCTGTTTAGTATTAATAGTGGCACGAGCATCAAATTTTAAAGTTACATTTGTGGGGACTCTTCTTTCTTCTGTTCTAGCTATCACTTTACTTGTGTTACTTAGAGAAGGACCAGTTCTTAGTCTTACTTCGAAGACTGTGATCATGGGGGTTTAGAGGGGTCATAGCACACATCGGGCTGGTCACTTCCTGGATTACATACTTAGTACTGGGTGTTATTATACAAACAGGTTCTGTTTGGAGTTCTTAGGCATTCATAATAGCTGTAAAATAAAACGATCATCTTAACTTGTCCTTCTTCA
Organism: Homo sapiens; assembly: GCF_000001405.40. Taxonomy (NCBI): domain Eukaryota; kingdom Metazoa; phylum Chordata; class Mammalia; order Primates; family Hominidae; genus Homo; species Homo sapiens. Next base: position 103,744,157 of record NC_000001.11, read on the forward strand.
GTGTCCTGATGTATGCACTGAAGGCAGTCCTCTGTGTGGGAAGAGGTAGTGGAAGCTTTTACCACACAGGTCCATGTTATAAGGACAATAAGTCCTACGACGATTTTCCTCATGCTTTGGCCATGTGTAGTCTAGTCAGCTTCGTGGTGTGATTGGAGCAGGGCTTGTCATTTTCTTCAAGGTCACTTTTCAGGGATTGTCCAAGTTTGGTTTGGCCTCCTAGGTCTCAGCGGCTGCAGGCTTCATGAGGCTGTGGTGAATCTAGGCTGGGATTCCTTCTACATTGACAGCTGTGGGAGTGGTCAGGTTAATTGTCTGGGGTCCTTTCCACTGTGGCCACAGCGGAGCCACGTTCCAGTCCTTGATCCACACAATGTCACCTGGAGAAAAAGGGTGAACTGGGGAGAATCAGCTGCCTGGGCACCTCTCATTTACTCAAGTTGAGATAGTCTGAGTAATTTTCCCTAAGGCCTGTAGCTGCCGCTGTAATGCAATCTCACCTAACTCTTGGGGAGTACCTGGAAGCCCTCCCAGTATGGGAGGAGGCCTATGATACAGAATTTCAAAGGGGGAGTATGCTGTTCTCTTAGAAGGGGTACACTTAATTTTAAACAATACTATAGGAAGGACTTGTGTCTATTTTAAATTTGTTTCTTGACATACTTTCCAGAAACTTTTTCTGATAGTTCGATTCATTTGCTGCACTTTCCGGAACTCTAAGGTTGGTAAACGGCATGTAACTTCTATGAAATTCTTAATACCTTTGCCGTCTTCTGTATCAAGTCAGCAACAAATGCTGGCCTATTATTTGAGCCAATTCGTAGAGGCAGTCCAAACCTAGGGATGAAATTTTGAAGAAGTACACAGGTTACTTCAGGAGCTTTTTCAGTTCATGTTGGATAAGCCTCCACCTACTTAGAGTAAGTACACACTAGAACCAGTAAATACTTGTTACTTCTACATTTAGGCATTTCTGTGAAGTCCACTTGAAGATCTTCAAAATGAGCTGCTCCAGAGGCTTCTATTCCCCGAGGTACAGAGGGGCCTTGCTTCGCATTGTGCTGTCCACAGGTAAGGCATCACTGCGCTACTGTTGTAGCAACAGCTGGCAAGGGTGAGATGTAGAAATACTGGCCTAACAGCTTTTCAAGTGATTCTTGGCCTCAATGGGTAGTTTCACATACAGTCAGCATGACTGTATAGCAGCGGTGGCACTGCTATTCTTCCATCTGGTAACTTTATGTATCTTTCCTTTATTGTTTGTCCTCTCTCTGTCTGAAAAAATTCTTTTTCCTCTTTAGAATAAGTTGGCACCAGATCAAGCATTTGAAGGAGTAGCAGGGCTGTGACTGATGTCTGGTAAGGAGTAGATGCTGCTTTTCCTGCCTCTGTGTCTGCTCAGGGCTTTCCTTGGCAAACCGAAGCGGAAACTCGCTGATATCCCCTGCAATGCATGAATGCCACCTTTTGGGGTTTCTACACTGCTTCTAATCATTGTAGAATTTCTTGCTGACATTTTATGTCTTTTCCTCTAGAATTTTTTCCTTATACAATGCTCCACATACTTGAAGGGTTAGAAAGGCATATCAAGAATCAGTATAGATGTTTACAATCTTAGGTTCACTGAGTTCCAGAGCCCGAGTTAGAGGAATGAGTTCTGCTTTTTGGGCTGAAGTGCTCTGAGGCAATGGCTTAGCTTCAACAACATCATCTAAGTTTACTACTGCATATCCTGCACACCTTTCTCTTTGCGGGTTGATGAAGCTGCTTCTGTCCATGTAGAACTCCTAATCTACCAATGCCTATGGCTGGTCTCAAAGATCTGGTCTGCTAGAATAGACATAGTCCAACACCTCTACACAGTTATGTTTAACAGGGCTGTCTGATACTGGGAGCAAAGTGGCAGGATTTAAAGAATTACAGACTTCTATGGTTATACATTGATTTTCACATAACAAGCTTTGGTGTTTAGTTAATGTAGCATTTGTTAGCCAATGGTGTCTTTTGGTGTTCCTTAGAGTTACATTAGAGTCAGCTTGGGCTGACATAAGTTTTTCTTTTAACTTATAAGTCTTGTTGTTGTAGAGACCTCTATTTAAAAGGCTCTCGGTCACCCCCTTTATAACTCCATTCAATGCTTTGGCTAACACCACAAAGTTTGGAATCTGCAGTCTGCAAAAATCTCACAGCTCCTAAATGTTCTCTTATTTGCCTCCTGGTTTTAGGTTCTGGTAAGCTGCAGATGACCTGCTTTCTTGCTGACCATAGACTGCACTCCCCTTTTCAAATAGTGAATCCTAGGTAGTGTACCTGCTGTCTGCAGATCTGAGCTTTCTTTTTGGGCACTTTATATCCACAGTCCTCCAGGTGTCGAAGCAGGGCACCCGTCCTTTTTGCACACCTGACTGCCATGGAGTGTCCTAGCAGAAGGTCATCTACATACTGGAGCAGGATGCAACCTAGGTCTTTAGCAGGAAACATTTGGAGGTCTCCAACCGAGGCCTCCCGAAAGATGGTGGGGGACTTTTTGAACCTTTGGGAAAGTCGAGTCTAAGTGTACTGAATGGTGACATCTGACTCCGGATCTTCCTACTGAAAGGCAAACAGCTTTTGGCTCTCAGGAACTAGCCTGATGTGAAGAAGGCATCTTTCAAGTCCTGTACGGGTCGATAGTCTTTGGTCCTTGGTTTAGGGACAGGTAGGAGGTGGGTGTTCCATGGAGACTGGCAAGGAACTAGAATTCCAGAGGCTTTTAAGCATATAAGATGAGTCTCTATTCCTTTAAAGGCTTCCCTGGGAACAGGATACGGCTTTTGTCCAATTGGCTAGGTCGTAGGCTAAACTTCTATGAGTACGGGGGCTTGATTGATTGCCAGCCTCAGAGGATTGTCCTCCATCTCTACTCAGAGCCGTCACTCAGCTGGAGCCACTTTTATTTCCTGAGCTGGCTCAGTTAGCAAAAGTCTCCACTCTTCTTCCTGGGGGACTGGAAGGGCCATGATGACTCCTGTTTCTGGCAACTCCAGCTGTAAAGTGCCTTGTTTTGTCAAGGAAATGGTGGCTCTTAACTTGCTAAGCAAGTCTCTTCTCAACAAAGGCAAGGGACAGTCAGACATATACAGAAATGGATAAATCACTTTGTGTCCTCCCACTGAGCAGTTGCGCGGTAGACAGAAGTCCTGCTTGGTAGAGACTCCTGTTGCTCTAATTCTATCAATCGTCTTTATAGATGAGGGGGCCACTGGAGTGCTTACTACTGAGTGTTCGGCTCTTGTATCCACTAAAAACTTAATGTCTTTGCCCCTTATTGTCATCCTGACCATGGGCTCCTTGGGGGCATTTGAGCCTGTTCCCCTTAATTCTAGCAGCCCCTCAGCTAGATTGAACAAAATCCTTTCATCTTGGTTTGAGGTCTTTGGCTCTGCATCACTCTGATTTTCTTTGAGTTGGGGACATTTATCTTTCTAATGTCCTATTTCTTTACAGTAGGCACATTAGTCATGCTGCAAATGTGAGTGATTGGACAGGGCATTCCTCCCAGAACCCCCTTTTTTCTGCCTTTTCAGGAGAATTCCTCTAATTGTCACAGCCAGCAAACTAGCGTTTCACCTGGCCTGGCGTTCGCCCTCCTTACGGCTTTCTTGGCCGCTTGTTGCATCTCTATTTACAAATACTTCATTAGCTCTTTCCAGTAACTGCAAGGTTTTCATTCCTGCAAACCTAGCCTGTTTTTGCAATTTTCTCTGGATATCTTCTGCACTCTGAATAACTAAGGCCGTATTAATCAACGGCTGATTTTCAGGACTCTCCAGATCGAAAGGAGTGTACATGCAATAGGCCTCACACGGTCTTTGATAGAACTGGGCTGGGCTTTCCTCCTTTCCTTGGATGACTTCAGAAACTTTATTTACATTGGTACCCTTTTGAGCCCCTTTTTTCAACCTTTCAATTAATGCCTCTCGGTACCCTCTTAGCCTTTCCATATCTGGTCCTTCATTTGGATCCTATTGAGGGTCCGTTCCTGGCAGCTGAATTCTTATGTATTCTTGGGGACTTTGATAATTGGCTGGGATGTGCTCCTCCAGCCATTTAACTGTTGCCTGCAGCACCTGTTGCCTTTTATGTGTTTTAAAGAGGTACATGAGTAGCTGGTGGCAATCAGCCTAAGTAGGATTCTGAGTCTGGATAATTCTTTGAAGCAAGTCAATTAGGGCTTGAGGCTTTTCAGTGTAAGATGGAGTGTTATTTTTCCAGTTGAGTAGTTCAGCAGAGGTAAAAGGGTGATACACAAAAGCATGCCTTTCTACCGTATGTCTGACCTCATCTGTCCTAGTATATCGCTGCTCTCTCAGGGCATTTGAATTCCCGTCTTGGGCCGTTAAGCGGGCTGCCAGGGAAGTGGATTTTCCCGCAGTTTCACTTTTGTTCTTGTCTACTCTGGGTGGTCTAGGGGCTGTGGGCTCAGGAGAAGGGGGCCTCCCCACTGGATAAGGGGTTGAGGGCACTGTTGGTGCCATCTCCTGCCTTGAGTCCTCGAGCTCTGGGTCAAACAGAACTTTAGGTGCTGGCTTCTCTTGGCCGGTGGAGCGAGAACTTTCCTGAAATAAATGTCCCTTTGCTACTACTACTGCTGCTGCCTGTCCTTTTACCACTGTAGAGGATCTAAAACTAGCTGTAACTAGGAATCTCTATATGGAAATTGATATGGGTGCAGGCACACCATGAGCGATCAGGCCAAGCTTCCGCTCAGGTGGAGTGGGGCAAGTTGAAAAGACTTGTCTTACTAAGTTTCAGATGTCTGGACTCCAAGTGCCAGTTCCTTCCTGGTGTTCAGCCACTGTGTTAATCCTCCGCGGGGATCACTGCTCTGGCGAGGCGTTCAACCGGGGCCATTTCCTACCTGGGAGCGCTCTTTGGATCCCATCCCTCAGGCTGGCCAGAGTCCCTGGCAGCCTGAGGGATGCCCCGGCCTTACTCCACAAGGCATGCCTAATCTGCCTAAGGAGCTGCCTCGGCCGTCCATCAGTTATCTTGCTTCCAGGTCAGGGAACCAAGAAATGTAGCAGGACAAGCGGCAGACAAAACTCTCAGACACCGAGTTGTAGAAGGAAGGGTGTTATTCACCTGGGAGCATCGGATAGCTACTGTCTCAAAATCCGAGCTCCCCAAGTGCACAATTTCTGTCCCTTTTAAGGGCACACAGCACTAAAGATGTCACATGAAAGGGTCGTGATTGATTTGAACAAGCCAGGGATATGCGACAAGGACTACATGCACCCGTGGTCAGGGAGAAACAGAATATGGAAGGGAGTTTCACAATGTTCTTCTATACAATGTCTGGAATCTATGAATAACATCGGCTTCTAAATCATAAGTTGATTTGTAACTACTGGGTTTAGGCCAACCAGGCCCAGGCCTGGTTTTGTGCCTTTGATTTTGCTTCCTTGTTGTTTTTACTGAATAGAAAACAATATAAAACAAGAGGACAGGGTCTTTCTCTCTTCTCAATATCAGCACTGGATTGTAGAACTTGTTGCTGATTTTGGCCTGGCATTCAAGTTAACTCTTCCCCTTGGTATCTGTACATACCTTTGATGTCAGTGTTTAGTACACGTGGCTTGGTCACTTCATGGCTAAAAACGTGCTTGTGGAAGACAAGTCTGGCTTGGTGAGTCTGTGTGGTCAGCAGTCTCTGATCCGTGCAGGGTATTAATGTGTCAGGGCTGAGTGTTCTGAGATTTATCTAGAGGCTGGGAAGGGCTCCTGAACCAGTTGTTTCCGTCTTGTCGGTCTGTCAGGGTTGGAAAGTCCAAGCCATAGGACCCAGTTTCCTTTCTTAGCTTACGTTATCTACCAGAGCACCGTGGGCTGTTACTTGCCTTGAGTTGGAAGCGGTTCGCATTTATACCGGTAAATGTATTCATCCTTTTAATTTATGTAAAGTTTTTTAGTATGCAATTCTCGATCTTTTAAGAGTTGACAACAAATTTTGGTTTTCTGCTGTTATGTGAGAACATTAGGCCACAGCAACATGTCATTGTGTAAGGAAAAATAAAAGTGCTACCATATGCAAAAAAAAAAAAAAAAAGAAAAGAAAAGAAACATTAATGTCTAAGAGGTCATTGAGATGATTTCCATGAGAGACTTTTTGATGTTCTTCACCAGTTAGGATTATTATTGATAATCCTTTTCAGATTATGAATAAACAGTTTGCCCTCAAGTATTTATTCATGCTACTATTTACATTGTAAAATGTGCTTCTTACAGGAATATAAATAGTTTCTGGAAAGGACACTGACAACTTCAAAGCAAAATGAAGCTCTTTTGGTTGCTTTTCACCATTGGGTTCTGCTGGGCTCAGTATTCCTCAAATACACAACAAGGACGAACATCTATTGTTCATCTGTTTGAATGGCGATGGGTTGATATTGCTCTTGAATGTGAGCGATATTTAGCTCCCAAGGGATTTGGAGGGGTTCAGGTGGGTATGATTCATAGTATCAATTGCAGAATTCACTGTGCTTGTAGTAAACACTATTCTGATCTTCTACGTGAAGCTTGGGCAACATTTTACTTCACAGGTAAGTATTCTAAGTAAAAGAATTTTCTGAGGAAAAAACAATGTAGTATTCTTTGCAACTGTATATTTTGTTTCTGATATAATCTTTCTTCAACAAGAGCCCTCCGATGTGCTGTTAATATTTTCAAGAGATAGCTGCCTATACCAAGATTCAAGAATCTTTTGTATTATTGATTAGATTCTAGAACATTCAATGATATACAGTAAGACAGAATTTGGTACTTATGAAGACTGTTTAATTTGTAGGTCTCTCCACCAAATGAAAATGTTGCCATTCACAACCCTTTCAGACCTTGGTGGGAAAGATACCAACCAGTTAGCTATAAATTATGCACAAGATCTGGAAATGAAGATGAATTTAGAAACATGGTGACTAGATGCAACAATGTTGGGGTAAGTGAATTCTAGTTTCCTTTAAAAATAACAGATAGGAAAATGATTTCTGTCTCTTCTTTCTTGCTCCTTTTGAGCAGAAAGTTTTCCATATCAGTTTTAATTTTACTTCATACTTTAAAACTCAAAAGTAACTGTCACCTTATGTTCAATTTTTGAAAATATTTGTATATGTGCTCTCTACTAAAGAGATAAGTTAAAGTTTATAGCAGAGTTTACTTCTGAAGCAAAACATCAAATTTTAACCGCTATAACTATCCATATTTCCTGGAAGGATTTTCTGGTGAGGAATTTTAATTCCAGTTACAATATTTGCTCTCATTTTTAGATGACTTGTGTCTCCATTCCTAATTCTTGGGTTTTTTTTGTGGTGAATAGGTAGCTTATCTATTTAATGAGGAGCAGAATTTGAGATGAATAGCTACCTTATTTGTCTTCCAAGCTTAGTAGAGAGTACAGGCTTTCTCCTGGTGACCCACTGAAATTTCCCAAATAGTAACCTTTTCAGTCTCATCTGAGTTGTGTCTCCCCAAAATGGGCTTTTTGCCTTTCCTCCTATTTATGGTAGTTTCCGGTTCTCTCAGTTTATCATTCCTATATATATTTGGCCAAGTGTCTGGAATGAATGTAGGTGTTTAGTTCACATTACTTTCCTTTCACAGTTGATTTTTGATCTTGTAGGAAAATAGTTATAAGGTATGAAATATTTTGGAATTTTATTAGCACACTATAAATTTAATCAATAATTCTTTAAATTTCTGCCTCTCTGTAAGTCACACTGAATTAGAAACTTTGTTTTCTAGGTTCGTATTTATGTGGATGCTGTAATTAATCATATGTGTGGTAATGCTGTGAGTGCAGGAACAAGCAGTACCTGTGGAAGTTACTTCAACCCTGGAAGTAGGGACTTTCCAGCAGTCCCATATTCTGGATGGGATTTTAATGATGGTAAATGTAAAACTGGAAGTGGAGATATCGAGAACTATAATGATGCTACTCAGGTAATTTTTTTACGAGAGTGATCTGAATAAGGAGTGATATATGCCTTTTGTTGTAGACATGTAGCTAATTGAACTTCGTTGTAAATATGAATTTAGATCTCTTAGGGACAGAGGTTAACAAGTTTGACTACTTTAAGAAACTCAAATCCATATTTGAAAACCTTTAAATATTGATTTAAGATTTTTAATCAATACACATTTGTCCACTTTTAAAAAGCTCCCAACCAATTGAAAAACTCATCGACTTTATTTCCTAAGTTCTCTATTTTCTATTAGAAAATATTTCCAAGATACATCTATAGTAGAATGTGAGCATCCCCAGTGTCCAATGCAAGGAAGTCACCATAGAATATCTCTTGAGGAATCATGGAATAAATGAATAATCAAATGGATTCTCAGGCGAAAAGTGAGGTTTTATTAATCAATCATAACATTCTTACCTCAACAGGTCAGAGATTGTCGTCTGTCTGGTCTTCTCGATCTTGCACTGGGGAAGGATTATGTGCGTTCTAAGATTGCCGAATATATGAACCATCTCATTGACATTGGTGTTGCAGGGTTCAGAATTGATGCTTCCAAGCACATGTGGCCTGGAGACATAAAGGCAATTTTGGACAAACTGCATAATCTAAACAGTAACTGGTTCCCGGAAGGTAGTAAACCTTTCATTTACCAGGAGGTACGTCAATACATATAGGCATATAAAATATCATCCTATTCATTAGAAAATTCACGGCAGATTCAATTAAAAATGCAATTTCTGTAGGATAAAGACTGAGTCATTTCCTTAAAACAGTGTTCTTTAACCTCCTCTTCTTCACATACAGCATATCTAATTCTTTATCACAACAGGTTTTATGGAGGTACACAGAATGTAGGATACTGATAATAGTTATGTCTTTATTTTCTTTGGAAAATGAAATGAGTTAATATTTATCAAAAAAAGTCAGTCAGATAGTAAATATCGTATTCCTGTGAGCTGTTATTATTATCATTGATGTACAAGACTAAAAATTAGGTAAGTATTCTCACAGGACAACAGGTAACTTTGACATTATGTTTCTTTCAATATTGTAGTGTATACTTTATCAAAAAAAGAATATAAGAATATTACCGATGAAGATAATAAGAATAAGAAAACGATTTTGAGCGTTTCATATAACAAATAGGACCAGGCGTGGTGGCTCTTGCATGTAACTCAGCACTTTGGGAGGCTGAGGCAGGAGAATTCCTTGAGGCCTGGAGTTTGGGACCATCCTGGACGATATAGCAAGACCCTGTCTCTAAAGAACAAAGCACAACAAGTCTAAAATAACTCAGAAATAGCTGAAAGCTAATTTTTATATAATATAAACTTATCGGTTAAAATGCTTTAAAGTCCTTATGCAAAATGTTTTTTTTTCCTAAATTTCTTCTAGGTAATTGATCTGGGTGGTGAGCCAATTAAAAGCAGTGACTACTTTGGTAATGGCCGGGTGACAGAATTCAAGTATGGTGCAAAACTCGGCACAGTTATTCGCAAGTGGAATGGAGAGAAGATGTCTTACTTAAAGTAAATAAATACAACTTTTCCCCTGAACTATTTCATAGATCTGTTAGTCATACTACCCCAGTGCGAGTTATCTTCTGGAACATTCTTATTCAGACAACTATTAAGGAGTCAGTTGTTAATGATAAGTATTCTAGTGCCCTAAACTCTAATCAATCATCTTTTGTATTTAGAGTGTCTGTCACAAGACAGTATGCCTAGGAACGCTAAACTTACCCTAGGAGTTTCTGTCTGCGTACAAGATGAATATACTGGATTTGACTGATGTTTGCATATAATCTTTTAAAGCCAGGTTATTATTAAAATGATCCTATCATTTATAAAGTATGTACAAAGTGTCCATGCTATTGTATTTACTTATACGAATTGGAAATGTAAAATGATTTATATTATAACAATACAATATTAAAGCCTTATTTTAATCTAGTTTGACATTCTGTATAATGTGATGTGGATATTGATCCTTCTGGAGTGCCTCTAAATGATAATGTGCTGAAACCTCTGAAAGGAAATTTTTTAATAACAAACATTTTATATTTGTAATATGAATATAAGTATTCCATACATGTATATACAAATATGGACTATATATATGTAGATTACACACGTGTGTTTGTTTATGAGGTGTGTGTGTATATATATGTGAGTGTGTGTTTGTGTGTGTGTGTGTATATATATATATCTTACAGAGTAACCATCTAATTAGAGAAAGAATTTAATCTTCAGATGCCATGCCTTACAGAAAGAGATGCACAGTAGAGTTACTCTCAAACTATTGTGAAATGATACATCAACGTATATCTTATGTTTCAAAAATAGGAACTGGGGAGAAGGTTGGGGTTTCATGCCTTCTGACAGAGCGCTTGTCTTTGTGGATAACCATGACAATCAACGAGGACATGGCGCTGGAGGAGCCTCTATACTTACCTTCTGGGATGCTAGGTAGAAAACCAAGTTCTCTATTTTTTAACACCTCTTTTAATGATGGTATGAATATTGTGATATTCTATGATAATATAATTATGTAACTTTCAGGCTGTACAAAATGGCAGTTGGATTTATGCTTGCTCATCCTTATGGATTTACACGAGTAATGTCAAGCTACCGTTGGCCAAGATATTTTGAAAATGGAAAAGTAAGTTTTGGAGTTGTTCAAAATATCCTTTTCTCAAGAAAAAAGAGGCAATCTTCTCCTAATTTAATATGACAACTATTAAGTGTTTATTTATTCAACAAATATTTAATTATTGTAAACCTGATACAGGGTTGTGATTTAGTAATGCAGGTTATATTAAAGGAATAAACTTTATATTCTCCATTGAAAAAGAATAGCAAGCTTTTTCAGAGATATGACAAACATCCCCCTAGCCCGCAGGGAAAATAAAAATAAAAATTAAAAAAACCACTTAAAAATAAGAGCTAGGCACAGGGATTAAAATATATACTTCGTACCTTCCTCAGGTTTAATTGGAAGAATATAGATGCCAACCCTTGTAGAGAACTTAAAACATCATCTGCCCGTAGTGAGAACAATATAAATGTCTTTTAAATACTGTTAAAAAGTTATATGGTATAGAAACAAATGATCCAGTTCAGCTGAGTTAAATAGGGAAAGTATACTATAAGAGGAAGGAAATTGTATGTACTAAAGGATAGAAATTTATAGAGAGTATTCCAAGAAAGGTAAGAATGAGAAAAATATTTGGGAGTATGGTAAAGACATCACTCTGCTGAGTAGTTTCAAAAAGGAACAGAGAAATAAGAGTGTAAAGATATTTGGAAAGCTAGTAGAAGGTTTTCTTTTAAACTAAAGGGTTGAGAAACAGCATCAGAGACTTCAGAACTAAAGCAGAAATTCCTCCTTCCTATGAGTCACACAGATATCTAGCTAGCTTTTTTTAGATTCCTTTCAGTTTGAGAAGTCCGCTACTATGTATAACAACTGATTCTATTGTTAAACAGCTTTAATATTTAGAAGGTGTACTTTTATATTGAGACAACTTCTTATAATTTCTACTAATTGGTCTTATTTCTGTTGTTAGGAGTCAGAGAGTTCTTTTATTTTTTCTATTACTATAACATTCCCACTTTGACAGGACTGCTGCATGCTATAAACTCTTAAGTTTTGTTCACTTTTCACCATATGACGTGATTTTAAGGTGAACACTGATAAACTTCCTAGGGTTACTCTGTGTTTTTTAATGAAGATTTCTTAAAGTGCCAATCAGAAAAGCATAATACTAAAAATATGGTCAATTTATAAAAAAAAATGTTCAGATGTAGTATTTTGTACATTTATCTAAAAAGAAGCATGACGGCCTCCAATATTTATTTAGCATATGTCATGTTCAAGGCATTTTCACATATATTACTTAATTTTTATAGCAAAAGAACTCATTATTCTCATTTTACAAATGAGGAAACTGAGACACAGAGAAATTATTTATATTGATTAAATTTTCTCAGCTACTAGTAATAGAGCCTATGTTTTAATCCTGGTGTTTCTAGTACTAATGCCCTTCCCATTTCAATGCCATTGCATGGCTTACAGTGATGTTAAGAAGCCCTTGCAGGCCAGGTGCAGTGGCTCACACCTATAATCCCAGCACTGTGTGCGGCCAGCTGAGAAGGTCAGCTGACCTGAGGAGTTCAAGACCTATCTGGGCAAGCTAGCAAGACCTTGCCTCTACTGAAAATTAAAAAAAAAAAAAAAATTAGCTGGGTGCGGTGGTGCACACCAACAGTCTTAGCTACTTGGGAGGCTGAGATGGGAGGTTCGCTTGAGCCTCGGAGATCAAGGCTGCAGTGAGCTACGATCATGCCACTGTACTCCAGCCTGGGTGACAGAGCAAAGAAGTCTTTGCAGTGCCTTGGAATGAAAAGGAGAGGATAACAATTTGCTACCTTTGTTTGAAATATGGCAAAAGAGAACCAGAGGATAGAGAGATGATGAAGACCCAGTAAAGGGCTATAAAAATCAATGAAGGCATTGGATTCTAGATAAAGTCACTGAATGCAGAGACACAAGTAACAGGATAGGTTGGGTTTGGTTTAAAGGAGAAGGAAGAGATAAATATATATATGCTAAAATTTGGCTTTTCCTCCTGTAATTAAGGATGTTAATGATTGGGTTGGGCCACCAAATGATAATGGAGTAACTAAAGAAGTTACTATTAATCCAGACACTACTTGTGGCAATGACTGGGTCTGTGAACATCGATGGCGCCAAATAAGGTGAGAATATGTATTTAGACATGTCCTCTAATAGTAAATTTCCGTAGCACTTTATTTAAAACAGTTGAAGTTTAAGAATATCAACGTTTTATATGGTATTGTGTTTTTAGGAACATGGTTAATTTCCGCAATGTAGTGGATGGCCAGCCTTTTACAAACTGGTATGATAATGGGAGCAACCAAGTGGCTTTTGGGAGAGGAAACAGAGGATTCATTGTTTTCAACAATGATGACTGGTAAGTAAATATCAATTAAAAATAATATTTTGTACCAGTATGTTCTTGGTTTATTCTTTTTTTTTTCTGTTCATTGACATTTATCATATCTGAAAAATCATGTAGTCAGTGGAGCGAGAAGACAATAGAGATCAAAATTGGGTAGAAGCAAAAGGATGATGGCTGTTACTCCTTCGTTCTCCTGTTTTCATAAGGGCTTTCTGTTGTAAGCAGAATCCTTTCTGTGCACCCTTGCAATATCTTATGCATATATAGAATGCACATTCATATGCTTACCTACACATGCCACAAAATACACAAAGTAATTAATAGAAGGATTGTGAAATCATTAAAAGAACGTTTCTTATAGTCCTGCTCTTTTAATCATGGAAAAATGCTGCCTCAGTACTAAAATATCTTTATTTCTCTTTTTCTCAATGACAGCTCTACCTAGTTTTTTGGTATACTTTCTTCACTTCTCTGTCTCCTTGTGACAAATAACATTTTTAAAGCATATGGATAAATAATATGTATCTTGTGGTTAATGATTTGCTTCAGGAGACTTGAGTTTTAGTTCTGAAACTTCTCATTATTGGCCTTTCATCTGTGATTTTTGTATCCTTTGGCTGTAGTATAAATGATTCCCGAAACTGTAGCTGAGAAGACCTCCTTGCAAACAGTTGAATTGTCTCTGTCCAAGGCCAACTGACACTCATACTTAGCTCACTCTAGTATAAATTATACTTCACTTATGAAAAATAAATAAATACAAAAATATATAAGTCAAGTTGATCTCTTTCCTGCCAAAAAAATGCGTGTCTATTTCCTTAGTTTCCTTCTTTTGTGGATGAAAATACCAAAAAAATCTTTTGTGAAAAAGCTTTATATTTCAAACTATCACTTCCTCATACAAATGCTAGATTGTTTTTATGTACACCCTAAATTCTTTTTGACCTCATGTAGAATAAAAGAAGGTTAAAAAAATAATACCCTTTAAATTTTTAAAGTAATTGGCATTAAGTTCAGTTGAGAAAAAATTTGATTTTACCAAGGTAGCACTTTATCAAAATGTGACCGCTCCCGCCAATCTTCGGTGATATTCTTCAACTTTGATTTTTCGGTTATATTTTCACTACTGAAAAGGAAATTGGTAGGTTTTCTGTAAGGTTACTTTTGGTCCTAGAAAGCTGTTTACACCTACTAGGGAGGCATATGGGTTTTCTTCTTAATGAGACTTCACTGCTTAGGGTTCTAAAACATAAAGTTATGCTGTTTATTTGTGTTAGTCTGTATTCTTGATTTCATTGTTTTGAAGTTAAATCTGAAATTTTATTTTACAGGACATTTTCTTTAACTTTGCAAACTGGTCTTCCTGCTGGCACATACTGTGATGTCATTTCTGGAGATAAAATTAATGGCAACTGCACAGGCATTAAAATCTACGTTTCTGATGATGGCAAAGCTCATTTTTCTATTAGTAACTCTGCTGAAGATCCATTTATTGCAATTCATGCTGAATCTAAATTGTAAAATTTAAAATTAAATGCAAATCCGCAAAGCAATAGCTAAGTGTGTTTCTTTTCTTACATATACAGTAATAGTTACATATCATTAATTTTAAATAAAAGCTCTAATTAGTAAAAAGAGGTTTAAGACACTTGATAGTATGAAATACAATTCCAGGTTACACATAAGTTATTTATTTTGGCAAAAGGATGACTCAAAAATTTTAAAACTAGGCAACAATCTTTACTCATTAAGAGGTAAGACTTAGCTTTCCAAACAGTTTGTCTCCTGTCTACTCTTTTCTCTCCTTGGCATTCTACCAACAAGGCAAACCAAATATTTCATTATTCTTCTCTATTACATGAAAAATCTGTACAAGGGAAGGAAAGCCAAATTTTACCCTTACATAGGTTTCAAAAGAATCCTTTTTCCATAGGCAACATTTACATTTTTATGCCTTTTTATAATCTTTTACCACAAACACATTTAAGTGTTCCTACACACCTTGCATGTAAATTTATTTTTAGTTGTCTTATTTACATATTTTTATGGTCAATCTTAGCAATTTTTAACTTTAATGTAAACCTGGTAAGTTGTTTTAATTATGTACTAGATGCAGATAAAGTCTGACTTTTTCCATTCTAGTTAGGGCATGGTTAATTTCATATGTCCCCAGGCCTTACCAAGTTGTAAAGTAGGCAGCCTACAACCTTGAAATATTTAGCAAGCCTTTTATCTAATTTATGTGATTTAAACCTGCTATTTACATATTGATGATATTTGCATTTTCCAATTTGATCTTTAAAACAGTTTTTATTTCTTAGAGTTTAAAAACACATAAACTAAAAGGCATTACGGTTTTAACTTTCCTCTAAAATATTTGATTTAAGTGCTTATTTTTATTTAAGGCAATCAATTGGTCCTCGTTACAGACATCACACACAACACATATATTGCTACACAGACAAACAGAAGAAGATCCAGTAGCTCTAAGATTTCTTCTCGTCCCATTTCCTAATTGCATTACTGGCTTCCCAGTAGAGCCCTTTAAGAACAGGGATAGCAAACCACGAAGTTTCTAGGGCCTAATCAACTTGTATAGCTGTAAGACAAAAACAGATTTTGAGCAGGATTGATCAGCCTCTAGATTCTGGGATTCCATGAGGAAAACAGAGGTTTCTCCCAAAATGGAATCCATCATGCATTTTCTGTTTTTCCCAAAACGTTTCAGGCCACCAGAAGTTATCTTGTGTGCATTAAGAGTGGAAAGACAGAGTGGAGAACAGTAATTCAGTCAATGGAAAAGTTCTTTTCAAGAAAAACACGATCCAAGAAGACAAAAACATGCAGGTCTTTTAAATATACCTATAACTTGAATATCCACTTTTAATCAAGCTCAGCACCCTTTCAGAAAATCCTTTGACATCTTCTGTTTCCTGACTTTAGCTAAATCAAGCAGGTAATATTTCTGGCTTTTGAATTTTACCAAAGGTAACATCACAGGGGAAACTAAAAACTCTCCGTTAGGTTATAAGTTCACCGTTAGTATACAAGATATTTTATAAGTGGTGGTAAGCAGCTTTTACCAGATCTAGAACCTTTAAAGTCAGTTGAGAGAAAGGAAGATTTCAGAAAGGCAGTTAGAGTTTTTCATGGCGGAGCACGAGATGATTAAACGTCACACAGTTGTTAACTGGAAAGTATTCATCACCCAGGCTGGGATTGAACCTGGGTCACCATTGTAAAAAGGCAACGGCTGAAAAGTGGTACTACCACATGGTTACAGGTTATGCTTAAGGACATAAAACAAGTCGGAGACATGCAGCAAAGTTTGTTACTGACCAGTTTATGAGGGTGTCTTGAACAGTGAGCTCAAGGAGTCTCAGGCCTGGATTCCATTCCAAGGTACCCTCTGTCTGACTTTTTCTTCTATTTTCTCTCCTTTTCCTGAGCCTCCTCCTAGTATGTCTTATGAAAGACAGAGGTGGCTACTCTTAGAAGGTTTTCTAAGGTGCCTTCTAGTCCTATAGCCTGTTTCTGTAGCTTCCTTCAAATATCAGGAGCTGCTTGAGTAAACCTGTCTTTCAAGATTACCTGTCCCTCAATTGAATTAGAATATAGGGAAGCATGTTTTGCCATAGTCTCTGTCAGCCTTTATAGAAAGGTTGAAGGATTTTCATCTAGGTTTTGATCTATCATGGATAGCTTAGAGTAGTTAACAGGTTTGGCTCTGGTCCTCTGTACACCTTCTACCATATACATCTGAAAGTGATTTCTTTTTCACTCATCTATGGGCTTCGTAGGGTTCCATTTAGAGTTTTCAATGGATACTGCCTCTTTTCCTACTAGGTATGGGGATTCTGCCTCTTTCTCACCCTCTTTCCCATTTTGAATGGCTATAGGAGACATGCTGTTCATCTCTGATTTTTTCTGCTACCTGTAGGGCTGCCTGTCTCTCAGGAGCAGTTAGGGTTTAAGAGTAACATAACATCCTTGCAGGAGAGTTTAAATACTTGGGTTATATCCTGGAAGGCCTCTATACATGAGTGAAGTTGGCACTTGCCCAGAGTGATCTTCAGTATCTGAAGTTTAGAGACTAGCCAGGCTATACCCAAGGGGAATGCAGGCTTGAAGATGGGTTGTTACCCATGCAGAAAAGGAGGGGAGTAGAAGGTGTCACTTGGTCTCCTTTCTCCTTTCAAAGTGACCCAGGATGAAGAGAAAGATTACAGGGGTGTCCCTCTTCTCCTCTTTCCTCCCACCTCCTTTGGGTCCCAGCAACCATCATAGGTGCTGCCCATGGATGCAAGCATGAATTGCACCCATGGATCTGGAGGTGCTAGCTGGCAGGAGTAATCATGCTTACCAGCACAATGCCTCATCTCACTGCTCTTCTGGGTACCCAGGCCTCCCAGAAGATTGTACAGTAGATAAAGTTGGGTGACACAATTTATTAGAGGGAGTGCTTTAACCCTATTCCTGCCTCCTCTAGTTATGGCCCTGGAAAAGAAGTGCATTCCCAGAAAGTTTTACCCAGTGACTTTTAAACAAAAAAACCCTTTTCTGTTTAAATGCCAATGTATCTGGAAACAGAACAGGTGTCTCACGAGAACATATGCATTTAACGGCTGTCCTCCTTCTGATGGGAACAGCACTGAGGCTAGAATTTGTCTCTCAAGGCTGGCTTCCTCCCAACTGTTGAATGTGGAGATTTTTCCTTACAAATGGGGCAGAGAGTCTGCTTACTGATAGAGGAACACAAAAGGAGAAGAAATCTGGGTACTAGAGGTTTTTGGCAAAGGGCTGAAAAGACTCTTTGCAGAGAAAAAAATCCTATTTCATGAGGTGGTGCTGTAGGTTCTGAACAGTTAGGTAAAATCTGTGACTCTAAATTTTTTCCAGGCAGAAGTTAGAAAGAGAAGTTTGGGGAAGTTAGAAAGAGAGGTTAGAAAGAGAGGTTTGGGGTTTAACCATACATGCCTCCCAGCAGTAGAAAATTAACTTTTCTTATTAATAGACTCTTTAAATTCAGTCAGCAGTGCTGAGCTTTTACATGAAGGAAAAGCAACCAAAATGGAGAGGGAGGAAGATATTCACTTGGGGTGAAATATCTTCTCATAGAGTGCCATAAATGACTGTCATTGTGGGACAAAAAGCACTTACTAGGTGAAGGTGTAGACTGAAATCTTGCAATCCCCTGGTATTTTGAGTTTCTGATTAGCCTTTCCAAAGGAATAAAATCAGATTTGTATCTATCTCAGTGAGCAGAGGGATGACTTTGAGTAGAATGGGAGGAAGGTTTGTTCTAAGCAGTTTCCGGCTTGAATTTTCCTTAGTGATTTTGGGGTCCCAATATATTTTCCTTTCACACATCTGACAAGGGATTAATAACTAGAATATCTAAGGAGCTCAAACAACTCTAGAGGAAAAAATCTAATAATTGGATCTAAAAGTGGGCAAAAGATTTGAATAGACATTTCTCAAAAGCAGGTATACATATGGCAACCAAGCATATGAAAATGTGCTGAACATCACTGATCAGAGAAATACAAATAAAAACTACAATGAGATATTATCTCACCCCAGTTAAAATGGCTTTTATTTAAAAGACAGGCAATAAGAAATGCTGTTGAGGATCTGGAGCAAAGGGAACCATCATATACTTTTTGTGGTTATGTAAATTAGTACAGCTGCTATGGAAAACAGTTGGGAGGTTCCTCAAAAAACTAAAAATAGAGCTATGACATGATCCAGGAATCCCACTGCTAGGTATATACCCAAAAGTAAGAAAATCAGCATACTGAAATGATATCTGCATTCCCATGTTTATTCCAGCCCTGTTCACAATAGCTAAGACTTGGAAACAACCTAAATGTCCATCAACAGATGAATGGATAAAGAAAATGTGGTACATATATACAATGGAGTACTATTCAACTATAAAAAAATGAGATGCTGTCATTTGCAACAATACAGATGGAACTGTACATTATTATGTGAAGTAAAATAAACCAGACCCAGAAAGAAAAACATCACATGTTCTCACTTATTTGTGGGAGCTAGAAATCCAAACGATGGAACACATGGACTTAGAGAGTAGAAAGATTGTTACTAGAGGCTGGGAAGGGTAGGATGAGAAGCAAGTGGGAATTTTCAATGGGTACAAAAAAACAGTTAGGAAAATGAATAAGACCTAGTATCTGACAGCACAACAGGGTGACTATAGTCAATAACAACTTAATTGTACATTTTAAAATAACTAAAAGAATATAATTAGATTGTTTGTAACATAAAGGATAAATGCTTGTGGTGATGGATAACCATTTACCCTGATGTTATTATTACACATTGTCTGCCTGTATCAAAATGTGACATATGCCCTGTAAGTATATACACCTGCTAGGTACCAACAAAAATTAAAAATTTAAAAAAGTGTATCCTTCCCAGTGAACTGAAATATTTTACATTAATAATTTTTAAGTTATCATAGTGTGTTGGAATAATCACACCTTTGGAAAGAAAAATATTATAGATATAAACTCTCAATGATGGAGATATAGATCTCTCTTTCTTTAGTGGATTAAAATATGCAATTTGTTATCAACATTGCACTGACAATTTTTAACACAGGACATATTCTGCAAATGATATGATTATAGGAGTTATAGGAAAAAGCATTTTTTCATACCGTGATTATCTAGGCTATGAGGAAAGGAGATATTCCCTCTATGGTGTCTAATTTAGCATAATTATTATTTTTAAACTATATTTAGATTTAATTAAGATATACACAAACAAATTACTTTTAGTAGTAAGAAGAGTTTTTAAAATGTTTTGTGTAAGATGACTATGTAATAAAGAAAGTTACAAACTTGCTTTTTAATGTAGAAAAATAATCTCAAATAATCTCACCTTCTTACTCCACGGAAGTTGAAATGTTATGTAGAACCCAATGTACAAAGGCTCTCAGTGAGGATTTCTGTCTTAAGTTTCAGTGGATTGACGTGAGATCAATGCCTGCTCCACCTTTTTCCTCCCTGTCCTAGGTGACTGGATAACATTTATACAGCCATAAAATGTTGCTTTCAAATTCAAGTATAGAGAAAAAGCTTTAAAATGTGATATTTTATACATTTTATTTTAATATCTTACATGGAAAATGTTTTTGAAAGGTTAAAAAATTAAAAATTTTGAGAGTATTGTGAGACAATCTAATCACATGTGGAAATTGTGTTACTATTTCCCCAAGCATTTTTTGTACATTTATTTGAAAATGAGTTGAATGTAACTCATAAGTAGTATAAAAATGTTTAATATTTAATTTTCTGCTGCAATAATGTTACGTAACAACCTTAAATTCTTCCTAACTTTAAACAATATTTTTTTTCCCAAATTTCTAGGTTATTTAAGGGCAGTTCTGCTTTATATTGCAGTTTGCCTGGGCTTTACTCCAGGCTGTGTGTTGGAGTTAGGTCTAATCTATTGTATCCCTGCACGTCCCAGTTAGAAGGTTAACAAATTGTCTTCGGACTTCAGTCAGTTCGATTGTATTTGTCATTCAAAAGCCAAAGCATTTATCCTAACACTGACTGCTTTTTTTTTTTTTTTTTTTAATGGAGTTTCAGTCTTGTTGCCCAGGCTGGAGTGCGATGGCGCAATCTCAGCTCACTGCAACGTCCGCTTCCCTCGTTCAAGGGATTCTCCTGCCTCAGCCTCCTGAGTAGCTGGAATTACAGGCATGCGCCACCACACCCAGCTAATTTTGTATTTTTAGTAGAGGTGGGGTTTCTTCGTGTTGGTCAGGCTGGTCTTGAACTCCCGACCTCAGGTGATGCGCCTGCCTAGGCCTCCAAAAGTGCTGGGATTACAGGCATGAACCACTGCGCCCAGCCTAACCAATTGATTCTTCTTGTTCTGTATTCTTTCTCCAAATCTCCTTTTCTCTAGACTCACTTTCACCTTCTCTGACACATACATGTCCCTTTATGTCCCCAAGGTCTTCTATTTCCACATAATTTTAATTTTTCAACATATCCTGGACTTATGAGTAATTAATTTGTTAGTCTTCCTGAAAGTGCGGCTTTGTTGAATAGAATGTGTTCTTTAAACAGCAGCTTTGTTTCTTCAGTTAGGTATTAACTTCCAGATTTAAGTGAAAATGAGTTCCAAGTTTTATGTTTCATTGTGTGTCTAAGACTGACAACATTTATTACTGTGGCACTTATAGCTTGCTTTCAATGTCTCCAAATTCTCTGACTGAAAGGCTGGGTACCATATCTCATGTCTGAACACAATCCTCAGAATCATGCAGTACCAGCTATTTTTCTTCTGTATATTATGGTTTCCAAGGTGCCTGTGAAGCAGCCAGGTGAAATTGCCTTTTAATCAATATAGGAACCAGTCTCTTTCCTGCTGATGCTAATGCTTTTTGTAAAAAGGTCATGCTGTAGTGAAGTTCTTCTTTCACAACAAAACCACTAACTGAACTCATCTACATACTGAGGGGTGGAAGCTCTTTGTATGCCAAAGTCTTGTTTTGTTTGCGAAGAATCTCTTTCCCTCAACAGTGATGTGCTACATTAGGTCTCAAATCATTGTTGCCTTTTAATCCAAATTTATCACAAAGATTTTCAGTTTATTTGCCAAATTTCCTTCTCTGACCTTGACCTTCAATCTATGGACTTGTCAAACAACAACAACAACAACAAAAAGTCTGAGGTCAAGTGGCAATATTTAGATCTCAGAATCATTTGTTGTCCTTTATCCTTTGATAAAGTTTTGCCTTTCTTTCTTTATGAGTTTTTTTTCCTCATAGTTTCCCAAACTCTTGAGAAAAAGAAAGTTCTTGCCTCTTGCAGTCTTTCTCATTAGTCGAATTATAGCATCAGTACAGCTTCTGATCATGTTGAGAATTCCACCATGAAGAAATAAAACATTTCCGATTACATGTATTAAGTTTCTTGGAATCTTATAGGCATTAAACTTCATTCTAGGATACAACCTCATGATCTTGTCTTATTCTCAGAACAAGAAATATATTACTATATATGTTACAGTATATATATTACAGTATATGTACAGTTTATATACTACAGTAAACCCTGTAGGCAAGCAGGAACACTTCAGAATTCTCCATGAATCCATCATTAGCTGTTAGTAATCACACCACTATTAGAATTATTTAAATAATCAAACATTGTTATGGTCTGAAGGTGTGCCCCCAAAAGTAATATGTTGAAATTCTAACACATGAGGGCATAGTATTAGGAACTTGGGTCATGAGGGTGGAACTCTTTTTAGTGCTGTTATGAATAAGATGCTTGCCTATTCCAACAAATGAGGACACATCCACAAGGTACCCTCTATGAACCAGGACGTTAGCCTTCACCAGACACAAAATCTGCTTGATTTTGAACTTAGTCTCCAGAACTGTGGAAAATAGATTTCTGCTTTTATAAGCCACTCAGTTTATGCTATTTGGTTATAGTGGCCCAAACAGACTAAAACAGGTACATTATTTGTCTCCTTTTTGGACTGTCTTGGGTTGTTGCTTTAAACTTACTTTAGTGCCTAACACTGCTCCAGGCTCCCTGTCCTCCAGCACACACATATAAATAACGCTGCTGGGAACTGACATGTTTCACTCAGTCATCCAAATGTATTTATTATTTTGTCAAAATATATAGCGTGTGTTACAATATTTAGATGTCAAGACATATTTTGAGATATATGCCTTCATGCAGTACTGTGATTATTATTAATATTAGTAACTTGCCTTATCATACCTGAACTCAAAGATTTTCACAATGGCACTGCCTTATTTGGAACTGGATGTGTTAAAGTATGAAGATCTTACATCTAGTCCAAATTGATTCCTCTGATAGTCTTGCAATTAAATCAAAGCCACAGAATTATCTACTCTATGTTTATTCTTTTTGTAGCTGATATTCTGTGGTCGGATATATTACTAATATCTATTAACCTTAGAATAAAATATCATATTGAAATTGAAGAGGAATTTTGGAACTCTGTTAAGAAAGATTGCCTTTCAGATACAATGAGATCTAAAATGGAGCCTCTGTTCCTGGAGGTATATTTTACAAAATTGGGTGTTACTATAGGAATTCTGTACAATTCTATCTTAGACACTGTGTCCCATCAATGCCAGTCCTCTGTATTTTAAATTGACTAGGATTTCTTTTTCCATCTTTGTGTTTGACAAGTATTATTTTGCTGAAAATGTGCTATCTATGTTCCAATAGAGAATAGTTTTGTTTTTTTTTTAATTTTACCTCATTGGAAAGAAAATTTATAGTCTTTAGTGATAAATGACATGGTACAAACGAAAACACTGACATTATAATTGAGATATACTAATTAATTAGGAGAAAATTAAAAGACATTGTTTAAATATTTCTATCACAAATCGACAGCAGTACAATACACACCATCGGTAGGTATAATAGCAGATATGAGAGGTAAAAAGATAAATTAGGTACAGCATTTTCTCCAGAAAACTTATCATTTAGTGGAAACTGGCCAATAATTTCTTATGCCTAAGGATGATTTTACATTTGATTCTCTTGTTAATCCAAAATATAGAAAAATATCAATCCAAAGTATATATTTCTAAAATACCCACATATTCTGATGCAATATTTTTTGCTGTTTCCTTGAAGTGAATTAAATTCCTTATCACTGACAATAAAATTTGACTCCATAGATTCTTATTCAAAATAGTTAAAAGTGAACATGAAGATTAGTTTTGTTTTTTCTTTTCTTACCCTTTTTTTACCCTTATATTGCCTGTGTCATTCATATACTTTTAGAATCCAAAACAGTAATGAAAACATAATCATTTGCTTTTCAAAAGCTTATTACATCTTTCCAAAGTTAATACAGAGTCTTACAAAAGTTTTAGTTAATTCACAAAAAAATTGAACATATATAATTGAAGCAAATTTTTTTGGTAGACTTCTTCAAACCGCAGAAATTTTAGTTATGGCATGGTAGGTCTTTTGAAATGTTTCATTTTTTATGTTTGAAGATGCAGAGCAAAAGTATTTTCACTCCAACTCCCTCTTTAATAAAAACAGAAAGTGACAAAAAGAGCAAAATCTGTAGGAAAATAACCCCTTCATCTATGTTAAAACTATGAGATTTCCAGCTCAAATAAATTATAAGAACCAGCATAGAAATACTAATACAGTGAAATCTGGACTGGTATATAAAGAAAATAACCAACAAATTTTGTCCATGGCACAAACTTCTTAGAAATTTTGAGGTCTTTAGCCTTAAAGACCCAATCAAATATTTATTACTTTGAACAGTGAGCTACTGGGATATGCTGGGCCTTAAAGCTATATACAAATCTAATTTTAGAAGTCAAGAAGCATTGTAAGCAATAGCAAAGGATATGTTTGATGATCAGCTTGGCAATTGTTGAACAAACTTCATTCAGCAGCGTGAGGAAGTAATTAAAGCAGTTGGTCTGCAATCTATTCACTGTCTTTATTAGCAAATGACCCAGGAGTAAGACTAGAAGGAAGATGAACTGGTTTAGTCTTTTTGTCATCTGAACTTCTGGTGAAAGGGACTACTGATATTTTCTAGGATGAAGAGACCTTATCTCTGAAATAACCTTTGCAGGTTTTTCCTGGCTGAAACAAATTCACAGATTCTTTCTTCTTGATCAATTTTGCTGTCAATTCTTCATTTTACATTCTTTATTTCATTTATTTTATTCTTTAGCTCCAGAATTTTAGTTTGGGTTCTATTTTTTCCATCTCTCTATTGAACTTCTCATTTTGTTTGTGTTTTGTTTTTTCAAGTTTTAAGTTGCCTATTTATTCTCTTGTACCTCATTACCCTCCTTTAAAACAATTATTTGACATGGAAAACTGTGAAAACATGTCATCACCATATGGACACATTAATTTTCCAATAACTGACCCCCAAAATACAGAAGTCTATAAATTGCATGACAAAGAATTCAAAATAATTGTTTTAAAGAATTTCTGAATTTGAAGTAAAAGGTTGCTAAAGAGCAACATGAAAGCACAGAAAAGTATGAAACTCATTGATTAAGGTAAATATATAAAAAATACAGGACACTAATAGTGTAATAGTGGTGTGTAGCTCTTTTTTATGGCTAGTATGAAGGTTAAAATACAAAAGTAATAATAATTATAGTTACAATAATTTGTTAGTAGATACACAATATTAAAAATATATAAAAATGTGACATCAAATATATAACATATGGTGGGCTGAGTAAAAGTATAGAGTTTTGAATATGATCAAAGTTATCAGTTTAAAATAGTTTGCTCCAACTACAAGATATTATATATAAGCTTCATGCTAATCAAAAAGGAAAAACCTATAGTAGATACCCAAAAGATAAAGAGAAATCAAAATATGTCACTACAGAAAATCATAAAATCTCAAAGAAAGACAGCAAGGGAGAAATAAAGGAAAAAGTAATATGTTAAAAACCTAAAAAACAATGAACAAAATGGCAATTGTATGTTCTTCCTTTCAATAATTACCTTGAAGATAAATTCATTATATTCTACAGTCAAAAGCCAGAATGGCTGAATGGATTACAAAAGAAGACCCAACAATACGCTGCCTACAAGAGACTAACTTCAGCT
Organism: Homo sapiens; assembly: GCF_000001405.40. NCBI lineage: Eukaryota > Metazoa > Chordata > Mammalia > Primates > Hominidae > Homo > Homo sapiens. The sequence goes on from NC_000001.11 coordinate 103,769,788, forward strand.
TCAAGGACACATATGGTATGAATGTAGGGGATGAGAAAATTTGATATTCCATGCAGATTAAAACCAAAAAAAAGCATGGATAGCTATTCTTATATCAGGCAAAATATACTTTAAGATAAAACCATAACAAGAGATAAAGATCGTCACTATATAATGATAAAGGGGTGAGTTGATTAGAAGGATGAAACAATTAAAAATAAATATGCACTTAACATTGCAGCACCTGAAAATATAAAGCAAACATTAATATCTGGAGGGAGGGAGACACAGCAATCAGTAATATTAGGGATATAGGTAACCCTATTGATATAGTTGCAATTATCAATAGTCCAGTTACAACAATGGATAGGTCATTCAGGCAGATAATCTGTAAAGAAAAAACATTGACTTGATCTACACTTTAGACCAAATGGACCTAACAGTTGTATGTGCACATTTCATCCACAGCCAGAGAACAGGTGTTCTTCTCAAGCTAGCAAGAAACATCCTCCAAAATAGAGCATACTTTAAAGTCACAAAATGTCTTAATACATTTAAGAAGATTGAAATTGTATCAAGTATCTTTTTTGATGACAATGGTATACAATTAGAAATCAATAACTGGAAGAAATCTGGAAAATTCAAAAATAAGTGAACATAACACAATTCTTAACAAGCAGAGGTTTAAAGGGGAAATAAAAAGGAAAATAAAAAAAATCTTGATGCAAAAATGGAAACACAATACACCAAAACTTGTGGGATGCATCAAGACAGTTCAAAGAACAAAATATATGACAAACACCTAAATTAAACAAATAAAGATCTCAAATAAACAATCTGTCATTAAACCTCAAGTAACTATTAAAAAAGAAGAGCAAACTAAGCTCAAAGTTAATAGAAGAAAGAAAATAAGAAAGATCAAAGCAAAATAAAGAAATATAGAGTAGAAAAATAATAGAAATTGAAAGATATTCTGTGTTCATCAATGGGAGAAATCAATATTGTCAAAATGCTATTACACAAAGCAATCTACAGATTCAATGTAATCCCTATCAAAAGCCCAACAGCATTTTTCACAGAAACAGAAATAAATTCTAAAATTTGTGTGAAATTACAAAAGACCTTAATTACCTAAAGTTAACTTGAGCAAGAAAAACAAAGCAGGAGGTACCACACTTCTTACATGCCCAAAACACCTAATGGAGACAGGATAGTCTCTTCAATAAATAGCATTGGAAAAACTGGAGGTGCACATGCAAAATAATGAAATTGAACTGTTATGCTATGCACAGGAATAAACTGAAAATTGATAAGGAATTTAAACATAGCATCTGAAACCAAAGAATCCCTAGAAGAAAACAGGGGAAATCCTACATGACATTGACCTTGGCGTGATATGATTGGATATGATTGCCAACATATAGGCAATACAAACAAAAATAAACACATGGGACTACATCAAACTAAAAGGTTGCTGCGCAGTAAAAATAAATAAATAAAAATAAAAAGGTTACCATGGAATGGTAGAAAATACTTGCAAACGATGTATCTGATAATGGGTTAATATCTAAAATATATAAGAAACTCATAATCAGAAAACAAATAACCTGATTAAAACATGAGCAAGAGACCTGAATAGACATTTTTTCTTAGGAAGACTTACACATGGCCAACACATGTATAAAGAGATGCACAACATGAGGGAAATATAAACTGAAACCATAATGAGATGTCACATTACATCTTTTAAAATGGCCAATATCAAAGAGCCAACAGATAAATAGTGTTGATTAGAGTGTATCAAAAAGAGAACCCTTATAGAGTTTTTGTGGGAATTTAAATTGGTACAACCATTACGGAATACAGCATGGATGTTCCTTAAATAATTAAAGACTTACCATATAATACAGCAATTATACTTTTAGGTATAAAAGGGTATACCTGCGGGTGCGGTGGCTCACGCCTGTAGTCCCAACACTTTGAGAGGCTGAGGCAGGCAGATTACCTGAGGTCAGGAGTTCAAGACCAGAGATGCCAACACGGCGAAACCCCATCTCTACTAAAAAATACAAAAATTAGCTGGGTGTGGTGGGGGGCACTTGTAATCCCAGCTACTTGGGAGGCTGTGGCAGGGAGAACTGCTTGAACCCGTGAGGTGGAGGTTGCAGCAAGCCAAGATCACGCCACTGCACTGAGCATCAGAGAGAGACTCTGTCTAAAAAAAAAAAAAAAAAAATAGTATATACCTTTTATATACTTTTCCTTTTATATACAAAGGAAATAAAATCACTATCTTGAAGAGATACATGCATTCCTATGTTCATTGCAGCATTATCCACAAGAACCAAAATATGGAAACAACCTAAGTGTTGATAGATAAGTAGGTATGTAAATTGTTATATCTCTCATCTACCTATCTATCTATCTCTCTATCTATCTATCTACCTACGTACAATGGAATATTATTCAGTTTTAAAAAGAATGAAATCCTGCCATTTGCAACAAAATGAATGAGCCTAGACTACGTTATGCTAAGTGAAATAAGCCAGGCAGAGAAAGAAAAATACTACAGGTACAACCATGCAAACTTGCTGTTATAAGATGAATAAGTTCTGGAGATCTAATGTACAACATGGTAACTACAGTCAATAGTAATGTATTGTATACTTTAAGCTCACTGAGTGTAGATCTTAAGTATTCTCCTTCCCCAACACATCGTAACTATGTGAAGAGATGAATACGTTAATTAGCTTGATTGTGAAAATCAATTTAAAATATTCTTGATGGGGGCAGGATGAGAGGAGAGTGAGGGTCAAAACACTACCTGCTGCGGACTATGCTCACTAGCTGGGTGATGAAGTCATTTGTACACCAAACCCCAGCAACATGCAATTACCCACGTAACAAACCTGCACATGTACCTCCTGAACCTAAAATAGAAGTTGAGAAAAGAAAAAAAAGATATCAGATTCCTATAGGGAGCTCCAGATTTATTTCAAACAGTAGAGAGACAAACAGACCAAGGATGAAATACGTAAAAGAGTAGGCACAACTTAAACAATGTGTGTAAGGCAATCAATCAATTCTATATACTTCAGCAAATCCTAGAGTTATCAAATAAAATTACTGACGTGTCATAAATTCTAAACGAAAAACAACACAAATGCCCATCCACAGTAGAATGAATAAATAAATTACTTCTGCTTCCCGCAGTGGAATACCACACAGCATTTAAAAACAAAGGACTGCTGCTACACACAACATAGATGATTCTCACAAATTTCAACTAAGTGAAAGAAGTCAGACTCAAAAGAATACATTCAGCAAGTTTCCATTTATATGAAATTGAGGAGCAGGCAAATCCATCGTGATAGACTTCACGATAATGATGACCTTTGGTGCGTAACTTGTTGAGAAAGGGCAAGAGACAGGGGTGTGGGAGCTGGAAGTAGTCCATATTTTGCTTGATTTAGGTGCTGATGATAGGGATATATAGACATAAAAATTATAATGCTATATGCTTAAGATTTATGTATTTTACTATATATGTTAGATATATATTAGTTGAAAAAATGCTGCAGTATAAAGGAAATCAGTAAAAACATGCTAATTACAATTGTAGCTTTTGTTTGTCAAACAAGCATTTGAGTAGTCTGTTGATTGGTAGTTAGCAAGTTTATATGAAGCAGCATTGCCCTGAATACTTTTTAGTATGTACCAGTAAGCATTTGCCTTTCTCAACTAGGGTTAATTAAAAAAAAATAGAAACCTCACATTGTACACAGTAAATATATATGTTTTATTTGTTAATTATACCACCATAAAACTAAAAATCTAATTTAAATGAGTTTGAATAAATTTTAGGGAAAATAAGATAAAGAAAATTATGAGCTTAAGAATATACATAGATAAAAAAATAAAATGTTGATAGAAATATTATTGTTATATTTCAGATAAACATATAAAAAGCTTTGCTAAAAGTTTCCAGAGAGAGAGAATAAATAGTTCTCCTCTGTTGGATTAAAATGAGATTAGCATTGGAGTACTAGTTTAAAACAATAGATAGAGTTTGGAGTCAGATCTCAAAAATACAATATATTTGCTAAGTAATGTGAGACAAGCTATTTAAATTTCTTATCTGTAAGTTTGTTGAAAAAAATAAATAGGCTAATAGAGAACTTGATTTACAGGGAGTGCTAAATTATTACCTGTTAATAGAAAACATAATAGCAGTGACATTAAAAGCTTGAGTACTGTAGAACAAGATTTTAAAAATCATTTTTTGAAGTTATACACATATTTATATTACTTTAATAATTTGCACAATATAGGAAGAAAAGCTTGCTTTGCACAGGTAACATTTTGCCAAATAATCTCTAAGTCATCATGAATTCTCAATTAGTCAGATTAACAATAATAAAATTTTATTATAGAAGAGGAACTTTTTTTCATTAATATATTTTTACATGCGCATGGGGTACATGTAATATTTTGTTACCTGCCTAGACTTTGTAATCATCAAGTCAATGTATCTTGGGTGTCCATAACCTCAAGTATTATTTCCATATGTTAAGAACATTTCAAGTCCTTTAGCTATTTTGGAATATACAATACATTGCTGTTTATATGTAGTCACCTTACTCTGCTATTAAACGTTAGAACTTATTTCTTCCAACTAACTGTAGGTTTGGACCTATTAACAAACCTTTTTTTATTTCTGCCACCTCAGAAACTCTTTCCAGCCCCTGGTACCTATCTATTATTCTATTTTCTACCTGCATGTGATCAATATTTTTAGCTTTCACATAAGAGTAAGAACATGTGATACTTGTCTTTCTGTGCCTGGCTTATTTCACCTAACAGAATGAGTTCCAGTTCCATCCATCTTGCTGTAAATGGTATGATTTCATTCTTTTTTTGTGGACAAAAAGTATTATGCTGTGTATATATACAACGTTGCTTTTATTCATTCATCCATTGATGGACATAGGTTGATTTCATATCTTTGCTATTGTGAATAGTGCAATAAATATGAGAGTGTGGTTATCTCTTTGATATACTCATTTCTTTTCCCTTGGATAATAGCTAGTAATGAGATTACTGGATCAGATGATAGTTCTACTTTTATTTTTTTATTTGTGAGATATCTCCACACTGTTTTCCATAGTAGCTGTATGTCCCCGCCAACAGTGGAGAAGAGTTCCCTTTTTTTCCACACACTCTCATCAGCATCTGTTATTTTTTTGTCTTTTTAAGAATAGCCATATGTCCATGGGTAAGATAGTATCTCATTGTGATTTTGATTTGCATTTTGCTGATGATCTTGATGTTGGGCATTTTTTTCATATACCTACTGATCATTTTCATGTCCTCTTTTGAAAAAAAATGTCTATTCGTGTTCTTTTTCCAGGGAAATGATTTCCAACTTAGAATTGTGTAGCCAGACAAACTGTAAGTCATGATTTCTGGGGTAAAATAGATAAGAATCATATGCAAAAACCTAAAACAATGAAACTTTCATGTACCTTTTCTCCCCCAAATGAGTATTTAACTCAGAAAGAGAAAAATAAGTTTCCTGAGATAGTAGAACTCCAATATAGAAGAGAGGCTAAGGGAATTATCAATACAATGACAATAGGGTTCCAGCAGCTAGAGGCAGACAAATAAATATTAGATCAAGGCTATAGCAGACTTTGAGGAAAAGGTGTTTTTTAAAAAATGTAAAATAAAGTTGATATATTTTCTGACAGGTTTGACCATATGAATAATTGAAAGGCATTTTAAAAAGCTGTTGGAAGTTTGGAAAGACTTAGGCAGATTTGAAGATGCTAAGCAAATAAAATATAACTTTATAAAAAGCAAAAAATATTGTCTAAGAAAGGCAATGAAATATAATCATGCATCATCACATAAGTACATTTTGGTCAATGATGGACTGCAATAGAATGATAGCTATACCATATAGCCTAGGTTTATAGTAGGCAACACAATCTAGGTTTGTGTAAGTGCACTCTATGATGTTCATGCAATGATTAAATCACCTAAGTTGCATTTCTCAAAACATAAACCAGTTGTTAAGCAATACATGGCTGTATTGGCATAATATTTAGCTCTGAATAAAAATTGTTTATAGAGCCATAACACTGAAGACAGTAAATTTGAATTTGAACTAATAAAACCATTAGGGAGAATAAGAAACAGAGAATATTATGAGGGATATATTGGAGTGCTAAATTATAATCTTCTAAATTTGGAAATTGATTCATAATACCCACAACAGAGAGCGGGGGAGAGAGAAAGAGAGAGAGACAGAGAGAGAGAGAGAGAGATATTTTCATAGCAATTTTCTCCTGGAGCAAGAGAAGAATCCTTTTTCTACACCTCACATTAATTTATAATTATCAAAGGTCACCAGAATTGGAGTTCCAAAGGCAGTTCTAGGTTCAAATTTCTAAAATTACTAACTACTGAAATAATTTTGGAAGCTACCTTATTTATATTTAAAAAACAAACAAACAAAATGCTAAATTGCATATAAGTGCAAGGAACTGTAACAAAGTTTTGGGCTTGTATTATGACTTTTTATGACATGATTTTCTTTTACAAAATACAACAAGTCTGTTCCAAAATATACTTCTTTACCAATTTCAACTTTTCTGAAGTCACAGACGTAGATTATTTGCCTATTGCAAATCTATGTTAGGTCAAACCCTGGGCAGTCCTGCTGTAGTCACTCCATGGTATTAATAGATTTTGGAAAATGAGGAGCTGTCTCTCACTGCACCTTGGGGATTTGGAGAAACATGTATTCTACAGCATGACCAACACTATGGGCAGAGCTTAATTTTACTAATAAGTGTTATATATCTGTACTATGGCACTTTGAAGAAATAGGTGCTCCTAGAGAAGGGCAGACTTGATGGTGGGCTTAATCTTTAGGAATAAGGTATGTTAGGGAAAAAAAACTATTTGCTAAGTATCTGTTCTGTACTTTTCTTTGAACTATGTGGTAAATTAAGCTTACTGTCTTGAATTTCTCGTCTCCTATTTTTGACTCTAGTTTCTCCCATCCTTTAATAATGATTAAAATGGACATAAGGAAGATAAAGATTCAGAGCAACAAAAGGTAAGAGTGGCCAGGGCCCTCTGTTGCCACGTAAGTGGAAAAGCAGTGTTCTTCAAAAGAATTATGGAATGTGACAAATAGGGAAGAAGTGAGTGGTGGCTCATAATGGAGCTAGAGGCAGTGAAAATGAGTATCTATATGGTAGACTCTCCAGGGATATATATTAAATAAATGTTCTTCCATATATACCAGAGAATGGTGGTGTTTATGTTTGGAGGTACAATAAAATAAACCCTATAAAGATTTTGAACTCTCTTTTCATCTCATATGCTTCAGATAATACCTTATATCACTTTGTCTTTGATGTATAAGGAGGTACATAGGCCAATATGGGGGTCTCAGTGTGAGTTTCAGTTCATTCCTGGAAGCAAAGATTTCTCTAAACTCTCCTAGAAGTTTAGACACAAATCAAAGTAGGTTCAACAAGGTGTCTGACCTTGTATCTTCCATCAAATTAATTGAACAAGGTGCTCTTGACCTTGTATCTTCCATCAAATTAGTTGAAGTAGATTTGGAACAGGTTTGTATTATTTAAATCATCCTTGGTAGATTATTAGAGTCAAGACTGTATTTTAATATGTGAGTTTTGAATCTTAAAAATACAATAAGTTTATTTTGAGAAAAATAAATGATTTATCCTGGGAATATTGGCTACTCATAGAATTAAATCATCTGCATTATGTGAATACCTTATATGCTGCTCAGTCAGGTTTATCCATGCTTTTATTGCCACTAAGTCCGTCATTACATGTCACCCAAAAACATGCTGACATGTTGCCAATTAAGGCAAGTCTTCCTGTCACTACTGTCATAGATTTTATTGCTTTGGGATGAATACTGTGGAAGTATGAATCAATATTATGGGACTCATTAAAAAAAAAAACTAAGAAAATATATTGAATATAGGTTTGGTCAGGCAACGCTACCTTCTCAGAGTTCCAGAGATTTTGGAGAAAAAAAATTAAATGAGGAATTTGGCAATGTTTCCAAGGGGGGAATATCTCAGAGAGTTGTTTATAAAAATACTTTCAAAATTTATTATTGAAAAATCATTGTATTAATATCAATTTTAAGTTATACCCATAAATATTATAATAATTTGAGGAAAGCCCATCAAATAAACAAATGTTGAGAAAGACAAATCTTCACAATTATTCAAATATTTATTCACATCTAAGTGTACATTAAATCTTTAGAAACTAGTATGCTATCTGATACAAAATGGCTTTAAATAAAAATGTGCTGAATGAATTAATGAGTGAGTAATTAAAAGAAAATGTATTTCCTCATTAGATATTAATACACAACCTCTGAGAAACAACCTACATGTAAATCAATATAAATACATAGTGCAAAAATATTTATAACTGAAAATGAAGAACCAATTTTTCACATTGGTGAAAAGAATTTTTGAGTGAGACAGACCTAGGTTTTTTGAATTGAATGTCTGCAACTTGGTTGTGTGGCTGTGGATAATTTATTGAACTTCTCTATGCTTTAATGTCCCTAGCTAATAATAGTAGATTATATTTATCTCATAGAGAAGTTGTAGAAATGGAGTAAGAGAGCACAATGCCTACCCTCATGAACATGCAACAAATTATCGTTCTTATTCCAATAAAACCTTTTTATCTTGACTACAAATAATAAGTAAATAAGTAATTTTATAAATTGAGACAGAAACCTGTGTAATTACTTCAAAAGATCCCCTTCCTTAAATATCTCTAAGTTTTCGATTTTATAAAGTAGATTTATATGTATTGAATTACAAATGTAAATAAATAAAAATTGACTACATAGCATTGAAAATTTAATTTAGCAATTATATTATTATGCAGCACTTTGAAATGTAATTTTAAAAGTAACAAATTGTGACTATACATAATCACATTGTCATGTAAACACAAAGAATAATCAATTAAAATATTCAAAGAAAATATAAATTAAATATATTATTTAATATCTTGAATATCATTTGATTCAATAAAGAAAATTATTTTAGTAAGTTGTATAAATAATGATTGCATTTATTAGAAAGATCGATGTAGAGTGGAGTGATAGAAAGGTCACTGGAATTATAATTCAGAAACTCAAGTTGCACTCCTGGCTCTGATACTGACTGGCAGTATGGTCCTGGGAAAGTAATTTCACTTTGCATGCCTCTGGATGTTGGATTGAATGATCTCTAAGGTACTTGTTAGGGCCTGACTTCAGTGGAGCCTACTTTACAGCTAAGAAATAAATCCCCAAGCCATAGAAGTTGAGTGATAAGACTAACAGTTATGTGAAGGTGGAAATATATTATTTTAGCATTTTGGCATCTCAATGTTCTCATAGATAATATGCTCCTCTGTGAGAAGATATCTTGAAAAGCCACGAGGGGATAGAGAGTGAGACTTGGAAACAACGTATGGAGAGTAAACATATTTTTTCTAGGTCTGTGCTAGAAAGGAGTGAATATTTTTCTAGGAAAGGAAATAAAATTAGGAACTAAAGAGAGACGTGAGTTACAAAGAAATGCCAGTGAAACATTGTGAGGTGATCATGAGGACATGATCCCATTCCTTCCTTACAAACTATTAACAGAAATTATGCTTTCCAAATAAAGTAAAGTTGGGAATTTTACCAACATCTAGCTCTCAAAGAGCAAACAAGCCCTACATGGCATCTGGACATGATCATATGTACTAAGGCTTTTTACTCCACTCCATCTTAAATTAAGTCACTCCTCCAAACTGAGCCAGCAGTAACAAAGTGTTGGACACATAAATATTGTAGGAGGCTTGAATTAATTCTTTAAAAATACTTGAAAGTCATATGACTATTGTTGAGGCTATTTTGTAGGTGGTCTATGCAGGCTTATAGGTAAAGAAAACTCTTGAAAGTTGATGTTTAACCTAGCTCCAATAAACGCATGATTTCTTAAAGGTTTAGAGTATTGCTCAAAGGTGGTACTTAACATATTGTTTGAATGGGTTAACGTCTCCATCTTGCTTCATCCATGTTGTGCTGCTCTAATATAGTTGAGCATTAGAGCCCCAGGGAAGGCTACCTGCAGCTAGTAACTAGAGATATTTCCAAAAATGCCACCAAAATGGTATAGGAGTGGATGTCTTGGGAGTCAGAAAATTGAAGAATAAATATAGAAAGTTTACAGGGTATTGCAAATTAGGCATGTTCCCAGAGGAAACAGTGTTTCAGTTTCTGTTACTAATTGCATGACAACATTTGATTGGGTAGTGTCAAGATTCACTTTCAAATGTTTGGCCATCACAAGCAGGAGTGAGACTACTCTATTTTCTAGTTACATCTTTTACATCTGTGACTTAATAAGAGTGATAAGTAAGAAATGTTAACTTAAGAAAAGAAAATAAGCATTGTGTTTTTAGTGAGGAAGATGATTTTGATTAGGTTGGGAAACTTAAGATGTTGCTAGTGAAAAATAGGAAGAATCTCAACAGTGCTGTGAGGGTAGGAAACAAGGGAATCAGCTTAAATGTATTCAGGAAGTATAACAGAGTGTGTTCTGATGAATGTTGAGGAAGAAGGATTTAAGTAGAGATAAGAATTAGAGGTGAATAGAAATTTGAATAAATAATAGAGTATTGAAAGTAAATGAAATGAAAAAAATATAATAATTAAGGTTTGAACACATGAGTTTCTAGGTAGTGATTTTCAGTGGGCAGCTGGATATTTAGATTTAGACTTTATAAGAAAAATACCTGCTGTATATACGAATCTGGAGATTTTAAATATATACATGGTAGTTAAGGCCATAAAGGAACGTTACTTATAGAAGAAAGAGGGAGAGAAGGAATAGGGAAAAAGAATTAAAACATGTAAACAAAAACAGTGAAAGGAAGAAAAAAGGAGGCAGTAGAGGGGATAAGAAATGACTGCAAAGGTTAGAACAAAGAATTTATCAATTAACAAAAACAAAGGAGGTAAAACAAGGGAAAGGGCTCACAGAAGACACTGGGGGCAGAAAGGTTGAATGAAATAATTGGTTACCTTGGCAATTTCAATAGAATAGTGGAACTGGAAATCTCCTATTTCAGAATCAGATGGGGAAGATAAAAATGTCAAATAACCATGTTTATAAATCAAAATCTTAAATTCAATCAGAACATAAGAGTAATTTAAAATTAATACAGAAAATATGGGCATTATAGAGCTTAAATTACTTTGTAAAATAAATATGTTTACAAGAAGATTAGTGGATGCTTGGAAACAATGGAGTTTTTCTATGATTTTTAGTTTAATTGTATAAATTTTTGATAGTTTGTGCCTTCACAGTACTGTAGCATTTTAGATTTTTAAGCTTTCTAGAATTGCTGGCTGAATTGAAATAGATAGCTTAGGTTCTCTGATTTCCATTTAAATGCTCAAGAAACTGTCACAAGGAAGTAGTTTTGCATGGTTTATAACAACTTTAAGAGATTTGCAGCTGTGCTATGAATACATCCAATTATACTAAATATGACTTTCAAAATTACTTTTTGCTATTACCTTGGACAAGTTAGTAGAAGGAGGTGGTTTTCCTAGATATAGGATGCTAATGTAGATTTTAACATTTGATATATTCAAATAAGCCTCTGCAGAAAAAAGGGAATATTATAGCAATTATTGATTACAGATGAAACCTAATTAAAAAGAAAGTTGAGTTTTCAGGTCTAAATTTTTTATTTCGGAGTCAAATATTTTTATTAAGTGGCAGAGAAGTCTCTTAGAGTTCTCAGTATTTTAGATGATATTGTATTAAATTTTATTAAGCAATTGTAATGGGAAGGCAGAACCCAGAATCAGAATGTTTAGTGTGGGAAGATACTGTGGCTATCATCTTCTTATCTCCAAGTCCCTGTTATTCAAGGGAAGAAATTATAGCTTGAAAAGTGAAAGGGAAACAGAGTCTGGGAAGGCAAGTCTAACTGGAGTGCCGCCATAGAGGATTTAGAATGAATAGTTCTTGGCTCTCAACACTGGATAACTGAGGGATGCTGGAGATGAGCCATAAGGGTAGATGGGAAATAAGATGGAAGAAAAGACAAAACTCAAATACTATGAAAAAAATTGCAAGGCTGTAACAGAATAAACTCCATTAGCAACAGGGTAACATGTTAGGGACCACTATAACTGCCAGTTCCTGTTCTAGAATCATTGTATTTTATAAGATTTTAAATATCTCAGGTTGTAAAATTCAGAAAAGATATGTATTATACTTTATTAGAAATAGGTGTTAGAGCTTATGAAATTCACTCCCTCATACAGCATTGCACATATATCACTATTCCTTATCATCAAATTAAAAAAAAGGTAATGATTATCCAAGAATAAATTAGTATATTTATAAAGATATTTACAAGTTATCACTTAAAATTGATCTATTTATCACTAAAGGCTAATAGAATTGGAAGCTAACTAAAATTTCAAAGAATTAGAGAAAATTAATTAAATAAATTGAAATCTACCTTTACAGTGGCCCATTGCATAGTTATTAAAAAGCATAGATTCAAGGAATGTAAAATGAGTTTGGAAAAATATAATTTTATAATCAACAGGAATAATGATTCTATCTATTATCTATCTAACTACTATCTATCTATGATCTGTTTATGTATCTATGTAGATACAGAAAAAGAAAAAAGTAAACCATAACCTGCTATGATCCCACTTGGTAATATAGATGTTTTATTTCATGGCATTTTCTTACTTTTAAACTTCTTTCTAACAGTGGCTGTTTATTGTTTTTGTCATGCTTTGCACTTGTGTCAGTCAGCCTCCAATTAGGAGACAATAAGCACACAAGTAATTTCAACAGGGTGAATTTAATATGAATAGTTAATCAGGTAAAAGCTGATTAATTGAAAGGAATTATCATGTACTCTAAATGTAAGGGTTAGCAACAGCAGAAGGCAGCTTCCAGTCCTAGGGCTGAGGGAAATTTGAACCTTGAAGTAACTCAGAACTTAGGGGAGGCTCACCCCATACCCCCAAGGCTGAGATCCATTCCTCTGAGGAGATGGCACAGTTGCTGCCAATACAGCTTCCCTATGCCCTTCCCACCACTGCAGCAAAGAGATTTGCTGGAGGCTGTTTAGAATAAACATGAAAGGTGACCATCAATTTGGCCAAGAAGAAAATTTTTGGAGGCCACTAAGAACCACAAAAGCATCCCCTTAGCAGGGGGAACATTTAAGGGTCTCACTGTACTTTCAGCCATTCACTGCTTGGGGGAAAAATGAAACTCATTTCTTCCTTTTCTAGTCTTGTTCAAAATGATTTAGTAGGCCCTTAATAAATGTGGAAAGTGTGAAAATGGAAGACTTAGACATTTCCTTTTAATTCTTGTCTTATAGTGTCTTTTAAATAATTTCTTCATTAAATGCATACCACCAATTTTTATACAATTCCAATGTTATCTTGAGTCAATGTTAGGTATAGACATAAAATTGCTATTTTTATTCATTGATGTGACTATTCTCAGCCTAATGATTAACTAGTAGGTGCCTGCTGGCTTTATTAAAACTTGATTAATGGGTTTCAAAAATGCAAATCTGTCATATCATTCACTGCTTGAAAGTTTCCAAAGATGTCTTGTTGTTCTTAGGATAGAGATGTAAATCTATAACATAATCATTCAGGCTCTTAACAGATTACCTCATAATTCTTATTTCTTGCCACTTTGTCAATTTTTGTGTTTCAGTTCCATTAGATTTCTCTTATTTACTTAAAATTATTATACATTTTTTTTCAGTTCATAGCCTTTGTCCTTCATTCTCCCTCTGCAGAGCATGTTTCACACACCCACACTATCCTCCCTTCCCTTGTCTCTTTACTAGTTAGTTGTACAATTAGATGTTTAGTTTTGGCTTTTGTATTAGGCCATTCTAGTATTGCTGTAAAGAAATATCTGAGGCTGGGCAATTTATAAAGACAAGAGTTTTAATTGGCACATGATTCTGCAGGCTGTACAGGAACCTTTGCTTCTGGGGAGGCCTCAGGAAACAACAATCGTTACAGAAGACCAAAGGGGAGCAGGTGTGTCACTTGGTGAAAGCAGGAGCAAGAGGGAGAGGTGACATGCCACACACTTTTGAACAACCAGATCTCACGAGAACTCACTCACTCTCATGAGAACAGCACCAAGAGGATGGTGCTAAACCACTCATGAGAAAACACCCCCATGATTCAATCACTTACCACCAGGCCCCACCTCCAACACTGTGATTACAATTCACATGAGATTTGGGCGGGGACACATATCCAAACTATATAAGCTTCCCAGTAAATTGGTTGCACCATTCACACCTAGATACCTTGTCTTAAGTCTTAGCACTTCCTAATTATTTGTCAAGTTCAAAGAATAAATGGGAAGGTAGGAAGAGCGAGCCGAAGTATAATCTGCAGTGGGCAAAAAAGAGGAAGTAAAACTGTAACAAAACTTTTTCTGCTATTCTCTCAACCATTAACACTAAAGTTAACATATTTTAAATTTGTGAAGTGAAAAAAAAGTAATAATTGTGCCACTCAAAATATACTGCCACAAAATGAGAAAATATACTGTCATAAAATAATTGATGCTGGGTGGTATTTGTTGTTACACTATCAATATAATTAATATAGCAATAGTCAATATTTAGGTTCAAAATTATTGGCTCAATCCTGAAATTAATTTAAAATTTGTTAAGTTTTTACTGAAACTAACCTAGTGAAAGATGCACAGAGTTTTTCCCATATTAAAAATACTGATTCTTGGCCAGACGCGGTGGCTCACGCCTGTAATCCCAGCACTTGAGAGGCCGAGGCAGGCAGATCAGGAGGTCAGGAGTTCAAGACCAGCCTGGCCAATATGGTGAAACCCCGTCTCTACTAAAAATACAAAAATTAGCCAGGCATGGTGTTGGGCACCTGTAATCCCAGCTACTTGGGAGGGTGAGGCAAGAGAATCTCTTGAACCCAGGAGGCAGAGGTTGCAGTGAGCTAAGACTGCACCACTGCACTCCAGCCTGGGTGACAGAGCAAGACTCTGTCTCAAAAAATAAATACATAAATAAATAAAAATAAAAATAAAAATACTGACTCTTGCATAGAGGCTCAATTCATCCTCTTCCTTTGGTTTGTCTGGCCTTCCTTCACTTGTCACTCCTACCTTCCAAAAATATATTTTGTCTGAATAATTTATCCTTACATTTCTACCTGTGAATTATAAATATATAGTTAGTATATATATATGTAATATTTATTTAAATATAAATAAACACAACATCACACACTTTCACACAGAATCCTTTTAAGCTTACTTATTAATCATTTAATAAGTAAGATGTTAATCATTTAACATCTTTACTATGTTACTTAGATAAGTGGCTTTTACTTTCTGGTAGAAGATGTTTATAAATAACAACTTTTAATTATAAAAAGATTTTAGTATGCTACCATGAGTCTAAAATATAATTTCACTAACATATCCTAGAGGTCAAGCCGGTAGTGAATATTTGTCTTTTTAAGCTACCTGATGGTTAAAGTAATGTTAGCATTCAGAAAGAACTAGGAACAGAAGATACATTATCTTTTGATTCTATTTTCATAACAGTATTGCTTAAGGTGACAGAGTAGATGGTCAGCAATGTATAGCCAGAGCATAGAATTAACCAGAATGATTTCAATATGTGTATAACTGAGACATAAGTATGTGAGCCTCCATCTCTACGTTCAGCTCTGTCAATTTTGATATATAATATTCCATGTTGCATAATAACATTATTTGTAGAAAAATAATCAATTTAGTAATTAAAATTTATTTATGCTAGAAACACTATTACATGTTATTTTTAAATTATTAGAATTTTATTTTTCCATTACAAATGTGTTCACAATTACTCATTTTAATTTTATTTAACTTATATTGCACTGAATATATTTATATGACTCAATCACATAAAAACATAAAAGAATATTGTGTATCTCATATATATATGATATATATGATTTTTTCCATTACAAATGTGTCCAGAATTACTAATTTTAATTTTATTTAACTTATATTGCACTGAATACATTTATATGATTCAATCATATAAAAGCATAAAAGAATATTGTGTATATCATATATATATTATATATATATGATATCATATAATATATATTTTAGTATTATTTTATTATAAGGATAAAGTATTCTATTTTCTCACAACCTATGGAATAAGGAATTTTTTCTCCAATCTCTCTCATTTCCACTTAATCTAGCCTAGGGGTAAAGCATACTTCTCTTTAATTTTCTGTTTTAAAATAAAAGTGGATTTAGGGAAGATGTTCATATTTAGCAGTCTTTAAGGGATATCATAATAAATAATATAATATTATTTGACGCTTGTAAGTAGTCATGCCCACAAAAAGATGCAAAACTAAAGCATATTGTTGTATTATTTCTTTCCAGTTTTGTCTGACTTTCTGTTGCTACATTTGGTATGATTTTCACCCTGGCAATATATTTAGAAGTTACATGACACATCTGATTGCGCATGGCTATGTCTTAAAATATTATAGAAACCTAAAAACTGTTAATTTTGAACTGCTAAGTAAATATTTCTCTACTTTCTGAAAACATTAAATAAGCAGTAGTTTTATTTTGACCTTAAATTTCTGAATTTTATACATTATTCTTTTACATTTAAATTTTTATATTGACAGAAATAGGGCTGGATATTGAATAAATATAGTATGTTGCCTGGTATAAGTGAAAATCAATAAAAACAAACAAACAGAAAACAAATCATGAGGAAATCCAAATTAAATTTATTATAACCAGCCCTAATTCTTTACCCTTCAGGTCCATTTTTACTGTCATCTTACCTGTAGACTTTTTTTTTTCTACTTCTAGCTTATAACTGTCTTTTATCATCAAGAGAGAAAGTGGCTCATCAATGTACACATTTCCAAGGGAAAATGTTCTGTTTTCTCACAACCTATGTATTGAGCAATTTCTTCTTCAATCTTTCTCATTTCCACTTAATCTAGCCTAGGGGTAAAACATACTCCTCTTTAATTTTCTGTTTTAAAATACGAGTGGATTTAGGGAAGTTGTTTATATTTAGCTGTCTTTAGGGGAAAAAATGTCCTCCTAGATTATTTTAAATTTGTGACTAAGAATGAATTATAAGACAACTCAACATCTGAAAAATATGCATGTGCTATATATAAATCAATTATTTAGAGCAGGAGTCTTAATTGTCTTCTGGGCTAATAATAGCTGAATTTTCTATAACAATGTAATAAAAGAGCTCCAAGAATTTTAAAATATATTGGAATCAAAAGCATTGATTAAGGGATTTAAAAATAATTAAATGAATATTTATTGTTGCTATGTCTATACAAGGTCACAGAGAAGAAGAAGATGCTTAGTTTTCAAGAAAGAAATAGATTTTTGCTCAATTTTCTTTCTCTTTTACTCTTATTAAATGCTTTATAACAATGGTTTGGTAACCAAATTAGGTATTTCAGCAGAAGATTAAATTACAACACTGTTGACTGGGGAAGCAGGAAAAAAAAGAATTAGTTATAGTTCTTTTTACTTTTTTAGTCTTTTATAGTTCTTGTATGGTTTTCATTGGTATCCCTCCTTTTTCCCCTCTTTAGTGCTACAAAATTAGGGCTCTGTAGTGCAGCTGATAGTTTAGTCATCCCACCTAGGAGAGTTTAAGAGCTGGATATTAGGGCAGGGGATTAGGTAATTTTTCTTGTCATTATCCAGAGTTCTGTTAAAGTAATTTGCACATCAGGAAAATAGATATACTTGTTATTGCTTTTATTGTCTAGTAGGTATTTAATATTAATTATTTGGGTTAAATAATATGCAGTATGTCTTATAGTTTTTAGATCATAATAGATTATATTATATAATAAGTTAATTATTTAATAAATTAAAAATTTCCCTCTAAAGATAGCAGTTACATCCTGGGGAAAAAATCAAAACACTGGAAAATATTAAAATGTTTTAAAAGTGGTCATTAGTATAGGCCCTCAGTACAGAAAGAATCCCACTGTGTCTGTCCTTTTTTATGTTTTTTTTCATAGCAATTTAAGTTTTCCAGGAAAATTTTGCAACTTTTATCTCTGGAAAAATAGAGTAGGAATATAGATTAAAACAAAAACATTAAATGATATAAGGGGAATGTTCTTCCTAACCAGCCTTTGCTAAAATGTCCGTGCCATTCTGACAAGAATAGTGAGAGAATAGAAATGTTTCTTTTCTCCAGGATGCCTTTTTAGTTGGAGGTATCCTGAAAACTAGCAACTCTCTGCTACTTAGCTATTTAATTTATTTCCAAATGTTTGTTTCTTGATCCTTGTCTTGTCGTTATTTATATTTCATTATAATTTTCTCAGGAGCAGTGGGTTAAATCAATGACTATTTCTTTTACAAATTTCTTTAAAGCCTAGGAAGATGTTTTAAATACAGTGGTTACTTAAAAATGTTGATGATTGTTAGTCTAATGTTTAAGAAGCGAAATAAAATTAACATTTTTCCTTCAATATGTGATTTTAAGATGTCCTAAAAATCAAAGTACATGATTTTTTTCATCCTATCTTTGTATGTTATAGGTCAACAGAATTGGTTAAGAATAAGGAAATGTGAAGCAGAATTATTTTGAAATGTCTTTGTCACAAGGTGGCACTGCTGTTTCAAATATCAGACTATGCCTAACATTTCTATTTTTGGGCAGTATTTTAAAATGTTTAAAATATTTTGTGAATCTGTCATGCTACTTTAAGGAGCTTAGATTTCAGAAGAACATTTAAAAAGAAGCATCCACAATTAGTATTGCCTATTGGCTACAATTTTTGCAGGTTTTTCTTCCTTTCCCATCAAAGTCTGTGAAATTCCCTCTCTCAGGCATCCAGTTTTGATTGAATTTAGATATCCTAATCCAATCTAAAGCCCTTAGGGAAAAAACAATCACACAGACCTACTTCTATTTTTGATTTTCATTTCTCTAGTGACTGGTTCAGAAAAAAATTGATTCCATATTACTAAATGCCATTAGTAGGATGTGGCAATCAACATTTTTCCATTAGTTATCAGGTTATTAATTATTACTTTAAGAAAGAGAAATAAATGGGGGATTCTGAACCAGCATTTTGTAAAGAAGGCAGTGCCACAGAACTTATTACCAAAATACATTTCATATCCACAAAGTTGAAATAAAAACAGTAAAATAACATCCCATGCTCATATGGTCTGTGATTATTAACATTTATTTAGGCTTATTTTCATTGTACATATGGTCATGGTTCTTAATTATAATTACAGTGTATCATTTTTTACATGTAGTTTTACTCTGAGAATAAAGTATCTGAGCTACAGAAGCTGGAGGTAAGAGGTGATGCTCATTAGGCGGGTTAGAAAGATTAATAAGAATAAAGTTTGCTGAAGGCAAACAGTCACCTTCACAAGTATAAAGAGAAAAGAAAAATACTAACACAACCTTCCTTACTGAAGTTGCCAAGAGGTACAGAATTTGTGTAAAACACAGCTTTAGAAAGAATAGCACAACGGTTTTTAAACTTAGCAAACCTTATTCTTAAGGCATATTCTTAACCTGCTTGCTGTATAAATAGCTTGTGTGTTTGTCTTTAGGCTTAACTCATGATTTGGTTATGCTAGCACACATGAGTAGGATACCAAAGTTTTGTAGATACACATTCGACAGCTAATCTGTGATGAGCCAGTCCTCTGAATATCTTTTTTATTAATTACTTGGAAATAAGAAGAAGGAAAAGGAAGAAAAGAAAGAGGATTGTAGAATCCTAAAGAAAAAAAATAATAACAAAACAAACACAAACCCTCAAGTCAGAGATTCCTATACTGATGTCATCTAATCAGAGAACCTTTCCTCGGCTGCCCCTCACTCTTCACCCTATGTCCTAACATGGGACATACCTACTTCCATGTTGCCTTTCTCCCTCTCTAGACTATAAACTCATGGGGACAGAGTAATCATTTTGTTCAAAGCTGCATCCTCAGTGTCTCAACCATTCAGAAGATAATAGGTGTCCCAAATATTTGTTCAATAAATGAATGAATTTTTATACATCATGGATTTAGAGATGTGTTTACTTTTTTCCCCATCATAATAAGCAGCTTTTAATAGATAACAAATTTTGGGTGTCATTCAATGCCTGAAATCTGGTTTCACTTAACTGACTAAAACTTTTGGGTGCCTCATGTTGCTTTTCTCTATCCAATCTGCAACATAAAACATATAAGAGTTATGTTACAGTTTGAGTAATAAGAATATTTGAGCTGTAGCCACCAACAGGACTCACCAACTGGCGTTAACTTAATAAACTCAGAATATTTTAAGTCTGACTTTAGCGTTAGACATACAGAAACTCAGTCTTCTTATTGACCTGAAATAGTATTATTTTCAGAATCTGGTTGTGAAGCTAAGATAACCAACTCAAACTGAAACTGGAGCATGCTTGCCCTCTGGGGTTAGCTGGCTTAGTGGCATAGCCAAAGTATTAGCTGAGATGGATGCAGACAGGTATAGATAAGAGTTAGGTGAGAGCTTCAACTCTGGCCTTCAAACATGGTTTCCAAACTTTTTCTCTACCTGCTTCTATGAAGTTTGGGGATATAGGGTAAAATAACTTACCTTGAACCCTAAGCTATAACTTAAATATATTCAATATGTTTACACACTTTATAATTTACTTCATAATATACTCATTAAAAAAATAAAAATTGTCTGATCCTATCAAAATGTGATTCTCTAGGTTGCTGCTCTCTTCTGTGGCTTCATATATTTCAGACACACTGCCTGTAACAGAGTTGCCAGCTTGATAAATGTAGCATAATCCATCATTCATTCATTTATGTATTTAATCACTTATACAAAATTTGAGTACTTAGTATGTGGCCAGTAAGGTGCCATGTACTTGGGAAACAAAGATAAGCAAGACAAGTTTGGGAGTAAAATTAATAAACAAAGATAAGTACAGTGTGGCTAATGGTAGAGGTGAGCGTGAGTTAGGGGGGAATTTTATTAGAAAAACCTTCTTGGGGCAGGGCGCGGTGGCTCGCGCCTGTAATGCCAGCATTTTGGGAGGCCGAGGCGGGTGGATCACAACGTTAGGAGATCGAATCCATCCTGGCTAACACGGTGAAACCCCGTTTCTACTAAAAATACAAAAAAGTAGCTGGGCGTGGTGGCGGGCGCCTGTAGTCCAGCTACTCGGGAGGCTGAGGCAAGAGAATGGCGTGAACCCGGGAGGCGGAGCTTGCAGTGAGCCGAGTTCACGCCACTGCACTCCAGCCTGGGCAACAGAGTGAGACTATGTCTCAAAAAAACAGAAAAGAAAAGAAAAACCTTGGATGAGTACGGTTTAACAAATGGAAAAGACAGAGGGAGGGGAGTAGAAGAGTTATGAAGACAAGAATTAAGAAGAAATATTAACTTCTCTTTCTTAAGATAATTTCTCTTATTTAAGAGAAAATTTAAAATTATTTACAAACTACAACTCTACATAGAGATATGCATGCTATCATAATAGATAAATCAAGAATTTGAACCAGAATATTTGTAAAAAATGTTTAAACAGGCACTTTCAAAGTTTGCCTTTTCCTTTTTTTTTTCTTTTTTTTTTTTTCATTTCGATTAGAAATGTGACCTTAAGTGGCATTTTTTTGTTTGTTCGTTTAGGTACATCAATACTTTAGTTTTGCTGCCTAGGAGTTGCATAACATTTTTTCTATGGATTGTAAGATAGTCTATCAGTATATTAACCATGTGTTTTTATAAAGACAGATACCACTTTAAATGTATTTATTAGTTTTGAGATGATCCAGGTTTGAGAACATTAAAATGTTTAAAGAGCATCAAATAATGAAGGAAAAATGGTATGTTTATGTAAATTTATTTCATCTGAGCATATCTCTGCTCTGATTATATAGTCTTCAACTTTCAAAATGTAAAATCATTTTCTTTATTTTCAAGTCCTGTGTGGACATTTTACTGTTACTTCCATATACTAGGCTTATGTTTGTCATTGTTAATATATGTTTATCTATCAAAAAATTCTGCTTCTATATCTGCATTCTTCTGTGTGCAAGAAATAGAGAGAAAAGAGAGAGGAAAGAGAGGGAAGTGAAATTATGTTGAAATTTGGAAAATTGCTCCTCCTGAAGTTTACTGTTGCTACTTGGGTATCACATAGTCTTAAACATTGAAGACAATGTAACTGAACATATAAGGCATACAATTAAGCTTTGGTGGAAGTAACTAACTTTTGCTCTCACGCAACTCTCCCAGTACCCTGATGTAGTCAACGTGACCAAGTGTACTCTCAAAACGCTATGATTAACTTTATAAGCTCCAAACAAAACCACAGTAAATGATACAGCATCCCATCAGAATCACTGGACCAAAAAATCTGAATATATGACCCAGAAAGAAGTCAAACAGTCTAAGATAATGGAACATCATTAAAGTAGGTCAAATTCTAAGATGCTCCCAAGATCCGCCCCCAGATCCCATAGAGACTTGTGGATATGATGAGATAGTCCCTCCCATGATTAGCTTATATTACATGGCACAGTCGACATTAAGAAAGTAAAATTGTCCTGGGTGGACATGTCTTCTTACAAGGGCCTTTAAAAAGGACAGAGCTCTTCCTGAAGAGAGACTTGGATGTGATAGAGGAGCTCCACGTGAGGGAGATTCTCTGTTGCTGGCTTCGAAGATGAAGAAGGGCATGTGCAAGAAATGTGGATGGCCTCTACGAACTTGGAGCAGCCCCTGCCTGACAGCCAGCATGGAGAAAGGGACCTCGGTCCTATTACTGAAAGAAACAGGATCCTCCCGTATCCACATGAGCTTGGAAGAACCCTAAGCTCCAGAAGAGCATGTAGCCCAACTGAAACCTTGATTTCACCCTTGATTTGAGACCTTGAGCAGAAGGCCCAGCCATGCTGGGTTGGACTTTTGACTTGCAGATCACTGAGATAATAAATGGGTTTTGTTTTAAGTCACTGTTTATGGTAACTTGTTATGGAGCAACAGAAATCTAATACAATGGTGAAAATTGGTCTGAATAACTAACCTGTACCCTTTCCCTGACAAGTGCCAGATTCTCACCATATGCAGTCACCTCTGTTGGACTTATCTCAACCAATTTTTTTCCCATCATATAATAATAATAGCTAAAATTTATTGTTCATTTTCAACATCTAGTACTAAGATATGCATGAATTATATCATTCAGTTGTCTCACTGATCCCTTGTTGATTATACTATTTACTATTCTCATTTTACCAAAGAGGAGTGGCACAATTAGATTCAAATCTCTTCCAGATTCAGGAATTTGTCTAGTACCACACAGTGAGCTGGGATAGAAACCCAAATTTTCAGATTCCAATGTCTATGTACTTTATTTTTTGAAAATAAAGATAAATGTAAACATTTTAAATTACATACCTAGTAAACATTAATTGTAGAAAAAGAAACTATAAAGTATATAAAGTAAAAATTAGTAAAAAATCCCATCATCAAACATCCACTGCTGTTAACAATTTAGTGATAATTCTTCTGCAAGTCCCCCTCAATATATACACATACACATATTAATTTGTGTAAGGGGATTCATATATACACGTTACTTTTTAAAAGTATAAATTTCTTTCCTTATTTCTTATTTTTCTTCTATTTTTCCCTTTCTTCTTCGATTCTTGCTTCTTACTTACCATTTTACCTTCTGCCCCCTCCAAGTAATAAATAGCCTCTCATATATTACAAGCTTATGAGATACACAGAGGTGCAGAGTTTCCTGAGTTGATACACACACATATGCACACCCCTCCACATGTATATGTTGTTATCTATGTGTAGTTTCTGAGAGTTTTGTAAAAATTATATGATTTTATACAAAGTTGCCTTTATCTTTTCTTTATCACTCAGTGTAGGGCCATACAGAGCCTTGTGGACTATATTAAGGACTTTGATTGTTATTATGAAAACAATGAAGGGTATTAAGCTGAGAAAATGACAAGATCGGATTTCTATGTGAAAAATTACCTTAGTTGTGGAATAGAGGAGGACTGAAGTGAATGCAGGAGATCAGTTCGTGCTCTATTTCAGTGGTCCAAGCAAGGAATGACAATATTTCTGATTATGATAGCAGTAGGTAGTGACGGTGAGAGACTGGGAGATTCAAGATAGGTATGTAGGAAATAAAATCTGTAGGCTTTCCTGGAGGATTTGAATAAAAGGAATTGTGAAGAATGATTCCTATATTTCTGGCTTAAGAAACCACATAGATGTTGGAGGCCGTGCGTGGTGGCTCACGCCTGTAATCCCAGCACTTTGGGAGGCCGAGGTGGGCCGATCATGAGGTCAGGAGATCGAGACCATCCTGGCTAAAACGGTGAAACCCCGCCTCTACTAAAAAATACAAAAAAAAAAAAAAATAGCCGGGCGTGATGGCGGGAGCCTGTAGTCCCAGCTACTCGGGAGGCTGAGGCAGAAGAATGACGTGAACCTGGGAGGCGGAGCTTGCAGTGAGCCGAGTTCACGTCACTGCACTCCAGCCTGGGCAACAGAGTGAGACTCCGTCTCAAAAAAAAAAAAAAAAAAAAAAAAAAAAAAAGAAGAAACCACATAGATGCTGGAACCATTTGCTGAGATGGTGCCATTTTGTTTCTATTTCCCTGCAAACTTGGAAAAGGGCAATAAATTCGCTTTGGCCTTTAGGTGAAAGCAAAAGTAGCACAGATGCAAACAAGGCAAAATCACAAGTAGCATGGCCACGCCCTTTATCTACTATCATTCACGGGCACTGAAGGAATTCTTCAGCTGCAGTTCAGTGCTCATGCTTGCTTATGGGCCTACATTAAATTTCACTTCTTTATTCTTTAGGAAAGAATGAGTTTCTGTCCTCTCTGTACTAGTTTCTACCCCATTTCAGCTCTGTTTGGTAATTTTACATCCTGACCAAAATAATATTCCTATCCAAATTGGAATAATATTTCTAAGAAATACATCACATAAATGTTCACTTAAAATTTTATACATTTTTCTGATTACAAAAGCAATATCTGTTCACTTAAGAACATGTGTACAACGTAAAAAAGAATTCAGAAGTAAACAGAAATCAATATAGTTCCACTATCTAGCCCAGAGCCATGCAACCTGAATGGTGGACCCTTCAGCCCTATAATGTGGTATCCTAGACTGATACCTACTGTTAACATTTGAAGTTTTTATTCCAATTTTTTTAATACTTTAAGTTCTAGGATACATGTGCAGAACATGCAGGTTTGTCACATAAGTAAACATGTGCCATGGTGGTTTGCTGCACCCATCAACCCCTCATCTACATTAGGTATTTCTCTTAATGTTATCCCACCCCTAGCCCCCCACCCCCTGACAGGCCCCAGTGTATAATGTTTCCTCCCTGTGTCCATGTATTCTCATTGTTCAACTCCCACTTATGAGTGAGAAAATGTGGTGTTTGGTTGCCTGTTCCTGTGTTAGTTTGCTGAGGATGATGGTTTCGAGATTCATCCATATCCCTGCAAAGGACATGAACTTATTATTTTTATGGCTGCATAGTATGCCATGGTGTATATGTGTCTCATTTTCTTTATCTAGTCTCTTATTGATGGGCATTTGGATTGGTTCCAAGTCTTTGCTATTGTATATACTGCTGCAATAAACATATGTGTGCATATGTTTTTATGGTAGAATGATGTATAATCTTTTCGGTACATATCCAATAATGGGATTGGTGGGTCAAAGATCCTTGAGGAATTGCTACACTGTCTTCCACAATGGTTGAACTAATTTACAGTCCCACCAACAGTGTAAAAGTGTTCCTATTTCTCCACATCCTCTCCAGCACCTGTCATTTTCTGACTTTTTAATGATTGCCATTCTAACAGGCATGAGATGGTATCTCATTGTGGTTTTGACTTGAATTTCACTAAAGACCAGTGATGATGAACTTTTTTCCATATGTTTGTTGGCTGCATAAATGTCTTCTTCTCAAAAGTGTCTGTTCATATCCTTTGCCCACTTTTTGAAGGGGTTTTTTTTTTTCTCTAAATTTGTTTAAGTTCCCTGTAGAATCTGGATATTAGCCCATTGTCAAGTGGATAGATTGCAAAAATTTTCTCCCATTCTGTAGGTTGCCTGTTCACTCTGATAATAGTTTTTTTTTTTTTTGCTGTGCAGAAGCTCTTTAGTTTAATTAGATCTAATTTGTCAATTTTGGCTTTTGTTGCCATTGCTTTTGGTGTTTTAGACATGAAGTCTTTGCCCATGCCTATGTCCTGAATGGTATTGCTTAGGTTTTCTTCTAGGGTTTTTATGGTTTCAGGTCTTACGTGTAAGTCTTTAATCCATGTTGAGTTAATTTTTGTATAAGGTATAAGGAAGGGGTCCAGTTTCAGTTTTCTGCATATGGCTAGCTAGTTTTCCCAACACCATTTATTAAATAGGGAAGCCTTTCCCCATTGCTTGTTTTTGTCAGGTTTGTCAAAGATCAGATTGTTGTAGATGTGTGACATTATTTCTGAGGCCTCTGTTCTGTTCCATTGGTCTATATATCTGTTTTGGTAGCAGTACCATGCTGTTTTGGTCACTTTATCCTGGTGGTGTAGTTTGAAGTCAGGTAGTGTGATGCCTCCAGCTTTGTTCTTTTTGCTTAGGATTGTCTTGGCTATATGGGCTCTTTTTTGGTTCCATATGAAATTTAAAGTGTAGGAAAACAAAACACTGAAGAAAAAAGGAAGTATAGCATATATGCAATTATACATTACTTTTCTCCAGTGAACACATTTTCAGAATTTCCCCAGTTTTATTTAGATTTACCTATGAAAAAGGAGCTTAAGGAAAAAAATGATAAGCTCAAAACTGTACCAAAGTACAAATGATAAGATTCCTATTATAAATAAAATGTTTTCATTTTCAATACCTAAAAAAGTGTGAGTCAAAAAGCAAGATTGCAATAAAATGCAGTAAAAATGCATCATATAAATTGTTAAATGGTGAAATGGCCAAATGGTGAATGAGAAGGAAAAAGTGGATAGAATTTGGAACTAGCTATTAAGATATCTGGTCTAAAATTCATTCTATTACACACAATTCAGAAAGTAAGTGCACCCACAGTTACTAAATATAGTCCCCACTTCCATTAGCTACCCTCACTTCTTCCTATTTTTTTCCCCAAATTGGGCTATGGATGACAGGGGTAACCAGTATTTAATGAGAATCTATAATATAGCAGATTTTATGATATACTTTTTATAATGAAAAATTTCCAACAAGCACAAAAGAAGGGAGAATACTATAGTGAACCTTGTTTACCAATTACCCAGCTTTAGCAATCAGTATTTTTCTTATTTAGTTTTATATATTGCCACCTTCTCACTTTTTTGTTGTGCAGTAATTTAAAGTAAATCTGACATAATTTAATTTCCATTTCAAGAATTGCCAAATTTTGTTAAAAGTTGCAAATATACTGTCTCTCATTAGTTGAAACCTCTACTGAAGATAATGCAATATAATAGTCATATATATACATATACAAATATTGAAATATTTCTTAAAAATATGATATATTACAGTTGATTTCATTTGAACAAGAATTTATTAGTACCTATTAGCCAGAATATCTGGCTTCCAAAACAACTTCAAACTGGTTTCGAAAGCTTGGATAAATCCCTAACCCTTCAAAGGCATTGTGTTAATTACAGTTCTCTTTGTTGCAACAGAATATATCAAACTTAGATTAAATAAATCAAAAGAAGAAATTTATTGGAGGGATGTTGGGGAATCTAATGGAATAAAGAATCATTGGGCACAGGTTTCAGGAGTTAGCAGTCAAACTTGAATCCTTCTGGTGTTCTCATTTCTGCTTCTCTCTATTGGCTTCAGCTTTCTCTTTCACTGCCAATAATTTTTCTTTCCTAAATGATTAAAAACACAGCTGCTATCAGTATTATAATTTACGATTTATCAAAATCTAACAATATTCAGAGAGGTGCCAGCTTTGAGAACAACCAGTTGTGGCCGGGGGTGAAATGAAATGTTTTAAGAATATGGAAATTGAAATCATGTGGATGGAATGGGTGAAATGTAGTTTGCAGGAAGGCCCCAGGGAGAGGCTATTGTGCAAACCATCCCATACACATCCTTTACAGGGAATAAAGGATTTTATATGTAAAATGAAGTATTTGAATTACATGATTGTTAAGGTACCTTATAGTTCCTCATATATACTTCTTACAAAATCCCTAAATATGCCTGTAGGAAACTTGCTACTATTGAAGGGCAGGAGAAAATATAAATAAATAATAAAATGTTCTGTAATATGAGTTTATCAAAAGTTCAAGACTACAATGTGAAAAGTTTAAGCATACATTTTAAGATGACAGGCCATTACTGTGAAACTTTAATAAGGGAGGGAACCAAAAACAGATGATTTCATTTTGTGTGAAATCCATCTTATTAGCTATGTTGTCAAGCTGACATTCTCCACCTATGGAAATTATGGCAAAATAAACAAACCAATGAGTGAAATTTTGTGTAAAACTCAAGAGTTTGTTTCTCATTACTGGTATTTTATTTTGAATAAAATAAAATATTTTGAAGTCCCAGGTTTTTATTATTTTTAAACTTATTTTTAGGCTGGGTGTGATGGCTCACACCTATAATCCCAGCACTTTGGGAGGTCGAGGCTGGTGGATCACCTGAGGTCAGGAGTTCGAGACCAGCCTGTCCAACATGATGAAACTTCGTCTCTACTAAGAATACAAAAATTACCTTGGTGTGGTAGCGGGTGCCTATAATCCCAGCTACTAGGGAGGTTGGGCAGGAGAATTGCTTGAACCCGGGAGGCAAAAGTTGCAGTGAGCCGAGATCCCCTCACTGCACTCCAGCCTGGGTGACAGAGCGAGGCTCCACCTCAAAAAAAAAAAAAAAAAAACCCACAATTTATGTTTAAACTTCTTTGATGACTTAATGCTTTTACAATAGCCTATAAATTTATAGAGATTTCACCTTGCAATCCCAATATGATTTTTTTAGGGCTGTGGACACATTATTATTCATTGACTGTCAAGTAAGTATTGGGCTCTGATCATTAATATATTACTTCAGTGTAGATAGCAATCATTCTGATTTTTTAATCCTTTAATTTCAAATGTACATAAAGGTAGGAAAAATTATGTAATGAACTTCTTCAATGCTGATCAATCCACTTCCTATACAGGTTACTTTTGAAACAACTCTCAGAATGTGCCTCTATGAGATAAGGATTATTTTATTTTAAACATTACTATAATAATATTATTGCATAAAAATACTTAAACATTATTTCTTAATTTTATCAAATATCTGCTTCTGGATCAAGTTTCCTTATTAGTCTCATAAGTGCTTGCTATGTACTGAATGGTTTTGCCCCCTCAAAATTCATATGTTGAATCCCTAATCCCAAGTGTTATGGTATTTGGAGGTGGGGCCTTTGGAAGGTAATTAGGTCATGGGTGGGGCCCAAATGATGGGATTAGTGCACTTATAAAAACAGATATGACAGCATGATTCCTCTTTCTCTAATCTCCACCATGTAAGGACACAGTAAGAGGGGGACGGTCTGCAAACCAGAAGTGGACCCTCACCAGACGTGAGATCTGCAGGTGTGTTGATCTTGGATTGTTTGGCCTTCAGAACTGTTGAGAAATAATTGTTTCTTGGTTAAGCCATCAGTCTATGGTATTTTTGTTAGAGCAACCTGAACTAAGGGAATGCCTAGAGAGTCGTGAAGCAAATTAAATCTAGAAACTGCAATTTATTGATTGGTCTCTAAGGTAGGTCACACTTTTTAAAAAATAAATGTTTTTACATTGAAATATAACAAAGATATACCATACTGAGAAGCCTACATAAATAAGTAGATGAATGAAAATTCTGCTTTATAAATTGAACTCATCCATGTCAATACTGCTCATGGCCAGAAATAGAGTATTATTAGCACTCCAATAGCTTTCCTCTTGTCCTGTGTGATTCATGACTGTTCCACTAAAAGAAATTGCCTCTCTAGTACTTCTATAACCACAGATTTATTCATTTGTTTTTGAATTATACACATGCAGATGAAATAAGACAGTATGTAATCTTTTGTGCTCGCCTTTTTCATTTGATATGTTTTGATATTCATTCATCTTTATTGTGTATTTTATTATGAAAATATGTTACAATTTATTTATCCATTTTATTCTTAGTGGCCATTTGGGCTGTTTCCAGTTGAGAGGATTACAAATACTGTTGCAGTAAATATGCTTATACATTTTTTGTAACCATAAATATGTATTTCTCTTATGTAAGTCCAACACCATTTAACACAAGGGGCATTTTTTTTCCTCCATTGGAATGCAGTAACACCTTTTTATCAGAGAAATAATTACATATGTGAAGGTTTCTTTGTTGGATTCTCTAGATTGGTATGTTGGTTTATTTATCTGGTTTTTGCCCCAATAACACCTTGATTTAATAATTGTTTATTTATAATAAGTATTTATATATGGCAGTTAAATCTTCCACCTCCAAATTCAGCATTATTTTATTGACTACTTTTGTCTAATTTAGTATTAGTTTGAGAATTTCTATCAATTTCTTAATAGGATTTTGATTCTGATTGCACTTAATATTTAGATCAATTTTGCAGAATTGATGTCTTTATCATATTGGGTCTTTCAATCCATAAAGATGGTATATCTCTTTCTTTGTTTTTCTTATTTACCTGATTAATAATTTTTAAAATGTAGGTATAGAAGTTTTACACAATTTCATTAGATTCATTTCTAGGTATTTTGGTACTCATTGTTCCTATTGTAAATCAAATTGTGATATAATTTTTATAAGAATTTTTTAAAGGATGACTTGTTTCCCAAAAAATAAAATTATTTTGACAATGTTTAACCCTATCTTGTCAAATTGTAAACATATTCTTAAGTAATGCCGTAAGCATATATGTTTTTCTCGTTTAGCATATATATTTCTATTTTTGGATTTATTGAGGTATAACTGACAAAAATTATATATACTCAAGATGTGCAATATAATGATTTGCTATACTTGTACATTGCAAAATGATTATCACAGCCAAATTGACGAACACATCTATTACCACAGTTGTCATTTTGTGTGTAGCAAATGTCATTTTTAGAGCAGTTTAGTTTTTTCAAAAAGTAGAAAGCAGGCCTAACCTAAAAAGTAGGTAATGTTTGCTTGAGTTTGAAAGAAAGCCTCTACATGTTGCTTGAGTTTGAAAGAAAGCCTGTAGTAGCATTGATAAGATCTATGCTAAGATTCCTGGTTGTCTTAAATCCCAGTTCTGTAGAAAATGTTTTATCATAAAAGCTCAGCTAGATATACTGTATGTGTTAGAACAGAGGTCTGGAGGATCAATCTCCTGAGTCACTCATAAAGAGTACTGAATGGAGCTTTCTATAAACTGGGGTATGTAGACCCACGAGACAACTTGATCCACATTATCCTGACTGTAGGAAGAATATTTTGCTAACAGAGATCACTGACAAATTGCCTGGGAGTCAGTTGCTGCTGAGGCAGCTGAGGCTGACTACTTTTGATAAGGTTGTGTGTTTGCATCCCACAATTTTTTCAACTTTTTATATATTTTATTTGCCTTATTGAGTCTCTGGCTGGGACCTCAAGTTTAATTTTGCAAAGAAATGGGGATAGTGGTTATCCTTATTTAATTCCTGATACCTGAAGAACACTTCCGATATTTCACATTAAGAATGAGATTTGCAGGAGGTTTTTTAGATAGCCTTTATCAAATTAAGGATTTCTAAAAATCATGAATATATATTAATAATTTTTGATTAATATTTATAATGAAGAAAGAAATGGGAATAAATAACTTTATTTTAATACAGTAGAAGTAACTTGAATAAAGAAAACCATTTAGGGTTGGAATAAAAATTATCATTATCTCTAGGCACCTTAATTTTGGTTTTAAATTTATTCGCAAATTTTAAACCTACGATCCACAGAAATTTT
The DNA here is from genome assembly GCF_000001405.40 of Homo sapiens. Classification (NCBI taxonomy): domain Eukaryota; kingdom Metazoa; phylum Chordata; class Mammalia; order Primates; family Hominidae; genus Homo; species Homo sapiens. Next base: position 103,801,975 of record NC_000001.11, read on the forward strand.
TTTTCTTACTGAAGAAGAGAAAGTAATAATGTCAAGATTCTGTATATTGAATTGTAGCATTTGTGCTGCATGTTTGCTGAGACAAAATATGAACCATTTAAGTAATAAATAAGTGATAGAAAATGCTTATAATGTTGTTAAATATAAAATATTCTATATCTTAACTACTTGTAGACTATGTTTAGTAATAATATATAGAGCATCATTGCTAAAAACTGGTTTTCATAAGGGTAAATAAAATTCCCCAATAAAATTACTTTGGAAATTTTTATTTTTATTTGGGGGTGGCAATATCCTATTATGATTTGTAAGACTGACTAGGTGAAGATTATGTAATTCCTTGGAGGAGTTGCCCCAATGCCACTTAAAAAAGTTGGTCAATACTTTAAACTCTTGTTATATAATGTCTAAGAACTTAGAAGCAACAATATAATTTTAAAGAACAAAAAGCATACTCTATAGACACTTAAAATTATATGACAGTAAATATATAAACTTACAAAAAGAAAAGCCAGGTCCAAAGTGTCCTAAGTAGTTACAAAATAGAAAGTTACTGCCAAGACTCATTTCTCTATTTATTGACTTCTTTCAAAATAGTTTTCAAGAAATAAAGAAATGAAGAAATTACAAGAGAGTAAAAAGATGATACTCTTTGGTATAATACCGATCACTTTTAGAGTTGTTTTTAAAGAGAAATAAAAAATTGGTCATGGCATTTTCACCACGTAGGTTTAAAAAACTGAAATTATAACTTTCATTTTGTATTAACATTTGAATATATACTTTAAAAATATTACATATATTTAAAAACTTAAGAGGAATTCATTTTCTGGGAAGGTGAAACAGATGCACTCTTTCTTACTGTTCCTACTAAGTACAATGGTCACCCTGAACATTAGCTATAACACAAAGACTCAGAATGGTGGACAGAATAAGTTAAATCAGGTTGGGTCATTAGGACCCAAGGACTAACACAATGGTAAGTTTCTTGGGTTTTCTCTTTGTCTCAAATATCCCAGGCCCAGAGCAGAAAAGGCTGGCAAAAAAGAAGTGCTAATAGGCCCAGACCAAAAAAAAAACAAAAGCCCCAATAAAAAGTGCTACCTATAGCAAAGGGCCACAAAAGGAACAGCCTAGCAAGAGAGAAAATTTGTAGACAATAAATGCTCTACTCCAGCCAAACACTAAAGAATAAATATGTATCCCCCTCCAACACTCACACTAGCAAACATTGAATAAGAAGCCTAAATTTATACCCTCATAGGCCTTTGTGTATTACTCCAACATCCCCACAGATGTGATATCAGAGAAGGCCAAATAGGGATCTGGGACTTTTACCCCACCACTAACAACAAAAGTCTTTCCCCTCTTCCTCTGCATCCCTGTAGAGTCAATGGAAAGTACTTGAATAGCCTGGACTTCCTCCTACATCTTTACAGCACTGATGGTAGGTAGAAGGTGTTCTTTTCTTTACTGCAGGAATGGTGTCAAAAGAGGCTTGGTGGAGAGAAAGAACTTTCATCATCTCCAGCTTCAACAACATCGCCACTGTAGAGTCAGTGGATAACACATGGATACATGCATTGGAAACCAAATGGGAGTCAGAACTCTCACACCCACTTAGCTGTAATAAAGAGCTCCCCATTCAGGGAGCTCAATAGACTCAATAGAATCTGAGTATACAATTCCACCTTCCAGTAAAAATGCAGCCCTCCTACTTCCCTTCCCTAAGTGGTATCAGAGAAAACCAGATAAAACAGAAAGTTTAAATAAAATCCAGCATCTTGTAACAATACGACAATGCTTAGGCTTCAATTAAAAAAATTACTAATTATACCAAAAACCAGAAACAAGTAAACTTAATTTTTTAAAATGTCAAGATGTGTCAGCGTTGAGGTAATAGAGATACTAAAATCATCTGACAAAGTTTTTAAAGAAGCCACAATAAAAGTATTTAGGCAAGCAACTAAAAGCACATTTAAATGAAAAAGATAATGTCTCAGCAATAAATTAGTTGTATAGAAAAACCTATACATAAAAAATAAAATATTGATATAAAAAACTCAGTGGATGAGCTAAAAAACAGAATGGAAGGAACAGAGAAAATAATCAGAGAACAGGAAAGTAGAACAATATAAATCACCCAAAATTAATCATAAAAAATTAAATCAATTGAATGGAAAAAAATGAACAGAGCTTCAAGGACAGACATATGGGCAAAAACATCTAATCCTTGTGCATTGAAGTCTTAGAAAGAGAATAGAAAGAGGGAGGCTGAAAAGTACTCAAATAAATATTGGCTGAAAACTTTACAAATTTAGTCAGAGATTCAAGAAGGTGTGAATCCCAGAAAGGATAAACCCAGATAAATTTATGCCAAGACACATCATAAGTAAACTTCTGAAAATGAAAGAAAAAATATTGAAAGGAGCTAAAGAAAAATAACACTTTACTAATAGAAAAAATAATAGAATGACAATGGATTTCTCATCTGAAACCATGGAAGATTTAAAAAAAGACATAATATTTTTCAAGTGCCTAAAGGAAAGAATTGACAACTCAGAATTCTATACCCAGCAAAAACACCCCTCCTGGGTAAAGGGAAATTGAAGACATTATCAGATGAAGAAAAGCTAAGATAATATGTTGGCAGCAGACTTATTTTAAAATAAAAAAAACTTCTCTATACAGTAAGGGTATGATAAAATAATGTGACTTGTAAATATCAGGAACAGAGAATGAACATGGTAAGGAAAATTATGGATAAATACATTAAGTTTTCTTTTCATTTTGAGTTTGTTAAATTATTATTGATGGTTGAAGTAAAAATTACATGTAATGTGGTTCTAAATATATGTAGAGAAAATATTTAAGTTATTATATTTTAAAATTGTATTCTATGTTATAAAAGGTAAAAGATCAAAATAAAATGTAAGGTTTCTACACCTGTGCTGATAAAATTTAATACACAGAACAATCATTACAAAAGCTACAAAAAGATGGACCAAAAAAGACATAGATTAAAACAAGATTCTAACAAATGTTTAAGTGACCTGTAGAAAGGCAAAAAAGAAAATAATTTTTTGAGTCTCTTAATTGAGAAAACACTTGAGAGAATAAAGGAAGAGACAGAAGAAACAGGAACCAAAAATAAAATGGCTAAGTCATAATATGTTAATAATTTAATTAAAGTAAGTGGTCTAATTACATAAATTCAAAGACAGAGATTGGCAGAATGCATTAAAAATATGACCCAAACTGTTTTATCTACAAAAAAATCTCATTTTAACACGAAGATAGATACAGATAATGTTAAAGTAAAAAATAATTTAATATTTAAAAGCTATATTGTGCAGTCCTTAATTAAATGAAAGCAGGTATAGCTATATTAATATCAGACAAAGTAAACTTCAGAGCAAAGAAAATTACTAGTTACAGAGGAGATATTATATAATGCTAAAAGTTTCAGTTTACCAAGAAGACATAGTAGTTCTAAATGACTGGGCACCACACAACGTATCTTCAAAATATGTAAAGCAAAAACTGACATGACTGAAGAAACAAATGCACAATTATAGTTGTAGACTTCACCATTTCTCCCAAAATTGATCAACTAACTAGACAGCAAAACAGAAAGGGTACAGAAAAACTCAACAACACTATCAAAAAACACATTCTAATAAACATTTTTAGACTACTTCACCCAACAACAACAGAATATACCTTTGGAAAATAATTGTCTGTGGAAGGTAGACCATATTCTAGTCCACAAAATAAAAAAATTGACCAAGAGCAGTGGCTCACACCTGTAATTCCAGCACTTTGGAAGGCCGAGGCGGATGGATTACCTGAGGTCAGGAGTTCAGAACCAGCCTGGCCAACATGGTGAAACCCTGTCTCTACTAAAAAATACAAAAATTAACCGGGTGTGGTGGCGGGCGCCTGTAATCTCAGCTACTCGGGAGGCTGAGACAGGAGAACTGCTTGAACCAGGGAGGTGGAGGTTGCAGTGAGCCGAGATCACACCATTACACTCCAGCCTGGGCAACAAGAATGAAACTCAGTCAAAACAAAACAAAGCAAAACAAACCTCAACAAGTTTAAAATAATTGAAATCATACAAAATACATTCTCCGAACACAATGGAGTCAAATTTAAAATCAATAGCAGAAAGATAACAGAAAAAGCTGCAATCACTTGAAGATAAAATATATCTAAATAATCCATGGGCCAAAGAGAAATTCTCAAAAGAAATAAAAATACAAGGAGCAAAATGTACTGAAAGCAAACAGAAGAAAGGAAATTATAATAAAGATAAAATTAGAAGTCAATGTCAATGGAGAAAAATCAACAAACCAAAGAGTTATATGTGAATCAATAAAATGGACAAACCTGTGGGAATACCGACAAAGAAAAAAGACAAATTAACAAATTTACAAATAATAAATTTACAGTAATTAAATAGAAAATAAAACAGATCAAAATAGTAAAGAGTAAGAATGTACTATGAGCAACTCTATGCATCTAAGTTTTATAACTTAGATAACATAGACTAGTTTTTGAAAAATATGATTTATAACAATATGAAATAATTTGAGAAAGCCTATAACTATTAAGAAATTAATTTTATAATTAAAAAATTTCAAATTCAAAAACATAACGTTAATTCTACATAATCTTTTCAGAAAATAGAAAAGGAGGAAATAACTCCCCATTCATTTTTTAAAGATAGTATTGCCCTGATATCAAAACCAGGCAAATTTCCACACACATATGCATGCACACACATACACCTAAAACTGCAAATTTATATTTTCCATAAACATAGATACAGAAATCTAAATAACATATTCGCAAGATAGAATTCAGTAATATATAAAAATAACCAAGTGGGGTTTATTCCAAGAATGCAAGGCTAAACCAAATATTGTTTCAATATTTGAAAACTACTGTATATAATACATCATGTTAAAGAGATATATATAAAATTACACCCACACATGTATATGTCAATACAGAAAGGCAGTTGACAAAATCCAACACATAATCAGGATAAACATTCTCAGAAAGTATGAATAGAGGGAAATGTCCTAAATTTGATAAAGAGCACATATAAATGCTACACCTAACATACTTATGTTGAGTGATGGAAAGTTTTGCTTCTAAAAATCAGAAACATGGCAAAAATGCCCACTCTTACTATTGGCATTCAACATGGTGTTAACAATTCTAGCCATTGCAATGAGGCAAGAAGATTTAAAAAAAAAATACAAATTAGAAAGCGAGAAATAAAATGTCTTTTATTTACAGATGATACAATTGTTCACATGGAAAATCCCAAGGAATATGCAAAAAGCTTCTAAGAAGTAATAAATGATTTTAACAAGAAAAACATACAAAAATCAGTTTTTTTCTGTCTCCTAACTGTGAACAAGTGGGCAATAAAAATAGAAAAATAATATCATTTACAATTAAAAAATTACTTTTCAATTTAATTTAATTTTATTTTGAGTTATACGACTCAAATAGTAAATATGCAAATTTCTGCAAATTAATGAATAGGTGTAATACAATTTCTATCAAAACTCCAGCCGTACATTTTGTAGATATAAATGAGACTATTCTAAAATTTATATGGAAAAGCAAAGAAACTAGCTAAAGTCTCTCTGGATAAAGAAGAATATTTAACAAACCTGCACGTTGTGCACATGTACCCTAGAACTTAAAGTATAATTAAAAAAAAAAAAAACAAGAAGAAAGTGGGACAAATCATCTACCTGAATTCAAGACTTTTAATGTGGTATATTAATCAAGACTCTCATATTGGTGGAAGGACGGACACATTTTGTGTCAATTAAATAAAACAGAATGTGTAATTATGAATCCATAGAATAAGATACACCTATACCCAGCAGATATAGGTGGGTATTGGTGAAAAGGCAGAGGTGAAAACGCAATTGAATAGAGGAAAGAGTATTTTCAATGTATAATAGTGAAGCGATTAGACATCCACGGCTTAAAACACAAGTAAACTAAAAATGGACCTATGGCGTAAATGTAAAACGTAAATCTGTAAAACTTTTAGAGAAACGTTAGGAGAAAATCTTCAGAACCTAGGGCCAGGCATGTAGTTCCTAGATGTAACAGCTGAAGTACAATCCATGAACACAAAAATTGATAAATTGGGCTTTATTGAAATTGAAAACTTTTGCTTTGCAGAAGATCATGTTAAGACAGTGAAAAGATGAGCTACACAGTGGGAAAAATATTTATAAACCACATGTTGAAAAAAGGATTATCATTAAAATAAATCAAGAATACTCAAAACTCAAGGTTTAAAAAGTCCAAGAAGAAAGTAGCAAAAGACATATAGAAAAATTTCACCATAAAGGATGTACAGATGACAAGTGATATGGTTTGGCTGTGTCCCTACCCAAATCTCATCTTGAATTGTGGTTCCCATAATCCCCAAATGTCATGGGAGGGATCCAGTGGGAAGTAATTTAATCATGGGGGCACTTACCTCCATGCTGTTCTCATGATAGTGAGTGAGTTCTCAAAACATCTGATGGTTTTAGAAGGGGTTTTTTCCCTTTCACTTGGCACTTCTCCTTGCTGCCGCCATGTGAAGGAGGATATATTTGTTTCCACTTTCACTGATTGTAAATTTCCTGAGGCCTCCACAGCCCTGCGGAACTGTGAGTCAATTAAACCTCTTTCCTTTATAAACTACCCAGTCTCAGGCAGTTCTTTATAGCAGCATGAGAATGGACTAATACAAACAAGTAGGCACAGGAAAAGATGTTCAACATCGTTGGCCATTAGCAAAATGTATATCAAAATTATAATAAAATATTTCACTAAATTCCTGTAAAAACTAGTAACAATATCAAATGCTGGTGATGATGCAGAAAAACTAGATCACTTGTATATTACTGTTGGGGATGTAAAACATTCTGGAAAACACTTTGTTAGTTTCTGACTAAACTAAATATGAAACTACTATACAACCCAGCATTGTACTTCTAGGCATTGAGCCTAGGGAGATAAAGATTTATTTTTACATAAAATCCTGTACATAAAGATTTTATTAGCTTTTTTATTTTCTAAAAGTAAAAAACTAGAAACAATCCAGATTCTCCTTCAGTAAGTGAATAGTTAAACCAACTAGGGTACATCCATGCCATGGAATACTACTCAGCAACAAAAATATACTATTCACACAGGCAACAGCCTGAATAAACCTGCAGAGAATTAAGCTGAGTGAGGAAAGCCATTTACATAACATTCTTGAAATCAAAAAATTATAGAATAAAGAACAAATTAGTGGTTGCCAATGGTAAAGGAGGGAGGGAACTGAATGTGGCCACAAAAGGGCAACAGAAAGGTTATGGTAGTAATAGTAATGTTCTGTATCTTGACTGTATTAACATTGATATTCTGTTTGTGATGTTGAATTATAGTTCTGCAAGATGTTACCTTTGGGGAAAATCAGGTAAAGAGTATACCAGATCTCTGCATTATCTTCATAACTGCATGCATATCTACAATTATCTCAAAAATAGAAGTCTAATTAAAATAAAAACAAACCCGATGGTAGAAAATCTCTCCCTTTGAAAATGAAGACTTATTTCTTTGCTGTTGTTTTACTTTCAGGAAGAAGTTGTATACCACGGGCAATCTCTTTTTATTCTATAACATTCATTTGTTTTTGTCCTTGATGGGATAAAATGTCAAAACTATTTTTGCATCTTCTAAGGAATAACATTATTACTAAAGCAGCTTAGATTGTTGTTCTTCCCTGTTGAATAAAGGTGAGAAAAAGGTGATTCAAATGAATTAGAAATGAAGGGCATTTTCTGTATGTTTATGATCTTCTGTACAGTACAGAAAACAGCACCGTAGCAGAGTTTTATTTAGTAAATAGGTCACTGGGAATACTGTACCCCTGGAACTGAACTGTAAGTCATCTACATTTCTTCCATTAAATTTTGTGCATAAAGCATATTATAAAGTTCTATTTGTGTCTAAAATTAGTTTGATAATTAGGTCATTTCTTGAACACCAAAGCTCAGAAAAAGGGTCTTGTAAAATCTGTTTGGAATTTATCATTTTAAGTATTTGGAGCCTTAAAAGTGTAACTTAGAATTAGCCCATTGTATTTTCAAAGTTTTAAGATTCTTCTAATTACTCATAGAGAAATGAATCCAAACATGAAATCTATTGCCACTTCTTTGTGTTATTTTGGTGGCTCAGAGATTAAATGATTTGCCTAGTATCACAATATTAGGTGACGGCAAAGAGGACTGCAGAAGCAGTAATTTTATTATTTATTTAAGAATTATTTCTCGACTTGGAATTTTCTGTTATCTAATTTAGCATAATCTTAGATGTATTTTTGCTATTGTTTTATTATTATTTAATATATGCCTAAGAAACTTTCCTGTTTCTTCTGTCTTAATACTGTAAATTGAGCAACATTTTGAATAAACCTTTAATAACAAAGGAATGAATTATCTTCAATGAAGCAATATTGAAGATTGTTACTGGTTTTAAGTAACAGGGCATTTATAAAAAGCTTAATGGGGTTGTGTTGATAATTTTATTATGCTTACTAGTTTATTTTCTGTTTTCAAGTGATACTATAACAAAGGTTGTCCTAAAGGTAAAGTTGAAATAAGTGGGTACTTGATTTAGCAGTGCATAAATTCAGCACGAAGGAATGTTTAGAGAAGTTAAAATAGTTCCAGAGAACTAAAAGAAAGGTAAAAGACAGTCTCCCAAGAGCATTTACACTTTTTTCCATACTCTACAATCCTATTCAAAAGATGAGGCAAAAGAAGGGCATGAAAAAGCCCTGCAAAATACAAGGGCAACAGTAAAGAAGCATTGAAGGCTATGGGCTCACTATTGGCCTTGGAAACCACTCCTCTCATTTGAACTGACTGAGGCTAATCAAAGAGGAAAACTCAGTTGGACTTCTTATTTTTTAGCTCACAGAAAAAGCATTTTAAGAGAAGCTTTTTTCACGTTTGTGTATGATCAGACAAGAAAGTAGCTGAGGGCACTGTGGGAGGTTAAGCAAAGGAAATCAGTGGCTCTTGTACCTTTCAGAATATTTGTATGCCATTCAATGTTGCCTGTCCATCAATAGCTTCTCTCCTTTTACAGAGAAAGAATTTTCTGCATTTTCTCAAGATTTACCTTGAATTCCACTTAATATTTGTAAAAACTTTCATTGTGAAATAATTTTAGACTTCTAGATAAGGCACAAGAATAGAACAAAGAATTCACCTTGGTAAAAATATTAATATTTTACCACATTTGCCTTATTCTCTCTCCCTCTGTATGTGTGCATATGTATATGTAAATATACTTGTAATTTATTTTTCTGAACCAACTGAAAGTTGCTATTTTACCCATTACACTTTATGCTTCAATAAGTATTTCCTAAAAGAAAAGGACCACAGCCCTTGTTCTGAAGGACAAAGACCATTAAAATCAGAAAATTAACATTGGTACAATAATACCGAAAAATTACAGACTCCATTCACGTTTCACCAATTATTTCAATAACACTCTTTATAGTGAAAAAAAACTTAAATCTGCCTTTGTTCATACTGCTATAACAAATTACCACAGACTGGGTGGCTTATAAACAACAAAATATGTATTTGTAACATTTTTGAAGGCTAAAGAGTCTGAAGTCAGGACTTCAGCATGTTCAGGGGTGGGTGAGAACCCTCTTCCAGGTTGCAGACTGCCTCCTCCTTTCACATGTCAGAAAGAGAGCTAGAAAGCCCTCTGGAATTCCTTTTATAAGAGCCCTAATTCCATTCATGAGAGCTTTACCCTCATTACCTAATAACCTCCCCAAAACCCCATCTAATACCATCACATTGGGGGTTAGAATTTCAACATATGAATTTTTTTTAGGAGGGTAGGAAACAAATATTCAACCCATTGCACTACCTGTACAGAATACAATTTAAGATCACATAGCACATATGATTATGATGTCTCTTGAGTTTTTTCAATAATTCCTTAGCCTTTCCTTATCTTTCATGACTTCAGTGATTTTGGAGTACAGGCCACTTCATTTTTGTAGATTGTTCCTCATTTTTGGCTATCTGATGTTTCCTCATGATTAAATTCAGGTTCTGCATTTTGGGCATGGATATCACAAAAGCAACTGTGTTTTTGTCATTACATCTTATCAACACAATTTGATTTGTTCCATACTAGTGATGTTAGCTTAGTTAGGAAGGTGTTTCACTGGGATTCTTCATCATAAAATTATTCACCTTTTATAATGAATAATTATTTTGTGACTTGTATATCTATGTAAATGTCTTTTTCCTCAGCAAAATTTTGCCCACTAATTTTAATATTCACTGCTTATTCAGTCTTATCTGAGTAAATTTTATTATGATGACTCACAAGTGGTGATTTTCTAATTCTTCTACGTTTATTAGTTGTCATTCTAGTTTAAGAAGAGCTTTCCCTTTCCTTTCATTTATGTATTTGTAAAGCAAAGATTTATAAATGTATTGATATAAGCATAGATTAAAAATTAGAGAAAAAAGTAGTGGTGAAAATCTGGGAACTGTCTACTAGACAGGACATTATAATTACAAAAATATCTGAGTTGGACTGCTTGTTCTTTTAGACTTATAACTTCAAAATATATGATATATACGCATATATATATAATTACTTGATTCTATGTCAAACATTAGCTTTAGAAAGAAATAAAATACTTTTTAAGATTGTGTTTATACTCAAAAGGTAAAATGGATAAAAAGGTTATTTCATCTCAACAAATAACAATTTTTAAAAGTAACTTTCAGTTAAACTAGTCAGATGAATGATGTCTAATTGAAATATAATGTGAACCATATATATAATTTCAAATCTTTTAGTAGTCACATTAAAAAAGTGAAAAGATAAAAGTAAAACTAATTTTAACAATGTATTTTATTTAACTTAATATATCAAAATATTATTTGAATATCTATTCAATGTAAAATTATTAATGAGGTATTGTATATTTTTTCTTATTAATTCTTCAAAACCTTGTAGCTACTTTACACTTATAGCACATCTCAACTCGTAGCAGCCACATTTCAAGAACTAAATAACCACAGGTGGCTTGTGGCTACTACATTGGAGAGCACAGATCTTTATAATTGAACCAAAAGATTTTAAAAATCTAGAATACATGGATAGTCCCCAAGTTATTCACTTTAATTTGAATGTCCAGGCACAGTATTGTGTATAAGTAGAAAAAGTAGCAAACAAAGTCATAATCATCATACCATAATAATTCCACAAAAGATATTGACCCTCATAACAACTCAAGAGTGAAATTAATAGAAGTATTTATGATAGATTAAATTCAGTGGAATGATTTACATAAAGCATGCATTAAAAATAGATACTTCTTTAATATTTCTGTACTATATCAGTTTGTTCAAAACAAAACTTTATCAGCTTGTTAGAAGCTTTCTGTAACTATAGTTTTGCTACTAGGAAATTCTAGCTTTCAACATATATATGCTATTTTCCACATTCTTGATTGAAAAGCATAAACCTATAAACACACACAGACACACACACAAGAAAAGCTATATCTATTACACTCTTGTCAAAATATATCCCATGTCTAAACTTTAGGATTGAATGACTTATAAATAAAACAAAGTCATCAATTGTAGAATATTTCTGCTTACATTTAATTTGGACTAAGATCAGTGTTGTTGGAAGAGGATGTGGGAGTAAATATAGCAAGTCTATGCACCAGGCAATATCCTAAGTAAATGCTCATGTAGACATTTGTTTTCACAGAATCCTCTGATTAGCTGTTATAACATAGAGTATGACTGTAGGAAAGTCATACACAAAGAGGTGAAGTAACTTCCCCAAATTTTCACAGCTAGTAAACCTTGATATCAGAATCAAACATAAGCAGACTAGAATTTATCCAAAGAAGCCCTGACCACATCAGGCAGGATTATACAAAAAAGTAGATTGGATAAATTTGCCTGGTACACAGACTGTCAGTTTTTAAATGAGAGAAGCAGAGTTAGAGTTTATGCAGAGATACAAACAGCCTTGATAAAATAATCTTACTAGTCCACACATCGAGCAAGTATGTATTTCTCTGTGCTTGGCACTGTGCTGGGCATTGAGGTGCAGTCTTGCATAAGATGTAAAAATTTATAGTTGAGGAAAAAAACAGGCAATTACGATGCATTATTGGAATTGCTCTCCTAGGAATATACAGAAAATGAAGTGAGATATACAGGAAACTTAGCCCAGCCTTGGGAGTTAGGAAGGCTAAGAGAAAAGCTGTTGAGTCCTGAGGAACTAGTAGGAGTTGAGTTAATGACTTGAAAATATATGTAATGAAGCCTAAGGGTCTCCAGTGTTACTATTATGGGAATAAGTAGTCCACCTGGGGGTACTAGATGAACCTCAAAATGTGGTTAAACACAACCATAAAATACAACCTCAAAATCTCATGTGGAAGGACAAAAGAGAATAACAAGTGTTTACAGTTGTTGAGTAAACTCTGTAGCAGGTGCTGGTTATGTGATGTATATGCATTATCTTTATGTTTATTTTTGTTTACATCCAATGAGCTTCAAAAGGGTGGAAAACTTTCCCAAGATTAATGTGTCATAGCTCTCTGAATTAAAGACCCTGACTTTTCCTTTTTAATATAATACTGTCTCCCTCTTTTTTAATAAAAAAGTGAACTGCCACATAAGAGAAAATGATTTGTTTGCTACTTTTGGATGATCAGAGAAAGATAAGAGGCTTTTAAATTTTCAAATAACTAACATCTTGGAATAGCTACTAGGGAATTTTATCATTCATAATGGCAATAACATTTTACATTTGAAGAACAATAAATTTTTGTGGTATACAAACTCTTTTACTTCTCTTATTTGCTAACAGGTATTTATAGAACAGGCACTGTTAGTCTCATTTTAGCAATAAAAATGCAAACATCTAAATATATCACAAATTTAACGCATTCAGATATACACAAAGCATATCCATTGATGCTTTGTTCAGAATAAGATTTTTCAAGATATTCTGTTCTCGTTTAACCGATCCAACAATTTTTATTTATATTTCTGTAAAGAATAAATTATTTGGGATTAGAAGGTGAATTAAACACAAATCACTTGAGTTTTTGAAAGCAGCAGCAGGCAACAAAAGAATTTATGTCAATAGCCAAGTATAATTATTTTATTATTAATAATTTAAACTGATTATGTTTATATTTATAAATACTAACTTGAAATATTAAATCTTAAAAGTGTTTTATTTAAGCAACACTTTACTAGACTCCTTAGAGACCTGTTTTGGGATGTGTGGAAAACATTTTCTGAATATCACATTATGGATGGTTACATTATTTTACAGACTTGGAAAATAAAATATTCCAGGGATTTTTGCTAAACTGATGTGTTTTTCAAAGATCATCTTTTTGTCTGGAATGTATTACTACATTATACCAACATATAAACTAGAACAGTTCAACTAACTCTTCTGTTAAAAATGAGTTGATTTGAAATTGAATGTCAACTTGATAATGTAAGATCATAATCTTTCAATGTTTTTTACTCTCTTTAAAGTAAAATTAATGTAAATTTTAAAATATGCGTTTTTGTCTTTTTAATATTATTTTCAACATTTCCTTGTTACCCTATGATATTCAAACAACAAATTTCTTATAAATAAGAAATGTATAATACATTCCTAATAATATTTTTATAAAGTGATGATACAATGTAAACTGAAAATGATTAAAATTTGTCAAGCACATATATATTTTTGCAAGATGCCTGGCTCATTTTGTTAGTTAACTAAAATTCCCTCACCGTTGTCAGTATTGTGATGATTACTTCTATTAGGTAAACAGGTCACAATTTATTTGCAAATCTAGCAAAAAAATTGCATGTCAGATACTCCATTTATCTATAATTTCTTTATAAAGAAAGCTCCGGAAAATTCTGCTTAGGTCACCAAGAATTGCACTTGCTCTTTCTTATACCTTAGCAGGAAAAACAAAAGGATTTTTTTTTATTTAATTAGACTTCTTAAAAGCAATTTAGGGTAATATATCACAAGACTTTATGTAAGGAATCTTGTTCAAAATAAATTTTTGGAGTTGGTGGAGGCTTCAAGGTGACTGACTAGGGGCGTTTTGTACTTGCTTCCTCCACTAAGAAGAACCAAAATAACAAGTAGGTAACCACATTTTGAATGGCTCATCTAAGAGAGAACACTGGAATTAAACAGAAAAGTGACAGGCTATACCTAAAGAAAGGATGGAGAAAGAAGCAAAGTAGCCTGCGTGGCTAGGATCAGCTGCGAATCAAGAGAAACTACCTAACATTGGAAAAGGGTCAGTGAAAGACCCTCATAAGCCCACATTCTCACTGTAGACTTCTGCAATCTTAGCCATGAGAGAGTCCCTCAACCCTCATGGTTCCTGAAACTACATAGTGAGCTGCCGGGAGATTGTACAACAACACTACCCCAGGGAAAAAGATTGCACTGGGCCTCTTACAATCCTTGAGACCTTAGCAGCTATAGTACAGCACCATTTTAGAGCTTCACCTCCAACAGACTGCACACTGCCCTGCAGCCCAGTGGTGCTTGGACCAAGGTGTAAGAGAAACATGGGCTGTTGTCTCCAGGGCTTAGGAGTGAGCAACCACAGGCCCCACACCCAGAGTGGAGGCATGAGCAAAGCACAGCCTGCTGCTTTTAAGACTCAGGTGTCAGTGGAGTGCCATTCTAGAACCCCACTCACAAAAGACTGTCCATTGTCCTGGAGCTCAGCAATGCTGGGGTGGAGGCCCAAGATAAGCCATGGATGCTGCCCCTTTGACTTAGGCATGAGCAACAGTGGGTTAATGCACATGATGCAGAGGCAAAACCAAGTATGTGGGCCACCACTTGGGATATATATATATATGTGTGTGTATATATATATATATATATATATATATGTGTATATATATATATATATATATATATAGAGAGAGAGAGAGAGAGAGAGAGAGAGAGAGAGAGAGAGCAAGACACCATCATAGAGCCCCATCCCCAACAGAGCAGACTGCATGCTATCCTGGAGCTCTGCAGTGCTGGGGCTGAGGGACAGGAGCAGAGCTGGATTCTGCCATGTTGGCTGCTGAGAAAACAAGAGGGAAGAGCTGGCTGCTGACCCTAGGATTTAGGAGTGAGCAACTGTAGGCTATCACACCCAGAACTGAGACAAAAGTGCTGCTGGGATTGAGATGTGAGTGACATGTGCACTCCCCATCCACTGGCCAAAGCTGCCATCAGTAAAAGTGTTACCACCACCACCCTCACCCCAGTGGCAAGGCAGCAGCACAGCCCCTGCCACACCCAATTTGAGCATTGTGCTGGTGGCCTGGGGAAAGAACCACCCCTCCCTACCAAGGCCAGCAACTATACACACCACTGGGGGGCCTGAGTGCAAGCCAACTCAGCCTAACTTTACCCCTCTCCCCATGCCAGAACATGTAGTCCAGGAGCAAGAACATTGTCCAGCTCTGTCCACCAACATTGGCAACTAAACACTTCTCCCAGGGGCCTGAGGTTTTGCATAATCACCCAGCTGCTACCACCACAGCTGGCACCTGTGTATGTCACCTGCGGACCTGGGGACTGGCACACTCAGCCCATCACAGTCCTTGCCAACACTAGCATGCACTTCTTGGGACCCAGAGTGCTATCCTGCCAGGACCAGTGCCATTGTTCATGACGTATCAACTGCCCGGGAGCCTGAGAACCTGAGTACCTCCCTGGGCCAGGGCTATCACTACTAGCATCCAAGCAAGCCACTGGGAGGCCCCAAATTTGGTTTACCTGCACCCACTAACACTAGTGCCAGTGTACACCATCTTAGGTCCCAGTGACATGCACACTCAGCACTTCACTGCCAGCACTGGGGCCCAGAGACTGGCCAACTGGGTGTCCTTATTTCCAGAAAGACTGCACCACAGCCTCAATGAATATCTGCACCCTAACCACTGAGAAAATCTCAGATATAAATGATGCTGTTTATAGCCAAAGAAATTATACAGAGACCACACTACTGCACACATTCAGAATCAAAGTTAAAGTACCCTAATCAATTAACAAACACCATGAATTCATCCTCATAAAACAGTCCTCCCTATTAAAGCAAATTTTAAAAATTAGAAGAAATGACTGATACACCAGATGCATGGATATCAATAAAGACACATGAAACCTGAGAAAGAGAAAATATGACACCCCCATAGGAACACAATAATTATCCAGAATAGATCCCAATAAAAAAATTCAAATTATTGATTCTAAAGAAGCTCAGTAGGATAAAAGAGAAATAAAAAAAAGAAATTAGGAAAGCAATTCAGAATATGAATAAAAAATTTGCCAAAGAGGAAAATAACCTAAAAATAACCAAATTGAAATTCTAGAACTGAAGAATTCATTGAATGAAGTATACAACATATTTAAAAGCTTCAACAATAAACTAGATTAACAAAAGAAAGAAGCTCAGAACTTGGAGACAGATTTTTGAAATGACCTAGTCAGATTAAATATTAATCAAAAATAATTTAAAAATAAAACCTTTATGATAAAATGATACAGGGGACACCATTAAGTGAACAAATATATGAATTTCCAGTATCTCTGAAGGTGAAGGAGAGCAAAAGGATTTAAACACATTTTCTTTTCTTTTCTTTTCTCTTTTTCTTTCTTTCTTTCTTTTTTTTTTTTTTTTTTTTTAAGACAGAGTCTTGCTCTGTCACCCAGGCTGGAGTGCAATGGTGCAATCTCAGCTCACTGCAGCCTCAACTTCCTGTGCTCAAGTGATCGTCCTACCTCAGCCACCTGAATAGATAGGACTACAGGCACACACGATCACAGCCAGCTAATTTTGTTTAGCTTTTGTAGACATAAAGTTTCACTATGTTGCCCAGGCTGGGATCAAACTTTTGACGAAGTGATCCTCCCACCTTGGCCACCCAAAATGCAAGGATTACAGGCATGGGCAACAACAACTGGCCAGACCATCTATTCAACAAAGTAATAGATGAAAATATTCCAAGTCTAACAAGAAATTTAGATATGCATGGCCAGGAGACAGAAAGAACAATCATAACCCCTGGGTGTGGTGGCTCACGCCTGTAATCCCAGCACTTTGGGAGGCCAAGGAGGGCATATTACCTGAGGTCAGGAGTTCAAGACCAGCCTGACCAACATGTAGAAACCCCGTCTCTACTAAAAAAACAAAAAATTAGCCAGGCATGGAGGTGCATGCCTGTAATCCCAGCTACTCGGGAGGCTGAGGCAGGAGAATTACTTGAACCTGGGAGGCAGAGGTTGCGGTGAGCCAAGATTGCACCATTACCCTCTAGCCTGGGCAACAAGAGTGAAACTCTGTCAAAAAAAAAAAAAAAAGAAAAGAAATGAAAAAGAAATTTAGATATGCAGATAGAGGAGGCCAGAGATTCACAAATATCTTCAATGAAAAAAAGTATTTTTCATTCACTGTTACAGTCAGAATAATCTAAGGTCAATGACAAAGACACAGTTCTAAAGACGGAGAAAGTAAAGTGTCTAGTTACCTATGAGAACCCCATCAGACTAACAGCAGATTTCTCAGCTGAAATCTTACAGGCCAGAAGAGAATTAAAATGACATGTTCAAAGTTCTGAAAGAAGAAAAGTCCAACAAATATACCATATTGAGCAAAATTATCTTTCATAAATGAAGAAGAAATAAAGTATTTTTATGAGAAGCAAAAGCTGAGGAAATTTGTCAGCATTAGGCTCACAACGAAGAAATGCTCTATGGAGTTCTAAACCTGGGCAAGGAAGAATGACATTTACCATCACGAAAACACACAAAAGGATAAAACTCAACTGTAAAGCTAAAATACAAATGAGAAAGAGAAAGGACTTAAATTGTACCACTACAGATAACCACAAAAGCATAATGACATATAAGAGGGGGGAAGAACAAATAAAGAATATATAAAACAACCAGAAAATAATTAACAAAACTTCACATATTAATAACCTAGATTACAAATTGATTTAAATATTTACTTAAAAGATGTAGACTGTATGAAAGAATAAAAACAAAATCCAACTATATGCTGCCTATCACATTTTATCTGTAAAGACATGTATAAGCTGAAAATAAAGGAATGTAAAACAAATATTTCACTCAAACGTAAACTAAAAGTGATCAGGGAGAATTCAACATCATATTTTCAACATTGGAAAGATCTTCGAGATAGATAATCAACAAAGAAATATTAGTTAACACAAATTGACAAACCTTTACCTAGACTAAGAAAAAAAGAGATATGATCCAAGTAAATAAATTCAGAAATAAAAAAGGAAACATTACAACTGATACTGCAGAAATTAAGAAGATCATTAGTGGATACCATGAGCCATTATATACCAATAAATTGTAAAATACAGAAAAATAGACAAATTCATAGACACATACAACCTATCAAGATTGAACTGCGTAGAAATCCAAAACCTGAGCAGACCAATAACAAGTAACATAATTGAAGCTGTAATAAAAAGTCTCCAGTAAAGAAAAGTCTGGGACCCAAAGGCTCTTCTGCTGAATTCTACCAAACATTTAAAGAAAAACTAGTTATCAATCTTTCCCAAACTATTCCAAAAAAATAGAGGAGAGGGGAATACTTCCAAACTTATTCTAAAAACTAGTATTACCCTGATACCAAAACCAGAAAAAGACGCATCAAAAAAGAAAACTACAGGCCAATATCCTAGATGAATATTGATGCAGATATCCTCAACAAAATACTAGCAAACCAACACACATTAGAAAGGTAATTCATCATGATGAAGTGGGATTTATCCCAGGGATGCAAAGATGGTTCGACATCTGCAAATCAATCCATGTGATACATCATAGCAACAGACTAAAGGACAAAACCATGTGATAATTTCAATTAATGCTGAAAAAGCATTTGATAAAATCAACATCTCTTCATAAAAAACTTTTAAAAAACTAGGCATAGAAGGATCAAACCTAAACATAATAAAAGTCATATATGACAGACCCACAGCTAGTATTATACTGAATGAGGAAAAACTAGAAGCCCTTTCTCTAAGATCTGAAACACAACGAGGATGCCCACTATCAACACTGTTATTACATAGTGCTGGAAGTCCTAGCTAGAACAATCACACAAGAGAAAGAAATAAAAGGCATATAAATTGGAAAGGAAAAAGTCAAATTATTCTTGTTTGCAGATGGTATGATCTTAAATTTAGAAAAACTTAAGGACTCCACAAAAAAAAACTGTTGGAACTGATACACAAATTCAGTAAATTTGAAGGATAAAAAATTAACAGACAAAAATCACTAGGCCAACAGTGAACGACATGAAAAAGAAATAAAACAATAATCTCATTTACAATAGCCACACATAAAATTAAATACCTAGGAATTAACCAAAAGAAGTAGAAGAGCTATATCATAATAACTATAAAAAATTGATGTAAGACATTGAAAAGGACACTAAAAATGGAAAGATATTCTATGTTCATGAATTGGGAGAGTCTATGTCATTAAATTGTTTATATTACCCAAAGCAATCTACAGATTTAACACAATCCCTATCAAAATACAAGTGACCTTCCTCAGAGAAATAGAAAAACAATCCTAAAATTTATATGGAACCACAGAAGACTCAGAATAGCCAAAGCTATCCTGAGCAAAAGAGCAAAACTGAAGGGATTACCTGACTTCAAGTTATACTACAGAGCTATAGTAAACAAAACAGCATGATACTGGCATAAAAACAGACATATCAAGCAATGTAACAGAATAGAGAAACCAGAAATAAATCCACACACCTACAGTAAAATCATTGTTGACTAAAATACACAGAACATACACTGGGGAAAAGACAGTGTCTTTAATACATGGTGCTGGGAAAATTGGATATCCATATGAAGAAGGATGAAACTACACTTCTCTTTCTTGTCATACACAAAAATCAAAGGCCTTAAGTCTAAGACCTCAAGCTATAAAACCACTATAAGAAACCACTGGGGAAACTCTCCAGGACATTAGTCTGGACAAAAATTTCTTGACCAATACCCCACAAGCACAGGCAACCAAAGTGAAAATGGGCAAGTGGGATAACATCAAGTTAAAAAGCTTCTGCAAAACAAAGGAAACAATCGAGAAAGTGAAGAGACAACCAAAGAATAAAAGAAAAATTATCAAATTTTCCATCTCACAAGGGATTAACGATCAGACTATATAAGGAGCTCAAAGAACTCTATAGGGAAAAAAATATAATAATCTGATAAAAAAAAACAAAAGATAAGATTTCTAAAAGACTGAAAATAGAGCTGCATTATATTCCAGCAATTTCACTGTTGGGTAAACACTCAAAAGGATCGCAATGAGTATATCAGAGATATCTGCACTCCCATGTTTATTGCAGCTCTGTTAACAATAACTAAGATTTTGAAGTAATCTAAGTGTCCATGAACAGATGAATAGATAAAATATGGTACATATAAAGAATGGAGTACTATTCAGCCATACAAAGAATGAGATCCTGTTATTTGCAACAGCATGGATAGAATTGGAGATCATTATATTAAGTGAAATAAGCCAGGCACAGAAAGACAAACATCACATGTTCTCACTTATATTTTGGGATCTAAAAATCAGAATGATTGAACTCTTGGACATAGAGAGTAGAGGAATTGTTACCATACCAGAATGGAGAGTATGAAGATGAGGGGGAGGAGAGGATGCTTAATGGGTAGAAAAAAAATAGAAAGAATGAATGAGACCTACTATTTGATAGCACAAAAAGGACACTATTAATTGTAAATTCAAAAATATTCAAAAATATGTAATTGGATTATTTGTAACACAAAAGATAAATGTTTGAGGAAATAGACACACAGTTTTCCATGTTATTATTATGCATTGCATGCCTGTATCAAAAAATCTTATGTTCCCCATAAATATATATAACTACTATATACCCACAAAAAATAAAATTTTAAAAATTAAAAATATTGAGCAGGAATAGCTATACTTATATCAGATAAAACATACTTTAAGTCAAAAACAATAAAAAGATTAATAAGTTCATTATATAGTGATAAAGGGGTCAATTCAGTTAGAAAAAATGTCTAAATATATATGCACCCAACACTGGATGATCCAGATTCATAAAGCCAATATTACTAGGTCTATAAAGACAGACAGGCACCAACACAATAATAGTGGGGGATTTCAACACCCCACTTTCAGCATTAGACAGTTTTTTCTAGGCAGAAGATCAACAAAGAAATATTGGACTTAAACTGGACTTTAAAGCAAATGGCCTTAATAGGCATTTATAAAACATTTTATTCAACAAATGCAGAATGCACATCTTTCTCATCAGCACATGAAACATTCTCTAGGATAGATATATTCCAGGCCACAAAACAAGTCTCGCCAGTTTTAAAAAATTGACATAATGTCAAGCATCTTTTCAGACCAATATGGAATAAAACTAGAAATCAGTAATGAAGCTTTAGAAACCATGCAAATGAATAAAAATTAATCAACATATTGCTGAATGACCATTGAGCCAATGAAGAAATTCAGACAGAAATTTTTAAAAAAATGCTTGTTAAAACAAATGAAATGGAAACACAATGTACCAGAACCCATGGGCTACAGCAAAAACACCAATACGAGGGAAGTTTATAGCAATAATGGCCTACATCGAAAAGCAGAAATATTTAAATAATCCAATGATGTAACTCAAGAGACTAGGAAAGCAAGAACAAACCAAACCCAGAATTAGCAGAAAAATGAAATAATAAGATCAGAAAATGACTAAGTGTAAAAACACCAAAATTTACAAAGAATGGATGAAATTAAAAATAGATTCTTCAAAAAGATGAAAAAATTGATAATCTACTACCTCAACTAACCAAGAAAATACAAATGTAAGACCCAAATAAACAAAATCAGAAAAAAAACCGGGGAGCAATACACCTAATACCACAGAAATACAAAAGATCATCAGAGACGGTCACAAAAAACTATATGCTCTATCAAAACCAGACTAGGACAGAAAAACAACAACAAAAATATAGGCCAATATTCCTGTTGAACATACATTCAAAAATCATTAACAAATACTAGAAATTTGAATTCAACAAGATATCAAAAAGATAATACACCATAATCAAGTGCTATTTATTCCACTGATGCAAGGTTGGTTCAATATATGCAAATCAATGTATGATACATCACATCAACAGAATGAAGGACAACAATCATATGATCATCTCAATAGAAATAAGAAATGCATTTTATAAGATCAAACACCCCTTCATTATAAAAATTATCAACATATTGGATATGGAAGGGGCATATTTCAAAACAAGAAAAGTCATATAGGACAAGTCTACAGCTAACATCATAATTAATGGAAAATAGTTGAAAGCCTTTTCTCTTAGAACTGGAAGACATAAAAACCCACTTTCACCTATCTCATTCAACATAGTACTGGAAGTCCTAGACAGAACAAATTGGAAAGAGAAATAAATAAAAGTCATCCATATTTAAAAATAGAAAGTCAACTTTTTCCTCTTTGAAGATAACAAAAAGTTATATTTAGAAAAACCAATAACTGCACTAAAAACCTTTTAGAGCTGATAAATAAATTTAATAAAGTTGCAGGATACAAAATCAACATATGAAAAATTAGTAGCATTTCTAATCGCCAATGATAAAATAGCCAAAAACAAAATCAAAAAGGCAATTTTATTTACAATAACTACAAAAAGAAACCGACAAATGAGCAAACAACAATAAAAAAATCCTAGGAATAAATTTAACCAAGGAGGTGGAAGATCTCTACAAGGGGAACTACAAGACACTAATGAAATAAATTGCAGAGAATACAAACAAATGAAAAGACATGCTCACGTATCGGAATAATTATTATTAAAAAGGACCATATTATGCAAAGCAAACTATAGATTAAATGCAATCCCTATCAAAAAACCAATGTCATTTTTCACAGAAATACAGCAAACAATTCTAACATTTGTATGGTCAAAAAATTAAAATATAAAGGAACCCCAGTCAAAGTAATCCTGAGCAAAAAATCAAAACTGAAGGCATCACATTAGCTGACTTCAAAATGTATTAAAAGGCTATAGTAAGCAAAATAGCGTGGTGCTGATATAAAAGTAAACACATAGGACAATCAAACAGAATAGAGAACCCAGAAATAAATCCACATGTTTACAGCCAACAGATTTGAACAAGGTTGCCAATAACTTATAGTGGGAAAGGACACCCTTTTCAATAAATATTTCAGAAAAATTGGATATCTATATGCGGAAGAATGAAACAGGACCTCTATATCTCACCATATACAAAAGATTAACAGAAGATGGAATAAAGCCTTAAAACTATATAAAATCTTAAACTCTAAACCACTACAAAAAAACATAGGGAAAACACTTCAGGGCTTTGGTCTAGGTAAAGATTTTACAGCTAAGATCTCAAAAGGACAGATAACTGAAGCAAAAATAGACTACTTGGACTAAAATGAAAATATTCTGCTTGGCAAAGGAATCAACAGAGAGAAGAGACAACCTGTTAAATTAAAGAAAAGATTTGCAAATTATTCATCTGACATTGGACTAATATTCAGAATATATAAGGTACTCAACTCAACAATAAAAAATACATTTAAAAAGTGAGCAAAGAACATGAATAGTCATTTTTCCAAAATGACATACAAATGGCCAACATGTATAAGAAAAATGCTTAACATCACTAATCATAAATGAAATCAAAATCAAAACCACAACAAGATATCATCAGACCTAAGTTAGAATGGCTATTGTTAAAAAGACAAAAATAAACAAAAGATGCAAGGCAAGGATGTGGAGAAAAGAGAACTCTTATGCACTGTTGGTGGGAATGTAAATTATTACAGCACTATAGAAAACAGTATGAAGATTTCTCGAAAAACTAAAAACAGAACTACCATATGATCCAGCCATCTCACTACTGGGTATTTATTCGAAGAAAAAGAAATCAGTATATCAAAGGGATACCTGCATTCATTTTTTTATTGCAGCGCTATTCATAGTAGCAAAGCTATGAAATCAAGTGTCTGTCTATGGATAAATGGATAAAGAATATGAGGCATACATACAGATTTGAATGCCATTCAGCAATAAAAAGGAATGAAATAATGTCATTTCCATCAAGTTGGATGGAACTGAAGGTCATTATGTTAAGTGTGATAACTCAGGCACAAAAAGGCAAATATATAGTCTCATTTATGGGCACTAAAAATATTCATCTCGCAAAAGTACAAAGTAGAATGATAGATACTAGAGGCTGGTAAAAATGGGAGAGTTGGGGAGGGGATAAAGAGAGGTCACTTAATTGGTGCAAACATATAGCTGGATAAAAGATGTAAATTCTATGGTTTGATAGCAGAGTAGTGTGACTTTAGTTAACAGCAATATATTTTATATTTCAAAGTAGCCAGAAGACTGGGCCTGAATTGTTTCCAACACATAGAAATGGCAAATACCCAAGTGATGTACACTTCAAGTACCATGACTTGATCATTACAATTTTATGTAAGCACCAAAATATTACATGCATCTCCTAAATATGTAAAATTTTATGTATTAATAAAAATAACTTTGTTGCAGTTATCTATTGCCACATAAGATGGAACTTCAAACTTTATTGACTTAAAATAACATCAATTAATTTTTGGTAATTCTCTTTGTTGATTGGGCTCAACTGGATAGTTTTACTATTCCATGTCATGTAGGTGAGATTATACATATGGTGACATTCATCTGGAGTTCTTCTGATCTGAAATGTTGAAGACAGTTTAATTTTCTTTTAGAGTTTTTCTTCATGTGATTTTTAGTGATTTGCAGTCTAGTCTGAACTGCTATACTTTTCCTCTTTGGTACGCAAATAGCAGAAGGGGATGTACACATATCTAGAAGTCTTCTATGACTGAGGTAGCCAGTCTCCAACATGGGCCCCAAAGATTCCCATCTTACGGTTTTCACACCTTTGTGTCGTTCCCACCCACACTGTACCAAGGCTGGTCTTTGTAAGCAATAGATACACTGGAAGTGATAGACTATCACTTTTGAGGTTATGTTTTAAAAGACTCCATGATGTCCTTTCTGGGCATTTCTCTCTCTCTCTCTCTCTCTCTCTCTCTCTCTCTCTCTCTCAGTCTCACTCTCTCTCTCTCTCTCTCTCAGTCTCACTCTCTTTCATTATAAAACATGGCCATCTGGTTGGAAACTAAAGCTTCCTGCCAGAGGCTATGTGAAATAAACTTGAAAGAGAATTAATCAACCCTAAATGATTGTAACCCCAGTTGACAACTTGACTACATCTTTTTAAGAAATTTGAGATAAATTAGCCAACTAAGCTACTCCCAGGATCCTCAGAAACTGAATTGATGACACATTCTTGTAATTTTAAGCTCCAAATTTTGGATAATTTTTTTTAGCCAATAGCTAGCTAGTATACAGACACAAAATACCTTTGCTTTCTATTGAGAAATTTTATGTGAACTTTGAATTTTAGTGATATGTCTAGATATACTACATTTTCATCAGGGATATTGGCATGTAATTTTCTTTTCTTGTAGTGACCTAGTTTAGCTTTGGTGTCAGGGTAATGCTGGCATAATAAAATGATTTTAGAAGTGTTCACTACTCTTCAATTTTTTGGAAGGATTTAAGAAGAATTGCTGTTAATTCTTCTTTAAAATTTGGTAGAATACACAAGGAAGTCATTTAGTGCTAGGTTTTTCTTGGCAGGAAATTGTTGATTACTGTTTCAGTCTCTTTGTTATTTGTCTGTTCTGCTTTTTTATTTCTTTATTATTAAGTCTAGATAAGTTGTATGTTTCTAGAAATATATTTAAATATTCTAGGTCATCATTGGTGTATAAATGTTCATAATATTTTCTTACAATCCTTTGTATTTCTGTGACATCAGTTGTACTGTCTCTTCTTTCATCTCTAATTTTATTTAAGTCCTCTTTTTTATTCGTAGCCTAGCTAAAGGTTTTCAATTTTATTTATCTTGTAAAAATCAACTCTTGGTTTAATTGATATTAGATATTATTTTTTTATTTTCATTTTTTTCCTTTGTAACACTTTTTTTATTGAGGTAAAATATACACAACATAAAATTTACCAACTTAATCATTGTTAAGTTTACAATTCAGTGGTACTAACTACATTCATATTGTTGTGCCACCCATTACCACCATTTATCTCCAGATATTTTTTCATCTAGAAAAGCTGAAATTCTATATCTAGTAAACAATAACTCTCTATTCCCTCTCCCCTCCAACCCCTGGCAGGTACCATCTTATTTTCTGTTCCGATAAATTTAGGACAGATTCCATAAAAGTGAAATTGTGAAATTGTACAGTATTTTTGCATTTGTGACTGGCATATAGAGACAACCATACTCTTTTCTAGTTACTATTTGAGTTAAATATATTTTTAAATCCTTTACTTTTGACCTATTTGTTTCTCTAGAATTGTTAGCTTCTTGTAGACAGAAATATAACTGGATCATGTTTTTTTTTTTTAATCTACTCTTCCAATCTTTATTATGTGACTAATTTTTTATTCCATATACATTAAAAGTATTGATAAGTAATAACTTATTACTATCATTTTTTCTGTGTTTTATGTATGCCTTATAGCTGTTTTTGTCCCTCATTTTATGCATTACTGTCCTTTTTTGTGTTTAGTTGATTTTTTTGCAGTGAAATGTTTTAATTCCTTTCTCATTTTCTTTTGTGAATATTCTATTGTTACTTTCTTTGTGGTTACCATGGTGATTACATTTAACATCCAAATGTTATAACACTCCAATTTGAATTCACAACAAGTTAACTTCAATAGCAATACAAACAATCTGCTTCTATTCAGCTCCATCTCTACTTCCTTTTAAAGACTGATATTGTAAAATTATATACTTATATACTGTGTATCCAAAAACAGAAACTGATGATGTTTTATGTATTAATCTCTTAAATAATGTAGAAAACAAAATGTTGATTCACAAATGAAAGTTATAGTAATACTAGGTTTTAAACTAATGATAGTTTTTAAAAAATGTCTATCTCCTAAATAATACAGAATAAAAAACTGGAGTAACAAATCAAAGTTAAAATAATACTAACTTTTATAATTTCTAATATATTTGCCACTACTAAGACCTTCTTCATGTTGCTGTCTAGTGTCCTTCCATTTCAACTTTTTAGCATGCCTTGTAAGAAAAGTCTCACAGTAATGAACTTTTGTTTATCTGGGAAGTTAGAGTTCCTCTTGAACTTTTTGAATTATGGTTTTCATAAGTATAGAATTTTTGGTTGACAATTTTTTCTTTCTGTTTTAATACATCAGCATACTGCCTTCTGGCCTACAAAATTTCTGACGAGAAAATATCTGATAATTTTATTGAGGATCACTTAAATGTGATGAGTCATTTCTCTCTTACTGTTTTCAAGATTCTCTGTTTTTTGACAGGTTGATGTCAGTCTCTTTGTGTTCATCCTACTTCTAAAAGTTTGTTGAGCTTCTCAGAAGTTTATATTTATGTCTTTCATCATATTTGGGAAGTTTTCAGCTATTATTTCTTCAGAAATTCTCTATAGCCGTTTCTTTTCCTCTTTTCCTTCTGGGATTTCCAAAAGATGTACGTTTGTCTGCTGGATGGTCTATCACAGGATACTTGACTCTGTTCACTTTTCTTCAATATTTTTCATTCTGTTCCTCAGAATCAATAATTTCAATAGCCTTATTTTCAACTTTACGTATTATTTTTTCTGTGTGTTCAAATCTGCCTTTGAATCCCTCTCAGGATTTTTTTTATTTCAGTTATTATACTTTTCAGCTCCAGGTTTTTAAATTTTCTTTTAAAATTCATGTATTTTTATTAATATTTTTATTTTTATACATTATTTTTGGACATTCTCCACATATTCCTTTAGATTGCTGAGCATTTTTTAGACGGTTGCTTTAAATTATTTATCTAGCAAATGTGCCACCTAGTCTTTCTCAGGGACAGTTTCTGGTTTATTTATTTATTTATTTTTGAATAGACTATATTTTCCTGTTTCTTTGTATATCTCATGTCATTTTCTTTGGTGAAAACTGGACATTTGAATTTAATAGTGCAGTAAATCTGGAAATCAGATTCTCCTTTTGTCCCAGGATTTGCTGATTTTCAGTTTTCATTTTCTTTTTTTTTCTTTCCTTTTTGTAGGCTATTCTTATTCTAATGTAAACCTGTGGGATAAACTTCATTTCTTCTCAGGTCTTTTTTGAACCTGAGCATGCATGGTGACTTTCTAAATTCCCTATATATATGGTTGCTTTTTAATGTTCTAGACTTTAAATATCTAGTTCCCAATGCAGAAAAAGAGAAAAATGGGAGTGAGGTAAGAAAAGTAAAAAATATAAGGGGCCGTTGGCTCTTTTAAACCTCATGAAAGTTGCTTCAGACCAAGGTGAGGGGCCTTGCAACAGTGTGAGGAGGGGTGCAAGAATGGTGGCCCCACTCTGTGTTTGCATCTCCAATATAAGCATCAGCAAATAGCAATCTGAACAAAATCCTATATTTTTGGAGGACAGGATACTTTTTGCCCACCCTGGCTCCCACAAGCAGCCTGCAAACTGCTTCAGGAATACATACACAACTGCCTGCCAAGGGGCTGGTGGCTGTGTACATACACCTTGCTGTGAATTACAATTGTCAGAAGTTAACTGCAATTTACCATCTATGCCTTTCCCTGTAAGTTTCAATACTTCAAATAAATACCAGACCTATAAAATTGTTATGTAGACAGGTTTTGCCAGTGCAATTGCAGTCTGGGTGAAGATAAAGATTTTTGGTGCTTTCTACTCTACCATTTTCTCAGGATCCTTGCCTCTTCTATTTGATTTACTTTCCTTTAATCTTTTTTTTTTTCTCTTTAGGCTTAAGTTGTTCTTCTTTTATTTCCTTGAGGTAAGTTGTTTATTTGAGACCTTTTTTCATGTTGGCATTTATCACTGTAAAGTTGCCTCTTAGAGCTGCTTCTGTTGCATTCTATATGTTTTGGTATGTTTCATTTCACTTTCAGCTGTCTCAAGATTTTTTTTTTAATTTTTCTTTTGGCATCTTCTTTGGCTCACTGGTGCTCAGAAGTGTGTTGTTTAATTTCTACATATTTTTGAATTTTTCAGTTTTCCTCCTGTTGCTGTTGGATGGAATGTTGAATGTTCCATATATCTGTTTCATCCATTTGGTCAATAGCATTGTTAAAGTCTGCTGTTTTCTTATTAATTTTCTGTCTGAATGATTGATCCATAGTTGAGAGTATTGAAGTCTCCTAGTGTTACTGTATTGCTATTTCTTTCTTGATTTCTGTTAATATATGCTTTGCATATAGGTGCTCTGTTGGTATGTGAATATATATTCATAATTGCTATGTTTGATTGATTCATTAACTCTTCTATAATTATATAATAACTTTCCTTGTCTTGTAACAGTTTTTGATTTAAGTCTATTTTGTCGGGTAAAAATATAGCCATGCTGCTCTTCTTCTCTGTTTTGATTACGATTTACATGGAATATCTTTTCCCATTCCTTCACTTTCAGTGTATGTGTGTCCTTAAAGCTGAAGCCAGTCTTGTGGACAGCACATAGTTGGATCTTGTTTTTTGTGCCCATTTGGCCAGTTTACAACTTTTTATTAGAGTGTTTAATCCATTTAAATTTAAAGTAAATGTTGAGGCTGTGCATGGTGGCTCATGCCAGTAATCCTAGCACTTTGGGAAGTGGAGGCGGGTGGATCACTTGAGGCCAGAAGTTCAAGACCATGTTGGCCAACATGGTGAAACCCTGTCTGTACTAAAAATACAATTAGCTGGGCGTGGTGGTGTGCACCTGTAATCCCAGCTTCTTAGGAGGCTGAGCCAGGAAAATCACTTTAACCCAGGAGGTGGAGGTTTCAGTGAGCCGAGATCACACCACTGTGCTCCAGACTGGGTGACAGAACAAGCCTCTGTCTCAAAAAAAAAAAACCAAAAAAAAAAAACCACAACAACAGCTGGGCGCGGTGGCTCACGCCTGTAATCCCAGCACTTTGGGAGGCCAAGGCAGGCAGATTAGGAGGTCAGGAGATCAAGACCATCTTGGCTAACACAGTGAAATCCCGTCTCTACTAAAAATACAAAAAATTAGCCAGGCGTGGTGGCACATGCCTGGAGTCCCAGCTACTCAGGAGGCTGAGGCAGGAGAATTGCTTGAACCCTGGAGGCAGAGATTGTAGTGAGCTGAGATCCTGCCACTGCACTCCAGCCTGGGCAACAGAGTGAGACTCCGTCTCAAAACCAAAAACAGAACAAAAAAATATGTAAATATTGATAGGTAAGAACTTGCTGTTGACATGTTTTTGATTATGTTCCGCTTTGTAGTTTTGTCCTTTCTTTTTTGTTTTCTTTTATAATTTGATAATTTATCGTTGATAATTTATTAATACTGGTATATTTTAATTTTTAATTTTCATATCCACTATACATTAATTTTTGTGTATCTACTATAAATTTTTCTGAGTACCACAGAGTTTACATAATCTTCTTGCAATAGCCTATTTTAAGCTGATAGTAATTTAACCTCCCTCACATATAAAAATGCCATACATTTACTTCTCCCTACACAATACTCTTTCTGCTATTGATGTCAAAATTACTTTTTAAAATATTGTGCATTAGTTAATTATTGTAGTTATAGTTATTCTTAATACTTCTGCCTTTCAGCATTTATACTAGGGTTAAAACTGATTTACACATTACTATTAAAATATTAGAGTATTATGTGTTTGCCTATATATTTTCCTTAACCACTAAGTTATAATTCTTTCATGTGCTCTCATAATGTCATTTGGTTTCAATTTGAAGAATTCTCTTCAGCAATTTTTGTAACACTTTTCCTATGGTGATGAACTCCCCACAACTTTTATTTGTTTGGCAAAGTCATTATCTTGTCTATATCTCTGAAGAACAGCCTTGTCAGGTATAGTATTCTTAAGTGGCATGTTTTTTTTTCTTATAGCATATCAAATATATCATTCTACTATCTCGGCCTGCTGTTTAGATTACTCTTTATATAATAAATTGACACTCCAGGAATATTTGGCCTTACACTATTCTTTCTTGGTACCCCTGATAAAATACATTCAGTTTCAAACATCAATGCAAATTCAAAATACATTACATTGTGATTAATAAGAAATACTCACTTAAATAAGAAATACTATATATTTTTTCTAAAAAACAAAGAAAAGAAATAAAAAAGTGGAGAGATAAATCTTCCTAAAGTTTAATCATAAATCCAATGCAATTCAAAACCAAATCCTAGAGAGGAGTTAATATAAGTCATAAGAGTGCTGGCTCTAAAGTCAGATGGCCTGACCTAAATATAAACTATAACACCAGCTCTGTGGTGTACCCAAAACTCCTTAAGCATTATTTCACAGGTAAACAACACAATCAAAATGAAGAACAATATTATTTTTATTGTGATACATTTATACTAAAAACATTTTCACACTCAAAGATATATGTACTTATAATAATCATTCAAAATACATTTTCATTATGAGAAAATGTGTTAAAAAATTAAAAGATCATTTGCCCTATAATATACTATGCAGTCCTTACAAATAATTTTTAAAATTATGTATAATGACATGAAAATTGGCCATCTTATATTGCTAAGTGAGAAAACACATTGTTAAATTTTCACTGTGACCACTAAGATCCTATTTTTAAAATGTAATACTTAATATTTAAAAAAATATTCTATCTATTATCTATCTATCTATCTATCTATCTATCTATCTATCTATCTGTCATTTATCTATCTACCTATCTATCTGAGATGGATTGGCTGTGTCCCAACCCAAAGTTCATCTTGAACTGTAACCCCCATAATTCCCACTTCTTGGCAGGGACACAGTGAGGGTAATTGAAACATGGGGCAGGTCTTTTTAGTGATTTTTTTATGATAGTGAATAAATATCACAAGATCTGATAGTTTTATTAAGGGGAGCTCCCCTGCACATGCTATATTGCCTGCCACCATGTTAGATGTGACTTTGTTCCTCATTTGCCTTCTGCCATAATTGTTAGGCCTCCCCAGCCATGTTGAACTGTGAGTCAATTAAACCTCTTTCCTTTATAAATTACCCAGTCTCAGCTGTGTTTATTAGCAGCCTGTGAACAGACTAATACAGTAAATTGCTTCCAGTAGGGTAGGTGCTGCTCTAAAGATACCTGAAAATCTGAAAGCAA
Organism: Homo sapiens; assembly: GCF_000001405.40. Lineage (NCBI taxonomy): Eukaryota > Metazoa > Chordata > Mammalia > Primates > Hominidae > Homo > Homo sapiens. Next base: position 103,834,470 of record NC_000001.11, read on the forward strand.
TTTTGGAACTGGGTAACAGGCAGAGGTTGCAACAGTTTGAAGGGCTCAGAAGAAGATAGGAAAATGTGGAAAAGTTTGGAACTTCCTAGACACTTGTTGAATGGCTTTGACCAAAATGCTGATAGTTATATGAACAATAAGGTCCAGGCTGGCATGGTCTCAGATGAGGAACGTATTGGGAACTGAAGCAAAGGTGACACTTGTTATGCTTTGGCAAAGAGATTGGCAGCATTTTGCCCCTGCCCTAGAAGTCTGTGGAATTTTGAACTGGAGAGACCACTTAGGGTATCTGGTGGAAGAAATTTCTAAGCAGCAAAGCATTCAAGAGTTAATTTGGGGGCTGTCAAAAGGGTTCAGTTTTGTATATTCCCAAAGATATAGTTTGGAATGGGAACTTATATTTAAAAGGAAAGCAAAGCATAAATGTCTGTAAAATTTACAGCCTGATAATGCAATAGAAGAGAAAAGCTCATTTTCCTTAAGAGAAATTAAAGCCAGCTGCAGAAATTTGCATAAGTAAAGAAGGGCCAAATGTTAATTGGCAAGACAATGGGGAAAATGTCTCCAGGGCATGTCAGAGGTCTTAACAGCTGATCCTCCCATTCCAGGCCTAGAGACCTAGGAGGAAAAAATGGTTTTGTAGGCCAGACCCAGGACCTGGCTCCTTTGTGCAGTGTCAGGATTTGGTGCCCTGCATGCTGGCTGTGGCTAAAAGGGGTCAACATACAGTTCAGGCTGTTGTTTCTGAGGGTGCAAGTCCCAAGCCTTAGTGGCTTACACATGGTGTTAGACCTATGGGTGCACAGAAGACAAGAATCGAGGTTTGGGAACCTCTACCTAGATTTCAGAGGAAGTATAGAAGTGCCTGGATGTGCAGGCAAAGGAGGGCTTCAGGGACGGAGCCCTCATGGAGAACCTCTGCTAAGAGAGTGCAGGAGGGAAATGTAGGATGGGAACCCCCACACAGACTCCCCAATGGGGCACTGCCTAGTTGTGTGAGAAGAGAGTCACTGGCTGGCATTGAATGTCTGTGGCTTTTCCAGGCAAATGGTGCAAGCTGTTAGTGGATCTCTTATCTACTGATGGATCTATCACTGGTGGATGATAGATCCACTGACAACCTGCACTGTTTGCCTGGAAAAGCCACAGACACTCAATGACAGTCTGTGAAATCATCTGGAAGGGGGAGGTGTACCCTGCAAGCCACAGGGGTGGAGCTGCACAAGATCATGGGGACCAACATTTTGCATCACTGTGTCCTGGATGTAAGACATGGAGTCAAAGGAGATCATTTCAGAGCTTTGAGATTTGACTGATCCACTGGAATCCAGAAATTCTTGGGGCCTGTAGCCCCTGTGTTTTGGACAATTTCTTCCATTTTCCATTTTGAATAGCTGAATTTACCCAATGCCTGTACCTCCATTTTATCTAGGAAGTAACTAACTTGCTTTCGATTTTACAGGCTCATAGGAAGAAGAGACTTGCCTTGTCTTAGATGAGACTTCAAACTGTGGACTTTTGAGTTAATGCTGAAATGAGTCAAAACTTCTGGGGACTGTTGGGAAGGCATGATTGGTTTTGAAATTTGAGGACATGAGATTTGTGAATGGCCAGGGGTGGAATGATATGGTTTCACTGTGTCCCCACCCAAATCTAATCTTGAATTGTAACTCCCATAATTCCCACATGTTGTGGGAGGGACCTGGTGGAAGGTAAATGAATCATGGGAGGATCTTTTCTGTTAATGTTCCCATGATAGTGAATAAGTCTCATGAGATCTGATGGTTTTATAAAGGGGAGCTCCCCTGCATATGCTTTCTTGCCTGTCGCCAGGTAAGATGTGACTTTGCTCCTCCTTTGCCTTCTACCATGATTTTGATTCCTCCCCAGCCATGAAGAAGTGTGAGTCAATTAAACCTCTTTCCTTTATAAATTACCCAGCCTCAGATATGTCTTTATTAGCAGCATGAGAACAGGCTAATACAGTATCTATCATCTATCTGTCTATTATCTATGGAGGTAGACCTTGTTTTGTATAAGTAGACACAAGATGTGAAAGATATCATATAGTTGCAAAAATCCTCAATAAAATACTGGCAAACTGAATCCAGCAGCATATCAAAAAGCTTATCCCAATGATCAAGCCAGCTTCATCCTTGGGATGCAAGGCTGTTTTAACATAAGCAAATCAATAAATGTAATCCATCACATAAACAGAACCAACAGCAAAAACCACATGATTATCTCAATAGATGCAGAAAAGGCCTTCAACAAAATTCAACAGCTTTTCATGCTAAAAACTCTCAATAAACTAGGTATTGATGGAACATATCTCAAAATAATAAGAGCTATTTATGACAAATCCACAGCCAATATCACACTGAATGGGCAAAAACTGGAAGCATTCAATTTGAAAACCGGCAAGAGATAAGGATGCCCTCTGTCACCACTCTTATTCAACATAGTGTTGGAAGTTCTGGCCAGGGCAATCAGGCAAGAGAAAGAAATAAAGCATATTTAATTAGGAAAAGAGAAAGTCAAACTGTTTCTGTTTGGAGATGAAATGATTGTATATTTAGAAAACTACATCATCTTAGCCCAAAATCTCCTTAAGCTGATACGCAAGTTCAGCAAAGTCTCAGGATACAAAATCAATGTGCAAAAATCACAAGCTTTCCTATACACCAAGAACAGAGAGCCAAAACATGAGTGAACTCCCATTCACAATTACTACAAAGAGAATAAAACACCTAGGAATCCAACTTAAAAGGGAAGTGAAGGACCTCTTAAAGGACAGCTACAAGCCACTGCTCAACAAAATAAAAAAGGACACAAACAAATGGAATAACATCCCATGCTCATGGATAGGAAAAATCAATATCATGAAAATGGACATACTGCCCAAGGTAATTTATAGACTCAATGCTATCCCCATCAAGCTACCACTGACTTTCTTCACACAATTGGCAAAACCTAATTTACATTTCATATGGAACCAAAAAAAGCCCACATAGCCAAGACAATCCTAAGCCAAAAGAACTAAGTGGAACGCATCATGCTACTTGACTTCAAAGTATACTACAAGGCTACAGTAACCAAAACAGCATGGTACTGGTACCAAAACAGAGATATAGACCAATGGAACAGAACAGAGCCCTCAGAAATAACACCACACATCTACAACCATCTAATATTTGAAAAACCTGACAAAAACAAGAAATGGGGAAAGGATTCCCTATTTAATAAATGGTGCTGGGAAAACTGGCTAGCCATATGTAGAAAGCTGAAATTGGATGCTTTCTTACACCTTACACAAAAATTAACTCAAAATGGATTAAAAACTTAAATGTAAGACCAAAAACCACAGAAGAAAACCTAGGCAATACCATTCAGGACATAGGCATAGACAAAGACTTCATGACTAAAACACCAAAAGCAACGGCAACAAAAGCCAAAATAGACAAATGGGATCTAATTAAACTAAAGAGCTTCTGCAGAGCAAAAGAAACTATCATCAGAGTGAACAGGCAACCTACAGAATGGGAGAAAATTTTTGCAATCTATCCATCTGACAAAGGGCTAATATCCAGATTCTACAAAGAACTTAAATTTACAAGAAAAAAACAACCCCATCGAAAAGTGGGCAAAGGATATGAACAGACACTTCTCAAAAGAAGGCATTTATGCAGCCAACAGACATATGAAAAAATGCTTATCATCACTGGTCATCAGAGAAATGCAAATCAAAACCACAATAAGATACCATCTCACACTAGTTAGAATGGTGATCATTAAAAAGTCAGGTAACAACAGATGCTGGAGAGGATGTGAAAAAATAGGAACACTTTTACACTGTTGATGGGAGTGTAAATTAGGTCAACCATTGTGGAAGACAGTGTGGCAATTCCTCAAGGATCTAGAACTAGAAATACCATTTGACCCAGCAATCCCATTACTGGGTATATACCCATAGGATTATAAATCATGCTATATGCTACTATGAAGACACATGCACACATATGTTTGTTACAGCACTATTCACAATAGCAAAGACTTGGAACCAACCCAAATGTCCATCAATAGTAGACTGTATAAAGAAAATGTGGCATATATACCATATGAAATACTATGCAGTCATTAAAAAGGATGAGTTCATGTCCTTTGTAGGGACATGGATGAAGCTGGAAACCATCATTTTCAGCAAAATATCAGAAGGACAGAAAACAAACACATGTTCTCACTCATAAGTGGGAGTTGAAAAATGAGAACACATGGACACAGGGAGGGGAACATCACACAGCACAGCCTGTTGGGGGGCTGGGGGAGGGATAGCGTTAAGAGAAATACCTAATATAAATGATGAGTTGATGGGTGCAGCAAACCAAAATGGCACCTGTATACCTATGTAACAAACCTGCATGTTGTGCACATGTACCCTAGAACTTAAAGTATAATAATAATGAAATTTAAAAAATAAAGACATCATTTATAATAGTTAAAATTGGTTGTCTCAGTGTAGAATGTTTAGAAGGTATAAGAAAAAGAGATTTTTACTTTTGCTACTTATCAGGAAATTTTAAGGCACAATTATCAGAAAACCAAACAAAAATTTGCTTAAGCAATAAATATATCTATTAGCTTACTTAATAGGAAAGCTAGAAGAAAGCTGGACATTTAGTTTGATTGATTCTGTCCCTAAATTATATTATCAAAGACTATGCTATTTTCTTTTCTTCTATCATTTATTGTTTACATCACTCCTCATGATTGTTAGCTATCTGCCAATAGCAGTAAGTGCTCTACTATTTTCAATGATGATAAAAATTCTCTCTTATTTAAAAACAGGGATTCCAACAATTCTCTTTGTGTGTTTCAAGGCCAAAATGTGGTCACATAGTGATTAGTCAATCAATCACTGAAAGACCTGTGGCACTGCAGTTAAACCAGTCTGGCTTATTCCTTGATCTCAAGTCAATTTCCTAAACCACATTGCTTCCAGTCAACCAACATATCTGCTGTTGTATTGATTATCATCTTTATTATCATACAATAATCATATATTACTTAGTCAATTAAAATAAAATTTTTGAAAAGTATTGATAATTTTTTAAATGTTTGACAATTATCCAATAGATCATAACTGTGGAAGTCTGCTTACAAAATTTTAGTTAAACCTAGCAAAAAATTCTAAAATTTCTTAGCTTATTATAAAAAGTACAATGCAGCAGGCAGAGATATCTATCATCATTTATGATGAAAGTAAAGATCTTTTATCATTTGCTTTGTATAAGACAATTTTACTTTGGTACCTTCTCTTTGCTTTAAAAAATAGTAAAATGTCACCAGTATACTACAGGTTGAGCATTCTTAAAATCCAAAAGTCCAAAATCCGAACTCTTCTGGTCCCAAGCATTTCAGATAAGGGCTCTTTCACCTTTATAATCTATAAAAGCCTAAAGAAAGGACATTTTTAATACTAAAAATTAAATATGGTCGGGTAAAATAAGAAAATCTTTTCCACATTAGGCCCATCTTATAGTTCAGAAAAGAATTAAAAGGAACCTGATTCAAAGAGAATAAAAAGTAAAATAATGTAAACATCAAATTTTTAAATATTAATGTAAACAAATTTCAATATAGTTAGGAAATACTATCAATTATAATTTTTAACATCTAAGAAGTAATTTTTAATAATGCCTATGTCTCTCACTGGGACTGATGAAATAACAAATTTTAAGAGTTGAGAGGGGTCAAGGTTAGTAATAACATTTACCAGATAATACATTATATGAGGTAGCTGTTTAGAAAACTCATTTGCTGCCTTCTACAGTAAAGTGACTTTTGGTGGATTACCTCTCTGTATCCCACAGTTAAACTACAGATTTACTATAAAACCCTTCATTTATGATACAATGAAACTGGATTTCTTAGCTTTTTAGAAACTGTGGAATGTTAATCAATAATAGATTATGCTATGGTGATGTTACATTTTCTTTTCTTTTCCCAGTAACTGTCTCCCCCTGAGAGACAGGGTTCTCCCATAAGGTCCAGAGACTGACATTTCTGTGGACTTAATCTATATGTCCAAGGACACTTCAAAGGTTAAGTAAATTCTATTTCTAATTCCATGATCACTAAATTGTAAATGCTAGAAGCTTTAGATTTTGACAACTTTGGGCCTTTAATTTTGAATGAGGATTCTTCTATCTCTGTGAAATATCAGACACTGAACATTAGAAGTGGGCTGTAAGAATCTACAGTCTGGGATTTATCAAAATACTTTTTGTGAAGATTTGGCTGGTTATGGAAGTACAACTGGTCTAAATACACTATAGCAAATGAAAAATATTTACGTCATGTTTTTGTTTAAAATTAAATACCTGGGTGGCTCTATTTATAGAAATATATCACAGGTTTAAAGACAGAGGAAAATGGCTCACAAATCCAATAAAACTTGGAATGCATGATTACCTGCAATATCAGGGGATTTTCACCCAATATATTTGCCAACAAATCAATAACATGAGTAAAGCCTTCTGCATTGTGGGCAATCAAATGCTCACTAACAGGTAACACTGCTTAAATTAATATAATCCTCAAAGTGCTCTGTATGTTTCAGAGCTAATACCACTGAGGCTTAAAATTCACACGTGATAAGCTAGAGGATATTTCTTAATAATGGTTTAAATAAAAGGAAATTACATGAAGATTCTGAATTAAATGCTCCCACACTGAATGGGCTCAGTTTAAGTTGTTCTTGTCTCTAATGGCATATTACTTATTGTCTGTATTTCTTTATACAGCAAAAAAAAGTAGCAAGCACCTAAAATATTATGTTGCTATTTCACTAAAACTTATGACTACTTTTTGAAACTGTTATAAAGATTGTGTTGGATATCATGCCTCATTGAAATGGCTTCCATCTCTCACCCTTTCAGACTCAGACCAAAAATCACCACCTCTCTGAAGCCTGCCCAGACTCCCTGAGGAAAATCAATAGCTTTTTTCTTTGTTTCTAACTCCTCTCTTGCAGCATTATCACACTATTTTGTAAGCATCCCTTCTGGCTTTTGAATGTAGTATAAGGACCTGACACATATTTTACTGAGTAAATGTGAAGACCATATCAAGTAAGCAGCAGAGCATATGAACAACATCTGCCATAGAGGTTAATAGTGGCACTGGGCCTTTATTAAATATGGTTTTACTTTCAAAGTCAAGGTTTAACGTGGAGGAAAACCATGCAAAGAAAAGCCATGTGTTTAAGTTGTGTAACTTAAAACACAAAGATTGTGCTTAATTGACACATCCAGATTTTGTCAATGTGCTAGTGTTGTGTTCTGCTCTACAAAACATTTAATAACACAGTTACACTACAGTTTGGAATAGCTATTACCTGTCAAGCATGAGGTACCAGAGATACAGATGAATTAGGCAGAGTAACTGAACCTAAGAAAATACTAAATAAGGCCAGGCGCAGTGGCTCACGCCTGTAATCCCAGCACTTCGGGAGGCCGAGGCGGGCAGATTGCCTGAGGTCAGGAGTTCAAGACCAGCCTGGCCAACATGGTGAAACACCGTCTCTATTGAAAATACAAAAATTATCCAGGCGTGCTGGTGGGCACCTGTAATCCCAGCTACTTGGGAAGCTGAGGGAGGAAAATGGCTTGAGCCCCGGAGGCGGAGGTTGCAGTGAGCTGAGATTGTGCCACTGCACTCCAGCCTGGGTGACTGAGTGGGACTCTGTCTCAAAAGAAAGAAGAAAAAAAAAGAAAATATGAAATGAGCCAAAAAGATCTACTCACAGAAAAATCTTTAAACTTATCAAAAATGCATTCTATATGTATCCTTTATTATTTCTTTTAAATAATTATTGCTGAAGAAGTAAAATACAGTTAATATCACATCAAAAGACAATTTTTTTTCTTAGAAAGCTACAATTGTTTGGCAAATTTGACTTAAGTTTAAGAACAGGGCATATATGTAGATACTTTCAACAAAAGTATCTATATGTGACATTTTAATGCTTTTAACTAGTCATATCAGAGTGAGAGAAAAAGAGGAGAGAAAGAAAAAGAAGGAGGATAAAGAGGAAGTGAAAACAATAAAGTAGAGGTAAGCTAGTAAGAAAGAAACAGTAAAATAGGATTAAAAAGATTTGGGACTCTGTGTAGTGGCTCATGCCTGTAATCCCAGCACTTTGAGAGGCCGAGGCAGGCAGATTGCTTGAGTGCAGGAGTTCAAGACCAATCTGGGCAACATGGTGAAATCCAATATCCGCCAAAAATAATGATAATAAAGATACAAAAATTAGCTGGGTTTGGTGGTGCACACCTGAGCCTGGGGAATCTGAGGCTGCAGTGAGCTATGATGGCACCACCGCACTCCAGCCTGAGTGAGAGAGTGAGACCCTGTATCAAAAATAAATACATACAGAAAAGAAAAGGGAAAAAAAGATGACCTGAGAAGTGAGATAAAAAATATGAGAGAAAAACAGCAGAAAGGAAAAGTCTAACAACGTCAAAGGAAGCAAATGTAGATACTAAGGTCAAAGGGAAACAAACAAATAAAACATTAGTTGACTGCAGCATTGCTAAGGATTGGGAAATGGAGGATGATATAGGCAGGGAATGGCTACATTTGTATAACAGCCTTTTAGGCTTATTTAACTGTTTAAGTTATGTGATTGTATAATTTGGATTAACATAAAACCTAAACAAAATCCTCACTTGGCCCTTAACTTTTCCAACCACCAGCATTTTCTTTCCTCCCATTCACTGCAAAAGCCTTTTAAAATAGTTTTCTATATGTAGTGTTTTCACCTCCCACCCTACCAACCAATTCTCTTCTTAAACTACTCCAATCAGTCTTTAGTCTACAACATTGTACTGAATTGGCTTTTGTTAAAGTCAGCAATGACCTACATCTTGCCAAAGTCAATGTTCCATTTGAAATTATCTTATTTGACTTTTTGCTAGTGTTTGACACAGTTGACCACTGGATTCTTTCTTGAAATGGTTCTCCTAAGACCACAGTGACATAATAGTTTTTTTCTCTCCATCTCTACTTTCCTGGCGACTCATTTTAAGCCTCCTTTGATAAGTTTTACTCCTTTGACAGATCTCTAAGTGTGAAGGACTCCGGCTTTTGGTGCTCAGCCTCTGTAGTTTATCTTTCTAGCCTTCCTCTCAGGATGATTTTTCCAATCCCATAACATAATTACTAGTTGTATATTGATGACACTCAATGTTATATTTCTCTACCAGACCTCTTCTGGGCTCCAGACTCCTATATCCAATTGCTTATTCAACATTTCCGCTCTGTCTACGAGGAATGTGGATGCCAATAGGGCCACAACAGAATTAATAATTCCAATTTTCTCTCAATCGGTTCCTGCTCAAATTCAGTCTTCCTAAACCCTTTTTATTCCAGGTATGGGCATTGTTATCTATCCTTATACTCAGAAAAAAAAATCATAAGTCTTATTTCCTCACACTTCACACCTGTTTTTTCTGGATAGCCTGTCACATCTCTTCTGCTAGAATATATTCCAAATTCAAACATTTCTCATTATTTTTACTGCATTTCCAAAACATTCTTACTTGGGATCTTGAAATGGGCTCTAAACTAGAATCCTTTATTTCATTATGCTTAAATATAGTATGTTTTCCACACAGAAACTAGAGATATGTTTGTAAAAGGTAAATCAAATCATGCCATTCCATGCACACAAACTTAAAATGGATTTCCATGAAAATCTAACTTATATCCACATTCATTTTCTTTGTTTACACATTTTTATATACTTGGTCCCTCTCTGACTCTCCAAACTCATTGTTACTTCTTATTCACTATGTTCATCCCATATTGGTTTCCTTTTTATCCCTCAAACAATAAGCTTACTCCCACCTCTGTGCCCTTGCTATTTATTCTTCTTTGAAACTTCTTCAGGCAGACATTTACATGGCTCTCCGTTTCTTTATCTATGTCTCAACAAATGTTCTCTTCTCAGAGAAGCATTTCACAATCACTCCAGCTACAGCAAATTTCCCTCTCCCCTCTCCTCCACACCATATTCTACATAACATTAATTCATTTTCTCCCAGGAAAAAATGTAGCACCTGATTTTACTGATGTTTCTTTATTTAAAAAGTCTTTCCCCTTCCATTAGAATATAAAGTTGCTCCCTCGATCTGTCATGTCATATCTAAATGAGTCTGGCACAAAGCACATGCCTAAAACAATGCTTTGTTTACTGAATAACTGAAATTAATGTTTTAAATTCTACCTCATGCAAGGAGAATTCAAATGTCCTTTGAATAGCTTGAAAAAGTGTATAATTCTCCCAATCTATCTCCTTTCAATCCTCCTGAAATATTCTGGACTCACAATTTCAAACCACTTGTGAGCCACTGATGTAATATGTTGATTTATACCTCCCTACATTTGTATATTGCTATTATTCTTTTTACTGAGGATTCTCCAACTTGCATCCACCAAAGGTATTTCCTCCTGGAATACTATATGATGCTTCCTCCTTTTCTACACCATCACTGGACTTATAAGGCCTGACTCTCCTCCGCACCTAGAACGCTTTCTGTATCCACAGTGTCCAACACTTTTTCCATTGTTTTGTCACTCTTCGTTTTATCACTTTCTTGATTGTGAGGTATTAGAGGATGGAGATTTTTCATCTTGTGTCCATTTGTATACCTAGTACTTAAAACAGAGTAAGATGTAATATTAGGTAATACGCATATACCTGAAACTTTCTAGGGTACATCTGTTTTCATACAGTCTATACCAATGTTAATCAGAATTCAACATTTTTTTGATTATTAGATAGCAATGATGATTTCTATAATGCTAGTGAACCATTGACAGTTTACTTAAAATTAAATAGGAATGTAGAGAGTACCTTATATAGCATGAATCAATTTTTCTCAAAATTTTTCATTATTTATCTCTGTCGAATTCATTATCCCTCCAGACCAACTTCTTGGTGACGAATTCTTTCCTAATCTTTTCCCTACTCTCTGCAAACCTCACTGACTCAAAAATTCTATGCTGACATCTTTTTTTTATTATTTTATTGTAGAAAACAATTTAACTTTGCTTCCTTACTATTATATTCCAATTCCCATTATACCATCTGATGTGGAAAATTATTTTTAAAAATCACATCTTTTAAAAATAATCCGTGAATTTTAAATACAAAAATGATTCTTATCACAAGGATCTCTTCTTTTTTTTGGTATTATTTTCTTCATCATAACAGATAAAACAATTTTGTTAAAAGTGCAAGCAATTATATATATACATTTTTCATATTGTCCTTATTAGATTCTTTAGCTGTCATGTCTGTTTTATCTTCTAATGCCAATGATTTTCACAACTAGAACTATTCTCAGGGAATCTTTGCATTAGTTGGAATATATGACATGTTTGATGTAAAAGAAACCCAAACAACAGTAGCTTAAATGAGATAGAAGATCCTCTTATGTAATGAAGATAGAAATAAGAAGCTGGTTTGGCAGATCTGCTTCAAGAAGATTTTTAGGGACACAGAACTTACTGTATTGTTGCTTCATAATAGGAAATTACTGATATCTTATATGGTCCCAAATGTTTCATCATCATGCTTTTTACTCAGGCAATGGAATGGAGCAAAGAATGGAACAAGAAATGCACACCTCTTCTCTTAAAGGAAAAAATTCAGAGTAGCTCATATCACTTCTGAAATATTATACTGGCCAGAATTTAATTATAACTCTACACTTACTTGCAAGAGAGACTATAATATGTAGACTTCATTCTGGTTAACAGTTGGTCTAATTAAAAATTGGGGATTCTGATACTATGACAGAAAAGGGAAAAGTGGATACTAACTGGAAATAACTGGCACTTTTGGCATAATCCCCTGTTTCTTCTAAATAGATTAAATTTGGTAGAAAAATAGGCAAAAATTATGAACAGTTTAAAAAATATAAAATGTCCTTTAGACATACAAAAATATTCATTTTCACTTACAATAAGAAACATGTAATTAAAATTTACACAGATAGAGTGATATAAATAAAAAATGGCAGAATAGTTAACTCTAATGGCCTATGTCTCCACAGAAACACCACAAAAACTTATCAGAAACAGTCAGAATAAACTTTGTCAGAACTCTGGAAAAATAATCAGAGGTTTACAACAAGCAAGCAAATGCTAAATCAAGAAAGAATCAACATAGAAATGGCAGTAGAGCTTTGTGGTATTTTTACTTGTCCTCTTTGGTTCCATTGCGGTCTTGAAGATGGCAGTCCATGTTCCTAGTGTGAAACCATGTTTCCTGGTTCCAGAGAGAGTAGAACAACTATAACATATATAAGAAAGAAAAAGAAACTATGAAGAGAGACATATTCTGATTTCTAAAGTTATCAGATTATAATATTAAAATGTCTATTTTTCAACAAAAAATATAAAGCACACAAAAAATAAGAAAATATTGTCTGTTCATAGCAGAATTTAATGGAAACTGTCCCTAAGGAAATAGAAAAACTGAACTTTTTAGACTTATTCTTAAATATGATTAAAAAATTGAAGAAAATCATGGATAAAGAACTAAAGGAAACCAGGAGAAATATGTCTTAACAAATAAAGAATCATCAATAAAGAGATTAAAAGTATAAAAAGAAAACAAATTTCAGCACTGTGAAATGCAATAACTAAAATGAATAATTCACTTGAGGGTTTCAACAGCATATTTGATCAGGCAGAATAAAGATTTAGTAAGCTCGAGGATAGGTCAATTAAAATTATATAGTCCGAGGAGCAGAAAAGAATGAACAGAGCTTAAGAAACGTATGTTAACACCACCAAGTGTACCAGCATACATTCATAATAAGAGTCTCAGAAAGAGAAAAGCAAAAGAAAGAGAGAGAATATTTGAAAATAATAATGGCTCTAAACTTCCCAAATTTAATAAACGGCATGCATCTACAAAAGAAGATTAACAAACTCCAAGAAGAATAAACATAGAGAGATACACATCAAGACATATTACAATCAAACTGTCAAAAGCCAAAGCCAGAGAATCTTGAAAGCAACAAGACAGAAGCAATTTGTCATGAACAAGGAATTCTCAGGAAGATGAGCAGTTAATTTATCTGCAGAAACCAAGGAGGTCATTAGGCAATGGAATAATTTAAAATCAGCAAAGAATGCTAATGCAAAAAATGTTGTAAGAAAAGCTATCAGTTAAGAATTCTATATCTGGCAAAACTATCCTTCAAAAATGAAAGTGATATTAAAACATTCCCAGAAAATCAAAAGCTGAGGGTGTTTGTCCCTAGTAATTGGCCCAAATAAAGAAAGTCCTTCAGTCTAAAATAAAAGAACACTGGACAGTCTATGAAGCCATATGAAGAAATAAAAAGGCACTGGTACAAATAACTACATGGCAAAATACAAAGCCAATATTATTTTATTTTTGATTTCTCTCTCTCTCTCTCTCTCTCTCTCTCTCTCTCTGTCTGTCTCTCTCTCTCTCTCTATATATATACATATATGTATACGTATATATATACACATATATATATGTATATATATATATATATACATATATATATATATACACATTTTATTATTATTATGTATTTATTTGGAGATGGAGTTTCGCTCTTGTTGCCCAGGCTGGAGTGCAATGGCGTGATCTCAGCTCACTGCAACCTCCACCTCCCAGGTTCAAGAGATTCTCCTGCCTTGGCCCCCCAAGTAGCTGGGATTACAGGTGTGTGCCAATATATCTAGGTAATTTTTGTATTATTAGTAGAGACGGGGTTTCACCATGTTGGCTAGGCTGGTCTTGAACTCCTGACCTCAGGTGATCCACCCACTCCAACCTCCCAAAGTACTGTGATTACAGGCGTGAGCCACCGCACTTGGCCTGTAATTATATTTTTCTTCATATATGGTTTAAAAGACAAATGCATAAAACATTAATTAAAAAATCTATGTTATTGCCATATAATCTATAAAAATGTAATTTGTGACAAAAACAATTTAAAGGGAAGGACAGAGTTGTATAGGAGCAGAATTTTTGTTTACTAGTGTGGTTAAGACAGAATAAGTAAAAATAGATTGTAATAAATTTAGTAGGCTTATTGTAATACCAGAATAATCACCAAAAGATACATAAAAATATACAGAAAAGAAAATGAGAACACTATAAAAATTGTAAAATATAGAAAATTAAACACAGAAGAAGGCAATATGGTAGGAAATAAGAAACAAAAAAAGATAGATTGAAAACAAATGGCAAAATGGCAGAAGACTTTCTTATCAGAAATTACTATAAATTTTAATGGATTGAAATTTTTTCACTTAAAAGGTGAAGATTGGCAGAATAGATCCAATTATATGTCTACTAGAGACTCATCTGTTCTACAATAAAGAGATCTGAAAGACAAAACACAACAAATAAAATATAAGAAATGTGTTTTTATTCTGATTCCAATAAATCAAGTATAAAAATACATTTAAAAAACCCTGAAATTTGACTATAGAAATTTCATTACGATATTAGAGGTACTAAACAATATCATCACTTTTTTAGTTATGTTAACTCTGTAGCTTTGGGAATTCATACTAATGCAATTGAGAAGCGGCAAAATATTTGAGAATTGCTTTAAAATACTTTTCAAGGAAGAAAATCATAGTCAAGGATAAAGCAAAACACATAATATTAATAATTCTTTCTGGGTGATGGGTATATAGGGTTCATTATACCATTATTTTTACTTTTTAATATTTTTGAAAATTTTTCTAATAAAAACTGTTTAGAAAACACTTGGAGTCTGATTACTTCTGAACTCCATTTACGTCTTTTATTCTTAGAGAAATTGTTACCATTTCTCTCCATGATTATTGCAGTAGCCTGTAATATCATCTCCCCCAACCCATTTACCAATTCTATTAAGAAGATGAAGTAATCATTTGCAATAGAAGTAAAAATAATCCAACTTTTTCTCATAACTGTCTTAATTTCCCATGTCCTTCAGAGTCAGAGCCAAAGTCCTTCCAATGGTCTATCTGGCTATATTAACCTTCCTCCCCTTAAATTTCAAACCTGGATTTACCACTTCTCTCTGAGTTGGTGGATTCAGTTAAACTATTCACTTTCCTCATGCCAAATATATACCACCTTGGAGGCTTTGCTCTAGCTGCCTCCTTTTCTTGGAATCCACATGACTAGCTCCCTTAACTTCTCAAGGTTTTGCTCAACATCGCTTTCTTAATAAGGCCTAGTGTGGCATTCCTTATCTTGTCACAGTTAAAATTACAAACTGCTTTAACCCAACTCGAACATTCTCCACCTCTTTAATCTGCTCTGTTTTTTTAGCATTTATCACTTTTCAATATATTGTAATTAATTTTAATATTAAATTATCTATCATTCTGCTGCTGGGTAAGCTCTATCAGGAGAGGGAGCTTTATCTATTTGTGTCCATGTTTGTTTACTACTGTATCCTGAGTGATTAAAATAGTACATGGAGCATCATAGAAAATCAATAAATATTTCTATTGTAAATTAATGACTGAATTTATGAACTACTGGTAATATTATATTTGAAAACATTAAATATGAGAATGTGCATAGACAAGCCACATTATAAAAAAATCGATATATGTCAACTTAGATAAAACATGGAATTTGAAGCAGGTTGTTATCTCACAGTCTTAAATTTTTTTTTACCTATATAGATAAATTTGATACTCTCTAGCTAAAAGAACACATACACATTTCTTTCATTTAGTTTTAAATGAAACAAGGAAAAATAGAACTTTGACTTTTTCCTAAATATATGTTAGATTTTTTTAGTATCTGTTGTTGTTCAAAGAGAAGTAATTAGTAAAGAATTTCTATTGTTGAGAGTTAATTAGTGCAATAGTGTGACAGGACATATCAGAAATCATAAATTTTACATAAAATTGTTAAAACTGAGTAATTAATAAAATATGTTTTATAACTTATCTTTTCCAAATGCAAAACAGAATAGATGGATGAAAGTTTATTTAAAGGCTGTGTTCAGTCTTCATGTCTTCTAAGTGTGATACTCACACCTCTTGCTCATTAAGAAAAATCCACATGCACTATCAGTATTAAACAAAAGAAAAAAGCTCTCTTTGAATTTGGAAGCAAAATTTGTAGAGTGTAAAAGGTAGACATGTACAATGGCTTATTTTTTTGCATAACAAATTAGAAAGCAATTCATAAACTACAAAAGATCTGAGAAGATCTGTTATTTCTAGAGATTAATATAGTCCGTGTGATCAGAGGAATGTCATTGCTCAGCAGTGCATTTCTAGCACCTGTGGGTAATGCTAGGCACTGGTGAAAACTCATCAAATAATTTAATTCAGCAAAAATGTTATAAAAATATCAAATACAAATTTTGGAATTCAAAAGACCTATATTGAGAACTTTATGTTAGAATAACATCAAAGTTGTTAGTTTATAGCCAGAGCAAAGAAAACAATGAAAAAAGTATACATATATAATATATATATATATATATTACCCTTTAAGTTCTAGGGTTCTAGAGTACATGTGCACAATATGCAGGTTTGTTACATATGTATACATGTGCCATGTTGGTGTGCTGCACCCATTAACTCGTCATTTACATTAGGTCTATCTCCTAATGCTATACCTCCCCCCTCCCCCCACCCCAAGACAGGCCCCAGTGTGTGATGTTCCCCACCCTTTGTCCAAGTGTTCTCATTGTTCAATTCTCACCTATGAGTGAGAACATGCGGTGTTTGATTTTCTGTCCTTGTGATAGTTTGCTCTGAATGATGGTTTCCAACTTCATTCATGTCCCCACAAAGGACTTGAACTTATCCTTTTTTATGGCTGCATAGTATTCCATGGTGTATATGTGCCACATCTTAATCAGTCTATCATTCATGGACATTTGGGTTGGTTCTAAGTCTTTGCTATTGTGAATAGTGCCACAATAAACATACATGTGCATGTGCCTTTGTAGCAGCATGATCTATAATTCTTTGGGTATATATTCAGTAATGGGATGGCTGGGTCAAATGGTATTTCTAGTTCTAGATCCTTGATGAATCACCGCACTGTCTTCCACAGTGGTTGAACTAGTTTACAGTCCCACCAAGTGTGTAAAAGTGTTCCTATTTCTCCACATCCTCTCCAGCGCCCATTGTCTCCCGACTTTTTAATGATCGCCATTCTAACTGGTGTGAGATTGTATCTCATTGTGGTTTTGATTTGCATTTCTCTGATGGCCACTGATGAAGAGCATTTTTTCATGTGTCTGTTGGCTGCATAAATGTCTTCTTTTGAGAAGTGCCTGTTCATATCCTTTGCCCATTTTTTGATGGGGTTTTTTTTTCTTGTAAATTTGTTTAAGTTATTTGTAGATTCTGGATATTAGCCCTTTATCAGATGGGTAGATTGTAAAAATTTTCTCCCATTCTGTAGGTTGCCTGTTCACTCTGATGATAGTTTCTTTTGCTGTGCAGAAGCTCTTTAGTTTAATTAGATCCCATTTGTCTGCTTTGGCTTTTGTTGCCACTGCTTTTGGTGTTTTAGTCATGAAGTCCTTGCCCATGCCTATGTCCTGAATGGTATTGCCTCGGTTTTCTTCTAGGGTTTTTATGGTTTTAGGGCTAACATTTAAGTCTTTAAACCATGTTGAATTAATTTTTGTATAAGGTGTAAGGAAGGCATCCAGTTTCAGCTTTCTACATATGGCTAGCCAGTTTTCCCAGCATCATTTATTAAATAGGGAATCCTTTCCCCATTGCTTGTTTTTTTCAGGTTTGTCAAAGATCAGATGGTTGTAGATGTGTGGTGTTATTTCTGAGGGCTCTGTTCTGTTCCATTGGTCTATATCTCTGTTTTGGTACCAGTACCATGCTGTTTTGGTTACTGTATCCTTGTAGCATAGTTTGAAATCAGGTAGCGTGATGCATCCAGCTCTGTTCTTTTGGCTTAGGATTGCCTTGGCTATGCGGGCTCTTTTTTGTTTCTGTATGAACTTTAAAGTAATTTTTTCCAATTGTGTGAAGAAAGTCATTGGTAGCTTGATGGGGATGGCATTGAATCTACAAATTACCTTGGGCAGTATGGCCATTCTCACAATATTGATTCTTCCTACCCATGAGCATGGAATATTCTTCCATTTGTTTGTATCCTCTTTTATTTCATTGAGCAGTGGTTTGTAGTTCTCCTTGAAGATGTCCTTCACATCCCTTGTAAGTTGGATTCCTAGGTATTTTATTCTCTTTGAAGCAATTGTGAATGTGAATTCACTCATGATTTGGCTCTCTGTTTGTCTGTTATTGGTGTATGGGAATGTTTCTGATTTTTGCACATTGATTTTGTATCTTGAGACTTTGCTGAAGGTGCTAATCAGCTTAAAGAGATTTGGGGCTGCGATGATGGGGTTTTCTAAATATACAATTATGTCATCTGCAAACAGGGACAAGTTGACTTACTCTTTTCCTGATTGAATACCCTTTATTTCTTTCTTCTGCCCGATTGTCTTGGCCACAACTTCCAACACTAAGTTGAATAGGAGTGGTCAGAAAGGACATCCCTGTCTTGTGCAAGTTTGCAAAGGGAATGCTTCCAGTTTTTGCCCATTCAGTTTGATATTGGCTCTGGGTTTGTCATAAATAACTCTTGTTATTTTGAGATAAGTCCCATCAATACCTAATTTATTGAGAATTTTTAGCATGAAGGGCTGTTGAATTCTGCAACCTCAACCCATGCTGCTGTGCATGATTTTAGTCCCTGCTTATATAAGCTGGGTAATGACCAACCAGACTGTATTCAGAAGATCCCTTTTAGTTAGATAGGCGTGGTGATCCACTCCTGTAATCCCAGCTACTTGAGAGGCTAAGGCAGGAGAATTGCTTGATGTGAGGAATTCAAGGCTGAAGTGAGCCTTGATAGCAGCATGGCACTCCAGCCTAGGTGACAGAGAGTGACCCTGTCTTTATATATATATGTGTGTGTGTGTATTTATATATATAAATAAAAATAAGAATATTTTCAAAATTTTGAAAAAGATTCTAGACATTTAACTTAAACACGTCTTAAGTTAAAATAATTTTTAAACATTTTCAGGAAGGCAATGTGTAAGAAGCAGATTTACACTGGATAATTTCAGTTTGAAATTATGGTCAGTCTGTGGATAGTCTAGGGACACAAGTTTCTTCTTGACAAAAAACAAAAATGCTCTAAAACATTTTTAAATAAAAAATCAACACTATAGAAAAACAGTCCCGCAAAAAAATATATCACAGTGACTGGAAGTATTTAAGAAGATCTGTGCATGACATATTTAAAGTGCTAAAGGTAAAATAACAAAAAGTTTAAAAAGCAGGGGGATGAAGTTAAAGTGTAAAGTTTTTATTAGTTTTTTGTGTGTGTTCATGTGTTTGTTTGTATAGTCAATGTTAACTTGTCATCAGTTTAAAATAATGGGTTATAAGATAGTATTTGTAAGCCTCATGGTAACTTCAAATCCAAAAACCTGCAATAAACAGACAAAAAATTAAAAGTAAGCAATTAAAGCATATCACTGCAGAAAATCACTTTCACTAAAAGAAAGACAGACTCGAAGGAAAGAAGGAAGAGGCCACAAAACAAATAGAAAACAAATAAAATGAAAGTATTAAGTTCTTACTTACTGATAATAGCATTGAATATAAATGACCTAAACTCTCCAATCAAAAGACATAGAGTGGCTGAATAGATGATAAAACAAGACTTAATGGTCTGTAGCCTGCAAGAAAGACATTTCACCAATACAAATACACATAGACTAAAAATAAGTGGCTAGAAAAAGATATTCTATGCCAATAGAAACAACACAACAACCAAAAAAAGAGCAGGAGTTACTATACTTAGTCAACATAGATTTCAAGACAAAGACTACAAGAAAAGTCAAAGAAAGTCATTTTATAATAATAAAAGAGTCAAGTCAGCAAGAAGATATAACAATTGTAAATATATATGCACCAAACATTGAGGCATCCAGATGTGTAAAACAAATATTGTTAAAGTAAAAGAGACAGACCTCAACACAATAGTATCTGGAGACTTCAGCACCCCACTTTCAGCATTAAAGAGATGTTTCAAACAGAAAAACAACCATCATCAGACTTAATCTGCAATGTAGAATAAAAGAACCTGGTAGGTTTTTACAGAACATTTCATTGAAGAGCTGCAGAATACACATTCTCTTCCTCAGCACATGGAACATTCTCAAGGATAGACCATATATTAGGTCACAAAACAAGTCTTAAAACATTCAAAAAACATTGACATAATATCAAGCAGTTTCTCTGACCACAATACAATAAAACTAGAAATCAATGACAAGAGGAGTTTGGGAAAATATACAAACAAATGGAAATTACACAATGTGCTCACAAATGACCACTGGGATAAGGAAGACATTAAGAAGGAAACTGAAACATTTCTTGAAGCAAATGATAGTGAACATACTAAACAGAATATACAAAAATTGATGGGATAGAGCAAAAGCAGTACTAAGAAGAAAATTTATAGCTATAAGTGCCTGCATGAAAAAAAGAAAAACATCAAAAAAAGAAAAAAACAATGATGCATCTTAAAAAACTAGAAAGCAAGAGCAAACCAAACTCAAAGTTAGTGGAAGAAAAGAAATAATGAAGATCACAGCAGAAATAAATGAAATTGAAGGAAATCATAACTCACAAAACAGATTAATGAAATGAAAAGTTGCTTTCTTGAAAATATAAACAAAATAGACAAACCTTTAGCCAGACTAAGAAAAAAAGAGAGAATACCAACAAATAAAATTAGAGATGAAAAAGGAGACATTACAACTGATACCACAGAAATTCAGAGGATCATTAGAGACTTCTATGAGCAACTATATGCCAATAACTTGGTAAACCTGGAAAAAATGGATAAATTGCTATACACAATAAATCTACAAAGATTGAACCAGAAAGAAATTAAGAACCTGAACAGAAGAATAACAAGTTATGAGATTAAAACCATAAAAAAAACTCTCCCAGAAAAATAATAATAATAATAATAAAGCCTGGGAACCATTTGCTTTACTGTTGAATTCTATAAAACATTTAAAGAAGAACTAATGCCAACCTTACTCAAACTATTTTGAAAAACAGAATAATTAGCAGGGGGAATACTCCCAAACACATCGTATGAGTCTCGTATTACCTTGATATGCAAATCAGACAAAAATACATAACAAAAGGAAAGACAACCACAGGCCAATATCTCAGATAATATTGATGCAATAATCCTCAATAAAACATTAACAAACTGAATACATTAACAAAATCATTCATCACGGCCAAGTGAAGTTATCCCAAAGATGCAAGAATAGTTCAGCATATGCAAATTGATCAATGCGTTCTATCATATCAATAGAAGGGAGGACAAAATCCATATCATCGTTTCAATTGATACAAAAATGCATTTGATAAACTTTAACATCTCTCCATGATAAAAAAAAAAAACCCTCATAAGGCTAGCTATATAAGGAACATACCTCAACAAAATAAAACCCACATGTAACAGACCTGCAGCTACCATCATACAGAATGAGGAAAACCTGAAAGCCTTTTCTATAAGATCTGAAGAATGACAAGGATGCCCACTTTTACCATTGTTATTCAATATAGTACTAGAAGTCCTACCTAGAGCAATCAGACAAAAGAAAGAATTAAAGAGCATTGGAATAAAAAAAGAAGCCAAATTATCTTTATTTGCAGTGAAAGATGTCAACAGTGAGAACTATAAAACACTGATGAAAGAGGACACAAAAAATAGTAAGATATTTCATGTTCATAAATTGGAAGAATTAGCACTGTTAAAATATTCATGCCAAAAGCAGTCTACAGATTCAATGCAATTCTTATCAAAATACAAATGTCATTCTTCCTCAGAGAAATAGAAAAAACAATTCTAAAATTTATATGGAGCCACAAAAGACCCAATATAGCCAAAGCTATTCTGTGAAAAAAAAACAAAAAACAAAAAAAACAGAACTGGAGGAATCTTGTTACCTCACTTTAAGTTATACTACAGAGCTATAGTAACAAAAACAACATGGTATTGGCATAAAAACAGACACACAGACCAATAGAACAGAGTAGATAACCCAGAAACAAATCCATACATCTACAATGAGCTCGTTTTCAACAAAGTTGCCAAGAACACGCACCAGGGAAAAGATAATTTCTTCAATAAACGTTGTTGGGAAAACTGGGTATCCATATGCAGAAGAATAAAACTATGTCCATATCTCTTGCAACATATGAAAATCAAACTCTATAATTCTAATACCTTAAACTATGAAAATATTAGAAGAACCACATTTGGGAAACTCTCCAGGACATTAGTCTGGGCAAAAATTTATTGCCCAACAAGCACAGGCAAGCAAAGCAGAAATGCACAAATGGAGTAACATCAAGCTAAAAAGTTTCTGCACAGCAAAGAAGACATTCAACAAAGTGAAAAGAGAAACCATAGAATGGGAGAAAATATTGCAACCTCTCCATCTGACAAGGGATTAATAACCATATTATATAAGGAGCTCAAACAACTCTATAGGAAAAAAAAACAAATAATCTAATATAAATGGGCAAAAGATATAAATAGACATTTCTCAAAATAAGATGTACAAATGGCAAACATGCATATGAAAAGGTATTCAACATAATTGATTATCAGAGAAATTTGAGTCACAAGTATAATGAGATATCATCTCACCTCAGTTAAAATCGCTTTTATCCGAAAGCAGGCAATAAAAAATGCTGGCAAGAATGTGGACAAAATGGAACTGCTGTGCACTTTTGGGGGGAATGTAAATTAGTACAACCACTATAGAGAACAATTCGGAGGTCCCTCAAAATACTAAAAATAGAGCTACTACAGTATCTAGCAATCTCACTGCTGAGTATATACCCAAAGGAAGGAAATTAGCATACTGCACTCTCATGTTTGTTGCAGCACTATTCCCAATGGGAAAGATTTGGCTGAAGACTAAATGTCCATCAAGAGATGAACGAATAAAAAAATATAATTACACACAATGGATTACTCTTCAGCTATAAGAAAAGCCATGAGATCCTGTCATTTGCACCAACATGGATGGAACTGGATGTCATTATGTTAAGTAAAACAAGCCAGGCACAGAAAGACAAACATCACCTGTTCTCACTTATTTGTGGGATCTAAAATTCCAAACAAACTAATGGAGATAGAGAGTAGAAAGATGGATACTAGAGGCTGGGAAGGGTGGCTGGGGTGGTGAGAAGGGAGGTAGTGATGGTTAGTAGGCACAAAAAAATAGAAAGAATAAGTAAGACCTAGTATATGATAGCACAATAGGGTGACTGTCATCAGTAATAATTGAATTGTACATGTTAAAATAACTAAAAGAGTATAATATGATTGTGTAACACAAAGAATAAATGTTTGAGGGATAGATACTCAATTTTCTATGATGTGATTATTATGCATTGCATGCTTCTACCAAAATACCTCATGTACCCGGTAAATATATATATACCTACTATTTACTCACAAAATGTAAATTATTAAAAATTAAAATTAGAAGATCTGAATATAATTGCAAAATTATGACATAAAAATATTTTCCTAGATGGAAATGTATTATGTTATTTTAATATGACACATTCTAATTAAATCAATTATAATATTCTTGAATATACAATTTGCCCAAAGCACTGGGAAAACACACACACACATACACACCCCTATTCCCCCACATACAGTAATACCTCAGATATACTGCATCTTACCGATCACTGCAATAAAACGAATAGCAAAATAAAGTGAGCCACACAAAGCTTTTGGTTTCCCAGTGCATATAAAATTATGTTACACTATACTGTAACCTATTAAGTGTTCAATAGCGTTGTGTTTAAAAAATAATGTGTATTCCTTAATTTAAAATTCTTTATTGAGCTGGGCACACTGGCTCATGCCTGTAATCCCAGCACTTTGGGATCCCAAGGTGGATGAATCACTTGAGGTCAGGAGTTCGAAACAAGTCTAGCCAACATAGTGAAACCCCGTCTCTACTAAAAATACAAAAATTAGCCAAGTGTGGTGGCGGGCACCTGTAATCCCAGCTACTTGGGAGGCTGAGGCAGGAGAATTGCTTGAACTTGGGACATGGAGGTTGCATTGAGCCTAGATTGCACTACTGCACTCCAGACAGGGCAACAGGGCAGGACTCTGTCTCAAGA
The DNA here is from genome assembly GCF_000001405.40 of Homo sapiens. NCBI lineage: Eukaryota > Metazoa > Chordata > Mammalia > Primates > Hominidae > Homo > Homo sapiens. Next base: position 103,858,791 of record NC_000001.11, read on the forward strand.
AAAAAAAAAATTCTTTATTGTTAAAAGAAGCTAACTCTCACCTGAGTCTTCAGTGAATAGTAATCTTTTTGCTGATGGAGGGTGCCACCTCAACATTGATGACTGCTGACCGATGAGGGTGTTGGTTACTGAAGGCTAGGGGTCTCTGGCAATTTCTTAAGATGGCATATTTGTTGCACTGATTAACCCTTCCTTTTATGAAAGATTTCTCTGTAGTGTGTGATGCTGTTTAAAAGTATTTTACCTATAGTAGAACTTTTTTCAAAATTAGAGTCAATTCCTTAAATTCTGCCAACACTTTATCAACTAAGCTTGTGAGATATTCTAAATCTTTTGTTGTCATTTCAACAATGTTCACATAATATTCACCAGAAGAATGTTTCTTCTCAAAAAGCAGCTTGATTTTCTCACTCATAAGAAATAACTTCTTGTCCACTCAAATTTTTTATACAGTTATAACTTAATTTATGAAATAATATAGCAAAATTTGTTATACATTGTTTCTTTTGATATGACAAGATTTAGAAGTAAAAAATTGCCAACTCACAATTGACTTTTATTCATTTTCATATAAATGGCTGAGAGATATAACCAAATATTATCTTACAGTGTATTCACAGAGATGTAAAACCTGAAAATATTTCAACAACTGAGCTAAGTATAATCAGGATCTCTGACTGGGTTTGCATGAATTGCATGAGTAAACAGCAATTTTTTTAACTAAATGTATTCAAATTAGATGTTTATAAAATGACATATTTTAAATTCTTACTTTGGATATTGAATGTATACTAAATGTTGTTGCTATGCAAAAGGGGAAAAGTCTCACTGTAATCTTTTAGTCAGTACATTAGTTTGCACTTCAACTCTGCTTCATTAAGCAACACTTACCTGGCAGGCAGGAGATCATAATCACCATTCAAGTTTTATTATGTGATTGCAACAATTCATTTACATCTATAGGCTCTACTTCTAATACTAGTTTTCTTGCTATTTCTATCACATCTGTAGTTACAATCCTCTGCTGAATCCTTGATCCCCTCAAAGCCATCAATGAGAGTTGAATCAACTTTTTTCAAACTCCTGTTAATGTTGGTATTTTGACATCCTCCATGAGTCACGAATGTTCGCCACATCTAGAATGGTGAATCATTTCCAGAAGGTATACAAAGAACTTTGCCTAGACCAGAGAAGTTACTATCAATGGTAGCTATAGCCTTACAAAATGTATTTTTTTACATAATAAGACTTGAATATTGAAATAACTCTTTGATCCATGGGTGGAAGGATGGATGTTGTATTAGAAGGCACAAAAAAAGCATCCATTTCCTTGTACATCTTCATCAGTAATCTTGGGTGACCAGGTGCATTGTCAATGAACAGTAACATTGTGAAAGGAACCTTTTTATCTGAGTAGTATGTCTCAACGGTGTGCTTAAAATATTCAGTAACCATGGGTAAACAGATGAGTTATCATCCAGCCTTTGTTATTTTATTTATTGAGCACAGGCAGAGTAGATTTAGCATAACTCTTAAGGGCCCCAAGATTTTTGAAATAGTAAATGAGCGTTGGTGCATGTTCTTTGAAGTTTGAAACCAGGCATTAACTTCTCCTCTCTAGCTATAAAAGTCCTGGATGACATCTTATTCTAATAGAAGGCTGTATGAGCTACATTTAAAGTCCATTATTATAGCTAGATCTCCTAGATAACTAGCTGCAGCTTCTGCATCAGCAGTTGCTGCATCAAATTGCATTTTTATAAAACTAGAAACAAGCTATCTGTGAAAATGTTTTGTGATGTGACACTTTATCTCACAGAATGGAATCTGTGTTTTGATTCCCCAGGTTGTAAACACTCTTTCAGTAGTATCTACAAAAGGACATTTCAGAGCCATTGAGGCCCATAGTGAGAAACCAAATATCCTGCAATAAAAATTAGAAACAAGCCATCTGTGAAAATACTTTGTGATATGTGCATTCATCTCACAGAATGGAACCTGTGTTTTGATTCACCAGGTTGGAAACACTCTTTGTAGAATCTTCGAAGGGACATTTCTGAGCCCATTGATGCCCATAGTGAAAAACTTAATATCCTGCCATGTAAACTAGAATCAAACTATCTGTCAAAATGTTTTGTGATGTGTGGATTTACTTCACAGAATGGAGCCTGCATTTTGATTCAGCAGGTTGGACAATTCTTTTTGTAGAATCTACGAAGGGATATTTCAGAGCCTATTGACACCTATAGTGAAGAACCGAATATCCTGTGATAAAAACTAGAAACAAGCTATCTCTGAAAATGCTTTGGGATTTGTGGATTCATCTCACAGAAAGGAACCTGTGTTTTGAGTCACCATGTCAGAAACACTCTTTTTGTAGAACCTACGAAGGGACATTTCTGAGCCCATTGAAGCCTATAGAAAAAAATCAAATATCCCCCTGTAAAAACTAGAAGCAATCTATCTGTAAAAATGCTTTGTGATGTGTGGATTCATCTCACAGAATGAAACCTGTGTTTTGATTTAGCAGGTTGGAAACACTCTTTTTGCAGAATCTATGACCGGACATTTCTGAGCCCATTGATGCCTACTGTGAAAACCTAATATCCCGCATTAAAACTAGAAACAAGCAATATGTGAAAATGCTTTGTGATGTGTGGATTCATCTCACAGAATGGTACCTGTGTTTTGATTCACCAAGTTGGAAATGCTCTTTTTGTAGAATATACAAAGGGACATTTTTGAGCTCATTGAAGCCTATAGTGAAAAGTTGAAAATCCAGCAATAAAAACTAGAAACAAACTATCTGTGAAAATGTTTGTGATTTGTGGATTCACCTCACAGAATGGAACCTGTGTTTTGATTCAGCAGGTTAGAAACACCTTTTAAACAATGTATGAATGGACATTTCTGAGCCCATTGATGACTACAGTTAAAACTTTAATATCCAACATTAAAAGTAGAAACAAGCTATATGTGAAAATGCTCTGGGGTGTGTCGATTAATCTCACAAAAAACACCCACGTCTTTTATTTTACCGGGTTGGAAACTGTCTTTGTAGAATATATGAATAAACATTTCTGAGCCATTTGATACCTTCAGTGAAAAACCTAATATCCTATGATAAAAACTAGAAACAAGCTATCCGTGAAAATGTTTTGTAATGTGTGAATTCATCTCACAGAAAGCAACCTGTGTTTTGATTCACCAGGTTTGAAACATGCTTTTGGTAGAATCTATGAAGAGACATTTCCAAACCCACTGGAGCCTACAGTAAAAAACTGAATATCCTGCAAAAGAAACCTAGAAACAAGGTGTCTGTGAAAATGCTTTTTAATGTGTGGATTCATCTCACAAAATGGAACCAGGTGGGAAACACTGTTTTTGTAAAATCTAAGAAAAGACATTTCTGAGCCTATTGAGGCCTATAGTGATAAACCAATTATCACACGTTAAAACTAGAAACAACTTATCTGTGAAAATGCTTTGCGATGTATGGATTCATCTCACAGAGTTAAACCTTTGTTTTGACTTAACATGTTGGGAAAACTCTTTTTGTAGAATGCATGAAGAGAGATTTCTGAGCCAATTGATGCTTATAGTGAAAAACTGAATACCCCACGATGAAAACTAGAAGCAAGCTACTAGTAAAAATGCTTTGGGATGAGTGGATTCTTCTCACAGAATGCAACCTGCGGTTTGATTCACCAGGTTGGAAGCACTGTTTTTGTAGTATATACAACAAAGCATTTATGAGCACATTGATACCTACAGTGAAAAACCAAATATGTCACCATAAAAACAGAAAGCAACCTATTTGTGAAGATGTTTTGTGATGTGTGGATTCATCTCACCTAATGGAGCCTGTTTTTTGGTTCAACAGGTTGGAAGCAGTCTTTTTGTAAAATCTACGACTGGAGAACTCTGAGCTCTTTGATGCCTGTAGTAAAAAACCTATTATCCTGTGATAAAATCTAGAAACAAGCTATGTATGAAAATGCACTGTGATGTGTGGATTCATCTCACAGAATGGAATCTGTGTTTTTATTCACCAGGTTGGAAACACTCTTTTTGTAGAATATATGAAGAGACATTTCTGAGTTCATTGAGGCCTATAGTGAAAAACCAAATATTTCACAACAAAAACTAGAAACAAGACAGCTGTGAAAATGCTTTGTGATTCATCTCACAGAATGGAACCTGTGTTTTATTTAGCAGGTTTGAAACTCTCTTTTTGCTAAATTTATGAATGGACATTTCTGAGACCATTGATGCCTCTGGTGAAAAACTGAATATCCTGCCTAAAAAACTAGAAACAAGCTATACGCGAAAATGCATTGTGATGTGTGGATCCATTTTACAGAATGAAACTTGTGTTTTGATTTAGCAGATTGGAAACACTTTTTTTGTAGAGTCTATGAATGGACATTTCTCACATTTCTGATGCCTATAGTAAAAAGAAAATACATACTGCATAAAAACTAGAAACAAGCTATATTTGAAAATACTTTGTAATGAGTGAATTAATCTCACAGAATAAAACTTTTTGATTCACCAGCTTGGAAGCACTCTTTTTGTAGAATCTGTGACCAGATATTTTTGAGCCCATTGTTGAAAAACTGAAAATCCCACATTAAATCTAGAAACAAGCTGTATGTGAAAATGCTTTCTGATGTGTAGATTCATATTACAGAAGGGAACCTGAGTTTCAATTCACCAGGTTGGAGTCACTCTTTTTGTGGAATATATAAAGGGTCATTTCTGAGCCCATTGATGCTTACGGTGAAAAACCGAATATCCCATGATAAAATCTAGAAACAAGCTACTGTGAAAATGCTTTGTGATGTGTGGATTCATCTCACAAAATGGAAAATGTGACTTAATTCAGCAAGTTGGAAACACCCTTTTTGTAGAAGATACGAAGGGACATTTCTGAGCCCATTGAGGCCTAGAGTGAAAAACCGAATATCCCACAAAAATCACTAAAAACAACCTATTGATAATAATGTTTTGTGATGTGTACATTCACTTCACAGAAGGAAACCTGTATTTTGATTCAGGAGGTTGGAAACGCTCTATTTGTAGAATGTACAGACAGACATTTCTGAGTCCATTGACGCTTACAGTAAAAAAACTTAATATCCTGCATTAAAACTAGACACAAGCTACACGTGAAAATGCTCTGGATGTGTGGATTCATTTCACAGAATGGAAACTGTTTTGATTCACCAGGCTGGAAACACACTCTCTTTATAAAATATATGAAGGAACATTTCTGAGCCCATTGACACTCACAGCAAAAAAACGAAAATCCCCCCAAAAATTAAAAACAAGCCACATGGGAAAATGCTGCATGATATTTGAATTCATCTCATGGAAAGAAACCTGTGTTTTGATTCACCAGGTTGGAAACACTGTTTTTGTAGAATATACAAAGGGACATTCTCAGCCCATTGTAGCGCATAGTGAATAACTGAATATCTTGCAATAAAAACTAGACACAAAAAAACTAGACACAAAAAACTAGACTAGAAAATGCTTTGTGCTGTACGGATTCATCCCAAAGAATGGAATCTGTGTTTTCATTTAGCAGGTTGGAAACACTTTTTTGTAGAGTCTACAAATGAACATTTCTGAGTCCTTTGTCACCTATAGTGAAAATGGAATATCCTGCATAAAAACTAGAAACAAGCTATATTTGAAAATGCTTTGTGCTATGTTGATTCATCTCACAGAATGGAACCTCTATTTTGATTGCCCAGGTTAGAAACACTCTTTTTGTAGAATCTACAAAGGGGCATTTCTGAGCCCATTGATGCCTATATTGAAAGACAGAATATCCCCTGATAAAAACTAGAAACAAGCTATCTGTAAAAACACTATGTGATGCATGGATTCATTTCATAGAATAAATCCTGTGTTTTAATTTACCAGGTTGTAAGCACTCTTTGCAAACTCTACCACCGGACATTTCTGAGCCCTTTCACCCCTATTGTGAAAAACCAAAAATCCCATGATAAAAACTGGAAACAAGCTATCTGTGACAATGCTTTGTGATGTGTGGATTCATCTAACAAAATATAACCTATGTTTCGATTAAGCAGGTTGGAAATACTCTTTGTAGAATCTAAAAATGGACATTTCTGAGCTTTCTGGTGCCTATAGTGAAAAACCAGATATGCCACATGAAACTAGAAACAAGTTATATGTGAAAATACTTCTAGATTTGTGGATTCATATAATAAAATGGAACCTGTGTTTTGGTTTACCAAGTTGAAAGCACTCTTTTTGTAGAAGCAACGACTGGACATTTCTGAGCCCATTGATGCCTATAGTGAAAAACCGAATACCCTGCATTAAGACTAGAAACAACATATCTGTGAAAATGCTTTCTTACATGTAGATTGTTTTCACAGAATGGAACCCGTGTTTTGATTCACCAGGTTGGGAACACTCTTTTTGTTTGTACAAAGGTACATTTCTGAGCCCATTGACATCTATAGTAAAAAATTGAATATCCCACAATAAAAACTAAAAACAAGCTATATGAGAAAATGTTTTGTGTTGTGTGGATTCATCTCACAGAATGGAACCTCTGTTTTGATTCACCAGGTTGGAAACACTCTTTTTTTAGAATGTACGAACCAATATTTCTGAGCCCATTGATGACTACAGTGAAAAATGGAGTATTCTGCATAGAAACTAGTAACAAGCTATATGTGAAAATACTTTGTGATGTGTGGATTCAATTCACAGAATGGAACCTGTGTTTTGATTCACCAGGGTGGATCACACTTTTTGTAGAATATACAAAGGGACATTTCTGAGGCAATTGAGGCCTAGAGTGAAAAACTGAATATCTCGTGATAAAAACTAGAAACTACCTATCTGAGAAAATGCTTTGTACTGTGCATATTCACCTCACAGAATGGAACATGAGTTTTGGTTCACCAGGTTGGAAATACTCTATTGATAGAATATATGAAGCAACACTTCCATTACCACTGGGCCCATAGTGAAAAACCAAATATCCATCATAAGAACTAGAAACAAGGTATCTGTGAAAATGTTTTGTGATGTGTGGATTTATCTCACAAAATGTAACCTCCGTTTTGATTCACCAGGTTGGAAACACTTCTTTTGTAGAATCTACGAATAAGTGTTTCTGAGCCCGTACAAAAAACTGAATATCCTGCTGTAAAAACTAGAAACAAGCTGTGAAAATGCTTTGTGATGAGTGGATTCATCCCACAGAATGCAACCTGTGTTTTGATTCAACAAGTTGGAAACACTCTTTTTGTAGTATATACGAAAAGACATTTCTGAGCCCATTGATGCCTGTAGTGAAAAACCAAATATACCACGATAAAAACTGGAAACAACCCGTCTGTGAAAATGTTTTGTCATGAGTGGATTCATCTCACTAAATAAATCCTTGTTGGGTTCACCAGGTTGTAAACAGTCTTTTTTTAGAATTACGACTGGGACAACTCTGCACCTTTTGATGCCTATAGTGAAACACCAAATATCTTGCAATAGAAACTAGACAAAAACTATCTGTGAAAATGCTTTGTCATCTGTGGATTCATCTCACCAAATAGAGCCAGATTTTTGTTTCACCAACTTGGAAACACTTTTTTCTTTCTTTTTTTTTTTTTTTTTTTTTTTTTTTTTTTTTTTTTGTGGAATCTATAACCATACAATTCTGAGCCCTTTGATGTCTATAGTGAAAAACTGAATATCCCATGATAAAAACTGGACACAACCTATCTGTGAAAATGTTTTGTCATGTATGGGTTCATCTCACCAAATGGGGCCTGGTTTTGGATCACCAAGTTGGAAACAGACTGGACAATGCTACACCCTTTGACGCCTACAGTGAAAAACCAAATATCCCGCGATTAAAGCTAGAAAAAAGCTATCTAAGAAAACGCTTTGTGATGTGAGTATTCATATTGCAGAATGTAACTTGTGTTTAGATTAACCACGTTGGAAATACTCTTTTTGTAGGATCTACAAAGTGATATTTCTGAGCTTATTGGTGCCTGTACTGAAAAACCTAATATGCTGAGATAAAATCTAGAAATAATCTATTGGTTAAAAGGCTTTGTGATGTGCAGATTCATCTCACAGAATGGAAACTGTGTTTTGATTCACCAGCTTGGAAACACTTTTTTTGTTGTATATATGAAGAGATGTTTCTGAGCCCATAGAGGCCTATAGTGAAAAACCAAATATCCCGCATATAAACTAGAAACAAGCAACATGGCAAAATACTTCCTGATGTGTGGATTCATCTGAAGGAATGGAGCCTGTGCTTTGCTTCTCCAGGTTAGAAACACTTTTTTGTAGAATATACAAAGGGACATTCCTGAGCCCATTAAAGCCCATAGTAAATAACTGAATATCTCACAATAAAAACTAGAAACAAGGTTTTTGTGAAAATGAATTGTGATGTGTGGATTCATCTCACATAATTTCACCTATGTTGTGATCCAACAGGTTGGGAAAACTTTTTTTCTACAATATGCGAAGCCACATTTCTGATACCATTTTTGCCTACAGTGAAAAACTGAATATCCTGCGATAAAACTAGAAACAAGCTATCTGTGAAAATGCTGTGTGATATGTGAATTCATCTCACAGAATGGTATCTGTGTTTGAATTGAGTAGGTTAGAAACACTCTTTTTGTAAAATTGATGAACAGACATTTTTGAGCTCTTTGTCAGCTGTGGTGAAAAATTGAATATCCTGTATAAAAACCAGAAACAAGCTATTTTTTAAAATGCTTTGTGATGTGTGCATTCATCTCACAGAGTGGAACATTTATTTTGACTTACCAAATTAAAAACACTATTTTTGTAGAATATACGAACAAGCATTCCTGAGCCCTTTGACTCCTATAGTGAAAAATCCAATGTCCCGCGATAAAAACTGGAAACAATCTATGTATGAAAATGCTTTGTAATAAGTGGATTAGCCCCATGGAATGTAGCCTGTGTTTTTTGGTTCACCATGGTAGAAATAGTCTTTTTGTAGAATCTACAAATGGATATTTCTGAGGCCATATTCACCTGTAGTGAAAAACCGAATATCCTGTGATTAAAAACTAGAAACAAGCTATGTGGGAAAATACTTCATGATGTGTGGATTCACCTTATATAATGGAACCTGTGTTTTGATTTACCAAGTTGGAAACACTCTTTTTGTAGAATATACAAAGGGATATTTCTGAGCCCATTGAAGCCCACAGTGAATAATCGAATATCTCTGGATATAAACTAGAAAAAAAGTATCTGTGAAAATGCTTTGTGATTTATGGATTCTTCTCTCAGAATGGAATCTGTATTTTGATTTAGCAGATTGGAAACATTCTTTTTGTAGAATCTACAAATGGCCATTTCTGAGCCCTTTGTTGTTTATAGTGAAAATTGAATATCTTGCATAAAAACTAGAAACAAGCTATATCTGAAAATGCTTTGTGATGTGTGGATTCATCTCGCAGAATGGAACCTCTGTTTTGATTCACCAAATTGTAAACACTTTTTTTTTTTTGTAGAATCTATGGAAGGGCACTTCTGAGCCCATTGATGCCTATAGTGAGAAAATGAATATCTCGTGATAAAAACTAGAAACAAGCTATCTGTAGTAATGGTTTGTGATGTGTGGATTCACCTCACAGAATGAAACCTACATTTTAATTTACCAAGTTGGAAACACTCTTTTTGTAGAATCTAGGAACAAACATTTCTGAGCCTTTTGTCACCTGTAGTGAAAAATAGAATATCCTGCATAAAAACTAGAAACAAGCTATATTTGAAAATGCTTTGTGATATGTGGAGTCATCTCACAGAATTGAACCAACGTTTTGATTCAGCACTTTTGTTTTTTTGTAGAATCTACAACCAAACGTTTCTGAGCCCATTGATGCTTACAGTGAAAAACTTAATATTTCGCATTAAAACTAGAAACAAGCTATCTGTGAAAATGCTTTATGATGAGTGCATTCTTCTCACAGAATGCAACATATGTTTTGATTCACCAGGTTGGAAACACTCCTTTTGTAGAATCTACAAACGGACATATCTGAGCCCTTTGATGCCTATAGTGAAAACAAATTATCCCACATAGAAACTAGAAGAAGCTATATGTGAAAATTCTTAGTGATATGTGGATTCTCTCACAGAATAGAACCAGTGTTTTGATTCTGCAGGTTGGAAGCACTGTTTTGTAGAATCTATGGCTGGGTTTCTGAGGCCATTGATGCCTATAGTGAGAAACAAAATATCCTGCGATAAAAAGTGGAAACAATATATCTGTGAAAATGCTTTGTCATGAGTAGATTAGTCCCACCAAATGTAGCCTGTTTTTTGATTCACCAGATTGGAAACAGTCTTTTTGTAGAATCCACGACTGGACAACTCTGAGCCCTTTGAGGCCTGTGGAGAAAAACCAAATATCCTGCAATCAAATCTAGATACAAGCTGTTGGTGAAAATTCTTGTGATGTGTTTATTTATCTCACAGAATGAAACCTGTGTTTTTATTCACTGGGTTGGAAACACTGTTTTTGTAAGATCTAAGAACAGACATTTCTGAGCTTTTCTCACCTATAGTGAACAACTGAATATCCTGCATAAAACTAGAAACAAGTGATATTTGAAAATGCTTTGTGATGAGTGGACTTACCTTACAGAATGGAAACTCCATTTGGATTCACCCCATTGGAAACACTCTTTTTGTTGAACGTACAAATGGACATTTCAGAGCCCACAGTAACCTAAAGTGAAAAATGGAATATCCCATGATAAAAACTAGAAACAAGCTATATGTGAAAATGCTTTGTGATGTGTGGATTCATTTCACAGAATGGAACCTGTGTTTTGATTCATCAGGTTAAAAATGCTCTTTTTGCAGTGTATACAAAAAGACATTTCTGACTCCATTGAGGCCTATAGCGAAAAACGGAATATCGCTCATGAAAACTAAACACAAGCCACATGGGAAAATACTTCATGATGTGTGGATTTATCTCACGGAATTGTACCTATGTTTTGATTCACCAGGTTGGAAACATTCTTTTCATAGAATATGCAAAGTGACATTTCTGAGCCCATTGAAACCCACAGTGAAAAACCGAATATCTCACAATAAAAACTAGAAACAAGGTATCTGTGGAAATGCTTTCTGATGTGTGGATTCATCTCACAGAATGGAACCTGTATTTTGACTTAGCAGGTTGGAAATACTCTGTTTGTAGAATCCAGAAACGGGCATTTCTGAGCCCTTTATTGCCTATAGTGAAAATGGAATATCCTGTATAAAAAATATAAACAAGCTATATTTTAAAATGCTTTGTGATGTTAGGACTCATCTGCCAGAATGAAACCTCTGTGTTGATTCAACAGGTTGGAAACACTTTTTTTGTAGAATCTACGAATGGGCATTTCTGAGTCTATTTATGCCTATGGTGCAAAACCGAATATCCCACCATAAAAACTGGAAACAACCTAACTGTGAAAATGTTTTCTGATGTGACGATTCATCTCATAAAATGGATCCTGGTTTTTGGTTCATCAGGTAGGAAACAGTCTTTTTATAGAATCCACGAAAGGGACATTTCCCAGCCCATTGAAACCTATAGTGAAAATCCGAATATCCTGTGATAAAACTAGAAAAAAGCTATCTGTGAAAATCTTTGTGACGTGTGGATTCAACTCTTTTTGTAGAATGTGTGAATGGACAACTCTGAGCCCATTTACACTTATAGTGAAAAACTGAATATACTGTGATAAAAACTAGAAACACACTATCTGTGAAAATGTTTTGTGATGTGTGGATTAATGTCACAGAATGGAACCTGTGTTTTGATTCACCAGGTTGGACACACTGTTTTGGTGGAATCTATGAAGAGAAAACTCTGAACCCATTGATGCCTATAGTGAAAAACCTCATAAAATACAAAAAGCGAGCTATCTGTGAGAATGCTTAGTGATTTGTGGATTCATCTCACAGAATGGAACCTGTGTTTTGATCCACCAGGTTGGAAAGACTCTTATTGTAAAATGTACAAAGGGACATTTCTGAGCCCGTTGATGCATATAGTGGAAAACTGAATATCTTACAATACAAACTAAGAACAAGCTATCCATGAAAATATTTTGCGATATGCAGATTCATCTCACAGAAGGGAACCTGTGTTTTGATTTACCAGGTTGGAAACACTTTTTTTGTAGAATGCATGGTGGGACATTTCTGAGTCTATTTATTCTTAGAGTCAAAAACCGAATATCCCACAACATAAACTAGAAATAAGCTTTCTGTGAAAATGCTTTGTGATGTTTGAGTTTATCTCACAGAATAAAACCTGTGTTTTGATTCAGTAGGTTAAAAACACTCATTTAGGAGAATGTACAATGGACATTTGTGAGCCCATTGACACCTATAGTGAAAAACTGAACATCTCTTGATAAAAACTAAAAACAAACTACCTGTGAAAACGCCTTGTTGTGTATGGATTCATCTCACAGAACATAACCTGTGTTTTGATTCACCACGTTGGAAAATCTCTTTTTGTAGAATGTACGACAGGACAACTCTGAGTCCATGGATGCCTATAGTGAAAAACCTAACATTTGAATAAAAACAAGCAAAAAGCTTTATGTGAAAATGCTTTGTGGTGTGTAAATTCATCTCACAGGTTGGAAACTGTGTTTTGATTCACCAGGTTGGAAACACTATTTTTGTAGAATCTATGAATGGACATTTCTGAGCACATTGGCGCCTTTGTGAAAAATCCAATATTCTGCATAAAAACTAGAAGCAAGCTATGTGTGAAAATTCTTTGTAATGTGTGGAGTCATCTTACAGAATGGAACCTGTGTTTTTATTCACCAGGTTGGAAACATTCTTTTTCTGGAATATACAAAGGAATATTTCTGAGCCCTTTGGTGACTATAGTAAAAGAACGAATATTCCACTCTAAAAACTAGAAACAAGCTATCTGTCAAAATAATTTGTGATGTGTGGATATATCTCACTGAATGGAATCTGTGTTTTGATAAACCAGGTTGAAAACATTCTTTTCGTAGAGTATAAGAAGGGACTTTTCTGAGTGCATTCATGCCTATAGTGAAAAACCGAATATCCCTTGATAAAAACTAGAAACAAGCTATATATGAAAATGCTTTGTGATGGGTGGATTCAGCTCACAGAATTGAACCTGTGTTATGATTCACTAGGTCGGAAACACTCTTTTTGTAGAATCTATGAAAGGATATTTTTGAGCCCATTGATGCCTATAGTGAAAAATCAAATATCCTGTGATAAAAACTAGACACAACCTATTTGTGAAACTGGCTTTGCGATGTGTGGATTTGTCTCTCTTAATGGAAACTGTGTTTTAATAAACCAAGTGAAAACACTCTTTTTGTAGAATCTACAAATGAACATTTTTTATCACATTGATGCCTATGGTAAAAAACTGATTATCCCACAATAAAAACTAGAAACAAGCTATCTGTGAAAGTGTTTTGTGATGTGTGGATTTGCCTCACAGAATGGAACCTGTGTTTTGATTCACCAGGTTGGAGATGCTCTATTTGTAGAATATACGAAGGGACATTTCTGAGCCCATTGACCTCTATAGTGAAAAACTGAGTATCTTGCATAAAAACTAGAAACAAGCAATATGAGAAAATACTTTCTGATGTGTGGATTCATGTCACTGAATGGAACCTATGTTTTTATTCACCAGGTTGGAAACACTCTTTTTGTGGATTATAAAAAGGAATATTTCTGAGCCCAATGATGCCTATAATGAAGAACAGAATATCCCGTGATAAAAAACAAAAGTAAGCTATTGTGAAAACGTTTTGTGTTGTGTGGGTTCAGCTAACAGAAAAGAACCTGTGTTTTGATTTATCAGGTTGGAAACACTCTTTTTGTAGAATATACAATGAACATTTCAGAGCCAATGTATGCTTAAAGTGAAAAAGTGAATATCCCTTGATAAAAACTAGAAACAAACTTTCTGTGAAAATGCTTTGTGATGTCTGGATTCATCACCCAGAAGGAAACCTGTGTTTTGATTCAGATGGTTGGAAACTCTCATTTTGAACAATGTACGAAAGACCATTTCTGGGCCCACTGATGCCTTTAGTGAAAAACTCAATATCTCATGCTAAAAACTAGAAACAAGCTATCTGTGAAAATGCCTTGTTGTGTGTGGATTCATCTCATAGAATGTAACCTGTGTTTTGATTAACCACCTTGGAAAAACTCATTTTGTAGAATATATGAACAGACATTTCTGAGGCCATTGAGCGTATAGTGAAAAACCCAATATCCCACGATAAAAACTGGAAATAAGCTATCCGTGAAAATGCTTTGTGATGTGTGGATTCATTTCAAAGAATGTAATGTGTGTTTTGATTAACCACCTTTTGGAAAAACTCACTTTGTAGAATGTACGAACAGACATTTCTGAGGCCATTAAAGCCTATGGTGAAAAACTGAATATCCTGCAATAAAAACTGGAAACAAACTATCTGTGAAAATGCTTTGTGATGTGTGGATTCATTTCAAAGGATGGAACCTGTGTTTTGATTAACCAAGTTGGAAGCCCTCTTTTTGTAGAATCTACAACTGGACAATATTGAGCCCATTGATGCCTATAGTGAAAAACCTAATATCCCGCATAAAAACTAGAAACAAGCTATCTGTGAAAATACTTTGTGATATGTGGATTCATCTCACAGAATGGAACTTGTGTTTTGATACAGCAGGTTGGAAACAGTCTTTTTGTAGAATTTACGAAGAGACATTTCTGAGCTCATTGAGGCCTATAGTGAAAACCCGAATAACCTGCGATAAAAACTAGAAACAAACTATTTGTGAAAATGCTTTGAGATGTGTTGATTCATCTCCCAGAATGGAACCTGTGTTTTCATTCACCAGGTTAGAATCATTCTCTTTGTAGAATCTATGAGGGGACATTTCTGTGTCCATTTTTGCTTATATTGGAAAACCAAATATTCTGTGATTAAAAACTAGAAACAAGCTATCTGTGGAAATGCTTTGTGATGTGTTGATTCATCTCATAGAATGGAACCTGTGTTTTGATTCACCAGGTTGGAAACACTCTGTAGAATCGACAAAGGGACATTTCTGAGCCCACTGAAGCCTACAGTGAAAAACCGAGTATCTCTTGATAAAAAACTAAAAAGAAGCTATTTATGTAAATGCTTTGTAATGCGTGGAATCTTCTCAGAGTTTAACCTGTGATTTGATTAACAAGGTTGGAAACACTCTTTTTGTAGAATCTAAGAAGGGACATTTCTGAGATTGTTGATGCCTATGCTGAAAAACCAAATATCCCACAATTATAACTAGAAACAAGCTATCTGTGAGAATTCTTTGAGATGTGTAGATTCATCTCACAGAGTTAAACCTGTGTTTTGATTCACCAAGTTGGAATTACTCTTTTTGTAGAAACTACAAAGGAACATTTCTGAGTCCATTGAAGCCTATAGTGAAAAACTGAATATCCCATGATTAAAACTGGAAACAAGCTATCTGTGAAAATTCTTTCTTGTGTCTGGATTCATTTTGCACGAAGATTACTTTTTTCCTGTAACCTCTGTTAGTTTCAGACTTCACTTCTGTAGCTTCCTGATCCCTCTCATTCTTTATATGATTATGCTCTTGATTATGCTTTGGCTTAAGAGCACGTTTCAGCTAATTTGTTGTGTTTTTTGTTTTTTTTTTTGATGGATTCTTGCTCTGTTGCCAAGTCTGGAGTGCAGTGACTCACTGCAAGCTCCGCCTCCCAGGTTCACACCATTCTCCTGCCTCAGCCTCCTGAGTAGCTGGGACTACAGGCACCCACCACCATGCCCGGCTAATTTTTTGTATTTTTAGTAGAGATAGAGTTTCACTGTGTTAGCCAGGATGGTATCGATCTCCTGACCTTGTGATCCGCCCACCTCAGCCTCCCAAAGTGCTGGGATTACAGGCCTGAGCCACCGCACCCAGCTGCTAATTTGTTCTTCTATCTAGATCACTAAAACTTTCTCCATATCAAAAATAACTTTTTTTTCTTTTATGTCATTCATGTGTTCACTGGATTAGCACCTTTAATTTCCTTCAAGAACTTTTCCTTCTTATTCACAATTTGGCTAACCTGTTGGTAAAAGAAGCCTAGTTTTCAGCCCTATCTTGTCTTTCAACTTGTTTTCTTCACTTTGCTTACTCATGTCTAGCTTTTCATTTAAAATGAGAGATATGTGACTCTTTCTTTCACTCAAACACTTTAAGGCCATTGTGTGGTTATTTTTTGCCCTAATTTCAAAGTTGTTGTATCTCAGGGAATAGGGAGGCTGAAGGAAGAGAGACAGGGGAAGAGCCAATTGGCGAAGCAGTTGTAACACACACAACATCTATTGATTAAGTCGGTCATTTTATATGGGCACAATTTGTGATTCCCCAAAATAATTAAAATAGTAACATCGAAGGTCACTGATCACAGATTACCATATCATATATAATAATAGTGAAAAACTTGGAATATTGAGATAATTATTAAAACATGGCACAGAGACATGAAGTGAACACATGCTGTTGGAAAATGATGTTGATAGACTTGCTTGACAAAGCGTTGCCACAAACCTTCAATTTGTAAAAAGCACAATATCAGTGAATTATAATAAAGTGAGGTGCATTAAAATGAGGTGTGCCTGTATTTCTTCAAATTTTGATCTCTTTACCTGATTTCTCACACCAGTCATTATATTAAAACCCTTGCTATTATAACAAATGAGATATAATTTACTTTTGATTATTACTGTCATCTGAAAAAACATTAAGACTTAAACAAAAAGAAATAATATCAAATAGCAATTTATTAAGTTAAAAAAATTAAAAAATATTTAAAATGTACATGCATAAAGGCATTTTGCAAAGCTAATACTAGATAAAATAGACTTCAGAAAAAACTTAGGAAGTGTTCTTATTCTACAAGGGAATACTCTTCTCGATGTTTAAAAATTCTAAAAGGAACTTTGGGGTTTTAAGAATTAGTGTTAGTCTTATTCCTCTTAGGGTTTAGAATTTGGATGAATGAAGTAGGGCATTGATTCAACACCTGTGATGTTTAATTTTGTTTTGCTGTTTAGAATTACAGCTTGCAAGACTATCCATTGAGAGATTCTTCCTATAGTATATCTAAAAGGCTAAATGTTTCCTCTTGTGCTGAGTGAACTAATTTCCATTACTTTCTAGTGCCTTCCTGTTGTTAATCACCTGCAGACAACCACCTGTAGACAAGCAGCACTACATTTATGAATATAATAGTCTGTATATGTACTTTTCCATTCTTCTCTCACAAAAAAGTGTTTTCCTCCTGCTGTTCAATGCATTTTGAACATGTGTTGTTCTGTAAATTTAAAGAAAGGTTAAAAAGAAAATTAAACAAGATTCATCTGAAAGTATTGCAAGTTAGTACCATACACCTGGCACATAGTTTTTAAAACAACATAAGTTTATGGGAAGGAACTGCTTGATAAGGAGCAGAACTTAAAAAAAAAAAAAAGATGAGGAGAAGCCAGTGCATTGAAGATTAGATAAAATCTTGCAATGTGATACTGCTGGAAGAAATGGAGAGGTAATGAGATAAGACAGAGCAAGGGAAAAACCAGGTAGAATATGGAAGAAAAAATTCCTAAGTATGAGGTCTGTTAGAGTGCTAAATATCTTTCTAAGTAACAATAGAAATTCTGTGCCCTGAATAATTTCAAAGTAGAGTAGGAAATTAGATTGAAAATATAATGTGGTGGCAAATGTTTAATGACTAAGGAGCAAGATGATAAAAGAAACAAACACACGCAAATTCAGAAAGTTGGATGATTCAAAACACAATAGTTTGAATTTACTGATTTCTTCTTATTAACAATAAAAACATTTATGATATTTTACATTTGTAGAATGCTTTTATAAATTCTTCAAAACTTTCATCAACCAAAAAGAATGTGACTTAATTTTGTAAATATGTTGGAAATCTGAGATTTACAGTTGAGACTCTGTTGAGACCACAGCCTCCACTGACATCAGAATTACAGTTGGTGAGAGCCTGAGCAGAGCACCCAGTTTAGCTGTACCCAGGCTCCTGATGCATGGAAATTGTGAGATAATAAATGCATGATTTTAGGGTGCTAAGTTTATGGTAATGCTATAGAGCAATGAAAAACCTAATGCAAACATTAATGCTTAGTACAAGACAATGCTATTTAGAAGATTTTAGAAAGACTATTTAACTACTATAGTATTGAATGGAAATGGCTGATGCCAGAAAACTCTACTTGCTCTCCTATCTGCTCACTTGTTAGTAACTTAATAACCTAAGACCATTTCCAGAACACATCTCTCATTTCAATCTCTGGTTAAATTAGTGTTGGAACCTGTCCTCTTTTTTAAAAAATCTTGCTTTGGCCTCTGGGAAAGTCATTAGTAAAATAACTGATTCAATTTTTTAAATTTAAAAATGTATATTTCTTTTCTTAAGAGTAATAATCAGAAAGTAATTTAAGAGAATCTCAAATCTTATCTTTGTCCTAAGTGTTATGTAAATGTGTTTTAAAATGCTCTGTTGACAAATGCCATATATGAAAAGCCCACAGTTAATATCATACACAATAGTGAAAAATTAAAAGCTTTACCTCAAAAATAGGAACAAGACAAAGATGTCCCCTCTTGCCACTTTTATTCAGCACAGTATTGGAAATCCTGGTCAAAGCAATTAGGCAACAAAAATGAAAAAAGGTATTCAAATAGAAAAGGAAGTAAAATTATCCTTGTTTACAGATGACATGATTTTATACAAAGAAAACCATAAATACTCCACCAATAAATTGTTAGAACTAATAAACAAATATAGTAAAATTGCAGAATACAAAATGAACATACATAAAATTAGTTGCATTTCTATATACTAACAATGAGATATCTGAAAATGAAATTAAAAAAAGCAATCCCACTTGCAGTAGCACTAAAAAAAACTTAGAAATAATAAATAAAATTAAATACTTGTACTCTGAAAACTACATTTATTAAAGAAATTGGACACTAATACATGGAAAGACATCTTGTGTTCATGGATTGGAAGACTTAATATTGTTAAAATGTTTGTGCCATCCACAGTGATCTTTAGAGTCAACAAAATTATGGCAAAATCTCAATGGCATTTTCTACAGGAAAAGAAAAATGACAATACCCAAATTCATACGGAACCACAAAAGATCCTGAAGAGCCAAATCCTTGAGAAAAAATAACAAAACTAAATACATTATACTTTCTGATTTAAAGGTATATTACAAAATTATCGTAATTAAAACAATATAGGACTAGCATAAAAACAGATGTATAAACTGATGGAACAGAGTAGAGATCTCAGAAATCAATCCATACACATGTGGTCAACTGATCTTGGACAAGTGTGTGAAATTATATCCAGTGGGGAAAGAATAGCCTCTCAATAATGGTGCTGGGAAAACTGGATATCCTATGCAAAAAAGGAAATTTTGTTTGTTTGTTTGTTTTGTTTTGTTTTGTTTTGGGTTTTGTTTTGTTTTGAGACAGAGTCTCACCGTGTAGTTCAGGCTGGAGTGCAGTGGTGCAATCTCAGCTCACTGCAACCTCTGCCTCCTGGGTTCAAGTGATTCTCCCACCTCAGCTGGGATTATAGATGTGCACCACTGCACCCAGGTAATTTTTGTATTTTTTGGTAGAGACAGGGTTTTGCCATGTTGGTAAGGCTGGTCTCAAACTCCTGACCTCAAGTGATCTGCCCACCTCAGCCTCCCAAAGTGCTGAGATTACAGGCGTGAGCCACCACACCGGACCATAGATTTTTATACTATACACTAAAATCAACTCAAAATTGATTAAAATCTTAAATGTAGGACCAAAAATTGTAAGACTCCTGGAAGAAAATTTAGGGAAAAACTTCACAGTATTGGTCTCAGCAATGACTTCATGGGTATGACACCAAAAGCACAGGCCATAAAAGCAAATATAAACAATACTATATCATACTAAAATGTTTCTGCATAACAACAAGGAAACAATCAACAGAGTAAAAAGGCAACCTGTGTGATGGAAGATAATATTTGCAAACCATATACCTAATAAGAAATTAATTTCTGAAATATATAATAAATGTCTACAACTCAATAGCAAACATATGCATACATACACAATACATTCCCCCACACCCAAACACTAATAACCTAATTAAAATAGGCTAAATAATTGAATAGATACTTTTCCAAAGAAGATACACAAATGACTGACAGACATAAGAAAAGATGCTCAACATCACTAATTATCAGGGAAATACAAGTCAAAATCAATGGGATATCACTTTATGCTTGTTAGTATGGCTCTTATAAAACACAATTACACAAGCATACACACACAAAGAAAATAAGCATTGAGGAGGATGTGAAGAAATTGAAACAGTTGTGCACTGTTGGTAGGATTGTAAAATTGTGCAGCTGTTATGAAAAATAGTACGGATATTCCTCAAAAAATTAAAAAATAGAAGTGCCTCATGATCTAGCCTTTCTACTTTTGGTTATTTATCCAAAAGAATTAAAGTCAGAAACTCAAAGATATATCAGCACTGCAGTGTTCATTGCAGCACTATTCACAATAGCCAAGTTGTGGAAGCAATCTAAATTTCCATCAATGGATGACTATATAAAGAAAATATGATACATGCATTAAAAAGACTATTATTCAGCCTTACGAAAGAAGGAGACCTAAATTTCCAGCAATGGATGACTATATAAAGAAAATGTGATATGTGCATTAAAAAGAATATTATTCAGCCTTACAAAAGAAGGAGACCTAAATTTCCATCAATGGATGACTGTATAAAGAAAATGTGATATATACATGAAATAGAACATTATTCAACCTCACAAAAGGAAGAGATTCTGCAATATGCAATAATATTGAGAACACTATCCTAAATGAAGTAAGCCAGTTACCAAAGAACAAATACTGCATAATTCAATGTATATAAGGTGTCTAAAAGAGTAAAATTCATAGAATCAGAAAGCAGAATGATGCTGTTCAGGGGTTGCAGCAAGGGGAAAATTGGGAGTTGCTAATCAATGGGCATAGAGTATCAGTTTTGCAAGATGAATGTATTCTAAAGATCTGATGTATAACATTAGTCCTATAATTAACAATACTGTATTGTACTTAAATTTTTTTGAAAGGGTAAATCTTATGGCAAGTGTTCTTACCATAATAAAATAAAAATTTAAAAATCCGATTAATATAATAAATAATTTTAATACATATAAAAACACTGTCAACTTGTGTTGGCATTAAAGAACATAAGAATTAATATTAAGTGTTTAGTTGTTTTGTTTTATTCCCAAATAAATAAGGATTGTTTTACTATTCATATTTTATAAAGTTATAACTTTATATAAAATTCCTTAGTATTTCATAAACCAATCACTTATAGCTATTTTAAAACCAAATAAATAGAGGAGGAAAAAGTAAGTGAAAGTTAGGATGAAACTATGTCCTTAATTATCATTTGTGATGCGGTTTCTTTTAGGCAAATTTTTCAGTTTTTCATTTGACTCTACATACTTTTAAGTGGGCAAGAGAGATAAGATACTGACATGAGAGTCAGAGCAGCATTTTAATACAAGAGCAAAATATCAGATAATTGGAGATTTTTCATCTGTCCCACAACAAATGTATCTAAGTAGACCAAAGATCTGATGGAAAAAGAAGAGCAGGCAATGCTATGAGATATCCAAGGGAGGCAGCAGATCCTATGATGTCATTTGACTGAATCTTAAACATGTGGAAGACACTGATATGAAGATAACTAGATACATATTTTACTAATGTTTTTGCTTAGGACCCAAGTTATATTTTTCTCTGGAGTACTTGTGTGATATTAGGAGTAAGGGGTGGTGGTATTAATGGTGTGTGTGCTTGTGCATATGTGTCTGTGTGTGTGTGATAAGGAGTGACTTAGAAAATATGACAATTTGACTACTTTTCTCAAAGTAAAAAAAAATAATAAGCTATACTTTGGGCTTAGGTGTCTGTAACATTAACTGTTGCTCTTACAGAAAAAAAAATCACATTGAGTGTGAAACATGAGCATAAATTGCATGAACTTCTTTGCATTATGGCAATATTAATAATAACAATAATAATGATAGTCACCATTGATTATCTACTTTGTGCCAGTCCTATGGGACTTTCATATTTTGCCTAACCCTGACATACCATCAATGAGGTAGATAATATTAGACACATTTTTCATTTTAAGAAATAAAAGCTGAGAAAGTTTAAATAACTTATGATAAATTACACATCTACTAAATGTAGAGTCAGGAATTTGAATAAGATTTGTTAGGTATGAATAATTCAGATAATTTTATGAACTTGTTAAAATAACTATTTTGGCCTATAGAAAAATATTTTTTATAGGCACTTGATACAATACACCATCCTTTTATTATAAAAACAGTCAACAAACAAGGTATTGAAGGAACATACCTCAAAATAAGAGCCAATTATGACAAATACACAGCCAACATCATGGTGAATGAGCAAAACCTGGAAGCATTTCCCTTAAGAACAAGAACAAGACAAGGATGCTCCATTCTCACCACTCCTATTCAATACAGTACTGGAAGTTCTAGCCAGAGCAATTAGGCAAGAAAAAGCAATAAAAGGCATCCAAATAGGAAAAGAAGGAGTCAAATTATCCCTCTTTGCTGATGATATGATTCTATACCTAAAAAATCTTGAAGACACTGACAAAAGGCTCCTAGAACTGATAAACAACTTCAGCAAAGTTTCAGGATACAAAATCAATGTACAAGAATCAGGAGCATTTTTATACATCAGTAACATTCAAGCTGAGAGCCAAATCAAGAATGCAATACCATTTACAATAGCCACAAAAAAATAAAATTACCTAGAAATACATCTAAGCAAGGAGACGAAAGCTCTTTACACTGAGAACTACTAAACGCTACTCAAAGAAATCATAGATGACACACACAAATGGAAAAACATTGCATGCTCATGAATAGGAAGAATCAATGTCTTTAAAATGGCTGTACTGCCCAAAGCAATCCACAGATTTGATACTATTCCTATCAAACTACAAAGGTCATTTGTCAACAAAATTAGAATAAACTATTCTAAAATTCATATGAAACTACCAAAAACCTCTAATAGGCAAGGAAATCTTAATCAAAAAGAATAAAGCCAGAGGCATGACATTACCAGACTTCAAACTATACTTTAAGACTACATTAACCCAAACAGAATGGTACTGGTACAAAAACACACATATAGACCAATGAAACAGTAGAGAGCCCAGAAATAAAGCCACACACCTACAGCCATCTAATCTTTGACAAAGTTAACAAAAATAAGCAACAAGAAAAAGACTCACTATTCAATAAATGGTGCTATTTATTAATAATAAATAGCCATATTTAGAAAAATAAAACTGGACCCCCACATTTCATCATACACAAAAATTAACTCAAGATGGTTTAAAGATTTAAGAGAACTCTTACAAGATTCTACACAAGACAATAATTCCCAAGACACATAATCAGATTTGCCAATGTCAAAATGAAAGAAAGAATAGTTAAAGGCAGCTAGACAGAAAGGGCCGGTTACCTACAAAGAGAGCCCTATTAGGCTAACAGTGAAGCTTTCAGCTGAAACACTGTAAGGCAGAGGAGATTGGAGGCCTACAGTCAACATTCTTAAAGAAAAAAAAAAAATCTTCAACCAATACTTTCATATCCAGTCAAACTAAACATCCTAAGCAAAAAAGAAATAAGATCCTTTTCAGATATACACCTGTTTACAGTTTGTTACTATTAGACCAGCCTTGAAAGACGTCTTGAAAGGAGAGCTAAATATATAAAGAAAAGACAGCTAACAACTAATACAAAAGCACACTTTAATACACAAACCAGTGACACTGTTTGTGTCACACAAACAAGCCAGCATAATAACCAGCTAAAAACAGAGTAACAGGATCAAATCCACACATATGAATAATAACTTTTTTTTTTAATTATTATACTTTAAGTTTTAGGATACATGTGCACAATGTGCAGGTTTGTTACATATGTATACATGTGCCATGTTGGTGTGCTGCACCCATTAACTCATCATTTAACATTAGGTATATCTCCTAATGCTATCCCTCCCCACTCCCCCCACCCCACAACAGTCCCCAGTGTGTGATGTTCCCCTTCCTGTGTCCATGTGTTCTCATTGTTCAATTCCCACCTATGAGTGAGAACATGCGGTGTTTGGTTTTTTGTCCTTGCGATAGTTTGATGAGAATGATGGTTTCCAGCTTCATCCATGTCCCCACAAAGGACATGAACTCATCATTTTTTATGGCTGCATAGTATTCCATGGTGTATATATGCCACATTTTCTTAATCCAGTCTATCATTGTTGGACATTTGGGTTGGTTCCAAGTCTTTGCTATTGTGAATAGTGCCACAATACACATACGTGTGCATGTGTCTTTGTAGCAGCATGATTTATAGTCCTTTGGGTATATGCCCAGTAATGGGATGGCTGGGTCAAATGGTATTTCTAGTACTAGATCCCTGAGGAATCACCACACCGACTTCCACAATGGTTGAACTAGTTTACAGTCCCACCAACAGTGTAAAAGTGTTTCTATTTCTCCACACCCTCTCTAGCACCTGTTATTTCCTGACTTTTTAATGATTGCCATTCCAACTGGTGTGAGATGGTATCTCATTGTGGTTTTGATTTGCATTTCTCTGATGGCCAGTGATGATGAGCATTTTTTCATGTGTTTTTTGGCTGCATAAATGTCTTCATTTGAGAAGTGTCTGTTCATATCCTTTGCCCACTTTTTGATGGGGTTGTTTGTTTTTTTCTTGTAAATTTGTCTGAGTTCATTGTAGATTCTGGATATTAGCCATTTGTCAGATGAGTAGGTTGCCAAAAATTTTCTCCCATTCTGTAGTTTGCCTCTTCACTCTGATGGTGGTTTCTTTTGCTGTGCAGAAGCTCTTTAGTTTAATTACATCCCACTTGTCAATTTTGGCTTTCGTTGCCATTGCTTTTGGTGTTTTAGACATGAAGTCCTTGCCCATGCCTATGTCCTGAATGGTATTGCCTCGGTTTTCTCCTAGGGTTTTTATGGTTTTAGGTCTAACATGTAACTCTTTAATCCATCTTGAATTATTTTTTGTATAAGGTGCAAGGAAGGGATCCAGTTTCAGCTTTCTACATATGGCTAGCCAGTTTTCCCAGCACCATTTATTAAATAGGGAATCCTTTCCCCATTTCTTGTTTTTGTCAGGTTTGTCAAAGATCAGATAGTTGTAGATATGCGGCCATTATTTCTGAGCTCTCTATGCTGTTCCATTGGACTATATCTCTGTTTTGGTACCAGTACCATGCTGTTTTGTTTACTGTCGCCTTGTAGTATAGTTTGAAGTCAGGTAGCGTGATGCCTCCAGCTTTGTTCTTTTGGCCTAGGATTGACTTGGCAATGCGGGCTCTTTTTTGGTTCCATATGAACTTTAAAATAGTTTTTTCCAATACTGTGAAGAAAATCATTGGTAGCTTGATGGGGATGGCATTGAATCTATAAATTACCTTGGGCAGTATGGCCATTTTCAGGATATTGATTTTTCCTACCCATGAGCATGGAATGTTCCTCCATTTGTTTGTATCCTCTTTTATTTCATTGAGCAGTGGTTTGTAGTTCTCCTTGAAGAGGTCATTCACATCCCTTGTAAGTTGGATTCCTAGGTATTTTATTCTCTTTGAAGCAATTGTGAATGGGAGTTCACTCATGATTTGGCTCTCTGTTTGCCTGTTATTGGTGTATAAGAATGCTTATGATTTTTGCACACTGATTTTGTATCCTGAGACTCTGCTGAAGTTCCTTATCAGTTTAAGGAGATTTTGGGCAGTGACAATGGGGTTTTCTAGATATACAATCATGTCATCTGCAAACAGGGACAATTTGACTTCCTCTTTTCCTAATTGAATACCCTTTATTTCCTTCTCCTGCCTGATTGCCCTGGCCAGAACTTCCAACACTGTTGAATAGGAGTGGTGAGAGAGGGCATCCCTGTCTTGTGCCAGTTTTCAAAGGGAATGCTTCCAGTTTTTGTCCATTCAGTATGATATTAGCTGTGGGTTTATCATAGCTAGCTCTTATTATTTTGAGATATGTCCCATCAATACCTAATTTATTGAGAGTTTTTAGCATGAAGGTTGTTGAATTTTGTCAAAGGCCTTTTCTGCATCTATTGAGATAATCATGTGGTTTTTGTCTTTGGTTCTGTTTATATGCTGGATTACTGTTTATATGCTGGATTACGTTTATTGATTTTCATATGTTGAACCAGCCTTGCATCCCAGGGATGAAGCCCACTTGATCATGGTGGATAAGCTTTTTGATGTGCTGCTGGATTCAGTTTGCCAGTATTTTATTGAGGATTTTTCCATCAATGTTCATCAAGGATATTGGTCTAAAATTCTCTTTTTTGGTTGTGTCTCTGCCAGGCTTTGGAATCAGGATGATGCTGGCCTCATAAAATGAGTTAGGGAGGATTCCCTCTTTTTCTATTGATTGGAATACTTTCAGAAGGAATGGTAGCAGCTCCTCCTTGTACCTCTGATAGAATTCAGCTGTGAATCCATCTGGTCCTGGACTTTTTTTGGTTGGTAAGCTATTAATGATTGCCTCAATTTCAGAGCCTGTTATTGGTTTATTCAGAGATTCAACTTCTTCCTGGTTTAGTCTTGGGAGGGTGTATGTGTCGAGGAATTTATCCATTTCTTCTAGATTTTCTAGTTTATTTGCGTAGAGGTGTTTATAGTATTCTCTGATGGTAGTTTGTATTTCTGTGGGATCAGTGGTGATATCCCCTTTACCATTTTTTATTGGGTCTATTTGATTCTTCTCTCTTTTCTTCTTTATTAGTCTTGCTAGTGGTCTATCGATTTTGTTGATCTTTTCAAAAAACCAGCTCCTGGATTCATTGATTTTTTGAAGGGTTTTTTGTGTCTCTATTTCCTTCAGTTCTGCTCTGATCTTAGTTACTTCTTGCCTTCTGCTAGCTTTTGAATGTGTTTGCTCTTGCTTCTCTAGTTCTTTTAATTGTGATGTTAGGGTGTCAATTTTAGATCTTTCCTGCTTTCTCTTGTGAGCATTTAGTGCTATAAATTTCCCTCTGCTTTGAATGTAAACAGGCTAAATGCCCCACTTAAAAGGCACAGAGTGGCAAGCTGGATAAAAAGCAAGACCCATACCATTGTATGATGTCTTCAAGAGACCCATCTCACATGTAATGACACACATAGGGAAAAAAAAAAAGTCTTCATAAAGGAAGAAATTATATTGGCCCACCATTGAAATGTTTATTGTTCAAAGGTAGAAATAAAAGTGAAAAAAAAATAAAAAAGACCAGCAAAATAAAGGGATGGAAGAAAATCTACCAAGCAAATGGAAAACAGAAAAAGGCAGGGGTTGCAATTCTAATTTTGGACAAGATTGATTTCAAACCAACAAAGATCAAAACTGAAAAAGAAGGGCATTACAGAATGGTAAAAGTTCTATTCAACAAGAAGATCTAACTATCCTAAATACATATGCAACCAAAATGGGAACACCTAGATTCATAAAGCAAATTATTAGAGACCTACAAAGAGACATAGACAACCAAACAATAACAGTGGGAGACTTTAACACTCCACTGACAGTATTAGACAGATCATCGAGGCAGAAAGTTAACACAGATATTCAGGACCTGAACTGACCATTGGACCAAATGAATATGACAGACCTCTGTATAACTATTGACCCAAAACCAGTGGAATATACATTCTTCTTATTGCCACATGGAGTGTGGTCTAAAATGAACCACATAATTGTACAGGAAACAATGCTCTAGCAAATAATAGAACCAAAATCATAACACCACACTCTCAGAACACAGTGAAATACAAATAGAAGTTAATACTAGAAAAATTGCTCAAAACCATGCAATTACATAGAAATTAAACAACATACTCCTGAATGACTTTTGGGTAAATAATGAAATTAAGGCAGAAATCAAGAAGTTCTTTTTATCTAATGAGAACAAAAACACAATGTGCCAGGATCTCTGGGACACAGCTAATACAGTGTTAAGATGAGAATTCACAGCACTAAATGCCACATTAAAAAGGTAGAAAGATATTAAATTAACAACCTAATATCACAACTAAAAGAAATAGAGAAGCAAGAGCAAATCAATCCCAAAGCTAGCAGAAGACAAGAAATAACCAAAGTCAGGGCTTAACTGAAGGAAATCAAGACATGAAAAAGAAACTGAAGAGTTCAACAAATTCAGGAGTTGTGTTTTTTTTAACAAAATAAGATAGATTAAATGCTAGCCAGGCTAATAAAGAAGAAAGTAGAGAAGGTCCAAATAAACACAATTAGAAATAATGAAGGGAATGTTACCACTGACCCCACAGGAATAAAAATAACCATCAGAAACTACTATGAACACCTCTATGCACACAAACTAGAAAACCTGGAAGAGAAGGATGAATTCCTGGATGCATATACCCCTCCAAGACTAAACCAGGACAAAAATTCATTCCCTGAACAGACCAATAATGAGCTCAGAAATTGAAGCAGTAATAAATAGCCTACCAACCAAGAAAAGCCCAGGACAAGATGAATTCACAACCAAATTCTACCATATGCACAAAGAAGAGCTGGTACCATTCCTAGTAAAACTATTCCAAAAGTTGAGGAGGAGGGACTCCTCCACAATTCATTCTATGAGGCCAGCATCATCATGATACCAAAGCCAGGCAGAGAAACACAAAAAGGGTAAATTTTAGGCCAATATCTTTGATGAACATCAAAGCAAAACTCTTCAACAAAATACTTCGATGAACGTCAATGCAAAAGTCTTCAACAAAATACTGGCAAACCAAATCCAGAAGCACATCCAAAAGCCAATCTACCACAATCAAGTAGGCTTCATCCCCAGGATGCAAGTTTGTCTCAACATATATTTTGTCTCAAAATAATAAATGCGATTCATCCCATAAACAGAACTAAAGAAAAAAGCTAACGATTATCTCAACAGATGCAGAAAAGGCTTTTGATAAAATTCAACATCCCTTCATGTTAAAAACTCTCAATAAACTAAGTATTGAAGAAACATACCTCAAAAGAATATCAGTGATGTATGACAAACTGAGAGCCAACATACTGAATGGGCAAAAGCTGGAAGCATTCTCTCTGAAAAACCAGCACAAGGCAAGGATGCCCGCTCTCATCACTCCTATTCAACATAGCATCGGAAGTCCTAGCCAGAGCAATCAGTTAAGAGAAATAACTTAGGGGCATCCAAACAAGAAGAGAGAAAGTCAAACTATCCCTGTTTGCAGATGGCATGATTCTATATCTAGAGAAGCTCATAGTCTCATCCCAAAAGCTCTTTCAGCTAATAAGCAACTTCAGCAAAGTTTTAGGATACAAAATCAATGTAGAAAAATCATTAGCATTCCTATACACCAACAATAGCCAAGCTGAGTGAGGAATCACAAAAGCAAGCCCATTCACAATTGCCATGAAAAGAATAAAATACCTAGGACTACAACTAAGCAGGGAGGTGAAAGATCTCTACAATGAGAATTACAAAACATTGCTCAAAGAAATCAGACAAGACACCGACAAATGGAAAAACATCCCATGCTCTTGGATAAGAAAAATCAATATCATTAAAGTGTCCATACCGTCCTTAGCAATTTACACTTTCAATTCTATTCCTATCAACCTACCAATGACATTCTTCACACAACTAGAAAAAAAAAAACTATTTTAAAATATATATAGTACCAAAAAAAAAAAAGCCTGAATAGCTAAGGCAATCCTAAGCAAAAAGAACAAAGCTGGAGGCATCATGATACCTGACTTCAAACTATACTACGTGGCTACAGTAACCAAAATAGCATGGTACTCATACAAAAACAGGCACATAGACAAATGGAACAGAATAGAGAACTCAGAAATTAGGCTACACACCTACAACAAGCACCATCTTTAGTTTGTCTTTGACAAAGCTGACAAGAATAAGCAATAGGGAAAACTCTTTAATCAATAAATGGTCCTGAGATAACTGGCTAGTTATGCAGAAGATTGAAGCTGGATTCCTTCATTACATCATCTACAAAAATCAACTCAAGATGGATTAAAGACTTAAATTTAAAACCAAAACTATAAAAACCCTGCAAGAAAACCTGGACAATACCATCATGAACACATGAACAGGCAAAGATTTCATAAAAAAGACACGAAAAGCAATTGCAACCAAAGCAAAAATTGACAAATGGGATATGATTAAGCTTAAGAGCTTCTACACAGCAAAAGAAACTATCAACAGAGTAAACAGACAACTTACAGAATAAGAGAAAATATTTGCAAGATATGCATCTGACAAAGGTCTAATATTCAGCATCTATAAGGATCTTAAATTTACAAGAAAAAGAAAACCCATTGGAAAGTTGGCATGGGACATGAACATACTTTTCAAGTGAAGACATACATGCAACCAACAAACATAAAAAAAAGCTAAATATCACTGATTATTAGAGACATGCAAATTAAAGCCACAGTGAGATGGTATCTTACACCAGTCAGAATGGCTATGATAAAAGTAAAAAAATAACAGATGCTGGTGAGGTTTTGGAGAAAAGAAAACACTTTGGTGGGAATGTAAATTAGTTCAGCCATTGTGGAAAACAGTGTGGTGATTCCTCAAAGAGCTAAAAGCAGAACTACCATTGACCCAGTAAGCCCATTACTGGGTATATGCCCAAAAGAATACAAATTATTTTACCATAAAGACACATGCATGGAATTGTTCATTGCGGCACTATTCACAATAGCAAAGACATGGAATCAATCTAAGTGTTAATTAATGATAGACTGAATGAAGAAAATGTGGTACATATACACTATGGAATGGTACATAGTCATAATAAAAGATTATATCTTTTGCAGGAACACAGATGGGGCTGGAGGTTATTATCCTTATCAAACTAATTCAGGAACAGAAAATCAAATACCACATTTTCTCATTTATAAGTGAGAGGCAAATAATGACAACTCATGAACACAAAGAGGAGAACAACAGATATGGAATCTCCTTGAGGATGGAAGATGGGAGGAGAGAGAGGAGCAGAAAAATAATAACCATTGGACACCAGGCTTAATACCTGAGTAATGAAATAATCGGTACAACACACCCCCATGACAAAAGTTTACCTATATAACAAACCTTCACATGTACCCTCAATCCTAAAATAAAAGTTAAAAAAAAAGAAAGTATAACAAGTACCTAGTCACTGCATTATTGTAACAAATGTTAAATAAATGTACACTTATAAATTTGTTTTAATAAAAGTTTTTTTGGGATAATTTCATATACCATAAAATTCACCCATTTAAAAATGTGAAATTTAATGGTTTTTAGTGTATTTACAGAGTTGCACAATCATCATTAAGATAATCAATTTTGAAATGTTTTCATCAACTCAAAAAGAAACCCCATACTTATTAGCAGTTACTCCCCATTTCTCCAATCTCACCCCACCACAAACCCTAGGTAACCACTAATCCACCTTCCGTCCTTACAGATTTGCCTATTCTGGATATCTCCTATATAAGAAATTACACAATATGTGGTCTTTTGTGACTGGCTTCTTTTATTTAGCATAATGCTTTTTGTTTTGTTTTGTTTTGTTTTGTTTTGTTTTTGTTTTGAGATGGAGTTTTGCTCTTGTTGCCCAGGCTGGAGTGCAGTGACGCGATCTCAGCTCACCGCAACCTCTGCCTCCTGGGTTCAAGCGATTCTCCTGCCTCAGCCTCCCAAGTAGCTAGAATTAACAGGCATGCGCCACCATGCCCATCTAATTTTGTATTTTTGGTTGAGACGGGGGTTTTCCATGTTGGTCAGGCTGATCTTAAATTCCTGACCTCAGGTGATCCGCCCACTTTGGCCTCCCAAAGTGCTGGGATTACAGGCGTGAGCCACTGCGCCTGGCCCGCATAATGTTTTTAAGGTTCATACATGTTTTTGCATGTGTCAGTACTATTTTATTGGCAAATAATATCCCATTGTGTGCATATATCACATTTTACTTTTCCATTCTTCAGTTGATGAACATTTGGCTTATTTCCAATTTTTGACTGTTGTGAATGGTGGTGTTATGAACATTTGTCAACAAATTTTTGTATACATGTAGATATGTTTTTATTTCATTTGAATATATACCTAGGATTAGAATTAGTGAGTCATATAGTAACTCTATGTTTAATGTTTTGAGGAATTTCCAGACAGTTTTCCAAAGCAGCTGTGCCATTTTACCTCCATCAGCAATATATGAGGATTTTAATTTTTCCACATTTTTGCCAGGACTTGCTATTATTTCGTTGCTTTGATTATAGTCATCTTAGTGCATACTATACGGTGTTCCCATATGGTTTTGATTTGCATTTTCCTGATGGCTAGTGATGTTGAGCATCTTTTTTCATCTGTTTACTGGCCATTTGTTTATCCTCTTTGGAGAAATGTCTTTTAAGATCCTTTGCGGCTGGGTGCGGTGGCTTACACCTGTAATCCCAGCACTTTGGGAGGCAGAGGCAGGCAGATCACGAGGTCAGAAGTTCGAGACCAGCCTGGCCAATATGACGAAACCCTGTTTCTACTAAAAATACAAAAATTAGCCGGGTGTGGTGGCACGCACCTGTAGTCCCAGCTACTCAGGGAGCTGATGCAGGAGAATTGCTGGAACCCGGGAGGTGGGGATTGCAGTGAGCCGAGAACACACCACTGCACTACCGCCTGGGCAACAGAGTGAGACTGTGTGTCAAAAAAAAAAAGAAAAACAACAACAAAAAAAGATCCTTTGCACATTTTTCAATTGGGTTGTGTTTTTATTATTGAGTTGTAAGTGTTCTCTATATATTCTGGATACAATTCCATGACCAGACATGATTTGCAAGTATTTTCTCTTATTCTGTGGGTCATCTTTTCACTTTTGTCATGGCTTTGAAACTTTGAAGCACAAAGTTTTTTATTATTTTCTTTAGTTGTTTGTGTCTTTGATGTTATATCTAGGAAACTATTGTCTAATCCAAGTTCACAAAGATTGATGCTTTTATTATGTTTTAAGAGTTTCATGGTTTTATCTCTTTCATTTAGTTCTTAGAACCATTGTCAGTGAAATTTTTTGTATGATATGAAGTAGAAGTAAAAACTTGTTATTTTGCATGTGGATGTAATTTGCCCTAACCGTTTTTTTTGGTAAGTGTTTAATTTTGACAAATTACATTATATCATTTAAGAAAACTATAGAGCTTTTCACAGCAAAAGAAATTATCAACGGAGTAAATAGACAACCTATAGAGTGAGAGGAAATATTTACAAATTGTGCATACGACAAAGGTCTAATATTTAGAATCTACATGAAACTTAATACAACAAGCAAAAAGCTAATAATCTCATTTAAAAGTGGATAAAGGACATGAACAGACACTTCTCAGAAGAAGACATACTAGCTGCCAACAAACGTGAAAAACAAGCTCAACATCACTAATCATCAGAGAATGCAAATCAAAACCAGAAAGAGATATCATCTCACACCAGTCAGAATGGTTATTATTAAAAGTCAAAAAATAACAGATGTTGGCAAGGCTGCAGAGAAAGGAGAATGCACATACGCTGTTGGAATAAATGTAAATTTATTTTTTAATATTAATTTATAAATGTAAAAAATATTATTTATAAATGTAAATTAGTTCTGCCACTGTGGAAAGCAGTTTGGAGATTTTTCAAAGAATGTAAAATATAACTTTCAACCTAGAAATCCCATTACTGGGTATATATAGTTCTTCCAAAAAGACACATGCACTTGATTATATCTGCACTATGCATAGTAACAAAGACATGGAATCAACCTGAGTGTCCATCAATGGTGGACTGAGTAAATAAAATATGGTACATATGCATCATGGAATATGCATGCAACCATAAAAATGTATGCATTTTTAGTATGCAACCATAAAAAAAAATTGTAACCTTTGCAGCAACATAGATGCAACTGGAGGCCATTATTCTATGCGAATTAATGCAGGAACAGAAAACCAAAAACCACATCTTCTCATTTATAAACAGCAGCTAAGCTTTGGGTATATATAGACAGAAAGATGAGAACAATAGACACTAGCAATTACTGGAGGGGAAGAAGATAAAGAGGGGCTGAGAAATCTACCTATTAGGTACCATGCTCATTAACTGGGTGATAGGATCATTTGTACCCTAAAACTTAGCACAATGAAATGTACCCATGTAACAAACGTGCACATGTACTCACTGAATCTAACATAAAAGTTGAAATTTTAAAAAATACTTTAAAAAAAGCAAAATGATAAAATAAATGAAAACAAACATTTTAAGAATTCATCAATGTATCTTAACAAAGAAGGCTTAATAGAACACTCATAAGCAAGCATGTGAAAATTATGAGTCAGATAGATGTGTTTTAATCCCAGTTTCAGTCACAGTCAAGCTTCTAGGAAAGTTTTATCCATTAAGTCTTTTCCATTAAACAGCCCATCCAGTCCTCAATCTACTGTAACACGGCTAATTGCTTTCTGCATTTAAAATTTTCTATAATTGAAATTATCTGTGAATTCCTAATTGCCAAATCTAATAAATAATTTTCCTTGTTATATAGCCCACACTTTCTCAAATATTTTACTCTACCAACTACCCCAATTGAAATTTGTTCCTCCTTTGGCTTTTGTGATGCCAATTATTCTAAACATTTCTTCTAAATCTAGGGCCAGTCCTTGCTCTCATTTTTGGTTTCTTCTTCCTTTGTCTTATATTTAAACGTTAGTGTTATCCAGAGTTCTATCTCAGTTTTCTCCTCCTCTCTTCTATATATTCTTCCTGGAAGATGATTTCCAACTTTTCCTTTAGGGGCTACTTGACCACTGATGATACCTAGTAACATTCTGTACTATATATTAACAGAGCCAAAGTTTACTTAAAATCCATTCATGGATGTTTTCCTATTGAACTCATGATCTCTTCCCCACCTACAATCTCTGGATCTCTTTGTTTTACATTTAGTATAGAGTAAGGGCTAAAAGTATATATATATATATATATATAAAACAGAATTAATACTTTTAAAGGTGTTTGTTCAACTGGAAAGTGAATGATGATTGCCATATTTCTTTCTATATCACAAATATTCCTTTCAGAATAATAAACAAGAACCTCATGGGCTTCAAGGATCACTTAAATATTTGATCAAAATGAGCAGTTATTTCTTCACAAGGAATAGTTTCAAGAAAAATTATTAAAAGCAAAATTTTTTTCTTAATTTTTTTCTTTTTGAGATGGAGTCTTACTCTTGTTGCCCAGGCTGGAGTGCAATGGCGCAATATTGGCTCACCGCAACCTCCCCTCCTGGGTTCAAGCGATTCTCCTTCCTCAGCATCCTGAGTAGCTAGGATTACAGGCATGCGCCACCATGCCCGGCTAATTTTGTATTTTCAGTACAGACAGGGTTTCTCCATGTTGGTCAGGCTTGTCTTTAACTCCTGACCTCAGGTGATCTGCCCACCTCGGCCTTCCAAAGTGCTGGGATTACGGGCATAAGCCACTGTGCCTGGCCAAAATTTTTACTTTTATTTCAGTGCTCTAATCTCCAGGAATATAGTGACCTCAAACGATCCCTTAATAATTGTGATAAGACTCTAATCAGATGTCTTAGGTAGTTATTGCCACAATACTGCTGCATAACACACAACCCAAAAAATACAATATTTTTTCTCAGTCACCTATCATAGATTGGCTGAAATAGAATTATTTTGCCTGTGTTTGGCTTGGTTTGGCTCCAAGCTGTCGTTGGGTTCAGATTTGCTTCACATATTCTTATTCTTTTTTGAACAAGAAGACCGACCAAGGCATGTTACTTTCATGGCAATTTGTCACAGTTGAGGTACTTTATAGAGTGCTGAGAATATAGAGAGAAAGATAAAAAATGGAATGTTTATATTAGAAGCCCTTCACAATGGAAAAGACATTTGCTCTGGACCATGAAGGATGGGAAAGTAAAATTAGCCAATCAGAAAATAATACCCAATTATTCATGATAAGGTATAATATTATTTCTGTTAGCTTAAATAATTTATTATGTTAACTGAAGGAGGATGCTTTAAGTTTTAACAGAAAAGGCATGTAAACCACAATCTCAACTTACAGAAATGACTATTACAAAATTTTTCAAGCAGGCAGGTGGACCCTTCTGGCACTGAGATAATTCATGTTAGAAGGCATGTAGCACTTTGAATTAAAGGACACTCAAAGGCAAACCAGTGGCCTGGGGCCTGAATAAATCTTACTGGAGCATTTGGTTTATGCTGAATAATATTTTATTAAGAATTTGAACAAATAATTTACTATAGTGCAATTTCAAATAAAAATTCGAGTTTCTGGAAATGTTGTGTCTGTATTCCAACATGAAAAGAATTGGCTAAAGCTGAGTGGTAGTTTCCTAACAGAACATAAAAGCCCTGTATACTTCCTAAGTGACTCCAGATCCCACAAAGTTCTATTGCGTCCTTTTACTCAGAGATAGATTGTTAGTTCTTTATTTCCATAGACCATGGATTTTTTTTTTCTGGTAGAGGAGGAATAGTTTTCTGTCTTTTATCAAAAATGGACAAATAAAAGATATACCAAAAAGACCCATGTGCTTCAAGTAAAATGGAAGGAAGAATATTTGTGAGGACTAATTCTCTTTTTTAAAAATTTTTTTAAAATTATTATACTTTAAGTTCTAGGGTACATGTGCACAGCATGCAGGTTTGTTACATATGTATACATGTGCCATGTTGGTGTGCTGCACCCATTAACTCATCATTTACATTAGGTATTTCTCCTAATGCTATCCCTCCCCGCTCTCCCCACCCCACAACTAATTCTCTTATTATGCATGTGAAAAGTGGTGACAGTTGTGATAGAGAGAAGGCATTATTATGAGGCTTTCCAAAAGCCGTACCACCTTAGTTTTATGCTTTCTGCTCTTACTGCCACTGCCACTGCAGCAGATAACTCTCAATACATGTTATCACAATGCAGCATTAAATAGTTCCCGGAAATTAGTCACCCAAAACCGAGATTCTCAAATCCCAGTTCAAAAAATTGCATTATCCTCTTAGAGCCTACTTCCCTACTATAATCTGCATGTTTTGAATTTTTAGTCTATTCAAATATTCTGGACAAGGCTATACTGACAGCAATCTTTTGTTATTTCTCTTCCTATAGCATCAGTATCAGAGACATGGGAAATGTTGATTTCTGAGGAAACATGTTTTATGTTGGACCTAATATACAAAGAGGTATTTCAAACTGAGGCAAATATTTTAATACCCAAAACAGTTGCATAGTCTTGGGAAGCATATGAAATAATGAAGTTCCCATTCAAATTTTAAAATCTTTAGCCTTTGACAGAAAATATATTTATCTATCTCCAAAGACAATGAAATGCAAAATCTAATCAAGCTGTCAACCTGGGTAGGAACTATCAATATATAGAGTAGATGCAAATGAATCTAGAGACACAGATATAGCATGACAATTTATAAATACAGTTGATAACATGGGTTTGAACTACCTGTGTCCACTTATTTTCTTTTACCTCTGCCATCCCTGAGACAGCAAGACCAACCCTTCCCCTGCCTCCTCCTCTTCAGCTTACTCAACTTAAAGACAAAAAGGATGATGAATTTTATGAGGATTCAATTTCACTTAACAAATAGTAAATACATTTTCTTTTCCGTATGATTTTCTTAATAACACATTCCTTTCTCTAGCTTACCTTTATGTTAAGAATACAGAATATAATACATATAATATACAAAATAAGCATTAATTGATTCTTTATGTTATCCTTAAGGCTTCCAGTCAACATAAGCTATTAGTAATTAAGTTTTGGGGGAGTTAAATGTTTTATGTGGATTTTGGACTGCACGGGGAGTGGGGATCAGTGTCCCTAACTTCCACATTGTTCAAGGGTCAACTGTATGGTAAATTTGTAAAGTTAGCCCTCTAAATTTAAAGAATGTCAAAAATATTTCTCAGTGGGGAGAGAAGAAGGCATTTTTCAGTCTTAGAAAGATTTAGAATTGGATATAAAAAAATGTGAAAGACTCAAACTCATTAACATTATATTCTTTAGTAAAGAATGGGAAGCTGGGTGTGGTAGTGCGTTACTGTAGTCCCAGCTACTCAGAAGGCTGGGGTGGGAGAATCACTTGAGCCCAGGAGATTGAGGCTGTAGTGCACTATGAATGTGACTGTGAATAGCCATTGCATGCCAGCCTGGGCAGCATAGTGAGATCCTTTTTTACAAAAAAGAAAAAAAGAAGTAGGAGCATACTTTCTGTTAGGCTCTGTAATGTTAAAGAGAATTGGCCAAATGAAATCATAAGGAGACATTCAATTTTTAAATTCCTGTGATTTAAAATTAAAATATCTAATGTGTAACTATTTTAGGCTTATGTTTTTTTTTGTTGAAATCTTACTTTTTAAAAGAATATGTAAAATAAGTCTAGTTTCACTTTATAAATTTAATTTATTAGAATTTTAAGAAGTATTTAGTGTTCAGGAAATTTGTCATAAAACTCAAAAACCTAAGAAAATAAATTATTAAATATTTAATTTAGTTTATATTGTTTAGATGTTTTTAATTATGCTTGTGAGACCAGAAATTATTGAAAAACCCTTAAAATAATTTAAGAATGTGTTAGACATATATTTAAAATAAGGCAAGTAACCTGAACTTATTAAAAATGAACTAAATATGTATAATTATAAATTTAATTCACTGAATTTTTAAAAGATCAAAATAAACCTCTGAATATTTATTTCTATAAGTAAAAACATCCCTGAAGTTATAAAACAAAAACAAAAATTTTTAAAAACCCCTTCAGTATTAGAAATAAAACATATAGCCATCTTGGATAGAGTGAGGATTTGACCATCACTTTTCAAGACTCATCGGTTTTATATGTATGTTCTCAGAGTCATCATATTCCCTCAATAGACCAAGATTATTAATTAAAACTTGACAAGAAATATTACTGGCATACAAAAATGTTCTACGAAGATTTAAATAAACTTCTAATATTATTAAAGTATTAATAGAATTTGATTTGTATTCGAGTGCTTATTTTATACCAAAGCCCTTAGAATCATTTATATTACTTCATTTTGATAAGCCTTTGATCTTGGCTCAAAGCAGTTCTCTGAACCAACTATTTTTGTTTCTATGTGCTTGACATGTATAAAACAAAAAAAAAGTATTGGCGTAACTGAAAAAATTAGTTAATTTACTTGAAAGATTAGTCAATTTAAATTATTGATAGCTTTCAACAACAAATAAAATTTGTTTGACATTTTCAGTGGATTTGGATTATCTGGTGGTCTACTCATAGGGGTCCAGATGGTACTTTCTGTACCTAGTGGGATTCTAAGTTATTTTCATTTATTTCTATATATTCTTATGCAGTTTTAAATTTTCTTGCAATGAGATTAGCAGTGGAAAAACATAATTTACTATAACACATTAATTAAAAAGCATATTTTTTCCCAGTGACTTCTCAATTATATAAAGTGAAACCATAAATTGTGCGCTGTAACATTTTTTAGGGCTTAAATATTTTAATGATTGGGAAGTATACCATCATTAAGGAAAGGAAGTAGCTTTGCTCCAAGCACACTCTGTCCTGTGATATATCTCAGCTTAGAAGACTGCAGACTAATTAGACACACACCATATGCCTCCCTATGGTTTCATTTACTTTATGTTGGTTTCTATTCTTCAGTCAGAACTGGTAGATGTGTTCTTTTGCAGTTAAACTTTTCCTTTTGAAAAAACTGCTTTTAATTACAAAATTTTAAAAGGGGAAGTATGAAACCTTACCTATCGTCAAGTTATAAAA
Organism: Homo sapiens; assembly: GCF_000001405.40. NCBI lineage: Eukaryota > Metazoa > Chordata > Mammalia > Primates > Hominidae > Homo > Homo sapiens. The sequence goes on from NC_000001.11 coordinate 103,898,953, forward strand.
ATTTGCAGCAGGTATCCACAGCCTCATGGTGGTCAACCTCATGCAATGTGACTTTTGCCAAGGACTCTGAGTGAAATCCTGCTGAACTAGACTGCAATTCTTGTGTCAGCTCTGTCCTGTAGTGCAGATCAATCACCAAGTAGCCTTTGAGCTCTTGTGGACATTTAAGATTCCAAAGCTTGAATCCTATGTACATTTACAGAAGAGGCAGGGAGAGCAGCCACTCTCCAGTCCGTACTCAATCCCAGCATGATATGCAATAATGACCTGTCAGGATGGAGACTGTGTACCCTCACACTGTGAAATATCCTGAGGGATTTTTTTATGAATTTGATAAAAGATTCAGCAGGGCTCTAGGCAAGAAATCATGCACACAATTTCCAAAGTACATCACAATCTTTTAAAAAAAATTCAGAGGGTATCATCACCTTGGGTGTTTTCGTGTGTCCTTTAAAAAATTATAAAAATGAAAAGGATGACCTGAGTCTCCTGGCCATGAAGAATATCATCTCTTTTTTCAAAGTTTATGGTATAAAGCCATTTATCTTTTTACCTTAGCAAGATGTTCTTTGCTTTTTAAACATTCACTGATTTAGTTTTATTTTTGCCCATTCATATAATAGGATAGCCATTGAATGATTAGTTTTCATTAGTCATGGCGCAGAATTTGTCAGAGTTAATTCAAAGGCTAAAACTAACAGCATTTCATTTCTAGGTAACCAGATGGTCCTCAATACACTAGAACAAGAGTACTTATATTTTTTCATATAAAGGTCAATCAAGAAGAACCTCTCCCAGGAAAATGCACAAATACCTATTAAAATAAAAACTTGCATGTAAATTTAGACAAGTCACAGATTTCTTGAAGCCCAGTGTTTCAGGTTGGGTAGGGATGAGGAAGCTGACTGTAAGAGAGAGTTTAGAATGTGGAATATTTATTAGGGAGCAACACCTGTGGAAAGCAGAGCATGGAGGCAAGATTGGGCAGAGGGCAGAACTATGATGCAGAGGGCAGAGCTTTGTTGGCAGAACCAATAAAGCCTCAGGCAATCTCAATCTTCTACGGGAATCATCTTCGGGAGCTAGAATGGCCCTTCAGTATTGTCCCAAGTTGGACATCCCTCCATTGATCATTCATTGAGTGGGACACTTAGAAAGGGGTGTGATTTAGGTCACCCTGCAGCAGATGTAGTATCTGAAGGGGATGATGGCAAAAGCCTGTTTACTTGACAGCTTTCCCGGCAGCTGAGGCAACAAGGTCTTCTACAGATGGCATCTGGATGACACATCACAGTGCTGACCACATCCAAGTTCTTAGAAACCCAGCCCTAAAATTGTCAGCTTTCTTTCTTTAATTTTATTCACAGAAGTAACTTTCTGATTTCATTTCCAAAATGTAGTTTAAAGACCAATTAAGATAAATAATTTGATTAAAATATTTATGCCTCACTTGCACAATAATGTAATATAGGTGTGGTTTACTGAGTGGGTAGTTAATTTATATTTTGAACTTTCTTGCCTTTTTAGATACTTTAATTTTAACAATTACATATTCATTTATTACATTGTTTCAAGCAGATATTAAAATAACAAGAAAGTTGTTAAAATGCAGAAAGAGTTAACCCCACCACTACCAAATCTGGTGAATCTAAAAGGTAAATCTCTTTTGCCCTGGTTCCATTAGTGCCGCTAAATAACTGACAGGTATGGAACAAAAATAAGAATAAATGGAAATAAAACAGATGGCATCATTGCCCTCCTCATTACAAAAAAAATTAAATGAAATAAAAACAAGAAAAATAATAGTAATATACTTTTCAGTCAAAAATGTAACTGAGGTAATGAAAGTAATCTCCTAATTGTTAAAGATTTTCACCTTTTATCAGCTTAGGTTGTCACTGAAATATTTTTATGCCTAAATCTAAATTATGCAAGGGGGAGAGTACTATTTTCAGTATGCCATATTTAATTCTCTAAAATGAACTTGTTCAGTAAGGGCCTGAAGGGATGAATGATAGCCTGGCAGGTTCTCAATAAATAATGACAATTTATCAGTAAAGAGGTTTATTTTCATGAGATGAATATGTAGATACAGCTGTAACTTTAATTTCCAGATTCCCAAGACAAAGAAGCAATGACAGAAATCATAAAATCTGGAGGTCAAGCTAGTATGGGTGGGAGCCATAGGGTATGGGAGCAGAGCAATGATACATTTTATTTTAGACACGTTGGCTTTTGAAATGATATGGCAAACCGAAGGAGAGATACATGAAGTAGGTAGCTAGAAATAGGTTGGCGCTCAGGGTGAAAAGGTCAAGCTTGCTTGAGCAGAGGTGTCTGTTTTCATTAAGTTAGGCTCTCCAGAATTAGAAACATGTCTGGCACGTTTCAGAAAGAAGGAGTTGAGGAGATTGGGTCACCACACTAGTGAGCAGGCAATGTGCTATGTTGGGAAAATTTATATAGTTTGGGGTCCAAAGAATTTTCCAAAGTTACAGTTCCATCACTGGTTGTTTGACCTTAAATAAATCTTTCAACTTTCCTGTTATTAAAAACAGGAATGTGAAAACCTATTAATGATCCTTTAAAAGTGATTTGGATTGAACATGATAATAAATGTGAAACCATTTTGTAAATGTAAAGGTTATAATGAATTATTATAATGAGGAATGTGTATGGATAGTGGTTTGAAATATTTAGACTCGAGAAAGAAGGACATTATTCCCTCACTTGATAAATATCTGTTGTGTAAAGCACTAAATTAGTTACTGGAGAGAGGAAGATAAATAATGTTTTGCTTTTCTCTCATGGCTCACACATGATTTCTTCTCTCTCCTGACTATCAAGAAAAATAGCATGTGAACGTGTGTCAAGTACAGCACATAGGAGAGTAAGCAAAAGTTGGTATAAGTTAATAAATGAATGTGAGAATGGGTGCACAGAGGAGAGACATGGAATACAATCTCAAGATTCCAAGAAAGCCTTCTGGAAAGAATCTGTGATATAGGAAAAGTAATTAATCTGATGAAGAAGGAGCAATGGAAAGTAAGAAATTTCAAGCCCAGGGGGTGTCAAGAGTAAATGCTGAACATTAAATTCTTAAGGAGAATTGGCAAGGGGGAGGTCATAGTCAGATGACCTATGTCATGATAAGTTGCTTGAATTTTTGTAATGGTTATAAGAGGAGTACTAGGGTGATCAAAATTTTGTTTTATGTGGACTCTTCTGGCATTGGTGTGGAAGTTTGATTTGAAGGAAAGGAAATTGGAGTCAGGGAGGTAAGTGTGAAGACCACAGCAATAGACCAGCTGATAGATGATGGGGGCTTGAATTAACTCAAACATTAATTTGGATTTAAAATGTCGGTGACTGATTAAAGTGGAGGAGAGGAAGGAAAGACCCCCTGATGTCTGAATGGATGGTTGTATCAACTGTAGAGATGAAAAATGATGAGGAATAATAAATTAGTTTAAGAGAGAAGATAATTTTTGTTTGGATATTTTGAGTTAAGCAGTGTCTATGTGTTGTTTAAGCAAATATGTACAACAGGAAGTTGTATATATCAGTCTGAAACTCGGTGGAGATAGAATCTCTCATGAGAGAGTTTAGGACGAGAATATAGATTTGAGAGGTGTCAGAAGATGACAAAATGACGTAAACAGGCTTTCTCCACATGATGGGAAAGGAGCCCAGTGTGAAAGAAAATGAAGTCATTATGACAATGGCCTTAAAGTGGGGTCCGAAGAAAATTGCACTGACACCTGCTGAAGGTCAAGCCACAGAATGTTCCAGTAGCTTTGGATAACAGCTGAAATCAGCATCCACTGGCCATCAGTATGTCTTAGCTGGGAATACCCTAATTAAGTAACCAATCTGAAAGGGTTTACAATTTCAGATTTTTGCCCAGTCAATAAACTGACTCCAAAAACAACTTTTTGTGAAAATCCGCTACAAACAATCTCTCCTGTATCTACCTTACAGGACACTATTCAGGACTGCTAAAACTCAGTGTACCTTCTTTGTTTTGCAAATCAATGCATTTCCTTTGATTTCTGTGTCAATTCTTTTTTTTTTTCAGTTAACAATCTATAGTTGATAAAAGATAGATGGTAGATAGACAAGTAGGTAGACAGATATACTTTAACAGATATTTTGTTAATAATATCCATAGTGCCTGGGATAATATCTAGTACTGGGTAGTATCCAACGAATAATTTCTGAATAATTATGAGAAAATTTAAAGTTGTGATAATCGATGTGTAGGCTCAGGGAAAGATACTAAGAATGAGCAATAGAGAAGTGGGTTGAGGTGGAAATAAGTCAGTGTTTAAGGTGTAAGCCAAGGACTCTAAGAGAATAAAGAAAAGGAATATACAGAAGTATGAAGAGAACTGAGTAAAAAACGATACTATGAAAATCAAGAAAGAATAAAATTAAGGAAACAAAAAGGACCATCAGTTGTTTGTTTGTTTGTTTGTATGAGATGGAGTCTCGCTCTGTCGCCCAGGCTGGAGTGCAGTGGTGCAATCTCGGCTCACTGCAAGCTCCGCCTCCAGGGTTCAAGCCATTCTCCTGCCTCAGCCTCCCGAGTAGCTGAGACTACAGGCGCCCGCCACCACGCCCGGCTATTTTTTTTTTTTTTTATTTTTAGTAGAGAAGTAGAGACGGAGTTTCACCGTGTTAGCCAGGATGGTCTCGATCTCCTGACCTCGTGATCCGCCCGCCTCCACCTCCCAAAGTGCTAGGATTACAGGCGTGAGCCAGCCACTACGCCCGGCCAGGACCATCAGTTTTATTCCACTATTTACTCACTTCATTCATGTAACATTGATGGAGGGGTCAATTGAGTGGTGTAACAGAGGTAGAACTAGAAGGCATTACTTGGCTCCACTGTAAAATTTGATTTATAGATGCTGAATCTTATGATGACTGTAACTGGGCACCGTTCCCATCATGTGGAGAAAGCCTTTAAGAAAATGAAAGGGACACACAGAGGGAAGCAGAAAACAATCCACCTGGCTTAAAGGCTTATATCTAGCAGTACCTGAAACAATCTATAGTCTTGGGCTAATAAATTACCCTTTTTTGCATGAGCTAATTTGAGATGAGTTTCTGTTGCTAATAATGAACATAATCCAAATTAACACAGTGCCTATTTTGGTGTTTAAGACATCCATCTAGTTGTTCAAATCCCTCCTTTTCCTTTACTTCTTTCATATTCTTTCAATTCTCCCACCAAAGTATTTTTTAACTCCTATCACTAAATATGTCCACTGTTTTACCTAAGTCAGGTCAGAATTATTTCTTATCTACCTCTAAGATAACACAATGTGTCTTAACTCTTCCTCGTTTTCACACTTATTCCCTTTTAATACTTTCAACATAGCAGCTTGTAAACTTTTTAAAACTTAAATTAATATTTTCCTTTTTTTTTGCTTGAAAATTTTAACAGCTCCCCATTGTACTTATCCTGTTCTATTGTCCCCTTACAACTTGGCCTCCACCAATTTCTCCATCCTTATCATTTTCATTACTCCCCCTTGTTTCCCCTATATTATAAAATCCTCCCCTGATTTAGATACTTTTATTTTTTTTCCTCTCTCTCTTCTATCTGGATTTTTTTTTCACATGGTGATTCTTATCTTTGAAGTTTTAGGTTAAATGTCACTTTCTAAAATAAATCTCTAAAACACTGTGTAATTTCTCAGCACCTAACTCTCCTTTCCATGGATTTACTGTGTAATTATGTTGTTGGTTAGCTATTACTTTTTCTTGTTTTTTTCTTTTTGTGCATTCTTTTCTTTTTTTATTGGCTATTCATACATCTTCTCCATAGAATTATAATGTCCACAAAGAAAGGAACCACGTCTCTTGTGTTCACTTTGTTATACCCAGTGCCTACTCAATGTGTGTAGAGGGAACAATAATAATGCTTGTTTATCTTACTAGATTTGTAATAATTCATTGAATTCTGTAGCTATAGCCTGAGTGAACACAGAAAATAAAAGAAAGCCTATTTTTAAATATGACATGTAACTACCAAATAAAACCGTCTCATACTCTAATTTGGCTATTTGAAGCATCAGGTTATAAACATTTGATAAAATTTACATCTTTTTGAGTTAATGCGGAGCATTCAAAATTATGTACTTTTGTATTAAGCACTAAACAGTTGTGGAAATAAACTTAACAAAAAAGCAAGTGAATTTTTTTTATTCTTGCCAATATATGATTTAAAAAATCTCTGTATAACATTTATCCCTCAAGTTCAATTGTATATTGTTGTTATTTCAAATGTAGATCTATATGTAAGGAAAATGATTGATTTGAAAGCAGCATTAACTGTAGTAGAATTTGAGATTCAAAACAAAACAATTTTAAAAAAGACAAAACAGAACAAAAGCCAAAACATGGCTATTTTTTAAGGCATGAAAGTTTGTGACTGAAATGTAATCTATCTTAGTAATTCATCTGAGCCTCTTATTTGGCAACTTTCTAGGATCTTAATAGAATGTTTGTATTAGGTTCTCCAGAACACATGTATCTATCTTATGTATTATAAATTAATATATATTTATTATATGTGTTTATACATAATATTTAAATGATATTTATGTAGTATATAAAAAAATATATAAATTTATTATGAGAAATTGGCTCACACAATTATGGGGACCGGTTAGTCCTCCAGTCTGTCCTCTGCAAGCTGGAAACACAGGAAACCTGTTGGGATAATTCAGTGTGAGTCTGAAGGCCTGAGAATCAGAGAACTGATGATGTAAATCCCAGTCCTAGGCCAGAGGAAGATGAAATTAGATTTTCCAGCTCAACAGCGAGACAGGACAAAAAGGGAGAAATTTATCCTTTCTTTGCCTTTTGTCTTATTCAGACCCTACAATGATTGGATGATGCCAAAGCATATTGAGGAGGGCGGTGAACACTAGAGTCTACACATTCAAACGCTAATCTCACCACAAAAAGCCTTCACAAACACATCCAGAAACAATGTTTAATCTGGGGATCCCATATCCCACTCAAGCTGATACATAAAGTTAATCATCACAAGGTGCAACCAGAAACTTCCACACTTTGAAGACATGTGTTTATGAGATAATATAACTTGACAAATTTAGATCTACAGGTCTTCATCCTCCTTTAACCAAGTTCACCCCCAACCCACTGATTTTAATCTATCTTTCTTATTAACCCCACTGATGTTAACTCAGCAAATCTTTACGGACATCTATTATGGGCTGAATATATTATAATAAGTGTTGAGAACAGAAAGCACATTAGCAGTGTTATTTGTGTTCAAGGAATTTCTTATCTGTTTTAGGGAGATTACAAGACAAAGAAAAGTGAACCATTTAAGTGCTAACTTGTACAATATAGATTAATGAAATAAAGGTGAGTTGCAACAGCCAAGAAGGCTGCACTTTCGAAAAGACAGCTAGGATTGGGTAAATCAGAAAACACGGAAGATTAATGGCATTCTGTGAGTTAAGAATATTTGGAAGGTTCTGAGGGGAGATTGCCCCTGGAACATATATTCAAAGTGGGGCTGCTGACCATAATAGAACAGAAATGTGCCCACCAGCTCTAAAGCAAAATTAAAATAGTGTCCTTGCCTCAGGTGGGAAAACACCCTTGTGAATGAATAAATGATGATACTCATAGATTTTCTGTTTGAGTAAAGGATGTATAAATTACTCAATAAACAGTCTGTCTATAGAAAAAGCCTGGTTTCTTATCACATATCCTCCTTACAGAGATGCAAGCATTTGCATAGAAATGAATCGATTTGAGAAAGGGCAGAGAAGGGGAAGCAACAGAGAGAGTTGGTGGAGCAGGCTAGAGAGTGCAGAGGAAAAGATCCTCATGGATTTGTTTAATAAGACTCTATTCCACTTACGGCATCTAATGCCATTGGTAATTTAACTCATGTAGCCACCTCACATCTATGTCATTTTAGATAAGAAAGAGAAAATATGATTTTAAAGGGAGAGTAATGACTATTTTGTATCTATAAATCATTCATCACATGAAGTCTTAATAGAAAAGTTATATACATTGCTACTTTAAAATAAGTGGACCATAGGCATTTTAAGAAACTACAGATCCTGAAAATATAAATTTCTTTTATGTAAAACCTAAGTGTTTTTTGTTTCATTTCTTATTATTTTTTATTTTCAAGATTTCCACTAAAAATATTTCAAAGGACTGCTATTTTCTTTTTCTATCCAGCATTTCTAATTGGAAATAAAGTTATGTCGCTTTAGAATTTATATTTTATAAGATCAATTACTCTGGGCCTCTCTCCCCTTCTCATTTTTATTCTTAAATAAACACAGGGGTTTGTTATTGTATCCCCAAGAAATTGTTATCTAATGGTTTTAAAGAATGTTTGAAAAAAGACTCACATAATTTTGGAAGTGCTGGAATAAGCAAAATAAAATATATTATTTCTGTAGCATCGGTTCATTCAGTAAAATATGCTAATGCATATTTTGAATCTTTAGAAAGTAGTATATTATCAAAATATTTTTGAAACTTCTAGATTTTGAAATGTTTTGAGAAAATTCTTAAAGAGTTAGTGTTCTGCAGAATATACTACTTAACCTGTTATATTAGGAAAGAGACATAATGACACCAGTTTCTGCCTTACAAGGCTAATTTCTATCACTGACAACTGCTTGTGAAACACTTGAGTTTTTGAAAATCTTCTTCACAAATTTGATTTTCTAATTTTGTTTCTGAGCTTTAACCAAAAGTAGCTAGCACATTGCTTTACTCATCACAGACAAAAACTAGTGAACGGGAAACTATGTAGCGTTTAAACATCTGTTGAATGTCAATCTAGGGCTGATATTTTATGAATTTTCTTCTAGTTTCCTAACTAAACTTTCAATTTATGTGTGTGTGTGTATGTTTCCCTAGAGACAGAGTCTTGCTCTGTCACCGAGGTCAGTGGCGTGATCATGGTTTATTGTATTAATATCTGGAACTCCTGGTCTCAAGCCCTTTCCTGCCTCAGCCTCCTGAGTACCCAGGACTACTGGCCTATGCCTCCACAACTGGATAATTATTTTATTTTTATTTTTGTAGAGACTGGGTCTCACTCTGCCCAGGCTCCCAAAGTATTTGTTAATTGAAGCTCTCTATAGACTGAATTGTGTCCCCTCCCCTGCAATATTCATATTTTAAAGCCTAACCCCTCAATATGACTGTATTTGGGATAAAAGACCTTTAAGAAGGTAATCAGGTTGAATTAAGTCATAAAGGTGGGGCACTAATTCAATAGGACTGGTGTCCTTTTAAGAAGAGGAAGGGACACCAGCAGTGTCTATGCAGGGAGGAAAAGCCATGAAAGGCAGCTGCGAGAAGGCAGCCATCTGCAAGCCAGGAGGAGAAGCCTCTCATAAACCAACCCTGCTGAACCCGTGACTTGGGACTTCTGGCCTCCAGAACCTTGAGAAAATAAATTTCTGTTGTTTACCACCTAGTCTGTGGTATTCTGTAATGGCAGCCTGAGGAGACTAATATAAGGCTTTTATTTTAAATTTACTTGAAAAATCCATTTACGCGGTTCTTGAAGTGCCAAAACGTTTTACTACATTAGTCTACTTTGGTCCTGGGAGAAGGCGCCTGAAAAAACTTACAGAAGATAATATCTGCAGTTCAACATTGTGAAAACCAAGACTCAGAGAATTTATACGAACCCAGGTCTTATGTAGCAATCTCAAGGTCTTTTATTACTGTAGACATGTGGCTTTCTCATCCTCTTTCTGTCCTATATAAATGTCTCCTCATAATTTACCTATCTTGTTTTGTACTTTTGGGTGTCTCTGTATAACTATCTCCCTCCTAGGTTAATATTAACTTGCTGGGTTAGGATTTTACACTCAAAGTAGTTTTGTCCTAGAACTCTGAAGTTCCACTTTCTTAGATCAGAGAGCATTTGATCAGACATTTGGCCTTCTTTTGAAAGAAATAAAGAAGGGAGCCAGGTGAAGGTGTGGACAAATGGATTCTAAACTCAAGCAACAGGGACTTCCTTAGACAAGTGGTTTCCAAACTTCTCTGACCCTAACAATCCCCTGGGAGCTTAAAAAAATTCTGATACCACGGTTGAATGCCCGACCAAATGCATCTAAAACTCTAGGGAGTAGAAATCAAGCATCAATATTTTAATGTCTCTGCAGGTGTTTCCAATACTCAGCCAAGGTTGAGAATCACCTTGGCTGTGTTAGATATTAATTACTTGGTTTGTTCCAGAAATTAAAAGATGTTCAATGTGGATAAAGAGTGAAAGGGAAAGAAGGACCAATAAAAGAGATATTATAGGTCAAAATAAGTTCTTTGATTCCTTGGGATTTTATTTTGGATGTAAAGCCATCAGGGGTTTTGAGCAGAAGGCATTATGTGATCTTATTTGCACAAGATAATTTTGCCTGCATAGTAAGGAATTGACTACAGGTGGATGAGGAGAATAGACACCAGTAAACACATATGGATGCTATTAGGAAAAAAAAAATCCTTAATTGATAACAATAAAGGTAGAAGTCATGTTTAAATGAAATATAATATTAAGCTGATTTTTTTGTTAGATTGCTTGTGTTTTCTTACAAGATGTTTTTAGAATAATATTTTAGTTGTTGGTGTATTCGTTTGCCAGGGCTACCATAATAAAATACCACAGAGTTGGTGGCTAAAATAACAGAAATTTATTTTCTCACAGTTCTAGAGGCCAGAAGTCCAAGATCCAGTTGTGGGCGGGTTTGATTTTTCTGAACCCTCTCTCCTTGTCTCACAGATGGCTGCCTTCTCACTGTGTCCTCACATTGCCTTTATTTTGTGAGGGACCATCCCTGACGTCTTTTTTTGCATCCTAATCTTCTGTTTTTAGAAGAACACCAGTCGGATTCAATTAGGGTCTACTGTTATGGCTTCATTTTAATTTAATAACTTATTCAAAACCACATTTTCAAATACAGTCACATTCTAGAGTACTGGGCATTAGGACTTCAACACATGAATTTTTGGGAAAACACAATTAACATTAACATTTGATGTTCTGAGATTTCACCATTGCTTCACATGTTTTCTAAACTATAAACTCATTCCATTTTGTTAATGGAAGTGTTATTTTTTACTATATTATTATTATTTTTTACTCTATTCCATGTATTCCTCTTCTCCTTCTGGAACTCATTTTAGAGAGATATTGGAACCTATGGATCTGTACTTCATTTCTCATCACTTATACTTTCCCTCTCATTTGCATTTATCTCTGTAGTCTGAGATAATCCCTTGGTAGATTTCTAGCCCAGTAATTTACACTTCAACCATGCCCATTAGGCTATTTAGACTATTGTTTCCAGCATAGGTGATCAACTTTTAAATGCCAAGACTTCTAATAAATTTTTCATAGCTGCAATATCCCCTTAGCTGTTTCTGAATGTATCAGTAATGCTTTATCTAAACTCTTCTGCTTGCTTCATTAACTTTGCTTCATTCTTCAGAACCTAAAATGCCTTTACCTTTGCAACAGTCTGCTTCAGAATCTGTTTTGCAATGCTTTTTTTTCTCTTGCTTTTCTTTGGATCTGATCCTACTTACTTTATATCTTTCAGGTATTGCTCATAACATTTGGGCTATAATGGCACTTTAAATTTTTTTCTTGTCTATTATGGATTTATTCTCCATTGTGTGTGTATATGTTTGGTATAGAAAATACATGCATGAATATATATGAAATATATATATATATCCTCTCTTATTTATATATTTTATAAAATATATGAAATCTTTTTTCTTCTTTCATGTAATCTTGGATGCATAGGCATTTTGCAGCATTTGTACACTTTGTCATCTTGAGTCAATCTATTATTTTGGAAAATCTTTGCATCCTAATCTTCTGTTCTCAGAATATTTATTTAATATTTTGTACTTATTGTTAATTTATGTTTGTTCCATAATGAGCTCTTTATTTATAGAAACTACCTCACTACTTTTCTTATTAAACCCTGCCAATTTTTATTTGAATACTATTTGTATTTGTTTTTTTAACTTTATTTTCAGTACTTACTTTTAGAGATAATATCAAGGTTTTGTTCTATCAATGGGAATTTTCTATCCACAAATGTTTTGGCATTATTTAGTAATACATTCACTACCCCCTTCCATACTGAAGGTAATATCTTCCTAGAAAAGTACAATAGGAGCTTTGGGGTATGCCAGGCAAAATGTAAACTAATACTGTTAAAACAAGAATAAATTTATTTTAATCATTTTTAATACTGATTAACAAGCAATATAATATTAAATACTATTAGACAATAAGTGTGGCAATGATATTTGTAAAATATAGATTCAGTAATTTTATTAATTTTACAGAATATACAGTAGAAACTGCAAGAATGGAACAGGTTACATGCATATTTTACAGGAAGAACACATGAAATGTAGTCTACTTTTATGAATAAAGCTTCTTATATCCGTTAAATATAAACTTGCCAAGGAAGTGAAAAGAAATAAGAATATTCTTAACCTTAAGTCTCAGTACAAATCTTATGAGAGACTTGAAAATATCTTCTGTTACTCACCAAGTGATAATTTGGAAAGAGACAGTAAACAATGACAGACTATGACAAGGAACTTGAAAATGAGAGTTTTAGTTCTGGCTATGCTTGTTACTAATTTGAGGAATTGAACGTTATTTTCTAAACCTGTTTGGTCTCTCTCTCTCTCTCTCTCCCTGTGTGTGTGTAACACTTAATCTAAGGTTCTCTACCAACTGGTTCCATCTCTAAGGTAAATAAACTCAGTTTTTTTGTTTTTTGTTTTTCTTTTCTCAAGGAGCCTGTAGTCTTTAGGAGAGTTAGAGATGTAAACCAATATCTCTGGGTGCTAGGACTATTCTCTTTCCTTTGCTAAGACTTATCTACAAATATTCTTTATGGATATAGAGAGGAAGAGTTTAAAATCCCATTGAACCAAGTACCTCTCCAGCTGTTCCTTCACCAGTAGGTTAGGTACATACTATCCCTTGATGTCTGCCAGCCACCCATAGATACTCCCTGCGTCCCATACTTTACAGTGATGGTAGTGCTACTGCTACTATCTGATTTTACAAGGAGTAGAGGGATTCTCTTACTCTTTCAAACATTGCTGGTTTTTAAATATGTATATATTTATTATATATATAATATATATGATAATATATGATCATCTTAGTCTGTTTTGTGTTGCTATAACAATACCTGAGACTAAGTAATTTATAAATAAAAGATATTTATTTTTTATAGTTCTGAAGACTGGGAATTACAAGATTGAGGAATCTATATGTGGCAAGATGTTGCATCATCTCATGGTGGAAGGCGGAAGGGCAAGAGAGCTCAAGCAAGGGCAAGACGGGGCCAAACTCACTTTTATAGAAAACTCACTGTCATGATACTAAACCATTCCCAACATAATGACATTAATCCATTCATGAAGGCAGAGCCCTGACGACCTAATCACCTCTTATTTGGCCCCAGTTCCCATCACTGTTGCACTGGAACTTTAGGAGACACATTCAAACCACAACAGAAGTATCTAACATAGTCAAACTCATAGAAATATAAAGTAAAATGGTGGTTGCCATTTCCCTATCATTGCTTCCTAATTTCTCTAATCCTTCCATTATCTTCTAGTCTAGTATAGACACCAGACTCAGACCTGGCCAAACATAGTACTTCACTCTCCTTCCCGTAAGAGATGGCTATGTATGGTTTGCCTGCCAAACATGCCTCTGTTCTAACTCCTGGAGCCCATTAATATATTGTTCAATGTGGCAAAGGGGAAATAAGGTAACAGATGGAATTAAGCTTGCTAATACCTTAATCTTAAAATAGGGAGATTATCCTGGATTTTCCAGGTGGGCCCAGGTAATTGCAAGGGGCTGGGGGGATGAGGAAATGAAATTGTTAAACAGGTATAGAGTTTCCATTTTGCAAGATGAAAAGTTCTGAATATCTATAGCACAATAATGTGAATATACTTTACATTACTGATCTAATATTGTTCTAAACTCTCTTTTTCTAAAAATAATATGACCCTGATACTTTTGAAGATTTAAGTTGTTATTTATTAAAGGAATTTGAAATTTCGATGGTTGTTTAAAGACTACACAGAGTGGATATGAGGGGTGGTAGGACATTGGGTATGATGTCTCTGAGACAGCTACTTTGTCGTAATGTGAAAGTATAGAACCTCGCTGCCTAGGCCTGGTGGTCAAGGACATTGAAAGAAACTGAGTTTCCTACCGTCTTATACTATTTTATGTAACATTTTTTCCTTTCCCATATACTGAAAACTCTTGGGAAAAACAAAACCAACAAACTAAAAAATACCTCAATGTCTTTTCACGTTATTCCAGAGGAAAAGAGTATTATTTCAGTCCACTGGTTTATCAGGAAAGGCACTGTGTTTGTGTGTGTGTGTGTGTGTGTGTGTGTGCATTTGCATGCATACATGTGTACATGCTCTGAACTATAATGTTAAGAGTGAAGAGAATTATCAAGAGGACAAGTAAGATAAGTTATTTGGCTGATATTGATACTGATTTTACACTGATGTATAAAATAATCAAACATATCTACTCAAGGGTGGGCAAAACTCCTTTCCAAACATTTCATTTCATTTTCTTTCATTGAAAAATATATATTCCTCTGATTAATATGACATTGGCTTTATTTCTTATGAACTAATATTCTGGCCTTATACTGTTAATTTATTCTTTTTTTCTCTGGCTTATTTTAGAAAACATTCTTGTGACTAAGACCCATGTTCAAATCTTCTTTCCTCATCAGGGGTGAAGGCATAGCAGGGGGTGTAAGGACAATCTTAGCTCATTTTCTCACTAAAATCATTGTAAGATATAGTAAGTTTAATAATGTAGCTATATTGTATGCACAGAGTAGTGATAAATCTACTTGGAAGAGTCAGGGAAACCTTACTAAGAGAGGAGAGTCAAGCAAAATCTTTATGTATATGTAGAAATGTTTTAGGAGATAAAAGGCATAGTCAAGGAAGTATAAGATTACATATACCTTAATAATTTTTTTGTGTGTTAAAGTGGCAAAAATGTGAGTCAAACTAGCTTAAGATAAAAAAGAATGCATTGACTCATGTAATTGAAAAAGTCCAGTATACACAAAATGTATACTCAGAGCTTGTTCTCTTGTATGTGACATCCTTGTGTGGGTTAAATTCTTGGATAAGTTGTTTTTTTTATTTTATTTTTTTTCCTGTGGTGGAAAGAGGTTCCTGGTGGCTTCAGCCCTGTAGGTTCTTACGTCTTGGGATCCTGCTGAAAAGAGTTCTCCTCTCTTACATTATCAACATATCAATATGACAAATATTTTCATGAAACACTGGCCCTTTTGGGCCACACGATGTATTAGTTTCCTATTGCTGCTTGCTATGGTCTGATTTTTTTATCCTCCCAAACTTTATATGTTGAACGTAACCCCAAAGGTGATAATATTAAGAGGTGAGAAATTTGAGATGTGATGAGGTCATGAGGGCACAGCCTTCATGAATGGGATTAGTGTTCTTATGAAAGAGACCCCAGAGAGCTCGCTAGCCTCTTTCACCGTGTGAGAATACAGCAAGAAGGTGCCATCTATAAGGAAGTGGGCCTTCACCAGACACTGAGTCAGTGTCAAAGCCAGCACCTTTATCTTGGACTTTCCAGCCCCCAGAACTGTGAGAAATACATTTTTTCTTGTTTATAACATAATATGATATATACTTTAGCTTATAAGGTACAAATAAGGTACTTTTTATTATAGCAAAGCAAATGGACTAAGAAATTGCTTTAACAAATTACCAAAAACTTAGTGGCTTAAAACAAGACACACATATTATGTACAATTCTGGAGGTCAGAAGTTTTAAATGGGTCTCATTGGTCTAAAGTCAAGGTGTCAGGAGGGCTCCATTTCTTTCTGGAGGATCTGTTTCCTTGCATTTTCCAGCTGCCATAGCCTGCCATATTCCTTGGCTTATGATGCCTCAGTCATCTTCAAAGCCATACTCACATTTCATGGATCAAACTCTTCTGTATCCTTTTTTCATGTTTAAGGACCCTTGCAATTACACTGGGCCCACCTGGAAAATCCAGGGTAATCTCCCTATTTTAAGATTAAGGTATTAGCAAGCTTAATTCCATCTGTTACCTTATTTCCCCTCTGCCACACTGAACAATATATTAATGGGCTTCAGGAATTAGAACAGAGGCATCTTTGGCAGGCAAACCATACATAGCCATCTCTTACGGGAAGGAGAATGAAGTACTATGTTTGGCCAGGTCTGAGTCTGGTGTCTATACTAGACTATAAGAAGATAATGGAAGGATTAGAGAAATTAGGAAGCAACGACAGGGAAATTTATATTCATTCTTGTTGGGAAAGACAGTATATGATATATGTAGATTCTAAGACTAAAACTAGAGCAGGAAAGTGATTTAAAGATTGATGGGGGTGGGGATAGAATGAGAGTGTTGCACTTCTGCTTATGGAGCCATCACGTTGTTTAGAATCTAGAGAAAAGTGTGAACTAAGTGTTCAGAATGTCCTGTGATAACTGATTTGAAAATGGATAAAGGGCAAAATAAAATGGTGGTCTCAAATCAGGTAGAGGTGAGGTGTGAATATTGGAAAGGGAGGGTGTGAGTCTTGCCAGAAGCATGGAGTTCCATGTTTCTCACTCTTGCTAGAGGGGATGTGGAGTTTGCAGGAGAAAAGATTTAATTAGAAGTACATAGAGCTCTTGGATCCCTCTTAATTCCTGTCCATGGATATGTGGAAGCCAGAGGAGATATGGTTTTGTCTGAAGCATCTGAGATTGGAGGATTTCTGCTGAAAATCAGAGCATGCAGAGTTAACATAATCATTTTTTTCTCATAAATATTACTCTGGTGACTGTATGAAGACCAAAATAAAGGGTTAAGCTAAGGTAGAGAAAATGCTGCTGGAAGACTCTTTTGAAAATCCATTTGAGGGAAAAAAATTAGACAAAAGCCATAATGATATGAAGAAAAAGTAATGCAAAAAGTTAATAAAATATAATCAACCATACCTAGATTTTTATATTATTGCTGCAACCTAGAAAAACAAAGTATGCATTAGTCAGGTTGTTTCAGTTTCTATTTACAGAAACTCCCCTCAAACAAGCTTTATTCATTCATTTATCCATTTAACAACAGTTTATTGAAAGCCAGGCATGTTGCTAGCAAAGATTCTGCCAAAGTGGAGCTTATGTTTTACCGGGGGAAAGAGACTATAAAAATAAAATAAATAAATTAGAGAATTCAGATCAGAGTGTTATGCTTGTTATAAAAGTATGCAGTAAAAGAATAACTAAAAGTTTATTTACTGAAGGCAGGGAAGGGCTCTCTGAAGTGATGTATTACCTGAGCTTAAGAAAAGTGGTCTATATTAGGACATATAACTGAAACAGTTATTTAAAAAGCTGTTTTTAGATATACGTATAGTCACCTCCATGTCTTTCTCTCTCTCGGCTCAGCTTGTCTCTATGTGGCATTATTCTATAGAGAAGAACTTCATATTGTGAGCAAGATGGCTAACTACTTCATATCTGCATTGTCTATGCAGAGATTTCTCCTCTAAGAACCCCTTGTCTATAAAGGGGTAATATAGTCATTCCTGAAGTAGTCACTCGGGAGAAGGGATGGTATCTCTGGCCAACCGGGGACAGAGGACTGTTCCTGGAATTGGAAATGAGTACTATAATGGATGGATGCTTCAGAAACGGTGAAGTCAGTGAAGTGATTCTGCAAAGGAACTAGACAAAAAAGGATAGGGAAATCCTGACAGACAGAAAAAAAATAGCACTGCCAACAAGAACTAATGATAGTCCCATAATACATAATATTGATTGTTTAGAAAATATGGGATGAACATTCTATGCACCTGGATGCAAAATGGACCGCTTAAATAAGTCATCAATTTTTAAGACAGAAAAATGTTTAAAGTGTGAGATTAATAATAATAATGTGGTAAGAATTATCTAGACAATGCTGACTACCACCACAAAATTAAACAAAATTCAGAATTATGAAATCTTAAAAAATTACCATTTTCTCTTTGTAAACTTTGCTTAAGTTCATAGAAATCTGTCTTATGAATGATGCATAAAAGTTATATTTTAATCTGTAAGTAATAGGACTAAAAATTTAATTTAGAAATAATTACAAGCCAAAAAACCTGATGAATAAATATTATTGAAGAACACTGGCTATAAGATGCAAATAAATATGTTAACATTAAACTTAGGAAATCAAAAATAGGTAGGAAATATGGGGGGAAATATTTGTTTTTGGCAGAAGGGAAAATCCTGGTGGTGTGGAAGGACTCCCTATATCTAATAAGCACAATGTTTAATCCCTGTTAGAGTTTCTTTCTGGCTTTAATTCAACAATATTTGGTATGTGTGTGTATATGTGCATGTGTGTCCTCTACTTAAGTGTTTTTTTATTCGTCTCTTCAACAAATATTTAATGCATGCTGTTTTGCCCTGTTCAAAGACTAAAATAGCCCTTGACAGGAGTCATGATTTACATTTAGATAGTTGAAAGAATTGGTAATTGCTATAGGTAAAAGAGAAGAGGCTAAAAGTTAAAGTGTTTGTGCACTGAATAAATCTGTTCATTTGTATTTGTGGTGAGCCTATATGCTCTTTTGAGTTTCCTTTTTTATTTCACACCTTAACAATGGGTAACATTAAACAGGGAATGTATTTAGATTTGCTCTGACAACCAAGTTAATTGAAATGTTAAAAGACCTCTGTTTCAATGGGAAAAATAAATTTTTCAAGAGGAGCTGTGTCCTTCTTAAAAGAGAGATCACAAAACAAGTGAGACATATGATGGAAGCCATTAGAGAGAAGGATGAATGCCACTTTGTGAAGTGCTGTTTCAGCTGTCTCAGGAGACGAGCTGCCAAGCACTCTCAAGAAGGAAATACGAAATCAGACATTTGTATGTGTGCAGTACCCACCATGTTTGCTCTGAGCAGAGAGAACCATATGAAGCAAGACAGTAAAGGTGAAATCCAACAAGATAGCCTACTTTATTGCCATGGCAACAGAACCCTGATGAAAAGTAGAAAAACAATAAAATACCTCTGAAAAAAAACCTGTGCTATGTATATCTACTGAATTGAGGAAAAATGCACTCATGGCAGGAGCCTGATATTTTTACCATTTGGTGACTTCCCTTAACAAAACCATGTGTACTGCTTTTGGAAAATGTTGAATTAAAAAGCATTGCATTTACTAAATTATTTAGTTGATCCTGTTGCTAAATTCAGATTGATATGTGAAAGCTGTACCTTCAGATTAGAATCTTTAGTGTTATTGCAGAGGTCAAAGCATTAACATTTTCACTCTCCTTGATGCCTTTGACAAACTTTTGCCATCATTTCACACAAATTGTACGTTCAATGAGAAAGAGAAGTTCTATGACATTCTGATATTTGATTAAAATTAAAACTATATTTTATTTAAAATTCTCATATTTCAACCATTATTTTTAAAAATGTTCTCACTTCAACATGCTGTTTATTAGTACACAGTTTAGTTTGGAGGGAAAACATTGTCTTTTTTCTATTCTGAGTTTGTTTAACTATCACAGCTTCCTACATCTTCCCAGTTTTAACCAATTTTGAGTTGTTCCTAAGATTGTTTGTATTCAAATAAGACCTCCTTTTTTTTGTAGAAAAAGTCTGGGAAAGCTCATTTTTCATTTTTAAAATCAGCTTCACTGATGTAATTTACATACAATAAAATCTACCCTTAAAAAGTGAGTTTTGACAAATGTCACATAACTATTACCACAATCAATTTCTTTGCAAAATTAATACCAATTTCTTCACATTGATTAAAGTGTTTCATTTAGAAATTAAAATATGCATCTTTGACTTATCATACACTGTGTACTAACTGGCTCTTAGAAAAAAATATAGAAATATTGCACCAAATCTGACTTCTTTATGCTATTATTGCTATGACTATTATATATGTATATGTTATCAATCCAACAATGGAGGTTATAATTTTTTATACTTTCAAATTTAATTTTAGAGTTGGGGGTACATGTGCAGATTTGTTACATGTCATCTCATGACACTAAGGTTTGGGGCACAAATTATCCTATCACCCAGGGAGTGACCATAGTACCTAAATTTATAGCCCTTTTGCCCCTTTCCTACTCTCTCCTTGAGTAGTCCCCATTGAGTATTATCTTTATGTCCATGTGTACCCAATGCTTAGCTCCCACTTACAAGTAAGAACATGTGGTATTTGGTTTTTGTTCCCAAATTAATTTGCTGGATAATGCCCTCCAGTGGTATCCATGTTGTTGCAGAGACCATGATTTTATTAATTTTTATGGCTGCATAGTATTCCACAGTGTATATGAACCACATTTTCTTTATTCAGTCTACTGTGGATGGGCACCTAGATTGATTCCATGTCCTTGCTATTGTGACTAGTGGTGACATAAATGTAATAGTACCTGCATCTTTGGGGTAGAATGATTAACTTTCCTTTGGGTATAAATCTAGCAATGGGATGGATGAGTTGAATGGTAGCTCTGTTTTAAGTTATTAGAAATCTTCAAACTGCTTTCTTCAGTGACTGAACTAATTCACATTTCTACCAACAGTGTATAAGCATTCCCTTATTTCCACAACCTTGTCATCTATTATTTTTTGACTTTTTAACAATAACCATACTACTTTCGGAGGCCAAGGCAGGGAGATCACTTGAGTTCAGGAGTTCTAGACCAGCCTGATCAACACGGTGAAACCCCATCTCTACTAAAAATACAAAATAGCTGGGCGTAATGACACACACCTGTAATCTCAGCTACTTCGGAGGCTAAGGTGGGAGAATTGCTTGAACGCAGGAGGTGGAGGCTGTAGTGAGCCAAGATCGTGTCACTGCATTCCATCCCTGGTGACAGAGTGAGACTCCAACTCAAAACAAAACAAACAAACAAAAACTCAAAAAGCAATAGCCATACTTACTGGGGTGAGATAGTATCTTATTGTGGTTTTGATTTACATTTCTCTAAGGATTAGTTATGTTGAGAATTTTTTCATGTTTTTTGGCCACTAATGTTTGTCTTCTTTTGAGAAATGTCTGTGTATGTTTTTGCCCACTTTTAAAGGGTGTTATTTGTTTTTGCTTGTTGAATTGTTTCAGTTCCATATAAATTCTGGAACTAGACCTTTATCTTGTGCATAGTTTGAGAATATTTTCTCTCATTCTATAGGTTGTCTGTATACTCTTAATAATTTCTTTTAATGTTCAGAATCTCTTTATTTTAATTAGATTCCACTTGCAAATTTTTGTTTTTTTGCAATTACTTTTGAGGACCTAGCCATAAACTTTTGGGCTAAGGCCAGTGTCAAGAAGGGCATTTTCTAAGTTTTCTTCTAGGATTTTTATGGTTTTAGCTATCATATTTAAATCTTTAATCCATACTGAATTGATGTTTTTATATGGTGAAAAGTAGGAGTCCAGTTTCAATCTTCTGCATATGGCTTAAAAGTTATCCCAGCTCCATTTATTGAATAATATGTCCTTTCCTCATTGCTTATTTTTGCTGGCTTTGTCAAATATCAGATGTTTGCAGGTGAAAGGCTTTATTTCTGTTTCCTCTTAATCTGTGTGACTGTTTTTGTACCAATATCATGCTGTTGAGGTTACAGTAACCTTAGAATATAGTTTGAAGTCTGATAATGTGATGCATCTCGCTTTGTTCTTTTTGCTTCGGAGTACTTTGACTATTCAGGCTCTTTTTAGTTCCATATGAATTTTAGAGCAGTTTATTCTATGTCTGTGAAAAATGACTTTGGTAATTTGATAGGAATAACATTAAATCTATAGATTGCTTTGGGCAGTATGACCATTATAATAATATTGATTTTTCCTATCCATGAGCATGTAATATTTTTCCATTTGTTTGTTTTCATCTTTGATTTATGTTAGCAGTGTTTTTAAATTCTCATTGTAGAGATCTTTCACCTTTTTTGGATAGATATATTCCTTTTTATTTTTGTTTGTGGCAATTATAAATGGGATTGCATTCTTGATTTGGCTCTCAGCTTAAATATTATTGTAGACAGAAGTGCTACTGATTTTTACACATTGATTTTGTGTCCTAAAATTTTACTGAAGTCATTTATCTGTCCTAGGAGCCTTTTACCTAAGTCTTCAGAATTTTCTAGGTGTAGAATCATATCTCTGTGAAGACAGATAATTTTACCTTTTCTTTTCCTATTTAGATGCTTTTTATTTGTTTCTCTTGCCTGATTGCTCTGACTAGGACTTCCAGTACTGTGTGGAACAACCTCGGCTTGAGCCTGTTCTTAACTGGAATGCCCCCAGCATTTGCCTATTCAGTATGATGTTGGCTATGTGTTTGTCATAGATGGCTCTTATTGTTTGTTGTGTTCTTTCAATGCCTAGTCTGGTGAGGTGTTTTATCATGAAGGGATATTGTATTTTATCAAAACACTTTTCTGTACATATTGAGATGGTTATACACTTTCTGCTTTTAATTTTATTTATGTAGTGAATCACATTTATCAATTTGCATATGTTCAACCAAACTTTCATTCCAAGAATAACGCCTACTTGATCATGGTGAATTAACATTTTGATGTGCTGCTGGATTTGGTTTGCTAATAGTTTGTTAAAGATTTTTGGGTCTATATTCATCAAGGATGCTGGCCTGTAGTTTCCTTTTATGGTTGAGACTTTGCCAGATTTTTTATTATAGTGATGTTGGCATCATAGAATGTGTTAAGAAGGAGTTCTTTCTCTTAATTTCTTTTTGGAATAATTTTAGAATTGGTACCAGCTCTTCTTTGTGCATCTGGTAGAATTTGGCTGTGAATCTATCTGCTCTGGGGCTTTTTTAGTTGGTAGTTCTTTTTTTAAAAAAATAGTAATTAAATTTTGAAATTCAATACTTGGGGGAGGAGCCAAGATGGCCGAATAGGAGCAGCTCCGGTCTACAGCTCCCAGCGTGAGCGACACAGAAGACAGGTGATTTCTGCATTTCCATCTGAGCTTTGAAGAGAGCAGTGGTTCTCCCAGTACGCAGCTGGAGATCTGAGAATGGGCAGACTGCCTCCTCAAGTGGGTCCCTGACCCCTGACCCTGGAGCAGCCTAACTGGGAGGCACCCCCCAGCAGGGGCAGACTGACACCTCACACAGCCAGGTACTCCAACAGACCTGCAGCTGAGGGTCCTGTCTGTTAGAAGGAAAACTAACAAACATAAAGGACATCCACACCAAAAACCCATCTGTACATCACCATCATCAAAGACCAAAAGTAGATAAAACCACAAAGATGGGGAAAAAACAGAGCAGAAAAACTGGAAACTCTAAAAAAGCAGAGCGCCTCTCCTCCTCCAAAGGAACGCAGGTCCTCACCAGCAACGGAACAAAGCTGGATGGAGAATGACTTTGACGAGCTGAGAGAAGAAGGCTTCAGACGATCAAATTACTCCGAGCTACAGGAGGACATTCAAACCAAAGGCAAAGAAGTTGAAAACTTTGAAAAAAATTTAGAAGAACGTATAACTAGAATAACCAATACAGAGAAGTGCTTAAAGGAGTTGATGGAGCTGAAAACCAAGGCTCGAGAACTACGTGAAGAATGCAGAAGCCTCAGGAGCCGATGCGATCAACTGGAAGAAAGGGTATCAGCGATGGAAGATGAAATGAATGAAATGAAGCGAGAAGGGAAGTTTAGAGAAAAAAGAATAAAAAGAAACGAGCAAAGCCTCCAAGAAATATGGGACTATGTGAAAAGACCAAATCTACATCTGATTGGTGTACCTGAAAGTGATGGGGAGAATGGAACCAAGTTGGAAAACACTCTGCAGGATATTATCCAGGAGAACTTCCCCAATCTAGCAAGGCAGGCCAACATTCAGATTCAGGAAATACAGAGAACGCCACAAAGATACTCCTCGAGAAGAGCAACTCCAAGACACATAATTGTCAGATTCACCAAAGTTGAAATGAAGGAAAAAATGTTAAGGGCAGCCAGAGAGAAAGGCCGGGTTACCCTCAGAGGGAAGCCCATCAGACTAACAGCGGATCTCTTGGCAGAAACTCTACAAGCCAGAAGAGAGTGGGGGCCAATATTCAACATTCTTAAAGAAAAGAATTGTCAACCTAGAATTTCATATCCAGCCAAACTAAGCTTCATAAATGAAGGAGAAATAAAATCCTTTACAGACAAGCAAATGCTGAGAGATTTTGTCACCACCAGGCCTGCCCTAAAAGAGCTCCTGAAGGAAGCGCTAAACATGGCAAGGAACAACCGGTACCAGCCACTGAAAAATCATGCCAAAATGTAAAGACCTTTGAGACTAGGAAGAAACTGCATCAACTAATGAGCAAAATAACCAGCTAACATCATAATGACAGGATCAAATTCACACATAACAATATTAACTTTAAATGTAAATGGACTAAATGCTCCAATTAAAAGACACAGGCTGGCAAATTGGATAAAGATACAAGACCCATCAGTGGGCTGTATTCAGGAAACCCATCTCACATGCAGAGACACACATAGGCTCAAAATAAA
Source organism: Homo sapiens (assembly GCF_000001405.40). Classification (NCBI taxonomy): domain Eukaryota; kingdom Metazoa; phylum Chordata; class Mammalia; order Primates; family Hominidae; genus Homo; species Homo sapiens. The sequence goes on from NC_000001.11 coordinate 103,923,634, forward strand.
AGGAGGGAGGAAGATCTACCAAGCAAATGGAAAACAAAAAAAGGCAGGGGTTGCAATCCTAGTCTCTGATAAAACAGACTTTAAACCAACAAAGATCAAAAGAGACAAAGAAGGCCATTACATAATGGTAAAGGGATCAATTCAACAAGAAGAGCTAACTATCCTAAATATATATGCACCCAATACAGGAGCACCCAGATTCATAAAGCAAGTCCTGAGTGACCTACAAAGAGACTTAGACTCCCACACATTAATAATGGGAGACTTTAACACCCCACTGTCAACATTAGACAGATCAACGAGGCAGAAAGTCAACAAGGATACCCAGGAATTGAACTCAGCTCTGCACCAAGCGGACCTAATAGACATCTACAGAACTCTCCACCCCAAATCAATAGAATATACACTTTTTCAGCACCACACCACACCTATTCCAAAATTGACCACACAGTTGGAAGTAAAGCTCTCCTCAGCAAATGTAAAAGAACAGAAATTATAACAAACTATCTCTCAGACCACAGTGCAATCAAACTAGAACTCAGGATTAAGAATCTCACTCAAAACTGCTCAACTACATGGAAACTGAACAACCTGCTCCTGAATGACTACTGGGTACATAACGAAATGAAGGCAGAAATAAAGATGTTCTTTGAAACCAATGAGAACAAAGACACAACATACCAGAATCTCTGGGACGCATTCAAAGCAGGGTGTAGAGGGAAATTTATAGCACTAAATGCCCACAAGAGAAAGCAGGAAAGATCCAAAATTGACACCCTAACATCACAATTAAAAGAACTAGAAAAGCAAGAGCAAACACATTCAAAAGCTAGCAGAAGGCAAGAAATAACTAAAATCAGAGCAGAACTGAAGGAAATAGAGACACAAAAAACCCTTCAAAAAATTAATGAATCCAGGAGCTGGTTTTTTGAAAGGATCAACAAAATTGATAGACTGCTAGCAAGACTAGTAAAGAAGAAAAGAGAGACGAATCAAATAGACGCAATAAAAAAAGATAAAGGGGATATCACCACCAATCCCACAGAAATACAAACTACCATCAGAGAATACTACAAACACCTCTACGCAAATAAACTAGAAAATCTAGAAGAAATGGATAAATTCCTTGACACATACACCCTCCCAAGACTAAACTAGGAAGAAGCTGAATCTCTGAATAGACCAATAACAGGCTCTGAAATTGTGGCAATAATCAATAGCTTACCAACCAAAAAGAGTCCAGGACCAGAAGGATTCACAGCCGAATTCTACCAGAGGTACAAGGAGGAACTGGTACCATTCCTTCTGAAACTATTCCAATCAATAGAAAAAGAGGGAATCCTCCCTAACTCATTTTATGAGGCCAGCATCATCCTGATACCAAAGCCTGGCAGAGACACAACCAAAAAAGAGAATTTTAGACCAATATCCTTGATGAACATTGATGCAAAAATCCTCAATAAAATACTGGCAAAGCAAATCCAGCAGCACATCAAAAAGCTTATCCACCATGATCAAGTGGGTTTCATCCCTGGGATGCAAGGCTGGTTCAGTATATGCAAATCAATAAATGTAATCCAGCATACAAACAGAACCAAAGACAAAAACCATATGACTATCTCAATAGATGCAGAAAAGGCCTTCAACAAAATTCAACAACCCTTCATGCTAAAAACTCTCAATAAATTAGGTATTGATGGGACGTATCTCAAAATAATAAGAGCTATCTATGACAAACCCACAGCCAATATCATACTGAATGGGCTTTCAGTTTTTCACCATTGTGTATGAGGTTAGCTGGGTTTTTCATACATGGCCTTTATTATGTTGAAGTGATTTCCTTCTATTCCTAGTTGGTTGATTGGTCACGTAGTAGTGTTGAATCTTATCATCTTGTCAATTTTTTTGCATCAATTGAGATGATTTGTGGTTTAGTTTCCCCTTCACTCTCTTAATGTATTACATTGATTGATTTTTATATATTAAGCCATGCTTACATTCCAGGAATAAATCCCACTGGTAATGGTGTATAATATTTTAAATGAGCTATTGAATTTAATTTGCTAATACATTTTTGGTGAGTAACTCATTTATCATGATATTCATCTACAGATTTATTTTTCTGTATTTTCTTGGTTAGGCTTTGTTATCAGTTTAATACTTTACTCAGAGTGGGCTTGAAAGTGTTCTCTCCTCTTCAAATTTTCAGAAAAGTTTGAGGAGGATGGATGTTAATTCTTCTTTAAATGTTTGAGAAAAGTTCCCTGTTAAGCTATCTAGTCCTGGGCTTTACTTTGCTGGGAGGTTGTTGATTATTGATTTAATCTCCTTATTAGTTATAGGTCTATTCAGATATTCTACTTTTTCATGATTCAGTGTTGGTAGGTTTTGCTTTTCTAGGAACATGTCTATTTCATCTAGACTATTAAATTTTTTGGAGTGCAATTTATCTTAGTACTCTTGTAATATTTTTGTATCTTTAGAAATAGTAGTAATGTCCTCTCTTTCATTTCTGATGTTACTTTTTTGAATCTTCTCTTTTTCTTAGTCCATCTAGCTAAAAGTTTGTCAATTTTGTTGAACTTTCCTAAGAACCAACTCTTGCCTTTATTATTTCTATTGTTTTTCTATTATTGATTTTGCTTATCTCTGTTCTAATTTTTATTATTTCCTTTTTGAGCTAGTTTTGTGTTTAGTTTGTTTTTCTATTTCTAGTATGCTAAAGTGTAATGTTAGGCTTATTGATGTGAGATCTTTCCTCCTTTTTAATATAAGCATTTATTTACAACTATAAATTTTTCTCATAACACTGTGTTTGCTGCATCCCGTAAGCTTTGGTATGTTATGCTGTAATTTTCATCTGTTTCGAGATATTCTATAATTACCCTTATGATTTCTTTTTTGATCCACTTGTTGTTTAAGAGCGTGTAGTACAGAATTCTGATAATCCTGGCCTTTGAGACGGGGGCTATATTTATTGGTGTCTTCTCTCAACTGACTCAGTCACAGCTAAACAAGTAGTCTTGTCTGAGAAGCCACTGATCTCTGAGGAGACAGATCTTATTGAGCTAACTCTACTGGAGAGCTCATGTGCCACATTGGTTCTTTGGCCTCTGTGTATCATAAGCCTCCAAATATTTTTGTGGAAGGAAGTCATGGAATCCATTGTAAATAGTTGCCAATTCATCATGGGAGTACTGATTCAGGTGACAGCCCTGTTGGTACCACTGCAACTAACCTGAAACAGCCTCAGGTTATCCCCTCATAAGGTAATCTTCTCAGGGGTCTTTTAAACCTTGACCTCAGTCAACCAGTCAATGTGCCACAGGTGTCCTCCATGCAGATGGGAGCAGTGGATCTCTTGGGAGGAGGATAAGATAGTCTGGTGGGACAATCCTTCATCCTATGATGGGTGTCTGCAACCTTTGTTTCTTCATCTACACCTGCTGTGGTCAGCAGTGGACTGAATGACCTGTTTGAACTCTCCACAGGGATAGGCATGGCACCTGGTGGGTATGTGGCTCCTAAGGCTATTTCTGGCTACCTGCATTACAGGATAAAGGCTTAGAGATTTCAGGAACATTGAGTCACCACCAAGGGCACATCTATATGGAAATGAACTTCACCAATACAGCTCTGCAGCATATGACAGATTTTGTAATCTAGTTTAACAAGAATAGCACTCCTCTGGCCATCCATACACCACTGATGCCAAACCAGAACATTGATGTCTCCCTGCCTCTCAATACTTTGGGCCTAGTCATGAAGATGACTGAATAACCTGCAGGTGGCTGTGAAAAACAATATTGATGTCTTCTACTTCAGTCACCTCACCCCACCTCACCCCAATCAGTGTGCTTTTTAGAAGATGGCAAAATGGAGCACCAGGTCTTTCTTGCAACAGGGAAGGATATTCCCAATGAAATGAACTTCAGTTTTAGATTAACGAATGTCATTTAAATGCTGACATTGTTTCCAGCAAGTTGCAAAACAATAATGTTTATACTATTGCCAAGAGTAATGTGGAAGGGCAGGACATGGTGTACCAATCCCTGAAGCTCACTAATGGCATTTGGATTTTGGCTGAGCTATGTATCCACCCAGGAAACCCCCATTATATGCTGTCACTGAAGTGCAGAGCTCCTGAAGTCTCCCAATACATATCAAGTCTAGGACAGCATTTTGAAAAGCTAACAAGACTTGTCCACTACCTTCCAATCACGCTGTGATCGGTGCAAGCCAAGAACTCTTTTTTTTTCTTTTAATGATTTCCAGTAAGAAAATGAATAATGATTTATTTTCCCCCAACTTTTTAAAAAATCACAAACCTTTATAAAAGTTTAAAAAATAATACAATGAACATCCACGTACCTTTACCTAGAGTCAACATTTTGTTATTTTCCCACATTTCTTTTTTTTAAATTTTTTTATTATACTTTAATTTCTAGGGTACATGTGCACAATGTGCAGGTTTGTTACATATGTATACATGTGCCATGTTGGTGTGCTGCACCCATTAACTTGTCATTTACATTAGGTATATCTCCTAATGCTATCCCTCCCCCCTCCCCCAACCCCACAACAGGCCCCAGTGTGTGATGTTCCCCTTCCTGTGTCCAAGTGTTCTCATTGTTCAATTCCCACCTATGAGCGAGAACATGTGGTGTTTGGTTTTTTGTCCTTGCAATAGTTTGCTGAGAATGATGGTTTCCAGCTTCATCCATGTCCCTACAAAGGACATGAACTCATCATTTTTTATGGCTGCATAGTATTCCATGGTGTATATGTGCCATGTTTTCTTAATCCAGTCTGTCACTCTTAACTGGAAGATGTGTTGCTGTGTAGAATCTGAACCCAAACATACTGAGGTAACCCAGCAAGGTAGTAACTAGTCTAACCTGTCTAACCTGTGCTAACATTAGAGTACAACCTGTTGGATACTTTTAGCATCCTGTGAACATTGGTAACCACTGCTTCAGTCACCTCCTAACTCTTGCCACCTGCTGCTCTTGTCTGTGGTTACTTGTGGGCTTCTCCGTGCTGTGCCAATGGCTGGCTTTTTCTACACCCTCTTTTGAGGGTAGTTTGGTATTTTGTAATTGAGAGCTCATTCCAAAAGCAGAAAAAGACAACAAATGCTAAAGCAAGAAAGTGTCACTGAAAAAAAGTGTGTTGTTTAATTTCCACATATTTGTAGATTTCCCACTTCTACTATTATTTTTCAGTTTCATTCCATTGTGATCAGAAAAGAATCACTGTACAATTTTAATCCTTTAACATTTATTAAAACTTGTTTAGTGGCCTAAAATATCGTCTATCCTGGAGAATGCCCATGTGTACTTCAGAGGAATATGCTACTGTTGATTAGAATAAAATTTTATTCTTTTCTTTATTTTGATTAGGAATGTGAGATTTAGGAATGAAATAGTTTACCTAGGATCAAGCAACAAGGAAGGTGACTTGGAAAGTTTAGAAACTCAAGTTTTTTAACATGAACATTTTATAATCAAAATATAATTTTCAAGTAGTTTAAAATATGATTCTTAAATAAACCCATGCCACAGACCTTGATTTAATCCATTAATTCTTAAGAAAACACTTAATATTGTAAAGATAGGACAAAATTATATTGAGAATCTATTTATACATGTTTTGAATAAAAAATGTTAAAATAAGACTGCAATGTTAAATAGTTAATTTGCTATATGGCAATATTAAAAAAATCTTTGGAATTATATTTTCTACCAGACATAAGTCCACAATTGAAGATGAAACTTATAAATGTTTGATCTCTAACTGAATAATAAATTCAAACACAGGTAGCGATTCTTAAGTAATTCCCTGGTATGACATTAAAAGTGCATGCCATACTTTCAATATGACTTCATTCTTTTGATTTTCAAATTTTGTATAACTTTTCTTGATATTATTACACATTGTAAATTGATGGAATTTTTCTTCTGAGTTTTAAATTTTCTGGGTCATCAACTTCGGAAAACTGACATGTATTAAATGAAAAATGGGGATTTATAGTGTGGAGTCTTTTTTTCTTATCTGTGGAGTTACATTTCACAGTTTAATAAAATTCTTAGCAATTTGTGCCAATGCAGGAATGTGAACAACATTTCGAGGACAGCTTTTGGTATAAGGGAACATTGCTTATACCTGGGAAGTACTAGTGCATAATGAATTTGGTGCTTAGATTTTCTAAATTGTGTATTTTTTTTTACATTAACTACAGTCAATATATCAAGTTTATAAAGATATATAATATTATTTGATATAATTTCAAATATTTCACGCACTTTGCAGGTCTCAATGTTAGCTCATGGATGTTGAATGTGAAGCTTTTAAGATTATTTTTTATAATGTCAGCTACATAATTAGGAATTTTCAGGTTAGAGTACATCTTTTTCCCACCTTATGTATTTAGGTTGTAAATAGTAAAAATAATAAAATTGTAGATCATAGGAATAAAAATATGTCATTTAAGGCAAAATAAGAGTACAGGATGGTTGAATAGTCCATGTATTTTATTAACTTGAGTGAAATGAATTAACATTCTTTAGTCAATACCACAATGGAAGCAAATTCACCATTAAACTGAGGAACTTATCTCTGGAGATTCTCTCTCAGCTGAAATAATTTTACAAATCTGTGGTTAAGTAGCTTCATCTCTGAATATGCCAGCAACAGTGAAAGAGCTGAATGGCCTATGAACTATGAAACTCTCACTTTACAAGTGGTCCAATAGGAACAGTGTTTAGCATGCACACAGCTCATGTGAGGCTGTTGGAATCTCCTTTGTATTCTATTCCTGCTTTCTGGGTTAATAGAGGGCTTACATGTTTAGAACTGTCAAGTGAGTATCTTTTTACAAGCATTACACCAATTTCAGTAGAGGGTAAAAGAACAAAGAATGTAATCTTATTCATATAATTCAAGAGCACTCAATTATTTGGGCACTCTGAGATCGTTATTTTATCATTTTGAAGAGCATGTAGTTAATTGAAGAATAAAGTGGATCTGACTTAGGAAAACTACATTTTAAAAAATACTATCTATGGCAATTCCTGTTGCTATTTCAAGTTTTCCAAGTAGAAGTTTTTTTTTTTTTTTTTGTCTGTTGTTGTTTTTCCTAAGACTCTTATTCCAGCTTCTAATTTTAAGTCTTATTGATACATGCTTTCTCTAGTTTTCTCATATAAAGACATACATTACTGTCTGATATATTTTAGTAGCCTCTTTCTTCAGCATTTGATCATTTCTTCAATATTTTCTATCTTTTACCGATTGACTACATCTTATTTCCCCAGTATAATACTGTAGTCTTCACTGTTCCCTCAATATCAGCCTTTTTCTTCATAGTTTCATAATTAGATTGGGGAGGATAAAACACAAATATATTGCCAATGAGCTTCTATAATCTTGTCAACAATGGCAATTTTTTAAGAAGTTTAGGGGATTTGTGGTTTTCATATTGTTGCCTGTGAAGGTAGCGTTTGTGTACTCATCAGGAAATTAAATGCTAATGGTGAAAGCAAGCTATTATAAGCAAAATGATATAGTCAATTAGGTCATCTTTTTCTGTAAGATTTTGTTTAATCCTGTGTAGAGTTGATAATAAATTGTTAAGGGTGGGGTATTTTTTAAACATCATCTGGTTTCACCTCTCCATTCTTAACATGAGGAATATATATCCAGAAATGTTAAGTGACCGATCAAAGTTTCACAGTTCCAAACATCTTTCATGTGTCCTGTTCCTGCTGAGATCTTTGATGTGAATTCTTTTTTTTTTTTTGTTTGTTTGTTTTTTTTTGTTTTTCTTTTTTTGAGACGGAGTCTCCTTCTGTCGCCCAGGCGGGAGTGCTGTGGCGCGATCTCCGCTCACTGCAAGCTCCGCCTTCCGGGTTCACGCCATTCTCCTGCCTCAGCCTCCTGAGTAGCTGGGACTACAGGCGCCCGCCACTGCGCCCGGCTAATTTTTTTTGTATTTTTTACTAGAGACGGGGTTTCACCGTGGTCTCGATCTCCTGACCTCGTGATCCGCCCGCCTCGGCCTCCCAAAGTGCTGGGATTACAGGCGTGAGCCACCGCGCCCGGCCGTGAATTCTTATTCATCAGAAGAAACCACACCATTCACTTTAGTACTTATGCTCAGAATATTTCTTGTGTTTATATTCTGTGGTGTCCACAAGATATATGTGGGGTTCATTACTTCCATTATGTACATTAAGTTCCTGGAAGGCATTCTACCAATACATTTTGTCCAGTGTGATAAGCCCACGGTATCAATAAAATTTGATAATTTGCTTTTTGTAACTTGTGGCTAATTGCAATTTCAAATAGAGTGATAAGTACAAGCTTCATTGAGACCTTCCTAGTTGATCAAAGGCTTGAAAGACATGAGATAGCTGTGCAGATACCCAGCAGAAAAGCATTCCAGGACAATGTGTCAGACAGTACAATTGGCCCAAGGTACCACTATTCCTGTTGTTTATGAGAAGTAGCAGGCAGTGTGGGTGGCCACTGTAGAATAAGCTAGTAATGAGATTGGGGAGTGGATGGTGCAGATCACACAGGGCCTTCTAAGCTGTATTTGACTCATATGGCTGTTGTAACAAATTACTACAAGCTGGATGGCTTAAAATGACATAAATTTATTTTTTCATAGTTCTAGAGACTATAAATGCAAAATCAAGATGTCAGTAGCACCAAGCTTTCTCTCAAAGCTGTAGAGAAGTATCCTTCCCTTGCTTTTCCTAGCTACCAGTCATTAGAACAGGGCCCACTCTAATACACAATGATGTCATCTTAACTTTATCATATTTGCAAAGACTATATTTCCAAATAAAGTCAAACTTCAATATTCCAGATAGACATGCCCTTTTGGAGGTCTATTAAATAAAGTACATAAGCCATTGAGAAGAACTTGTTTTTTAATTCTGTGGAAACGGAGCTATTGCAGGTATTTTAGCAAACAAGTAACATTATCTAGCTTTTAATTTAAAAAGATATCTCTGGTTGCTCCAGTGACATTGGACTGTAGGGGAGCAATGGCATGTAATGGGGAACCAGGTAGGGATCTATCAGTCATGACAAAGGTAAAGAATGATAGTGGCTCGGACCAAGTTTGTGTCCATGCAGGAGGTGAGAAACAGTCAGATTGTGGATATCTTTAGAAGATTAAACCAACAGAATTTCCTGATAAAATCAGCTATACAATATGAGAGTAAGAAAGGGGTACAAAATGATCCCAAATTTTTGCCCTGAGCCATTGGAAGTGACTGTATTATCCACTGAAATGGAAAAGGCTGATAAAGAAGCAGGTATTAACATTTTGTTTTTGTTACCTGAGGACATTTCTGGTAGGCAGTTGATATAGAACTCTGGAGTTTATGAGCAAGGTCTGAGTAGCAGATCCATATTTAGGAGTCACAGCAAATAAATGCATTTAAAGTCACTGAAAGGAATAAAATCACATTGCACATAAGTGTAGATGGAAATGAGAAGATAACCAAGAACTGAGTCCTAGCACATTTCAACATTAAGTGGTAGGGGAGAAGAGAACTCAACAAAGGAGACAGAAAGGACAATCATTACCACCAGGCACGGTGGCTCAAACGCCTGTAATCCCAGCACTTTGGGAGGCCGAGGCAGGGGAATCACCTGAGGTCAGGTGTTGAGACCAGGCTGACCAACATGGTGAAACAGCATCTCTACTAAAAATACAAAAATTAGCTGGGTGTGGTGGCGCATGTCTGTAACCCCAGCTACTTGGGATGCCGAGACAGGAGAATCATTTGAACCTGGGAGGCAGAGGTTGCAGTGAACCGAGACTGTGCCACTGCACTCCAGCCTGGGCAACAAGAGCGAAACTCCATTTCAAAAAAAAAAAAAAAGAACAATCATTAAATCATTATCATCAGAGGTTTTTCAGAAGGGTTAAATAAGATACAGCAATAAATCCATTTAGCTCCATGGTTCACTTTTAGTAAGCACTCAGTAAATCCTAGCTGTTTGTCACTAGTTAACTATTATACTATAGTTATCTGAGTTTCCCACAATACTGTATGTTTCTTGAAGGCAGTTACAAACATGGTACTTGGTACATAATGGGTAATCATTTAATATTTGTTGAATAAATGAGTGAAGTTCCTTATTTGTTTCTGTAATTTTTATTTGTACTTACTCTGTTATAGCCCTTGTGCTATGGTATTATAATGGTTTGTTATTACGGCTGTTAGCTTCCCTATCTGCTCACATTTGAATTTATATTAGATATTAAACACAACTTTTATGGTGTAAAGAGATTAGTCAAGGCAGAATTGAAATAATGATCTCTGTCTCTTTCTTTCCTTTTTCGTTAGCTTTCCAAATATTTCCAGAGTGCATGCACTATTGTTCATATGTACCACTATACCTTATACCAGACTACCATTATCAATCATAAGGATTATTGCAACAGTTTCCTAACTGGTAACTCTTTCTCCTGATGAGATCTCTTCCAAATTCCTCTTATTGTCAAGCCAAAGTGATATTTCAAAATGCACAATTCTGATCAGCTTAGTCTCCCCATAAGACTGTTCAATAATTTTTATCAATAAAATAAAATAAAGATTTCACCTTTGGCCATACTTTCAATCTCATTTTTCTCAGAACTACTTTTAGTGTTCTCATCTGTACCTTCACTAAACCTTTTTTAAAACTTATTTTGTATTTAGCTTTTATTTATTGAGCTTTTAAAAAATAACCATCCCTGTAATAAGAGGTGAGGATACAGCGATAAACAAAGTAGGTAATTTCACTTTCTTTGTGGAGATTACAAAATGATTGATAAGGTAGGCATTTAAATAAATAGCTGCAAATTTGAAGAGTGTTCTAGAACTGCAGGGTGATACGGTTGTGTTTTATGAAGAACCTTAGTCCCAGGTTAGGAGCGGGGTGGAGGGATTCCTTTCATCTTGTCTGCATATATTTATATAAGAAGTGACTCATCCTAGGACACTCTTCACCTCTCAGTTTGTCTAGTCACTTTTCAGATATCAATTTATACATCTGTTATTCATTCAGACTTCAGTGACTCTAAGTTTAGGCTAATGCTCTCGTCTTTTCTGCATTTACCAATCATATCAGGTTTCCTCATTGTAAACATCTGTTTAATGTTCACTCTGTAAGCTTTGTGATGACAAGTATAAGGTTCTATTTATTGCTGTGTCCCTTTTGCTTAGAATGGTCCTGGGTACAATGAATTTTTGTTGAATGAATAAATAAATACATATAAATGTGTCTTTTACCTTTTTCTACTCTCTTGTCCTTTTAAGGACATATTATATCAAAGTTATCCCATGCCTGCAACAAGAGGAAATCAATAAATATTTGTTTAAAACTTAATTAGGAGAGGAGTGTGAATGTGGTTTCTACCTTCTCCAATGCCCCTCCTTCCCTTTAGGCAGATAATTTTCTTTGTTACTCCCTTCAAGCAAAGGCATGACAAAATAATACATTCATGAACACTGAAGTGCTAAGAATATGATATGTTACTTATTAACTATTCCAGATGAGTTTGTCATCTACTAACATCTAGGCATTCGGTATATATTATAAACAGTTCAGATTTTGTTCCTACCAACCTGGATCCTCACCTGCCCAGTTCTCCTCTCTAAAAGGACCGAGTGGTATTAGCACTTGGGTTATTGGAGCATTTTTAATAGTTATAGACTATCATAAAATTTCTAAAGTTCAAATAAAAATAAGTAAAAATATTTTTGTACATTTGTAATCTCATTTAATAATTAACATTTCTAATTATGGAAGTAATAACATGCCTTGTATTTAGAAATAGATTACTGTTTTCAAACATTTTTAAATTGCATCCTCCCATCCTAACAGTGTTAAGCAGGGAAAAATGTTACCATTAATTCTATTTTGCAGAGGAGGAAAGACTCAATTTAATGTTTCCTCACTTGCTTAAGTTTACATGTGTAGAAATTAAGGACATAAGTATTCTAATTTCAAATTCAAAAAGTTTTTTCTACTTAAAAGCATTGCCATTTACTTAGCTTATTCAACACAAACCAGAAAGTTTAACAAACATCTAATGAATTCAGTTTTTTAGACTGCTCTTCAAGGTGATTTAAGAACTCAAACTAATTTCTACAATGTGGGATTTTCCTTGGTCAAAAAAGCATACACAATTATTTCAGGTTTTGGTTTGGTTATGTAGATGTTTAGATTTGCTTGTCTTAAATATCCTATTTCTTAACATAATGGAATATGTTTTGTGTTAATAAAATAAAACCAATAGGAGGATAAAAATCACTCCTTTATATTTGGCACACTTAGGCTTGCTGAGAGCTAGTCCCAGTGGTGGCCCAGAAGTCGGATATTTTCATTTTCTTGTTCTGAGAAAATTAAATTACCCTGTTTCAAGAAGTTGAGAGTTATACTGGAATATCACCCATCTGAGTGCATTCACAGAAACTCTCTGGAGTGATCATTATGCTAAACAAAATGCTCAAGCAGCTCTTGATACCTATTGGTTTCAATGACACTCACTTTATACTCTTATTAGTATTTATTTTTATATTATTTTCTTTTTAGATAGAGCCTGAACTTTTCTGCATTTCAAATTATGGGAACAGATTCCCTTTACCCTTCGAAAATTCCGGTAGAAGTGGTTCCCTTTAAGTCATATCAGACAGGTTAGTCAGAAAATGTGAGCAGATTGGGAATCATCAATTAATCCTATTTTTTCTATTATGGGAAAAATTATCTAGGATGCTTTCTTTTTTTTATTTTTCTCTTTCCCCATCTTAAAAAATAAAACAAAAACAAAACAACGACAATAAAAAAGAAAGGTAATAAGACACTAACTACATAAGTAATGGGCACACAAACTTTAATAAACTTTGTTTTTAAATCTTGTTTTATTATTTTAGGATCATTGTTATTGTTATTATTTTAACATCTAATAGAGACTTATATATAATTTCATGGAATTTATTGCTAAATACGCTATTTGAAATGGTTAAGTTTAGTATATTTTGATTCGATGAATAACCTGAAAAAGAAAACACTCTAAAAATTTATATTAAATGGAATAAATAAGCTCTGTATCTTGTATGCTGATTGAGAGCTTAGAATAATTAAGAAGTTATGTAATAATTATCAGAAAAAAATTAAAAACTTGGAACTTTGATAAATAATAAAAGTAGAATTTCTTTTAATTTCTCTTGGAGTCTAGGCTCATATCTGACAGATAGTAAAGAATTATATAAATGCTAATTAGATGAATAAAGGAACATATAGATGACTTTGGTCACATGACACATTGTTAGTTGCTGAAAACACAGCCTTGGCACTCATGAAACTTACATTTTTAGTTTCCACTGCTTCACGCTACACACGTCACCATTATTGGTCTTTTGGAATACCACGGTAATTTCTTAACTATTTTCTTTGATTCTGCTCTTGCTCTTCCTTGGAAAATAGAATTAGAAACAAAATATCCTCCCAATTCAAAAAACCTCTTCACAGTTGCAGAAGAGAAAGTAACAGTTAGATTATTAAATAAGCATTAAACTAGAATGTGTTGTGTGTCACAGGCAATGGAATAAGAGATTGAAAAGACAGAAAAAAAATTTCACCCTTTTATTTAGCCAAGCAGTTATAACTCGTTACATAAATGTTCTCAAGATAAACAATAACTAGGCCTCAAATAAGAGGTCTTGACAGCACCATTTGTCACACATAGTTCATTCTAAATTCATTTGATAATTGGGGTGACCATCTGTGTAAGCTAATTGCCTTTATCCAAAGAAATAATGAAGTTTTTGTATCTTCATGAAAAAGTTTGTTTTACAACTTGGAATGAGTCACCTGAGGATGTTAGGCTTTGCTTTTCCATAGAAACTGGAAGACAAGGGTGCTCTGTGTGTGTGTGTGTGTGTGTGTGTGCGCGCGTGTGTGTGTGTATGTGTATATATATATATATATATATATATGATGACTACATCTCACATAGGTGACTCTGAGATCCTTGAGAAAGACATTTGTGGGTTTCAAAGCTAGCAAGAGGCTTATTCAGCTTTTAAAAAGATTTATGTGTATTTTAAAGAGACAGAGAGAGAACTAATAACATTTCTAAAGTAAATGCTCCAAGAAAAGGAGGAGGAGACTCTTCTCTTATTTTCAACAGAGAGAATTCAGCCGTTCATTTTTAATTTGCATTTTCCCTTCTGCCCCTTCTAATCTCTACACAGAAACCAGATAGATCACTCAAAACATTACTCACTTTTCGGAACTACTCTAAAGTTTTCCGTCTCACCCAGAGTGAAAGTAGAAATTCTTAATATAGCCTACAAAGCTCTACGTTACTTTGGCTTTTCCCCATTCCCCATCATCCTCCCTTATCTATGAGCTCATACTGCTGCCCTGATATAGTTTGGATCTGTCTGTGTCCCCCTTCAAATCTCACACTGAATTGTAACTTTCAGTGTTGGAGGTGGGGCCTAGTGGAAGGTGATTGGATCATGGGGGTGGATTTCCTTCTTGATACTGTGTTGCTACAGTGAGTGAGTTCTTGTGAGATCTGGTTGAAAGAAAGTTAGCATTTGTGTACTTTGCTTATGATAGTATAAAAGGGTAAAAACAATGACAAGAACAATTTGGAAATACAGATTAGAATTTTCAGATGAAATTCACTCTCACCCAGACATCCTACTTAGAAAAATTAGTATTCAATAAACTGAAACATGTATGAAATATTTATAAAGGTTGCTTGTTGAAACGTTGTTTTTAGTGTTTTAACCCATCTACAAAATCTATTAATAGGTGTTGTTAAGTTACTTACAGCACATCTATACAATGCAACATTATGCAGCCCTTAAAAAGAATGAGACCAATTTTTATGTACTGATAGTGAAAAGCTAGCCAACGTATACTGAAATGTTGACAAAAAAGATAAAGAATAACGCATATAGTATGTGATCATTTGTTCCAAATGTGCATTTGATTGTATATGCATAAAATCTCTCTGGCAGTGGTGGTGGTAGAAACTAGAAACTAGACAGTGGTGGCAGAAAAACTATGGGTACTAGGGAACACAAGTTAGGTAGACAAACTTCCTTATGTAACCTTTCATATCTACTTAGTTTTGTACATTTATTTTTATCTTTTAAAATATACTCAATAAATTTTGAGATACTTAGTTTTAAAGGAGTATTACATTTCTTCAGTGAAGGATTCCTAGTCTAGACTAGCCTACTCTGGTATAGAATAAAGATGTTACCACAATGTTATGATTCTGATATTCAGAAATAGAACCAGTTGCCCATACAAACCACAACAGAGTGGAGTAGGTCCAATAATTTCCTAAATTGCATACAATACTAGACTTAAAATAGGGATGTGTGTGTTTAAGTAAAGTCATACCTACTTAAATTGAACCTACTGATTCATTGAAAGCACTGAGATTTTTTTTCTCTCACATAAACTGTCCACTGATTTGATCATTAACTATTTAGCAAATAATTAAGGTGTTCTTAACATAGACTTTATATATGTAAAACACAGTTTTTATTTTGCTGGCTTTCATTCACTGATTAACAGGATTACCTTCCCAGGTAATTTTACTCCACTAACTGACATTTTTGGGTAACTTACCCCTCCAACCATAAATCAGACTAATCATAGTGTTATCTCATTGAATTTTCTTCATCTTGCTTATAACAATTTAATATGACACAACATCAAATTTATCGTTGAAATTAGAACATTCTCCATGTGTGAACTCCTCTCACCTGTGTGTAGGATGGAGTTGATATGCACTATACTGGAAAACTCTAGACTTTAGAGTTGCCTGGATGTCTGGCTTTACTTCTTAGTTAAAATAACGAGAGTAGAATTTAAACTCTGAAATGATTCTGGTAACTCCCTGGGATATTTTGTTTGTTGATTATTTTCACTCAGCACAAGCAGTTAAACAGCTTGGTGTAACTATTCGATTAGAAAGACGTCCTGGCAATTTGTGACTCCAGTTCTCCTAAAGCCAAGATTTATTGCAAAGATCTTGGTTTAATAGGGATAGGAAGTGCCTTGAGTGTGTTGAAAAAGACCTTGTGAAGCAGAGTGCCCAATCTTTTGGCTTCCCTGGGCCACATTGGAAGAAGAAGAATTGTCTTGGGCCACATGTAAAATACACTAACACTAACCATAGCTAATAAGCTAAAAAAAAGAAAAGAAAAAAGAAAAATAAATTTAAAATTCATTAATTAATTAAATCTTAATGTTTTAAGAAAGTTTATGAATTTGTGTTGGGCTACATTCAAAGCTGTTCTGGGCCACATGAGGCCCACGGGCCGTGGGTTGGACAAGCTTGCTTTAGAGTTTGCATATACGGTTATCTCTTGGAACTCCAATGCTTGCCTGAACTCTCTTCCTTTTTTTCTTTTTTTTTCACACTGTGAACTTTGCCTTTTTAGCAAAGCATTACTATAAAGCATTACTCTTTTGGGTCTGATGAAGCCTTTCCAGTATGTCAGCTTATGAAAAAAATTCAAATTTCCTATACAACTTCATTAAAATTCTCAAAAGATGTTAGTCTGAAATTTGTTTATTAATGAACCCATGCAGGCTCCTAATGATTAAATAAAATGACCACACACACACACACACACACACACACACACACACACACACTCTCATACACACACACTAATCTTCTGCTTAATTATCCTTTGTACAAAGTTCCAAAGGATTACTATTAAAGTTATTATTTGTAATTTTCAAATTACAAGATTCTTCCTTTTTGAAAATTTGTATGTTTGCCTGTCATTAGTTATTGAACCCCTATATAGCTGACTATGATTTTCAAAGATTTTTCCAGTTTCAAACCAGTTTTGAATTCCTGTTTTAAAACTCTGATTGGTGCACATGGGTCAGATATCCAATAAACTGAAGCCTGGAAGTACACAAATGTATATGGTATTGCAAAGCTACCAGAGACTCAAACAACATGCCCAATTTTGGTCTCAGAGACTAGAAAATGAGAATCCTGTGAAATCCTGTAGTTGATTTCAAGTTTCAAATATTTGTACATCTCTCTCTGCTTTGTATTAGAGCTCCAATGCCACAATTCTAATCACCTATTTAATACTAATGTTTCCCTAACATCAAGAAATATAAAGTTAATCTGTATTGCTTGAAATAGTATAATATTACCAATAACAGTGAGTCGTATTTATAATGTACAAGGCAATGTTTATTTGCATACATTATTTTTTGTGTTCATGCCATCTTTTTGTGATAGGTACTTTATTAGCTCTCTTGTATAGGTGGAAAAACGGAGGCACAGAGATGTTATGTAAGTTCTTTAAGATCACGAGGCTGGTCAGCATTGGAGTTGCAATTCAATCTCAGATCTTTTCTACTCTAGAGCTTATGACTGTAAACAGTATTTTACATTGCTTTTCATAACAGTTTTCTCTTTTGACTTATTTTTTTTCTAAATCAATAAGACTTAAAATCTCAATGTCGTCTTCAATGTCAATTTTCACTGTGCCATCTCATAATGCCATTAACCAATAACTTCTAGTATCTTCAAACACAAACTCTCTCTGGTTTAAGCCCTGGTTCCTGGAGACCTGAAATGCTGCAGGGGTTTCTATATGTGCTTTCTGTTTCCATTCTTTCCCCTGCCAACTCCACTTCTTACACGCCTCTTTATACACGATTAGTAGGATGAACTTACTAAATCAAAGCTCTGATTATGTCTTAAATTTTCTGTGAAAACCTTTTAATGGTATCATATTATCTGCCAAAAAATTCTTTTGGTTGGTCAGGACATGCCAATTCAGTTTCAGTTTTTTTCCTTCTTATCTTTTGCTGTTTACACACATGGAGACTCTGGTTCCCTCAAACTTCCTTGTTCTTTTTTAGCTTTCCTCCCTCATTGCCCATCACAAAGCCCTTGTGTTTTTTCACCTCTGCCTTCTTCTCTAATGATGTTTTTCCAGTTTGGAAAGCAAAACTTGGGTCCTCAAACTTGTTCAGTCTTTCACACTGCCTCTTTCTTACCTTCTTTCACCAAGCACCTACCATCCCTAATTTATTGATTGCCTTGTCATGTCAGTTCTGTTTTCTTTTGTCCATGTTGCTTAAATGGCATTCTATCTTGCTGAGAGATTAGCTTGACAATTTGTACATGATGATTAACAAATTCACTAACATTTATTGATCGATTGGTTTTGTACTTTATAAACTGAAATATAGTACTTTACTTTTTCTGCAGATGTTTCATAATTACAAACATCTCAAAACTTTTGGTGCAGCAAAAAGCAATTTAAAAGAGCATTTGCCAACTTTTTTTAGCTATCGCAATGGAAACATCTAGGATATTTTTCTTTTCCTTTTTTTTTTTTTTTTACTGTTTGTCCAATAAGCCTAAAACTATATTCTAGGGGCAGATAATGGCTCTGATTGCAGCTGAGGTACACAGAAGGGAAAACAAACATTCAGCTCTAAAAACCATGGAGTTAAGAACCCAGCTCCAAGTCTTTTGTGCCCATGGAATTAAAGGTCACTAAGCTCCTGCCTCATGCTGACTTGGCATCTACCTACCCCTCAGCCATGAGACCTTGACTTCCTGAAGCGCACTCAAGGGATTGACTGCTTACTGTGGATTTGTCTTTACTTCAAGTCAAGTGATTTTGCTTTTAAAAGAAATGGAAGCCTCTCATTCTATGTCATGGAATCCTAGAGGGAAGAAACAATTCCCTGTGATACCTCTATTTCTCAAATTCATCATTGCATTTATTTATTAACTCAACTTTGTCAGAACTTGTTTTTCCTTATAAAAATATCCATGATGTTTGGAATATGTAGGTTTGTGTGCTAAAACAATCTTTGCCTTCAATTCATATTACTATTAAATATATTTATGCTGCGCAGATATATAGCACACAATTTATTATGTAGGTGTAATATAAACGTATTAGGATGGCACAGTATAACATAAAAGAAGTAGATACAATAGCAATATATCTGTAAAGACATTTTAATGAAGCATTAATGAAAAGCACATCATTAACTTCTTTCTAGGCTTGATAATATTCATTTATGTTATAACACTCTCTGAGAAACTTGCTGCTGAAAGCTGGAAGTGACCTAGGGATCATCCATTTCAAACATCTTACCCTCTGCCAGCATATTCTGCACAATACACTTGCCTTATGGTATCCATTTGTTTGTACATTAATAAAGGAGCTATTGTGTGTGGCACTGAAGCACCTCTGTGAAGAGTGGCACTTATTAAACACTCTGACTATCCAACAAGGTACCTGGTATCAGAAGGTGGCATTAAGGAAACAGATGAACATTATGCAGCTTGAAACTTATCAACTTAGGGATTGCAAGAGAAAAGTAGAACAAATATTCTTACCTAAATTTTCAATCAGACAAAATTGCAGTGAAATTTTGTCCATGTCTAATGTACAGTATAATTTTAAACATTTTGCCATTTTCATTAAGGCTGAGCAATTTTAAAGTGAGCCTTTGCATTCTGGCTAATACAGCAGGAGTGGTGTTATTATAGCACTGACTGCAGCTGCTTAGAATAAGGCATTTGGAGTGTGTTCAAAACTGATGTGATGACTAACTTGAACACGAGGATTATATTTTACCCAAGATGCTAGCTCATATACCATAGGCAATTGATTTTCTACTTTAATGTAGAATTTCCCTAAATTACTCCATTGACTTTCAATTTGGGTTGACCAGACTAGAAATCCCCCAGGACACTTCATTAATTCCCAGTAAGGGTGCAGCTCTCTGAATTATTAAAGCTGAATGTGTTTTAGTTTTCTCACTTGCAAAATGAAGCCTAGGTAGTTCTTGGCATCCTTCTGACTCTAATTCTTAGATGTAGTTGTCACCAAGTAATTCTTAGCTTTACAGTAGTCTGTTTACTTGCTAATATATGAAGAAACACTATGAATTATGGATATCAATGCAATGGTTTCCATACAGAAACCCTTAATAAATATTTGTTGAATTAATAATTTTGTGCAGGAGAATCACCTGAATTATGGGTATAACAACACTTTGCTAAAATAAGTAGAGATCTTCACTGTAGCCTAAACTATGTTTAATCTCTTGAATATCTGAAGAGCGTGGGGAGTATATCACGGACTACTTGACAAGACATCAGGTTAAGACTTGAGAAAGTACTAATTCTAAAAGGAGGGCAAATGAAGTAACTCAATGTCAGAGGGCTATGAAACTTTTAATGAAGAACTTTATTATTTAATCAGGTTGCAATATGTTCTATATTTCTCAAATTTATATCCACATGCTGAGAGGCATAATCAGCAATGAACCTGGAGAGAACATATCCAAGTAAAGGTCATAGATCGAGTGTACTTTCAATTTTTTTCTCTTTTGCTACTGCATTAAAGCTACAGTGAGAACATTAAAAAATACGTAAGCTGACAAGGATAGAAGTATAGGGGTAGTGGTGACTGTAAAAAAAAATTATATCTAGATAATATAAATGGAGGAGTATTAACTGGCATAGCATCCAAATAAAGCCAAATTCCACAATGGCAATAAGGAGAGGTGAAATCATCCTGATTTACACTGTAGGATCAGCAAAAGTCTCAAAAACTTAGGGAACCAAGCATATAGGACTGGAAATGAATTGGATATGAGGTAAAATATAGAGCACCAGAGTGAAAGCTACTTGAGAAGTCAAATCCTTACATTCTCTGACTTTATAATCCCTAATAAAAACCTGAAGTTTGACTAGAAAGAGAAAGTTCATCACATGGTCTCTGAATTGAAGGAGTTGGGTCATGATACAAACTCTATGTTGTGGCTAAAATTTACAAAACAGGAATGCTGCATGTGAATTTAAAGACCTGTCAGCCTTATTTTTGTTCCTAAATCCCTAAGAACAGTCAATCAGACTCTCTAGGCAAGATTTATAAAGATTTTTATCTGAGGAATCTCACCAGTCTCAAAGAAGCTCACAAAAGATAAGGAGTTCTCTAATAAATGAAGCAACATACAACCTGATTTGTCCGGTATAGTTCTAGTTTATGCATATT
Source organism: Homo sapiens (assembly GCF_000001405.40). NCBI lineage: Eukaryota > Metazoa > Chordata > Mammalia > Primates > Hominidae > Homo > Homo sapiens. The sequence continues at coordinate 103,944,741 of NC_000001.11, forward strand.
GTTTTGACATATGAACAGTGCCTCCTTAATCTCAAAACTTTAGACAATGATTTGCATGGCTACCCCATGCTTTACTGAAACTTAAAGTTGACAAATTGAATTTACATGCTCAAAACTACAAATGAGATTTTAATTCTCTCACTCTTTGTTATGAGCCAAGGATGATAAGACTTCTGAATACAGCTTCAGTTATGAAAGATTCACACACACACACACACACACACACACACACACACTCTCACACTCCAAATTGGCAGAAAGAAAAAAACTAAAAGAATAAGTATTAGCAATATTTTTAAGAGACAAGACAACTTATTTTGTTAATAAAACAAGATACTATTTAAAAATGAAAAAAAAACAACTCTTGGAAACTAAAATAAATAAATAGTAGAAAACTGTAAGACCTATTCAGAATGTCAACTTTTGAATAATAAGAGATTCGGAAAGATAAACACAGAAAATAGAGAGGATGATGTTATAAAAAAGTTATTCAAGGAATATTGAAACCACTGAGTGCCTAGCAAAATAGATGAAATATGAAAGTCGTCCATTATGAAATTTCAAACCAAATATGATTTAGCTTTTGGTCATGGCAGTTTGGCTTGCATTAGACCAACTCTCCTGCTGAACACAATTAGAAAAATTGATAGAAAATCTACATAAAACCTAAAACACGTTGGCAGGAAATTGTAGGGTTCTGAGTGCCCAGAGAAATTGACACCTGGGCTTCGGGTGAGAATGTTCCTTTGCCCCTAGAAACTTCTTTCCTCATTGGGAGAGAGACAGAGCTAGCCCAGAATATAGTCCTATAAAGAACAGGCTTTGGAGCTATAGAATGTACCCAGCAGGAGGCTGGTATACGTTTTATTTGCATTTTTAAGTTGTTCATATATGCTGTGTACACTTTTCAGTATGTGTAATAAAATTAATAAATAATAATATAAAAATATTGAAAAGAGCTCCTTTGTTGGAGTTCTGAAGACTTTGGATAAGAAAGAACATAGTGTTTTGGGGCTCAAGTAACTTACTTTAAGAATGATCTGGTGGAGGAGATTGCCTCACTTTGTTAGTACACTCTGGGGCTCTGGTCTGCTGTGGGGCTAACATTGTGTTTTGAGTAGGAGGAAATGTTGTCAGCAGCTCTGAAAGCTCAAGAGTGGGGGTGGTGACTTTGTATGCACAAGTTACCTTCCCGATGTCATTACCACGGAGAGCTGTAACTGTAGAAGAGGAAAGTCGATAGCCTTGGATTCTAAGGAGATTTGCTTCTATGTGCCAAGAACAAGGGCAGAAGGAGGAAACAGGAAGTGTATTTATACTTTGCTTGGATATAACTGGTAAACCAGATTCATAGAATACAGCAAGTGTTTTAAGCTGTTCATATTGTTGCACACAACATATGCAACATTAATTATATAACTTTGAATCAGAATTGAAGGTCTGTAAAATGCTTCTGAAATCTTATCACATATAACCTAAATAAATCTTTGTGAGATATTATACTTTTTCTGTCTTCTCCATTAAGCTGAATCTTGAGAATGGAATTATGTCATTTATTTCTATATACGTGTCTGCCTCATCTTGTTTCTGAATGGAATGAATCTTATTTCTATTTTTCAAATGGACAAAGTTGATATTTTAAACTTACAAAGTTGAGATTTCAACTAAGATTTGAACTAACTCTTCTTGATAACAAACATGGAAAATACTTGAAATAACTTTAAACTGTTATTTTTTTAATATTAAGCATGTTTTATAAATTAAAATTAGAGGTCATTATAAACAAGCAGCATTTAAGCAGAAATGTCAGATGAATGCTCACATGGGGAAATGCAGAGTCGGAATGGATCATGGTTATAATGGGTCTTACACAGACCAACCCTATCCATGAGGGTTTTCTCTGAGTTGTGGTAAAGTTAATAGAAAAATGTGAATTTTAAAAAAAGATAAATTTATCTAATTCAACATAACATAGTTAATTTAAAATCACATATCTCCTACTTTTTTTGGTGGTTAAAACTTATTTGTTCATAACATCATGGTAAAAAAAATAGTATTATTTTTGTAACACAAGCTGAATTTGGAACCACATATCACCCATTCAATTCTAAAACTATTATTTCTTACTAATAAAGTGATAGAATGATTATAATTTTTCTGTCATCTCTGAGGCAATATAAGCTGACTTTTAAAGTTAAATTATTTACATCATTTGCCATATAAAACTGGAGCACAACTTATTCCTACAGTAAATATTTCTAGAAGGAAAGACATGGTCACATGGCAAACAAAGCTAAATCCAGGATAAAAATGCATCCATCCATAATTCTCTTTCAGAGATGGTACCTTAAGAGGAACATTGTTTGCTTACATGTGCAATTAGGTTTTTAATTAGAGTGTTAAAACTTGAACAGAAACCTCATACGTAGCTAATTAAAAAATAACCAGCTTGCACTCCAATCAGCATACCTGGGTGGTCTTTGACTAGGAAATATATAGATTACTTTATTCAGATTTGGATTATTTTTTGTTCTACCAAAGTAGGAGAGACATAATTCAGTACCCTACTCTGCTTTTCTTTCTCCTTTAAATTTGAATTTGAGTACAAATGACTTTAAATTAGGCTGTTTGTTTCCATAGTGAGTTTAAGGACTTACCCATCAATGTGCAATTTCTTCAACCAACATTACTGTTACAATTTTCTCTGATATAAATAATCCAATTTCTAATAATAATAATAATGATAATTTTAATTTAAACATCTTGCAATGACATTTTTGAGAAAGTATTATAGTCAAAAGTAGATCAAAATCTGCCTTGGGTGCTGGAGGTATAGCAAATTTTCAGGTAAAGGACATTTGACAGGCTTTATATGTTACATAATTTTCTTGTTTTATACATAGATCACATATATGTATATGTATACATAAAGCAATTATTTATGTAACAATTATATATGCATATATGTAAAACAATAGTAACATAGTAGGAATAGAAATTTTCTACCAAGTTTTCTTTTTAGAACAAAAGATTTTCTTACAGAAAGAAATGCTAACATCATACTGTATCTTAGGAAAAAAAAATGTTGTTTGTGGAGCTTTGAGAAAGATAGCATCTGCCAATCCAATAACTCAGCACCTACAATTCTGCTGTATTGTCTGTAGTTAGAATATGAACTGGGAAAATGACAATATATTTTTTCCCCAGGATTGCTCTATGAAGAAGACTCTGCTGGAAATTTGTTGAAGGACAGCAAAGGGAAACAAAAAAAGTAAGAAAATATCTACATCAGGTATTATGAAATAATTTACCTCACTGAATTTTATCTCCATGATAATTGTTCTACTTTTAGCACCCTTCTTTCTCCCTCCCCTTTCTTTAGGTTAATAGAAATAAGCAAATGGAAAACAATTGAGATAATTTTACTCTAAATTATTTCTCAAAATTATTATAATAACAGACTAAGTTTGGTTGTCACCTGCAGCATGACTCTTCCTGCTGTCCCTCTGTTTACTCTCCTGGCTAAGGTGTGTAGCTCATGTTCTCCCACAATCGTCTATTTATATCTATGAGAACACTTACTGCGCTGGTGGAATATTCTATTTATGTGTTGATTCCCTTTCTTGGAATGTAGACTTCTTGAGAATTTTCAAATGTTGAAGTCATTTTTGTGCTTCCAGCACCTAGCACAGTGCCTGATACATAGTAATACTCAACCAACGTTTCTTAAATAAATATCTATCAGCAGGGAACTAATAGATAAGTATACTTAAGTTGAAGTTTTTCGGGCACATATTTGAGTATAAGAACAATTTTTAAAAGTCAGATGTTTAGCTGTCTTAAAAAGCCTAAGTAGTTAACTTTGCATCAATATTGTAGAGCAAATACTTAATCATGGAAAAAAAAAAATCTTAAGTCTTATGCTTTTCACTGCTATCTTGCTATTTTAAAATTTGTCCTGAAGGTGGCAACATTGAATAATTTTCTGCACATTTTTCTAAATAAAGCCTTTATGGCCACTTTTAATTAAAGTTTTATATTTAGAAATAAACACGTTTCCCCCACTTTCTATTGTATTGTAGAAGAAAATATTTTATGGATTTTTTATTTTTTTACCTAGTAACCTTGAATATACATGTTGAAAGAAGCTGTTTGCGACTTTTAAGAATAAAACTTAACCCAAATAAGGTTCAAGGTAGAGCTACTCAAATGTCCAAATGTAAGATAGGGATTAAACACAACATATGTTTTCTGCCAAGCAAATTTATATCAATAGACATGCTTAACTGTAAGTGTAAATCAATGCTAGTTCTTTTTAGGTAAAAACTTATTTTCTTGCTATAGTGATTCAAATTCAACAGAATATTTTTAGTATCCAATGTGATCTGTTAATAAAGGAATACAGATATTTGTCAGGAATTGCTTTAACAAATAACAAGAAACAAGTAACCAGAAACTTAAAAAATTCTGCCATCAACAACTACTTTGTAAAGTTATCAACAATGGAATATATTTGATTATCACACTTAGGAATTCATTATTTTATATTCTATCTTCCATTTTTGGATGTTAGCTCATTAATAAACAATGCTTTAATAACTTATGTTCATCCCAATCTTTAAAGTCTTACTGTGAAACAGAAAGGTAGCAAGTCATGTGTCACAGAGGTTAATTAACTTATATAAGAACTGTCAATGGTAAAGCCAAAAAAGGAACTATGCATTTTGTATCTGTGGATGGTGACAAGTGCTCATGTTTATAAGTCTATCATTGTCATCATAGACTGTTCAGTCTCTTAACGTGGCTTCTGCGAGATAGGCTAATATCTGTTTTCATGCTATTTTATATTAGGATTTTGTTGTATGTGCAATTTATGTTTTGACTTATAGCTTTTTGGGCTCTATGCACTAGTGATGCTTGCAATAAAAGAATTCTAATGCATCACTTCTTAATGCTAATATGCATACTCATTTCTATTCCTTATTGCTAAACACATTTAGAATATTGTCTTAGATTCTCTAATGAGACTCTTTTAAATTGAAAGGGGTTTAGCAGGTAGAGAAGCTACATGATCAGATGAAGACAATATGGAGGAATCATCAAAACCAGATGTGTGTGAGAGAGTGAAATGCTGTAAGGCAAGCAAGAAGAGACTGATGCATGGGGAGCTTAGAGGGAACTGGACAGTGCCTGAGGCAACATGAAACAGATGGAGCTTTCTGCCAGGTGCAGTGAGAATGCACCCCAGACACTGTATGCACAGGTTTTAAAGATTCTGCACATGCATACTCTATTAAAAGGCAGGACATATTCCAACATCATAATTTGCCAAAGTAAAGTTGCCAGATAAAGAAATTAAATAGGTGGCATGTTCTAGGGTGTAAATTTCTTTGCCACTGCATCTTGGAGAGACAATATTTTTCTTTTCCTTGGCTTTAGTCCAGGCTCACTAATGTTAGTTGGCATTCTTGCTTCATTCAAGGACTCCTTCCACTTTGCTCAGGATAAGCAGAATCCACCTGGGCCACATAGATCATATATGGCCCTAATCTTAGATGGGCATGCCCCTCTGATTTTAATGATCAGAACTCTGGACCACGTCTCTACATCTGCAAAGCCACAGACTTTCTAATCATGAACAGAGACCAATTACTCCACCAGTCCTCTTTTTTGATCACATACTAAAGGCTATTAATTCTCCTAGAATTTATCCCATATTGTGTTAATATTAAGATAAAAAGAGTACTTGAAACAATGTGCTTTTCTTAAAATGATGACTGTAGGAAAATTCTGTTTCTAAAAATAAGTAGTATTTGGTAATAAAAGTATATATTTTTATTTTTAGATAAGTAATCACATAATATATACATCATAAATTTTTGTTCCACTACATTTAATAATTCTAAAAAGCTTAATGATTCTCAGTCTATTAACTTGAACTTAAATAGACAATAAAAGAAACCTCGTGACTAAACAGGTATGGGAACATGTGTTCCCTGGTTATGTTTTGTCTTCTAGGTCTTTGGGGGAATATTCAATTATTTAGTCATCAAAAATAAATAAAAGTTCCAGAAATGCTTTATATAAAACTATGCAATATCTTATATGTGGGAAGACTGGCTCATTATTGAAACTCACACACACAAATACACAGACACACACACACCCTGCTGCAGGATGGCAAAACACTTTCCTATGAAACACCCCCTGTATACATACATTATAACTTCTATCACAGTGCATTGCAATTTTTTTATTTGTCTGTTTTTCTTATTTTAATTTGATTCCCATAGATTTGGGAGTTTATTTTACTGTCCTTTATATCCTGAGAGTCCCACATGATGCATGGCACACAATAATAGATACTGAACAAACGCTGTTAACTGATAGGTTGAATGGATAAATCTTCATTGGAGTAGTTTGGTAAACAAATATACTTTAATGGTTCTAGAATCTCTAAAATGGGAGCTTTGAGTATGGTAATCTGGTGGAAAGGGTGAGCTGAGGACTTGTTGTGAAATTTTGTTTTGCCATTTATTTTACTTAGAAAGCATATTGTTTGGAGTGGCTAACTCCAGTGGCATGTTGCTTGGAGTGAAGAAACAGAGCTGAGGTTTCAAATATTTTGAACCAGTACTTCTCAATGTAATGGATAAAAAATTTTATAACACATTTCAGCTTTAAGTACTTTGGAAATTTTGCCTTGGGAAAGTTACAGAATCAAAGAAAAGTAATTATTGAATAATAAACAAAATATGTTAATTTTCTACATTTCTTAAAATAATTTTTGCATTATAAGGTCTCACTTACGTAAATGACAGAAACCCAATTCAATTTAAGCAGAGGAAGAACTTATTGATTCATGCCAGATAGCAGATCTAGTTTTAGAAATAGCTGAATTCAGGGATATAAATTTAAAGGTTTGTTCACCTATCATTTTGTCCAACTTACACTGTATTCACTTAGTTCCCAGACTGGTTCTACATACAAGTAACAAATACCTCAGCTAGCGCTAAGCTAACACACTTATTGCTATTAATGGAGCAAACCTTAATTTCAGAATCCTGGTGGAGGGACTCATTGGCTCAGCATAATCTTGTGCTCTCTCTGAACCAATCACATGGCTTTGGAAGCAGAAAAAAACATTATATAAAATGGTTACTTTTTCATTAACTACAACTCCTTGAAAATCAGATGATCAGACAAACAAAACAATGTGTTTCTTAGTGAATAACCTGATTCTGCTTGGTCCAAACCATCCTGAACCTGGAACTCTTACTGAGAAAAATTCTTTTTATAGGTAAACCAAATCTTCTCATTAACCTGGCCTGGATCATGTGCTTTTGTCAATGACTAGCGGTGGAAGGGGAATGTGCCGCACCTAAAACATGTGGAATTTGTTCTGTATAGAAAATAAGGTTCTAAAACAGGATAAAAAGGAAGGAAATCTTTGATTATGATGAGGCAAAATAAAAATTACAGATTATATACATATTTTTTGAGACGGAGTTTTGCTCTTGTTGCCCAGGCTGGAGTGCAATGGCGTGATCTCCAGCTCACTACAACCTCCGCCTCCTGGATTCAAGCAATTCTCCTGCCTCAGCCTCCCCAGTAGCTGGGATTACAGGCATGTGCCACCACACCTGGCTAATTTTGTATTTTTAGTAGAGACGGGGTTTCTCCATATTGGTCAGGGTGGTCTCAAACTCCCAAACTCAGGTGATCCGCCCACCTCGGCTTCCCAAAGTGCTGGGATTACAGGCGCGAGCCACATGCATTATAATTTTTATGATATAACTTATGCATGGTAATTTATATCATTCATTCATAATTTACTTAAAATATATATGTTACCTATCTACTTAGGGCCAATTATTTGAATGGACATTGGGTTACAAAAGGAAAAAGTCAAAGATCCTACATCCTCCAGCACTTACCTTTATACTTTGTTGTTTTCCTCTCATTCATTTCTCTTTTCTTGCTTAGTGATTCTTTGGCCTTTCTCACAGCTCCTGAGCTTTAATGCAAGATAAACGTTCTCTTTTTCTTAATTTCAGAATCCTGGTGAAGGGACTCATTGGCTCAGCATAATCTTGTGCTCTCTCTGGACCAATCACATGGCTTTGGAAGCAGAAAAAAACATTGTATAATATGGTTATTTTTTCATTAACTACAACTCCCTGAAAATCAGATGATCAGACAAACAATACAATGTGTTTCTTATGCATAAAAGCACTTTTTAGTATTGATGACATTGCTGTAGGTATCCATGGATCATAATGTGCTTGCACTGACGAAAAGCTCAGCTGTTCTCTGGTGAATGCACTCCATAAGATTACTATCTTGTCTCCATTCTCCCTGGTCAGAATTATTATTTGTTTAATAAAAGAAAAATAAAACAGAATAGCTCAAGGCATACATAGAGCAGATGTTTCCCTTGACCACATGATGAAACTGAGGTACAGTTGCCCAAACGTACCTATTTTATGGCAAAGCCAGTAATCGAAGCAAGTGCTGCTTTCTCTCTCAGAACCTGTTATCTCTTCTAAATCAGAGATTTTAAACTGGTAATTTACAAATACCTCTGAATTACAGTCATATTTTGTTTGGCCCACACATTGTTGTATCGGAGAGGATTTATTCTATTTATTTTGTTGAAGATTTTTTAAGAGTAAATTTAGGTTCAAAGTAAAATAGACAGGAAAGTACAGAGATTTCTCATGTGTTTCCTCCCCCAAAGGATGTGTAACTTCTCCCATATTCAACATCCTCCATCGAAGTGGTATCTTTGTTACAACTGACGAGCTTACACTGGTACATCATAATCACCTGGAGACTATAGTCCACATTAGAGTTCCCTCTGGTGTTCTGCATTATATGGGCTTGGAAAAATGTATAAAGATATGTATATACCATTATAGAATCATAAAGAATATTTTCACTGCGCTAAGAACTTTTTGTATTCTAACTATACATTCCTCTCTCTCGTTCCTGTCCCTTGATATTCACTAATCCTTTTCCTATCTCCACATTTTTCCCTTTTCAGAATGTCATAGTAGAAATCATGCAGTATATAATCTTTTCAGACTGACTTTTTTTCATTTAGTAATGTGTACTTAAGTTTCTTTGTTATTTTTTCACAGCATGATAGTTCATTTTTTTTAGCATTGAATAATATTCCATTGACAGGATGTACTAGAGTTTATTTATCCATTTACCTACTGAAGAACATCTTGGTGGCTTCCGTGTTTTGGCTATTATGATGAAAGCGGCTATAAATATCCATATGCAGGCTTTGTGTGGACATGTTTTCAACTCCTTTGGGTAAATATCAAAGACGATGATTGCTGCATTATATGTTAAGAGTACGTTTAGTTTTATAAGAAATGGCCCAGCTATATTTTGAAGTAGCTGTTCAATTTTGCATTCCCAGCAGATATGAATGAGAGTCGCTATCACTCCACATTCTCTCCAGCATTTGATGGTTTTGGTTTGGATTTTGAGCATTCTAATAGCAGTGTAATGTTATCTCTTTGTCATTTTAACTTGCATTTTCATGATGACAAATAACGTGGAGCATCTTTATGTATGTCTATTTGCCATTAGTATATCTTCTTTGATTATATTTCTGTTAAAATTTTGATGCACTTTCTAATAGGTTGTATGTTTTCTTACTGTTTTAGGAGTTCTTTGTGCATTTTGGATAACAGTCTTTTGTCAGATATGTCTTTTGCAAATATTTTCTTCCAGTATGTGGATTGTCTTTTTATTCTCTTGTGTCTTTCACAAAGCAGAAATTTTAATGAAGTCTAGTCTATCTGTTCTTATTTTCATGGATTGCTATGCTATCTAAACAATGTTGTGTGTAAAAAGTAATAGCCAAACCCAAGATCATCTGGAGTTTCTCCTATGTTATTTTCTAGGAGTTTCATTGTTTTGTATTTTGCATTTAGCTCTGGGAGCCATTTTGAGTTAATTTCTGCAGAGCATATAAGGTCTGAGTCAAGTTATTTTTTGGCATTGGATGTCCACTTGTCTCAGAACCATTTGTTTAAAAGATAATCTTTCCTCCATGGTATTACCTTTGCTTCTTTGTCAAAGATCAGTTGTCTATGATTATTTTGGTCCAGTTTTGGGCTCTTTGTTCGTTTCCATTGTTCTATGTGTTTATTTTTTTCACCAATACCACACCATCTTGATTACTATCATTTCATATTAAGTATTGAAGTCGAGTAATGTCAGTCCTCTAACTTTGTTCTCTTTTAAGATTGTGGTGACTATACTGTCTCTCTATATAAACTTTAGAATCAGTTTATCAATATCCAGTAAATAACTTGCTGGGATTTTGATTGAGATTGCATTGAATCTAGAGATTGAGTTGGGAAATACATCTGGACAATATTTCATTTTCTTATCCATGAACAAGGAATAGCTCTTCTTTTATTTAGTTCTGTAATGTCTTTCATCAGTGTTTTATAATTTTCTTCATTAAATCTTGTTAGATTTATAACTATTTTATTTTTGGGATTGTGAATATAAATGGTATTGTGATTTTAATTTCAAATTACACTTATTCATTGTTGGTATTGAAAAACAATCAACTTTCATATATCAACCTTGCATCCTACAACCTTTCTATAACTGCTTATTAGCTCCAATAATTTTTTGTTGATTCTTTTAGTTTTCCTAAAAAGACAATCATGTCATTTGTGTACGAAAACTTTTAATTATTCTTTCTTGATCAGTATACCGTTACTCCTTATACTTGTCTTGTTGAATTAGCTAAGATGTCCAGTGTGATGTTGAAAAACAGTGGTGAGGGGTTACATCCTTGCCTTCTTCCTGATGTTAGTGGAAAGCTTCCAGTTTCTCACTACTAAATTTGATAGATATTGGTGCTTTCTATATATTATTTGTTAAGTTGAATAAGCTCCCCTCTTTTCCTAGTGTACTGAGAGTTTTTATTCATGAATGGGTGTTGGATTTTTGTCAAATGCTTCTTCTACATCTATTAATATGATCATGTGATTTTTCCTTTTTAGCCTGCTGATATAATTGATTGCATTAATTGATTTTTGAATGTTGAATCAGCTTTGCATTCATTAGGTAAACCCCACTTGCTTGTGATATAGAATTTTTTAAAATATGTTTTGCGATTTGATTTGCTAATATTTTGTTAAGGATTTTTGCATTTGTGTTCAAGAAAGATATTGGCCTGTAGTTTTCTTTTCTTGTAAGTCTTTGTCACATTTTGGTACTAGAGTGATGTGGCCCCATAGAACAGTCAATGTTTCCTCTGCTTCTATCTTCTGAAAGAGATTATAGAAAATTGGTATGTTTTCTTGCTTAAACATTCGGTGGAATTCACCAATGTATCTACTGAGTCTAGTATTTTCTGTTTTGGAAGTTTATTTATCATTGATTCAATTTCTTTAACAGACATAGGCTGTTCACACAGTTTATGGGTTCTTATGTAAATTTGGGCAGATTGTGTCTCTCAATGAATTGGTTTCTTTCATGTATATTGTAAAATTTGGGGACATAGTGTTGTTTGCTGTATTATTTTATTATTTTTTTGTCTATGGAATCTATAGCAATGTCCTTTCTTTCATATCTGATATTCGTAATTTGTGTCCTCTATCTCTCTTAGTTTACCTAGCTACAGACTTATTAATTCTATTGATCTTTTCAAAGAACAAGCTTTTGGTATTGTGGATTTTCTCTAAGGATGTCTTATTTTCAATTTTATTAATTTTTGCTCTAATTTTTATTGCATTTTTCTGCTTAATTTAAGTTTAATTTTTTCTGCTTTTAAAATTTTTCCTAAGGTAGAAGCTTAGATAATTGATTTTAAATCTTCCTTATTTTCTAACATATGCATTCAATGCTATATGTTTCCCCATAAACACTGCTTTCACGATTTGCATCCCACAAGTCTTGAAAAGTTGTGTTTCTATTTTCATTTTGTTTAAAATATTTTTGAATTTCTCTTGAGTTTTTTTTCCTTCGGCTCTTGTTTAATCACCATGAATTTGGGGATTTTTCAGTTATCTTTCTGTTATTGATTTCCAGTTTAATTCCACTGTGGTCTAAGAGCAGACATTGCATGTTTTTATTATTTTAAATTTGTTACAGTGTGTTTTATGGCTGAAATATAGTTTATTTTCATGAAATTTTCATGGGAGCTTGAGAAAAATGTGTTTTCTGTTGTTGTTGGATGAGTTTGTTTATAGATGTCAATTATATTCAGGTGTACTGTTGAGTTTTTCTATGTCCTTACTGATTTTCTGCCTGATGGAGCTATATATGTGTGGTACAAGAGTGTTAAAATATCTGACTATAATAGTGGATTTATCTATTTCTTATTGAAGGTTGACCAGTTTTTGCTGCATATATTTTGATGCTCTGTTGTTAAGTGTATACATGTTAACTAGCGTTACATTTTCTTGAATAACTGCTCCATTTATCATTATGTAACATCCTTCTTTATCCTCAATAGCTCCCCTTGCTTTGAAGTCCACTCTGTCTGAAATTAATATAGCTAATTTTGCTTTCTTTTGATTACTATTAACATATTATATCTTTCTCCGTTACTTTTATTCTGTATGTGTCTTTAGATTTAAAGTGAGTCTTCTTGGATAGCTCTGCATTAATGAAACTCTTTCTCTACTACAATATTGCAGTCTCAATGACTGCAGCAGATGGGTGAACCCATTGGGTGATTACAGAAGTAACTGTATTAATAAATACAGATCCTTCAGATTATAATGTATTTCAGTCTCATGTGCTAAATTATCTGAAACTGAGGATGAGTAGACACCCAGCACTAAATGTATACTTCGCTAATATTAACCACAAATATTATATGGTTTAATTCAGAAAGTCTGGTTTTCCCTATCATTTCAATATTATCTCCTTTCTCTCATTCCTCCTCTTAACCAATTTAGCCATTAGGATTTATCAATTGAGTAGTCTTACTCCAGACATAAACTCAGGATATTGTGCTGTTCATATGTATCCTATGTGATTGACACCTACAGAGCACAATTACAGCATAAATAATGCCCATAAAATTGTGCAATGCAGTATCCCATGTTATAATCTAAAGAAAGTTTCTTAATACAGTTCAAAGATGTTTAGTTTATTGCAAAGGGTAAGTGAGTTTTCATAGGTGATAACACAAATACATCATGCTCTTATTCTTATTTCTGGCAAAAGAAAGCATGAAAGGATTTTCCAGAAATTATCCACAGGGATATAAAACTGCTGATAATATTAACTGTAAGGAATACAGATTTAAAAAAAATTTAGGGATGAGAAACTTCCCTTTACTATATTTTAGAAATGTTTTCCAATTCTCACCCTAAGTCTGAACTGTTCTGGTTCTGTCTCTGCATGTAAACTAGTTGCAAATAATTTTTGCAAAATGAGTGCAGCACATTCCTTATCGTTTGCTGTAAGTACATAGTTGTTGAGTTGGGCAATTTATTGTTACATTACTTAGCAAAACCACATTTATTGCCTATCTGAGATGAAAATCTACAGATAGTAGATTTAAAAATGGAATAGCTGGGTTAAAATTTTTGTATATTTTATTTAAAATTTTGATACATACTACTAAAATATTTTCCCAAAAGCCTTCAACAAATTATATTTTACCAACATTGTAAGAGACTCTCCATTTTCTCATGTCCTTACAAATCTTTGATGTTATTAAAAATACAATGTTTTTTCTAAATTGACTGGCAAATATTGGATGCTATTTATATGCTAATTTGTATTTCCTTGACTAGCTTAAGACTGAACCTCTTTTCATGTTTCTTGTCTGTGTTTGTGTTTCTTTTGTGGGTGGTCTATTTTTATCCTTTTTCATTTCAAAAGATGTTGTTAGTCTTCCTCTTTTTGACATAAGAAACACTAGATGTATCAAATTTGGGAATGCCTTCCCTCTGCATGAGATACTTATTTTGATCATTTCAATGGTAATAAAATGGTAATTAAAGGTTCTAATGAGACATAGGCAGTTTGGATTAATTATCTTCATTTTAATTATAATGCTAACAGCTAGTCAAATATCACTTTTATTTTCTCACCCCTTCATCAGTCCAGGTATTCTCTGTCCTCTGCAAACTGGTGGTAATGTCCTTTGGTGATAGTTTTGCAAATATTGCGGTGGGTGAGGAAGTGAAACTTCCTGCAAACTGGTAGTAATCTCCTTTGGTGATAACTTAGCAAATGTTGTGATGGTGGAGAAAGTAAACTACTGTTTTTGTTTTTGTTAAATATCAAATGAAGACCCCATTATGATCCTTTAATTTTACTTATTTTGGTCTCTTAATATTTTCTAGATGCACAATAAGGAGTAAGTATGGTTTCTTATCAAAGAGGGCTTTACCAGGTGATTTGCAGACAATTAAGGTTTTTGCCTTTGAGGTCGGTATCTATCTTTCTCTGATAATGGCCTTTTATTGATTTTGGGATATCTTGTTTAATAAGAGCAGATAATAATCGCATTCTATTAATCATTTCAGCTTTTGTGAAAGAAAACTTCATTATGTGGTTTTTCTGATTCTCAGGCCATGTTTAGGAGATTTTCATAAGTCTGTCATCCCATTGCTTTTCTTGTATACCAGGCTAGAAAATTTTTATAATATGATTTACAATTTTTTTCTATCTCTTCCTACTTCTTAATTCTGTGCTTTCTTTAACTGCAAAATTTTTAGTTTTACTCATCAATTCATAGAGCATTTAAGTAATTAGGCCTTTTGCCACATTGATAACAAACCAGATTTAGTCTTCACCAGGACCATAATTTGTTTTAAAACTGCAGTCCCATCAAACTGTAGTACTACTTTAATGAAGTTCATAGAAATGTACCAGAATCCTTAGGATGTTGCTTCACCAGCTAGAAACCCCGTGGCCAGCAGCACCTCTGCTTGAGTTGCTTGCACCTGCTGGGCTCGTTCCACCTGCTTGGCTCAGTAGGCTGCAATTGGCTCATGCTACCAGCTCTATTCCACTCCTGCCAAGTGCAAGCCAGGCATGAAGTGGTGAGGGGTGTGTGAGTGAGCAAGCACACAGCGGGGCAGGCAGGTCCAGGCACTGACACAGGCACCAGCTCTGTACAAGTCTGTGGCTAGACCAGATACACCACAACTGGCTTCCACAACTGGCACCAGTGTCTGGATGAGGCGAATGTAATGGCACCCAAAAGCTTGGAGATCCCAGGAACTGCAGAGCCCCAAAGAGGATGTTACAGCATATCCTAGCCCTACCTCAGGGAGCCCTCAGATCTAGGCTCCCAATAAGGCCACAGTTCTTCTCTCCTTCTTGTCATGCACAGAGCAGTGAACAAGGAGGTGAATTTTGGAGGGAATGTTT
The DNA here is from genome assembly GCF_000001405.40 of Homo sapiens. Classification (NCBI taxonomy): domain Eukaryota; kingdom Metazoa; phylum Chordata; class Mammalia; order Primates; family Hominidae; genus Homo; species Homo sapiens. Next base: position 103,960,122 of record NC_000001.11, read on the forward strand.
TAGCTCCTTTGTGTTACAGCTCTTTCAGTCATGCTGCCTCATTCTGGCCCACAGCTCATAGGCTGGCCTGGCCCCGCTGCTGCTTCCCATTGCATGGGATAGCTGCCTGTGCTGGTGGAGGGTGGGAGGGCTATAGTGTTACAGCAACTGTGGCTTGGGGAATCCTGAGGTCTGGACGCCCAGAAGGGTTGTCACTCTTTATTTCCACAGTCCGGGAGCATGTAACCACCCCCAGCTCAGTGAGGCAGCTAGGAACATGTTATAGCTCCTTTAGTTCCTGCTGTTTGATGGGTCCCAAGTTGTTGTCCCATGTCCAAGAAAAATGAGGATATGTGGAAAAGAAGAGGGTGAGCTAGGCAGAGAGGAACTTTATTAAGCAACAGAACAGCTCTCAGGAGACCCAAAGTGGGTAGCTTATTTCTGCAGGCAAGTCATCCTGACAAGTCTTGAGGAGACCCAAAGTGAGTAGCTCCTATCTGCAGGCAGGTTGTTCCAAAAAGTATGTGAATCTGGCTGAGTCTGGGGTTTTTATGTGCTCAGATGGGAGGAAGTGTGTCTGGCTAGTTCATGGGTGGCCACCAGTGGGCCAGGAAAAAAACCATAAGTTCTCACTCTGGGTTGTTGTCTCCACCCAGAACTGGCAGCCCGATCACAGGCATCGGGCTATCCCCGGCTTGAAGGTGGGATTTCACTGGATACCTGCCCCTTCCTGGCTACAAACTTGCCCCCTGTCGACATCAACATGCCATCTGCTGCTCCCAGGCTGTCCACACTGAGGGGTGACTGCAGGCCATCACCAAGTCATCCTCAGCCCCCTTGAGATCCGTCACTGAGCTTGTAAGCACCCAAAGTTCCACAGGGGTCTGAGATGGTGGGAGAGCTGAGGTGTCAGCGATGCCCCATGCATGTGCACACCCAGCTGAGTTGTAACAGTACCCAGGCTTTTCCACAGCTTTGCTCCACACCAGAGCAGGTGCTGGGAGCAGGAAGTGGCCAGGGAGTGGGAGTAGGCACTTCCAAGCCTGAGGGGGCAAGGGGCTTCCTGGGCCCTTGAGAGCGCAGGGATGTCCAGAGCCATGGCTGGGCTGCAGCTGTGCCCAGGAACATTGGGCTCCCACCCCACCAACTGGGTAAGGGGTGGGCTCCCATCTGTTCCCGGCCCCCATCGGCTCCACAGCCCAACTGTGATTCCCCACTGTAGCTGGCATACTCACAGCAGCTGCTCCAGAAGAGCCACCGCCATCATCTGAAAGACATTCTAAACATGAAGCTAGATTAGGAAGTATGATATATGCTGAAGTTTATTTTGTCTCTAATTATCCAAATAAAGTTATTTTTTTAATTTGAAAAATTATTTACAGACAAAATAAAAGGGTTATTTTGAGCATAATTACATATTTTCTTTAAAAATTGTCTTGTCTTGAGTAGGTTATATAATGCTTTTTAGTTGTTCTTAATTTATTAGTAAGAATACTTGCTCTGAAGTCTTCTTTTTGACACTATTTCACATTTTTTATAGAAGCCTGGATTAGAACCAATTCACCATTTATAGAGTGAGTGATTGATTTGAAGACTAAAAATCATTGATTAACGAGCATTTGCTTTATAATAGTCACTCTGCTAAATACTTTTGTACATAATGTTCCTGAATCCTTGCGGAAACCCCATGGAGTACATATTATTATTTCTGTCCTACAGATGAAGAAACTAAGGTACAGGCAAGTAAAATTGCTTGCTATGGTCTCATAGCTAATAAAGAGTTTCTCCATTTGATTTCCATTCTTTTTTTCTTTACTGGCGGGTATTATTTCTTCCTGGCTTAGAAGAACTATAATAGACATATGCTATGACAAAAGAGATCCTCTTGTATTCAGGTGGTCTCAATTTTCTCCATCTTCCAAATTAGAAACACCATTTATGGTTTATATCAAATTAGACTTTTTTAATGGTAAAAAGTGCTATTTGCTCTAGCATAATCTATATTATTTACCTAAACTTTTGTGTAAGTAATGTCTATCAGACAATCACTGATAGACATTCCTATCTATATATAAAGTTAAAAGGTAAATTACTTAAATTAGAAAATAATATCAGTTTTTTAAAATTTTAATGATATGATGTGTGATATAATATAATGCATGCTATTTATAAACAGTATTTATAACAATACATAATATATGTCTTATATAACTATAAATAAAATGTAAAGTTTAAACATTGTATATATGTCAAATATACATATTATATTTTAACAAAAGTCTATGCTTAATTCTATATACTGTATTTTAAAAGTATTGAGGTAAAAACATCAGAAATTAATTTCTTGCTAAATTATATATTTTTGTGTTGGAGATACCTATCACTTTCTCTGTTTCTTATGAAGATTCTTTTTAAAATATTTTAAATGATTTGCCATGAGACACAGGTGATCTATATCAGAGTGGAACAAAGGATTATTTCTTTGACAATTGAATGGCTTAGAAAGTAACAGGAGTTTAGATCACCAATCTCCAGAGCAAAAAGACAATAGAATTTTGTTACTAATATTGAGCGTGTTCATAGTGTAGGCCTTTCCAACCATCACCATAAATGATCCACAGTAAGAGAAAGAAGATAGGAAGAAAGGCAGAAAAAAAATATGTTTTTTGGAAAAATAAAATAATGAGTGATTTTTTTTTTTACTGGAATATGGGTTTACGTGTTGAAAGGATTTTTAAAGTTCTCAAATGTAGCATTTTATTGTTCCAGAGATTTCTATTCTGTATAAATAATTTACATACACTCTGTAAAAATATATTGGCTGCATACTTACAACAGAAACTGTTTTAGTGGTTTATTTTAGAGTTGAATCTTTATTTATTTATATTTTTTGCTTTTATCCCTTTCTGGGGGAGATTTCATGCTTTCAGATTCACTTCTGAGGAAATTATGGTCACTTGCACAACAATTTCTACCCTTTATATCCTCAGCCAATTCCTCCTGTTAATAAGAAATAAATCACAAATTTTATTTATTGTATTATATTGTTTGACTTCCTGTGATTAAAAAATCTTTCTATTAACGTAAGGTAGAGCATTTTGTTGGTCTTTGGCTTACTATATCAGAGTTCCGTCATGAAACCTTTGTAGTAAGTAGGTAAACAAGGGCATGTTAAATTATTTTACCAATTGAATGCATATATAACACTCAGTTTAATTCAGTAAGACATTAAATTGTTTTGGGGACTTCTAAGCATCTTCCCTTACATTCTTCATGCTATATTTTATCAACCTTTTAGGTTTTACAGTATGCATATTTTGAATTTAATCAGCTTTACTTGATATACTTTACATACAATAGATTGTAACAACAAAAGTGAACCATTTGATGACTTTTGACAGTTTTAAAACCACCTTCTCAGTCAAGACACAGAACATTTCCATCACTCTCAAAACATTTATTAAGTCCCATTATAGCAATCCCTTCCTCTGCTTGTGATGCAGACAACTGTTGATTTGCTTTATATCACTGTAGAATATGTAATGCTTTCTAGAATTTTATAAAAATAAAACTATACAAGACACACTCTTTTGTGCCTGGGTTCTTTCACGCAGTGCTATTAAGATTCATCCACACTGGCCGGGTGTGGTGGCTCACGCCTGTAATCCCAGAACTTTGGGAGGCCAAGGCAGGTGGATCACGAGATCAGGAGATTGAGACCATCCTGGCTAACACGGTGAAAGCATGTCTTTACTAAAAATACAAAAAAATTAGCCAGGCGTGGTGGCGGGTCCCTGTAGTCCAGCTACTCAGGAGGCTGAGGCAGGAGAATGGTGTGAAGAGCTTGCAGTGAGCCAAGATCCCGCCACAGCATTCCAGCCTGGGCAACAGAGTAAGACTCCATCTCAAAAAAAAAAAAATAAAAATAAAGATAAAAAATAAAAAGATTCATCCGAACTGCATAACTTCGCACATATAAATAATGTTATTTTTGTATTGTTGAGTAATATTCCATTTTGTAGAGGTACCACATTTTGATTATCCTTCTACCTGTTTACGAACATTTGTATTCTTTTTAATTTGAGGGTTATTAATAATAAATTTTATAAATATTCCTGAACAAGAAGACATATTTTTATTTCTCTTAGGTAAATACATAGAGTGGAATGTCTGGGTGTAAAAAAGGTATATGTCTAATTTTTTTTTTAAACTACCAAACAGTTTTCCAAAACAGTCATACCATTTTTAATTCCTATCAATAGTGTGGGGTAGATTGAAATGTGATATGAAATAGCAGTTCTCTTTACTTTATATCCTCACCAACACTTGTTATGCCAGTCTTTTTAATTTTAGTAATTTTAGTAAGTGTGTAATGTGTAGGCTACACTTACATGGTCAGTAAACACTAATGCTTAAAGGTTTGCGTATGTGTTTTTATGTATGTGCTTGTGTATTTGGAAAAAAAAGTGTACATAAAACTACTAAATTTAGTGATCATCATGTTCATATTGGAATATCTTTATTATTCTGTACATTAGCAACTGTTCAAATATTTATCCCATTTTTTACTGGGTTGCTTTTTTCTTATTATTGAATCTGAGTGTTCTTTATATACCCTTAGACATAAGTTTGAGATTTGCATTTTTATTTTCTTAGTAGCAACTTTAAATAAATTTTCAATGTTAATGAAGTAAAACGTATTAAATTTTTAATTGTTTGTACTTTTTATGTCCTATTAAGAAAATATCTGCTTTGAATTGCAAAAAAAAATTTGTTTTATTTTATAATTAAAAATTTTAGATATTACATGTAAACATATAATGCTTTTGATTTGATATTTATCTTTGGATAAAATAAGGATTGATGTACATTTTCAATATGGACATCCAGTGTCCTAATGCCCGTTATTGCAAAACTTTGTCTATACTAACTTAACATCCTATCCAAAATCAAACATAACAATTTGTACACACAGACACATAGGCACACACATCATTTTTCATTTATTAAAAATGATTTCCATCCTGATGATTTTTATGTCTGTTTTTACACTGTAATGGCAGTGTTTTTACTACTGTAGTTGTATATTTAGTCTGCAAACCTATAATTGTAATTCCTTCAACTTTGTTCTTCTCTTTTAAAACTAATTCAGTCATTCCAGATCACTTGCATTTATATACAAATTTTAAAATTACTTGTCCATTTATGTAGAAAATCTTTTGATATTTTAGTTAGGAATGCATAGCTTCTCTAGACCAAGTTAATAAAACTTGACATCTTAACTACACACAATATTTCAATCCACTAAAATGGTGTATTTATTTATTTTGATGTTTAAGTTCTCCCATCAATGTCCTTAAATGCTTAGTGACATTGTTTAGAACATATTTTGCTATGTTTATTCCTAAGAATTGTATGCTTGTTAGCCCTATTGCAAAGGTAAATACAAATGTAATGTTGTAAGTGTCTCACGTGTCCGTGTGAAGAGACCACCAAACAGGCTTTGTGTGAGCAACAAGGCTGTTTATTTCACCTGGGTGCACTGCAGGCAGGCTGAGTCTGAAAAGGGAGTCAGCGAAGGGAGATGGGATTATCATTAGTTCTTATTGGTTTTGGGAATCGGCTGTGGAGTTAGGAGCAATGTTTTGTGGGCAGGGGATGGATCTCACACAGTACATTCTCAAGGGTGGGGAGAATTACAAAGAACCTTCTTAAGGGTGGGGGAGATTACAAAGTACATTGATCAGTTAGGGTGGGGCAGAAACAAATCACAATGGTGGAATGTCATCAGTTAAGGCTATTTTCACTTCTTTTGTGAATTTTCAGTTGCTTCAGGCCACCTGGATGTACACATGCAGGTCAAAAGGAATATAATGGCTTAGCTTGGGCTCAGAGGCCTGACAGTAAGATTCAGTTTTTTCAAATATTTGCTATTAATGTATAGAAATACATTATTTTTGTATATTAGACTTGGATCTTTCAACTTTACTAAATTTCTTTAGTAGTTTTTATACTTTTGTTGATTTCTTAGGATTTCATATTCAATAATCATGTCATTTGAAAATGTAGACAGTGTTAATTCTTTCTAATCTGAGTGACTTATTTTTTGTTTGCCTTATTGTTTTGGTTTGGTTCTTCAGTAAAAGATTTTTAAAAAGTGGTGAATTCAGGGATTCGGCCTTTTTTTTTTAAGATAGCGTTTAATATTTTACTCTTAAATATCTTGTCAACTGTAGGCTTTTCATGGATGCCCCTATCAAAGTAAGGGATGAGTTTTTAGATTTACTTCGCTGAGAGGTTTTTTAAAAAAATTATGAATAGGTGATGAATTTTGTTAAATTCTTTTCTCTTCATTAATAAAATTTATCTTAAAATTTGACTTTTTTTGACATTGACAGGGAGGATTATATTGATTGAGATTCAGATGTTAAGCCAACCTTGTACTAATAAAAGATGCCGTAATTGGTTATGATGCCTTATCATTAGAAAATACTGCTTGGTTTCATTTATTAATATTTTGCAAATTTTTCGTCTATGTTCAGGGACAGCATTTTTAAAAGTTTTAGATTTTTTTCTGAATTTGGTATTAGATGATGCTGATTTATCAAGCAGATGGAAAGTGTTCCCTTGCCATCTATTTTCTGATAGAGTTTACATAAATTTTGCATTATCTCTTCTTTGAATGTGTAATTGAATTTGCCAGTGAAACAACCAAAACCTAGAGTTTTCTTGATTTGAAGAATTTTGTAAATGAATATAATTTCTTGATTAGATGGTGAACTATATTATTTGTTACTTTATTTTGTGGCAATTTTGTAAACTTGTATTTTTCAAGAAAATTTTCTGTATCATCTAAGTTTTCAAATTTATTGGCAGAAAGTTGCTTTTAATAACCTTGTGGTATCTTTTTACAATTTTTATTGTAGTAAAATACACATAACATAAAATTTACTGTCTTAACCATATTTAAGTATACAGTTCAGTGGTATTAAGTATAGTTATACTATTGTGCAATTATCATGACCATTATTCACTAAACTCTTTCATCTTCCAAAAATTAAACTCTATACCGATTAAACAACAACTCTTCATTCTGCCTTACTTCAGCTGCTAGCAACTGCTATTCTACTTTCTTTGTCTACAATTTTGGCTACTCTAAGTACCACTTATCAGTAGACTCATTCACTATTTGTGTATTGGGGACAAGCGTATTTAATTTAACATAATGTTCTCAAAATTCATCCATGTTAGAATGTGTCAGAATTTCTTTTCAACACTGCATAAATCTATTGTATGTATGTATACCATTTTGCTTGTCTATTCATTTTTCAATGGATGCTTCAATTGCTTCTACGTTTTAACTATCACAACTAAAGCTGCTATGAACATAGGTGTACAAATATCTCTTTGAGATTCCGCTTTCAATGCTTCTGAGTATATACCCAGAAATGAAATTGCCAAATCATATGGTAATTCTATTTTTATTTTTGTTTATTTTTTGTTGAACTACCATACTGTTTTTCACAGCAGCTATACCATCTTACACTCCCAAGACGATGCAAGTGTTCTGATTTAACATCTTCACCAACACTTGTTATTTTTTTATAATAGCCATTCTAATGGGTGTGAGGTGATGTTTCATTATAGATTTGCATTTCCCTAAAGATTAGTGATGTTGAGCATCTTTTCATCTGCTTATTGACCATTTGTATGTCCTCTTTGGAAAAATGTCTATTTGAGTCCTTGGTCCATTTTTGAGTTGTGTTCTTTGTTTTTTTTGTTTGTTTGTTTTGTTTCTTGTTGTTGTTGTTAAATTGTAGAACTTTCCCATATATTCTGGATATTAATCTTTTACCAGATATGTTTTATAAACATTTTATCCAATTTTGTTGGATGTATTTTTTGCTCTGTTGATAGTGCCTTTTGTTGGAAAATTAGAATTTGTATGAAGTGCAACTTGTGTATTTTTTCTTTCTTTGCCTGCATCTTTGGTTTTATATCTAAGAAAACACTGCAAGGTTTGATATTGCAAAGGTATTTTTTTTCCTATGTTATCTTCTAAGAGTGTTGTAGTTTTAGGTCTTACATTTAGGACATGAATTCATTTTAGTCAGTTTTTGCATATGGTTTTAGGTAAGGGTTGAACTTTATTCTTTTTCATATGGATATGCAGTTTTCTCAGAATTTATTGAAAAAACTGTCTTTTTTTCCCCCATCGAGTGGTCCTGCTACTGTCGTTGAAAAACCTTTGGCCATATCTGTCAGGGTTTATTTCTGGGCTCTTTATGTCTTTATATCTGCCTTTATGCCAGTACTACACTGTTGTGATTACTGTAACTTTGTGTTAAATTTTGAAGTCAGAAAGAAGGAGACCTCCAACTTTGTTCTTCTCTTTTAGGACTGTTTTTGCTACTCAGGGTCCTTTGTATTTCATGTGAATTTTCAGATTTTTTTATGAATCTTGCAGAAAATGTCTTTGGGATTTTGACAGATATTGAATTATATCTGTAGATTGCTTTGGATATTATTGATATCCAGACAATATTGAGTCTTTCAATCCATAAACTTGGCATGTTATTCCATTTATAAGTGTCTTTTAAAATTTCTTTTAGCAAATGTTGTATGGTTTTGTTGTATAGTTTTTTACCTCCTTGATTAAGTTAATTCCTAAGTATTTTAATCTTTTTTGTTGTTGCAAAAGGGATAGTTTTCTTAATTTCCTTTGGGGACTGTTTATTGCTGGTATATAGAAATCCAAATGATTTTTACATCTCAACTTTACATCCTGCTACTTTGCTGAATTGAATTCATTCATTAATTCTAATAGCTTTTTTTGTGAAATCTTTAGGGTTTTCTAGATATTAAATTATGTCATGGAAAATAGAGATGATTTTACTTCTTTATTTTCAGTTTGGATACTTGTTATATATAGTTTATATAATATATATAGTTTATATATATGCTTAATTGCTCTATCTAGGACATACAGGACTATGTTGAAGAGGGTATTCCTGCATTGTTTCTGATGTTAGAGGGAAAACTTTCCATCTTTCAATATTAAGTATAATGTTTACTATGAATTTTTCATATGTAAATTGAAGTAGTTCCCTTCTACTTTTTAAAGTATTTTTATCATGAAAATATGTTGAATATTATAGATTTTTTCTGCATCAATTAAGATAATCAAAATTTTTTCCTTTGTTTTGTTAATATTGTGTATTACATTAATCAATGTTTATATGTAGAACCATTCTTCCATTCCAGAAATAACTTCACTTGGTCGTGGTGTATAGTCCTTTTAATATGCTGATAAAGTTTGTTTGCTAGTATTTTGTTGATTATTACATCGATACTCCTGTAGGTTATTGTTCTGTAATTTATTTTTTTCTTATAGTGTCTTTGTGTGGTTTTGGTATCAGAGTAAGGCTGATCTCATTGATGAGTTAGGAAGTCTTCCCCTTTGGAATTATTTCTGGAAAACTGGAGGTGATTGGCATTTATTCTTTAAATGCTTGATAGAATTCACAGTGAAGTTATCTGGTCCTGGGCTGCTTTTTTTTTTTTTTTTTTGAGGGGGTGTCCTAGGAGAGATTTTTGAATGCTGATTTAATCTACTTACTCATAGGTCTGCTTATATTTTTTATTTCTATGTGGTTTACTCTTAGTAAGTTTTGTGTTTTCTAGGAATGTTTGTACTTTTTCTAAATTATCTAATTTGTTGATGTGCAATTGCTCATAATGTTCTTTTACCATCTTTATTAGGTGTGTAGAACAGGTCAATAATGTCTCCACATTCATTTCTAATTTTAGTAATTCAAATCATTTCTCTTTCTCATAGTCCATTTAGCTAAAGATTGGTCAATTTTTTTGATCTCTTTGAAGAACCATCTTTCAGTTTTGTTGGTTTTCTCTATTGCTTTTTAATTCTCAATTTATGTCTGCTCTAATTTTTATTGGTTTCTTCCTCCTGCTAGCTTTGGGTTAAGTTTTTTTTCTTTTTCTAGTTCCAGAGTTGTAAAGTTAGGTTACTGAAGTGAAATTTTTTTTTTAATGTAAACATTTATAGCTATAACTTTCTCACAGTACTGCTTTCACTGAGTCACATACATTTTGATATGTTGTGTTTTTGTTTTCATTTTTCTCTAGGTATTTGGTAAATCTTCTTGTGATTTTTTAATCCATTGGTTATTTAAGAGTGTGTTGTTTAATTTCCACAAATTTGTGAATTTTTCTGCTTTTATTTGGCTTTAATTTTTTTTTTTAATTTTTTTTTTTATTTTTTTGAAACAGAGTCTGGCGCTGTTGCCCAGGCTGGAGCGCGGTGGCGCAATCTCGGCTCACTGCAAGCTCCGCCTCCAGGGTTCAGGCCATTCTCCTGCCTCAGCCTCCCGAGTAACTGGGACTACAGGCGCCCGCCACTACGCCTGACTAATTTTTTGTATTTTTAGTAGAGACAGGTTTTCACCATGTTAGCCAGGATGATCTCGATCTCCTGACCTCGTGATTCACCCGCCTCGGCCTCCCAAAGTGCTGGGATTACAGGCGTGAGCCACCGGGCCCAGCCTTGGTTTTTGATTTCTAACTTCATCATATTGTGGTCAGAAAAAATACTTTCTATGATATCTATCTTTTAAATCTATTGAGAGTTAATCTGCAGACTAACATATGGTCTATCCTGGAAATTGTCCCATGTGGACTTGAATGTATGCTCTGCTATTGTTGAATAGATTGTTCTGTATATCTCTGTTGGATCTGGTTGGTTTATTTTGTTGTTCAACTCCTTAATTTCTTACTTATCTTCTGTGTGGTTGCTCTACTCTTATTGAGTGTGGGTTGGTGAAGTCTCTAATTATTATTGTAGAAAAGTATATTTTCCTCTTCAATTCTGCCAATTTTTGCTTCATATATTTTGATGACCTGTTGTTGTGTGTAAATGTGTATGATTGTTATATGTTTTTTATTTATTGAAACTTTTAATAATATATAAATAAAAGATTAGTATTCTTCATTGTCTCCTGTAAACTTTTTTTTTGACTTAACGTCTATTTTGTCTGATACTAACATAGCCACTGCTGATCTGTTTTGATTACTATTTAAATAAAATTTTTTTTTCATCCTTTCAATTTATGGTACAGGCCTTACCTGGAAGTTACAAGCCTTCAATAGACTCTAGAATTCCAAAATTGTTGCATTGAACAGATTCTGACAGTGCACTTGTCTAGATAGTGTGTGTAGGTTTCTGGTGCTTCCTGCTTCCTACACTGTCATCCTGCCCAGAATCCTTCTTTTCTCTTGTTATCTTTTTTTTTTTTTTTTTGAGACGGAGTTTCGCTCTGACGCCCAGGCTGGAGTGCAATGGCGCCATCTCCGCTTGCTGCAAGCTCAGCCTCCAGGGTTCACACCATTCTCCTACCTCAGCCTCCCAAGCAGCGGGGACTGCAGGCGCCCGCCGCCACTCCTGGCTAATTTTTTGTATTTTAGTGGAGACGCGGTTTCATCATGTTAGCCAGGATGGTCTCGATCTCCTGACCTCGTGATACACCCACCTCGGCCTCCCAAAGTGCTGGGATTACAGACGTGAGCCACCGCGCCTGGCATTCTCTTGTTACCTTTTTAATCCCTGTCAGATCTGCAGTGGGACTATTTTATTCCTGATATTGATGATTTGTTGAATCTCTCCCCGTTTCCTTTTTATTCATCTAACAGAGGGTTTGTTAATTTTTAATTTTAAAAACCTAGATTTGGGCTTTGGTCATTTTTTCTATTGTCTGTTTTTTATTAATTTCTTCTTTGATGTTTATAATTTACTTTCCTCTACTTTGTTTTTTCAATATTTTACTTGCTTTTAGTTTAAAAATACATCATTTTAAAACATTTCTTATTTTCTAATATAAACATTTAAAAATATATGCTTTTTCTATGCATAGATTAGCTGCATTCCACACATTTTTACATGATGTATTTTCATTGTAATTCAATTCTAAATAATTTTCTATTTTTTTCTACTTTCCTCCACGAATATGAATCATTTAGAGATGTGATTAATTTCCATATATTTGGTCTTTTTCTAAATATTTTATTATTTTAATTTTTAGTTTAATTTCATTTTGGTTCTCTTTTCTATTTTGGTCTTTTAAAATTTGTTAAGACAGTTTATGGCCAGCTTGTAAACTATATTGAAAATAATATGTATTCTGTTGTTGTTAAGGGTGGTCTGCTATAAATATCAAGTCTACCTAGTAGGGCTGTATCAGATATTCTTTCTCTTTACTGATCATTTTTGTATTATTATTCTATCAATGGTTGTTGAGAAGGATGCTAAAATGATATTTGTGAAATTCTTCGATTCTGTCTTCAATTCTGTAAATTTTTGCTTTGAATACTCAAATAACCCAAGGCCCTGTTATTAGGCAAAAGCACATTTAGGAATGTTATGTCTTCCTAATGAATTTGTGCTATTTATTTATTTATTTATTGAGAGTGTCTTGCTCTGTTGCCAAGCCTGGAGTGCAGTGGTGCAGTCATAGCTCATTATAACCTCAGACTCTTGGGCTCAGGTCATCCTCCCACCTCAGCTTTCTGAGCAGCTAGGACTATGGGCTCACACCACCATGCACATCTAATTTTTAAAGTTTTGGCAGATATAGGGTCTTGCCATTTTGCACAGGCAGGTCTTGAACTCCCAGCCTCAAACAACCCTTCCATCTTGGCTTCGCAAAGCACTGGGATTAAAAGTGTGAGACAGCAAAGACTACACCTTTATTGTTACAAAAAATGTCTCTCATTTTTGAACAATCATCATTGTATTTGTATTTGAATTATTTAACTATTTAATTATTATTTAAATTAACTTGGCACTTAATTTAATTACCAAACCCTCAATTACGTTTGCACCAACCAATCTAATATATTATAGAATTTTTTTCTATCTATTGTCTGTTTATAATATGCTCTGGTATTAAAATGCTTATTTTCATCTGTTTACAGCTCAAGTTAATATTTTGTCACTTTATGTAAAATGTTAAAACCTTGTAACCACAAGGGTCTACTTATTTTTTTCTTATTATTAATGGGATAGTTGTCATATTTATTATATCCGTAAGACAATGTTATAATTTTAGCCTTGAATAATTCTTTGTACTTCAGATCTTTTGGAAGATAAAGTTGCATCTTTAATTTTTTCCCAGATATTTATCATTTTTAATATTCTTTCTTCTTTCCTGAAGATCCGTGATTCCATTTGGTATCACTTTTAGCCTGAAAAACACCCTTTAGCATTTTTATAGTGCCATTGTATTAGCAATAAAATCTCTCAATTTTTCATCTTTAAAAATTGTCATTATTTTATCTTCATTCAAGAAGGATATTTTCACTGGTTATAAAATTTGAGGTCAAAGGTATATTCTCTCAGTACTTAAAGATATTAGTTCTCTTTTTTGCTTCTGCAGTCTCTTCTATGGCCACTTTAATATTTTCTTACTTTATGTGATATTCATTTTTCTCTAGGTTCTTTCAAGTTTTCTTTACATCCATAGTTTTAGTGGTTTAACTATAACGTATCCTGGCATAATTTTCTGTGTATTCTGTTTGAAGTTCACTAAGATTTTAAAATCTGTAATTTTATATGTTTCACTCAAATTGGGAAGTTTTTGTCATTATTGCTTCAAAATCTTTTTCTACTCCTTTCTGGCCCTATTTCCTTTTGAGATTCCAATTACCTTTTTGTTTGTTCCATTTCTTTAAATTTTCTTATAAGTAATAAGGGTATACATTTTCCCTCTCATCTCCAGATTACATAATTTCCATTTATCTATCTTCAGTTTTGATTATTATTTACTCTTTCATCTCCATTCTGCTATTAAGCCTATATAGTGAATTATCTTATTTCATATATTTTCAATTATAAAATTTTCTTTCTCTATAATGCCATTTTCTGTTGAGATTTCTTATCTTTTCATTCATTATAAATAAGTTTTCTTTAGAGTCATTGATCAGTTCATACTCTCTGCTTTGCAGATTTTGCCTGAGATTTCTAATATCTGAGTCACCTCTACATTGCTATCCATTGTCTTTTTCTTTGAGAATGGGTCATGTTTTGTCTCTTCATATGTCAAGTAATTTTGGATGGCATTTTGCTTATTTTTAGTGTTCCATTGTTCAGACTGTAATTATTTTATATATTGCAGAAATAATTTTAAGTGTTTGTTTTAGTGTGCATTGAACTTCATTAAAATAGAGCTATCCAGTCTGTGGTGAGTTGTGACTCGGATGACTTTTCAAACTGCTTCAAGTTTGCTCTGCATATATTTCAAGTTTGCTCTGCTGAGCCATCAATCAGTAACTGGAGCAGAGTTACTGCACAAATAACTATGGGTTCCCTTCTATGGCTCTCTCCTTTCTAGGGCTCCTCCTCATTCTCTTATTACCCTGTTTGCCCCAGGATCCTTTCCTTGGTTTTTCCAACCAGACATAAATTAAACTTTCTCTTTTAATTTTAGCTATCCAATGCTGCTGATCATTGCTGATGCTCTAAGCTCAAAGCAACATACAGAAAACTTAGTTTTTACAGGTCACTTCTTCAAAGTTTTAAATTCCTACTAAAATCTTCCTGCTTTGTTTCCCTTCCAGAATTCTCAGATTTTTTTTTTTTTTTTCAGGACTAATCGTTTTATCTTCAGGAGGGCCAGCTTATTAGGTGCTTACTTTTCCATGAGAAGAACAACTGTAAACCCATGGATGTCACAATTTTGGAAGTATTAAAAGAAAGAAAACAATGTTAAACAAGGTAATAATAATAGTTATAATAATAATAATACCACTTATGCCATGTAGAAAAATTTCAGAAAGCCTATAAAAGCATCTACACTATTCACTTGATCATCTTTTTCTTTTATTTTGAATAGATTACATTTACATTTCTGCTGTGATTGTTTTCCTGTACACAGAAAGGAATTCTTTTGTTTTTTCAATTGACATACTATCTTTGTTTTATCCTGACTTCATATGTCTAGCAACTGTACTTTTTTCTACACTGCACTGGTTCAACTGCTCAGTGTTTTGACAGTCATTTTCTTAACAATATCAAAATTATGCAAAGACAACTGTAATACCTGATTATACTTATTTTATTATAAATAAAATAAATATTAATAAGTATGACTCATTTATATTATGCAATATAAATATATACTCATTTATACTTATATTAATAAGTATGTTTATTAAATTACGGCTCATTTATAAAGAAGGAATAAGAGCCTTTTGCTAATATTCTAATGAAAATGGTTTTCCTTTAACCCCCACACTATCTTTCTGAATTTCCCAAACTGATTTGTCAAAAGTGTTAGTTTTGAAGCAGACTCATTTGATTTCATATTTCAACTTCCTTCCTCACCAGTTGTGCAATATTTTGAAAATTAGCTTCTAAAACACTTTCAATTATCTTTCCCCAAAGAACCATACCTTAAAAACAAAGCATTGTGTTACAACAGAGTTTATTTAAAATGAATATCATAATTTTGCTTTAAAAATGAATAACAAGTGAAAATGATGTAGAAATACACTATTCATCAAAATCTGATTTATTTGTGGAACTATTTTAAATTATAGATAAGCCACATATTGTACATATAGCTTTCTCTTTTGCTGAAAAGGTATAATGCATATTTTATTACAGTCATTCTTTAACATATTTCATACCTTAATAAGAATCATATTAATTTAACTACACAATTAATTGAGAAAAAAATAATCTGAATGCCAATGTTCAGATTAATCTGTTACTTGGATTTGAAGATGAGTACCTTTAGCAGCTAAGCACAGGATTTTCAATGGCAGTTATTTAAATCTCATAAAGGATGAAGACACTTCTTTATTATGTTTAATAAAGGTCAATGTTTCCTCAGTGGTATTTGGTAAATTTTTGTATATTTGCAAATAACATTAAGTATTTTTCGAGAATAAATTTGTAGATTCAATTTTGTTACGACTTTTATTGTGTATACTTATATGTACATTAAAGAAACAGAATTAATTACCCAAATAAGTTTCTATGTTATTTGTCATGCAAAACAAAAGCAAATGTCAGTTATTCAGTCTAAATAAAACAAAGTTTTCAAAAGAAGAAATATATTTTACTAATACAAAAAGATTGCTTAATTAAGTCTTTGTCAATATACCATAAATTTTTCAGTGAATGAGTATGTTTTCTTATGACATTTATTTGAGTTATATTTTTAAAAAATCTTGAAATATATGTGGATGAAGCAGAGGAGAATAAAATGCAATGTTTTGGAAAACATCAGCTAGTAAATTGCTTTGTATATTTATATTGGTGAGTAACCTACAATCTGATAAAAATTATTTTTTCTCTAATAATCCCATGGGCGGTCAAATATCAATAATTCTTCATTCTAAACTTTTGAAAACTTTTTTTATTTCTTGAGCTTTTGGGAACCAACTCATCCTGCATCATCGGCTTCTGTTGTCTCTTGCTGCTTATCTGTAAGTAATAAACCTGCTTCGTGTGACTTGTGTATATGTGGTGTTTTGCCTCACTGGACTTAGGACAGGTTGGTAACCAGTGCACAGTAAGCCTGCTTCACAGTCATAACATGTTGGTAAATATTTGTTCTATCTTTGTGTTGTGTGTATGCAATTGCTTTTACAAAATATCATTTTA
Source organism: Homo sapiens (assembly GCF_000001405.40). NCBI lineage: Eukaryota > Metazoa > Chordata > Mammalia > Primates > Hominidae > Homo > Homo sapiens. The sequence continues at coordinate 103,976,782 of NC_000001.11, forward strand.
TAGTTTTATTTTTCAACTTAATAGAATATTGTAAATAGTTTATCATGCAATTATTATTCTAAAACACTACATTTAATGACTGAATAGTCATATATTTTGGAATATATCACAGTTCACTTTTACCAATATTTATATTGAGTATTTTTCATTTTTCATTTTTCTTTTTTTTTTTCTTTTATAAAGAGCACTGGTGGCCAGGCACGGTGGCTCATGCCTATAACCTTGGCACTTTGGGAGGCCTAGGTGGGAGGATCACTTGAGTCCAGGACCTAAAGACAAGCCTGGGCAACATGGCAAGACCCCATCTCTACAAATATTTTTTAAAAAATTAAAAGCAAAGAGATCACTGCTACAAGCTTCCTAATAAAGAGGGGCAAAATTAAAATTTTTAAACAATTAACCTGCATGTAACAAGCGAAACAAATGCCTGGATAATAGGAATAGGTGATGCTTTTCCATAATTGCTGTGGCTGTGTTAGCATATCCTGGACAAATATACCATTACTTTTTTGTGCTTATTTCCATATGTTTTAGCAAAAAATGTGTTTCTTGTATTTTAATTTGTTTTATTTTATCATTAATGACTGAACATTGTTTATATGTTTGTTAGACATTTGTATATATTTTTTGAGAATTGCCTGTTATCTTTTCACTTTTTTGAGAATGTTTTATTTTTAAATTTTAAAATAATTCTTCATGTATTAAGAGCACTATGTTTTATAATTCAGATTAAATATTTTCCTTAATAGTTTTATTTCTGGTGTTTTTGAAATTAAGAACAAGTTTTTAAATGTTACTCAATTTATCAATCTGTTTTCTTCTCACTCCTTAGAGTATATAAATACTCTACTTTCCTCAACTACTTTTGTTCTTTCCCCCCACTTAAAAAATATTTTTTGTAGTATGAATACTCAATATGAGATTTACCCTTTTAACAAATTATAAGTATACAAAATATTATTTTTAACTATGGGTAAAATGTTATATAACTGATGTTTAAAGCTTATTCATATTGCTTAATGGTAACTTTATCCCCTTTGAAAGTATCTCCCTATTTCTCCCTTCCTCAACGCCTGAAAACCTCCATTTCACTCTTTGGTTCTGTGAATTTGGTTATTTTAGATACATCATAAAAGTGGAATCACGCAGTACACGTATTTGTCTTTCTGCAGCATGGTCAGCATCATCTCACTTAGCATAAAGTCCTCAAGGTTCATCCAGACCATCTCGTATTACAGGATTGCCTTCTTTAAAGGCTGAATAGTATTCTATTATATGTATATACTACATTTTCTTTACCTATTCATCTGTCAGAAGACATTTAGTATGTTTCCCATCTTGGCTATTGCGAATAATGGCTCAGTGAATGTGGGAGTGCATATATCCATTTGGGATCCTGATCTTTGAGATCACTCTCTCCCTCCTGCACACACATTTTAAATCTACAGTTTATGTAGAATTAATGCTACACACACTCTAGCCCAAATCCTCATTACCTCTTACTTTCAACTTCTCTCTTTTATCCCCTATAATCCAATCTCCATGTAGCAATTAGAGTGCTTTTTCTAAAACTAAAGTATAGGTTACATCACTCCTCCATTTAAAATTTTTTCAATAGATCCTTATCACACTTAGAATAAAACCAATGTTCTTTACAATGCAATGGCTTACACAGCCCTAGGTGATCTTGCCCCACCTATCTCCGCGAACTATTTTAGCTCAACTCCTACCTTCTCCTTATTGCCATCTGCAGCCATACTGGTCTTCTTTCTGTTCTTTATATGACAACTTGTTGCCACCTTAGGGTAGTAATGTGGGAGGAAGGATATGGGTTCAGGAAGTCTTGGGTTGAAATACCTGGCACAGATTAGCTGGTTGATCAATTGGGAAGGCTGTGAGACAAAGAAAATAAGAGTTCAGAGATCTTTGGTTTGAAAAATTTGCTGTATATAAAAGCCACTTATTTATAAGAGAAACATAATTAAAGAAGCAGATTTGGAAACAGAGAAATAAAATATCTTTCTATGTTGTTAAATTCATAATATGTATTTAAGATTCAATTTAAGATGCCAAGGTTATTGACTATCAACAGCATAAAGTGCTGTTAAAGTAAAAGGGCCGGGAATATAGATTTATGAGTTATTGACATGTAGAAGATATTTAAAGCCTCGGGGATCAATGAGATTTTTGAGGAAGGCATGAGGCTATCAGTGAATGTAATCTACATCCTATATTCTTTTCCCCATTATGTACAAATTTTTGTTAGCAGAATCATTTGTATATTGTCAGAGAGCATACAATAATTTTATTCTATTCTGTCCTTCCTACTTATTGTTACCTTTCTTTTCATTTTAAATCTATAGTTAAACATATTCAACATTGCCAATTTTCTATTTGTTTTTTGATTGGCTACAGTTCATCTTCTACTCATCTATCTTCTCATATAAACAGTAGTCTGAGTTCTTTCATGTTTAAATCTATGTCTGAAAACTTTGTGTTTAATAGGTTTTGTTCACTTTATTTTGGAAATAAATGTTTCTGTGGAGACATTTGACTCCCAAAATATTTTCTTTACTTCTTCTTTTTGTCTGGCTCCTCTGGGATTCTTTTTTCTCCTGTGTATTTCAATAACTGTGATATGTGTTGACTATCAAATTTCTCTGAGTTCATGTTGAACAATATGTAGGTTGAAGTCTCAATATTTTTAGTCAATTTTTTTTCTTTTTTTTTTTAATTTTTGTTCTGCTTATTGTTTTTGTATTCCTCTCTAGGGGCAAAATGTTGTGTCTATTGGCATTTCATTGTCATTTTCTATTTTGATTATTTTCTAGTTCTTTTAGCCTATTATTTTAATCATTTCTTTATTAATAAATTTTAAGTTTCCCAATGTGCCTTAAACTATATGTGTTCTGTTATTTGTTCCTTCTAATTTAATTTTTATTTCAATAATATGTTTTTCTTATGAGTTTTGTAGTTTCCATGTCATCTTCTTCTCTTGTCTGGCTCTCACTTCCTAGTAGATGTCTATCTATTCCATAAGTATTTGTATGTCTGTTTTGTGGTCTACCCTTATAACTGGAATTACTTTATTAGATGCTTTTTAAATAAGTTCATAATGAAGTACTTGGCTATATTTTTCATTTGACAATTAAAAGTTATATCAAAAATTTAATAAATAGAAAAATTATTTAGAGGAGAGATCTAGGGAAAAAAGAGACCAAGGGAAAAGTAGTATGACATCAAAAGGCAGAATTTCAAGGGCAATAACACATTTAAGAATGAATGCTGTTATTACTATTTCATACACTATTTCCCTTCATTGTAATTATGTTCAGTGTAGAACATTGTAGTAATCTGAAGGATGATACTGGACATACTTTAAAAATGGAATCAGTTGCGTTAAAATACATTTAGAGATATTATGAAAATGTAGATAAAAGCTACTTAATGGAAGCTCACTAGACTTTAACCCAATGATCTTCATGTACTATGATATTAAACTGTTTTTTGTTAATAAAATACAACTCTAGCATATAAATTGAATTTATTATGTGGTACTATTACACAATATCTTTAATTTGCAGCTGAGATTTGAAAGACAAGAGCTAAAACTTAGAGTTCAAATGTTATCTATTTTTCTAAAAGAAATTATAATAAATTTGAGTTTATAAAATATTAAGATTCATTGTCTTCCAGCTTTAGAAAGAAGTTAATGAATATAGCACATTCACAAAATATTTTTCCTAAAAATTATTTAGTCAACAGTTAACATTTATCCATGAATAATTTGGATTATATAGGAAAACAAGTATAACTCTGGGGAAAGCATAGATCAAATCAGAAAAGTGAAAATATCTCAAATATTCTTAATGAAGAGGCAATTTAATAAGACATGTCTGTTGAGTAATTTTTGTCTGACAGATATTGGTTTAATGCTGAAAAAAACAGCAGCCTTCGTCTTTGCCTTCATGGAGAGTGCCATCCATGGGTGATCACAGGAAAGCACAGTGTGTTAAGGGTCAATTAGGTCAATGGGGGAGTATTTCAGAAGCATAAGGAATGCTTCTGAGAATGCCTAGATTCCTAGTGATATGTAAGCTTAGACCTAAATAATTAATATATAAAATTAATCTATGAAAGGGGTAAAGTAAATGTGCAGAAGTAAATTTTAGAAGGTACAAATTATTACAGATTGGAGGGAGAGGTATATGCAAAGTCCTGGAGGTTAGAGAAGTAATGGTTATGAGTCACTGGATGGATCATGGAGATCAAGAAACCTGCTGAAGAGCTGGCGCAGGTAGAGTGAGCAGTAATGACAGATGAATCTGGAAAGGAATTTGGAGACAGTTTATGAAAAGTATTGTATTAAGAAGACTGGTTCTCATCCTAAATGAAATCATAAATCATTGAAAGTATAAGCACAGGGCAATCTATAGTCACAGTTGATATCAGAGGTGAGTAAACATGGAGAGAGGGAGTCAAGAATTCCTCACAATAACGAATGATGTGTTGAAGTAGTAAGATGGCAATGAAAATAGAGAAAACAGGATACATTCTAAAGATATAGTTATGAAATGTGCTTAGTGATTGATTATTTGTTCTGAATGGTGAGGAAAAAGAATGAGAACTTACTTATTGGTTTTAAAAGTTCAGTAAATGGGGCATGGGGCGGAGGAGGGAGAGCATTAGAAAACATAACTAATGCATGCTGAGCTTAATACTTAGGTGATGGGTTCATAGGTGCAGCAAAAAACCATGATACACATTTACCTATGTAACAAATCTGCACATCCTGCATAGGTATCCCAGAACTTAAAGTAAAAATAAAAATAAATAATGAAAGTTCAGTAAATGGACAGCTGTGCTCATTCACTGAAATAAAAAGCTGTTTCGAAGAAGTTGGTTCAGACCCACTGAACTGTAGATCTCTGTGTACATTTAGTTCTGGATTCAGTTCCATATGAGGATCTGGACCTCAGAAGAGCAGTTTGTCAAGAGATACAAATTTAAGAGCCATTGGTTTCCATATCAGTGTTTCTTAAAATGTTGTGTTCCATTAGTATAACATAGGCTTTTTGTCAAAAATGCACATTTCATGGCCATCTTTCAGGGTTTTAACAGGTTACAGTATATAATTTGCACTTTAAATGGTGATTTCATAACTATTTCACCTACACATATTTGAGAACTACAATATGAAAAATAATTGAAGACAAGGAGTAGGTGAGATGACTAGAAGCACAGATAGTTAGTGGAGAAGACAGTGACTAGAACAGAGACATTCGCCACCCACAGTGGGGTAGGTATTTGAGGAAAATCTTGCAAAGGAGATTCAGTGAAGGGGGAGAGAGCCAAGGAAAATAGAGTAGGGCTTTATTAAAACTATGGAAAGATAGTAGTACTTCCAGAAGAAAGAGACTGTGGTAAGTAGTGTCAAATCTTGTTCCAAGATCTAGTAAAATGAGGAGTAGAAATTATTCATCATAAAATTTGCAAAAAGTAGGTTGTTAGAGCAGTGTCCCCAGGGGGAAGAGAGTTGTTGGCAGATTGCGCTGGTAGAGGAGGTGAGAGTTAGAAAGAGTGTATATAGGCCAGGTTTTGACTAACTATAGTGTACAAGCTAAATCTGGCCTGGAATCTGTTCTTACACAGCTTGGAAAGTAAAAATGGTATTTATATTTTTAAGGATTGAAACAAATCAAAGAAAAAATAACGCCTTGTAAAACAGGAAAATTTTATTAAGTTCTAGCATTAGTATCCATAAATAAAGTTTTATCAAAAGCCAGCTGCACTCATTTGATTATCAATTGTCTTACTTTCACCTTACAACAGTAGAGAGAAGTGGCTGCAGCAACAATCACATGTTTCACAAAGCCTAATATATTGACATGCTGGCTCTTTATGAGAAGGTTTGCCAATCCCTGGTAAAGACAATTATTTTACAACTTTGTGAAGACAGGAGAGAGAGAAACAGTTTTGAATGGAATTTGGGAGAATGAGATTTTAATTTTAATAAAAACCATGAAATTTTAAAATATTGTTAGAAAAGAACCAGAGAAAAAACAAAAGGATACAGTTTAAAAGATGAGCTAATAAGGAGGTAAAGCACTCAGAATAGATGAGAGAGAAGCATATAAATAAGAGGTGGTGCATCTCTCCTTTTGAATTTTGGTGGGAGAACCGAACAGACAGTGAATGCAGAAGCCGGTAATTTTAGAGATTTGGTAGCAGAAATAAACTTCTGTTTGATAGATATTTTAGATATGAATGTGGAGGAAGGTATGTCCACTCTAAATTATCCTTTTGACTTTTTTTTGTAACAAAACAGGACACTGAAATGTTAATAGAGTCACGATCCCATTCAAATAGTAAAATTATGTCATGATAAAAAAAATTTACAGCTGGAAAATTAATTTCCCAAATTTCTAATTTGTTTTAGTACAAGTATTTTAGAAGCAGAATATTTCATAGCCTGGACTTTCTGGTTGCATTTTTCTATCAGTAGCACAACACTAGAAAATATTTTAGGTAGCATTTAAAAATTTGAAATGATACAAATGCCTTCTATGTTTTCTCAGTTCACTGATTCAGTGACTGCATATTTCCTTTGCAGCACTCGTTACTGAAATCCTTACCTCAAATTTTCTTTTACAGTCAATATTTTTGTGTAAAGAAAGTTTTAGGTTTTCACTCATTGCCCATTTATTTTACATCATATTTAATTAAGAATTCTACTACAATGAATTTTTTAAAATGACATCTCCTGCACATCTTTTGGTAAGGTAAAATAATACAATTTTATAAGCTTTTAAGAAATTGTTTTTAGTGGTTATTAAAAAAAAGTCTAGCCCACTCAACACCTGCCACTTGAAATTGTAGAGTTTAAAATAATTATTATTTTTTAAAATAAATAATACACAGTGAAGTGCTGACCACTTTAGTAGTATTTGAATTTAATGATTGATATAATTTTTAGGCCATTTGTTAATCTTATTGTGAATACTTAATCATATTACACATTAGGCGATTCTCTGGGCATAGATTTGCAGATACTTAGTTTCTGATATATGTATCAGAAACTAAATACATATACATAAAATATCAGAAAATATGTATATCAGAAAAATATATATAGTTATTCAGTTCTTCCTTTTTGTTCCTTCAGCTAACACCTTGAAAATACATGTGTTCAATTTAACTGTTTTTCATGAACAGGAATGTAGTATTTTCTGAAATGGTAGCTACAATATTTTCATTGCTATTCAATGTCATCGAATTCAGTCATCTTAAGGAAGATTCACACAGGAGCTATCATGAAATGCCCCCCAATAAATAAAAATTTACAGGTTGGGATAGATTCTTAGGTTTTTTTGACTTTTGAGGGAAATTATGTTTTAAAAATAAATATATGCACTGAAAAGTATTTTATAGTCAGATGTATAAGGAGTAATTTTTAGAAGAAATGAAAACTAGAATTTAACTGAAGTATAAGTGAACTCTCATACAATAATGATTTCAAATTCATATCTCTGTTTCATGAACTGGAAATACTGTTTTACCCTGTTTTATTTAGAAGACTGTGTTAGATTGGTTTTAATGAGGAGCAGAAGCCAAAATGGAATTATACCTGTAAAAAAAAATTGTTGGGGGAAAAAAACTGTGAAGGATAAAGTGAGAGAGACCATGATTCAAGTGTGACACCTGTGGAAGGGAACAGGAAAGAATTGGATAGAAAGAATATGAAACCACATTATATTTCTATATTAGTTTGCTAGGGCTGCCATAACAAAGTACCACAGACCTGGTGGCTTAAAGAACAAAAATTTGTTTCCTCACAGCTTTGGAGGCAAACTTTAGTTTTAGTGATCATTTTAAACTCAAGTTTTAACAACCTTGTGGTAAACTATTTTTTCAAAATGAAAATTTCCATCAAAATCGTGTATTTTTTCAGAAACTTTCATTTATGAGTCAGAATATAACTAGTAAAGAGAGTACAATGAAGTATTTGACAAAATGATTTTGTTTAATTAATATTTTTAGTTAACTCATCAGTTAACTAAATACTTCAGATTTTTGCATCTGAAGTATTTTGTTAATCTGCCAGTGAGTTTTTAAAAATCCGTCAAGCACAGTGAAATTCACTGAACTATCTGATATAACAAACCTTTTAATAACAAACCTTTTAAAAATATCTCTTTTCTTTTGCCACAATATTTACTGATCTTAGTTTTATTCTGAATTCTTTTGAAACTAATACCTAACAGGGTAATTAAATGCATAACATAAATTTAAATTCTAGCAAAACTCAATCAGTTATGGTTTAACAATATTTATCTTTAAATAAAATCCTTAAAACTTGGCCTTCTATCCAGAGACGGTATTACATTTAAAGGAAGATTTGTAGAAGTTTAGATAAATGCTTGTAACAACCAGTGAAGTAAAGAGGATGACTAGCTGCCTGTATCTCTAAAAACTTCTCAGTGTGATATTCTTGAACTTGGTAATGAATATGCTCCCAAATCGAGGAAGGTTCAGAAGCCTGACTCGGGTTACTCATACTGGATCCAGTGATAGTCAGTGAAGTGTCACATTCATTCTTCTGAGCCCTGGGAATATGCTACTAAACAAGGACAAAACCAAAACAATGGACATCAAAAACAAAAACAGAGCAAAACAAAAAGAAGTGGGGGAAGACAGGTAAATAATCATAAATTTTGACAAGTACTGTGTTAAAAATATTAGGCAGGGTTTGGAGGATATGACATGCATTAAGATAGTTGTTGTTTTATGTTTGATGAGGAAACTCTCATTGTTATAGCTATTTTTTAGACGTAAGCCAAATGGAAGTCTTGGAGAACATTCTACATAGAAAGACTATGAAGAATTCAGAGAGAATGAGACCAGATCATAGAGGTCCCTATAAGCTATTGTTATGATTGCCTTTTACTGTGAGTGAGAAAGAAAACACTGTGTGGCCATGTTAATAATATTCAATATTGAAAAATAATGAGAGAACTCTTAGGTGATTGGTTTTATTTTTTTCATGAAGTTTTGCAACTGAGAACTTTGATATAGTTGTGAAGCAAGATCATCATCTGGGGATAGAAAGTTCAGTAGAAGGAAGAAGAAAGGAAGAGAAGTGATGAAATATCAGTTTTAAAACATAGAGCCAGAACAGAACAGCTGTGTGTATACGTGTGTGTGTGTGTGTGTGTACACTCCTGATCGGAGTGTATTTTAACCATTGTGATAGTTTCTTATCCATGATAAAAATGACATTGTAGAATAAGAAAATGTTTCACTTCTATTTGATAATCGAGTGTTTGAGCCACATATCAGGATTCACCACTAGTTTTGACAGGTTTTGACGGGCTATTGGGAATGTCAGCAAGTTGTGATTCTAATGAAGAATTCTGAACATGAATCAAAAACCTACAGAGCTTTCTCACATGATGAAGAAAAAATATTCAATGAGATCTGTTGAAGAAGCAAAGACAGACTTTATTCAAGGGGCAGGGAGTTGAGGAATGATGATAGATATAGGGACAACTGCAATAGGGGTCTTGCAGTAGGGGAGATAGATTGGGCTTAATTCTGAATACCGCATGTGCAAGTGGGAATTTATTGCCAAGGAGGAGGGTGGTGGCAGTGGATGCAAAATTACTAAGAGGAAATACCAGTGGTGCTGTGGAAACATCAGGGATGCTATGTTTCCCCAAAATTCACATGTTAATATCTTTACCTCCAAGCTGATATTATTAGGACCTGGGGCATTTAGGAGATGATTAGGTCATGGGGTGTAGCCCTGGTGAATGGGATTAGTGCCTTTCTAAGAGGCTGGAAAGAGACCCTTTTCCCATTTTGCCATGTGATGTTAGAGTGACAAGATGGCTATCTATAGGAAAAGTGAAACTCACTAGACACAGAACCTGCCAGCACCTTAATCTTGGACTTCCTAGAGTCCAGAACCGTGAAAAATAAATTTCTATTGTTTATAAGCCAACCAGTTTATGGGTTTTTGTTACGGCAGCCTAAATGTACTAAAACAAGGGGTTAAGAAGAGATTCTGGCTAAGCCAACCTAGTAGGATTTCCTGCTGAAGGCAGGTTATGTGATCAGACATTTCTTGGGGGATGGTGGAAAATGAGAAACCCAATCAAATATCCAGGATGATCAGATATCAAGGGCAGAGAGTTCTGGTTAAACTGACTCAGCAGAATCCTTGCTTCAATTGGTCAATGCAGAGATGAGCACAGAAGTCCAAAAGTCAGGCCTTATTGAAAAAGAGTTCAGGGGCGCCTCAATAGAGTTTTGTGAAAGAGATAATCTTTGTGATAATAAAGCTCTTTGCAGGAGTGCATCAAATGCTTTGATGATGGCTGTATATATATAAAGGCTTGGCCGATGATTGTTTCAGTTGGAAAATATAAGCAAATATATTTGTTATTCAGCTTTTGATACAATTTGGCTCTGGAATGTATTTCTCTAGGAAGTGAAGCAAATCATCAAGATAGCATTCCCTGAAACTTTATATCACCAGTTGGTCCTTTGATGATTTCTGATATTTATTTCTCTACATTAAAATTCATGAAAGCTCTCAATTTAAAAAATATGTTTTAAAAAACAGTCATGAGGCCAGCATTATGTAAATACCAAAATCGGACAAAGACATTACACTCAAAAACATAGATGCAAAAGTCCTCAACAAAATGCTAGCAAAATCAACCCAACAAAGTATAGAAATAGTTATAAGAATTCTACAATCAAGTGGAGATTAGCCTAGGTATGCAGACTGGTTCAACATTCCACAATCAATTGATGTAATCTCTCACATCAACACTACAAAATAAAAATCACATCAATAAATGCCAAAAAAAAGTTTGAGCATTTGACAAAATATATTACCCATTCATGATAAAAACTCTCAGTATAGTAGGAATAGAGGGGAATTTTTTCAACTTGATAAAGAATATCTATAAAAAATATATCGCTAACATGATACTTAATGATGAGAACCTGGAAACTTTCCAACCAAACTCAGGAACAAGGCAAATAGGTTCCTTCTTACAACTCCTTTTCAGCAATGTTCTGGAAGTTCTAATTCATATAATAAATCAAAATGAAATGGAAGGTACACAAATTGAGAAGAAAGAAATAAAACTGTCTTTATTCACAGATGACATAATTTTCTATGTGGAAATTTGGAAAAAAAATCAACAAAAAAAACTCCTGGAACTAACAACCAGTTATAGCAATATTGTAGGATACAACGTTAAATTTAAAAAGTCAATCACTTTCCTATATACCAGCCAGGAATGGGTAAAATTTGAAATTAAAAACACAATACCATTTACATTAGCATCCAAAAAATGACATAGCAACAAATGTAAAAAATAAAACAAAAAGTATAACATTTATATAATGGAATCTACATGCTTGTAATGAAAGAAGTTAAAGAAGAAATAAATTGAGAGTAATATTCCTACTCATGGAGAGAAAGACGAAGTACTGACAATATATTAGTTCTTCTCTACTTGATCTATCCCAATCAAAATACCATCAAGTTATTTTGTGGTTATAAACAAGCTGATTCTAAAGCTCACATGGATAGGCAAAAGATCCATCATAGCCAACAGGAATTTGAAGAACAACGTTGGAAAACTGATATTATTGGACTTCAAGAATTATCATAAAGCCACAGTAATCAAGACAGAGTGATATTGGTAATGGAAGAGACAAATAAATCAATGGAACAGAATAGAGAACCCAGAAACAGACCCACTTAAATATAGTCAACTGATCGTTGACAGAAGAACAAAGGCATTATGCAATGGAGTGAGGGCAATCTTTTCAAAAAAAGGTAATGGAACAATTGAACATCCAATGCAAAAATAAATAAATAAATAAATCCAGGCAAAACCTTATACCCTTAATTAAAATGAACAAAAAATAGATCATAGACCTAAAGGTAAAAGGCAAAACAATAAAACTCTTATAGGAGAAAACCTAGATTACCTTGGGTATGCTGATAATTTTTTAGATCCAGCTCCAATGGCATAATTCATGAAATAAATAATTGATAGACAGGTCTTCATTAAAAGTAAAAACTTCAGGCAGGGTTTGTTGGCTCACACCTGTAATCCCAGCTTTCCGGGAGGTCGAGCTGGGCGGATCTCTGGAGTCCAGGAGTTCGAGACCAGCCTGGACAACATGACAAAATCCCGGCTCTACAAAAAATTTGAAATTAGCAGGGTATTGTGGCGTGTGCCTGTAGACCCAGCCCTAGGGAAGTTTAGGTGGGAGGATGGCTTGAGCCCAGAAGGCAGAGGTTGCAGTGAGCCATGATTGCCCTACTGCCTTCCTGTCTGGGCAACAAAGAGAGACCCTGTCTCAAAAAAAAAAAAAAAAAAAAAAAAGTGAAAACTTCTGCTCTGCGAAAAGTAATATTATGAGATGAAAAAGACAGGCATAGATGGAAGTAAATATTTTCAAAAGACAAATCTGCTAAGAACTTCCAGCAGTTTGCTGGATAGATAAAATGGAATTTTCAAATATTCATGATCACACTAATAAATTAGCTGTAGTGCTATAGTTTGAAAAACAATAGTTTTAACTCTGGGGTCAAATAGACCTTATTATGAGGTAGACCACAAAATTCTGGCCCTACATGTCTATGGACTTATTGGGTGTTCCATTTAAAGGTTAGTTTTCTCATCTTTAAAATAAGCATAATAATAGTTTTTTTAAAAAAAAAACTTGTAGGGTTGTTTTACACTTTAATTGTAGAATTTGATTTATTCAATAATTGAGAGAATAGCTTCGTTCAACAAATGCTTGTGGTAACAAATATTTAGAGCATATAAAATATCATAGAACTCCGTACTTCAAAGAGTTTATGAATTGCTATTATGTTTCACTCAAGCTCATGAAGCTGATTTTAAAAAATAGAATAAAATTTATTATATTTCAAAAGGAACTATAAATGTCATGTGCACATAATAGTTACATTGATATGGCTAGTACCTTTTCTCTTGCTGTTAAACTTGAGATCTCAAGTAATAATCAGAAGGTTGATAAGTATGAAATCAGAGCATGGAGAATTAATTAGATGAAAAAAATATTTCTCATCACATCAAAGTAGTCTGAGGTACCATCTCCATATTAGAATAGTCTTGCAAAAGAAACCTTAATTTTCTTGTCTAAAGCTTGTTCTCTCCTAAATAGCCTTTAGATGTGCACTGAGACATTTATTTCACTTTATTTTTATGCCTCATGGCTCCCAGTGTCTCTTTATGTTTGCTATATTTTTGTTCTGGTTTGGTTTTTAATATGTTGCTAGATCCTATTTACAGTGCAGTCTAGCATCTCCAGGAGTAGACAGCCTGGCTTCTAATCTAACCCCATTCAAATCATTTCTTAAGCTTCGTAATGTGAAAATTTTCTCTGTTCTTCAGTTTCATTGTATAAAGTAAGCATAAAAGTTGGACCTGTTTATTTTTCTAAAACTATTGTTAAATAATGAAATGCATGTTTCATGGTTAGCTTAGCCCATAACATTTCATGTCTGACAAATATGGCTGTTCTTGATGAAATATACATTTTAGTAGATTCTTGGTGGCCCTGGGCCATTTTCTTTCTTTTTGTTATTTCTGGTCCTAACTTTGAATATCATTTATATGTTGAATATATAGTTCAGCAGTAGGAGCAGTTATATTTCTAATTTTGAAGGGATATCCTAGGTCTAAGAACTAAGACACTTTTTATAGAACTCTTAATCTCAACCAGTTAAGAGATTAGCAATTTATTTTATTATATTTTTATTTTTTTATTTTTTAGAGGCATGATATCACACTGTCACCCAGGCTGGAGTGCAGTCGCGTGATTATAGTTCACTGTAATCTCAGGCTCCTGGGCTCAAGCAATCCTCCCATTTCAGCCCCCAAAATAGCCAAGACTACAAGTGCATGCCACCAAGACTGGCTACTTTTTAAATTTTTTTGTAAAGACAGGGTCTTTGACATTGCCCAGGCTGGTCTCAAACTCCTGGCCTCAAGCAATCTTCCTTCCTCAGTCTTCCTAAGTTCTGGAATTACAAGAGTGAGCCACTGCGCCCATCTAGACTGTGTTTTAAGTATTGTCTGTCTCCCTGTATTAGAATGTTTGCTCCACAGACAAGAATCTTTGTCCATTTTGTCCACAGATATTTCCAAGCACACAGTACGCACTCGAAAGATATTTATTAAATGAATGTATGAGTAAATGACTATGTGAGGAAAAAGGCATGAAACTATTATAGTTCTATAGAAAGTGCATATTAAAAATTCATCAGCCCTGTACCTAGAGAATGAATTTTATTATCTATGAAAGTACCAAACAATATAATTCTTCTCTGGTTAAGATTGATTTGATGCAATCATTTTGAAGGTTTATTCCAGTTTCTATTTTGTCTACACGTAGAAAAACTAGGAACGGAGAACATCTCACTCGTTTTGTTACATCTTAGTTTGCAGAAAAAGAATAGTCAGTCCTAGATCGTTTTGTAAAATATCATCTTACTTTGTAAAAATAGTATTATTTAAATTAGTCAATCTTTCAGTCTGTTAAAAAATAGGTGTTATGAATAACATGTGAAAAAAATGTGTAAAAGTTAAATCCCTAAATGAGTTCTAAAATAGTCACATTGAAGGTATATATGAGAAAGATGCAAGTCATAGGAGGAAGAAATCATTTCTGATTTAATAATTCAAAAGGACAGAGTGTAAATAGATTCAGATATTTTATCTACGAAAAAGAAATTATAAATAATTGCCAAGTGAAATTTATTTTAAAGGAAAAAGATTATTTTCAATATTGTTTGCCTTTAGTTGTTGAAATATGACAGCAGGAGAAAAATAATAGTGTTCTAAGATGAATAATATTGGTTAAATAATGTTATTACAGTTTTATTCTTGGTATAGGATTAGAAATAACAGAGTAGGGGATTTTAAAAAGCATGGAGAGAAATTTCTGGAAAAAACACTACTAAGTATATGATATGTAAGTATTATGACATACTGTATCCTTTAGAATTTCTTTCCTTCCATTTTTCCAGCATAATCTCACCAGATCTTTCAAAGTCCTGTTGATAAAATTACAGTGAAGTATTTACTATTTCCAAAGCATGTCTTGTCTTTTAAAGCCTTTGTTTCACTGACCATGCTGTCTTTATTTCTCTGAAATATTAACTGAAGTGCTTCAATATCCAGGTTAAATATAAATTCATTCATGGTGATGCTTAAGTTACCCAGACATAATGTATTACTAATTTCAGGTCAATGTACTTACATACTATGTGACCCAGACAGAAGGTATTACTCACTTCGGATTCATATACTTACATACAATGTGATTATGTGTCAGGCTTTGTGCTAGGAGCTGTAAGTATAAGATGGCAATGACACAGTCTTCACCTGTAGGAAGCTGTATTAGGCAGGCTTCACTCCAGGAAACAGTAGCCCTTATACTCTGAAAGATGTTTTATTCCAAATAAGTTATGAACTTATTCTGTCTTCCATGAACCACCAGCACCTGTTCTCTTGTTCTTTTCTTATCCTTACTGACTTTAAAGCTAATGGAGCTAGATAACAAACCCCAGATTCCCTTCCTTCAGAATATATTATTGTCTGCAACCAGTCCTGGTACAAAAACTCTTTCAAGACAGAGTATAGGAAAAATAACTTTAAATATTCTATGCAAAGAAGAAAATTTAATATAGGTGCTAACACAGTCATTGGAAAAGATGGAGAAGTGTGCTTTAGGCTGTCTGTCCTGGAATGATTCCCAGAAAAGTGGAGAGCTGACCTACTTGGAAACTGACTCTGCAAGAATCAGGAAGTGGGGAGAATGGAGAAACTGGCCCTGGAATATTTGGGTTCAAACACTCAGCTGTAGCTCTGAATCAGAGATTCGAAATTTGGAATCTGAAAGCCATTGCAATCCTGCTGCAACTTCATCTCAATCCTATGAAGCTGGTATATGCACATAGAAATTTGAAGTCTGCATTCTGTCTCTGTCAAAACTATCCACTAAGTTGGTGCAAAACTAACTGTGGATCAACCTACTATTAACTGATGAATAAACAAAGAAAATGTGGTATATATACGTGATGGAATGTTATTTAGCTATAGAAAAGAAGGAAATCTTGTCATTTGCAAGAACATGGATGATCCTAGAGGATATTATGTTAGGTGAAGTAAGCCAGGCATAGAAAAACATGGCATGATCTAACTCACTTGCAGAATTTTTTAAAACATTGATTCTGTAAAATTAGAGAGTAGAATAGTGGTTACCAGAGGATAGGGTGGTTAGCGGGTATGTAGGATGGGGAGATGTTTACCAAAAGATACATAATTAGATAGGAGGAATAAATTCAAGAGTTCTGTTGTACAGCAAGGTGACTATAGTTAATATATTCTTGAAAAATGCAGAGTCAATGTTAAATGCTCCTAACACAAAAATAGTAACTGTGTTCATTAGATTCAACCATTCCACAATGTTTGTGTACTTTAAAACATCATGTTGTACATGATAAATGTGTACAATATTATCTGTCAATTAAAAAAATCTATTTTTGCTTCAACACTGGCAAAGATAAAGATTGGACACTGAAACACTGCTGCATAAAAACTCTTTGGTTACCAAAGGTAAATAATGAAAGACGCGTAAAGATGACTTTCTACTTTGCCTACTTTCAACCTTCATAAAAGTGCAACTTGGTGGCAGAATCTAATTTGAATCCTGAAAGCTAAGTAAAAGAAAATGTGTAAGAAAGGAAGATACACTAGAAGGGTGGGAAAATAGGCTAGCAGTCAATTGACAATATCCACCACAAGGATTTTCTATTTTTGCCTGTAATATGACCAACTATACATGCAATATGATAAAATAGAAATTGATATGGTATGTTCTAAAAGTGTGCAAAGTAAAGATCCTCAGTTTGGGGAGGTTTCTTGGAAGAGACGAACCATAACTGGATCATGAAGGATGAGTAAAAATAAACGAAGTGAGTTAAACTAAGTATGGAAAGTCATTCCAGAGAGAGAAAACAGAAAAGATGTAGAACAGCATGATGCTTATAATCTATCAACAGAAAATAGGTAATAGATGGTAGAGGTGAGGTAGGGGAGGAACATACCCAAGTTGGGAAAGTTTCATGTATTTTGTTAAGGAGGTTGAGCTGATTCCGTATGTAATGGAGAACCACCAGAGGTCTCTTCATGCAGAGTAAGAAAGTCAGATCAGCATTTTATAGGTCATTCTGGCACTAGTGAGAGAAAGAGATTAAATGGTGGATGGGAGGAGACAACTAGAGGGAAAGATACCTATTATACTCTAGTAGTCTTCTATGTTAGACACTATGAGTGTTTAAAATAGGGCATTTTTTATATATGCTAACACTTAGAGCACATTTTATTTGGATTATATGCATATTTTTCCTCCCCTAATGAATTGTATAATTCTTATGGACTCAAGTAGATCATCTAAAACATTTTGTCTTTAGGATTTGCAGAGTGATTGGGACATGCTAATCTCAGCACTTAATCAGATAGACTTGAATTTAAGATTATTAGAAGAATGTATTCACCAACACTATATGAAATATGGAATTAAGGCAGTGATAATTTTGATTCTAACAATATAATTTTTTTTCTCCAACAAAATCCCTAGTGGAAAATGAAAAAAAATTGTTAAATTACACAGAATTATTACAATTCTGTTTTGAAAGAGGACATTAGTGAAAGTAATTAGTGTAATTTAATAGAGTAATATGTTATCTCATTTTATTCATATTTTTCTAGTAACGATTTAAAATATTATGTGGTCTTTCCATGTCTGAGATTATCTGAATGGCTGTGTCATGATTCATGCTCTGCCCTGCAGCGAATAATGTAATCTCTGCTCTGTTATTACCTAACTTGAAAATTTAAGATAATAATTTTCCTTCTTTTCCATTATAGGAAACACTGAAGGTTTCCTATCATCAACTACTTATTATGTAATGCTTGAATTTTCTTAACTGAAATGGAAACCTATATAACTACAAAACATTCTTGTTATATCATAGTATCAATAAATGCATTTAGCTAGTATATTGAAAGTGATTGTTGTAATTGGTCCTTTTTGAAAAGAAAAATCTGGTCATTTCTAAAAGGATGTTATCGCCCGTCTTCTTAGTGAAGAAAACAAAATGAAGCGGACACATTGCTAGGGTTTTAACAAGGAACTATAAAAACTGACAGAATGTAGATGAAGACAGATGGTTGAAAAGTAAATGGTAATAACCCAAGGTAAAAAGTACAGCAGAACAGTCATATTCCTTAGAATATTGTCCTTTATCTGGCCCCATAACAATTTGAAAACTTGGTTCGGAAAGATTTGTTTATATCATAGTTCTATTTTTAATTTTTTGAGGAAACTTCCTAGTGTTTTTGATAATGTCTGTACTAATTTACATTTCCACCAGCAGTGTATAGATGTTTGTTTTTCTCTGTATTCTTGCCAGCATTATTTGTTTATTTGTTTATTTATTTATTTATTTTAGCCTTTTTGATAACAGCCATTCTAACTCAGTTGAGGAGATAACTCATTATGGTTTTGATTTGTATTTCTCTAATGATTAGTGATGTTGAACTTTTTTATTGATCTGTTGGCCATTTGTATGTCTTCTGTGAGTGTCTATTCAGGTTTTTTGCTCATTTTTAATCAAATTATTCTTTTGGTATTTAGTTGTTTGAGTTCCTTATATACTCTGGATATTAATCCCTCCTCAGATACATAGTGTGCAACTAATTTCTCTTCACCTTATTAATTGTGTGTTGTGCAGGGGCTTTTTAGTTTGATGTAATACCGTTTGTCTACTCTGTTTTGTTGTCTGTGCTTTTGAGATCTTACTAAAAAAATTCTTGCCCAGACAAATATCAAGCTTTTTCCTATGTTTACTTCTAGTAGCTTTACAGTTTTGAGTCTTGCACTTATTTCTTTAATCCATTTAGAGTTGATTTTTATACACGGTGAGAGAGAGGGGTCTAGTGTCATTTTCTGCATGTGAATATCCAGTTTTCCCAGAACCATTTATTAAAGAGATTCTCCTTTCCCCAGTGTGTATTCTTGACACCTTTGTTAAAAATCAGTTGGCTGTAAATGTATGGATATATTTTCAGGGCCTATATTTTGTTCATTGGTCTATGTGAAATCAGTGTACCAAAGAGACATCTGCTTACTCATGTTTATTGCAGTGCTATTCACAATAGCCAAGATATGGAATCAACCAAAATGCCCATCTACAGATGAATCAATAAAAAGTATATATATATATATATAAAATAGAATACTATTCATCCATGAAACAGAATGAAATGCTGTCATTTGCAACAACTTGGATACTTGGATGTACCTGGAGGACATCATATTAAGTGAAATAAGTCAAGCAGAAAAAGACAAACACCACGTGATCTCAGTCTTATGTGGAATCTAAAAAAGGGGATTTCATAGAAATAGAGAGTAGAATAGTGGTTACCAGAGCCTGGGGAGGGTGGGAAAGGCAGAATTGAGAGAGGCCAATGAATGAGTACAATATTATAGTTAGACAGGAAGGATGTTTTGGGGTTTTATTACACAGTAAGTGACTATAGAAGATAACAACATAGCATATGTTTCAAGACTGCTAGAAGAGAAAATCTTAAATGTTATCACCACAAAGAAATAATAAATGTTTAAAGTGATGGATATGGTAACTATCCTGATTTGAGCATTATACTATGTATACGTGCATTAAACCTTCACATTGTATCCCATAAATATGCATAATTATTATGTGTCAATTGTACATTTTAAAAATTAAATTTAAAAAGCATGTTATGACAATTTCATAAAATCTGTTTCCTAGGTCAACTTAAAATAATTTTATTGAATTTATAGGAACACCTTCAATTATATTTATTTTGCAGTTATGAGTTTATTTTAGTAATATATTATTTGAGCTTTTTATTTTGGAACTTAGAAAAGCTATTAAAGGATAAATTAATTGGAGTTCTTAATCTTTCAACATCCATGCTTAGCATGGTAACCTACAGTTAATGATTCTGTAGGTAGCATCAATTTTTAAGTAACATGACAAAGAATATCTCTATAAACCAATGAATTCTGTCTTGGAGTTATTTTTTCCTTCCTGTCTTTCTGACATACCTGAGTTGGACATCCACTAAGGATCTTTCATCCCTTTCCTGGGACCATCACAAGCTAGAATCTGCAGGAAACATTGTAAAGTGTGCTATAAATAAAATCAGAAAGCTTATGTTTGAATTTTATATTTATCAATTAATATCACCTCTACATTGTAGATAAATTGTTAACATTTTTTGAGAGTTGACACCCTTACATGTAGGGGATAACAATTGCTTTAAGATTTTTGAGTAGGATGATAATAATAATCATATCAATAATATATACCATTAGTGAGCTCTTACCATGTCCCTGTCACTGTGGTAAATATACATACTGTCTTATTTAAACCCCCACAATTATATGTGTTTGGTGTCATTTTTACATGCATGCTGTAGATGAAAGAACTGACACTCAGAAGTTATTTAAATTGTTCCAAGTCACAGATCTAATAAGCATTAGACATATAAATCTAACCTGGACTATTTGACTTCAAAGTCCATGCTTACAGCCACCACACTTTATGTAAAGAAAACCCATTGTATAAAAGTGTGAGATCTTTATGGACATTGACCTACAACAGCTGAGGAGTCCTTTAGCTTGACGTATATAAAATGTATGCCCTAAACTTTCTCTTATAGTTTTTCTCTACTAGTAATTAAAACCTTGTTTCAAATCTTGTCCCAAATTTAGAGATGTTTTATCTGCAACTTGTAGGGTCACAAATGGCTAATCCAATAAACTGATTGAGGGATAAAAAAGAAAGTCAGAAGCGAAATAAATCTTGCATCACCATGTAGCACATTTTAAACCACAGTCCTAATAAGAAAGTGCCCCCATTTTGGTCAGTGAGATCATTGTTAGACATTCTAGGTAAAACAGAAATGAAACTAGCATCGTCTGATACTGCTGAAGGAGATACTTTGAGACAATCATAGACTAGTGATGCTATTTAAATTATACTCTTTGGATAAATACTGGGGAAATTATATATTAACAACTATTGCAAGGGATACAAATATCTGTATCTGTAAACGAATTTCTACATTACATAGCTTCAATAATTTTGAAGCTCTTAGTCAAGGGGAGAGAGAGAAAAAAGGGATATATTTACAGAAATTTGGAGGATGGAGAGCAATAGGATGTAATGAGAGCACAATGGAGGGATAAATTATCAGGGAAATATTTTGCCAGAGATGACATTTGAGTTAAACTTTGCTGAATAAGGAGGGTTTAATCAAGATACTATGGACATTCTGCACACTTGCATGTGCAAAGCTTTTACAAGATATACAGTGCCTCGGAAAATGAAAAACTCGGGATGGCTGCCAAGGAAGGTTGCCAGTATTATTTAGGTTCATATTTTCTGCATCCCTTGAAAATAAATGTAAACAGAAATGGTAAAAATATGAGGTTCACATCAGACTATATACGCCCTGTATATTGTCATTAAAAAATGGGACTTCATCTTAATATTAAGTAATAATACTGATATTCTCAATTTGCAGTTTATAAAGATGACCCTACCACAAGTTTGGATGATTACAAAAAAAATTGCAAAACAAGACACAAGGTAAATTGTTTGTGTGCTAATTTATTAAGAGTAATTTGTCAGATACTTAATAAGTAAATTATAATAGACACTGCATTAAATCTTCATAATACATTTTAAAGTAGTGAGTTTCTCATTTTTATAGATTAAAAAAAAACTGAGACCCAGCAAGGTTAGTTAAGAAACCTGTGGTCAAGTAATGGTGGGTTCAGGAATCACATACAACTTTCTTAACACCAATCTTTTATTCTTTATCTCTTAGTAAATGCAATAACCCAGGACTTAATAAATGAATAAACTACCCCAGGGAGAGCAAAAAAGCAAACAAGGAATTTGAGAGATATGAATAAAATGTGAGTACAATCTGGCAATTTTCTTTACACGTTGAATTGCATAGCCTGTAAAAGACTATTGCTTCAAGTAAAAATCAAACTCTATCTTCTAAAAATCTGTCAGATAACAAAATTGAATTACTTGAAAATACTTTTATCCCAGAAATAACTTTTGTAAATTTCTGCGTTTAAAAAACAAATGAAAGGCTTAAACCAATAAAGTGTAACTGAACATAAAAGAAAAACTCAAACATAAATTGAATAGTTAGGTCGGAAATGTCATTAATCAATATGAAGTGTCCTCTGGAAAAGATGTTAATAATGGCTAATAAAAATTATTGCCAAGCACTTCTAAATATAAAAGTCATGCAAAATTATTAACAATGACCATCACTGCAATTATATTTTTTATGCAATATATGCATAATGAGAATATGCAAAAGCACTTCTCATATAAAAAAGTTCACAGAATTATAAAGACATTAATGCTGACAACATACTGAAAAGACAGCAAATATTGAATATTTACAATGAATAATAGAATGATCCAAACTCATGTACAATTTTATGAAATTAGAATAATAGCTTCTCCTTTTATTCTTCCTATATGTTAATCAACTTATATAATGTCTTGAATAACAGGAAATATCCTTCTTAAAATATCGGCATAAAAAGAATCTAGTCTTTTTTTCCTCAAATTTGTCTTTTTATTCTCTCAAATTTATTGTGTAAAGATTCAAAGATATAGGCAAACACATCACTAGAGCAATACACCTCCACATACCACCTCTTTATTAGATAATTATTAAAATATTTTGCTATCTTTTTCTGTATGTATCTATATTAACCAATCAATCAATCTATCTGCTATCTTTGCTGATCCATTTAAATGTAGTTGTGGACATCAAAATCTTCTACACTTCAATAGTCTAGGAAACATCTTTCCAAAATAAGAACATTCTTTAACATAACCACCCTTTTATTATCAGGCATACAAAAATAAAGTTTCCTGGTGTAATGGACATTCAATTTTCTATAACTTTCTCAATACTGCCACTTAAAATATGGGTTTAAATCAGGACTGAGTCAGATTTTATTCATTGTAGTCAGCTGTTTTCCCCTAAACTTTAATTATGACTATTTTGAAAAAAAAAATAAAGCTAACAAGGATAAAACACAACTGCATTCTATATATATCTTATTGTCTCCTCACAGTATCATTTAATTTGTTTATCTCTCTATTTCCTCTAAAAGAAATTATATCTAAAGCTTTAATTAAATTCAGGTTAAATATTTTTGGCAAGAGTGCCTCATCGTTAGTGCTATGTGCTTCATCAGTAAGCACATATGTTGGATTGGCTCGCTGTGATTGATGCTAATTTTGATAATTTGGGCACTGTATGAAGATCCCAATGCCCATCCACTACATGATGTGTTAATGCTTTCTTCCTCAAAAGACAAGCAAATCCTTATTTTTCTACACCAATTTTCAGAAAAAAAAATGATATGATAGTCGCAATGTTGTCAAATAATTTTAATCTTTTTATAAATATCATCACAGACTCAAATATTCTTGTTTATATAATATTTTATAATTACTTGCTGTTATTTTTGTTTTACTGCTTACATTATCTCAAATGCAGCTGGTAGAAATCCTTCCCAACTGGGTCATGTACATTTTGTCACTTTTCTGTTTGTCTCTGGATATTTCTTTGCTCTGGCGTAACAAGGTATCCTCGGCTTATTTTGCATTTTTCTTGATCTAGTTTTAAAATCAGCCATTTCTTCAATAAGGCATTTAATATATAATATGCATTTTATGTAAGAAAAGATAAGCAGGAGTTTAATATATAAGTATCGCCTTATTCATGCAAAAATAAAAGCTGTGAAGAGACACAAAGCAGAAACAACAAAAGTACCTATAGAATGATGCGGAAAATGTGGTAAAAAGTATAGGTATTGGAACAAAACTTTTCTGAGTATGTATCTTTATATAGTTTGTCTTTTGTATGATATATTTTATGTATATCCAAAGAATGATATTAACTAAGGAAAGAAAAGGAAAGCAAACCTAAAATGGAAAACAAATGAAATTAATGTAACTGTTATAAATTGGTAACGTACTGTCTTAAAACATATCTGCAAGTTCTTTGATGATTCTCCCTTTAAAAGATGGAGTCTGATTACACTCCTCTTGAATATGGGCTAATTTTGGTGGCTTTCTTGTAATAAATAGAACATGGAGGAATAGGCTAAATCATAAAAATTGGCACTGTTTCTGGTTGTTTCTCTTTGTCCTGGGATATGCACAATTGAGGCCTGGGTCGTCATATAAGAAGTTCACTTCCTTTGAATTTAATCATGGAACTTCCTCTTTCATTTTGTATTCCTAACATTTCCTGTGCCCTTACATGCTATGAGGTATTACATGAGACTCATATGCTATGTCAAACAAGTCTAAGATATGCAGACATGGACATTTTATTTCTTTATTTTGCTTAAAGATTTAATGACCTTACTATATTGACAAAAATTGATTGGATTAGCAATGATGATGTGTAAATAGAACCATTTATAGGCTAGATGCAAGAAGTCCTGTAGCCTATAAGGTGACCTGGTATAAGCATTTTTCCCATTAGAAAAAACTTTGTAAAATACTATCTTAAGAAATTTAGTTTAGATACACAAAAGGATCACAGAGAATGCAGAGACAAATTAAATAAAAGCTAAAAGTTAACGAAGAGGAAGTAAATAAAGAAGGATATTTAGAAAAATTCACAGGTAAGAGAAGTTGAGTCATTAAGTCACTAGGGTAGTAAATATCAGGTGTCCATTTGAAAAAACAGACTGGGTAACTAGAGCCTCAGCTGAGTTAGTGAAATTACTGCTGAGAGACACTACAGTTGCTGTTAAATTCAAAATTGCAATGATATGCTTTGGTTGTTTGTGAGAATTGACTCTGACTCTTAATATACTTTTCTTTGTTTTCTCACATTTTTGTCTTTGTCTACTAATAACTCCTATCCCTGGAAATAACCGGCATATATCTTTGGGCCTTGTGAACTGAAAGACACTAACTAAAACAAACTCCTTAATACTCTATGCTTTTGTATATTTTCAGCTCTTGCAAGTGTCTTATGCTACTTGTCTCAGAACTGGAAATGTAATATAACTCTCCCTAACTTTGGCCCTCAAATAGAGGAGATATTATATTTTCATTTTTTAATGAAATATTTATTGGGGAATTAATTATAGGCCAGGAGCTTTGCTCCAGGATGATATAATTCATGTCTAACAGGGGAAAAATCAAGTTGTTATAATAATAATATAACCTGTTATGTGCTATAGTAGATCATGATTTTAATGATGTGACAACAAAAAGGTAAATAACCCTTTTTAGTGAGTCAGGAGAGGGTAATAGAAGCTATAAATTTATGCTTGATCTAAAGCAAATATGTAGGAAATAGATATGCTCATGAGTAAGTGGTAACTTATCATGGAACTTTTATTCTTTGTCAGAGGGATATTCAGAGTTAAGGGGTTGTGAAAGGAGTATAATATTTTTAAAAAATGGTGGAAAACCATATAGTGTATGCATTTTATGTAAAGAAAAAATAACACTAAGAAAAATAGAGATCTCAAGTTATTTTAATTTGACTGGATAGCAGCTTTGCTACAAAAAAAATCCTACCATTTTAGGTCATTTGTACAATAAGAACTAGTTTGTGCAGTGCTTTGAATTACGTGTTACTCCATAGCTATGTATTGTTGCCGTGTTAAGTGTGTTTGTTTTGAATACTCTCTCTTACGGCCTTTTATAGACTTAATTGATTTCAATTGACTATATTGGAGTAGTATGTTATTGGTTTTGATTTAAAAAAAACCCTCAAATAATAAAGAAAAACACTGATAAACATGAACTTTCATGCCTTGAGATTTTGGACAGATTCTAAAGAAAGTGACAGTGAAATGTTCTCACATGTTAAAAAAAAAAAAGATCCTAGATTATTTACACAGATTTTGATCACAAGTGGCCCTAAACTGCTTTTGAGACTTGCATTCCTGCATCTGCTTCCAGGTTATGGGTGGACAAAGATAATCATGAAGAAAGATTGGCCGTGAGAGTTTCTTTGGGAGTTTGGTTAGAAAACCATGAGTTTGAGGATCTGTAACCATTTTCCAATGCCCCAAACTGGCCTTTATCTAAAAGCAAATAGGAGAAGACGTGGTTCAAGAGAGTGACTCATAGTGTATAAAATATGTACCCTGAAATTTGGAAGAAAAAATACCCACAAAATTGGAACTGGACCGTTGATAGAAACATTTGAACACGGACATGATTAGAACTGACTTTAATAGGAGAACAGAAAAAGAAAATTGAGATTCAAGAATTTGGCAGAATAATGCTATTTTCTCCTGGGCCAGACTGAATATTGTGGAAGATGTTTGGGCACGAATCATTTTGAAGGGATTTCAGGCCTGCCAGAGTAAGAGTTACGGGCTCTAAGGAGACGCAGAGAGAGGAGTCATAAGCAATCAGGTGGATAATTGTGCTAGAGAATAGTGCAGTGAAAAATTTTGATAGGTATCTCTGAAGAATCCAAAAAGTGTTGTTGAGAGTAAGATATTAAGTAGTTAAAATTAATATAAAGCCAGTAAACTTCACAGAAGAAGAGGTTGGTTGACCTTGCCTTGCTAGTTACCAAGAATGATAGATCTAAAGTAATTAAGGTAGTATCAAATGGAATGGAATAGAGCATAGAAATAGACTCATACATATTTAGAACATTTTATATCTGACAAAAGTTGCACAGTATATTGTTGGGAAGAGAACAGAATATTTAATAAATGGTGTTGGAAAAACTAGGTATTCACAGGAAGGAAAAAAGAGAAAATATTAGACTATAACTACTTAAAATCAAAGAGCTTCAGGATTATAGAAATACGAAAGAAAAAACTGTAGAGCTCATAAAAGTAGGTTTGAGAAAGTCATGCTGAAACTATGGTAGTGAAGGTTTTCTTATACAAGAGTCAAAAGCACTAATCACAAAGAAATAATAGCTATGTTTTTAAAAATGTGTGTTTATTAAAGTATGCAATAAAATTTAAAAGAAATCACTAAATGGGAAAATATTCACAAGTAACCTACGAAGTTCCACAATATATTATAAATTCATACAAATTAATGAGAAAGACAAAATCTATTAACAAATTATAGGATATTTTTACAAGTACTTGAATAGACAAAACTCAATTGGTCTACAAACATAGCAAATGTTATTCATACTCAGTGACCATTTAGGAAAACATGTTAATAATCAGGAAAGTCCACACTGAAACTACGTAAGATATGATTACACATTCACTAGATCAACAAAAGTTTTTAAGAAGTATGATGGTACTGTGGTCAAGGACATGGCAAATGGGAATTCTTATACCATGATAGGAATATATAGTGTTAAAAGTATTTTGGAAAACTAGTTTGGCATTTTTTAGTAAAGCTGATATAAACATATTATATGGTCTAGCAACTCCTTTCTTGGGTAAGGAAACTTTCACCATACACCAGAAGGCAGGTATAAGAAGTCATAGCCACTTTGTTCATAATAGCCCTGCAACTCCAGAGGCAGAGGTAAGACACAGGACCAAATTGAGGACTTGTCAAACCTG
The DNA here is from genome assembly GCF_000001405.40 of Homo sapiens. Lineage (NCBI taxonomy): Eukaryota > Metazoa > Chordata > Mammalia > Primates > Hominidae > Homo > Homo sapiens. The sequence goes on from NC_000001.11 coordinate 104,004,535, forward strand.
GGTCTGGGATGGAAGGTCTGGGATGGAAGCACCCCCCATTAGACACTCCCAGCAAGGTGCCATGTTTGTTTACCATTGCCGTGGAAAGGCCAAGAAATTACCACACCTTTCCATGTAATGACCTGACAACTTAGAAGTTACCATCCCTTTTCTAGAAATTTCTACATGGACTGCCTCTTGATTTGCATATAATTAAAAGTGGGTATAAATACAACTGCAGAGCTGCTTCTGAGGTGCTACATCCAGCACACTGCCTAAGAGGTTGCCTTGCTCTACAGGAGCAGTCACAGAGCTGTAACACTGCTGGAGCTGTAACACTACTACTTCTTGAGTAAAATTCTTTTTACCACTGGCTCACTCTTGAGTTCTTCCCTGGGTGAAGCCAGGAACCCTCCCAAACTAAGCCCCAGTTTGGGGCTCACCTTTCCTGTGTCAGTTCCAGACTATAAACAGTCACTAGTTGATCAATAGCAGAATGAAAATAAAACGGGCTATATTATTAATATGACAAAAAATCCAGCAATGCATATAACTGAATAACTATTCCCAAAAGTATGGATGAATCTCATAAAAATAATGTAGAGAAAAATAAGCATAAAAATAACACATAGTCTGTGACATCATTTATGAAAAGTTCAAAAGTTAGCAAAGCTATATTTTAAAACACATTTAGAGGAATTAAGATATTTTTAAAAAATAAGTAAACAAAAAATAGATTAAAAGGAGGATAGTGGTTACTATATGAGCAGAGAGGATGTATCAGACTAGGAGTAAACAGAGAACACTGGGCATTGCTTGTTTTTTTTTTATTTTGGTGGTGATTACAAGAGTAATCCCTTTAAAATTATTTTAAGTGCTGCATATATGTTTTATGTACTTTTATGCATGTGTATATTACAGTTAAAAATTTAAAAAAACTAGAGTATTAAGATACTTAGTGTTGCAGTGTGTTTAAGCAGCTTATCAAAATTCATCTCTTCCTCTTTCTGGATAAAACCTATGTTTACTTTCTCAGACTTGATTATGGTTAAGAATGGATATTTAACAACATTCTAACCAATAGAATGTGGGTGGAAGTGATGTGTAGGACTCTAATGATTGGTACATAATTAATTCCCATCTGTGCTTCTTCATGCTTTTTTTCTCTTTCAGCTGACTGTAATAGAAACAGCACCCAGCAAGACCTTCAAATATACCAGGTGAAGTTGCAAAGCCAATAGCATCTTGAATGGTCCTGTATGATTGTGTGCATGATGGGCACCCTGCTTACCTGCCCATTTCTGGTCAGATAAGCAGGAAATCAGTTTCTACTGTGTTTAAATACCTTAAATCTGCTCTAACTAATACACATAATATCTAAACATATTCAAAAAATTTGAAAAATGTATTTATAGATTTCATATTTGCCTAAAACTCTCTCTTAACATTTAATTTTCATAGCTTCTAAATTAATCACATTTTAAAATTTAAAGTAGATTTAGTGTCAACCTTCACTTTTAGAGATAGCTATACTTTTAGGATAAAAATTCATTACATAATTTGTATGTTATTGTAATCCATTAGAAGTTTTTGGTTTTTGTTATTTTATTTATTTATTTATTTATTTATTTAATTTTACTTTAAGTTCTGGGATACATGTGCAGAACATGCAGGTTTGTTACACAGGTGTACATGTGCCATGGTGGTTTGCTGCACCCATCAACCCATCATCTAGGTTTTAAGCCTCACATGCATTAAGTATTTCTCTTAATGCTATCCTTCCCCTTGCCCCCCACCTCCTGACAGGCCCTGGTGTGTGATGTTCCCTTCCCTGTGTCCATGTGTTCTCATTGTTCAACTCCCACTTACGAGTGAGAACATGTGGTGTTTGGTTTTCTGTTCCTGCGTTAGTTTGCTGAGAATGATGGTTTCCAGCTTCATCCATGTCCCTGCAAAGGACATGAACTCATTCTTCTTTATGGCTGCATAATATTCCATGGTGTATATGTGCCACATTTTCTTTATCCAGTCTATCATTGATGGACATTTTGTTTGTTTCTAAGTCTTTGCTATTGTAAATACTGCAGCAATAAACATACATGTGCATGTATTATACAGTAGAATGACTTATAATCATTTGGGTATATACCCAGTAATGGGATTGCTGGGTCAAATGGTATTTCTGCTTCTAGATCCTTGAGGAATTGCCATGCTGTCTTCCACAATGGTTGAACTAATTTACACTTTCACCAAAAATGTAAGAGTGTTTGTATTTTTTCACATTCTTTCCTACATCTGTTGTTTCCTGACTTTTTAATGATCTGCATTCTAACTGACGTGAGATGGTATCTCATTGTGGTTTTGATTTGCATTTCTCTAATGACAAGTGATGATGATCTTTTTTTCATGTTTGTTGGCTGCATAATGTTTTCTTTTGAGAAGTGTCTGTTCATATCCTTCACCCACTTTTTGATGAGGATGTTTGTTTTTTTCTTGTAAATTTGTATAAGCTGCTTGTAGATTCTGGATATTTGACCTTTGTCAGATGGATAGATTACAAATATTTTCTACCATTCTGTAGGTTGCCTGTTCACTCTGATGATAGTTTCTTTTGCTGTGCAGGAGCTCTTTAGTTTAATTACATATCATTTGTCAGTTTTGGCTTTTGTTGTCGTTGCTTTTGGTGTTTTAGTCATGAAGTCCTTGCTCATGCCTATGTCCTGAATCGTAATGCCTAAGTTTTCTTCTAGGGTTTTTATGGTTTTAGCTCTTACGTTTAAGTCTTTAATATATTTTGGTTTAATTTTTGTGTAAGGTGTAAGGAAGGGGTCCAGTTTCTGTTTTCTGCATGTGGCTAGCCAGTTTTTTCAACACCATTTATTAAATAGGCAATCCTTTCCCACTGCTTGTTTTTGTCAAGTTTGTCAAATATCAGTTGGTTGTAGATGTACAGTGTTATTTCTGAGGCCTCTGTTCTGTTCCATTGGTCTATATATCTGTTTTGGCACCAGTACTATGCTCTTTTGGTTACTGTAGCCTTGTAGTATAGTTTGAATCAGGTGGTGTGATGTCTCCAGCTTTGTTCTTTTTGTTTAGGATTATCTTGGTCATACAGGCTCTTTTTCAGTTCCATATGAAATTTAAAGTAGTTTTTTCTAATTCTGTGAAGAAGATCAGTGGTAACTTGATGGGAATAGCAATGAATCTATAAATTACTTTGGGCAGTATGGCCATTTTCATGATATTGATTCTTCCTATCCATGAGTATGGAATGTTTTTCCATTTGTTTGTGTCCTCTCTTATTTCCAAGGAATGTTTTTCTATTTGTTTATGTCCTCTCTTATTTCCTTGAGCAGTGGTTTGTAGTTCTCCTTGAAGAGGTCCTTCATATCCCTTGTAAGTTGTATTCCTAGGTATTTTATTCTCTTTGTAGCAATTATGAATGAGAGTTCACTCATGATTTGGCTCTCTGTTTGACTATTATTGGTGTATAGGAATGCTTGTAATTTCTGCACATTTATTTTGTATCCTGACACTTGGCTGAATTTACTTAACACCTTAAGGAATTTTTAGGCTGAGATGATGAGGTTTTCTAAATATACAAACATGTTATCTGCAAACAAAGACAATTTGATTTCCTCTCTTCCTATTTGAATACCCTTTACTTCCTTCTCTTGCCTCATTGCCCTGACCAGAACTTTTAACACTGTGTTGAATAGGAGTGGTGAGAGAGGGCATCCTTGTCTTGTGCTGGTTTTCAAAGGGAATACTTCCAGCTTTTGCCCATTCAGTATGATATTGGCTATGGGTTTGTCATTAATAGCTTTTATTATTTTGAGATACGTTTCATCAATACCTAGTTTATTGAGTGTATTCGGCATGAAGGATGTTGAATTTTACCAATGGCCTATTCTGCATCTATTGAGATCATTATGTAGCTTTTGCCATCGGTTCTGCTTATGTGATGGACTACATTTATTGATTTGCATACATTGAAGCACCTTGCATTCCAGGGATGAAGCCAACTTGCTTGTGGTGGATAAGATTTTTGATGTGCTGCTGAATATGGTTTGCCAGTATTTTATTGAGGATTTTCACATCCATGTTCATTAGGGATATTGGCCTGAAATTTTCTTTTTTTGTTGTGTCCTTGCCAGGTTTTGGTATCAAGATGATGCTGGCATCATAAAATGAGTTAGGGAGGAGTCCCTCTTCTTCTATTGTTTGGAATAGTTTCAGAAGGAAAAGTACCACCTCCTCTTTGTACCTCTGGTAGAATTCAGCTATGGATCCATCTGGTCCTGGGCTGCTTTTGGTTGGTAGGCTATTAATTACTGCCTCAATTTCAGAACTTGTTTTTGGTCTATCCAGGGATTCTACTTCTTCCTGGTTTAGTCTTGAGTGGGTGTATGTATCCAGGAATTTATCCATTTCTTCTAGATTTTCTAGTTTATTTGCATAAAGGTGTTTATAGTATTCTCTCATGGTAGTTTGTATTTCTGTGGGATCAGTGGTGATATCCCCTTTATCATTTTTTATTGTGTCTATTCGATTTTTCTCTCTTTTCTTCTTTATTAGTCTGGCTAGTGGTCTATTTTGTTGATCTTTTCAAAAAAAAACAGCTACTGGATTCATTGATTTTTTGAAGGTTTTTTTGTGTCTCTATCTCCTTCAGTTCTGCTCTGATCTTAGTTATTTCTTGTATTCTGACAGCTTTTGAATTTGTTTTCTCTTGTTTCTCTAGTTCCTTTAATTGTGATGTTAGAGTGTTGATTTTAGAACTTTCCCGCTTTCCAATGTGGGCATTTAGTGCTATAAATTTCTCTCTAAACACTGCTTTAGCTGTGTCCCAGAGATTCTGGTATGTTGTGTCTTTGTTTTCATTTGTTTCAAAGAACTTATTTATTTCTGCTGTAAATTTGTTATTTACCCAGTAGTCACTAAGGAGCATGTCGTTCAGTTTCCATGTAGTTATGCGGTTTTGAGTGAGTTTCTTCATCCTGAGTTCTAATTTGATTGCACTGTGGTCTGAGAGACTGTTTGTTATGATTTCCTTTCTTTTGTATTTGCTGAGGAGTGTTTTACATCCAATTATGTGGTCGATTTTAGAATAAGTGCTATGTGGTGCTAGGAAGAATGTATATGCTGTTAATTTGGGGTGGAGTGTTCTGTAGATGTCTATTAGGTCTGCTTGGTCCAGAGCTGAGTTCAAGCCCTGAATATCCTTTTTAATTTTCTGTCTCGTTGATCTGTCTGATATTGACAGTGGGGTGTTAAAGTTTTCCACTGTTGTTGTGTGGAAGTCTAAGTCTCTTTGTAGGTCTCCAAGAACTTGCTTTATGAATCTGGGATCTCCTGTATTGGGTGCATATGTATTTGGGATAGTTACCTCTTGTTGTTGCATTGATCTCTTTACCATTATGTAATGCCCTTCTTTGTCTTCTTTGACCTTGTTGATTTAAAGTCTGTTTTATCAGAGACTAGAATTGCAACTCTTACTTTTTTTGCTTTCCATTTCCTTGGTAAATATTCCTCCATCCCTTTATTTTGAGCCAATCTGTGTCTTTACATGTGAGGTGGGTCTCCTGTATACAGCACACCAATGGGTCCAATTTGCCAGGCTGTGTCTTTTAATTGGGGCATTTAGCCCATTTACATTTCAGGTTAATATTGTTATGTGTTAATTTGATCCTGTCATCATTCTGCTAACTGGTTATTTTACACTTTAGTTGATGCAGTTTCTTCATAGTGTCGTTGGTCTTTATATTTTGCTATGTTTTTGCAGTGGCTGGTACCGGTTTTTCCCTTCTGTATTTAGTGATTCCTTCAGGACCTCTTGTAAGGCATGCCTGGTGGTGACAAAATCCCTCAGCATTTGCTTGTCTGTAAAGAATTTTACTTCTCCTTCACTTATGAAGATTAGTTTGGCTGGATATGAAATTCTGGGTTGAAAATTCTTTTCTTTAAGAATGTTGAATATTGGCACCTACTCTCTTTTGGCTTGTAGAGTTTCTGCCGAGAGATCTGCTGTTGGTCTGATGGGCTTCCCCCTTTAGGTAACCTGACCTTTCTCTCTGGCTGCCGTTAACATATTTTTCCTTCATTTTAACCTTGGTGAATCTGATGATTATGTGTCTTGGGGTTGCTCCTCTTGAGGAGTATCTTAGTGGTGTTTTCTGTACTTCTTGAATTTGAATGTTGGCCTGTCTTGCTAGGCTGGGGAAGTTCTCCTGGATAATACCCTGAAATGTGTTTTCCAACCTGTTTCCATTCTCCCTGTCACTTTCAGGTATACCAATTAATCATAGGTTTGGTCTTTTCACGTAGTTCCATATTTCCTGGAGGCTTTGTTCATTCCTTTTCATTCTTTTTTCTCTAATATTGTCTTCGCACCTTATTTCAGTAAGTTGATCTTCAATCTCTGATATCCTTTCTTCCACTTGATCTATTCAGCTATTGATACTTGCATATATTTCACGAAGTTCTTGTGCTGTGTTTTTCAGCTCCATCAGGTCATTTATGTTATTCTCTAAATTTGTTATTCTAGTTATCAGTTCCTGCAACCTTTTATCAAGGTTCTTAGCTTCCTTGCAGTGAGTTAGAACATGCTCCTTGAGCTCAGTGGACTTTGTCATTACCCACCTTCTAAAGCCTACTTCTGTCAATTCATCAAACTCTTTCTCCCTCCAGTTTTGTGCCCTTGCTGGTGAGGAGTTGTGATCCTTTGGAAGAGAAGAGGTATTGTGTTTTTTGGAATTTTCAGCCTTTTTGTGCTGATTTTTCCTCATCTTCATGGGTTTATCTACCTTTGATTGTTGATGCCGAGGACCTTTGGATGGGGTTTTTGTGTGGGCATCCTTTTTGTTAATGTTTATGTTATTGCTTTCTATTTGTTAGTTTTCCTTCTAACAGTCAGGTCCCTCTTCTACAGGTATGCTGGAGTTTGCTGGAGGTCCACTCCAGACCCTGTTTGCCTGGGTATCACTAGTGGAGGCTGCAGAACAGCAAAGATTGCTGCCTGCTCCTTCCTCTGGAAGCTTCATCCAAGAGGGGCACCTGCCAGATGCCAGCTGGAGCTCTCCTTTATGATGTATCTGTTGACCCCTGCTGGGAGGTGTCTCCCAGTCAGGAGGCAAGGGGATTGGGGACCCACTTGAGGAGGCAGTCCGTCCCTTAGCAGAGCTCGAGCACTGTGCTGGGACATTCATGGCTCTCTTCAGAGCCCTTGCACTTTCTGGGTGAGGCAACACCTCACCCTGCTTCTGCTCGCCCTCCATGGGTTGCACCCACTGTCTAACCAGTCTCAATAAGATGAATTGGGTACCTCAGTTGGAAATGAATAAATCGCGAACCTTCTGCATTGGTCTAGCTGGGAACTCCAGACTGGAGCTGTTTCTATACGGCCATCTTGAAAACCTATTAGAAGTTTTTAAATATCTCAGGGAACATAGCAGAATTAATGTTGAGAATCATACAACACTTTTAAAATTTATCAGACTGTTTAAGTATCTTAATGCAGACACTTAATTTGTACAATATTGAAAAAGTTCTAGAAAAATCAACTTTTCAAAGACACTGGCACATTTGGAATATTTTGATTAAAATTTCCTGTTCATGTTACATTGAAAATTGATGTGGTCATATATTTTAGCATTCAACTTATGTGTATATATATTTTCAAATATTTGTTATTATTAACACTATTGTTAAAAATAAAAAAAGTTTAGTCATAGAATATTGTAGCAAGAAATATAAATTTGACTATGAACAAAAATGTCATGCATGCAACTAAATTTTTATTCTTCTAACTGCAAATAATCACCCAGAAGAAAGCCAGTTTTGCTTGGATTTTTAAAATATTTGTGGGATACTCAAAGGTGGGATTTTTTAAATCAGCAAAATGCGGGGCTTCTCCTATTTGGACCTGAAAAAGGCTTGAGGCAGCACTAAGTTACTTTTATTTTTATTTTTTTATTTTTGTGGGTACATAGTGTGTGTATATACTCATGGAGTACATGAGATGTTTGATACAGGCATGTAATGTAGAACAGTCACTTCATGTGGGAATGGGGCATCCATCCCCTCAAGTATTTATTCTTTGTGTTATAAACAATCCAATCACACTTTCAATTATTTTAAAATGCGCAATTAAATTATTATTGACTACAGTCACCCTATTTTGCTATCCAATATTAGGTCTTATTCATCCTTTTAATCTTTTTTTTTCTTATACACACTAAACATCTGCATAGCACTTGCTCCATTACTAGCAGTCCCAGACTCTGGTTACCATCCTTCTACTATGGATCTCTGTGAGTTCAATTTTTTTGATTTTTAGATCCCACAAATAAGTGAAAACACATAATGTTTGCCTTTCTATGCTGGCTTATTTCACTTAAGCTAATGACCTCAAGTTCCATCCATGTTTTTGAAAATTACAATATCTCATTCTTTTTTATGGATAAATAGTGCTCCATTGTGTATAAGAACTACATTTTCCTTAACCATTTTTCTGTTGTTGGACAGATTAATTCAAAATCTTGGCTATTGTGAACAGTGCTGCAACAAACATGACAGTGCAGACATCTCTTCAATATACTGATTTCCTTTCTTTTGGATATATACCCAGCAGTAGGATAGCTGGATTGTATGGTAGCTCTATTTTTAGTTTTTGAGGAACCTCCAAACTATTCTGATAGTGGTTGTACTAACTTACATTCCCATCAACAGCATATGAGGGTGCCCTTTTCTCCATTTCCTCGCCTGCATTTGTTATTGCCTGACGTTTGGATATAAGCCATTTTAACGGAGGTGAGGTGATATCTCATTGGAGTTTTCATTTGCATTTCTCTGATGAACAATGATGTTGAGCATCTTTTCATATTCATGTTGGTCATTTATATGTCTTCATTTGAGAAATGTCTATTCAAATATTTTGCCCATTTTTAAATCAGATTAGTAGATTTTTTTCTATAGGGTTGTTTAAGCTCCTTATATATTCTGGTTATTAACCCCTTGTCAGATGAATAGAAAATATTTTCTCCAATTTCGTGTGTTGTCTCCTCATTTTGTTGATTGTTTTCTTTGTTGTGCAGAAGGTTATAATTTGTTGTGATTCCATTTGTTTACTTTTGCTTTGGGTGCCTATGCTTGTGGGATATTACTTAAGAAGTTTTGCCCAAACCAGTGTTCTGGAGAGATTCTCCAATGTTTTCTATTAGTAGTTTCATAGTTTGAGGTCTTATATTTGAGCCTTCAATGCATTTTTATTTGGCTTTCATACATGGTGAGAAATAGGTGTTTACCTTCATTCTTCTGCATATGTGTATTCAGTTTTCTCAACACTATTTATTGAAGAGACTGTCTTTTCCCAGTTTATGTTGTGGGCTCCTTTGTCAAAAAATAGTTCACCGTAGGTGTATGGATTTGTTTCTGAGTTCTCTATTCTTGCTCATTGGTCTATGTGTCTGTTTTTATACAAGTATTATTAATATATTGTTTTTGTTACTATATCTCTGTAGTATAATTAGAAGTCAGGTAACGTGATTTCTCCAGTTTTGTTCTGGGTTTTTTGTGATTCCACATAATTTTTATCATTTTATTTTTTTTTTTGTGAAGAATGTCATTGGTATTTTAATAGGAATTGCATTGAATCTGTAGATTGCTGTGGGTAGTATGGACATATTGATAATATTGATTTTTCTAATTTATGAACATGAAATATTTTTCTATTTTTTGGTGTCTTCTTCATTTTTTTATTAATGTTTTAAAGTTTTTATTATAAATATTTTTCACTTTGGTTAAGTTATTTCCCAGGTATATAATTTTTGTGGCTGTTATAATTGGATTACTGTGTAAAATTCTTTTTTCGGAGTTTTCACTATTGGCATATAAAAATGCTACTGATTTTTGTACATGGATTTTGTATCCTGCAAATTTACTGAGTTTGTCAGTTTTAATAAGTTCTTTTGTGTGTAGTCTTTAGATTTTTCCCAATGTAAGATTATTTCACCTGCAAAGAAGGGTAATTTGACTTTTTATGTCAAATTTGGAAAGAAATTTTTATTATTTCTTTGTCTCATCTCATTGCTCTAGCTAGGAGTTCCAGCACTATGTTGAATAACAGTGGTGAAAATAGGCATCCTTGTCATGTTCCAGCTCTTAGAGGAAAGGGCTTTTCCCATTGAGTGTTATACTATCTGTGGCTGTGTTCTATATGGCTTTTATTTTGTTGAAGTATCTTCCTTCTACACCCAGTTTTTTGCGGGTTTTTATCATGAAAAGATGTTGAGTTTTATCAAATGCCTTTCCAGCATCAATTAAAATCATCATATAGTTTTTATCCTTTATTCTCTTGATATGATGTATCCTGTTGATTGATTTGCTTATGCTGAACTATCCTTGCATCCCAGGGATAAATCCTACTTGGTCATGATAAATAATCTTTTTAATGTATTGTTGAATTTGGTTTACGAGATAGTTGAGGGTTTTTGTAACAATATTCATCAGATACATTGGGCTGTCGCCTTCTGTCTTTGATGTGTCTTTGTAAGGTTTTGGTATCAAGGTCATACTGGCCTCATAGAATGAGTTTGGAGGTATTTCCTTCTCCTCTATTTTTCAGAATAGTTTAAGTAGGATTGCTATTAGTTCTTTTTTAAATGTTTGGTAGAATTCAGCTGTGAAGCCATTGTATCTCAGGCTTTTCTTCATTGAGAGACATTTTATTATGGCTTTGATCTTGTTATTTGTGAATGGTCTGTTCAGGTTTTGGATTTCTTCCTAGTTCAATTTTGGTTGGTTTTATGCATCTAGAAATGTGTCCATTTCTTTTATGATTTCCAATTTATTTGCATGTAGTTGCTTAGGGTAGCTTCTGATGATCCTTTGACTTTCTGTGGTATCAGTTGTAAGGTCTCCTTTGTTGCCCCTGATTTTATTTTTTGGGATCTTGCCTTTTTCATTTTGGCAAAAATTTGTCAGTTTGTTTAACTTTTCAAAGAACCAATATTTGGTTTCATTGACCTTTTGTATTATCTTCATTTCAATTAATTTATTTATTCTTTGATCTTTATTATTTCTTTTCTTCTACTAATTTTGGGTTTGGTTTGCTCTTGCCTTTGTAGTTCTTTCAAGTGCATTGGCAGATTTTTTTAAAGTTTTTTTTTCTTTTTTGATGTAGGAATGTATAGCTATAAACTTTCCTTTTAGTACTCTTTGTGCTGTATCTCATAAGTTTTGGTATGTTCTGTTTCCATTATCATTTGTTTTAAGTAATTTTTAAATTTCATTCTTAATTTCTTCATTGACACACTGGTTTTCCAGGAACCTATTGTTTAATTTCCATGTATTTTTATAGTTTCCAAAATTCCCTGTTATTGATTTCTGGTTTTATTCCATTGTGGTTAGAAAAGATACTTGATATTATTTCAATTTTTTTTATGTTTTAAGACTTATTCTGTTACCTAACATGATCTTTTCTGGGGAATGATCCACATGCTGAGCGAAAAAAAATGTGAATTTTATAGCCTTTGTAAGAAATGTTCTATAAATATATATTATGTCTATTTGGTCTATAATGCAGATTAAGTTTGGTGTTTCTTTGTCCATTCCCTGTCTGGAAGATCTTTCCAATGCTGAAAGTGGCATGTTGAATTCTCCAGCTATTCTTCTTTGGGGTCTTTCTCTCACTGTAGCTCTAATAATATTTGCTTTGTATATTTGGGTTCTCCATAGGTGGGCCCATATATATTTGAAATTGATATATTCTCTTGATGAATTGACCCATTTATCATTATGTAGTAATCTTCATTGTCTCATTTGAGAGTTTTTGTCTTATAATCTATTTGTCTGATAAAAGTACAGCTACTTCTATACTCCTATTTTTTTTTTGTTCCCCTTGGCATGGAGTATCTTTTCCATCCCTTTGTTTTTCGTCTATGTGTATCTTCATAGGTGAAGTGTGTTTCTTGTAGGCACAAGTTCATGGGGTATTTGATATGGTTTGGATTTTTGTGCCACCCAAATCTCATGTCTAATTGTAATCCCCAATGTTAGGAGAGGTGCCTGGTGAGAAATTATTTGATCATGGGGGCAGATTTTCCCCTTATTGTCCTCCTGATAGCAAGTGAGTTCTCATGAGATCCGGTTGTTTAAAGGTGTGTAGCACCTGCTGCTTCACTCTCTCCCTCATGCTCTGGCAAGGTAAGATGTGTTTTCTCCTTCAACCACGATTGAAAGTTTCCTGAGGCCTCTCCAGCCATGTGTCCTGTACAGCCTGTGGAACCATGAGCCATTAAAATTCTTTTCTTTATAAATTACCTAGTCTTTGGTTGTTATTTATAGCAATGTGAGAATGGACTAATACAATCATGTTTTTTAGGCTATTCAGTCACTGTGTGTCTTTTTATTTGAGAGTTTAGACCATTTACATTCAATGTTAATATTGATAAGAATTTATTTTTGCCATTTGTTATTTTTTTCTGTTTTTTTGTAGTCTTTTCTTCATTCTTTCTTGTTTTCCTTTTGATGAAGATGCTTTTTATTGGTGATATGATTTGTTTTCTTGCTTTTTATCTTTTTGTGTATGTATTCATTGTATGGTTTTGGGTTTGAGGTATCATAAGGCTTGAAAATATTGCTTTATAACCCATTATTTTAAGTTGATAACAACATTTTTGGTGTAAACAAACAAGCAAAAAGAAAACTAATATAAACTTTATGCCTTAACTTTGTTCTCTGCTTTCTAACTTTTTATTGTTTCTATTTACCTCTTATTGTACTGTCTATGTCTTGAAAAGTTGTTGTAGCTATTATTTGCTGTTGATTTACTGTTTAGTCTTTCTATTTATCAGTAATTTACACAACACAGTAGCAGTGTTATAATATTTTGTGTTTTTCTGCATACTTACTATTACCAATAAGTTTTTTACCTTCATATTATTTCTTATTGCTCATTAAAATTCTTTTCTTATGAATTGAAGTATTCTCTTTAGCATTTCTCTTAGGACTGTTCTGGTGATAATAAAATTTCAGCTTTTCTTTGTCTGGGAAAGTCTTTATTTCTTCTTCATCTTTGAAGAATATGTTGACTGGATATACTATTATAGGGTAAAAGTTTTGTTTTTCTTTTTCCTTCGGCACTTTAAATATTTCATGCCACTCTCTCCTCACCTATAAGGTTTCCACTAAAAAAGTCTGCTACTAGGCATATTGGAGCTCCATGGTACGCTATTTATTTCTCTTATCTTGCTGCTTTTAGGATTCTTTCTTTGTAAATCTGATTTGTAAATCTTGACCTTTGTAAATCTGATTATTAGTGTCTTGAATTAGTCTTACTGGAGAATTCTATAACCTTCTTGTACTTGGATATTGATATCTTTGTCTAGGATTGGAAAGTTCTGATATTATCCCTTTGAATAAACTTTCTACCTCTATCTCTTTCTCTACTTCCTTTTTAAGACCAGTAACTCTTAGATTTGCCCTCTTGAGGGTATTTGCTAGATCCTGTAGGCATGATTCATTGTTTTTTATTCTTTTTTCTTTTGCCCCCACTTACTGCGTATTTTCAAATAGCCTGTCTTCAAGCTCACTACTTCTTTCTTGTGCTTGATCAGTTCTGCTGTTAAGAGACTCAGATGCATTCTTCAGCATGTCAGCTGCATTTTTCCACTTCAGAATTTCTGCTTCTTTTAAATCATTTCTCTCTTTGTTACTTTTTTTGATAGAATTCTGAATTTCTTCTTTGTGTTAACTTGAATTCCTTTGTACTTCCTCAACATAGCTGTTTCAAATTTTCTGTTTGGAAGGTTATATACCTGTTTCTCCAGGATTGGTCCCTGATGCCTTATTTAGCTCATCTGGTGAGAACACGTATTTCTGGATTATCTTGATATTTGTATATGTTCATCTGAATCTGGGCATTGAAGAGTGAGGTGTTTATTGTAGTCCTCACAATCTGGGTTTGTTTGTACCCATGTTTCTTGGGAAGGCTTTCCAGATATTCAAAAGGACCTGGATGTTGTAACCTAAGTGTACCTGCTTTAGGGGGCACCCCATGCCCATTACTGCGGTGTTTCTTGCAGACTCGTAGAAGTATCACCTTGATGGTCTTGGATAAGTTTCAGGAGAATTCTCTGGATTGCCAGGTAGAAACTCTTGTTATCTTCTCTTACTTTCTCCCAAATAAATAGAGTCTCTCTCTCTCTGTTTGAGTCACCTGGAGCTGGGGGTTTAGTGATACAAGTACCTCTGTTGCCACTACCATTAGGACTCTACTGGGTCAGACTTGAATCCAGAACAGCACTGGGTTTCACATAAGCCTGTGTTAACCACTCCATGGCTACTACCTATGTTCTCTCAAAGCCGTGGTGCTCTACACTGGCATCCGGCAAAGCCAGCCAGGCCTATGTCCCTCCCTTTGGCATGATGAGTTTCTCTAGGCCCTGGACAGCTTCAGAGTTGCCACCTAGCAACTGGAGACCAGCTATTAAAAACCTTAGAAGACTGCCTGGTGTTCTATTGTATTGTAGCTGAGCAGGCACTCAAACCACAGGATGCAGTCCTTCCCATATTTCCTACCTTTCCAAAGACAGAGGAGCCTCACTCCATGGCCACTGCCACCACAGGCCAAGAGGGGTATTGCCAGGCTACCATCAAAGTTCTCTTAAGGCCCGAGGTCTCTTAAGTCTGCTTGTGGTAAATGCTGCCTGGATTTGGACTCACCCTTCAAGGCTGTGAGCTCCTCTCTGGTCCAGGGCATGTCCAGAAATGTCATCCAACAGCCAAGGCCTGGAATCAGGGACCCCAAGAGCCCACTTGGTGCTCTACTCCTCTGTGGCTGAGCTGGTACCTGAGGTGCAAGGCAAAGTTCCCTTTACTTTTCTCACCATTTTTCTCAAGCAGAAATCTTGCCCAGTGGCCACCACAGGCAATGTGCTGAGTCTCACTTCAAGCCAGCAAGTCTCAGAGTCTTACCCAAGGCCCTTGATGTAGTACCTATGTATCACCACTGGTTTTTCATGGTCCAACAGCTCTTCTGTTAGCAAGTGATGAAACCTACAAGGACTGGTTCTTCCCTTCCAGGCAGCAGGTTCTCTTCCTTCCTAGGGTGTGTTTAGAAATGTCTTCTAGAAAGGGAGCCTCACAACTCTAACCATTGGCCTATCCTGCTGTGGCTGAGCTGGTATCTACGATTCAAGACAAATTCCTCCCCACTTTTTCCTCTCCTCTCCTTAAGCTGTAAGAAGGGATCTCTTTCATAGCTGTAAGCTATATAGCTTGGGGTTAATAAAGGGTTGATGCCAGAATTCCTTTAGCCATTCCTGCTGGTGTCTCAGTAGGGTTGCATGCCCCCTGCTTGTCCTTTGGCTCTGGGCCCAGGTCAGCACTATGACTTGCCTAAGAGTTGAAGTCCTTGTGGCCTAGACTTCCTTTCAAGTTTATTTAGGACCTCAGGACACTTTAGCCTGCTGTGATGAGGCTTGCAGAAACTCAAGTTCTGAACATTGGGAGCAGTGATTCCTCTCTGGCTAGGACTGGTTTAAATGCACCCTCCATGGTCTGGCATCAGTTTGGTCCAGTATATTTTTTCTGCTGTAACAGAGTAGCTCTGCGTTCATTGCATCACAATTGCTGAGGTTTCCCTCTCCCCAGTGCACAAAAACTTTTTTGCATCATGCTACAGCTGCCAGGGGGGAAGAGGGAGGAGTGGTGTATTGGTTTGTTCTCATGCTGCTATACAGAAATACCTAAGACTGCGTAATCTATGAAGAAAAAAGTTTTAATTGACTCACTCTCTATCATGAGAACAACAAGGTGGAAATATGTTCACACAATCCAATCACCTCCTACCATGCCCCTCCTCCAATTTGACATGACATTTGGGTGGGGACACAAATCTAAACCATATCCTCCCACCCCTGAACCTCCCAAATCTCATGTCCTTCTCACATTACAAAATATAAGTATCTTTTCTCAACAGTCCCTCAGTCTTAACTCATTTCGGCATTAACTCAAAAGTCCACAGTTCAAAGTCTCATCTGAGACAAGCGAAGTATCTTCCATCTATGACCCTGTAAAATCAAAAACAAGTTAGTTACTTTTAAGATACAATGGGGGTACAGGCATTGGGTACATAATCCCATTCCAAATGGGAGAAATTGGCCAAAACAAAGAAGTTACAGGTACCACGCATGTCTGAAATCCAACAGAGCAGTCATTAAATTTTAAGGCTTAAAAATAATCTCCTTTGACTCCATGACTCCATGTCTCACATCTAGGCCACAATGATGCAAGGGAATGGATCTCACAGCCTTGGGCAGCTCTACCTCTGTGGCTGTGCAGGATATAGCCCCCACAGGTCCTTCTACAGGATGGCGTTGAGTGCCTGTGGCTTTTCCAGGCATGTAGTGCAAGCTGTTACACCATTCTGGAGTCTGGAGAACTACAGGCTTCTCCTGTAGTTAAATATGCAATATACTTTCATTTTGCCCCTCTTGGCTTTTATGCTATTTTAATTTTTTTAAAATTCCTATATATGTTATAAGCTCTACAAATTTTTGTTATTTTTCTTTAAACAGTAATTTGTTTTTAAAATAAATTCCATTAGTATGATACAAAGATTTTTTATGTTTTACTAAGTGGCTACCATTTCTGAAACTTCTCACCCTTTATGTAGATTTAGATTGCCACTTTGTATCCTTTTCCATCTGCCTAAAATATATACTTTAATATTTTAGCACAGTTCTGCCCATGAAGAATTCTCTGAGTGTTTCCATGCTGAAAAAGTTCATGTTTTGCATGTGTATTTTAAAAATAGTTTACCAAGTATAAAATTAATAGCTTTCTTTCTCTCAACATTGTAAAGATAGTGCTTTTTTAAATTTATTCCGGATTGCACTGCCATGATAAAAATAAACATCCACCCTTATTTTTATTTCTCTATATGTGATGCACCTTTTCTCACCAACCCCGGTTTGCCTTTAAAATTTTCTGTTTGATGTTTATTTAACTACTTGGCTTTTTGCTATTTTAGCTATTTAGATACTGGGTTTTCATAATGTTTGAAAATTTTGGGACATTATTTTTTCAAATTTTGTTTTTTTTTTTACCCCATCCCTCTCCTATATTCCAGGGACCCATTTAATGGTTTTCCACAGTTAATTGATAATGCATTCTTTTGTTTTCCTTCAGGTTATTTTCCTGCGAATTTTATTTTAGATAGTTTCTATTGCTATTATTTCAATTTCATTTATGTTTTCAATTGCAGTGTCTATTCTTCCATTATTCTCATGAAGTTTATTATTTTTTTCTTCATATCTCATCTCTATTATTTTAATTTAGGGCTTTTTAATATCTTCACTGTTTCTACTTTTGAACAGATGGCAACCAGTTATATTGATTGTTTTAATGTCTTTTTCTATTAATTATATTAAATATGCCAGTCTGTTCAGATTGATTATTATACTCAATATGACTCATGTTTACCCAATTCTTTGAATGTCTGGTAATCGTTTATTAGAGACTAGTCATTGTGAATTTTACCTTTTCTATACTATAAAAATTCTTGAGCTTTGTTCTGGGACATGGTAAAGTCAATTAATAATATTTTCATTATTCTGGGGTTTTAATCTATGATTTACTAAGTTGTACCAGAGCACTATATAGTCTAAGGCTAATTTTTTCCCTTTACTGTGGCTGAATGTCCTGTGTGTTCTACTCAATGCCTTGTAAATTATGGGACTGTCTACTCTGACTTGCGGGAATGTTAAGTACTAGCATCCCCAAGTGAACTGCAAGGTATTTTTCTTCCAGTCCTTTCAGGAGGCCCTGGCCTTGGGTAGTTTCCTCACATGCATGTACTGACAAGTACTCAAGTGAACCCCTCAGGGAAACCCTGTGCAATTCTTTTCACTTCCCTCTCTTGTCCTGTTTACTCTTCTCTGTGTATTCTATTCTCCTTGGTCTCCCCAGAATTCCCATTTTCATCTATGGAAACTGCTGGACTCTGTCTGGCTTCTTCTTCCTTGCACTGCGCCCTAGAAACTCACCAAGGCAGTACGCTGAGATAATCATAGAGTTCACCTCATTTGTTTCTCCTTTTTGTTTGTTGTGTAATATCCAATATCTTGAAAATTATTAATTCATGTATTTTGTTGGATTTTTGCATTGTTTTAGGTGAGAGGTTACATTTGTTCTCTATTACTCCATATTGGCCAGAAACAGAAGAGTAATTTATTCTTAATCACCTTTAGATGATAGATTGCATGGGCTCATATGATCCCTAATTTAAAATTATCTATCTGTTTGGGGAGTGATAATATTAGAAGCTTAAATTTTCCTGTCTGGTTAACACCTGTATTTAAGAATAGAAGACATCAGCTCCTTCAGGCTGTGTGTTGTCCCTTTATAGTTCACCATTATATTGTCAGTTCTGAGAAAAGCCCGTTGTCTCTGATGGACAAGAAGGCTAGGTTCCCTTTACAGACCCCTGTTTATTAGGGGAAATGCTTAGTGGCTATGCAGCTGTTTAAAAGGCACCAATGCCATGCTGTGGTCTGGCACCCTGCCTTTCCCATGTCCACAGCACCAGCTCCTAACAACAGTGGTTATCATATAGACCTTCCTTCTATTTTATCTTTTTCAAGTTCTCCTTTTAAAATAAATTCATAGTTCCTTTCAAAATATTTATTTTAAAAAATATGAAAATATTTACCATCAGTAATCTCATAAGGGCATTATTTTTTTTTAAAGTTTGATTTTTTTCCCTTTTCTACTCTCACCCATTCTGCTCAGAAACTAGAAAAGCATGACTTCAAACAAAACCAGAGAAGAGATTTTCTTTTTATGAGTCTTGGAGCCCTAGAGAACCTGGGTTTTATTGCTAACCTCTTTTTTTTTTTATTTTAATTGGTCTGTGCCATTATGGTTAAATTCTTCCCTAAACATGTCTGAAACACAGAAGGTAATTATTTCACACTTTAGTGGAATTATCCCAAGACCTATCTGTTGTATTTTGGATCATCTGAAAATAGTGAAATTTGTAAGTTAAGAA
Organism: Homo sapiens; assembly: GCF_000001405.40. NCBI lineage: Eukaryota > Metazoa > Chordata > Mammalia > Primates > Hominidae > Homo > Homo sapiens. Next base: position 104,023,568 of record NC_000001.11, read on the forward strand.
AATTAGACATTTAGGCAAAACTGTTGATACTCTACTAGGACAGATCACAGTCATACACATTAATCTTAAAAGCAGAAACTTCACCCCAAAAAAGATTTATTTATTTTTTCTGTAAGTGTTTTGGTATGTTTATTCATGGCAGTTTTATTTCTCAATTACAGAGTTTTAATTTTCCACTTGGAAGATGACTATTCTGAATACAAATTTATTTTCAAGATACTGTCCTCTGAATACTATATTTAAAAAATCCAGTTAACTTGCACAAATTATAGTGCCCCAAGGGCGTTCTTCTTTTTCAGAGGAAAAACCTATAAAAACAAAAGTTAATACTCACAAATGAAAAAGTAGTTGCACAGAGTTAATTTTTTCCTATTGATTTACTTTCTCCTACCAAAAAATCCCTCTCAGTGCATTATTTCCTATTTCTAGGATTTGTAATTGAAGATTCAAATATTTCTCAGCTCTCTTTTTACCCCTCTAACCCCTAAGCTTGATAGTTATCGGAGAATATACTTAGAAGGAAGCAAACCTGTGGTACTTCAGGGACTTTCCTCTCACCTTTCCTATCTTAGGTGTCAAGGTTGAGCATTTTGATTGTGTTTCTTATCAGCTAAACTTCTAAACTAAAGCAGTGGTTTACTATTTCAGTTTCTTCTCAAAGGCTTGTGGTACTTTTAATGGATTAGGTTTTCAAATTAAGACCAAGTTTAATATTGACTATGGCAATGATAGACTAAAACTATTCTGTATTTATTCTACTCATTGTTTTTAAGCCAGTCTACTGGAAAAAAAATACTAGAAAAATATTTTATGTATTAGGTGGACTCTCAATTTTCAAGGAATTAAAAGCATTCTCAGAATATTTCAATGAAAGGAAATTTATTATGAGAAAACATGGGGAAATAAGGTTTACAGGGGTTGAGATATCTTTTTTCTATCTTTGCCTGCTTCCTTTCTTTTCTTTTCTTTCTCTTTTTCTTTTTCTTTCTCTCTTTCTTTTCGTTCCTTCCTTCCTTCTCTCTCTTCTTTCTTTTCCTTCCTTCCTTCCTCCCTTCCTTCCTTCTCTCTCTTCTTTCTTTCTTTCTTTTATTCTTTCTTCTTTCTTTCTTTCTTCCTTTCTTTTTCTTTCTTTCTTTCTTCTTCCTTTCTTTCTTTCCTCTTTCTTTTGCTTTCTTGCTTTTCTTCTTTTGAAACAGGGTTTTATTCTGCTGCCCAGGCTGAAGTACAATGGCATAATCACAGCTCACTGCAGCGTTGTCCTCCCAATCTCATGTGGTGGGAGGGTTTTCTATGTTGCACAGGCTGGTCTCAAATTCCTTGCGTCAAGCAATCCACCCCCATCAGTCTCCCAAAATGCTGGTATTACAGGCATGAGCCACCACACCCAACCTGAAGTATCTTTCGTGACATAATAGAAAATTAAAAATACAAAACACAGCTGTAGGTAAGGACGTGAAAAATTTAGTAATTTGCACTATGTAATTTCACTACATAAACTTATTTATAATGCTTGTATAGAATTTAAATAATACAAACACAAATAACTATAAATCTTTGCTAATGTGTATGCAATATGTGAAAATGTACTTTGTGACATCAATAACAAAGTGTGGGGGGATTGGTACTGTAAAGGAGTAGAATTTAAACTTTAAAATGTTTTATGCAATTGAAATGGTAACAAAGAAAAAAAATCTATGAATTATATATAAAGAAAATGAAAAGGAATTCAAGTCAAGTCACTACAAAACAAATCAAAGAAACACGAAGAAAGGCAGTAGCAGAAGACATGAAGGACAAAAAACTAAAAAATGTACAAAAAAATAACAAAATGTCCTTAGCAAATCCTTCTCTATTAATAATTTCTTTAAGTGAAAATGATTAAATTCCTCAATCAAAAGCTATAGATTGGCAGAATGGGTAAAAAAGGGAATACAACTATGTGCTATCTGCAGAAGACTCACTTTAACTGAGGACACACACATAAGCTGAAAGAAAAAGGATGAAAAAAGATATCCCACGCAAATGGTAACCAAAAAAGATTAGGAATACTTATACCAATGTCACATAAAATAGACTGAAAGTTAAAAACTGTTACGAGCAACAAAAAAGACATTATATTTGATTGTTGCAAAAGTAATTGCAGTTTTTGTCATTAAAAGTAATGGCAAAAACCGCAATTACTTTTGTGCCAATCTAATATAATGATAAAAGGGTGAACTCATTAAGAAGATATAACATTATAAAAATTTATTCACTAAGCATCAGAGCCCCTAAATATATAAAGCAAGCTTTGACAGAATAAAAAGAGACATTCAGCAACACAATAATAGTAAGAGGCTTCACCTCTCCACTTTCAATAATGGATAGAACAACAAAAGATCAGTAAGAAAATAGAGAACCTGAACAACACTATATACCAATTTTACCTAATAATCATGTACAGAACACTCCAATCAAAAACAAAATAATGCACATTCTTCTCACATGCACTTGGAACATTCTCCAGAGTAGACCATATTTTAGGCCAAAAAACAAGTCCTAACGAATTTTTTGAAAGATTTGAATTATACAAAATATATTTTCTGGTCGCAATGGAACTAAACTGGAAATCTGTATCAAAAGTAAAACAAGTATCTATGAATATGTGGAAATTAAACAACGCACTCCTAAACAACTAATAAGTCAAATATTATATCACAAGGGAAATTAGAAAATATCTTGAGACAAAAGAAAATGAAAGCATATAAAAATTTACGAAATGAATTGAAAAGAGTGCTGAGAAGCAAGTTGATATCTGTAAATATGTACATTAAGAAAGAAGGTCTAAAATAAACAACCTAACTTTATATACTTCAAGGAAATAGGAAAAACAACAACAACAACAACAACTACGTCCAAAGCTAACAGAATAAAGAAAATAATAAAGACTATAGATGAATTTAACAGAAAAAAGTAAAACAATTAAAAAATCAATGAAACAAAAACGTGGTTTCTGAAAAGATGAACAGTATTGGCAAACTGATAACTAGACTGACTAATAAAAGAGAACATTTGAATGATTAAAATCAGAAGTAAAATAAGAAACATTGTAATAAATGCCAGAGAAGTAAAAATGAGTGTAAAAGAACACTATGAACAATTGTATGCCAAAAAATTGGATAACCTAGAATAAATAGGTAATTTCTAGAAACACACAACCTACCAGGCTGTCATAAGGAATAAAAATTCAGAACAAACCGATAACTAGTAAAGAGATTGAATCGATAATCAAGTACCTGCCAATAAGGAGACAGTCCAGTTGACTTCTCTGGAGAATTCTACCTTAACACTTAAAAAGAACACCAGATCTCTCTGAAAATCTTCCAAAGAATTAGAAGGGGAGAGGACACTTCCAAGTTTATTCTATGAGGCTAGTATTACTGTGATACCAAAGCAGACAAAGACACTATAAAGAATGAAATCAGCACACCAGGATTCTTAATTAATATTGATGCAAAAATCCTCAAAAAAATACTAGCAAACTAAATTCAAAATTATATTAAATGGATTATACACCATAACCATGTTGAATATACTCCTGGGATGCAAAGATGTTTAAACATACAAAATTATTAAATGTAATACACCACATTAGCAGAATAAAGGACAAAAAAAGACTTGATGATCACAGTTGACAGAGAAAAAGCATTTAACAAAATTAAAAACTCCTTAATAATAAAAAAAACTCACACTTAACTAAGAATAGAAGAAAACTACCTAAAGACAATAAATGCCATGCATGAAAAGATGACAGCTTACATGACATTCAGTGATGAAAGACTAATAGATGTAAACAACCCAAATGTCCATTGATGAACAGATAAACAAAATGTGGTACATACGTACAAAAGAATATTATTCAGCCTTATAAAGGAAGAAAATAGCATTATAAAGTATAGTATAAAATAATAGTAATCCACTCATAAGTTTGTTGTAAAAATTAAAGAATATGTGTAAATGTTCACACAACAGTGCCTGGTATTCATAAGGGCTCAATAAATGATCTGTGCTTCTTAAAAAAGTGCTATCTGCAAACAACGCATATAGTCACATATTTGTTTGTGTGTGTGTTGTGATGATGAGCTGAGACTGGACTCTAGGTGGAATCAGAGACTCACCATAGATACCTAGTCTTATCTGAGTTACAAAAATATTTAGGGCACACCAATATTTGATTTTTTATGTGCACTTTATTTAAAAAATTTGTATCTATTTGAAAAAAATGTGAAACCACAGATCAGAATTACGGCAAATGCGATTATCATTCTTGATCACCTAATTCTATCTAAATCTCTAATGGAAATATTCACTTTAGAACCAAGTTAAGCTGACTCTTTAGGGATCTAAGATATGGTAACACCAATCATGTTAGTAGATAAATGATATATTCATATATATTATATATATATAATTTATAGAGTAAGGGTCAAATAATGCACATTCATGTAAACCATTTTCAGACTATCTTCAAGATACGACTTTTCTCTTTGAAATCTAAAATCATCCATGCTGAGACAGAGGAGAAACTATTTGACCCATTTTAAGATGAGGTTATTGAAGTCAAAGTTATTAAGCATTTTACTTAAGGTTGCCTGGTAACTCCAGGTTTAACTAATTTTTTTCTAACATCTACAACTCTTTCTCCAGTAACATAATTAATTCCTTGACTGACTTAGAATGAAAGTACAAGTTAAAAAGTTCTAACGTTCTGAAAACAAAGAGCATATATAGTGAAAACTATGTGGAAACCAGAGCATTACACATTAATACAGATATTACAGATATTATGTTTTTAAAGATTAAAGCTGATATTTATTCTTTTGACTCTTACATATATAACTTTATTTGGACTGATAACTCTGGGTAAAAAAATAAAGTGATTTTCATGGTCGTAAAATGACATTTGCTTTCATTATTCTACGGCTTTGTATGTTTCTTGCAAGAGAGTGCTCATAAAGCCTGCATATTAAATCACTCAGACATAATACTCCACAAACATCCTGTGAAGATGATAATGACTAAAACTAATTAGCTGATCACTAAGCTATAATTATTCTAAGATAAAATAAGCTATGGGTATTAAAGATAAGTAAGAAAAGTAATGAAGTGCCTGTGTCAGAAGGCGTGGGTCATATGCAGTGCATATGAGCTGAGAAGGACAGAGTAGGTTTAATTTGCTCACATCCTCTGTTTGTATAAAGAAAGCAAACCAGGATTTCCAAAACCTAACCTGAGATATTTACTGAAAGTGAAGTTTTTATTTTAGAATGCTTTTCTTGATGGTGAAGTAGTATTTTTCACTGCTGGTTTTGACTGTTCTTGTTTTCACATGTAGTTTTCACAAGGAAGACTTTCATTATTACCTTTGAAAAAGCACTGTTCTATTGTTAAAAAAGGTCAGTGGACTCTGAAATCTAAGATTCTAGTTTTGAATAAGATCAAACAAATTGTACTACCATTATTGTTATATTTAAGTGACTGACAACTTGGTATTTGGAATTTGTATAATAAATGGCATTATATACATTTATATTAATTAGTCTAATGACAATAAAAAAACTGCATCAATATGACACTTATATTAAAAATATTCTTGCTGGATTATCTGAATTTGCATGCATAATTGGATAGAAAATTTAGATGACATTCTATTGTGACATCTGCCAGCTAACATAAAAGCTAATATTAGATGAATAAACATATGACAGTGAGTAGTTTTTCAATGTCGTAAAAATTAATTCAGAAGAATCCATTTTAAACTATAATAGGCAACATAAACCATATAATTTTGTAGATTTTGTGATTTTGGATTAAAGACAAGGCCTTATTTGTAAGGATTCTTCTGGATTGTATTCTCTATTTATATATGATCCTTGGCAATGTTAATTTGGATTTCAGTGTTGCTTAAGATTTTAACCCTCAAGTAATTATGCTTTATAACACATTTGGGTCCTTAAGTTTGAATGGGTTTAGCATGGTAGATTAGTGCATACTAGATTCATCTCACCAATATATTGGAATCCTTCCATTCTGGCATCAAGAGAAAAAACTGTAAATGATGATGAACTGAGAATTTTAATAGACTGTAATTAATCTTCGGTAGCTTTTTTGGAAATGTGAATCTAATGTATCTGCTTTCTATCCTAATTATAATATTGGTTACAACAGTATAATTTGTCATGCAAAATAGCTTTTCTCTTACATTAAAGTCAAAGTAGTACAGCTGGTAGAAGTTTGCTGGTTTTGAATACTGACACATAATAAATACTCTAAGAAGTTCTGCTGAAGCCTTTTATTCTTGGAAATCTAAAGAGCCTCTTTGAATTCCACAAAGACTAATACATTCTTATTTTTTTACAATCTCAAATATCCCTGTTTCCAGAGATAAAAAAGAGGTCAGAATACAAGACTAAATGAGAATGGGTTCTCTTAGGCTTAATTTTTCAATGTATTTGAAGGACACGTCCTGTTTTGTCTGGTAAGTCGAACAAGTCAGCTTTTTGGAGGGATACACCGGTCAAATTCTCACATCGGAGTCAACCTTTGTCTTCCAAAAGAAACAATTTATCTACTATTAGAATTCTTCTACAAATTTTATAAATAATGTAACTCATTGAAATCAGCATGTATATCTTAACATAGCTAGTGTTACTCTGTCCTCTTGAGATACTAGTTAAAGCATCTCAAAGCTCAGTATAGGTCTAATGGCTGCAATTATTTGGCCAAAATATTTATTGTCAGCTTAGAATGTGCATGGTTCTTTCTTGGAGCTGAATTAAGCACAGTGAACATTTATATATTAACCTCACCTGATAGAGCTTACGATTTAGTGAAGACACACACACAAAATGCCCACCAAAACTAATATAACATTACAAATTATTAATAAACTTTATTAACAACAAGAAAAATAGAGTACTTCAGGAGATGCTAACAGGAATCAGGAAGACTTTCTGTAGAAGACATATTTAATCTTACAATTGAATGATTAAAAGTAAAATTGGTGAGTAAAAGTTCACCAGTAACACAGAATTAAGGCTATTTTAGGGAACGGGAACAATATGAAACCTTCTTTCAACACCTGGTATCTCTACATCTACTGGGATCACTATACTGCCATAGGGCTTATATTTTGTTTTAAATGTGCAGCAATGTCATGCTTCCAATATTTGATCTAGTTGAACAAACACCTGTTTCTTCAATGTTTCTATCCAGATAGGATTCTGTGTTGAGCAGATTGCAGATAGGCAGTTTACAATAGTTGACATTTCACACAAATCAAGAAGTGTGGAAATATTCAGTTCCTTTTAAGTCAATACAACATATTTTGCACTTGTGTTGGAACCATATCAGAGGTTTAGAATAGACAAAATAACACTGAGATCACATATTTATTTTTGTTCTTCGAATGAAAAGACTAGCAATGATAGCAAAGCTCATGCACTTTATCACTAGAATTAAATTGGCCGTTGACATCTCAGCTGTGAGCAAGCTTGAAAGAACACTGGTACTACTTTAGTCTCTGGCTGTGCAAGGATACAGCATGCTAGAAGGAGGTCTAAGAATAAAACATAGAGGCTTGTGAAGCTACAGAATCAATTTGAATAAAACTTTTTGTCTCTTCTTCTTGAATGAAATTTTTATGATGTTTAAAATAAGCCTGCTAACATAGTAGTAAATAAAATGTAATTTATTTTAAAAGTTGATATTAACAAAACAGAGGGTGACTTTTTATTTATTGCTGAAAAATAAAAGTGGTCCTTGGAGCCACAGAAAACCCTGCTCAGTTAAGCATCACATTAATTTTTAGGTGTTGTGCCAGTCCCAGTGTGACATTTGGGTCTGTAAAATTTTGGTGTGTTACTTTGGTGTATATTTTGGCTACATACACAAATACTGATAAAGTTTCTATGGCCTATGAATCATTACTTGATCCTATATCATTTCCATTTTTCAGCAGTGAACTAATTTAATCATAATTTTTAATTTTTTTAAAAAAACCTCTCTATTGAATAAAATCATTGTCTACTGGGTGTTCCTCACAGCTATCTCAGGTTAACTACCAAGAAGGTGGCTAAGCATAACTGTGTCGACTTAGAAACTCAGTCTCTGGCTGATGCTGGTGCTGTTTTATGAATTCATATGGAGCTGATCTCGTGTCTACAGGCTCCTTTTGACTCTCCAGCTGCACCCTGGACACAAAGCTCCTATTAAAAGTAGTTTGTTGCTTTTTGATCCCTTGTAATTTTTTTTATTATTAACTATAAAGCATCATGGGTATAGAGTGTCTCTCTGGGTTTTGACCTGAATTGCATCCCTCAGTAACGAGCCCAAGAATACTTCTTCATGAGCTCTCATTTCATACCTGTACCAGAGATTTCCAAGAGTTTTGGTCCTCTGTCTCTGGCTTCACATTTGCATTCAGATTTTAGCTATTACAAAATATAAATATTAAAATCATTACTTTTTAATAATTTTATTTATAGACTTATTAGCTGAGGTGATTAACACAAAATCTTCACATGAATTGAAGTTTGTTTGGTCCACAATGGAAAATAAATTAAGAAAGTACAAGAGTCATATTTTTACTTATTATTTTTATAAGGTCAGGTATACAATGTTACATTCAACAAAAGAATTAATTGTTTTATAAATACTTCCATTGACTGTTTAGGCCATTTGAAAACAAACCTTAAGATTTCTGAAAAATAGTAATTCAAGATTTAGAATGAAGCATATCGATATTCAGTTTATGTTATAAGAATTTTGCAATGGATTTCTATTAAGTTATTTTCTCTTCTTCCTTTTCTTTTTCTTTTCTTCTAGTTATAAGAAAATAATGCCTTCACTACTCTCTGGTAAGAATATAGCTGATGTGATTCAAATAATCTATATTGAACTAAACCCTGAAATTTATTTCTTTGTTTATAAATTCTTCATAATTAAATGTACTTTCTCAAAATACCTCCAATTATTCTAATTTAGTCCTCCAAACATTTATTTTGTCTTTCATGAAAAACAAGTCAAAATTTTATATATTTGTATAAATTGTTTATATATGAATATTGTTTCCTTGGCAATAACTACTGGAAAAATAAAGATTAAATAGTCAGATATATTGCATTAATCAATAATTACCATAAATGATAGCACAGAATGTCAATACTGGAGATTAGAGTATAGCAAAGAAATAAGGTGTGACATTACTTTCATTTTTTATTTGATATTTCAGAATTTACTTTCAAGAAAATTCTGAATTTTAATAAGATTACCATGCTTCCCTTCTGACTTTTTTTCTGCATCTTGACAAAAATGTCTATAAATGTTTTAAATATCAGAGTTATTGTGCTTACCTAAAATAATATTTAAAATGTCATTTCAGGTTAATGTATAAATGTACTAAATTATCTTTATAGTTTTAAAATATTTACAAATACTTAAAACATTTATTTATTTATTTATCACAAGATTCCATTTGGGAAGGTATCGTTAGGGTAAATTAAAGATTTTCTGATTTCTGTTAAATAAGTTCTCTTAGTAAAATTTATATAACCTACATATTATTCTCCTTTTCCTTACACTTCTGTTTATATTTTTATTAAAAAGTAACAAAAGTTATAAGAATTTTTCTTAAATGTAATGAAAAAAGTGAAAATTACTCATACTCACTACATCATCCTCATTAACTTGGTACTCTTATTTAATTAAGAAGATGATTCTAAAGTCTTAACTCCATCTTGTACCTAAAGAATAGTAAACTGCTTTAAAAAATCAATAGACTAGGGAAAATGTTTGTCACACTGGAATATATTCTATCATTGTACATTTATCATTTGATTTATTGAGACATTCTCTGGGCTAAAGATGTCTCTTCATCTCACCTGGCATACCAGGTTTTTGAATATATCTAAGGCATTCTGCAGAAGAAAACAATATAACTGATTCATCAAAGGCATTACTCAAAGCCCCTAACGACTTTTAGTACATACTTTTTTTAGAATTAGAAGGACCTTGCATTCGTTTTCTCCATTGATCATCCTAACGGCAGTAAGAAGTAAGTAACACAAGCATATTACCCCCACTTGTGCAGATGTCTAAACTTAATCACAGATAGGTTAGTGGTTTGCCCATGACTCATATCTAACAAGGAGCTGATCTGGAATTCCAAGCCAATTTTTCTGAATAAATGGATGCTTTTCACTCTATTTGGCTCACAATAGTTAAATTTCTATAAATATTTTTAAAAGGTTTTACCTTTATTCTGAAATTCATACTCTATTTTGTGAGAAAACTTCACATTTGTATTTCCATTGACGATCCCTCAATAACTTAGCAGTACTAGATTGTTCAGGTTCATGGATACTCTGGCAAAAGTTTAGTTTTAGAGAATATCACATTAAAATAATGAGCTGGAGTAAACCATTTTGTCTATCATTGGAAATAATGTAGAAATCTAAAACAACATCAACAACCAAAATAAAATATTAGAAATAAAATAAACAAATAATAAAGAAAGACAGAGCAGGATAACTGTTTGCATTTTATTTGGTTGTACTAATTAGTTAGATTATAATGTTAATAAGATTATAATTAATTTTAAATCAATTACTGTGTAATTGTTGAGTAAATGGAAAACACAATAAAATGTTAATAAGTGTCTAAAAGCTCCATCAAGGCCTATTGACAGCCAAAGAGATGAATGCAGGCTGGCATGAAAGTCATCCAATGTTGCCATACAAGGTTGTAACGTGACAATTAATATATATAGCCTCCACGTTGTTAGCTTACAGCTTTTAGAGTTTCTAAGAGCTACTGTTAAATATCAGCAGTGAAGAGAGCTGTAAGAGTTATTTTGAGCAGACAACAAAAGTCTCTCTATCCCACTCTAAATTAAAGGAAAAATAAATATTACAGAAGTAGAATATTTGTGGTATTTGGTAAAGTATTAAGGGGAAAAATGCTCATCTTCTATTTAGTCTTCTTTAGCCACTGTAGTGGCTTTCTTATCATCAGCCACATTCATTAACTTTCTGGCTAAATATGAAAATTACCATTACTATATGTGAACAAAATGAGCCCAAGGACTTACAAAGCCTATGCATCAAGGTAAAGAAGGAACATATTTAATTATTCTTGTCTTCGTTTTGTATTGTTTTTAGTTAAAATTTTAGTCAAAACTACCAGCTTAAGCTGATGGATATTTGTCATTTTGCTCATGATGTTCTTATTTCTTTCATTTTTTGTGTGTGTCTAAAACACTCCCACCATACACATTCTTCTCAATGGAATCATTCCATCGAAACATTTGAAAACAAGTCTCACTAATCATACATTTCTACCATAGCTTCAGTGAATAATTTGTATGTATGTGCTAATAGTCTTAAGAGAAATAGGCTCGTTTTCTCTAAGTATATTTCAATATAGAAAATGTGAGCATGAATAAATATTAGCTCTAATTTACCATTTTCCATAATATATATTGAGAGATTTCTTTATTATGGTTTAATTTTGAAGAAGTCTTTACTTATTTATATATTAAGCAATTGCAAATGCAAATTTATTTCATATTTGCAGCTATTTTTGCATATATGTTTTTTCATCAAGAAAAATCTAACTTCATGAAAGTTATTTTCTCATTTATCTTAAGCTATTGAAAATAGAAAGATGATATCTCATAGTGGTTTTGATTTGCATTTCTCTGATGGCCAGTGATGATGAGCATTTCTTCATGTGTTTTTTGGCTGCATAAATGTCTTCTTTTGAGAAGTGTCTGTTCATGTCCTTCGCCCACTTTTTGATGGGGTTGTTTGTTTTTTTCTTGTAAATTTGTTTGAGTTCATTGTAGATTCTGGATATTAGCCCTTTGTCAGATGAGTAGGTTGCGAAAATTTTCTCCCATGTTGTAGGTTGTCTGTTCACTCTGATGGTAGTTTCTTTTGCTGTGCAGAAGCTCTTTAGTTTAATTAGATCCCATTTGTCAATTTTGGCTTTTGTTGCCATTGCTTTTGGTGTTTTGGACATGAAGTCCTTGCCCACGCCTATGTCCTGAATGGTAATGCCTAGGTTTTCTTCTAGGGTTTTTATGGTTTTAGGTCTAACATTTAAATCTTTAATCCATCTTGAATTGATTTTTGTATAAGGTGTAAGGAAGGGATCCAGTTTCAGCTTTCTACATATGGCTAGCCAGTTTTCCCAGCACCATTTATTAAATAGGGAATCCTTTCCCCATTGTTTGTTTTTCTCAGGTTTGTCAAAGATCAGATAGTTGTAGATATGCGGCATTATTTCTGAGGGCTCTGTTCTGTTCCATTGATCTATATCTCTGTTTTGGTACCAGTACCATGCTGTTTTGGTTACTGTAGCCTTGTTAGAATGGCAATCATTAAAAAGTCAGGAAACAACAGGTGCTGGAGAGGATGTGGAGAAATAGGAACACTTTTACACTGTTGGTGGGACTGTAAACTAGTTCAACCATTGTGGAAGTCAGTGTGGCGATTCCTCAGGGATCTAGAACTAGAAATACCATTTGACCCAGCCATCCCATTACTGGGTATATACCCAAAGGACTATAAATCATGCTGCTATAAAGACACATGCACACGTATGTTTATTGCGGCACTATTCACAATAGCAAAGACTTGGAACCAACCCAAATGTCCAACAATGATAGACTGGATTAAGAAAATGTGGCACATATACACCATGGAATACTATGCAGCCATAAAAAATGATGAGTTCATGTCCTTTGTAGGGACATGGATGAAATTGGAAACCATCATTCTCAGTAAACTATCGCAAGAACAAAAAACCAAACACCGCATATTCTCACTCATAGGTGGGAATTGAACAATGAGATCACATGGACACAGGAAGGGGAATATCACACTCTGGGGACTGTGGTGGGGTCGGGGGAGGGGGGAGGGATAGCACTGGGAGATATACCTAATGCTAGATGACACGTTAGTGGGTGCAGCTCACCAGCATGGCACATGTATACATATGTAACTAACCTGCACAATGTGCACATGTACCCTAAAACTTAGAGTATAATAAAAAAAAAAAATTAAAAAAAAAAAACAAACAAACGAAAAAAAAAAAAACAAACAAACGAAAAAAAAAAAATACTTTCCACCTTAAAAAAAAAAAAAAAAGAAAGAAAGAAAATAGAAAGACTAATTTCTCAATATCCAAAGCTACTAAAATAATTATTTAGGGTATTCAGCTATGTTATTTGAAAAAAAATCTCACATGAGTATGCTTAAAAGTCATTACTTTACTGAACAGATGTGGCATTTTATGAACTTTTAGTACTATATAAAACTAGAAATAAAGGTTCAAACAAAAAGTTGAGCACTGGACAATTATGCTATTTGGGATCTAATATTTCTTTCTGTAGGCAAAAATATGGAAATTGGTTAAGACATTTTTAAAAACTTTACCCGGTTACAATGTTTTGTTGTTGTTGTTGTTTTTCTTCTAAGAGAGGCATTTCTTCAATTACATTCAATAATGATTATTTTTCTTCCTGTGAGAGACACTCTATAAGTCATTAGAAGATTTATAGTAGAGCTACAATTTAAGATAGGGCTATTCACTAGTATGGATACTATTCACCTTTATTCACACTTAAACCATTGCCAGCTTTGCGTCCAAGAATGTTAGTTTTCTTTAGTGAAGGAAAATAATAGGAAGTCCTTTTCCAAGTATGTCCAGAGAGAGAAGAATTTCTTGCCCTCCAAAATTCTTACCAATAAATATATAGTTTCAGGTGATAACAAAGGTCACTTAAAAATTCTTGGGACCTGTCAGATCCAACCGTAGCTACAGTTACATTAGGCTGGAGGAGTCCATCATCTATCTTAATCCAGATAGGTGCTGGAAAACCACCTGACTCAGACTCTGTGTGTTTCGTTAATATAGGAGTTAAACATTACACAACATTATGGTCCATGAATAACATCCTTAATCATCATCTCAAGACTCTCTACTGTAATACTGCCTTGTTGTGAGAACATGCCTGAACTCAACATTGTAGAACCAGAGCAGTATCATTATCCAAGTACCTGTCAGATTTGTGTTAATAAACAGTCCACATATTGGCTTATCCTGCAAAGGGAAAAATTTCAATGCTTCTAGAAAGAACGTAATAGCTTTTCTACCAAAACAAAAACAAAATAACAAAAAGTGTTACGTTAGCTTTAGATTTATTTTTGGCAACACTAAATGTCAACTGATTTTTTTTTTTTTTGACACATCGGATTTTTACAGAACAAGTTATTTTCTGGATATAAGATATTTGAGGGACAGGTCATTGACTTTTTCAGGTCAAATGGACTGAGATTTTAAATTAGCCATTCTTGGGGTTATTTTTGAGAGCTATTCTGGGACAGAGGCAATTTACTGTAATTCTGGCCACCTCCTGGTTTTGCAATGAAGTATTTTTTTTTCACCTGTTTGTTGGACTTTTCATCACACTAGGGTTTGGGCACAGTCAAACTTATAGGCACATTTGAAAAATAAGTAAAGTTTTTGTAAGTTGATTCTACTCTTCCTTTAATGTCATTGTTCTTCCATTCCACCAGGCTCCCCTTCTCTCCTTTCTCCTACTGTATGTCCAATACTCGAGATATTTGTGATTTCTTCATTCAGAATGCTTGGACTCTCTATCATTTTCAGTACATATATTTCTGTCTTCAGATTTTTTTCCTTCTCATCCATCTCTAAGTCCTTCTTCTTAGAACTCAATATTTTCCTTTCTTATATAGAATTATAATGTAATTAGTATGTCTTTGGAATACATAGCAGAGTAATACTTTGGAGCCAGATATCTGGATTTCATTTCTGTGTTAGTTTGCTAGAGCTGTAATAATAAAGTATTACAAACCAGAAAATTTAAAGAACAGAAGTATATTGTCTTACTGTTCTTTGTGCTAGAAGTCTGAAACCAAAGTGTTGGTGGGATGGGTTACTTCTGAGAGCTGTGATGGAGCATCTGTTTCATGCCTTGCTCCTAGCCTTTTGTGATTTCCTGGCAATCTTTGGTATCTAGGTATTAATTTGAAATTCTCATTGAAATACTATGACACCTATAATAGTATTATTTTAATTTTACCAGATGCAGAAACATTGTCTCAGGGTAGTTAATGTAAGGGATAGGGATTGTTATGAGTTGAATTGTTTTCCTTGACTTCTACTGTAACACCCCATCTCTGCCTTCATCTTCACATTCTCCCTGTGTGTGTGTCTGTATCCAAATTTCCCTTTTTATAAGGGTAGCAGTCACGTAGTATTAGGGGCCTATTCTATTCCAGTATGATCTCATCTTAACTAATTAACTCTGCAAGGGTCTGATTTACAAATAAGTTCACATTATAAGGCACAGGAGGTTAGGACTTCATCATATAAATTGGAGTATAGGAAACACAAAAATAACTCATCAACAGCTCTTACATTAGCCTCTGTGAGCCAAAGTTTATGTTTCTGTTAAAATTAGAATAGTACTATTACCTACCTCATAGTATTTTTATAAGGATTGAGGGAATTAATACCTAGATAGCACTTAGAATGATAGAGGACATATAATAAGCACTGCTAATAATGAATACATGTGATATTTCTGATACAAATACATTTTAATGAAGATATTCAAAGAAAATGTTTATAACTCAAATCAGTCAGAGTTGAGAGCTTTATTTATTGTCTAGATAGGGGGTTTGATTCCTTATTTTTAGATGCCAAGTGAAAACACTTTTAGAAGAGAATTATAACATTCACTGCTAGGTACTACTTATAGCTCTACTATATCATGGTCACCTAGTATTAAAAACTCATACTGATTGGTGCCTAATCACCAGAAAAGTTTTTGGTAGTGTGTTTCAGTATCTCTCAGCTATCTGGCCACATATTTCAGAAGAATCATGTGACTTACATTCTTTATAGTTTGAGGAAATTGCTATTGTAGTTTGCTTTATGTGCAGCATTTTTAGATTTAACATAATCTTAAATGTACATTTTCATACATTACTCTGATGTGGGAAAAAAAGGAAATAATACCAGAAAATTCTCCCAGGCTGCTTAAGCTAAAAAATAAACATATTCAATACTGTTAAGATGTAAATGAACAACATATTGCATTCTGATACAGCTGCACAAATGTTTGTACTTCTATAATTTTTATAACAATAAAGCTTTGAGGTTATTTTCATACATGGATTTTCTAAAATCTCATTAACACCTTTGCTACCTGCTTACATTTTGTGTTTTATGTTGTGATATTGACAAAATGATAAAGTTCTTGCTGTAATTTGGTTGCACATTATTTTTAAGTGTGCTGCAAACTCATATGAATATGGAGATTGTAAGGAACATTTTAGGCAATTAAAAAATGAGCAAGAACCCAAGATTCCAAAGTGATGGAAATAACTTAAATGATATAATAAAAAGTTCAGACCTTCGGAAGAATTTTCTATTTACTAGTTTAACAACTTAGACTTTTTAACTCTTTGGTTTGGTTTTCATCAACTTTATTGAGATGTAATTGCTATGTAGTAAACTACACATAAACCTTATTATTTGACAAATTTTGATTTATGTATATATTTGTCAATTGCCATGTTTAATATTACAAATCTATTACCCTAAAAGTTTCTTTGTTACCTTTTATCATCACTCTCTTGGTATATCTTTGCCTTACCCACTGTCCTCAGGAAATCACTGCTCTGCTTTCTACTAGTGTAGTTTAGTTTCCATTTTTTAAAATAATATATAAATGAAATCATACACTATGCACATGCACTTTTTTGTCTTTAAGTCATGCAGCATAATTTTGTGACATCTATCCATGTGGCTGTTGATATCAATAGTTTATTCAGTCTTATTGCTGAGCAATATTGCATTGTTTGGCTATATCACAGCTTGTTCACAGTTATAATGAGTAAATTATTGGGCAGTTGGATCCTTTCCAGCTTTTGGCTACTACAAATATAAGTGCTATGAACATTAATGCATAAGCCTTTGTATGGACATAAATTTTTAGTTTCTTTGGGCAAATATGTAGGAGTGAGATGGCTGGATCATATGGTAAGTATGAGTTTCACTTTGTAAGAAACTGAAAAATGTTTCCAAAGTGATGTTACCATTTTGTATTCCATCAGTGGATTTGAGAGTTTCTGTCATAAATAATCTCAAGGATATACACCTTGCCAAACAGTTTAACTTGATTTGTAGGCAAAGGAAGTGATGTGAGATAAATCAATTTAAAGAGTATTAGATAATTCTAGTTTTTTTAAAAATACAACATATTCTCATTTTATATGATAGTCTATGGAAAATCAGATTCCACTTCTTTTTCTATTCTTTGAGGCTCAAGGTTTATAGAAAGTGTTGACATATCAATAAGAAGAAGGTGTCGACCTACTAGATTGCGAAAAACGAAAGTGCAGTGATGATGTTACTTGCTTTGTCTAAAATTTTCATTTTTGAATTGACATATATCACTTCTGCTATTTACACTTGTCAAAACAAGTTATCTGGGCAAATTTTTTAAAAGCTGTGGAAATTATACATAAAGCAAACATAAGAAGACTCTGAAAAGTGGCAGAAAGAAAGAAATGAGAATGGCTGAGAATCTCAGGACATGAAGAATGACATGGTGGTGAGTTCCCTGGTTTTATTTTTGCAACTTATATACTGGATTAGGTGTCAGAGAAGATAGCAACCCAGAAGTGCCAATAAGTGCATACTGAAAATAAAAAATAAAATAAAAAATAAAAACTCATCAAAATGCTGCCATTTCCAGCTTTTTTTTAGTAGAGACGGGGTTTCACCATGTTAGCCAGGATGGTCTCGATCTCCTGACCCTGTGATCTGCCTGCTTAGCCTCCCAAAGTGTTGGAATTACAGGCGTGAGCCACTGCACCTGGCTTTTTTTTTCTAAATACGCTAACATCCATGAATTTCAGAAATTTTACCTGGATATCTCTGTGGGCCAGTTTTCCAGCCTACTACCACATTTATGGGCAATATTGATTCATCAATTTTATTTTTGTACTGCTTTTGTCAGATTTTATTGTTAGAGTAATATTAGCTTTATAAGATAATTTGGGAATGATTTAGATCACTTTGGGTATATATATTCCAAGTAATGGGATTTCTGGGTCAAATGTTAGCTCTAAGGTTTTCGGGAAATTTTCCCACTGCTTTCCACAATGGCTGAACTAATTTTCATTCCCAACTGCAGGGTTTAAGCTTCTCTTTTCTCTGCAGGCTCACCAGCATCTGTTAATTTTTACTTTTTAATAATAGCTCTTCTGACTGTTGTGAGATGATATCTCATTGTGGTTTTTATTTGCATTTCTCCAGTGATTAGTGTTGTTGAACACTTTTTCATATGCTTATTGGCTATGTGTATGTCTTCTTTGGAAAGTGCATTTTTATGTCTTTTGCCCATTTTTTTAATAGGGTTGTTTGGTTTTTGCTTGTACTTCTTTTTTTAAGTTCCTTATAGATTCTAGATATTAGACCTTTGTCGGATGCATAGTTTGCAAATATTTTCTTTCGTTTTGTGGGGTATCTATTTACTCTATTCATAGTTTCTGTTGCTGTGCAGAAGCTCTTTAGTTTAATTAGGTCCCATGTGTCAATTTTTGTTTTTGTCATAATTGATTTTGGCATCTTCATCAAGAAATCTTTGTCAGGACCTATGTCCAGAATGTTATTTTCTTGGTTTTTGTCTATGGTTTTTATTGTTTTAGATTTTATTTGAGTCATTAATCTATCTCAAGCTGATTTTTGTATATTGTGTAAGAAAGGGTTCCAGCTTTAATCTTCTGCATATAGCTAGCCAGTTATCCCAGAATCACTTATTGAATAGAAAGTTCTTTCCTCATTGCTTGTTTTTGTCTACTTTATTGAAGATCAGAAGATGGTTGTAGGCATGCAGCTTATTTCTTACTTTCTATTCTGTTCTATTTGTTGATGTGTCTGTTTTTGTGCAAGTGCCATGCCATTTTGATTATTGTAGCCTTGTAGTATATGTTTTTAAATCTACAGTCATTGGGGATATTGGCCTGTAGTTTTCTTCTGGGAAGCAGACATGATTTGCAGAAGAGTAATTGACCAGTGAGGGCCATCAACTCCATTCTTATCTATGTGTACCCTGGGAATGCCCATGGCTGCATGAAGGGCACCCACCTCCTCCCCAAGTGGTTGCAGCCCTAAGTTTTCCCTTCTTAAGATATAGGCATGATCTGTATGGAGATCTCCCTGGACTGTTGTCCCGAGCTGTGTCAGAGACGGACATGGTTCCCTTCCCAGGACTGGAGCTTTTTCTCAGCGACATCTTGTAGGCACAGATGTGAAGACTGGTATCTGTAGTATAGTTTGAAGTTGAGTAACACGATGAGTTACTCAACATGAAATTGAGTAACAGCTTTTTTTTTTTTTTTTGCTTGGAATTGCTTTGGTTATTTGGTATATTTTTCATTTCGTATGAATTTAAGAATGATTTTTTTTCTAGTTCTCTGAAGAATGTCATTGTTAGTCTGATAGGAATAGCATTGAATCTGTAAATTTCTCTGGGCAGTCTGGCCATTTTTACAGTACTGATTCTTCCTCTCCATGGACATGGAATGTTTTTCCATTTGTTTTTCTCATCTTTGACTTTTTTGAGTAGTGTTTTCTCAACTCACTGTACTTTTCATTGTAGAGATATTTCAGCTGTCTGGTTAGTTGCATTTGGGAGTATTTTACTTTATTTTTTGTGGCTATTGTGAATGGGATTGTGCTCTTGAGTGGGCTCTCAGCTTGGATGCTGTTGGTATTTAGAAGTGCTACTAATTTTTCTACATTGATTTTGTATCCCTAAGCACTGATGACATTGTTTATCAGCTCAATAAGCTTTTGGGCAAAGCTTGTAAGTTTTCCAGGTTTAAAATCATATTGTCTGCAAAGAGAGAGAGTTTGACTTTCTGTCTTTCTATCTTGGTGCCTTTTATTTCTTTTGTTTTCCTGATTATTCTGGCTAGAACTTGCAGTACTATGTTAAATAGTAGTGGTGAGAGTAGGTATCCCTGTCTTTTACTGGTCCTGAAGGGCAATGCTTCCAGCTTTTGCCCATTTGGTATGGTACTGGCTTTGGTTTTGTCACAGACGGCTCTTCTTTTCAGATGTGTTTCTTCATCACCTAGTGTGTTGAGAGTTTTTAACATGAAGGGATGTTAGATTTTATCAAAAGCCTTTTCTGCATCTGTTGACATGATCGTATGTATTTTGTTTTTAGTTCTATTTTTGTGATGAATCACATTTATTGATTTGCATATGTTGAATTAACTTGCATTCCAAGAATAAAGCCTACTTGATTCTGGTGGATTAGCTTTTTGATGTGCTGCTGGATTCAGTTTGCTGGTGTGGTGTTGTCTACATCTGTGTTTATCAGGAGTATTGGCCTGTAGTTTTTTTTTTTTAACTGTGTCTTTGCCAGATTTTTATATTAGGGTGATGCTAGCTGAGTTAGGGAGGAGTCCCTCCTCCTTGAGTTTTTGGAATAGTTTCAGTAGAATTGGTTTCAGCTCTTTGACTGTTTGTCTGTCTGGTAGAACTCTGCTTCGAATTCATCTGGTCCAGAGTTTTTTTTTGTTTGATAGGATTTTATTGCTGATCCAATTTTGAACTCAGTATTTGTCTCTTCAGGGTTTCAAGTTCTTCCTGTTTCAATCTTGGTAGGTTGTGTGTTTCCAAGAATTTATCTATTTCTTCTAGGTTTTCTAGTTTGTGTGCAGAGAGGTGTTCAAAATAGTCTCTGAGGGTCTTTTGTTTTTATGTGGGATCAGCCATAACATCACTTTTGTTTTTGTTGATTGTGATTATTTGTATCTTCTCTCATTTTGTTTCTTTAGCTAGCAGTCTATAAATCTTTTCTATCAGGTGAAATTCACCTCTGATATTTCACGTAGGTTCTTTTCTGTATTCCTTAAGTGTCGGCTGGTCTGAGAAATAAAGGGACAGATTACGAAAGAGAGAAATTTTAAAGCTGGGTGTCCGGGGGAGACATCACATGTCGGCAGGTTCCGTGATGCCCTTTGAGCTGTGAAACCAGCAAGTTTTTATTAGTGATTTTCAAAAGGGGAGGGTGTGTACGAATAGGGTGTGGGTCACAGAGATCACAGGCTTCACGAGATAATAAGATATCACAAGGCAAATGGAGGCAGGGTAAGATCACAGGACCACGGGACCGGGGCGAAATTAAAATTGCTAATGAAATTTCGGGTACACATTGTCATTGATAACATCTTATCAGGAGACAGGATTTGAGAGCAGACAACCAGTCTGACCAAAATTTATTAGGCAGGAATTTCCTCATCCTAACAAGCCTGGGAGCGCTACAGGAGACTGGGGCTTATTTCATCCCTCAGCTATGACCGTAAAAGATAGCCATCCCCAAAGCGGCCATTTCAGAGGCCTCCCCTCAGGGACGCATTCTCCTTCTCAGGGATGTTCCTCGCTGAGAAAAAGAATTCAGTGATATTTCTCCCATTTGCTTTTGAAAGAAGAGAAATATGGCTCTGTTCCGCCCGGCTCACCAGCAGTCAGAGTTTAAGGTTATCTCCTTTGTTCCCTGAACATTGCTGTTATCCTGTTCTTTTTTCAAGGTGCCCAGATTTCATATTGTTCAAACACACATGCTCTACAATTTGCGCAGTTAACGCAATCATCACAGGGTCCTGAGGTGACATACATCCTCCTCAGCTTACAAAGATGGCAGGATTAAGAGATTAAAGTAAAGACAGGCATAAGAAATCACAAGGGTATTAATTGGGGAAGTGTCCATGAAATCTTCACAATTTATGTTCAGAGATTGCAGTAAAGACAGGCGTTAAGAAATTATAAAAGTATTAATTTGAGGAACTAATAAATGTCCATGAAATCTTCACAATTTATGTTCTTCCGCCATGGCTTCAGCTGGTCCCTCCATTTGGGGTCCCTGACTTCCTGCAATACTTTTCTAGCTTTTCCAAAAACCATGTTTGGTTCTTTTGATTCCTTTTTAAAATTTTTTAGTCTGTACCTTATGCAATTAATTTTAATTATTTCTTTTCTTCAGCAAGCTTTGGGGTTAGTTTTTTCTTTTTTTCCCTACTTCCTTTAAGTGTATTATTAGATTGTTAATTTAAGATTTTTCTAACTTCTTAATGTAGGTGTTTAGTTCTATAAACTTTCCTCTTAACACTGCTTTTGCTGCATCTCAGAGATTTTTGGTTTGTATCTTTGTTTTCATTTATTTCAAATTTTTTTTGTGATTTCTGCCTTAATTTCATTGTTTAACCAAAAGTCATTCAGGAACAAGTTGTTTAATTTCCATATAATTATGTGGTTTTTAGACATCTTCTTGGTATTGATTTCTATTTTTATTTTCATTTCACTGTGGTCTGAGAGTGTGGTTGGTATGATTTCTATTTTTCAAAATTTATCGATACTTCCTTGTGGCCAAGCATGTAGTCAATCTTAGAGTATGTTTCATGTGTGAATGAGAAGAATATAAACTCTGGTTACTGGGTGAAATATTTTGTAGATATCTATTAGAACAAATTAGTCAATTGTGAGATTTCCATCTAGAATTTTTGTGTTAGTTTTCAGCCTCAATGATCTGTCTGTCACTGTCAGTTGGATGTCATAGTCCCCCACTATTGTTGTGTGGATAAGTTTTTTTGTCGGTCTAGAAGTACTTGTTTTATGAATCTGGTTGGTCCAATGTTGAATCTGTATATATTTAGCATAGTTAAGTCTTCTTGTGCAATTGAACCCTTTATCATTATGTAATGCCCTTCTTTGTCTTTTTTAACTGTTATCAGTTTTAAAGTTGGTTTTATCTGATATAAGAATAGAGACCCATGTTCTTTTCTGCTCTCCATTTGTGTGATACATCATTCTCTACCACATTACCTTGAGCCTATGAGCGTCATTATGTGTGGGATAGGTATGCTGAAGACAGCAGATGGATGGATCTTGTTTTTTTGTTTGTTTTGTTTTGTTTTTATCAAATTCACTTCTCTGTTCCCTATATGTGGAGTGGTCAGACAATTTACATTCAAGATTAATATTGATATGTGAAATTTTTGATCCTATCTTGAAGTTGTTAGCCTGTTGCTTTACAGTTTCTATTGTGTAGCTGCTTTATCGAATCTGTGGGCTACGTACATAAGTTTGTTTTTGTGGTAGCAGGTATCATTCTATTATTTCCATGTTTAGAACTCCCTTAAGGATCTCTTGTAAGACTGGTCTAGTGGTAATGAATTCTGTTAATGATTGCTTGTCTGCAAACTATTTTGTTTCTTTTTAGTTTATGAAGCTTAGTTTGGCAGAATATATATTTCTTGTCGGAATTTTTTTTTTTTTTTTGGATAATGCAAACATAGGCCCCCAATCTCTTCTGGCTTATAAGATTTCTGCTGAGAAATCTGTTGTTAGCCTGATGGGGTTCCCCTTGTTTATAATCTCACCTTTTTCTCTAGCTGCCTTTAAGATGTTTTTAGTGTTGACCCTGTACAGTGATGTTCATTGTGTATAGTATCTTGCAGGTGCATTCTGGATTTCTTATATCTGGATGTTTACTTCTTTGGCAAAATTAGGGATTTTTTTTGAATTATTCTCTCAGATATGTTTTACAGGTTATTTACTTTGTCTCCTACCTCAAGGATGCCAATAATTTATAGCTTTGGTAACTTGACATAATCCTATATTTCTCAAACACTTTGTTCATTTTTAAAAATTCATTTTTCTTTATTTTTGTCTGCATGTATTAGTTTGAAAGACCAGTCTTCATGCTATAAAAGTGTTTCTTCTGCTTGGTCTAATCTACTGATAAAGCTTTCAATTGTATTTTGAAGTTTCTTAAGTGAATTTTTCAATTACAAAAGTCCTAATTGATTTCCTTATAAGATGTTTATTTCTTCCTTCATTTTCTGCATTGCTTTAGAAGTTTCTTTGTGTTTATTTTCAATTGTGTCTAGGGTCTCATTGAGCTTTCTTACAATCCATGCTTTGAATTCTTTATCTGTCATTTCTGAGTTTTCATTTTGGTTAGAGACCATTACTGAAGAGCTAGTATGATCCTTTGGTGGTGTCAAAACATCGAGATTTTTCATGGTGCCAGAACTCTTGCTCTGGTTCCTTCTTATCTGGAAACACTTCAAATTTTTGTATTTATTTTCATGTGGATAGAATTTTTTTCTTTCCTTCCACCTAAGTCATACTTAGAGGATATGACTGTAGAGTTGGGTAGGGTTCTTTGGCTTTGATTCCAGAGCATTGTGGACTTTGGTCAGCATGTTTTATATTGAGCTGTGAGGTTCAACTTAAAAGTCAGTAGATGTTGCTTATGGGTAAGAACTGACTGCCACCAAGGCAGATGGGTATATACTTAATTCTTACTTACTGAAATAAGCTTTCTGTTGCCTTGGGCAATGGGCTGAACCATGGAACTCACAGTAGTCTGAGTTCAGGAGTTGGGGATGAAGATGAACAGGGCTGGTCCAGGCAGACCCACGTACATGTTCCCCAATGGCAAGCACAAGCACCAGTGCCAAGGGGGGTCCAGTGGGCAGCCAACGAGCACCCATAGGTATATCTTGTCATGGAGCTGTGAAATCTCAGCCCAAGATTCTCTGCATTGGGTTGGGGGGTGGCCTAAACTACTCATGGGGAGTGGGTGTTCCTGATGCCTGGAGATCTGCCTAGGTGTGAAGTGTAGAAGACCCTGCTGAACCACAATCTCTTCATGAGATCGGTGGGGCAGCTTAGGCTTCTGATCCAGAAGAGTGGGTGCTCTAAATCCCTGGAGGTATGCCAGGATGAGAAGCTGAGAGGACCCTGCTTTACCATGGTCTCTACACAGGAAGTGCAGCCTGTTGATCCAGGAGAACAAGTGTTTCAAATACCTGGGGATCTGCCTGAGCATAGAGCATAGAGGGTCCTGTTGCATCATGATCTTTCCACAGGAAGGTGGGGCAGCTTAGGCTCCTGAACCAGATGAACAGGAACACAATTCTTAACAAAATATTACCAAATGCAATTCAGTAAATGTTTAAAAATTTATATCATGATCAAATAGATTTTATACCAAGAATGAAAAACTATTTAAATATTCAAAAACAAATCAGGGTAAACCAATTCACAGGCTAAAAAAAGAAAAAAAAAATACATAAAAAGATAAATTGATGTAGAAAAAGCATGTGATAAAATTTAAAACCTACTTATGATAAATATTCCCAGAGAACTAGGAATAGATTGGCTCTTACTTAACTTGATAAGCAACATTTTCAAAAATCCTACAGCTGACATTATATTTGATGTGGAAAGCCCGAATGATTTTGTTTTATGTTCAGGAATAAGGCAAGGAAATCCGTTCTCATCACTTTTTTTCAATATAGTGCTGTAAATTTCAGCCAATGTAATAAGCAAAAACTAAAATAAAATGAAAAACAACAGAGGTTTCTGTGGCCTTCTGCAAAGTCAGAGTGGGGATACTTTGCCAACATAAAAGTTGCTTCTCATACCTAAACTTTTTCTCTCAATCAACCTCTCTCTCTCTCTCACACACACACACACACACACACACACACACACGAAGATATGAAATGTTTTACTACTTGCATAGTTGATGTGCCTGGGAAGAACAGCACAGTCCTTCAAGCAGGTCCAAAATTGGCTTCAGAGAACAAAGAAAGGGGACTTTCTGGCATATTACTGTGGTTAGGACTTGGGGCCAACATGAGTTTTCTTTCATTAGCAGGGGCCCATGTTGTCTAAACCTTCCACACGATCCAAAAGAAAAAACTCTTAAGTTTTCTTATGTACTTATTCATATATGGGGCACAAAAGAAAATGGAAGAGGTGAGGCTTCATAGTTTTCAGCAGTCAGGCCAGGTGCATGGCTCATGCCTGTAATCCCAGCACTTTGGAACGCCAAGGCAGGTGGATCACGAGGTCAGGAGATTGAGACCATCCTGGCCAACATGGTCAAACCCTGTCTCTACTAAAATACAAAAAAATTAGCTGGGTGTGGTGAAGATTTGTATGCTGAAACCTATAAAACAGAAAAAAAATCAAATATATAAATAGAGAATCATTATCATGTTCACTGTTTGAAAGACCATCATAGTAAATATATAAATTATTTGCATAGTGATATACAGATTTAACTCAATTCCTATTAAAATTTAGGTCTCATTTTTTGTAGGTATGTAAAAGATTATTCTAAAATGTATGTGGACAGGGAAAGATACTATAATAAATAACACTAATTTGGAAAAGAAGAATAAAGTGGGCAGAATCAGTCTATCAGATTGTATTATATAGATGCAGATATCAAGATTGTGATATTGAAGGTGGATTGGCCCACAGACTGATAAAACAAAATAAAAAAAAACCCACACAAAGTAGACACATTCAAATATCCTCAAATTACTTTTTACAAGTATTCAAAATAATTCAATAGAAAATAGATAGCCTTATATAGAGGAATGATGTTGGAGCAATTGTGTATATATAGGCCAAAAAATACACAAAGACACAAAACAAAACAAATCCTTGATGTAATCATCACATCTTCTAAAAATATTAGCTCCAGATGGATTAAAGAGTTAAATATATAATATGAAACTTTTAGAAAAGTGAATAGAAAGAAATAGTCATGACCTTGGGTAGGCAAAAATTTCTTAGACATGACAGCAAAAACACAGTACATAAAAGAAAAATTTATAAATTGGGCTTAATCCAAACCAAAAAACGGTTTTCTCTGTGACTCCTTTAAGAGGATGAAAATACAAATTACTGAGTGGGAGAAAATATTTACATATCACATACAAAACAAGAGTAGTACCTAGAATACATGAAGAATGTTCAAAACTCAACAGTGAGTAAACAAATAATTTGATTAGAAAATTGACAAAAAACATGAAGAAACATTTCACCTATTTTACCAGAGAGAATGTACAAATGGCAGATAAGCAAATAAGAAGAAACATTTCACACATTTTACCAGAGAGAATGTACAAATGGCAAATAAGCAGATTAAAAAGTTTCAACATCATTATCCATTAGGAAAACTCGAATTAAAACTACAGTGGGAAATCATTATATATCTACCAGAATGAAAAAAAAAAATGAAATGTATTTACAACACCAAATGTTTATGAGAATGCAGAGAAATTGGATCACACATTGCTGGTGGAATGTAAAATGGTACAGTCCCTATGAAAAACAGTTGGGCAGATTCTTAAACAAACAGGCAAACCAGAGAAACAAAAACAAAAACAAAAAAAACTAAATATCCAGTCACTACGCCAGTCATCAATTATTCTCCCAGGTATTTACCCCAGAGAAAGAGAAACTTATGTTTACACAAAAAGTAGTACCCAAATGTTTTATTTGTATGGAAAAAACTAGAAACAATTTGGTGTCATTCAACAGGTGAATGTTTAAGCAAATTGTGGCCTATCCCTAATATTGAATGCTGCTCATCAATAAAAAAGAACAATATGTTTGATATCATTTAGATATTTGTCCCCATAAAAATCTCAAGTTGATCGTGATACTTATTCACTATCATGAGAACTGCATGGAAAAACCTTGCCCCAATGATTTAATTACCTTCCATGGGGTCCCTCCCAGGACATGTGATGATTATGAGAGCTACAATTCAAGATGAGATTTTGGGTGGGGACACACAGTCAAACAATATCACTTAACTTCAATCACATAAAAAATCTTGGCTTTTTTAACAGCTTAATTCCCACCTCTTTTATTTTTAATGTCACACATTACACATTTATACATTTATTTGTCCAAACATATACACTAAATAGTGTGTAATGCATTAGTCTCCTGAGTTATGTAAAAAAAAAAAAATGTGGAGTTTCAAACCAAAATTATAATACCAGCTATTAAACTAATAATTTTTAATGTAATTGTCTCTTAAATCATGTAGAAAACAAATATTACAGCTTGTCTTAGTCAGTTCTCACCCTGCTAACACATACAAGAGAATTGATAATTTATAAGAAAAGGAGGTTTAATTGGCTCACAGTTCCATATGTCTGGGGAGGCTTCATAATCATGGCAGAAGATGAAGGAAGACCAAAAGGATGTCTTACATGGTGGCCAGCAAAGAGAGAATAAGAGTCAAGCAAAAGGGAAAACCCCTTATATAACCATCAGATCTCATGAGACTTATTCACCACCATGAGAATAGTATGGGGGAAACTCCACCAGTGACTCAATTATCTCTCAACAGGTCCCTCCCACAACACATGGGAATTATGAGAGCTACAATTCAACATGAGATT
Organism: Homo sapiens; assembly: GCF_000001405.40. Lineage (NCBI taxonomy): Eukaryota > Metazoa > Chordata > Mammalia > Primates > Hominidae > Homo > Homo sapiens. Next base: position 104,051,947 of record NC_000001.11, read on the forward strand.
TGGGTGGGGACACAGCTAAAACATATCATTCCACCCCTGTCCCCCCGATTATCATGTCCTCACATTTCAAAACCAATCATGCCTTCCAAACAGTCCCCAAAGTCTTAACTCATTTCAGCATTAACTCAAAAGTCCCCAGTCCAAAGTCTTATCTGAGACAAGGCAAGTCCTTTTCACCTATGAACCTCTAAAATTAAAAGCAAGTTAGTTACTTCCTAGATACAATGGGGGTGCAGGCATTCTGTAAACATACCCATTGCAAATGGGAAAAATTAGCCAAAACGAAGGGGCTACAGGTCCCATGCAAGTCCGAAATCTAACAGGGCAGCCATTAAATCCCACATTTTCCTTCCACACTGCCCTAAAGGAGGTTCTCCATGAGGGCCCCGTTGCTGAGGCTAACTTCTGCTTGGACAACCAGGCATTTCCGTACATCCTCTGAAATCTAGGCAGAGGTTCCCAAACCTCAATTCTTGACTTCTGAGCACCTGCAGGCTCAACACCAGGTGGAAACTGCCAAGGCTTGGGGCTTGCACCCTCTGAATCCATGGCCTGAACTGTATCTTTGTCCCTTTTTGGCACAGCTGGAGCAGCTGGGACACAAGGCTGCACAGAGCAGGCAGGCCCTGGGCCTGGCTCACAAAACCATTTTTCCCTCCTAGGCCTATGATGGGAGGCTTCGCTACAAAGGTCTCTGACATGCCTTGAAGACATTTTCCCCATTGTCTTGGTGATTAACACTTGGCTAAGTGACTTATGCAAATTTTTGCAGCTGGCTTGAATTTCTCCTCAGAATATATATGTGTATATATATATATATATATATATATATATATATATATATATATATATTTTATTGCATCATCAGGCTGAAAATTTTCCAAATCTTTATTCTCTGCTTCCTCTTGAATGCTTTGCTGCTAAGAAATTTCTTCCCCTAGATACCCTAAATCATCTATCTCAAGTTCAAAGTTTCACATATCTCTAGGGCAGGGGCAAAATTCCGCCAGTCTCTTTTCTAAAGCACAGCAAGAGTGACTTTTACTCCAGTTCCCAAAAAGTTTCTCATGTCCATCTGAGACCATGTCAGCCTGGACTTTATTGTCCATATCACTATCAGCATTTTAGTCAAAGCTATTTAACAAGTCTCTAGGAAATTCCAAACTTTCCCACATTTTCCTGTCTTCTTCTGAGCCCTCCAAACGGTTTCAGCCTCTACCTGTTACCTAGTTCCAATGTCACTTCCACATTTTTTGGGTATCTATAGATTAGCATCACTCTCTCACTACCAATTTATCATATTAGTCCATTCTCATGCTGCTAATAAAGGCATACTCAAACTGAGTAATTTATAAAAGAAAGAGGTTTAATGGATTCACAGTTCCACATGGCTGGGGAGGCCTCACAATCATGGTGGAAGATGAAGGGAAAGCAAAGGGACATGTTACATGGCAGCCAGCAAAAAGAGAATGAGAGCCAAGTGAAAGGGGAAACCTTTTATATAACCATCAGATCTCGTGAGACTTATTCACTACCACAAGAACAGTATGGGGAAACTGCCCCCGTGCAATGCAAGATGAGATTTGCATGGGGACACAGACAAATCACATAACTTAACTTTAATAACATACAAAATATAGGCTTTTCTAACAGCTTGATTCCCACCTCTTTTAGTTTTAGTGTCACAAAATTACATTTTTATAGATTTATTTGTCCAAACACATACACTAACAAGTGTTTTAATATATTAGTCTTTTGGGTTATATAAAAAACCAAAATATGGAGTTACAAACCAAAATCATAATACTAGATATTAGACTAATAATTTTTAATGTAATTATCTCTTAAATAATGTAGAAAACAAAAATTGAAACTATACATTATTGTTAGAATAATAGTAGATTTTATCATTGGTCATGTACTTAGCCTTGCTGAGATCTTTATAGGTTTTTACATCTTTGTTTTACTGTCTAGTATCCTCCATTTTAACCTACATGACTCTCTTTACCATTTGCTATAGGCGAGATCTAATGGTATCAAAGTGCCTCAACTTGTATTTATCTAGGAATGTCTTACTTTGTCCCTCACTTTTTAAGGACAGTTTTGCCAGGAGAGATTTTTTTCTATCATTTGATCTTTTTTTTTTTCTGCCTATTCTGGGTTGACAGTGGTTTTTTTGTTTTTGTTTTTGTTTTTGCAGTTTGAATATATCAGCCCACTGCCTCAGACTACAAAAGTTTCTGATGAGAAATTTGCTAATAATTTTAATTGAAAATCTCTTGTGCATGACAAGTTACTTTTCTCTTTCTACTTTTAAGAGTTTCTCTTTGTCTTTGGCTTTTGATGATTTTATTACAATGTGTCTTTTTGCAGGTCTCTCAGTTCAGTAAAACTTGAAGTTTATTAAACCCCTTGAATGTTTATATTCATGTCATTCATCAAACATGGACATTTTTCAGGTATTACTACTTCAAACTGACTTTATTCCCTTTTTTTCCTCTCATTTATTTCTCTGACAAATGCTCATTTGTTCCACTCCATCGGATACCTTAGGTTCTGTTCACTTTTCTGTTCCTAAGACTCAATGATTTCCATTGTCCTCTCTTGAAGTTTACTGATGCTTTCTTATGCCTGTGGTGACTATGGAAATCAGATTCTTCCCCTTCCCCAGGGTTTTCCATTTTTCAATTTTGTTCTTTGCATGTTTTCCATTGTTGTAGATAACTTCTGTGCCGAGTATCAGCCTCATATGTAAACTTAAGGTTTTCTCAAGTCTTTTCTGAGCCTGTACATTTGTCTGGGATGTGTGGTGACTTTCTAATTTCCACCTATATGCAGTTGCTTTTGAATGGTTTAGTCTTCCATGTCTGATTTCCAAAAGATAAAATGGAGAAAAGTGAAGGGAGTGAAGTTAAAGGCTCTTTATTTCCTCCGGAAGCCACTACAGCCAGTGAAAGAGTGGCTTGCAACAATGGAGAAAAGTGCAACAATAATGTCAGCTACTTCTTTTTCTATGATTAGAAATAGCAGTCAGCAATCAGAGCACAGATACTTGATTTTTGGAAGGCAGGATCCTTTTTGTCCACCTGGCTCCTGGAGACTGTGAGGAAGCTGCTCCAGGGATATGTGCATGGTGCTAAGGAGTCAGGGATGGGTAGCTGCTACTGTGCTAAGTTATGAAATGGATCAACATTAATCATAATTCATACTTCAAGCCTTCCTGTGGAAGTTTCAAGCCTACAATAGACTCCAGAATTTCAAAACACTTACATCAAATTGCTGGTGCAATTGTTACCTAAGTAGGGAACAGATTTCTGGTGCTTCTTACTTTGCCATCTTTCCAGACCCTCTCTCCTGTGCCAGACTGTTGCTTTTTAGGAAATAGACAATGAGCCATCTAGGAGAAGATATATGTCTGGCAGAGAGCCAAGTCAGAATCTCATGGACACAGCGAATCAAAACTTTATTGATTCCCTTTCCTTGCCATATATATATATATATATATAAAATTACCATTTTAATGTCATTGAAGAGAAGTGAGCCCCTGAGAGCCCTGAGAGCACTAATAAGTATGTGGATTTATAATGCATTTCATGAATTCTGGTGGAAGTATGGAACACTGCTTCTTCATAATTTCCTTTTTTTGATTCAACATGAATACTATAGTGACAGTCCCCAAAACGGTGAACTAGGCCCTTATGACAAGGCTAAATCAGTAAGAGAAATACCCACAATGCATTGTGAATAAGGACACTAAAAATAATAATGTTTACAAGAGGGGAAATCAGGTGATAAAAATCTACAGAATGAGATTATTATAGTCCAAAGTACTAAACATCTAATCATGCTTGCATTTCATCCCTTGGGGTGTGTGTGTGTGTGTGAGAGAGAGAGAGAGCGAGAGAGAGAGAGAGATGATACACTTTTACTCTCTATAATTTCTGTCCATACATCTTCCTTGCTCCCTAATATGGAATTCCTATATATCCTTCCAAACTTGACTGAACTATCAGTTTTTCTATTAAGCCTGTCAAGATCTACCTGATCCCCATATCTGACTGACCACCTCCAGGATTCATCATTATCTCTCTCGTCTTCATCTAGAACTTTTATACATAATCTAGCTGGATCTATGAACAGGCTGACTTTCAGTATTGACAAATTGCATATCTGCTTGTCCTCCTTAAAACATAATGGATATATTACTTCAGTGCAGATGTATAATTTATCTTTGAATTCTTAGCACTTCACAGATACATTCAATAACTCATTTTTCAGTCGTATTTCATTTTATATTTGCTGATTTTCATTTGTCACTTATAATTAATCTGACGTTTTCTGAATTTCTACTAGGAAGCAAGCTGAGTGCTACGTATTTATTGTTAAAATCAAGTTAGTTTCTGGCACACAGTGGTGAGAACAGTGATACAGAAAACTGAAATAATTTAAAGTACAGTGTGAGTGGCAATATAGATGTAAGAGTGTCCAAGGTAAAGTAAGGAAAGACACATAATTTAAGCTGATTTATTTTTGTCAAGAGCCCCCATATACTTTTTGGCTTCTGTATTTTGATATTTGGTATAAGAATACTCATTGTCATGGAGTAAGGGCCAGATTGTTAACAATCAAGGAATTCTCTGGTTTCTTTATGTGAGCATTGTAGAATTTTTACAAAAACTAAAAAATGCACATACTAGAAAGTAAATTATGGAATTTTTGTTCAGCAATTTATTTCCTAACTCTCTGCTACCCTTGTAAAATACCTGCATATTGCCCTTGTGAGCTCTACTGATCACTTTAAGAAGTGCTTAATTCGGGATTCAGGATAAAGATGGCTGAATAGGAACAGCTCGAGTCTGCAGCTCCCAGTGAGATCGACACAGAAGGCGAGTGATTTCTGCATTTCCAACTGAGGTACCCGGTTCATCTCATTGGTTGGACAGTGGGTGCAACCCATGGAAGAAGAACAGGAGCAGGGTGGGGCGTTACTTCACTGGGGAAGTGCAAGGGGTCGGGGAATTTTCTCCCCTACCCAAGGGAAACTGTGAGGGACTGAGCCTGAGGAACCGGGCACTCCGGCCCAGATACTGCTCTTGTCCCATGGTCTTTGCAACTCACAGACCAGGAGAGTGCCTCTGGTGCCTACCCAACCAGGGCCCTGGGTTTCAAGCACAAAACTGGGTGGCCATTTGGGTAGACACTGAACTAGCTGCAGTAGTTTTTGTTGTTGTTGTTTTCTATACCCCAGTGGTGCCTGGAACGCCAAAGAGACAGAACCATTCGCTCCCCTAAAAAAGGGTGCTGAAGCCAGGGAGACAAGTGGTCTGGCTCAGCAGGTCTCCCCCAACAGAGCCCAGCAAGCTAAGATCCACTGGCTTGAAATTCTTGCTGCCAGCACAGCAGCAGTGTGAGATCAACCTGGGACACTTGAGCTTGGTGGGGGGAGGGGCGTCCACCATTGCTGAGGCTTTAGTAGGTGGTTTTACACTCACAGTGTAAACAAAGCCACCAGGAAGTTCAAACTGGGTGGAGCCCTCTGCAGCTCAGCAAGGCTACTGTGGCCAGACTGCCAGATCTCTTCTCTCTAGGGAGGGCATCTCTGAAAAAAAGGCAGCAGCCCCAGTAACCAACTTACAGATAAAACCCCCATCTACCTGGGACAGAGCACCTGGGGGAAGGGGTGGCTGTGGGCGCAGCTTCAGCAGGCTTAAACGTCCCTGCTCTGAAGAGAGCAGTGGACCTCCCAGCACAGCGTTTAAGCTCTGCTAAGGGTCAGACTGCCTACTCAAGTGGGTCCTTGACCCCCATGTATCCTGACTGGGCGACACCTCCCAGTAGGGGCCAACAGACACTTCATACAGGAGAGCTCTGGCTGGCATCTGGCAGGGGCCCCTCTGGGATGAAGCTTCTAGAGGAAAAAACAGGCAGAAATCTTAGCTGTTCTGCAGTCTCTGCTGGTGATACCGAGGCAAGCAGGGTAGGGAGAGGACCTCCAGCAAACACCAGCTGACCTGCAGCAGAGGGGCCTGACTGTTAGAAAGGAAACTAACAAACAGAAAGTAATAGCATGTCCACTCAAATACCCCATCCAAAGGTCACCAAATCAAAGACCAAAGTAGACAAATCCACAGAGCTGGGGAGAAATCAGCACAAAAAGGCTGAAAATTCCAAAAACTAGAATGCCTCCTCTCCTCCAAAGGATCACAACTCCTTGTCAGCAAGGGAACAAAACTGGACAGAGAATGAGTTTGACGAATTGACAGAAGTAGGCTTCAGAGGTGGGTAATAACAAACTCCTCCAAGCTAAAGAAGCATGTTCTAACCCAATGAAAGGAAGCTAAGAACCTTGAAAAAAGGTTAGATGAATTGCTAACAAGAATAACCAGTTTAGAGAAGAAAAATGACCTGATAGAGCTGAAAAACACAACATGAGAACTTCGTGAAGCATACACAATTATCAATAGCCAAATCGATCAAGCAGGAGAAATGATATCAGTGACTGAAGATCAACTTAATGAAATAAAGCGAGAAGACAAGATTAGAGAAAAATAATAAAAAGGAACAAACAAAGCCTCCAAGAAATATGGGACTATGTGAAAAGACCAAATCTACGTTTGATTGGTGTACCTAAAAGTAATGGGGAGAAGGGAACCAAGTTGGAAAATACTCTTCAAGATATTATCCAGGAAAACTTCCCCAATCTAGCAAGACAGGCCAACATTCAAATTCAGGAAGTACGGAGAACACCCCAAAGATACTCTTCAAGAAGAGCAACTCCAAGACACATACTTGCAAGTAAATTTCTCCAGTAAAAAAGACCTCCCTATAAAAGTAGTTTAAGTTGCTCAGGTTTTAAATAAAAAAGATCTATGCATTGAAGTTGATTCCAAACAGTCTGGCTTACAGCTATTTTTGCTTGCATTTAGTTGTGAAATGGTGAATTACATAAGGCCAGAAGTGAAATGCAGATGTTTCTTTGCCAGCTTGAACCATAAAATAAAAAATTTAAAAGGAGTTTAGTGACCTGGTGAGAAATAGAAGGACTTTGTGCATTAAAAATTGTGTTTAGATTAATTCAATGATAAATATTCAATGGAAGTTTATCAACTATAAAACTAGTTCCTCAAAATGAGTTTTCACTCTGATAATTAGTACATACCATGTGGTTACTGCTATTAGAAAGACAACACAAAAATAATGTTCAGGTCACCAGTGGCTGGTCTGATAAAGGCCATATGGAAGATTCATTCGCTGCCTGAAAAGCACTCTTCTCTTATTTCTCAACTGTATTGAAAATCCACTTTGCCTGGTCATTGACTGATGTTTTAGATGAGTAATTCTCAACTTTGGCTACACATTGGAATTGCCTAGATGATTTTTAAAATGTTAGGTCTCACTTCTGCAGATTCTTATTTAATCAATCTGGGATAAGACCTGAGGATGAGAATGTTTTAATATTGCTCATGTGATATTTATATCCCATAATCAATAAACTAGATGTTAGCATCCTGGGGCTACCCTTTCAACACAACCCTAGAAACATTGAGTGTTCACATTTTATCTGCCTGTCTTAGCAACTTTATTTAATTTTGAGCACTTAGGGAATTTTTCCCCCTAATATTAATTTTTTTTCTGGGAAAAAAATATAGATCACTCTACAATTAAGAGAATAAGCATATTCATAGGCCTAGGAAGTACTAACTCTATTTTCTATATGTCTGAGATGGAATACAGCATTGTGAAATATTCCTTGGATACAGAATAGCATTGTTTCTCAAAGTGTGATCCAAGTACTGCCTGCATTAATCATTGCTTATGAATAAATAAAGGAACAAATAAATAAATCAAATTCCTCAACATTTCTCCAGAATTACGGAAATGGGAATTTCGAATGTGGAACCTAGAAATATGTATTTTTAAGAAGCTCTCCAGGTGATTCTAGTGTATGTACTAAAGTTTAAATAGATGGGTATAAGGACTCCACCTTAGCTAAGCATTCAAATTGTTCTCTTCCAAATTGAATTTTTAATATTTTGTTATATGAATAAAAGAAAAGCATGCATATGAATCTGAGAAGGAAGAAAATACTGGAGAAAATGGCTAAATTAGTTTAGTATTATACATTGGTTTCCTCTGAGAACATCCAGTGTAAAACACCTGGAGAAAATAAAGTCAGGGCCTTCTTTATCTCCATTAATATGGATTTTTTGGGACAATTTAAAAATGTACCCAGAGATTGTTGTTGGAACTCTTGACATTTTTATGAGGTAAGTTTGTTCCTAAAAATTTCTGTGTGCAGATACTTTTTATATATGAAATCATTTTCTTTTATCCAATGACTTATAAACTGACTTCAAAAAATCAGAAAGTTAAAAAATATTTAAAAGTGGAGGTAACTTCAGAGACAGTGTAGCTCAAGTGAGAGAGGAAAATGACACATACAAAATAAACTCCAAATTAGATCCTTTCAATTTTTTTTTCTATATTGGTAATTTATTCTTCTCCTCTCCTACCCCTTAAAAATCAACCTCCAAATTATTTTTAATATAATTTTTAAATAGTTTGTTTCAGACAATTCTGGTCAAAGTCACCATTTCTCTCACTCAGACTACTTAAGGTCTTCAATTTGCCATAGACTCTCCCCCTGATTCATTCTGCAGATGGTAGACCAGTTATATTTTCTAAAATACAAATGCCATTACTTATTCTTTGGCTCAAATTATTTCAATGGTTTTCTGTGATCCTAAAGGTAAACCTCAAATCCTTCATGTACATATTACAAGCACTCTATAATATGACTCCTGCCCTCATGTTCATTGTTAAAGATGTGGTTTTCAGTGTGGACCTATAGAAAAATATTAAAATTTGTGTAGGGTAATATTCTTTATCACAAAAGCTGTGGAAAAGGGGGCACTATTACCATTTTTGGATAATAACTGGAATGCTTGGCATCCTTCATGACATAGAAAGTGTCACATAATGAAAAGTTCCTTATAGTCCTTATATTTCTCACTAGATATCTTGTAGATTAAAAAAAAACCTGTTTAAATTATATAAGCTTAGGATATAAATCAGTTTTGCACATGAAAATGAATTATTCTTGGCATGCTATTAAGATTTGACAATTTTTCCAGATAGGGAACTATGGTATAAATCGGTAGAACCATGCTCTTTCGTAAGGTAAAGATAAACAAGTGTACTAGGCATTGTTTACCATTTTGGAAAGTGACAGCTATTGTAAGAAACCATAGAAACTCATGAAGTTAATTGTCATTCAGCTTAGGGCACTAATCTCATCTGAGATCTGGCATACTGGGTAGGAAGATTGATTTTTATGATTAACTCCAACACCTGGGCACAGTTTGGGGAAAAATTTAGGCTGAAATTCAGGGAGCATGTATGCACTTACCAATAATTTAGTCCAAGTAAAATATATACTAGATGTATGACAATGTCCAGATGCCCAAGATATTGACCGGTAATCCACTTACTACCCTGGAATTAAAATTCTCTGTGATAAAAACTCAACTCTAGGGTTCAGAAGCATCAGGTAATATTAACATTATACAAAATTACCAGGCTGGGTGCGGTGGCTCACTCCTGTAATTCTACCACTTTGAGAGGCTGAGGTGAGTGGATCACCTGAGGTCAGGAGTTGGAGACCAGCCTGGCCAAGATGGCAAAACCCTGTCTCTCCTAAAAGTACAAAAATTAGCTGGGCAGGGTGATGTGTGACTGTAATCACAGCTACTTGGGAGGCTGAGGTAGGAGAATCGCTTGAACCCTGGAGGTGGAGGTTGCAGTGAGCCGTGATCATGCCACTTCACTCCAGCCTGGATGACAGAGTGACACTCTGTCTCAAAAAATAAATAAATAAATAAATAAATAAATAAATAAATAAATAAATAATCAGAGTCAGCTTCATGAAGAAATTGACTTGAGCTGGCACTAGATTTTCTAGGATTTGGTTCGGCAGAGTAGATGGCAAAAACAAAGATATAAAGGAGGAAGGAAGAGATTAAAAAAAATAACAATAACAACAAAAACACAACCTGGAAAGTAAGTATTGAGTAAAGTTTAGATTCCTTTTTGTAATTTGGAATCATGAAAACATATTCCCAGCCAGGAAAGTGGAAACAACTAAAGAAATATTTTAAATATAATCATTTATTTCAAGGCTTAATCATTTAAAACTTCACAATTAATTGAAAATGGAGGTCAGAGTAGAGGGAAGATATATCTTTACCTGTAGAATGCTAATATATTTTATTGAATACGTGAAGAATTGCACATATTTTGAGTTGCATTTAAAGAGGAGGATAATGTAGTGTTCCTTTACTTAAATATGCTGCAAATGCAGCACATTTACCTTAAAATGTATTTATATTAATTTACTGAGAGTAAACATGTTCATCTCTTTTGGGTGTGGTTGGGGTTATGGGATAGGGAGTTAAATATTGCCAAGAAGTTCGGTAAAGGTAGAACAGGTCCTGGTTATAGCGTTCCTGAGCCATGTTTGCCTGTTTTTCTGAGTAGGGGAACTTCATACAAGAGTATGTCTGTCTCTTTCATAGTGCTTCTCAGAGCCATTTAGGACTCTGTATTGCAGATGCAAATCTATTTTTCTAGACCTCTGAGAGCAGCTTCTACAGTTTAAATTTCCTTAATGATCCTCTAAAATATGGAGCTTGTTGGAAATAACGTTTATTGATAAGTTCTACTTCCTCTTAATTTCTACGCTGAGAGTAAGCTCTGCATTGCGTTTACAGCATAAAAGTTGTACTAAAATTTTAATTAAATAAAAGTTAACGGTTATGCTTTACTTGTATTTTTTAGTTGGTTGTAAATCATTGATGGTAATATTCTAAGTTCCTATCAAGTTTACAGATTTAGGCAACATTATGAGTTCAAATTATAATAGTGGATTCCTATCATCTCTTTATGTCAGTCCTAGTGAAACAAATTATACTAATTATATTTCTCAATGAAAGTTTTATGTGGGATTTTATTCTTTCTTGAGTTATATAATTAAGATGTGTTTTTTCCCTTTCCAAGTCATAATATCACTTTATTTTGTCCACGAGTTGGTCTGCCAGCCTTATACTCTTTATGCTTTCCTCTTCCCTCTCAGCTTCCACTATGTCCTCTTTATGCTGTGTAATAAAACATAGTGAAAAATAACACAGGTTTTTCCCAATCCCAAATAACACATAGATTGATTACTAGCTATATGGTCTTTATAAAATATTTTAGTACCTAAGTGTTCTCATCCATAAAATGAGAGTGAAAACATGATTGATTTTGTCCGTATATTATAATGATTCAAAGAGGTAATGCATTTACGAAGCTTAACATGTTACCTAATAAGTAAGACAGACACAAGAGATATTGTTATTGTTTTTGTTATTATTGTTAATGATGATGTTATGTATTTCACATAATTTCAATAAATTAATTTAGTCTTAAATTTTTCAACTGAAAATTTTTTCACAAATCATAATTACATGCATTTACATATACTCTAATATTCAAATAAACACAACTTTTAGCCTGTGCCTTCTTCTTAATATTTTTTTCTGGTATCATGACCAAGTATCTTGTATTAAATAGACATGTTTTGCTATGTTTGTTTTTATGTAAAACACACAGACAAGTGGCCAGCTAGCCTTTACAAGGGCTTACAGAATTACAACAGTGAGAATATTTACTCACCAGTGCATCTAATGATTTACACCTGTAATATTGTTGCATGTTAAAATATCAGGCTGTGGCTGTACGACAAGAATAGATCATTTATGTCAGAAATTCTTACCTTTTAGATTTTAAGAAGTCATTTCAAAGGAAAAATAAGCATGATGAATCCCTACCTGAAAATAATTTTACTTTTAGCACTTCTTAATATAAAAATCATTTCAAAAGGTACTATAAATTTATTAATTATTTTAATATAATTCATTATTTATCTCATGACACAGCAGTGTTTAAACAGTTGTGGTAAGTATATGTTTGGCTATACATGTATTCAGGCTTAAGGAATATTTCACGAGCCAAATCTTGCAATGGTTATAGACTCCCAATAGTTATAGACTACTGACTTTGTGACCAGGAATATTCTGTCTAAACTATCAGTAGATGCCCTTTACTAACTTACAGTATCATAGTCTTTTTCAAAAACTTAACTCCCCTCTAACCATGGGTTATTCAAGCAGAAACAAACAAATAAAAATAAATAAATTTAAAAATTAAGTAATAAGGAACATAAAATTTTGCCTCATTTTCAAGTAACTGCTTTAGGAAACAGAAAAAAACTTTTATCATTTTGTATTTTTAAAAAATTCTGTCCCAACAGAATGCTTAAACTTTTAATCTTTAAACCAAATAGGAGTCAGTAAGAAGAGTCAATGATTTGCATTAAAAGACATGAATAAATATAAATATGTGCTCTATTTATGCAAAAGGAAGAGGGAAAGCCTTTTTAGTAGCCCATATTTATTTATGTAATTACTTAAGACAGGGTCTTGCTCTGTCATTCAGGTTGGAGTGCAGTGACACAATCATGGCTCACTGCAACCTCAAACTCTGGGGCTCAAGCAGTCCTCCTGGGTCACCTCCCAAGTAGCTGGAACTAAAGGCACATGCCACCATGACAATAAACAAAATAATTCTATAAATACTCTTAGGCCAAGTGTAAGACTCTCTCATCATAATGAAATTATTTATATTTGAATATGACTCATAAATGTTTCACATAGCACACTTCTGACTGAGGCTATTTATCCAGTTACACAAGTAAGAGTTAAATCATTGTCTTTCTAATAGATATTTGATACACAACAAATTTTTCATGTTATCTTTTAAACTATACATAGACTATATTCAGTCCACTTTTAACTCTACATAGAACAATTGCTGGGCATAAATTAAACCTCCATAGATTTCAAAATATCAAAATCCTAGAGATTGAGCACAGAAATAAATCATAGTTTGATGGCATAAATAAATAAATCAAAATTTAATAACATAACAAATACAGTCATTCATATTTGTTCATTAAGTGTCATCCAGGTATTGATATGCATCCTCAGATAGCAAACTAGGTGGATGCTCAATTCCCTGATATAAAATGCTGTAGTATTTCCATAAACCTATGCACATTCTCCCATTTAGTTTAAATTATTTCTAGATTACTTATAACAGCAAATACAACATAAATGCTATGTAAAGAGTTGTTACACTATATTATTTCTATTTCTATTTTTATTGTTGCATTGGCATTGGTTATTATTTATTTTAAATTTTTAAATATTTAATTTTTGTGGGCACACCTAGCTATATGTATTTATAGGGTACATGAGATATTCTGGCACAGGCATGCAATGCATAAGAATCACATCACGGACAATGGGGTATCTATCTCCTAAAGCATTTATCCCTTGTGTTACAAACAATCCAATTATACTCTTTTTGTTATTTTAAAATGTCCAATTGAATTATTATTGACTATACCCATCTTGTTGTGCTATCAAATACTTGGTCTTATTCATCATTTCTAACTATATTTTCCGTACCCATTAACCATCTCCAACTTCCTTCCCACCCGCTAACTACCCTTCTCAGCCTCTGGTAACCATCCTTCTACTCTATGTCAAGAGTTCAATTGTTTTGATTTTTAGATCCCACAAATAAGTGAGAACATGCAATGTTTGTCTTTCTGTGCCTTGCTTATTTTACTTAACATAATGACCTCCAGTTCCATCCATGTTGTTACAAATGACAGCATCTCATTATTTTTTATGGCTGAGTAGTACTACTTTGTGTGTATGTACCACATTTTCTTAATCCATTCATCTGTGGATGGATACATAGACTGCTTCCAAATCTTGGCTATTTTGAACAATGCTGCAAAAACATATGCATGCAGATATCTCTTAGATACTGATTTCCTTTTTTAGGGATATATACCCTGCAGTGGGATTGCTGGACCATATGGTAGCTCTATTTTTAGTTTTTTGAGGAACCTCCAATCTTTTCTCAATAGTGGTTGTACCAGTTTACATTCCCACCAACAGTGTATGAGAGTTTCCTTTTCTCCACATCCTTACCAGCCTTTGTTACTGCCTACTGTTGGATAAAAGCTATTTTAGCTGGAGTGAGATGATATCTCACTGTAGTTTTGACTTACATCTCTCTTGGATGATCAATGATGTTGTGGACCTTTTCATACGTATGTTTGCCATTTGTATGTCTTCTTTTGAGAAATGTCTATTTAAATATTTTGCCCATTTTTTTAAATAAGATTATTAGATTTTTTTCTAAAAATATGTTTGAGCTACTTATATATTCTGGCTTTTAATCCCTTGTCAGATGGGCAGTTTGCAACTATTTTCTCCCATTCTATAGGCTATATCTTCACTTTGTTGATTGTTTCCTTTGCTGTGCAGCTTTTTACTTAATGTGATCCCATTTGCCCATTTTTGCTTTGGTTGCCTAGGATTGTCGGGCACTCAAAAAATTTTTGCTCAGACCAATGTCCTGGAGAGTTTCTCCAATGTTTTCTCATAATAGTTTCATAGTTTGAGGACATAGATTTAAGTCTTTAATCCATTATTATTTTATTTTTGTGTATGCTGAGAGATAGGGATGTGGTTTAATTCTTCAGCATATAGATATCCAGTTTTCCCAGCACCATTTATTGAGGTGACTATCTTTTCTCCAGTGCATGTTCTTGGCAACTTTGTCAAAAATGAGTTCAGTCACTTTTCGTTGGATTTGTTTCAGAGTTTCTTAATCTGTTCCATTGGCCTATGTGTCTGTTTTTATGCCAGTACTATGCTGTTTTGGCTACAGTAGCTCTGTACTATAATTTGAAGTCAGGTAATGTGATTCCCCCAGGTTTGTGCTTTTTGATCATGATAGTTTTGACTATTCTGAGTCTTTTGAAATTTCATATAAATTTCAAATTTTTTCTATTTCTATGAAGAATGTCATTGGTATTTTCATAGGGATTGCATTTAATCTGGAGATTGCTTTGGGTTGTATGGATATTTTAACAATATTGATTCTTCTAATCCATTAATGTGGAAGACCTTTCCATTTCTTGTGTGTATGCTCTTCAATTTCTTTCATCAGTGTTTTATAGTTTTTATTGTAGAGATTTTTCACTTCTTTGATTAATTCCTAGGTATTTAATTTTATTTGTGGCTATTGTAAATGGGATCACTTTGATTTCTTTTTTCAGACTGTTCACTGTCAGCATATGAAAATGCTACTGATTTTTGTGTGTTGATTTTGTATCCTGCAACTTTACTGAATTTGTTTATCAGTTCTAATGGTTTTATTTGTAGTGTCTTTAGATTTTTTCAAATATAAGGTTATATAATCTGAAAACAATGATCATTTTCTGCCTTTAGTTAGATGGCCTTTATTTCTCTTGCCTGATTGCTCTAGCTAGGACTTCCAGTACTATGTTGAATAACAGTGTGAAAGTGAGCATTCTTGTCATATTCCAGACCTAACTGGAAAGGCTTTCAGGTTTTCCCCATTTAGTGTAATAGCTGTGTGTGTCCTATATGGGTTTTATCATGTTAAGGTATGTTTCTTCTGTACTTAGTTTTCTGAGGGTTTTTATCATGAAAATAATGTCAAATTTTATCAAATCATTTTTCGGCATCAATTGAAATAATCATATGACTTTTGTCCTTCATTCTGTTGATATGATGTATTACATTGATTTATTTTCATATGTTGAGCCATTCTTGCATCCCAGAGATAAATCCTGCTTGGTCATGATGAATGATCTTTTTAATGCACTGTTGAACTTGGTTTGCTAGTATTTTGTTGAAGATATTTGCATCAATATTCATCAGAGTTAACTGGCCTGTAGTTTCCTTATTTTGATGTTTCTTTGTATGATTTTAATATCAGGGTAATACTGGCCTCATAGAATGAATTTGGAAGCATTCCTTTCTCTTCTATTGTTTTTGAATAGTTTGAGTAGGATTGGTATTAGTTATTCCTAAGTGTTTGGTAGAATTCAGCAGTAAAGCCGTCAGGTCTTGGGCTTCTTTTTTTTAACTGGGAGACATTATTATGGCTTTGATCTTGTTACTTGTTATTGATCTGTACAGGTTTTGGATTTCTTCCTAGTTCTGTTTTGGTAGGTTGTATGTGTCTTGGAATTTGTCCATTTCTTCTAGATTTTTCAATTTATTGGTTCATAGTACCAACTAATGATCCTTTGAATGTCTGCAGTATCCATTGTAGTGTCTCTTTTTTATCTCTGATATCATTTATTTGAGTCTTGCCCAAGACCCTTCCCTTTAGGGTGGCAAGTTCTCCCAGGCCCTGGGCATGTTCACAGATGCTGTCTGGGAGCCAGGGATTAGAGTTAGCAGTTTACCTAATGTTCTATCTTAGCAGTTTACCTAATGCTTTATTCTACTGTGGCTAAGCTGGCACTCACACCTTAATACAAAATCCTTCCTGCTCTTCCCCCGACTCTTCCCACAGCAGAAAAGCCTCTCCCTGTGGCTACCACCACCACCAGAACACAGAGATTCTACCAAGGCACCAACAATGCTCACTTAAAGCCCAAGCATTCCTCAGTCAAATTGTGGTGAATACTGCCAGGCCTGAGACTCACCCTTTAGGACAGTGGGCTTCTTCTGTCCCAGAGCAAGTTCAAAGTGCTTTCCAAGAGTGCAGGCCTGGACTCAGGAACCCAAAGAGCTTGCTTGTTGCTCTAATCTTCTGTGGCCAAGTTGGTACCTGAGGTACAAGGAAAAGCTCCTTTGCTTTTCCCTGTGTTTTGCTCAAACAGAAGGAGTCTTTCACCATAGCCACCACAGCTTGTAATGTGCTGTATCTCCCCTATAGATGGAAAGTCTCAGGACCCAATGTCCATGGCATACTACCTGAGTATTGCTGCTGGTTATTCAGAGCCCAAGAGTTCTTTAGTTAGCAGGTGATGAATCCTGCCACAACTGGGTTCTTCCCTTCAAGGCAGAGGGTTCTATTTGGCCTAGAGTGTGTCTAGAAATGTCACAGAAGAGGTAGGGCCTGGAATGGGAGCCTCATAACTTTGCCCAATGTGCTGTCTTATTATGGGTGAGCTGGTATCCACAATGCAAGACAAAGTCCCCTTACTCTCCACTATCCTCTCCTGAAGCAGAAGGAAAGAGTTACTTTTGTTGCTGTCAGTTTTACTACCTGGGATTGGGGAAGGGATGGTACAAACACTCCCTTAGCTGGACTAGCTGGTGTCTCCCTAGGTAACATGTCACCATAGTCCACTGTCTCTAAACCCAGCCTAGCACTAAAAGTTGCCTAGGATTACAGACCATGTTTCCGAGACTGTCTTTCAAGTTTACCTAGGACCCCAGAACCCTTCAGCCTGCAGTGGTGAGGCTTGTCAAAAACTCAAGTTCCAAATGTTGGGATGGTTGATTTTCCTCTGGTTAGGGCTGGACCCAATGCTCCCTCCATGGGTGGGCACTGGCTATTCCCAGTATGGCAGTATGGCTTCATTCTCCAATATGGCAGGGCAGTAATGAGTTCAATATAAAGTCCCCCAGTCATTGCACTCTCTCTTCCCAAAGTGCACAGATTCTATCTCCTTTCTGTGCTGCATGGTCACTGATGGGGGATGGGGTGAGGGATGGCATCTGCAATTCAGGACTCTCTCTTCTGTCCTCCTTGATGCCTCTTTCAGCAACATGCAGTTAAAACCAAGTACTATCATTGCTCAGCTGTTTTTTCTGTTGTTTGTTTCTTGTGATGGTGTTTTTTTTTTTTATGTGTTTAGATAGTTATTAAAATTTGGTGTTCCAGATAGGGCAGGTAGTAGGTGGGAGTAGAGGATGGGGACAAATGGTGCAGGCTTCTATTCTTCTTGCTCTGTCCCTCACATTGGTATTATTTATTTCTTTAATATTTAGGAATATTTTTCATCTGCAGTTTAATCTGTGGATTCAACCTGTAGGTGGAACCTGTAGATATGGAAGGTTGAGTGTATTAACACAGTATAATTTTAAAGTCTCCAAATACTTTTTCCTTGCTAAGGTATTTGGCATTTGAGTAAAATTTTTTGAACCCTCCATATAAGCCCAGCCATAAGGTGAAAATAATAAATGACTTTAGTAAGTCAATGGCATGTTGAGTAGAAAAATTGCCCAACCAATTTCTGACTCATAAAATAATGAAACATAATAAAATCAGTGTTTTAAGCCATTCAGACAATCTCCTGTGTTTGCTGAAGCTGCTAGAACTGTCATCCGGAAAATACAATTGTATTCTTAGACTAAATCCCAAGTTCAACCATGATTTTCAAGGTGTTTCAGCACAGGAGAAATTTTAGAACTCATCCACTCCAGCTCCTGCTCATGCCAAGGGATTTTTATGGGAATTTTGAAAATAAGATACTGGAAGGTCAAAGTATACAGGCAGTTTCAGAAGTCTGGGGATGAGAGAATAAAGACAGAGACAAGAACAGTATATAATCTTGGGCTAATGATCAATTAGGCCTGAGTCTTAGTAAGTAGAAAGTCACTGGGATTGAGAAATTTTCCAGGAGCCTCGACATTTCCACTGGACACCTGAAAAACTCCTACTCATGTTTCACTTGCTGAGTGTACATGCTCTGGAAAGGAGGGGAAAAGTACGTGAATTTCAGCAGAGGCTTAGATGCAGAGGAAAACTGGTCTATCTGAAGAGTCTCAGTGAGAAAGTCACACATGTGAAGACTTCACCAACAAAGAAAGATACTAGATGTGGGTGTCTCAGCGGACTCTAAAGAGTTAGATGCTGACACTTTGAAAGCAGTAAAAATGGTATTTATTTAAAAGATAATTATGGTGATGATTAAGGACTATAAGCCCCATTATCACTACTACCATCACTACCATAGCTCCATGGAGGTTTTTTAACCCTTCAGATCTTAAATAAAACACCAAAACTCAATGAAGAAAACAAAAACTCTGACTACAACTGAAAAAAAATTAGATTGGTTGACTTTCCCCTAACATGAATTATGTTACATTTCAACCTCCAGTTTAAATAAGGACTATAGATAGAATTTATTTTTAAAAAATGAAGTACATAAATTTTTAGAGGTTTCCTTTATTGTTGGAATTTTAGTAAGTGTATCACTATTAGTAGGTTTTAACACAAGATTTAATAAACATGTTCCTTTTAAAGCCTTATTTGACCACAGTTCACATGTTAACTATTTCAGAGTCAAATATAAAAGGCCTATTTTAGAATTAGCCAGCTCTCTAAGGATGTGGTTGATTTTCATAATTTTAAATGTTATAATAAAACATATTTGTCATCTGTTTCTTGAGATATGAATATAAACTATTCTTTTACATTCGCTTATCTTCATGCATAAAGGCTCTTCTTAATCATCTTTCCCCAAGTCCTGCTGTCACAGACATGGAAAATGACATAAAACATTTTTAGTCTCCACAGGTCACTTAAAATTATCAGATGACCTAGAGGTAAATCAGTGTTGTATCACTAAACCCAAGGAGTCACTAATTTTTGTTTTAGCATAATGAAATAATATAATGTACTTTCCTTGCTTAGAGTACAATAAAATTCACTTATCTGACATATTGGGAAATGTCTCATTTATATTTTTACTTTCTTTGTTTTATGAGTACACAATTGAGTTCCAGAAGACAATAAATGACCGAAAATAATTGTTTTCAAACTATTCATAATGATCCTTTAAGAAGTCAGAATAATGTACAAGAAAAAGATTAACCCCAGACTGCATAATGCAGCAGGCCACTGTCTTTCTGTTTGCCTTTACCCTCTATGTACTTCCTTTCTCATCCTTGTCTACCAGTTTTATAATTTTTTTTATTTTTGTATTTATTTATTTATTTATTTTTTGAGATGGAGTCTTGCTCTGTTGCCCAGGCTGGAGTGCAATGGGGCAATCTCAGCTCATTGCAACCTCCATCTCCCAGGTTCAAGTGATTCTTCTGCCTCAGCCTCCCGAGTAGTTGGGATTACAAGCGCCCACCAAAATACCTGGCTAATTTTTGTATTTTTTAGTAAGGATAGGGTTTCACCATGTTGGTCAGGCTGGTCTCGAACTCCTGACCTCAGGTGATCCACCCACTTTGGCCTCCCAAAGTGTTAGGATTACAGGTGTGACCCACTGTGCCCAGCCCCAGTTTTCTAGATTTTAAAAGAACTTCCAGACTTTCCACTATAGCAGATCCTGAGGAATATGCCAAGGTTTTGATCTTCCCCTTTCTCGATTTATATAACTTAGTATGTCTTCAGGATCTGCTCGGAAACAGATCGCTTTTCCTAAGATCCCAATGGGTAAGAAAATGCTGCCTTTCTTTGCTGAGATAATGTTTGCAATTCAAGTGTTACCTTAAAGGAATGAATTTTACAGGGACCTGTGGCAAAATACTGCAGGACAAACTTTGTAAATACAGACCTGCTTTTTCATTTTGTTTCCATTTTCAATTAAAGGATCAAAAAGTAGTATGTGGAATACTAGCAAATAATAGTAAAAGAATATATAGCTTGTACTTTTACCATGACATTATTTATTACAGACTTTTTCTTTCCCAGTGAATTTATGTACCAAATATCCTCAAACCTAGATTTATTGCTTCTTTAAACATTTAGAGAACAACTTTGAATCCTTATGTCAAACTATATACTTTTACAAAACGATCCCACAAGTTGTACATATATTATGAATTAGACTAAGTAAAATGTCACAAGATTGAAAAGTTCTATTTTAAATATAAGTGTTAGTGTCTTAAAATAGTATTTGTTAGTATTTACTAGTTGTTTGAGAAAGGCAGGCCTCCATAAATTAATTTACTCATGTCTTACTTTTTTTACAGGCTTTATTTTTTAGCTACCTAGCCTTAGAAAGATAATGCTGTATTTAAAGAAAAAAAAAACACTATCTGTGATAAACCTATATATTTATATCAAAAAACTATTTTCTGTGGCTTAGAAGATAACAAAATAAATACATCCGGCCCCGCTGCCGCCATCTTTGTTACGGGCAGCCAGGCCTGGCCGGAGATGCCGAAGTCGTGCGCGGCCTGGCAGTGCTGCAACCGCTACAGCAGCCGCAGGAAGCAGCTCACCTTCCACCGCAGGTGAGGGAGAACACACACACTGCCAGTGAGAGAGGAAATGCCAGCTCTTCTCAGAAAGAAAAGGTCCTCCCTGAGGCGGGGGCCGGAGAGGACAGCCCTGGGAGAAACATGGACACTGCGCTTGAAGAGCTTCAGTTGCCCCCAAATGCCAAAGGCCCCGTAAAACAGATCTCGCCACGGAGTCCGCAAGCAGCAGAGACTGTTGGCCGGCCGGCCGGCCCTGCAGGCTTGAGAAGGCCCCCCGACAAGCAGCCATCTGATCACAGCTATGCCCTTTTGGACTTAGATTCCCTGAAGAAAAAAACTCTTCCTCACTCTGAAGGAAAATGAAACGCTCCAGAAGCGCTTGCAGGCCCAGAGGCTGGTGAAGCGAAGGATGTCCAGCTGCCTCCGTGCCTGCAAAGGGCACCGGGGACTCCAGGCCAGACTTGGGCCAGAGCAGCAGAGCTGAGCCCCACAGGCTCCGGACGCAGAGGCGGCAGTGGCACCAGGGCCGGCAGGGCTTTGGAGCTCTGGCTGTGGACATTTTTGTCTGCTGTGGACATTGAGAAAGTTGGCCGTGAGGCCTGCCGGGCGGGGGATTGAAACAGTAACCAAGCTCCCTGGCGAGAGCCCCGACGCCGTCTGAAGGACGTTTAGAGGCATGGTACTAGGACTGAGCATGACAAGCTTATCCTCCCATAGTAACAGAAGTCCAGGCTGAGGCTGATTCTGAACTCTGTCCTTTCAGCACGCGCAGAGCGAAGGTCGTTGGAAGCCCCAGTATGGGAGATGCTCCTCAGGGAGGAAGCCATGTGAGGGGGCCGGCTCTGTGGCAGGTGAGTGGGTCCCCTCCTCCATCAGCCTGGACGGCCCCTCAGAGTTCTAAAGAGTGACTCCTGTCCTGGCCTGGTGTGAGTGGGCAGTGTAATAAAGTGCCTTTCTATTTAAAAAAAAAATACATTGGGGATATATAGAAATGCGGATACAACACCCTCCTATCAAAAGTGAAACACAAATTTTAAAAACCCACAAAAATCTACATTAAGCTCAGTAACTAAAGGTTACCAGAAAAACAGAAAAAAAATTAACTCTTTAGATAAAATGTTACTAGTTTTAACATTTAAACTTTATTTCAAACTTAACATGTCTAAAAAGAAATTTTATTTACCTCTTGCACACCCACCCACATCTGTTCCTTCTTGCCTTGCCCATCTTGGAAAATGACATTAGGTTTTCCATTGTTATTTAAACTTAAATCCTATAAACCATTTTTGAAAATGTTCAGTTATACTGTATATTCAATTTCTCAGCAAGTCGTTTGTTTCATCTTCAAAATATTTCCCGAAACTGTGTTTTCTCATTACCATGATTGATTCTGCCCTTTTCCAAATGACCGTCATCTTTCCTAAACCAGGTAATGTCTTCTTAATGACACAGTTTCAACTCCTTTCCACCTACTGACACTTTTCCACTCAGCAGCCAGACTGATCATTCATAATTGTACATCAGATTACACCACTCCTCCACTCAGATCTCCTGAGCCTTCTTATCTACTCACAGCAAAAGGCAAATTTTTCCACACCAAGGAAGCTCTGCATGACCCAACACATGCCTGCCCTTCCAACCTTGTCTCTCATATGGTTCTAGGTTATTCACTTCATTTGCCACACCTATTTCTGACTTAACTTTTGATAAGCTAAGATTGTTCTGATTTCAGATTTTGCACTTTATTTCTTCTTTGCCAGGAATGTTCATTCCCCATAAAGCTCATTTTCTTACTGTATTCAGAGTTCTATTCAACTGTCCTCTGTGGATCATCCCATGAAAAATTCTCTAGCCTTTGCTCTGCTTTGTTTTCTATAAACAATTTATTGTCCTATTATCATATTTTTCTATATTTGTTTAGTTGCTTATTATTTGCTCCCTTGGCAAGGACATAAACTGAGAGATTTGGCTAGTGGGTCCTTCTTTGTTTCCTCAGAAACAAGGAATTACACATAGTAGGTGCTCATTAAACATTTGTTAAATAAGTACACTAACAAACAATTGCAGTAAACATTCCCACTCTAACGCAACAGAAAGTTTCCAGGCCTACAGACTTTAATTTCAGTACTTCATAGAAAAGTTAATTTGGATGAGAGTAAATATTTTATTATATTTTAATCTGCATGTTTTATCTTTAATTTCAGGTGTAGAGAAAACATACTAGTATTTATTTCAAAAAATGTATTTTGTATCATCACTTCAATACAAATAATGGTCAGTAAGAGTGATTCATTTTGTTAGGGGAGAGGATAGATAACATGACTCTAGAGATGACAATGCTGGGTATAATATTTATAAATTAGGTTCATTATCTGATAAATATAAAATCTTAGGATATAAATTTGAAAAATTCTGCAGTATATGGAGGAACTTTAATATCAGCAGGCAAAGAAAAGTCAACTTCTTGTTAGTATTTGGGGGAGATACATGTCAGTGTTCCTTAATAACCAAAGTATGAAATTTAACTCCAAATGATGTAAAGTTTAAAAACACAACCAACACCACAGATCGATTTTCTCAGTAGGGGATCATTTTGTCCACCAGGGAATCTTCAACAGTGTCTGGAGACATTTTAGGTTGTTGCAACTTGGAGAAGCGTGCCACTTGGCATTTAAAGGGGAGAGGCCAGGGGTATTAGTCCATTTTCACACTCCCATAAAGAAATACCCAACACTGGGTAATTTATAAAGGAAAGAGGTTTAATTGACTCACAGTTTTGCATGGATAGGGAGGCCTCAAGAAACTTACAATCACGATGGAAGGCGAAGGAGAAGCAAATGCATCCTTCTTCATAAAGCACCAGGAAAGACTGGAGAGCAGGGAAAACCACAACTTATAAAATCATCAGATCTTGTGAGAACTTCCTCAGGATCACAAGAACAGGATGGAGGAAACCATCCCCATGATCCAAACACTTTCCACCAGGTCCCTCCGTCAATATGTGGGAATTACAGTTCAAGATGAGATTTGGGTGGGGATGCAGAGCCAAACCATATCATTCTACCTCTGGCCTCTCCCAAAGTTCATGCCATTTTCACATTTCAAAACCAAGCATGCCTTCCCAACAGTCCACCAAAGTCTTAACTCATTCCAGCCTTAACCCAAAAGTCCAAGTCCAAAGTCTCATCTGAGACAAGGCAGGTCCCTTACGCCTATGGGCCTGTAAAATCAAAAACAAGTTATTTACTTCCAAGAATCAATGGGGGTACAGGCATTGAGTAAATATTCTCATTCCAAATGGGGTAAATTGGCCAAAACAAAGGGGCTTTGCTCAGGGATAAGTTATAGTACTCTTGGCCATGAGTTCAATGTTAATGAATCAACAATATATATTAAATAATGTTTCATTAAACAGAAATACACATAAAATCAAGTTTATTGATCATTTGATGAAAATTTTACAAACAAGGCTTGAAGAAACCTAACCATGTATTTTCCCTAAGGCTAATGATTCAGCATTTTCTACTTCAGTGCTCATGGGGACATTATAGTAGACCATAACTTGACTAACGTAGTGACTTGTTAGACCATAATTACCAAGCATAACAAGAATCAACTGTATATGCTTTATTTGTATTATTTTCCACGTAATACACTTTTAAATATTATTTTGTCTTGCTTTAATGTTCAGATTGTAATAGCATAAAATATGTAATAACAATAGGCTGGGCACGTTGGCTCAGGCCTGTGATCCCAGCACTTTGGGAGGCCGAGGAGGGCAGATCACAAGGTCAAGAGATCAAGACCATCCTGGCCAACATGGTGAAACTCCATCTCTACTAAAAGTACAAAAATTAGCTGGGCGTGGTGGCATGTGCCTAGTCCCAGGTACTCAGGATGCTGAGGCAGGAGAGGATCACTTGAGACCAGTGGGCGGAGGTTACAGTGAGTCAAGATTGCATCACTTCAGCCTGGCAACAGAGCAAGACTGTGTCTCAAAAACAAAGAACCAAAGGAAAAAAAAAAAAAAAAAAAATATATATATATATATATATATATATATATATATATATATATATATGTATACACACACACACACGGCCATTTGTTTTCTTTACTCAGTCTTTTATAAAAACTATGATAAGTAGGATTAACCATATGTATTAATCAAGACTTTTCTGTGAAACCTCGTCTCTTTTAAAAATACAAAAAATTAGCCGGGCATGGCAGCGGGCACCTGTAATCCCACCTACTTGGGAGGCTAAGGCGGGAGAGTGGCGTGAACCCGGGAGGCAGAGCTTGCAGCGAGCCAAGATCACACCACTGCACTCCAGCCTGGGCGACAGAGCAAGACTCTGTCTCAAAAAAAAAAAAAATCAATTATATATATACATATATCTATATAAAGAGTTCCATTGACCAAGGGCTGGAGAAGATGGATGTCTTAGCACAAGAAAGAAGATAAAACTCATGCTTTCTCTTCTTTGTTCTTCTGTCAAGGCCCCCAGTGGGCTGGATGATGCTTGCTCATATTTGTAAGTGTGAATCTTCTTTACTCAGTCTATGATTTAAAAGATCATCTCTTCCGGAAACACTCTCCTAGAAACACCCAGAAATAACATGTTACAAGGTATCTGAGTGTCCCTTAACCTAGTCAAGTTGACACATAAAATTAACTATTATGGCCAGGCGTGATGGCTCACGCCTGTAATCCCAGCACTTTTCGAGGCCAAGGCAGGGGGATCACGAGGTCAGCAGATGGAGACCATCCTGGCCAACACTGTGAAATCTCGTCTCTACTAAAAATACAAAAATTAGCTGGACGTGGTGGCACGTGCCTGTAATCCCAGCTACTCAGGAGGCTGAGGCAGGAGAACCAGCTTGAACCACTGAGTCGGAGGTTGTAGTGAGCCGAGATCACACCACTGCACTCCAGCCTGGTGACACAGTGAGACTCTGTCTCAAAAAAAAAGAAAAAAAAAATTAACTATTACACCATATATAATATTACTTACAGGCAGTCATCTAGAAGACGTAAAATGGAGAATGCTTAAATTATATTGTCTTAAATTACTTGATTAAAGGAACATTTCCCCCCATAAATGGTATTTATATCATCATGTGATATTTTGTAATCATTTTAAGTAATGTACAATTCATAGACTATCAAAATGGAACATATCTGTTATAGAATTTTAAAAGAATTTTCTAAAAGTTCTAGTCTAATTTTGACTTTGACAACAAATAACAAGTTCTAAACTAATTTCCATTTTTACTTGTTAAATGTGCTTTTAGCTTCTGAGCTGTCATTAATAAAATAGAAAACATAAATATGTATATAATGTAAAATTTATATGTAAATAAGTACATGTATAAATTAAAGATTCAAGAGAGAGGTTTAAAAACATAAAAAATAAAATTTGAAATATGTTTCATTTGCCATATGGGTCACTCCATTTTATTTAGGCTTAAATAACCTGAGTTCTAAACTAGCAAAATGGTTGATATTATTTTGATAACTGAGTATATTACTGAAATTTCTAAATAAATGAAAATGTTCAGGACTTTTTTTGATAAACAAATTTCAAACAAAATTGATTTCTGAATTAATATTAAGCAAATAAGGCTGATTGATGATACTTGATAAATACAGTGTTTTACTTGTTCCTATTTGTCATGAGCCATATGTTGCCATCAGGTAAAAATGCAAAAAATAAAAATAGTAATAAAAGGTAGGCTTTTTATCACGGAGAAAAGAGATTCTAGAATATTAGCTCCCTATCACAGTGAGATGCACAAAATAGGCACTCAATAAATATATGCTGGATGAATTGATGCATGCATGAATAAATGAATTTTCTTGAAATATAAATTATTTTGACCATAATTTACACCACTTTGATATAATGATAAAGGATGAGCATCTTAAGATAATCTGGCAATTTTAAGAAATTTCAAATTTGTAAATGTGGTATGGATATCTACTATTTGTATGTTTATCTGTTTTCTTACAGGTGTGTCAATAAATGTATATTCCAACTCTTCTATTTCTAAAATTTCTTTCCATGTCTTTTAAGGAACCCTACCAAAAAGAACAAATGAAATCTATACAATTCTTTCTCATATTGACTTGTTTCCCAGCTCACACTTTTTCACCTGTTTCACACATAAAAGCAATATTTGCCTATGAATCTTTGGATGGTTTGGTTATTTCT
Organism: Homo sapiens; assembly: GCF_000001405.40. Classification (NCBI taxonomy): domain Eukaryota; kingdom Metazoa; phylum Chordata; class Mammalia; order Primates; family Hominidae; genus Homo; species Homo sapiens. Next base: position 104,079,269 of record NC_000001.11, read on the forward strand.
AAGCCAGTTAAGTTCTCACAGTTAAAAAAATTGTATAATATATTTCTCTTTCTGAAATTTGGATTGGATCCAGCTCAGACCTTGGAATATGGAATTACAACAAAACAAATCTCACCATCTGGAGGTTTTCTAGTCATAATTTCTTTACCTTTATTGTCACTGCTGTCTTTACAAATTCATAAGTACATGAGGATAAACAAACACTATTCTCAGATGAATTAGTCTGTATAATAGACATTTATGGGAAGTAAATTGCCAAGAAAACATTTACAGTGAACATGAGTTTGATGATAAGTTGTACCTTTAAAATAGAAATCAAAAATGGCAGGGCATCTAATTTTTATATTACAGACTTGGGAAGAGACATTTCTCATTTGAATAATTAAGTGTGTTGTCAATTGCAGAGCAACTAAAAACTTACCAGTTACAATTGACAACACTGTTGGAAAGATCAACCCTAGAGAAAGTCTTGCTTTTTTTCCTTAGTTGCTAAAAAGCTTCTCTAGTAGCTAAAAACTGACTTACTCTACCAATAATACCTCATAAAGACAAATCTGTACAAAAGCTTTGTATGATCATGTTCAGATACTGCAAACTTTCAGGCTAATGAAAAAGTCAAATGTAAGCTCTGTGAAGCTCAAAATCAGTGACATTTTGAAACACAAATGTTGACAATTATTCAAGGATTTGTAAATATGAGACAAAAGTTTACATTTGGAATTTTCTAATTGACTCAACATTATTTTCCTGATAATTGTTTTGGTTAAAAACTGAGGAAGGATAGAGTTGACAGGCAAATCTACTTCAAGAAGAAGAATCATTCTGAGGTTTAACTAGGGGCTTACTGAAACTGTTTAAATTATATAGAAGACAATATATTTCTCATTCCCTCTATTTCTCTCAGTATTAATCAGGAGTCATGGTGATTTTTCAGTTGTTCTGTACTTGTATTTTGTTAAAACAAGCAATCTGCGAAGATGCTAAAGGAAATTTAGGACTTTTCAAACTGAGATAGCAAAAAAAGAAGGCATAATATGGCACTAATGTACTCCCATAGGATTGATACTTTGCCTTTTAAGCAGTAAGAAACATGTTAGATTCTCCTCTGTCAATTTCTGACAAAGCCTAATTGTACATTCACCATTTAAAAATAATTGTGGATCACTAATAAGTTCTTGACACTGTGCAAGATGCTGATAAAACAGAAAAGAATAAGAAAGGATCCACATTTTCATAGGGATCATAATCTCATATAGATTCCAAGTTAGTAAATCATATTTGCATGATGATGTGATAGATACAGTAGTAAATATAATGCAAGTAGAATCAACACAATGAAGAAAATCTGATCAATCCCACTTGAGAATGAGTTGTTAGGAACACAGAAAGTTTCACAAAAAAAAGGTGACATTTGAGCTGAATTTTGAAGAACCAAAAAGATTTTGCAAGATGTAATAGAAAGAGACAGGAATTTTAGAATGAAGAAATGCAAGCAGTACCTATTATACTACAGGGGCTTATAATTGAATTGAATATATTGAGGACACAGAGTAAAATACAGTAAAAGCTTATTGGTGGTAGGGGAAGGAAATGACTGATAAGTGGAACCCACAATAATAAAAATGTAAGTTAAAAAAAGCTAAGGTTTCCTTTGAATGTAATGTTTCTATAGGGGTCAATAATATGAAGCCTAATTTGAAATACATTATCCCCTAATTTTAAGTGTGAAGACTGTAGAAGCATTTTCACCACCTTTACCAGGAGCCTATTAAATATTAAACAAACAAAAATATAATCACATAACGTACAACACTTTACTGCTGATTTCTGTGTGACTTCTTAGTAAAGAATTTTCTTTATGCACTGGTGTTAATAGTCTGATCACGTATTTTAAGAACAGAGAATTGCATTTCTAATATGTCATTGAAAGCAATTGTGAGGTAGTTTCAGACTGTTATCTTCTGAAATATTATAGGATTTCTTTGCATTAACCTGTGCACAATTGAGCTAATACATTTTGTTACCTAGAATTTCACAGATCAAATGCACACGGTATTTTATATTATCTCTCAGATTTACTAACATAATAAATGGCTAGTTTGTCTTCAATCATAGCACATATATATAACAAATTTTGCGGGTACACAATGTACTGTCTCCAAGTATAATACTGAGGTCAACTTCCAGGTTTAACAAGTTAGTTTATGCTCTTTCTCCAACCTCTAAACTCTTCTCTGTATGTCCAGTTTTGGGTTTGTGGGGATGGGTGCCAGTCTTAAAGGTACGATGATGATGGTAAACTAAAAAAGCAGGTGTTTTAACCCTCATAGCAGGTTGTTTGTTGCTATTGCATGCTCAAAAGATGGAGATCTAAGATCACTATTGAAATATAATTGTCTAAAGAGCGCCTCCATTTTGTTGTTTACCTTAAACTATGAATGTCCTGCTCTTGTTTTTCTAAAAATATGAATGGAAATTTGCATTTATGAATGAAGGATTGTTAATGCTGATAATCTAGCAGATGATCCTTTGCTACTTTGTTGTTTTATTATTTCTTCGGAAGGCCTACTCACATATAAAAGAATGACTGAGAACTCTTCACATGTCTGCAGAGCACAACACAGGGAGGGTTTCATCTTAGGCTGAGAGCAGAACTGCTGACCTTAGCCATGACTCAGACAGACCAATAAGGAAAGTTTTGAGGGTTGTCAACATTCATACTTGAAGCAGCAGATTTTTCCCAGGAAGATATTTTAATTTGTTAAATGTATCTGATATAAGATAATCCATTGCACTATAGGAGCTTATCATTGAGTTGAAAGCATTGAAGGACACAGTGAAATGTAGTGAAAACATATCATGGGAGGGGAAAGGAATAGCTGGCAAGTGAAACACAGTAAGTAGCAAGTAGGCAAGATAATCTGTACATGGACTTTATGTTTTTGAAGCACTGCTTTAAATGCTGTCTCAGAAATACGGCATAATGGGTGCTGTCTGTGGGCTCCCAAACTCCCTTCCACAGGATCAGTGCACCTTTCCCTGTCTGTTGGCTCATAATCCCCCCTCTGCCAGAGCATTACCCTCACCTGAAATGAAACTGTCTCTTTGAGGAGTTTGTATAGTAACCACAGCCCAGTAACAGACTGACTCGGGGATGTACACAGCCTGTTTCCCACTCCTCTTGCCTCAAGGTGGAACCCTAACTCTCATTCTGAGAGCACTTCTTCAATATATCACTTTTAAAACAATGACCATCTATGGCTCTGCTTTGGGATCCTGACTTGAGATGGTGCCAAAAGTGATCCTCAGAAGCAGATTGTCAAGATGGGGTTCTAAAAGTAGATCACTTGCTGTCAGGATGACAATGAAGACCTCAATAAAATAGATGAAATATCAATAGCACCTGGAATGCTGTAGCAGTGTGATTAACTAGAACAGGCTGCTTATGGAAGGGGATTCTGTAGGTCAGGCAATGTCTGTAAAGTTTCAGAGGTGTGATATAAATAATAATTATAAGGACTGTGGAATTAGATGTTTGTTGCTATGTGCCATTGATGTACTGAAAAGAAAAAATTAGAGACACATCTATGATCATCCTTGTGGGAGGGGCAGAAAGCCTCCTTAGAGTTTCTATAAGAGATTCCTGTTGCCCATAGCCAGAGGACAAACAGTGCTGAAGACCAAAGACAATACCTAATTGTAAGAATGGAAGATGTGTAAAGAAGGTTGAATTTTAAGGTAAGCAAGCGTCTGAGGCCAAAAACAGAGCCTTAATAAGGAAGGGGAGGGATCCTGAGACTTCAGATTGACAAAACTAGGTAGATGCATTTAAAAACCTGGAATTATCGGATCTAATTCTTAGCCTTAATATGCAGCCTATGCTACCTCCCTGCTATAAAGAGGCCTCATATGAAGCAGGTACCTCACAAAACAATGCTTACCCTCCTTGGGATCTGCCCTTCACCCAACATAATCATTCATAGAGAAATAATGTTTAAATTTTTCAAGCAATTTTGTTTCTAAATTAGATTTTGGGGCAAAAGTTATTTGAGTAAACAGAATTAATGTTTAAAATGCAAGAATCACTATAGGAAAGCTGATCTTTGTTTATTGTACTTAGCATGAACCATGTTAAGCACGCCAGTATTAAGGAAAACCTTACTGTGAAAGTGCTTGGACTTCTGAGTGAGGAGATGGACTATATGCTAGAGGAACTGTAAGATCTGGCTAATATGTATCAGTAGGTAAAAGGAAAATATGACCAGGAATGTATTCTGAGAGTGCTGGATCAAAGGAGACAGACCATCAGCTGAAAAAAATGGGTTTTCTGTTATGGAAGCATCCTCTCATGACAGGACTTAATACCCTGGCAAGGAGCTTGGAAAGGAGTGCTAATATACCATTTATCTGGCTCTTTTAATCTTGGAAAACCAAATAGCCCATACTAACTAAAGTAGAAATGCCAGAAATCTGTGACAGATTGGTGTAAAGAATAAAAAAGCTCCAAGAATTGGGTATACTATACTATATTATACTGTGCTATACTATACTATACTGTACTTTACTGTACTGTACTGTACTGTACTATACTATACTACACTACACTATACTATACTGGGTCCACCATGAAAAAAAACCCTAGAAATCCACAGATGAATATTTCTCAAGATGAAAAGAAATATGTTTGTAAGGAGGGCACCAGAATCTCTAAGATGAACAGTGGTTGTCCTCTCTAAGACAGGGTCGATTGGAGGAGATGTCATAACACGCCCATGAACCCATGTATTAATAGAATGTCAGGATCCAATAATAGCAAATGGTGATAAGGTCAGAATGGTAGTCAAGACAACCTGGCTCACTGTGATCTGTGGAGATACTAGTAGAACATGATAGTTCCAATTCAAGATAGATAGGCAGCCAACAAAAGTGTACATACACACACAGTGAATAAGCAGAATGCTGAAATCAGGGAAGAGTCAACATCCTGCTTTCTTGACCTGAACTAATGCTCAGAAATAGAACTTACTGACTGAAAGAGACATGGGATCTCCAAGGGGAAAGACCTTGCAACAGAGAGTAGATGACAGTTTATGCTGTTGGTGCTCTTTCCAGATCCCTTTCATTGGGCCTTTCTCCAGGTGTTGGGAATGGTGATTGCTAAGGGTACGCTGCTGTCCCTTGTACAGAGCACTGGCTTTGGAAGAAAGAGAGCTGCCTTGCTCAGGAGATTATGAACCCCTGATCCTGGGGCTGTCAGGGTTACTGATTGCCTGATTTAGGGTACAAAGGGCTGGCCCTCTTGCGCTAAGGTGGAGCCAACCTTGTGATGCAAATGATGCTCCAGAATTGAGCTAGTCTCCAGCTGAGTCCACAGCCTTGCTTAGCTTTCTTTCCTTCCCCTATCCTGTTTTTCTCTTCCCCTTCTCCCAGAAGTTTACTGTCTCCGAATTACTTTCACAAGTTATTTCACAAAACTCACTATTTCAACTTCTGCTTCTAGAGGACTCACTTTGAACCATGTTCAAAGTGAAAACCCTATATGCATCTAGGAGGCAGGAGAGGACTGATGGAAGATTTTTGCATCCTAAGTCCTCCTCTCAGTGCTTGGCATAAAGTTGAGGAAGAGTAAAAACAGTCCTGGATCTTCAGGTTGCTAGAGTGACAAGAAATTAGAGCTTCTTTGCTCCATTGTTTGTAAAACTGAGAAAATATTATGGGGTATATGACATAGTACATCCATGTATTATTAAAGTATTCATTATAGGGCCTGGCTCAGAATAAGTATTTAACACATGGAAGCTATTTTTACTGTTTATTTTTTAATAGCTGCTAGGTATTTTCTCTTCATGAGACACGTAAGATTTAATCTTACTGAATTATTGTTTAGTAATTATTATTGATAACATTAGATGAATGCATATCTATATAATAGGTACTGTCTTAGAGCATTTTTTGTACATCCCTGTGATCTTTTCAGTTACTCTGTGAGATTAGTATTATTCATATTTGTATTTTGCACATGAGGAAACTGAGGAATGAATGGATACATGGCTTGCCCAATTTCTCAGAACTGGTAAAGAGTGGAGATGGAAAGATAATCCCAAATTCTGATTCCAGAATTCACACTCAATGACCACACTATGCTGCCTCATTGCCATTAATCCTAAAGACAACACAAACAACATTTAATAAGTAACTAATTTGAATACTTGCTATAACAGCATTTCAAGAGAAAATATAAAGATTTTGCCTGCCTTAATACCATCATTGTTCTTTCAACACTTTTTTTGCGAGTATTTAATCATTCGGATAGACTATATTTGGAAAAAAACTCCCAGTAGATACCTTTCATTTTTACTCTTTGGTTCCTATTATAATGCAGAAGTGGTTTGGATAGAAAATGTGTGACTATTCTGTTTTATCAGAGGTAATTTGAAAACAGCTTGGTGCAAAATCTGCTTATAAAATAAGTCATACTTTTTTCTCTATAGAATTTGAACCTTTACACACTGATTCTTATTGTGAAGATTAGCTTTTAAGAATTATTGTATATTTTGATTTGTAGGGAATTCTTTAAATAATGCAGAAAATAAATGCCTTCTTTGAGTTGTGTCTTTTTAAAAATTTATTTTGATTTTAGAAGCCTCAAAACCTATAGTTTAAATGATATAATTCAAAATACATTTGTGGTCAATTTCATATAATCAACATATTTTCCTAGTTCTAAGTAAAGTATATTATTGGAGGCATAATTGTAATAATAGCTTACTATATGTAACTTCCATTATGCTAAGCAGCTAACCTCCACAGCAATGCTGGGAGGAATTACTATGACCCCCCGCTCTACAAATAATGAAGCCAGGAGCCCGAAGGTGTGAAACCAGCCACATTCACACAGCTGCTAAGGGGCAGAACTGAAATTGGAACACAGGAACTGTAGCTATCAAAGCCCATTTTTATTTTAATCAATATGTTACACCATTTCCCTGGAGAAGCAAGTCAGAATCACTTGATTTTTGGAAAATGCAAGACATGCAGTAGACATATGGAGAAGTAGTGAGTAGGAGAAAAAATAAATCTGTTCTCTGATAATTATGCTGATTGACAGGACTAAAAGTTCAGATAAACACTTGTGATGATTGGGCAAGCTTCTTTCCCTTGATTTGTTTTAGAATATAACTTTGAATGTCCAAACATCCAGTCATTTCAATTAATAAAAATCAGCCAAATTGTTTTCATTATTATTATATAGTTTTTAAAGAAGGGACAAGGGCAGTATGAAAAGAATATTGTGTGGGAGTCAGACAGACATAGATTTGAACTACAGTTTTGTACCTTAGGATAATTCTGAATCTACTGCTTTATTTTCCTTTCCTATAAAATGAGGATAGTATTGCCTACGATCTATGGTTGTGGAGGAGATGAAAGATTATGCACCTGGTATATGATAACCATTGTTAACATCATTATTAGCCATATTTTTATATAGTCTTTATGACAACAAAATTACAGGGGTTTGGTATTTTTTTCTTATGCTAATAACATTATGCCATATAGCAATCAATCTTTATGATCTTAAAGGTAAGTTGATTAAAGGATCTAATTAAAATAGTCTTCATGTTACTTTAGTACCTGGAAGGGTATACTTAGTATCATAGGGCTGTTGTACAAAGGACCACAACCTAGGTAACCTAAAACAACAGAAATTTATTCTCTCACAGTTCCGAAGGATGGAAGACTGAAATTAAGGTGTTGACAGGACCATGCTACCTCTAAGCCTCTATCGGAGGCTCCTTTCTTGGCTTTCCTAGTTTCTGACAGTTCCAGGCATTCTTTGGCATGTAAATACATCATTTTAATTGCTGTCTCCAATGGTCATGTGGCTGTCTTCCCCGTGCTATGTCTAAATTTCCCTCTTCTTATAAGGACACCAGTTATACTGGATTGGACTCCCACCTTACTCCAGTATGGCCTCATCTTAACTGATCACATCTGCACCTACCTTATTTCTAAATGAGATCACATTCACAGATAATAGGGTCGGGGGGTGTCTTCAACATATCTTTTTGAGGAACACCATTTGGTATTATAAAAGTACTTAAGTAAGTCATTTTTAAAAATTCTTGTCAAAGTAATGATTCTATTTCAATGAATCTGGTATTTTTCCTAGTAACAGCAGTCTTGGAATCAAACCAACATGGAATCAATCCTTCCATTTTCATTTCTGCCTCATCACCAGACTCCTCCGGGTGTTATTGTGGCTGCAGGCTTCCCCCAGACCACATAGTCTTCTGATTACTACCTTGCATCACACCTTCCATGGACAATTCCTTCATTTGGCATGGACAAGAATATTTTTGCCCAAATTATTCACTTGTTTCTGAGAATTAGAAACAGTTGTGATATTGTGACATATTCCAGTGTCTAGAAAAAGATTATTTATGAAGAGATATTTATTCATCTTCAAAATGATAATTTATAGATGCTGAAATGATCCAAAAATTGACCAGTTTTCTGAAACATACAAAATGCTCCAACATACTGATATTAATTAGGTTTGGAATATATTATGCATCTGCATGCATACTGTAGGGTATAATATTGTTAAATATAGAGCTCAGTAATTTTGTTATGAAGCAGTGTCTGTGTCCATAAAGTTTCCTGCTATCCTTGTTTGATATCATTTTCTTATTTACTGTTTGTACATGGTGTGATGTAACTGCATATCTATTTATAGCTCCTATAAATTTGCCATATTGTTATAACTTTAGTACAGACTACTAAGCAGTGGCTCAGATAATTTTTATACTAAAAATAATTTCAAAACTAATTCTGGAGTAACTGAAGATTATTTCTTATGAAAGTAAACCAGAGAAAACTTTTTTTTGGCTTATGTTCAAATTATATTTTTGTCCCGTCAAGCATTTTTAGTGCCAAAGTGCCAAATGGACGATTTTTTTTTTAAATAAATTCATCCAACAGATATTTAGTGGCACCATGGCAAGCATTTTGGTGTTAAATAGAGGCATACATGGGGGTCCTGGCCTCAGGGGATAAGATTCTAGGAGAGGGAGAATATGATGAGCCAAACTACAAACAGCTATCCACCACAATACAGGGTGAAACCAGTGTTATATAGAGATACGACGTGCTAGAAAGGATTGTCTGACTTTGCAGATGAATGAAATTTCTAGAGAGGTGAACACTAGGAGGTGGCAACAGCTTGGACCCAAGTATTAATTGAATTCATCAAATAGCTATGAAATGGATTTTATGGGCAATCATCTTTGCTTAGCGCTGAGGTAAACACAGAGATTAATTGGAAGAACTTACTCTTAATAAGTATACAGTTTATACAAATATGGAATTCAGCTGAAATAATTATAATTGAAGAAAGAATCTTTTGGAGACTAGATTCATATCTAGTTTGGCCAAAAAGATTTAATTCACCAAATGCTAAGTGCAATTTCCCATTTCATTTGCCTATTGTATTGTAGCCTAGATTTGATATCATATAATTAAAGTTAGATGGTTTCAGTTTATCATACAACTCTAGAATAATATGTATTACCCAAAAATAGACTGTTTGCTTTATCTTTATTTACAGTTCAATTTGTCTTCTTAAATGTAGTTCACTGTGGCAGATTTCCTTGATTTCTATGTTCTTTATTTTTCTCTCATTTTCCAATAATATCTAAGCCATCATACTCCAATACCACTGTACAGAGTTAATTTATTTCTGTAAAAACTTTGCTGACAAATCTGTATTATTTGGCATTTCTCACTGTAATTATTTATTTATGGTGATTCCTTGTGGGATATATATTTAGTCACATATGCTAAAATATTTTCCAAAATGTAAACTTATGATTCACAAATAATAAAATAAACATGTATTGAATATTTTTATTTAACTCATCAATTAATGAGAGGCCAGTAAATGTTAACAGTAGTTCAAAGGAGACTCCAAAGAACAGACATAATATAGGCCATAGAAATACAAAAATGAATTTGCTAATAGGTGCAAAACTAGTCAATATCCACAAAGTGGAAAGTGATTTTAATCTCAATGGGTGAAATATTTTCTCTATGGACAAGAATTATTTGTTTTACCATTAGTTTTTTATAGCTTACAAAATTTTAAGACTGCATCCAAGAGAAAGCTCAGACCTTTATAGAATTAGATATCCTTACAAGGATCTGCTAGAAAATTCTTGCATTTCCATTGACATTAATCTTTTTGACCAGTTCAAATGTTTTAGAGGTTTTCACAAGGACCTATTCATCTTTAATACCTTTTGAGTTAGCCAATTAAAAACTCCATTTATCCCCTTTCCTAATCATGTAATTAGGATTCTACCTAAAGTGGGTGTAGTATAGCAAAAAAGAGCCTTTGAGGTGGGACAAAAATTTGGGTTGGAGTCCCAGCTCTGTCATTAAATGGTTATGTAAAATTGGGCAAGTCTTACTTTCTTTGAGCTGTATTCTTTTTAGGCTGTAAAGTCAGGATGATAATATGTAGTTTAAGAATGCAAGATTAAAAACAGAAAATGATTTGTAAATGATAAAGTGGTATCTAAAAGTGAATTGCTGTTTTTATGATATTTACTGCCAGGTTTTCTCCACAGATGTACATTGCCTCAATTTGTTTTGTCCACTACTCTGCCATTAACTAGATTGCTGTGAGAATGATACCTTTCTGGAAAGAAATAAAAATAGCAAATACTTCTGCATTTAACCTTATTTTTAAAACATAATAATCAGAGAATAACTATTTGCTGTCTTGGAAGTTTATCCACCCTAAAAACCTGTATTAAATCTTTAGATATTTCTTTCTTTGTAGAAGAGTTCATGCAACAAGCTATACTTTTAAAGAAGTCTAGTTCTCTAGCTGAATGTGTGCACTAAATAAGGAGCACTGGCATAAGAATTTCATTCTGATCTACTTTTGGAAATATTTCAGTGACGAGACTAGTTTTTATATTATTTTTCTTTCGGTCAAGTTTAATAAAGGTCTGCACAGCTCTACTTTATTTAAAGAAGGAAATATATTTATAATCTATTGTATATCTGCTAATTTCTATAAGATGCACTGTTTCAATACTGTATTTTTTTATTTCTTGGACAGGTACTAATGTGAGAGGTGTAGAATTGATAATATTTTACAGTTTTTAATTAAAAATGTAAAGGCTCCTGGAGCAGAAGACCCATGTCGTATCTAGATGAAATAGTTTTGCAGGCTTTCACCTACATTAATCTTTTCAGTATAGTGATGAGTTGGAAAAGAAGATTTGATGTGAGAATCATTCAAAAGCAAATAAAATAGGAAAAAGCTGATGAATAGCAAACAGTAAGTCACTGTTTGATTAGTTTGAAAGCTTCCTTTTTGTCATAATATTTTAATGTTATGAATTGCATTATGTTCTTTTATTATTCTCCTTTCTCTCCTGCATACCACATCTATGCTATGTTTTTCATTATTGAAAAAAAAAGGGTAAGAAAGACCCAGGAAGTGGAAATTTTTTAATTTGACTGATGAGGGAAAGGCATCTTAAATATTATTCAGCGAAATAGTAACAGAGAAGTGGTAAGAAAGAAGTTAGTGAGAAACTAAGTCCATCACTGCTCTTTCTTCAGTGGATCCTAAGTGCTTGTACTACAGAAATAAGGCCCAGATTTACCCCACATTAGCTTCGCTCTCCTGGACAACTGCCTCAACTGTGTTATATTAGTAAAGTGGAGGAGGGCAAAAAAAAAAAATATTGTGATAGCATGTAACACAAATTTTCATTTTTGCCTCAGATTTTTAGCAGATGCTCCAAAAGTCAATTTAGTAATTGCAAAACATCCTTATATACTTCAGTGAAATGCCAGATGACCTATGAATGATATTCAAATACATTTTGAAGGCAGTTTTATAAGCTGAGACTCATCACTCACCACCTGTAATAAAGATGATGGCATGGAATATATTGGAGGTTTGATGAGGCTGTTGAGAATCTGTTTAGTAAGAATAGTCAGTGTGCAGTTTGCTTTTATGTTCCTTTGGGAAAGGAAATCTGGTTGGAGTGGGAAAATCAGGGAAGTTTTGGCATACGCTAGACTCAGAAAATTTCAACATCCCGTGCCACACACACAAATTACATGTGAGCTAAAACACAATATTGGGAGTTAATTTGTTATTTCATTGTTATGTCTAGGTTTTTTGCTAAAAGGTAATTAAGTAAATTCTTCTTCAGGCTTCTGTTTCTAACAGCCACATAAGACAATACTTTTTTTATCATACAAAAATCCATACATAAATTATTATGAGTATTCAAAGACTTATTTGAAATGTCTAGAAAATGATAGGGATTCAATAAATATTTATTGAATTTATAAATTGATGTCAGATTTTAGATAGAACTGGAAAACTTATAGCAGGGGATTCAGGAGCATCTCACTAAGGAACTTGTCCTAAGGAAGAAAGAGCCAGGGATGATGGTGTTAACCTTATAATAAAATACAAAACCTCAGGCAAGAATCTTGAGAGTGTTGGCTGCTTTCAGAGTCCATACTAGCTATCCTGGATCTATATCTGGGTCCCGGGAATAAAGGGGACTGAAAGAAAAGTCTTATTTAGCTCTAAAATGCATTGCGGGGGTGAGGGGTCCTCTAAATGAGTACAGTACCAAAGAGAAACCTACTCTCCCTGACCGCATCCTTTTCTCTCTTCTTGCCTTGATCTGGGGTGACATAGACCTATATGAAGCTTTGGCAGTTCAAAGGGTCAGAGAGACCCCTCAAAGAAAGATACTGGCCTTGTTGAACAGCTGGACTGACAGGCCCAAGTGAATGAACACCCATGCCCCTGGAAACTGTGCATTAGAGGAGAAAACAGAGAAACTTCCTTTGGGCCTGACTGGGTATTCAGTGACCATCAGGTCATTTCATTTGGTAAGTGTAATGTTGAGTATAAGCATGGCTTGAAGAATTACTGGGGAGTTGGCAGCAGGCTGAAGTCAGCAGATTTTTGAAGGAACTGGCATAATATGCATACCTTGTTTAAAGTAGAGTTATACCCTACAGAAGGGTGAGAAATGAAGGAATGCTATTAACAGAGAATAAGCTCATTTATTTAAGGTTAGATTGAATTTTCCAAATCTCTTGAAGAAGTAGGGAGATCAGTGCAGCTGAGTTGACTATATGAGGATTTATTTTAACAGCATGGTAGTGAATAAATTAGTCATTTGTAAGTGCCATCCTTCTATAATATTAGCGTGGTCAGAAATCTATTCTGTTGCAATTTCTAGTTCCACAAAAAAGGATTTATATGGCAATGAAACCCTGAAAACACAGCCTATCTGTATCTGATATGCCACTAGGTAGTTTAAAAAAAAAAAAGGAAGAAAGAGCTAAAACAAAACAAGCACCTATGGCTCAATGCCCAATCATTTTATTTCCTTGGATAAAGCTGTTGGATATGAACACCTGCATGTTTTCCAACATGATCTCATTTTATAATGAGCCTTTGGTGAGTATATTGTGGTTCCAGGTGTCATTGTCTTTTCATTCTTTGGCATCCAGAAATGTAGCATTTGCATGACAAATGATTGCATTGGTTTTGGCAGTAAAGGGCCATTCTGCTGTGGGAAGATATGCAGAAAGGAACCTGCAGTGAGGCTAGTTTAAGGTAACTCTTATTTGGTTGGCTAGCTTCTTTTGGACTTCGCTGTTCTATCTGTGAGGTAAAGTCCCTGGATGTGTCAGTTCACATTGCAGCTGTGGCAATAAATGGTAAGCAAAGTAGTTGCTGCTACTCTTTGAGTTAATCTGCTTTTTTGTTAGTCATCTAGCAGATGCTTCTGCTATATAAATGGAACAGACTCTCTATTTGTGAAAAATGTAAAGTGGATAAGTGATGACACATCTTAACATTCCTCCAGTTCATTTCAAGTATTTATGAAAATTGAAATATAACTCCCCATAAAACTGATTAAGTTTTGCAAATATGTAATCCACCCCTAATACTTGTTTTTTTTTTCCCAAAAGTCTGAATTGTAAGTTGAGGAATAAAATATGTAGTTAAGAGAAATGGTGTTTATAAATCAGGTAGACAAGTAGACTCTTCTCCATCTCCTACTTCTAAACTATTACTTTGCTTTGTAAACCAAAAAGTATCTGAGACAAGTCTCAATCAATTGGTTAAGGACATGCCTGCAAAACATCCTCAGGAGGTTCTGACAACATGTGCCCAAGGTGGTCAAGTTACAGTTTGGTTTCATACATTTGAGGGAGACATAAGACACCAATCAATACATGTAAGATGTACTTTGGTTTGATATGGGAATGCAGGACAACTTGAAGCCAGGAGTTGGTGGGGGTAGGTGGAGTCAACGATTTTTCTGATTGGCAATTGGTTGAAAGAGTTTATTTAAAGGAATGGAGTCAATAGAAGTGAGTGTCTGGGTTATGATAAGAGGTTGTAGAGACTAAGGTTCTCATTACGCAGATGAAGCCCTCATGTAGCAGGCTTCAGAGAGAATAGATTGTAAGTGTTTCTTATCAGACTTAGAATCTGTTCTATCAGGTTTAAGATCTCTGTTTTAACATTAATACTGATCAGCTGTGTCTGAATTTCAATGGGAGAAAGGTATAATGAGTCCTGTCTGACCACCTATTCCCATCATGGCCTGCACTAGTGTTTCAAGTTTACTTTAGAATGCTCTTGGCCAAAAGGAGGGTCCGTTAAGTTGGTTGGTAAACTTAGAATTTTATTTTTGTTTCACAGCTTCAAAATAATCACATGGAACAAAAATTGTGTGGAAAAGATATATTTAAAAACATTCTTTTGGTCTTTCATTAGGTGTCTAGGAAGGTACGTGTGACTAGATGAACAAGAAAAAAGCAAAGCAGATAGATTGAGACATGGGTGAGAGTTGGAATAAAGAAACTTTAAAAGCCCCATTTAAAATCACAGGAAAATAAAAAATACTCAAGCTGAAATCCTGGTTAGATGATACTGTTTAATACTCATACAGTTGTTGACAAAAAGAGTCAAACTCTGTAAAACATTTGAGGAGATATATTCTGAGCCAAATATGTGTAACCAATGGCCTATTACACAGCCCCAGGAGATCATAAGAACATGTGCCCAAGGTGGCCAGTCTACAGCTTGGTTTTACACATTTTAGGGAGACGTAAGACTTCAATCAATACATGTAAGATGTATATTGGTTCCATCTGGAAAGGCAGGACAGCTCGAAGCAGGGACTTCCAGGTCATAGGCATTTCAAAGATTTTCTAATTGGCAATTGGTTAAAAGAGTTATCATCTAAATACTTATTATCAGACAAAAATAATCTGTTATATCAGCCTGAAGGTCTTTGTGTTGATGTTAATGCTGGTCAGTTGTGCCCACATTTCAAAAGGATAGTGGGTATAATGAGGCATGTCTGACTCCCCCTTCCCATTATGGCTTGAACTAGTTTTCCAGGTTAACAACTTTGGAATGTCTTTGGACCACAGGAGGGGTCCATTCACATGGGTGAGGGGCTTAGAATTTTATTTTTGGTTTACGTACTCATGAAATAAATCTTACTAAATTCTCACGAAGTGCAAGCATGATGTTAGATGCTGGAAGTAAATTTCCTGTCCTCTAGGAGTGTACAAACTTGTTGAGGAGAGAGAAGTTTTAAACGTATGATATAGCTGCCAACTCTAATTTTTTTATTATCTAAAGAGAGATTCTAAAATGCTCACAGAGCAGGTTAAGTGCCTTTGAGAATTTATTTATGTACGAACTTAGGTAAAGTCTCACAGATTTATATTTCCAACTTCTTTTTTAAAGTTTCAAGTATTCAACTGTATACTCAATACTTCCACTTTCATGTTTCAAGGGCACATACTATTTAACATGTTTAAAAACTAACTCATTATCCTCTAACAAAAAAATAGCTCCTGTTTCAATGTTTTCTATCTTATTAACTGATCCTACTATAAATCCTGTTACAAGAAAACACAAGTCCTGTGTTCCTTTGAATCTTTCTTCCTCACCTATATATCCAATTTACACCAATTCTTGTCTCATTTAACTGCTAAGTATCTTAAATCTGAGCATATCTCCTTCCCAAGTGCTGCCACTCTATTCAAAGCTAAAATTTCTACGATTTGGATTCTGCCATTGGCCTACAACTTTGGCTCTCCCTCATTCTTTCTCTATCCTGCTGGCAGAATAACTTTTTCAAAATGCAGTTTATATGTTATCTCTCTAAAGAAAAAGCTTTCCATGTCTGCTATGCTCTTAGGATAAAGGTCAAATTCCTTAATAAAGCAGATAGGTTCTTTTAGGAACATGTGACAGAAAAGGTAGCCCAAACTAGCTTAAGCTACGAGAGGATGTATTAGTTCACACAATACAAATCTAGGAAAGTGGCTCATTTCAGGCACAACTTGAAGCAACCGTTCCCATTTCTCCTTCATCCAGTAGAGCCGAGATGAGCCTGAGTCTCCCACTAACCCTCATTCAATGTTAATAAGAAATAATTACTTGTTGTTTTAAACCACAAGTATTTTTAGTACCCCTCTTCCAGTTTAACCTAGAGAAACCTGAATATAGAATTTGGTATCCAAGCAATGGCGTGCTGCTAAAACAAAACACCAATGTATGTGGCATTTGCTACAGGCTGGAGGAAGGCAGTGAGGACACTAAAATAGTATGCTGGAAAAAGAGAGACCACGGGATGCTGTAGCGAAATACTTGGTAAAATGATCACTTACAAGGGAGAAGATGTACTTAATAAACTTTGAGGTTTAGAGGTAAAGTTTTGGAGCAAAATGTTGGCAGTTTGAGTTGGCCAGTATTTGTTCTACTTGAAAAGGTAAACCAAGTAAGAAATAAGCTCAGGAAAAAAATGGTTAGTTTTGAAGTAGGGAAAGAAGGGAACATATTTAGAGATTTTTCAGGGCTGATAAAAACATTTATCCTTCATCTCCAGTTGGTAAAAGATTCTCAAATCGAGGTCAAAGCTAAAGATAAAATCCAAATCAAGGTGTGCCCACGGACACATAACCTGGAGACAAAGACTAAATAAAAAGCACAAGTGTCAAAACTTTTCTTAAGTCTGATTGTATCAAGTAACCCTGAAAAATAATTTCCTTTGGACAAAATTTCTTACAGATGGGAGTACACCTTTGTGGTTTTGTGGAAGCTTGATGTATTAGTCAGCTCAGGCTGCCATAACAAATTACCGAACTGGGTGGTTTAAAAACAGATTATTTCTCAGTTTTGGAAGCTGGAAGTCCAAGATTAGGTGCCATCACAGCCAGGTTCTGGTGAGGTTCTTGCTTGCATGCAGATGACCACCTTCTCACTGTTTCCTCACATAACAAAGAGAGTGACCTTAAGAGAAGAGGGTTTCTTTTCTTAAAAATACTGATCTCATCATGAGAGCCCTACCCTCATGGCCTCATCTAAACCTAATCAGCTTCAGAAGCCACGACTCCAAATACCATCACATTGGAGTTTCAACATAGAAATGTTTGGGAATGGGGCACAATTTAGTCTATAGCATCCGATAAACAGAAATAATTTATAATTACGTCTAAAAAGAGTGTGAGAAAGCCCCTGTCTCAGAAAGAATTGCAGATGTGGGTATTGGCACATAAAGCTGACTGGAATCAAAGAAATAAATGCTAGCAAAATTTTTGAGCATTGCATTGTCAAAAGTGCTGTGTATCTTGATGAAAATGACTAAATATTTTTGACATAAAATGTCCCTTAGTCTCTCAGCCCTCTATGGGTAGAAAAAGACTGAGAAATTTATTCAATAATAAGGTAGGCACATCCTCAATGCCTTTTGAAGCTATGACCAAAGAGAATATCCTCAAAGAAAAAGCCAAGTTCCCTGGAGAACAAAGAATAGAATAGTCAATTCTAGGGAACAGAACTGGAGCTTGATCAGGAAGCATTACCTATACAAGGTTAGGGGCAATCTCCTATTTGTCCAATGTGATTTCAGAATTTCACAAAAACTGGTGATTACTGTAAATATTTATTTTCCTTGCTTCTATATGAATATTCATTGTAATTATCTTGTCCCTGTTCCCTCACTGTACTTTGGATATATAGGGGATCAGATAGCTTTTCTTTTTAATTAGAAGTTCTTTGATTCAAGAAAAACCCTAACAGCATCTAATTTGGATTAAAAGTCTTGGTTTTTAAGCCTTTTCAAAGTTTTAGATGAGGCATTAAGTGGCTTGGGGATGGAATAAGTATATATTTTGCCTGAAGTATGGAAGTTAATGTTATGTTAGATTGTATTATTAGTTTAAAATTATACGTTTCCTCTTCATACTTGTCATGCTTCCTGGTACCACTGAATTTGGGATTGGCCATGTGGCATACATTTGCCAATTCAGTATGAACACTTGGGACTTTTGACAAATCTGATCCGAAGATTTAATTGTAACTGAAATGGCTTTACTGGGGTCCTCTTGCTCTAGCACTCCCTCATCAGCACTTTTCTGAGATAGAAGCACCTGCTTCAGCCTAGATTCTGGATTGGGAATGTATATAAAGCCAAGTCTCGGTCAACCAAAGCAAAGCCCAACACAACCACAATTCACCTGAAATCCTTATGTAACATATATGACAAATAAATCATTTTTAAATATTGAGATTTATAAAAATTGTTTAAATGTATAGTCCAGGAAATTCAGATTGCAGAGATTTTTAATTTTAATGAGATAATAAAATGGTTATAATATAATGTTGAGTGATAATAGCAGGGTTGGAAGTGTTGTCTATAGAATAATCCTGATTATATAGAAGAAAATTTTCAGAGCTATATGTATTCATCATATGAGAAAAAAACAGTGCAGCATCAACAATTGTTATTTTTGGACAGCAGACTGAAGAGAGATTTAGGGCTTTGTATTCAGAAGATCTAGATTCAATTTGCTGTTCAGCCACTCACTAGCCATGTGATTTTGAGGGGAGCAGTTCAAGTTCTCTGCTTCAGATTCTTCATTTTTAACAGTATCTTTGTGTGCCTTGGTTGGTTATTGTGAGATTAGGTAAGACATGAGTATATAGGTATTAATATGTGTAAATGAATTAGTAAAATATGTCAGAGTAATCTCTTGATAAATTCTAGTTATTATGATTATTTCAATATTATTATACAATATTTCTGTATTTCCAATTTTTTTTCTATGGGAATGTTACTTTTTTTAGTCAAACAAAAAAATCAAAATCAATAAGGTAGAAAACTTAAATTGCCAAGTTCTAATATAAAAAATAGCACTTTAAATGGCTTATTGATGAGAGGTAATGGTACCTAGCCAAAAGGCATAGTGGGGAGACAGCAGACAACTACAAAGCAGAAGCATGCTGGAGCCATTCTGATTAACGGCGCATGGTGGTCAGAGAAGCTGGCTGATTATTCACCATGTATTGTAAGGAATATGTTGAAAGTGACCCAGAAATGAGAAAAAGGACAGAGGAGTCATTGGAAAAGATAGTTCGCTTTGGAAACTTTAGAACGTTCTTTGCACCCAGTGGGATGTAGTTTGATGAAGTCCTGGCTTATGTGCCAGGAAAAATACCTAATGAAGGCTTGATGCCTGCAGAGAGAAAACAGGCTGATATCTCAGCTTTCACACCTCTTTAATGGGAAATAACCAGTAGATGGTGACTTTTCAGCAGAGTTAGAGGATCTCTTAACTATTGGTACTTACAAGGTCTCCTGTAAAATCAAAAGGATTTTCTGACGTCAAAGCTGTTGTAAAGTTGCTGTGTCAGCAGTGAATTAAAAAAAAAAAAAAAAAAAAAAAGGCCATTATCCTTAGCAAACAGCACAAGAACAGAAAACCAAAAACCGCATGTTCTCACTTATGAGTAGGAGCTAAATGATGAGAACACATGGACACACAGAGGGGAACAACAGGTACTGGGGTCTATTGGACGTTTGAGAGTGGGAGGAGGGAGAAGATTAGGAAAAATAACTAATGGGTACTAGACTTAATACCTGGGTGATGAGATGGTCTGTACAACAAACTCGCATAACACACATTTACCTATGTAACAAACCTGCATGTGTACCACTGAACTTAAAATAAAAGTTAAAAAAAAAAAAAAGCCCAGGCTGTTTCTGCAAGAACTAGAAGCATAAATATTAATTATAAGTATGTTCAGAACCAATATATACTATGGGTAATACAACAACCTAAGTCTACTCCTAAATTACTCCATGACTTTGTAATAATGGTTAGCATCTTGAGATATCAAAATATTCATTTATATAAAATTGATTGTGTTTGTTATATGATCTTTTAGATCCTTTTTCTTCCTAATCTTTTTGTATGCTTTAATTTCTTTACATTTTGATACAGAAGCATATTTCATTTAACATTAATGTATAATAATAAGTAATTGATGCTTAAAAATAGACACTTTCAAAATTGAAGTATAACATCACACAGTTTACAGGTCACATGTAGACAGCTCAGTGAATTTCCACAAGTGCACACCCATGTAACCATTACTCAGATCAAGAAATAGAACATTACTAGCCACCCAGATGTTCCTCTCATAGGGTAGTAACTCATCCTTTGAATTACCACCTTTTCCCAGGGTAATCACTAACCTGACCTACAACAGAAATTATTTTTGCCTGTTCTTGAACTTTATAGAAATGGAATCATATAGCATTTTTTTTTTGTTTTCCATGTGACTTTCTTCACTCAACATTATAGCTATCAAATTTTAACAGGAATGTTTAAAACAACAAATAGGTAATATTTTAATTGATAAGGCACAGATGGATAATTAATGCCTAACTGCATTGTTAAATACACAATCCAAAAAAAGCACTACCTTGTGGTAGCTATTTTCTCATATTTTATTTTCCTCCTAATGTGGCAGCCTCAGGGCGGTGCTTCAGTGAGCAAGGGGAGCATCTCATAGCCTTTTCTTACTTAGCCTTGGGGATTAGGCAGTGTCACATCAGTCACATTCTATAGTTACAAGGAAGTAATAAAGTTACCAGATTCAAGGGAAAGGAATTAGACTCCACCCTTGAAGGGAGTCTCAAGTTTCTAGAACAGAAGCTGGCAAACTCTCTGCAAAAGATCAAAGAGTGCGTATTTTAGACTTTGCAGGCCACATGCAATCCCTTTCACATATTATTTTTCAATAGAATACAAAAATCTTGGTTGTGGGTAGTAAAAAAAAAAAGCAAACAGGCAATTCAAATCTAGGTGGATTTAGTCTGTAGGCTGTAGTTTGTTGGTTCTAGAATAATATAGGAGATGAAAGACATTGTAGCCATCATTAGAAAACAATATGCCACAAAATGAACATGAAAGAAACCTCCAGGCATGTGACAAGATGACCACTGTGGCTGGATAGGAGAGTGTGTAAAATAGAGTGAAAAAGCAACAAAATGTAAAGTAAATAGATCATGAATACTTAATTTTTATTTTATTCTATACCTCATTGTCAGTTCTTATATTAAACAGCTAAATTTTGCAGGCTGTGTGACACATTGCAAATATCTAGGTAATATTCAGCCTGACATAGACTCTTTTTTTTTTTTTTTTTTTTTGAGACAGAGTCTCGTGATGTCGCCCAGGCTGGAGTGCAGTGGCGCGATCTCCGGTCACTGCAAGCTCCGCCTACCGGGTTCACGCCATTCACCTGCCCCAGCCTCCTGAGTAGCTGGGACTACAGGCGCCTGCCACCACGCCTGGCTTTTTTTTTTTTTTTTTTTTTTTTGTATTTTTAGTGGAGACAGGGTTTCACCTTGTTAGCCAGGATGGTCTCCATCTCCTGACCTTGTGATCCGCCGGTCTCGGCCTCCCAAAGTTCTGGGATTACAGGCGTGAGCAACCGTGCCCGGCCCAATCTGACATAGACTTGATTTCATATTCTGCTAAACAGATGCACACATGATAATACAAGATGATCAGTGACGTGGGAAATGTTTGTGCAAAGTACTCTCAGAGAATAGTACATAGAAGGAAAATTTAAGTTGTTTTGTGGGAAGACTTCAAAGAAGAGGGGATATTTAAACTGGTCTTTAAAAGATGAATACAAGTTGTTAAGAATAGAAAGGGAGAAAAGCAGAAGAATAAGCACAATAAAATATTCAGGAAAATACACAACGTATTTGGTAAAATGTGAGTAGATTGGGATTTCAAACGTTTAGGATCAGTGATGTGGGGATGTTAAAACCAGAGTAGATAAGGAGAATTAGTTTGAACAGTGTCTTCAATAACATACTAAAAAGTCTGAGGCTTTTGGCCAAGAGTTCTCATACCCTCTATCTTGAATTCTTAATATTTTTCAGTGGTGCCCCAGGAGGTAGGGCATAGGAAGATTCAGTGGGCACAACTCTGAGCCCTCCACCCTCTAACAAGCTCCTCCCTTCTTAGGCCAGAGAAACTCTTTCTTTATCTGGAGATATCATTGCAGAGCAAATTATATAGAGGCATTGTTAAAAAAGATTTTAAAATAAATTGATAATAATTGTTATATGCAATGGGTAGCCACCAGGTGTTTGAAAGCTGGAGAATGCTATGCTGAGTTACACCTTTCATATTATGATTTTGTGGAGAATATGTCATTTGAAAGAGTACACATGTGAAGCAGGGAGACCAGTTAGGAAGTAGGCAATTTGGAAAGTCTCAATTAAAGGTAGTCGTAGTGCAGATTTTAATAAATATATTCAGGAAGTATTTTTAAAGCAATCAAGGACTAATTGGATATGAATTAAAGGGAAAAAGTGGAGTCAAATATTATTTTTTAGATGAATGCAAAATTATCTTTGATGCAAATAAAATTTAAAAAGGAGATTTGTAATTTGAGGAATGTAATCAAATGTATTAAGAATATATTATGTTGGGGGTGTTATTAGAATAACAGTACTTAATAAGCAGTTGAGAATACATATTGGAGCATGAAATAAATTAGAAAATCTTCAACAGACAGAACATAGCTAAAAAATTAGGAGCAGATAAGATACTATCCCAGTGTGATATATGCAACAAAAAAGAAAAGTAAATGAGACCGAACTCTAGGGAGTCAGTCACTTAAGGGCTAGAGAAAGAGTAAAAAGAACAATTGAGAAATATAGAAGATGAATGAGGAGAGAACACTTGGATAATCTAAATAAAAACAGAACCTTGAGAAACAAATAGTCAACAGAACCAAAGTCATTAGAAATGAAATAACGTAGAACGATAATACAAAAGAAGCCACCAGATGGGAAGGTGAGCAACTGATGAGGGAGTTTTGCAAAAGTTTCTGTAGATGGCTGAAAGAGAAGTTTATTAGGTAGGCACAATGCCTTAATATTTTATTCATCTCACATGTAATATTACTTCCTGGATTGATTTAAACTCATTTACAATTAGAAATGGAAAAATTAGCTCTGTTTGGAGTACTCAAAGAAGTAAAAATCAGTATCATAGAAAAATTATTAAAATTTTAAATTTCAATTTAAAAATATATTTAAAATAAAGGTACATTAAAATAAATTCTTAAAAATGTTCAAGTTTTAAATGTAAACTAATTTTTTTATAAAAATAGGTGTTGAATGAAATATTGAAATAGCATACTACATATTTAGGATAATTTAAATGGAATAATAAACACAGACATTCTGATAAAACTACTAGATTATAAGAAAAGAAAAATATTTTGGAGGCCTCTAAGAAAAGTCCCTTGCAAGTGAGGGAAATTAGATTATTATTAGACTTTTCGATAACAATAATCTTATGCCAGAAGACAATGGAATAGCACATTCAGTACTCTAGGAGAGAAAAATGTAAGCCAACAATTTTATATTCAGCCAACTTACTTTTCAAATATAAAGATGTGTACACTGTGATAAATATACAAGGACTCAGGCAAGGGTATTCCCACAGTCATTTCCTTGGGAAATATTTTTATAAGCACTTTCTGAAAAATCTATTAAAGAATAAGATTAGATAGCCAAATGCCAGAATAGACATCAACATAAATACTGATGATAAACATAAAAATACATTTTCTTTCAGAACCAATACCAAATAATGATTACAAAAAAGAGTGGAGTGGTCATAATAATGGTTAAAAAAGAAAATATGAAATGGCTATATACTCTAATAAGGTAAAAAGAATATAACCATCAAAAATAAGAAGAAAGTGTGGGGGGATCATATGCAAAGTAGAATAAATGTTTTAATTCCTTATGATTTTAATTAACAGGAAATTTTTAACAACATAATATGGCATGGGAAAGGAAGGAGAGGGGAAAGAATTGGTGAATAGCTAATTTCCTTATTGTTCATAATAGGGTATCAATAGATAATGAGAAATAAAGAGAGAAAAACTTTGGCTTCATATAATTATGTATATGAAAGTAAATTTTTGAATAAAAATAAAAATCTTCCTAAATATAAAAATAAAGTAAATAAATAAACTACATAATGAAAGATTATATAAAATCATTAACACAGAAGAGAGGACAATTTTATCAATTATATCTGTAAGTACAAGTGAACTTAACACCCCTGGTAAATAAAACGATTTTCATTTTGCCTAATGAGCAGAATATTAAGTAACAAATTGGCAAAGGGATTCAAAAGAAACTAGTCAAGTAAAACATGCTGCATCCACTAATGAGATAGGGCAAAAGCATGGTGAAAGTGCCCTATAATTAGATGCAGATTATTTCTAGTTCATCTGAAGTAATCACCATCCTGAATCTTAAGTCTATTAACTCCTTTCTTTCTTTACACCATAGTTTTATTGCACATATTTGTATTACTATGGAGTATATTTTTAAATTATAATTATATTAATTTATATAAAAATTATACTCCGTGTATTCTTTTGGACTTTTTTTAACTTCTGTTAATGTTAACATTTATTCATATAATGTGCCTTTTACAGGAATCACATACTCATGTGGTTTTGGTCCATTTGCTTTGACTGCTTTATAATAGTTGTGAGTGTGTGTGTTTGTAAATTTATTCTTCCCCTCTGCATGGTTATCTATTCCTATTTGGGTTTACTCTAGGTTTTTACTACTGCAAATAGTATTGCTATGGAAGGATATTCCTGTGTTTATATGAGGTACAAATACAATTTTATCTATTTCAGTTAATTATTTTTTTCTGACTTATCAATGATTTGATCTGTCAATTCTGGCTTATTCCAAGTTGCATATATGCATAGATTGGTTTGTGGGTGCTGTATTTTATTTCTTTAGTCTATATCTTTCAGTATGTCACTGTCTTAATTACTGTAGTTTATAAGTGTTCTGAATATTCCCGACATTTTATGCTTTCAAGAAATTCTGGAGTCATTCTATTAAGTTTCCTAAAAGTCTACATTGAGATTTTGATCAGAATTGCATTTTGTAAGTGTTTATCAATCTAGATATTTATATGTGTTTATCATTCTCCTCTGTCACTTTCATTTTCACTCCTCACTACTTCCTTCTTTATTCTCAAAGTTTATCCTTTAGAAGTTCCTTCTTTAAAGGTCTGTCATGGTTCAATCCTTTCAGGTTTCATTTGTCTTACAATTGTTTTATTTCTTCATTATTCTGAAGGAAAAACTCAGCTCTACATCAATTCTGTGATATGGTATGGTGATATTTTCTCTTATCACCTTGAGAAATAATTTTGTATCTATATTTTTGTTGACATCGCATTTAAATTTTTGCATTGTATAATATATTTTCCTCGTGTCTGCTTTTAACTTTTTTTTCTTGGATATTGTGCTCTTTCAGTATGGTGTTTTTAATGTGTGAATCGCTTTTCTTTATCTTGCATGGGGTTTCCTGAATCTGAGGCATTATGTCTTTCGTTGATTCTGGAAAATTCTCAGACATTCCTCAAATATAATCTTCTTAACATTCTGATTCCTTTCCCATAATGCTATTAATTAATTTTTGGATCTTCTCATTCTATACTTTGTGTTTTTAGGCAATTCTTTTCTATATTTAATTTTTCTCTATGCTAAATTCCAATTCATTATTTAGTTTTCTTTTTTGGTTTAATAGCTCTCTTCTGTTTTGTCCTAACTTCTGTTTTCACTTTTTAAATTTATCTCTGTTTTTTCTTCCTCATCTTTTATTTTATTTATTGTAGTATCACATTTATTTCCCATGTGTTTCATTCCAATTGTTAATTCTTTAATCACTTTACTTATTTCATTTTTCAGTTTACTATGGTATGAATGTTTGGCTCTTCCCAAATTTATTTTAAAATTTAATTGCTATTGTAACAATATTAAGAGATGGCATCTTTAAGAGAATAATTTGTTCACGAGTGCTCCACCCTCATGAGTGGGATCGGTGTCATTATAAAATGGCACATTTAGCCCCATCTTGCTCTCTCTCTTTGCCTTTTTGCCATGTGATGCATCTCATCACGTGATGACACAGTAAGAAGGCCCTAGCCAGATTCCAGCACCTTGATATTGTACTTCCCAGCTTCCAGAACTGTGAGCCAATAAATCTCTGTTCACTATAAATTATCCAGTCTGTGGGATTCTGTTATAGCAGCACAAAATGGACTAAGACACCGTCTATATCTGATAATACATTGTCTCAATATCGAGGCATCTAATTCTGTGGCTGCTATTGTTGTTTATTTTCTTGCTGCCTGGATTGAAGAATGAATCCTTTCAGAAAATATTTGGATTTGCTTCTGTCAGGCACCCAATTAACAGCTATATGGCAAAACCTCTTTTCATGTAAATTTCTAAGTAAACTTTTAGGAGATAATATTCAGCCTGAGCTGATAAAGTATTCATGGCACTCCTATGTGATATGGGCAGAATTTTTTTTTTCTGTATTACCCTTTCGCTAAAGATTTTATCGTTAGAGCATTCAATCTTCTCATTTTTAAAATGGTGGTAGAGAAGGAGGCATGTACTTTAGTTTCAACTCCCTAAAAGGGAGTTTTCCACTAAAAGACTCTCACTAAAACTGTTATGTTACTTGAAGACTGGCAAATGCACCCATGGTGGTTAATTATCTGTACTACTTTTTCACTTTGGTTTTTAAAGTTCGGTTTGTTTATAAACCCGTGAGATCTTCCTTTGCCCTTATCTTTTATGTGTTCATCTATGAATTACAAAGAATATTCACCACATATAACACTATATATTTTTGAGTGTTTTGTCATATATGACATTTTAAAAGATATCTAGACTTCTATGCTAACAAAAATAGAAGTTTCCATCCAATATTACATCCACATCAGAATTAATTCCATATTCTCCAAAACAAAAAATTACATAGTTTATTGCTACTGAGGAAAACCACTATCCAAAAATAAGTTGTATTATTTTGTCTTTTGTATTTCCCCATCCTGCTTCTTTTTCTCCCATCTGCAACACCTAGAGTTAGTTTAGGTATCTAGCAATTGTCAAATAAGTAAATAAATAAAACCTGTGGGAGTTCAATCATGCTATAGGTAATTTCAGTTCTTTTCTGCGTAAAATAACATTTTATTTGAAGGAGCTGAAATAAACAAAATGACTTTAACTTACAGCTAATAATTCTAGTTCTGAATGAATCTGAACTGTAGGCCAGCAAAAATGCTTATTTTAATGTTAAAATTTTAATACATATAATTAATAGATATTATTCTATGAACATTGTTATGATGTTACATAGAAACTTTGGTTTGTCTTTGATTTGGTCAATTTATTTTTTAACAATACACAGAGAGCCCAGAGCAGTGGCACACTCCTGTAATCCGAGGACTTTGGGAGGCTGAGGTGGGCAGATTGCTTGAGGTCAGGAGTTTGAGACCAGCCTGGCCAACATGGTGAAACTATCTCTACTAAAAATGCCCAGATTAGTTGGGCATGGTGGTGCACACCTGGAATCCCAGCTAGTCGGGAGGCTGAGGTAGGAGAATCACTTGAACCTGGGAGGCGGAAGTTGCAGTGAGCTGAGATCACGCTATTGCACTCCAGCCTGGGTGACAGAGCGAGGCTCTTATCTCAAAAAAAAAAACAAACAAACAACAACAACAACAACAACAACAAAAAACAAAAAACACATACACAGAGAAAATGAGTTAGCCTATCTTTTAATATTCATCTTTTCATTTACCTGTCTTTTTTATTATTACAAATTATTAAAAGAAATACATAAGCACCTGAAAAATTAAATTTATAAACTGTTTATTAGTTCATAATTAATTCATCTTTGAAGCTACGTCAAGATTATTCCCTATGGTCTTTCAGTAAGAAAAATAAACAAGAAAATCATAAGATC
This sequence comes from Homo sapiens, assembly GCF_000001405.40. Classification (NCBI taxonomy): domain Eukaryota; kingdom Metazoa; phylum Chordata; class Mammalia; order Primates; family Hominidae; genus Homo; species Homo sapiens. The sequence goes on from NC_000001.11 coordinate 104,107,537, forward strand.
ATTCAGTGTGTAAGCCATTGACATTAAGAACAGTTTTGTTGGAATCAAGGAGGCAAGTGTTTGATTCAGATTAGTTCATAGAAGAAGAGGATCTAAGAATTTGGAAAGAACACACATAGGCAAAATTCAGAGGAACAGAATACATTTTCCATTTATAATAACCCCTGCCCACACACATGCATAGCCTCTCTGATTATCAATATTCCCTACTAGGGTGGTTCATTTGTTACAATGATGAACCCACATTGACACATCTTTGTCATTCAGAGTTCGTAGTTTACATTAAGGTTCACTCTTGGTGTACATTCAGAGTTTGAACAAATGGGTAATTACATGAATTCACCATTACATTATCATACAGTTTTTTTCATCCTAAGAATCCTGTGTTCTGCTTATTTATTCCTCTCTCTGCCTCTGAACTCCTGGCAACTATGGCTTTTTTTACTGTCTCCATAGTTTTGGCTTTTCTAGAATATCATATAGTTGGAATCATACAGTATGTAGCCTTTCAGACAGGCTTCTTTCACTTAGTAATATGCATTTAAATTTCCTCGTGTCTTGTCATGGATTGATAGATCATTTCTTTTTATCACTGAATAACATTCCATAGTCTGGATGTATCACAGTTTATTTATCCATTCCCTTACTGAAGAATACTGATAGGGTTTTGCTGTATCCCCACCCAAAATCTCATCTTGAATTGTAATCCTCAAATTCCCATGTGTCAAGGAGGGGACCAGGTGGAGGTCATGGGGGTGGTTTCCGCCATGCTTTGTTGTGATAGTGAGTTAGTGTCATTCAAGATCTGTTGGTTTTATAAGTGTCTGGCATTTCCCCTGCTCGCTCTCACTCCATCCTGTCACCCTGTGAAGAAGAAGGTGCCTGCCTCTCCTTTACCATTCCACATGATTGTAAGTGATATGGTTTGGCTGTGTCCTCACCCAAATCTCATCTTGAATTCCCGCGTGTTGTGGGAGGGACGCGGTGAGAGGTAATTTAATCATGGAGGCAGGTCTTTCCTGTGCTCTCATGATTGTGAATAAGTCTCATGAAATCTGATGGTTTTAAAAAGAGGAGTTCCCCTGCACAAGCTCTTTTTCCCTGACGCCATCCACATAAGATGTGATTTGTTCCTCCTTGCCTTCCACCATGATGGTGAGGCCTCCCCAGCGATGTGGAACTGAAAGTCCAATAAACTTCTGTCTTTTGTAAATTGCCCAGTCTTGGGTATGTCAGCGTGAAAACGGACTAATACAGTAGGTTTCCTGAGGCCTCTCCAGCAATGCAGAACTGAGAGTCAATTAAATCTCTTTTCTTTATAAATTACCCAGTCTCAGGTATTTCTTCATAGCTGTGTAAGAATGGACTAATACAGACACCTCCGTTGTTTCCAAGTTTTGACAATTATGAATAAGGGTGCTATAAACATACATACAGGTTTTTATGTGGACATAAATTTTCAACTCCTTTGGGCAATCACCAAAGGGTGCAATAGCTGAATCATATAGTAAGAGTATGTTTAGTTTGGTAAGAAACTGTCATTCTTCCAAAGTAGCTGCATCATTTTGCATTTCCATAAGGAATAAATGAGAATTCCTGTTGCATTTTGTTGTTGAAACAACACTAGCATTTGATACTGTCAGTATTTTGGATTTTAGCCATTGTAATAGGTGTGTAGTGATACCTCATTGTTTTAATTCACAATTATCTGTCATATGATGGTGAGCATCTTTTCATATGTTTATTTGCCATCTCTACAACTTTTTTGGTAAGATATCTGTTCAGATACATTGCCTGTGTTTTAGGCTGGGATATCTATTTTCTTATTGCTGAGTTTTAAAAGTTCTTTGTATATTTTTGTTACCAGTACTTTATAAGGCATGTTTTGCAAATATTTTCTTTAATCTGTGGACTCTCTTTTCATTATCTTGGTGAAATATCATTCTTTTGCAGAACATACATTTTTAATTTTAACAAAGTACAAATTACTAATTATTCCTTTCATGAATGACAACTTTGTGGTAATTAAAGAGTTACTGACAAAATCAGGGTCATTGACTTTCTCCTATATTATCTTTTAGTTTTATAATTTCACATTTTACATATAAGTCTGTTTCATTGTGAGTTAATGTCTGAGAAGGGTTTAAAAACTGTGTTAAAATTGTTTTTTTGAATTGGATGTCTAGATGTTCCAGCAATATTTGTTGAAAAGACAATATTTTCTCCATTTTATTGCCTTTACTTTTTTTTTTTTTGTCAAAGGTCAGTTGACTACTTTTATGTGGGTCTACTTCTGGTCTCTCTATGCTGTTCCATTAATCTATTCATCTGTTGTTTTGCCAACACCACCACTGTTGATTACTATAGCTTTATAGTAGGTTTTGAAGTTGGATGGTATCATTTCTTCAACTTTGTTTTCTCCGTCAATATTGTTTTGGCTATTCTCGGTTTTGCTTTTCAATATAAACTTTAGAATGAATTTGTTGATATTGACAAAATATCTTTTGGATTTTGTTTGAGATTGTATTAAATCTATAGACTAATTTATGAAAACTGACACCTATTAGTTTTCAGGAATAAAATTGAGTTTTCCTATCAATGAACATGAAAGAGCTCCCCATTTTTTTAGACATTCCTTGATTTCTTTGATTAGACGTTTGTAGTTTTCCTGATGTAGATCTCTTAAATATTTTGTTAGATTTCTAGCTAAGTATTTTATGTTGGAGTGAGGATGCTAATGTAAATAATATTGTATTTTTAATATCAAATTTCAAATGTTCATTGCTGGTATATATGAAGGTAAATGACATACTTATATGTTAATCTTGCCTGCATACTTCCTATAATCCTTTATTAGTTCCAGTAGCCTTTTTGTTGATTTGGGAGGATTTTCTACATAGACATTCATGTCATGTCAAACAAAGGCAATATTATTCCTACTAGTTCTGTATAATTTTATTTCCTTTCATTTCTTAGTGCATTAGTTAGGGCTTCCAATATTATGTTGAATAGAAATGGTGAAAGGGGTTATGCTTGGCCTGTTCTTGATTTTGGTTGAAAGCATTTAGTTTCTCACCATTTCATATAATGTTAACTATAGTTTATTTGTAATGTTCTTAATCAAGTCAAGAAAGTTTCCCTCTATTGCTAGTTTTCTGAGAGTTTTTATTAAGAATGGGTGTTGGGTTTTATTGAATGCTTTTTCTCCATTTTTTTTGATATAACCATATATCTTTTTTTTTTTAAGTCTGTTGGTGTGACGGAATACAATAATTAGTTTTCAAATGTTGAACCAGCCTTGCATGCCTGGCATATATCCTTTTTGGGCGTGATATATAATTCTTTTGATGCATTTTTATATTTAATTTGTTAATATTTTATTGAGGATTTTCTTGCACCTGTGTTCATGAGAAATATCGGTCTTTTTGTAACATTTTTGTCTGATTTTGGTATTGGGTTATGCTGACCTCAAAGAGTGAATTAGGAGTATTCCCCCTGCTTCCATCTTCTAGAAATTATTCTAAAGAATTGGTACAAACTTTCTTCTTTTTTTTTTAATGGATTTTGCTCTTGTTATTTCTACCTTCTGGGTTCAAGTGATTCTGCTGCCTCAGCCTCTGGAGTAGCTGGGATTACAGGTGCCCACCACCACTCCCAGCTAATTTTTGTATTTTTAATAGAAACAGGGTTTTGCCATGTTGGCCAGGCTGGTCTCAAACTCCTGACCTCAGGTGGTCCGCCTGCCTCGTCCTCCCAAAGTGCTGGGATTAGAGGTGTGAACCACCACGCTAGGCCCTTCTTCATTAAATTTTTGATAGAATTTACCAACAATCCCATCTGGGCTCTTTTTCATTTATTTCTCACCTGTCTTCTAGTAGTGTCACATACCCATAGTACAGTTCTCAAAGCCAGGAGATTAACACTGATGCAATACCATTAACTAAATGGTAAACTTTATTTGCCCTTCAATGCACTTCTCTCCTCTAGAATCCTATCCACAATCCAATATTTAACTTGTGTATTTTTCTTTATAGTCACCTGTAGTTTACAACAGCTCCTCGGGCTTTCCTTATCTTTCAGTATCTCGATAGTTTGAAGAATGCTAATAAGTTTTTTTTTTTTCAAATTTCTCAATTTGGATTTGTCTTATGTTTTCACATGATTAAACTGTGGTAATGCTTTTTCTGAACAGAATACCACAGGTATAATGCTGTGTCAATCTTAGTGCATTATATCATAATGTTCATGATGATGATATATTACTAATAGTGTTGTTATTATTGACACTTAGTTAAGGTGTCTTCTGTGAGCTTCCTCTATTGTAACACTACTATCACTTTTTAGTTAATAGATATTTTGGAGGACATACTTTGAGATGATGAAATCTAATTTCTCCTCAAATTTTCACCAGCTACCATTTGCATCCATCAATGGATCTTGTCTTCAAAAATCGTTGCTGTGGTATTTGCTTAATGATGATTTCTATTTCCCTCTTTCTTTCCTCATTTATTATTTGAGACTGTATTGTAAAGAAAAGCTATTTCATCTCTCTTAGTTGACTACTTATTTATGTCAGTATCGACTTATGAATATTTCTCTTATTCTATGGGCTAAAATCCAGCATTTTAATTATGTACTTTGATGCTCAAATATTCCAGCTTTGATCATTAAGAGCACCTTCAGTTTGGCCCCTGTGTTGTTTGACAAGCCCTCATCTTTCTTTGAGCACTTTTTTACTTTCTGGAACCAGGATATTCATATTTTCTCTGCTCCACTCCTGCAATTAATCACCTCTCCAAAAAGCCCACAGTTAATTTATTGGCAAATGATTTTTAGAAACCAAAATTCAGGTGGTAGGTATGTTTTTAAAGCTATTTTGAATTTTAAAATTGGTATCATATTTTTAAGAGAAGGAATCATCCTCAGCGAAAGAGGATAAATCCCTCTGAGGGGTATACCAGAACTAAAACACAGGAAGATTCGGATTATACTTACACATTAAGATGTGTGTTCATTGAGTGCGATTATCTGCATTACTTTATTTATTTATTTATTTATTGTTGTTTTTATTTTTTTATTTCAATAGTTTTAGAGTACAAGTGGTTTTTGGTTACCTGGATGAATTCTATAGCGATAAAGTCTGCAATTTTAGTGCACCTGTCATTCGTGTGGGATGTACATTGTACCAAATATGTAGCTTTTTATCCCTCTTCTCCCTTCCTCCCTTCCCCCTTTTGAGTCTCCAATGTCCATTATACCACTCTGTCTGCCTTTGTGTACCCATGGCTTAGCTCCCACTTGTAAGTGGGAGCATACAGTATTTGGTTTTCCATTTCTGAGTTACTTCACTTGGCATAATAGCCTCTAGTTTCATCCAAGATTCTGTGAAAGACATTATTTTGTTATTTCTATTTTGGTATTATCGTAAATGAGAACATTTTTAGTTTCTGGATTAGCATATGTGGATGAACTTTGTCTAAAGTAAAGCTTGCATGATACAAGTACACTATTGTAAAGAATCACAGATCAGAGAAAGCTTTTCTCATCCTGGGAGAATCAGGACAGGTGATTCTTGTTTATTGACATTTTTGCAATTGAGAAAAACCAAGTGAGACAAATAAATGAACAAATACACTGAGCAAATAAAAAGAGAGTGGCTTTTATTTAAAAGTCCATGTATCCATGGGTAGTATGGGCCTCAGGGACAAATGGAACTAGGAGTATGAATACTCCCAGAACTTTTTCTGTATCTAACATCATGGCTTTCTGTGTTGTTGAATGCAGTTCTCAAATTCCTTCATTTTGGGAACGCAGCTTCTGGTAGGCCCCATACCTTACATAGCATAGCTTAATCATCAAATAGGGCCTGAATATCTTTATTCAGTGAAGTCGACAAAATTATGAAGATGGACTGCTTGACATGGTTGGACTACATGTCTACCCTTTGACAAATCCACAGTGATCAGGCAATGTTATTCTATAATTAGCATCCCTCACTAGAGTTGGTTAAAGTTCCACAAAAGACAGAAGTTGGTCTTAGAGAGGGAAAACTCCGTGTAAAAACTAAAGATAGTCTAACCTTAGGTAGTAATATGCCCTCTCTCACCACTCCTATTCAACATAGTGTTGGAAGTTCTGGCCATGGCAATCAGGCAGGAGAAAGAAATAAAGGGTATTCAATTAGGAAAAGAGGAAGTCAAATTGTCCCTGTTTGCAGGTGACATGATTGTATATCTAGAAAACCCCATTGTCTCAGCCCAAAATCTCCTTAAGCTGATAAGCAACTTCAGCAAAGTCTCAGGATACAAAATCAATGTGCAAAAATCACAAGCATTCTTATACACCAATAACAGACAGAGAGCCAAATCATGAGTGAACTCCCATTCACAATTGCTTGAAAGAGAATAAAATACCTAGGAATCCAACTTACAAGGGATGTGAAGGACCTCTTCAAGGAGAACTACAAACCACTGCTCAATGAAATAAAAGAGGATACAAACAAATGGAGGAACATTCCATGCTCATGGGTAGGAAGAATCAGTATCGTGAAAACGGCCATATTGCCCAAGGTAATTTATAGATTCAATGCCATCCCCATCAAGCTACCAATGACTTTCTTCACAGAATTGGAAAAAAACTACTTTAGAGTTCATATGGAAACAAAAAAAGAGCCCACATTGCCAAGTCAATCCTAAGCCAAAAGAACAAAGTGGAGGCATCATGCTACCTGACTTCAAACTATACTACAAGGCTACAGTAACCAAAACAGCATGGTACTGGTACCAAAACAGAGATATAAACCAATGGAACAGAATAGAGCCCTCAGAAATAATGCCGCATATCTACAACTATCTGTTCTTTGACAAACCTGACAAAAACAAGCAATGGGGAAAGGATTCCCTGTTTCATAAATGGTGCTGGGAAAACCGGCTAGCCATATGTAGAAAGCTGAAACTGGATCCCTTCCTTATACCTTATACTAAAATTAATTCAAGATGGATTAAAGATTTAAATGTTAGACCTAAAACCATAAAAACCCTAGAAGAAAACCTAGGCAATACCATTCAGGACATAGGCATGGGCAAGGACTTCATGTCTAAAACACCAAAAGCAATGGCAACAAAAGCCAAAATTGACAAATGGGATCTAATTAACTAAAGAGCTTCTGCACAGCAAAAGAAACTACCATCAACGTAAACAGGCAACCTACAGAATGGGAGAAAATTTTTGCAATCTACTCATCTGACAAAGGGCTAATATCCAGAATCTACAATGAACTCAAACAAATTTACAAGAAAAAAACAAACAACCCTATCACCAAGTGGGTGAAGGATATGAAGAGGCACTTCTCAAAAGAAGACATTTATGCAGCCAAAAGACACATGAAAAAATGCTGATCATCACTGGCCATCAGAGAAATGCAAATCAAAACCACAATGAGATACCATCTCACACCTGTTAGAATGGCGATCATCAAAAAGTCAGGAAACAACAGGTGCTAGAGAGGATGTGGAGAAATAGGAACACTTTTACACTGTTGGTGGGACTGTAAACTAGTTCAACCATTGTGGAAGACGATGTGGCGATTCCTTAGGGATCTAGAACTAGAAATACCATTTGACCCAGCCATCCCATTACTGGGTATATACCCAAAGGATTATAAAACATGCTTCTATAAAGACACATGCATGCGTATGTTTATTGCGGCATTATTCACAGTAGCAAGACTTGGAACCAACCCAAATGTCCAACAATGATAGACTGGATTAAGAAAATGTGGCACATATACACCATGGAATACTATGCAGCCATAAAAAATGATGAGTTCATGTCCTTTGTAGGGACATGGATGAAGCTGGAAACCATCATTCTCAGCAAACTATCGCAAGGACAAAAAACCAAACACCGCATGTTCTCACTCATAGGTGGGAATTGAACAATGAGAACACATGGACACAGGAAGGGGAACATCACACACCGGGGCCTGTTGTGCGGTGGGGGGAGTGGGGAGGGATAGCATTAAGAGATATACCTAATATTAAATGACGAGTTAATGGGTGCATCACACCAACATGGCACATGTATATATATGTAACAAACCTGCACATTGTGCACATGTACCCTAAAACTTAAAGTCTAATAAAAAAAAGAGAAGAATCCATTATTTTATGCTTAGAAAAGTGTGTGTGTGTGTGTCTGTGTGTGTGTGTGTGTGGTGTTAGGAAATATTCTGTGCAAATAAAGTTGGAACCTGAAAGTCAAGTGGACACAAGAGAGCATCAACATGAGAGAAAACTGTAGGGGAACATAAATGGTGAACATTACGTTAGGTCATGTGTGTATACCATGAATACGAAGTATTTCACAGGTAATGGGATCATAAAGGGTCTTATATTAAGCTCTCAGAACTTTACCTGCAAACTTTATCCTGGAGTTGTCAAGAGGCAGTTATATATTTATGTTTTGTTTAACTAGGACGGAGACATTATTTTGCATTTTGCAAATCAATCACTTTGGTGGTGGTTATTGGATGGGTTAGAGGCACAAAGTCCGGCTTAGGTGAGGAATGATGTGAGAGTTTCATCTAGGGTAACGAACAAGGAAAAATAAAGTAAAATCAACAAATCTTTCTAACTGATATGATTTGAGATAAAATGCTGAGTCAAATAGGACATCTGATTTTGATTTGGCCAAATGCATAAGTGATTACATTATTCACAAATAGTGGGACCATCCATTGGTTTACCTAGGACGGTCCAAATTCATATGCACTGCCCCAGTATATATGTTTATGTGCATTGACCTTTTTCACTCTTATGTGTGTCTTGTTCTGGTCATTAAATTATTTATAGAGACCAAAAGCACAGAAGGTGAACTGGATTTTAGAGAGAAAATACTAAATTATTTTAGGATATATTGAGTTTAAAGTATTTATGCAACAATCAATTACAAATAACTATACTAATCTGATTAAATATTTCAAAATTCTGTAACTCATTTACCTATGTTGACTAGATTAGTTGATTAGCATTCTGAATGAGGAATTTGGTCTTGAAGTGAAATTGTTTGATTTGCTTTATTCCTTCACTACTGACCGCATCCTTAACCCTAACCAACTCTCTTGTAAATATACACACTCACAAGGGGTCTTGGGTTAAAATACATGATCAGCACCATTCTATTACAATTCTTGGAGTGAAATCTAACAAACTAAAGTCCTAATAGTGGTGGTCAATGGTTGCTTTTGTATGTGAACATAAATTTTATATACAGTGAGCATTTTTTCTAAACCAAAACTTTAGATATTTGGTTCAATAAAAAATGTTCTGTGATGTTTCTCTCTACAAAAGGCAGAAAATGAATTAGATTATAGCTATTAAAATACTCCAGTTTATGGAATTTTAATGATTTTTATAAATCAACAGTCAAAATATTTGAAAAATATATTTTTCTAAAAAGTGCCAGAAGTATAGTCACCATAAGATTTGAGGATAATTTAATAAGTATTCTTTTCTAATTATATTAATTAATACCTGTGATGTAAATGATACTCAAACTCTCACTTCAATTTTCCTTTTTCACATTTCACACTGAATATCTTCCACAAAATATAAAATGTAGCACATTAATTTTTTAAAAAGATATCTTTTTTCATGAATTGAAATAAAAATATTTTCTTTAGTCAAATTTCCTCTTATTTTATGTATATATATTCCTTAGGGGCACAATAACACATTAAATCAGAATATCGTGAAAAAATATTATTCCTTTTTCAAATCCATTGTTCAACTTTGGGATATACGTATTAGCAGCAACTATTTACTTCTCAATTTTATAAATGTTTCTGCTATTTTCCAACACAATAGTTGCCCAAAAGTAGAACTTTGATACAGTTTGATAAACCATGAAATAATTTTAAAAACACAAATACTTAAACGTCATTTCTAATTTTTGTAATGTCCCAAATCACTCTCTTTAAAATCTGGGTGATTATTCCAATAAAAAAATAGACACTCTGAAAAATGATATTTAGTGTTCATTGACACCTCTAAATTATTGTTAATCAAATAGTGAACAGACATGGGATAAAGTGAGTTTTAGTGGTGTATTACGAAAATAATAGCTTAAGCATTTTTAGTTTTATAAAGAATAATAGTGAGGTTTTACATTATCATTGATGGTGGAGAGCTTACATATGGGAGTGTAAGGTTAAAACATTTTCCAGTTCAAGAATCCATGAAGAGAGAATATAATAATTTATTTTCTTAAAGGAATGAATTTACAAACTGATTCCATTGAGGATCTAATAACAAAGCTGGTAGGTAGATGGTAGATTGTTATATACAGCTAAACACATGTATTTAAAAAAAAAATCAGTGAGGGAGAATGAGAGAGAAGGTGTAAGAAGGCAGAGTGAGTTGATCCAAAGAAAGAGGTGTAGTGAACATTATGAGAAAAGCCATGACAATAAGGACAGGAAGAACTCAAAGACCCAGTGGGACAGATTTGGGTCTGGAGAAGAGTGGGAAAAACACAGAAATTGTTGCTAAAGTGAGATTCCACAAAGTAAAGTAGGGGAAGAACCTGAGAATGAGTGGTCACATTTTTAATGTGGGCATTATTCTAGCTAGGATGATGAAATAAAATACCTGAAGCCAAATAGAGTCCTCCAAAGGTTTATATGGTTTGAAACTACACTTTCTTTAGCAACTGTTAGTTTAGTCTCTGTTTAGATGACTATTACAAGAAAGACACATGCGTAGCACATGCGGAGCTGTTCTACTCCCTATTCTATGGCAAACATAAATAATACATTAGGACCCTTTTCCACCTAAAGCCTGAACATGGTCTCACAACTCTCCTCGTTACAGTGCTTCAGAAAGCACTTGCCAACTAAAGTTGGCACATGACCAAAAATCTAGTTTCCTTGTCTATGTTTAATCTGTAACGTTGTACTAATCAGAGTGACATAAAATCATCAAATAATATGAGTAGAAAAGACATCAAATGACATTGGGTTCAATTCTCAATCACAGTAGGTGAATCTTTGCATTATAATCTTCCTAAATTTTGACCTACAACGTGATTGAAAATAGAACCACTGGGAGAGCTTTTTAAAAGCAAGGCAAATTGTTAGGTTTAACATTTGGACATTTTGTTGCTCAACCCACTTCCTAAGATGAGGATTATGGGCTGAATTGTCCTCCCCCACAAAAAAAAAAGTCGTATATTAAAACCCTAACCCACATTACCTTAGAGTGTGACTGTATTTAGAGATAGGGCTTTAAAGAGGTAAGGATGTTAAAACAGGCTCATTAGGGTCAACCTTAATTCAATATGACTGGTGTTCTAATAAGAAGAGATAAGGACAGAGGCAAGGAATAACACAAACCACGAACAGGAAAACCTGCATCTTCTGGTTTGTTTTAAAATACGAAGGATAACCTGACACCCAGTGCAACGCAGAGACATATTTTAGACACACATAAACACAATTTTTAGATTCTACCTATCTTATAACAGCAATCCATGTCACTCGGATAGTAACATTTTGGCTTTTGAGTCATCTATTATGCTTGCTTTCTTGCTAAAGACGTGCTCAGCTTTCAAAACTCAGATCAGCTATTACCTTGTTTTAAAGCATTTTCCAACTCTCCTTGTAATGACTACATATTTCTGTGTAAAGCTCTGTATGTATTGTTTCACATTTGATATCCTTTTGTCTTTATTTGTTTGCATGACTGCATTTTTTTTTTTTACTAGACCATAAGCTTCTTGAGTACAAGAACTTACTCATCTTTATATCTTCAGTATTTACCACTGTTTTTGGCAAATAGTATTCAGTAAATATGAATTGAATTAAAGAATAAACCTATTTGAAATATGTTATCTAAATCTAATAGTTTTATGAATGTTTTTTGCAGGGTTCAGACAACTGAAGAAGGTGTGTGCTTGCAACCTAAAAATTTATTAATTTCACCTAAATGTTAATAGGTGAAGCTGAGCTATTAGAAGTCATACTATATAGTATAATACATATGGACCATATCTCATTATCTTTGTGCCTCAGTGCCTACCACAGAAGGAGTAGGCAATTCATACTTTTTAAATAAGTAGATAAATGATAAATAAAAGATGATTAATGTGTTCATTTATTGCCAACAAAATAAAACATCTGAAGCATTGACTTAGATAATATAAAGTATTACTTTTTTGAAAGTACTGAGAGTATTAAATATAAAATAATATGTATCTCATCGAGTTTTTAAAGTAAAGTCTCTGATGGGATGTAATAAAATAGTTTCCTTAAACTATTTTACACTTAGTACATGAAGTGAAAGAAAAATAATGCACCTATGCAGATACTAATTGTGTCTTCCTGGAGTAGCTAGAGTTTTGGGCCAAGATTGAGAGAAACAGCAGTGTCACAACTAAATGCATACAAAAGCAATTTATTGAAGATATATTTCATATTTCTGAGCACTGATGTTAATCTTTCACATTGGTCCTAAGTTTTAAAATATACAATTTAGAACAAAATATATAATTTAGAACAAAATATATGAATAAGTGAATTATAATATTTTTATAGTTATATAATATATTATCAGCTTAGGGGAACAGAAAATACATTATAAACCCAGTTTTATAAGTTACATTAATTTTTATTATTTAGTTTATTTTAGATTTTTTAGTCTAAAATAAATTCAGAGTTATAAAAAGTTGCAAAAATTTCATAGGATTCTTATATATCTGACATCCAGTTTCCCAAAATATTAATATCTCTCATAAAATGATTACTGCTACAATGCTATTAAATAATCTACAGGCTTTTTTGAAAATCATTAATTGTTGCAGGATCCAATCCAAGATCACATATTGCACTTAGTTTTCATGCCTGTCTAGCCTCCTTTAAACTGGGACAGTTATTTAAATTGAAGGCATTTCTATCTGTGATGAAAGAGTGAAAAAAAAAATTGTCCCTGAAAAGGCATGTGATATTATCATAATTTTTAGAGCATTAATTCTCTTCATGTATTAGGATCTGAAAACTTGTGAAATTGTAGTTAATTGCTTTCCCCCCCTAAAAATAACTTTTTCAGATAGATTATATCCAAAGTAACTAAATCATTTCAAGGACATGAGTTTGGCCACTAGATGACAATATAACCCTTTTCTATTTGGCAGGAATTTTTTTTTTTTTTTTTTTTTTTAGTTTTGTTCAGATTTCCAGTTTAAGAATCACTACCAGTGGTGTCTTAACCAAAGGTTTTACAATATTCTGATACTATTTGGAGATATATGAAAATCTTAGCAATGACATCTTATGCTAGAAGATTGAACATTGTACAAATCACATTGTCTTATAATTATCTGTTTACCTGTCTCTTCCACTATACTGTGAGGTACTTAGAGTACCTAGTATCCTGATTTATTCCTGTGTTCATAGTAAGAGCATACCATGCTACAACCAATATATGTTTTCAGTATGTATGTGTGTGTATATATAAACATATATATACACATATATATAAACATATATATACACATATATATACACATATATATATACACATATGTTATATATATACTCTTTAATCCTGTTTTTTGGGAGAACTAAGAATTATTTTTAAATTTGCTTTTTAAAGACTGATTTGGGGTCAGTTTCACCGGAAAACAACAGTTAGTAATTATGCAGTATTAATTAGCATTACAAAACTTTTTTGTTTGACTCACCGTATCCTTCTTAGTTATCTTTCAGTCAAAAGTGACAATATAATCCAGGTTTAGACCAATTAATTGGAACTAGAAGTATGCTGTGGACTTCCTGCAGACTTTTGCTGTTTTCCTATAGATGCTGTCTTTTTTCCTTTCCTTTATCTTCCACTGAAACAAATACATTATTACTCATTTATAATGGGTTGTGCAATAGGCGTCGTAGGATCATGAGAGGCTCTCTCAAGGGACAGCAGAAGACAATAGCAAAGTTGTAGGTCCACATTCAATGAGCTGCCGAAGAAACAACAGCAGTTGCCTACATCTAGAATATATGTATATGAGAAAAATTAGCCCTATATATTTGTGCCACTGTATCTTCACTCTATGTTACTTAAAGCTTGATTCATTTCTAATGATGGATACAAATTTCATGTGTAATTTGGAAGGAGGGGCTGTTACTCTTTTAACCAGACTTCAAATTCTACAAGGGCAGGCATCATGTTTATCTTTGCTTTGTATTAACTTTCTTAACTTTCTAGTGACTAATGCAGGGCCTCATACAAATTAGAAGGCTAATAAATATTTGCTAAATAAATGTATAAATGATTGAGCTATGAAGTCTGTAGGCATAGCTTATTTTAAATCGAAATATTCTTTTTGAAATGGTCATCCTTACTCAGAAAAAACAAACAAAAAGGTAATGAATTTTTCAGAAATCAAAAGAAATTTCAAAAATTAATCAGAAATGATACCTGCTTTTTAATTATTTCTGCACATGAACTTTACTTTAGGCTTGCCGAGTTTCTACAACCTATTTCTTGATTAATTGTTTGCCCTTTATTCTGACTGAATGATCTTCAGCAAATATAGTGAATATCCCTCATCATCTCTAAGCTAATAATAACATATATCTGACTTTATGGCTTAATATAATGCTATTATAAAAGTCCAAATCATCTAAGGTTATTAAATATTCAGCTGCTTAAAAATTGGTAAGATTTTGTTATATTCATTACAGAAATGCTTGGCACCTGAGGAATTATTAGGTTAGGCTGGTATGGGAAGATTTGAGATAGATCTTGCCCTGTTTTGTATTAGGGTCATGGAAGCAGCAGAAAATAAAACTAGAAGGAACATTTATCATTAATTAATTTGTTCTCTTATTCTTTTAATATGCATTTTATTTTATGAAATGCATACTGTTTTATTGTCCATAAGTTAATTGAGAAATCGGTGTCATTAAAAACTTTGTGCCATGTCTGGTGGCTCATGCCTGTAATCTCAGCACTTTGGGAGGCAGAGGTAGGAGGATCCCTTGAGGCTAGGAGTTTGAGACCAGCCCGGGCAACATAGCTAGACCTCACCTCTACAAAAAGTAAAAAATTAGATGGGCATGGTGTCATATGCCTGTAATCCCAGGTACTCAGGAGTCTAAGGCAAGAGGATTGCCTGAACCCAGGAGTTTGAGGCTGCAGCGAGCTATGATCACACCACTGCACTCCAGTCTGAGTGACACAGCGAGTCCCTGTGTCATATTAAAAAAAAAAATTAAAGTAAAGAAAAAACTTTGAAGTTAAGCAAGGGAGGCAGATGAATAAGCCATGGTAATTTTGGGAGATGGCAATACAAAGTTCACATTGAGCTAAGAATTTTTTTATTTATTTATTTTTTCTGGGCAGCAGCAACTAAGAGCCTAAGGAAGACCTGACGGTGGAACTGTAGAACAACTTCAATGTTGTTCTGGTTGTTAGTTAATGCTAGTAAAGCCAAACTATGAGACGATATGGGGAGGCTAGAAGTTGAGCCTAACAGGTGAACCAAGAAGCAAGAAGTTGTGTAAAAATACAGAAAGTATAGGCCAATTGGAGGTTAGGAAGCAATTTACATGAATTGTTGGTAGACAGAAATAGCTCACATTGGAACTGCTGGATGGGGCTTTTTATCCTACTACCTCTGATCTTTAAGGAATATTGAGAACCATCTAGTTGCATTTAGAGTGAATGTAACAGCTTTTGTTTCTCCTCTTAGATAAAAGAATCTCATAAAAATAAATCATAATGAACATCATTCCTAGAATCTGTGGTCCTCTGTCACTTAAATACAATGATTTATTTTTCTAAATTACTAAACTTTTTTTCTAAGAAATTTTAGTTTACAAATAAAGGAAGCAGAAATTACACAGTTCCTATATATCCCTTCATTTCCCAAGTCCACAGTTTCTCCTATTATTAACATTTTGCATTAGTGTGGTACATTTATTATAATATATGAACCAATATCAATACATTATTATTAACTGACATCTTTTTTACACTGAGGCTCACTCTTTGTGTTGTACATTCTATAGGTTTTGACATATGTAATGACAGATACCCACCATTATCATATCAGACATAATAGTTTCTCTACCCTGAAAATCCCCCAGGCTCTGCCTCTTCATCTCTTGTTCCCTCTCTAAGCCCCTGGCAATCATGAATCTTTTTTGTCTCTACATAGTTTTGCCTTTTCCAGAATGTCATATAGTTGGAATCATACAGTATTAGCTTTCTCAGATTGTCTTCTTTCACTTAGCAGTGTTCATTTAAGTTACCTCCATGTCTTTTCATAGCTTGATAGCTCATTTCTCTTTAGGACTGAGTAACATTACATTGAATGAATGTATTGAAGTTTGCTCATCCATTTACTCATTGAAAGGATATCTTGGTTGCCTTCAAATTTTGACAATGATAAATGAAGTTGCTATAAATATTTGGGCACAGGTTTTGTGTGTGGACATACATATTCAACTCATTTCAGTAAACATCAAGGAATGTGATCACTGGATCATATGGTAAGAGTATGCCTAGCTTTTGTAAGAAACTGCCAAACTGTCTTCCAAAGTGATTGTACCATTTCGAAGTACCACCAGCAATAAATAAGGGTTCCTGTTGTTCCAAATCCTTGTCAGCATTGATGTTGTCAGTGTTTTGGATTTTAGCCATTATAACAGGTGTATAATGATACATCATTGTTTTAATTTATATTTCCCTGCTGTAATACGATGTTGAATATCTCTTCATATGCTTATTTTCCATCTGTGCATTTTCTTGGGTAAGATGTCTTTTCAGATACTCTACCCATTTTTTAACTGGGTTGTTTTTCTTTATGGTTGAGTTTTAAAAGTTTTTAGTATATTTTGAATACCAGCACTTTATCAGATATGTGTTTTGCAAATATTTTCTCCCGGTCTGTGGCTTGTCTTTTTAGTCCTTTCACAAATATTTATTTTTCAAGATAATGAAGTTGAAGATATACAATACAACAATGTTAAGCTGTATTCATAATTAGTAGAGATTTTCCATAGCAGCAAAATATTATGTGATCATGATTATTTTAGATGACTAAGAAAATTTAATAAATGATATAATATTAAATAAATCTCAAATATTCCTGGGAAAATTATCATCTATTATTTGAAATTTCTGAAAAATATGTGTTTAGTGGCAGTGTTGGCTATCTGTGCTGTTAATTAATGGAGTTGAAAGAAATGAAATGCTTTCAGGTTTTATTAGATATAATGTGTCTATAAATAGCAAATGTTTTACAGCAATGACCTCTTCCATGTTGTTAAATATATACAAAGGATACAGAGGCTTCCAAGTTTTTCACAGTAAGCATTATGCATAAGCTTAGGTATCATAAACTACGTATTGATAAGCAGCCTGTATTTATCAAAAATATGGTACTTGATAATGTAAAAAAAGAAGTAATTCAACTTAATTTGTACTAACTAGTCAAATTATGTTAATTTTGATCAAGTAAGTGAGAATACTACTATATTGGGATTCCCAATTGCAAGCAAACTAATTCAGGCTGATTTAAGTAAAACAAACAAACTTATTTTGATGTATTTATGGCTCGTGTGACAGAGGCGAATAACTTTTGAAAAGATGTACTTTTCTTATATCAAATAAGATTGTTGCTGAGGAATTGTTGCAACCTATGGACTGTAAGTATATTTCCCTTCACCTGTGAGTTCATGTGTGTTTGGTATCTGGGTCTCACCAAGGAGAATGCACAGGAGACAGGATTTTTTTTTTTTTTTTAAGTAGAGTAACTTTTCCATGCCGTCTTTTCTTTTGCTCTAACCACAAATGTTGAAGAAGTCCTAGAGGTTTAGAATGAAAACAGCCTGAGTCATCCACTACCAAAACACCCTCTAAGGTTGTTAAATTGATAAGAAAGGAACTTCCATGCTTTAGGCTACTGAAATTGTGTTGATTTATTACAACAACTGCCATAGTTACCTTAACTGGTAAATTCACAGATTTGTTGGAATCCTGACCAAACTGGAAAAGTGGCAGTAACCATGGAAAAGTCAAAGACAAAATGACAGCCAAATCACACCAGTAAATAAGTGGAGTGAAGACACGTCTGTTTTCACAGCTGAACACTGGAAATTGCAAATTTGATTGCCACTGGCATTGGATGCTGGAACTGCTTCTGTTTTTACTGACACTAGCATACCGGGATACTTCGAAGTTGCTGTAGTCTCTGCAATATTGAGTGTTGGAAGGTGCTAGAAAATGAGTGTCTGTCTTTTTTGTCTTTTATACTGGAAGGCAATCACCTAGACCTATGCTGGAGAGTCATCCTACAAGGTCATTCAAATGTACAATAAACTGGTATGTGTATTAGTTACTTATTACAGTACAATAAGTTAATCACAAATATGAATGACTAAAACAAAAAATGTTTAGTATCTTGCAGTTTCTCTGGTCAGGAATGTATTGGCAGCTTAACTGAGTGGTTCTAGCTCAAGGTCTTTCATGAAGGACCTGGTAGGGGCTGCAGGCATCTGCTGTCTTGACAGGAGCTGGGGAATTTGCTTACACGGTGACCCACTCACATGGCCATTGGAAGGAGGCACCAATTTCCTGCCACATGGGCCTCTTCGTAGGACTACATTTGTGTTATCATGATGTAGCAGCTGGCTTCTCCAGCGTGAGTAACGTAAGGGGGAGGAAGACAGGCAGAAGCCACGATTTTTGTTATAACTTAGCCTCATAAACTACATGTCATCACTTCTGTCATATTTATTGATCACATAAAGCAACAATGATATAAAGAAGAAGAGTAGAGTTTATTTCATCACTTACATTTCAATTTTGGCTACTTAATTTTAATCATAGAGTCTACAATAGGGGTTTATTTTATTAATCCAAGTAGTACCAAATATTACTCTGAGTTTGTTTAATTAATATCCCTATGAATTCCTGGGGTTTCAGTCCACTTTGGGAAGAGGCTAGTTTGTTTTCATATCTTAAAAGTGAGTAATATCAGCATTGTTGGTAATTCTATACCTTCATATTCCCAAAGTAGTATCAAGCAAATACATGGTAAGAGTGAGCATGAGAAGTTGATGCTGTTCAGTTATCTGGATAGCAGGCTAAGCATTATTGATAGAAAAATCTGCAGCTATACTCAGAAAACTCAGAACTTCATGGCAACTTTTTTTTAAATTAAAATACAGTTCTTAAGGTTTCAAAGTTTTATTTCTGTTTTTGTCAAATAAAACTGTTCTTTCAGAGACCAATAGTTAGAGGAAGAAACAAATTATATGGACCTCTGGTACAATTTCCCAATCTGTGAGCTACCAGACCTGAGTGTTTTGGTAAGAGGTCCACAAAATCAAATATAACATTCCATTGTCTGCAGACCAGTTAATGACTGCATAGTATTTTAATGTATGTCATATGTACAAATACAAAAATATCCTCCAAAATGGGAAGATTGGGAACACAAATTAGAGCCATCAAATAAAACTGTTCTTTCAGAGACCAATAGTTAGAGGAAGAAACAAATTATATGGACCTCTGGTACAATTTCCCAATCTGTGAGCTACCAGACCTGAGTGTTTTGGTAAGAGGTCCACAAAATCAAATATAACATTCCATTGTCTGCAGACCAGTTAATGACTGCATAGTATTTTAATGTATGTCATATGTACAAATACAAAAATATCCTCCAAAATGGGAAGATTGGGAACACAAATTAGAGCCATCAAATAAAACTGTTCTTTCAGAGACCAATAGTTAGAGGAAGAAACAAATTATATGGACCTCTGGTACAATTTCCCAATCTGTGAGCTACCAGACCTGAGTGTTTTGGTAAGAGGTCCACAAAATCAAATATAACATTCCATTGTCTGCAGACCAGTTAATGACTGCATAGTATTTTAATGTATGTCATATGTACAAATACAAAAATATCCTCCAAAATGGGAAGATTGGGAACACAAATTAGAGCCATCAAAAATGCACATTTTTCCAATTCCAGGTGACTGATTAATTTGTAAATGGATTCAACCATACTCTTTGGGTTTCAATTTTGTACAAGGCAATGCACACAAATACATATGTATCAACCAACAATTAGGATGTACATTTTATGTCTTAAATATCCTGTCATTGATATTTGAGTGGAGTTTTATTGGGATCCAATTGTATCTACTTTCTGCAGGGGACAAATTAGTTCATACCTTATCTTGACTTATAGAGGAATTACTTTTTCAACAGTTTGGAGAGGTGTACAATTTACCATACCTTCTGACCTGTATTATCTTACTTTTACGGTGAATAATAGCAACAAGATATTTTGATCAGAAAAATCCTGGTATTTACTACTGAGGTAGTGGTGAAATAAAATGACAAACATTCCTTATCTGATAAAAATATATGCAAACCAGCTTTTGTCTTAACCAGTAGAATAATAAGAAATAGATTAGTTCCCTTCTCCATTTTCTGTAGCCTTATATTTGTTTACCTATGCATGATGAAAAGCAGATTACTTTCTGATTACACTGAAGGGTTATTCATGTTATTTGGGGTATTATATTTTTAGGATTATGTATTATTGCATTTTATTGTAAAAACGTATGCTGTAGTCTTATGGAATAATAAAGTAATGACTATGTCATAAAGAAATAATGTAAACATTGACTTAATTTCTTGGCAATACTTTATAACAAGTATTTCTTATGGCTTACAGGAAAATTAGTAGTTTCTGCACTTAATTTATTGTTTAACTCATTATAATTTCAATTTATTTCCTAGCATCCCACTACCTAAATAGCTTTTAATAAAGTTGCTTATTATCTCGAGTCTCTTTTTTTCTCTGATTTTATTTTAGTTTTTACTGTTCAGAAAATCTGTCTGGCATTTTACACTTTACTACACAACTCATCCTTCTCAAGACTCTCTCATTACCTGGCTTTTGGGACACTGCGGCTTCAGGTTTGCCTACTTTTCTGAGCCATTTTCCATCCCTACTTTCATTTCTCCCTCCCTCCTTTCCTTCCTATCTGTCTTTCTTATTTATTTATTTATTTATTCATTCACTCATTCATTCATTCATTCATTCATTCATTCATTTTTGGCTACTCTTGCTTATCCTGATCCTTTTATGCTTTTATTCTAAAGCTTTTGCATTTGCTGTTTTTTTAAAACTTTATTTATTAGTGTTTCTTAATTTTAACTTCACATAGCAATCACCAGGTAAGTTTTTCTAACACAGCAACACCTGGCCCCAACCACAGAAATGTTGTTTATGGGGTGAATCCTGGGTATTTTATTTTTTTAAAAAAAGCTTCCTAGGTAGCTTTAAACTGTAGACAGATTTGAGAACCACTACTATTTACATTTTCGTAGAGTGATCTCATCCACTCATAAAACTTCAACTACCTACTTTACACAGAAGATTTATAAATATGTATCAGCAGCTCTAGCTTGTCTCCTAAGCCCTTGCCTGTTATACATACTTGCCAGTTTGGATTCTTTCTTTTCTTCTTTCAATCATTGAATGTTTTTTAAGTGCTACCATGTGCTAGACACTGTGCTAGACATGAGGATTCAGACATGAGCTACACATAGTTCCAGCTCTCAGGGACTTTGAGAAGCACAGTATATGGAATAAAGACAACAGACAACTAAATGTTACGGTGTCATAGTCTAGAAAGGGGTAAGAAGAGGAGGATATAGGACATGAATATAAACCAGATTAGGGCAGATGTTTATAATTTTCACGAATTTAATCCTGGATATGTATGAAAGGCAAAACATATCTTAAAAATAGAAATAAATTTCCAGGTATAAAAGATATGGCATGGAGAGAGAGAAGATAAATCTCAGGAATAGACACAAGGAAAACTAGGATGGAATTGGGGCAGCACCCATAGAGGCTTCTCCTTCAGAGCTTCTTCCTATTAATGATTTCCTAGTGAAATACTTTTATGCCTTTACTTCATAGAACAAATTTATCTGTTACTGAAAGAATTTTGGTCAAAATTTATATTTATGCCCTCAAATGCAAAACAATATATTGGAAATCTCATTACTTTCCAAAACAATTGGTAAAATGTCTGATTCATGTGTAGATGTTTGAAAACTCACGTTGACTATCAGCAATAGGGACATGCATCTCCATTGCTACTGGTGCTGTTAGAAGATTCACATTCCCATACCCTATTCATTCCTCTCTCTGGATACTTTGTCACCATCCTGAATTTTTTTTTTCTTTTCATTTTTAGCTTTTGTTCTTGCCTACAGTCATGTAATGAGGAACAAAAATTAAAACAAAAAAATAGAAAGAATGCTCACACAAAAGGTAATAAGAGGTTTGATGAAAGTGATTACATTTGAAGCACTACAAGTATATACAAAGAAAATGACTAGCAAGATTACAAGCAAAGATGCATTTTGCAATTTGTGCATATTGGAGCATTGACCAGCTGCCCTGCAGAGTTACTGAGCCTTCTTGTCTTAGAGTCCTTTGATGCACCAAAATAGTGGAAACTGTCAGTTCCTCTGAGTCTGGTAATTAGCTGAAATTTACTCTTCAACACCCATCTATTCAGCACCATAATGTTTCATAACCAGTGACATACTGTGCCTGCTTCAAACCTACTCTCTTCTCCGTCTTTAAGCTTTTAAAGCTTTTATTCCCCTTCTCACTTGAGAATAAAACTTTTTTCATGAAATCACCTTGCTTTTTTTTAATTAAACATTTTTTATTTTCTTTGTTCTAACAAAAATGTATTCATTTGTGGATTTTTTGCCTTGTTATATTGTAAATGCCAACATTTATGGCCTGGGATGCAAACACTACACATTATTGAATAAAAATCAATGGCTTATTAACAAACATATTGATTGTTTAGTAATGAGATGAAGATATGTTTACATATCATGCACTCTGACCCTATCAATTGTAATGAATCTAAGTTTTTTTCAAATGTTGTAGCTCCATTGTTCAGAAATTAGTGGAAGGCTTCAGCTTGATAAGTAACCCTTGGTAAGTTTGTTTACTGGGAAATGAGGTCCTAGTTGATGTTCTTATGCAGTGTCTAATCTTGGGGAATGGATTACTGATGTTACCTGGAAAAGGCAATGCCTTTGCTTCATCACACCCAGAAGACAGATTCCAAGGCAGTGAGTGACCTGTTGAGATAAGATGGAAGCAGGCTCTAGATCATGGTGAATCATAGCTACTAGGATAAATAATTTGTATAAAGACATCTCTGGAAAGTCTTTGAGTGATCTCAGTGATGTGAATTTATTTGAACTTAGAAAGGTCATTCTGCTGTCAGTATTGAAAAAGGATCAAAGGAGCAATACTGAAGGCAATGAGACTAGCTAAAAGGCTGTAGAAGTAATCCAAGCAGAACATTCTGAGCATTTCACAGAAGCAAAGAAAGGGGAGTAGAGAAGCTGATGGATTTTAGAAATATAAGGAAATCAACTCAAGTGTCCAATAGGATAGCAAAGGGCATGGTAAGCATAAAATATTAATGTGCAAATGGATAACTTTTGAAGTGAAAAGGGCCACTATTTTCATTGCACTGCGTAAGCACACATGAAGTGGGCGTCCTGAGGAAAACTGGGAACTATGGCAACCACAGTGATGTGTCATGGAGAATAATAATAAAAAAAAAATTCACAAGGGCATATATCTATCAGGCACTGTGAAAGTCTTTTCCATAGGTCATTTCACATAATCCAGATACCACCCCATACAGTTAAGTTCAATTCTTACTTGGCCTTTCTGATTTTCAAGTCATTCACCTCACTATTGCAATTATTGCCCTTTCATTCTGAAATGTTGATAAAGAATCTCTTAAAATACCATCCTCAAACAAAATTAGTAATAACATCTTAAGACAGGTGTAACTGATCTTCATATGGGGAAGAGGTAGGAATACTGTCACGCTTTGAGAGGAATTTGTTTGATACCCACATGATCCACGTGAGCATTTCTTGGTTTCCCCTTGCCCAATTTAATGAGAAATAGACAAGTGTAGGAATTACACTCTGAAAAAAGCATAGAGATTTTGTGCTCAGATTCTCTACTGCAGGAAAACAACTGAGACTAGAACTGGTGCTAGCTGAGGGTGATGGAAATCTAGAATGGATATTATGAGAGGAAGAGAAGGAATGTTATTTGTGGTCTTAAGAGTAGGCTGCCATCGTGGGGGCTGTTGTTTTTCCAACTTATTTTCTTGGTTTCCCCCAGTGGTTCATGTTCTAGACTAGTTGAAATAAGCCCATTTTACCAGTCTATACTATTGAATGCAGCTATGAAGGCTGGATAGAATGTATAAAGCAACTACCTGAGATTCTGTAAAGTGAATAGTAGCAGGTAGTTTGGGGAAGAAGACCAGAATTTAGAACCTAAGGGGAGTTTACCTTTGTTTTATTTTTATGCTTGTATCCCCTCACCTCAAATCGTTGTAATTTGAAGCACAGAAGGGGCCCCTGAGACATAGAGAGGAAGAGAGCCAAAGAAGCACTCTAGCACTAGCTCAAGGAGCATGAGAAATTCCAATTTTCTACTCTCCTTTTTTCAAATTTCTTCTATCGCAGTTCCAAAGCATGCTGTGTGCAGGCTCCTGCCTTTTCAACAGGAATCTTAAGCCAAAATTCTGAGATGGGGAAACTTCCTCTCTGATCAGTTGAACTGCAATTCCTTAAAGGATAGGGCTGGAGTTTTTCTTCTCTGCTGGTGTTTTTCTTCTCTACTACGTGGCTCCCAATGCAATCATAGAAATGCAGGGCAAAGTGCGGTAAGTAAAGCCACACCTTTCTAATTAGAAGAATAAAAGGGAGGACATTA
Organism: Homo sapiens; assembly: GCF_000001405.40. Lineage (NCBI taxonomy): Eukaryota > Metazoa > Chordata > Mammalia > Primates > Hominidae > Homo > Homo sapiens. The sequence continues at coordinate 104,132,404 of NC_000001.11, forward strand.
GAAAACCAGAAAGTGTGGGAGAGATTGTCCAGAGAGGGTTGCTAGAGAAAAGCATAACCTATGAATTAGTTTATGTGGTCTTGGCATCTCTGCTGAGCTGCATATGCATAGATCTGATTCTCACTGGAATGCCAAAGACTGAGAAGTGGACTAACAGGCCATCTGCTGGTCAATGAGTAGAGTTCATGTGGGAGGTAATCAAACAGCCCAGCAAAGACTTTGAATGCTGAAGTGACAATGCAACCACAGTCCTCAGAAGATAGTTGGAACCTGTGGTCTGAAAAAGGCTGCTTATTTTAAGAGAAAAGAAAAATGTTAAGTTAGAAGGTACTCAATTCCTTAAAGCACTGGATTAGAGAAAAACTTGGGATAAACATACAGTCAATTCCTTCAAATGACCAATTGGATTAGATGCCCTCTCTTAGACAAAAAGAGATTTATGCTCACATCCACTGTCAAAAATAAATCAGCTAGCATTGTAGCTCTGGTAGAAACATGTTTAAGTAGAAATGTGAGAAACATAAAAACAGAACAAAACAAAACATCATGTCTGATCTGTTCATTTTTTCCCCAGGTGTTCAGAATACCATTTTATAAAATGTGCCTAATAATTGAAATCTTAGAATATCAATGCTTTAAAAATTATAGGTCAGATTAACCCTACTAAACATTTAATCTTAAGGGGCATGGTTTTTATAGAAAACATTCTTTCAAATTTAAAAAGCTTTTAAATTATAAATATATATTTTTAGGCTAACAGTGGCTCATGCCTGTAATCCCAGCACATTGGGAGTCCAAGGGAGGAGGATTGCCTGAACACAGGAATTTGAAACCAGCCTAGGCATCATAGTGAAACCCTGTCTCTGTAAAATTAAATATATATAGTTTTAAAAAAACATAAGTCATTGCTTTTGAGTGATATTTTGTTTTATTTTTAAGTGCAAGTAAATAACAGTGACAAATTTTCTATTTTTTTCTAGAAAAATTAGATGAAATCTAGATATTAATTGATGAAATGAATAATTCCCCAAGGAGAATAGTTATTTATTCATGAATTATAAAAGACAATTTATTTATAATATGCTAGAATACAGCTTAATTTTGAAGCAATTTCAGGTAGGGACTAATAATTTTCCCTTATGAATTAAATTGTAAGTGTCATTTCAAAGATATTTTTACTTCAGCTTTGGCTTAATGGCATTTCAAATTTCTAATAATTGGATTATATTTAAAGATTCAAAAGGTAAACAATATTTAGGTTTGTTTTTTTCATTTTATAAACCAAAAACACATTTCCCTGATCTCTTTTCTCACATTCACCAAAGGGGAAAAGAAAAGACAATATAGTTAATAATAAGTGAGAAATTAAATACCATTGTTTTATTCCTATGCCTTATTTGGTAGTATGTTTCAAGAGTGTTACAGTTTCTTTAATGGATTTTAACCTATCCAGATTTACTATTTCTTCTTGTGGGTATTGCAATATTATTTTTTGAAAAAAATATCTTTCTTTAATCTATATCTTTAAATATTTAAATTTATACAACTCATATTTTAAATTTATATCTATAGTTACATTTTTTTCATTACTAATATTCTTTCATTAAGCATTCTCTCTGTCTTAAATTTTAGTCTGGTAGGTAGTTTGCCAATTTTGTCTTTTCAAAAACTATGCTTTTCTTCTCCCCTTAATGTATGATTTTACGTTATCATTTTGTTCCTCATCATGTTATAATACATGCTTTTCACTGTTGCTCTTGAATCCCACTTCCTTTGGCTTCATTTTTCCTTTTGTAGAAAGGATGATTTGTGATTCTTAATGTCTTAAAAGTTTTGATTGTACTCACTGAAAATTTTGCAGTACATAAACTTTTTATATTTACAATTCTATCCTCTCAACACTTTTCTCTTAGCATCTACCTTTGTTTATTGGTGATTTGGGGGTATTTTCTTTTCTTCATTCTTCATGTTGAGCAGTATCTCTATGAGGTGATGAGATATTCATTCAAAAAAAAGTTTATTCTACACTCCATGATTCTACAATCTATGATTATTCTACAAACTATGAAATTTTTCAACCTGTGCAATTTTTACAGTAGGTCATCAGGAAGACATGAGCAGGGCAGGAGAGGGCTCCCCCTGCAACCAGGAATGTCAGGCAACCATTAGGTGATGGTCAGGGAGTTGTTAATTGTCTCTCTAAAATAATAATTTTTCACAGCCAGTGCCAGGGAAAGGCAGTCTCCCTATAGATAGGAAAAAAATCAAAACAAAAAAACTGGTGATCAGCAACTTCCTAATAAGATCTCAGGAGTTGGGTGACTAAGCTTATGCGTGAAGGGGTGGCCTGCCCCTCCATACCTGTGGGTGTTTCTCATCAGGTGAAACGAGAGACTTGAGAAAAGAAAGAGACACAGAGACAAAGTATAGAGAAAGAAAAGTGGGCCCAGGGGACCGGTGCTCAGCATACGGAGGACCCATGCTGGCACCAGTCTCTGAGTTCCCTCAGTGTTTATTGATCATTATCTCTACCATCTCAGAGAGGGGGATGTGGCAGGACAATAGGGTAATAGTGGAGAGAGGGTCAACAGGAAAACATGTGAACAAATGTCTCTGCATCATAAACAAGGTAAAGAAAAAAGTGCTGTGCTTTTCATGTGCATATACATAAACATCTCAATGCCTTAAAGAGCAGTATTGCCTCCAGCATGTCTCACCTCCAGCCCTAAGGCGGTTTTTCTCCTATCTCAGTAGATGGAATATACAATCGGGTTTTACACCAAGACACATTCCATTGCCCAGGGACGAGCTGGAGACAGATGCCTTCCTCTTATCTCAACTGCAAAGAGGCCTTCCTCTTTTACTAATCCTCCTCAGCACAGACCCTCTACCGGTGTCGGGCTGGGGGACGGTCAGGTGTTTCCCTTCCCACAAGGCCATATTTCAGACTATCACATGGGGAGAAACCTTGGAAAATACATGGCATTCCTAGACAGAGGTCCCTGAGGCCTTCTGCAGTGTTTTGTGTCCCTGGGTACTTGAGAGTAGGGAGTGGTGATGACTTTTAACAAGCAAGCTGCCTTCAAGCATTTGTTTAACAAAGCACATCCTGCATAGCCCTAAATCCATTTGACCTTGAGTCAAGACAGCATATGTCTCTGCGAGCACGGGGTTGGGGGTAGGGTTACAGATTAACAGCATCTCAAGGCAGAAGAATTTTTCTTAGTACAGAACAAAATGGAGTCTCTTATGTCTACTTCTTTCTACATAGACACAGTAACAGTCTGATCTCTCTTTCTTTTCCCCACACATGCGTGCACATTAAGAGGCAAAATGGCGGAGCATAACTGTTATGTGATCTTCCAGGGGCATTTGGCGGAAGGGAAGAATGCCTCAAGTGAGGATGCATTCAACTCCAGTAAACACACTGTGCATGCTCCCCTCCCAAGCACATTAGGCCACTGTACATGCGGATAGCCCACCCTACAGGAAGAATCAGGGCAGAAGAGATGCAAGACCCCAGAAGCATGCCAACATAGAAATCCCCAAGTCAAAACGTAAAACCACACACTTGTCCTTCAAGTCACCCACTTGACCCTCTTCAAAGTTTCATTCCTTTCCATCATTTCATTCCTGCTCTAAAGCTTTTTAATAAGCTTTCACTCCTGCTCTAAGACTTGACTTGGCATCTTCTTTTACCTATGTCTCTCAGTCGATTCTTTCTTCTGAGGAGCCATGACTTGAGGTTGCTGCAGACCTCCAGGGATTTGATGTCAGTAACATATTTTGGTGCCATGACTTGGATAGCTTCCACCGCTAATACATTTTGCTGCCGTGTGACTTGGATAACTTCCATCACCAACGTACTTTGGTGCTACATGGCTTGGATACATTCCGTAGTGTTAATATACCTTTATGTCTCACCTTCTTTGGCTGGAGGCATTCAACCCTGTACAAGGTTTTCTTCTCTCCTTTTACTCTCCTGCTTACTAACCAACACCCAGAACAATTCTTCTCAGTCATAAGTAACTCTTCTCCACCCAGCTGATCTCTCAGCTCACATGGATGGGTGGCTTTTGGGGGTGGAAAGGATCTTGGGGTCTGCATTGAGTAGAACTGAAGCACTAATGGCCCTCTTGGACAGGAGGCTTGTGAGAGTGGTAGGTCTAAAGCCTAAAACCGTGCAATGTCTTGGGTTTCCTCTGCCTTTTCAATTAAAACCGTCTGTTTCCCAAAAACCTGCACTGCCTATTCTCTCGTTTTCTCTGTGTGTGTTTTACAATGGCCTTGTACACTTGCTGGACCATCCACCTCAGGGGCAAGTCTGCCTCTTTGCTTTCACTTTGCATTCCATGGGATTTCTTAAACACACACTCCCTGCTATTCATGTGCTCATGACTTTTACTGCATTTGCATGTCAGCAAAGACAAGGGCTCCCTTGAGGATATCCCCTGAGATTTATACTTGTTCTTACCCTACCAGCTCGGATGACCTTCAGCCCTTCCCCTGTGTGCTGGCACATTTCTGGGAATGGCACTAATTGGAACTCTGGCTCTGCCAGCTCCTTATGACTTACCACATGGTTTTTGTTCCTGTTATGCTCCAGGGCCAAGTTTTCTGGTGGCTTTTGAAGCAGGTTGTCTGCCTCCATAGGGCCTCACTCTGTGGCCCTTTAAGAATCCCACCTATTGGCTTTTGTGAGCTAGCACCCCTTTGAAAAAAGGGGAAATTCCTCCTTTGCCATCTGTGAGTTCTTATCCCAAGCTCCAAGTCCTCTGGAGGTTACCACTTTATGTCAAGAGGGCAAATAAATGTTGCTCTTGCAAATCCAAAGGCTGCTGTTTTTGTGAGCATATAAAGGCCCTTACGTGAGTATTCCTCATGCATCCTCTCACTTCCTCCCGTAGCCTCCATTTCTCTAATTACATCCACGTCTTTCTCAATATGCATCAAGACCTCCAAGGCTATATTCTAAGGGAGGAAGCAGGGAAGTGCAGCCCCTAAAAAACAGGCTTTTTGTCTACTTAAATAATGTAGGAAATGGGAGTCTGAAAAAAAGATAATCTTTTTTTTTTTTTTTTTTTTTTTTCCTGGAATGCTCCAAGCAAAAGTCACTGTAAGATCATGGAGTCAAGGATATAGGCTGGCCCAAAGTCACAGGCACAAGAGCCCCATAGGGCAGAGATGAAGGTTGGTCCCAGGCTAACAGGTTGCCATTAGAACACAGATGAAAGGTTAGGGGTACAAAGTAAGACTGGTTATTCCAGAATCCCAAGGATGAGTAGAGGGTCCACTGTTCACTCCAGTATCTCCTCTGTTCTCAAGTGCATAACCCTCCAGGTTGCCCTAAGGATAGGCTTCCAGGTAACTGCCATTGGTGCAGGAAGCCAGGCCACTGGAAGGCAAACTGCCCCAATGGCATAAAAATAGGGAAAAGCCCTGCGTGGCTTGTCTTCTCTACCACAAGGGCCCCCAGGACAGAATCCCAACCCTTAATGGCCTTGAGTGGAAGGGATCTCTGCTCCAGCAGCTACCAGCTCAGATATCATCATCAACAGAACAAAGCCAAGGGCAACTCTGGAGGTGGCAAGTAAAATTATAAATGCTCCTTTTGCATTCAAAAGCTGCCTACTCTGTGCTAATCTCCTTCTCTAAGCAACTCTCCTCCAAATAATGTTGGGTAATCAGGGCAAATAATATCCCCTTCCTTCAAAAGGAAAGATTCATACCCCTTTATATTACTTAAGGGACCAATTACCATTCTCCCACCAGTCCCTGGTAAAGTTGAAATACCCCACACCTCTCTAGGGCAAAAATACACTTTCCATGATTTGTGCTCACTTAATATTTACTCCACCTCTGAATTCATTTTTCTCTCTAATATCCCTATTTCTCTCAGACAAGCTAACTAAATTGTTAACCAATAACTTCAACCTGGACAGTCCTACCTCTGGGGTTTAGAAATAACCCACACTTATTCAGGCAAGCCCTAGCAAAAATCTAACTGAGCAGTCTCTTGAGCGGGGATAACTTCTACAGTATGCAGATAACTTCTGTATCTGCTCCCCACTCACAAGATGTGCATAGTAACATACACTACAATCCATAACTTCCTAACAGAAGGAAAATGACTTTTGTCTAATTACAGTTATGGGTGGCATGTGCAGGATCATAGAACATGGGGAGCTTTTTTCTCCCCACAGAGGAAAACTTAAGATCAGATGAGACAGCTGGAAAAGATCCCTTTGCTACTAAAAAGTGGCTGCCTGAACTTTTGATTCACTGTTGCTGCAACGGGTGGGTCTTTCTCTGGCTTCACTGAGCTCCTTGCCTTCCCCAACCCACTGCAGTCAATGCTTTTCTCTCCCTCTTTCTCTCCTTTCCCTTTCCTATATTTTGTGTTAGAACCTGCATTCATATTCTCCTGTTTTCTCTGTGTGTGTTCTAAAATGGCCAACTGGGGGCAAGTTTGAACCTTTCCAGTTCGGTTTTGGTTGCTAAGAGAAGTGGCTAATATCTGTGTTTTGTCAGGCATATTTTGCTCTGGCCAAAATGGAAAATATTAATTTGGTTACTCCAGGAAACCACTTGGGCAGCATCTTACAATATTAAGAGGCTTTTTGGCCTGTGGTTTCATGAAATAAAAAGATAATAATAATTTTTCTTTGTTTTGCCCCTTGGCCCCCAGGGCGACAATACAGAGAGAAAGGTTGCTAGGGCTGCTCAGGGAAAGGGAACCCAGAAACCTGGCATGCTGACAACAGGGTAAATTCTTACCAGTCGGAATTCTGGCCTCTCTCTCTGTGCAAATCTACTGTAGCAATGGTAAAAATCACTGTCTCCTCTGCAACATTTTAATTAGTAAGAAAAAGGATTTGTGAAGCTGGTTTCAGTTTATAAGGAATCTGGTGTATTTTGTGCTATACATTTGTCTTTCTGTGTTGTGGTATATTGGAGAGTGGTACCTCAGGACAAAACATGGGCTTAGGATCTCATAAGCCCACTGGTCAAGGCAGCTTGGGAAACTTACGTTACAAACTTTACTGCAGGTCCTTGAAACAAACAAACCAACCAAAAAGCTAGATGAAGTTTCCCTGTTGTCTTGTTTTAAGTCCTTGGGAGCTTGACCTTGTAACCATGTGGCAATACTTTCTTTTATTCTCTGCTGTCTGGAAGATAGGAATTTTTGACTTTATGTTATAGCTTTTTTTTTTTTTTTTTTTTTTTTTGAGATGGAGTTTCACTCTTGTCTCCCAGGCTAGAGTGCAGTGCCTCACTCTCAGCCCATCACAACCTTCACCTCCCAGGTTCAAGCCATCCTCCTGCCTCATCCCCCTGAGTAGCTGGGATCACAGGCACAGGCCATTAGGCCTGGCTAATTTTTGTATTTCTTTTTTTTTTTTTTTTTTTGTAGAGATTGGATTTCATCCTGTTGGCCAGGCTGGTCTTGTACTTTCAACTTCAGGTGATCTGCCTGCCTCGGCCTCCCAAAGTGTTGGAATTACAGGCATGAGTCACCTTGCCGGGCCACACTAAAAATTATTTTGAGTGAGTTAAAAGCCACTGACAGCTCAAAATTGGCTGCCTCCAGGAACCTTCTGGAAAGAACAATGAAAACTGCCCAATTCTGTAGCTCAGCAGGTAAGTCTTCACCATTTTATAATGGTGGCCAGGGCTCAATTCCTGGTGTAGAGAATGAGTCCTTTCACATTTATGTGAGACCTTTAGCATTTATGGATTCTCTGCCCCTCCATGATCAACTTCTGACTTCTCTTCTTGAATTTTCCTTTCTCTGAGCACCTGTGAGGTTACTTGCCTCAGTCTCTCCTTCTGGCTTATGCCCCTCAGTCAAATTCTTTCTTCCGAGGAGGCAATAATTGAGGTTGCTGCAGATCCATATGGATTCGTGGCTGGTAACAGAAATTTTTTCTGGTAGATTCTGGGAATATCTCTCTCTTTACACACACACCCACATAGTGCCTTTATCTCTCCAAATATCACTTGTTGCTGCTTCTTTATTAGATATTTTGAAACTTCTTGCTCCATTTTCTGTGTTTCTTAGTTTTTCTTTAGTATCATTGATTATTTAAACTTTCTGTGCTACATTCTTAAAGATTTTCTCCATTATATCTTGTAATCAATTAATTTTTCTTCAGCTATATCCAATTGTTAAATTCGCTTTTAGTTGTAACTATTTATGTTGACATTTTTACTGATTTTTATTCCCCAGAGTTCCTATAGAAATTTGCTTGGTGTTTAGCTTCATAACTGTCCTTTCTTGTTTAAGAAATTCTTATTTTTACATACATGATTTCATCACTTTATACAATATCTATAAATACAGTTGCTTTATAGTTATTTTGGATTACTCTAATATTTTTTCCTTTTCTTTTGGCATTTTGTTCAGTGTGTTGATTGTCTTTCTTGGAAGTATATGTTCTTTTAAATTTGGTATTTTATGTTGAGGAGCTAAACTCCTGACCAAGTTCCTCCCTTTATGGTAACTTACTGTTTGCTTAAATCCTGGTCCCTCAGAATGGATAGGTCTTTAGTTCAAAGTCTTCCTTGTGGCTATAGGTGCTGAATCTTTAGGTTCTGATCCCATGTGTTCACAGCTGCAAATTGGGAAGCCCATTGAAGCTCTTTTTTTTAATAAATGAGCTTTTTATTTTTTTAAATAAATGGATAACACAGTTCCAGCTTTAGACTTAATGAGTGGATCCTGATTGTAATTTTCTGCCAAATGCAAGACGCTTGTCTTCTCAGGTGGCCTTCGAACTCATGCTGTTTTTCTCACATCAAATCACAAAATTCAGTACCTTCTCACCATCATGAGTTTAATTTGTATTTTTAATCAAGATATTTCTTTCTTATTTTCAAATATAGCTACATATTTTTAACCAACAGTACTGAAGTGCACTTGTGTACAACTGTAGTTTGTATACAATGAAATGTACTCATTTTAAAGACACGCTTCATTGAGTGTTGACCAATGTATGCACAATCAAGGTATATAATAAAGGTATATAATAGCTCCATTACCACATCAAGTTGCTTTATGTTCATTTTCTTATTTTTTATATAATTTTAGAAACAATTTTAAACTTATAGAAAAATTGTACCACAAATGACTTTTTTCCTAAACCATTTGAAAATAAGTTGTCAACCCAATGCTCCATTGCCCTGAATATAATTTGGATAATTCTTAAAAACAAACTTGTCTTCTTATATAACCGCAATTACGACTATCAAAATAAAGAAATTGACAGTCATACATTACTACATATAATCTTCAGACCTCATTCAAATTTTTCTATATTTTTCAGTAATGTACCTTATGGCAAAATAATATTGTTCAAAATAATGTATTATATTTAGTTGACAGGTTTTTATAAGTCTCTTCCAGCCAGAACATTTCTGCAGTTTTACTTTCACTTCTGTGACTGAAATTTAAAGATAACAGATCCATTATTTTGCAGAATGCCCTCAATTGTTTTTTGACTGATATTTTTTCATAACTAGATTTAGATTATGTTTCATTGGCAAGAGTATTAGACAAATAATATGTGTTCTTCTCATTGCTTTCTCCCAGTTGTGTACAGGTTCAGGTTACCTTTCTTATTACTGTGTTGTTTACTTTGATTCTTTCATTAAAAGTCATGTCTTAACAGCTTTCTCTCCTGTGAAGAGACTCTTTTGCCCTTTTTAATTATTGAATAATTTGTGTAGAGGTGCAGTACTTTGGAATAACTCAATATAATATTCAACTTTCAATATATTAATATATTTATATATTATTTCAGTGTGGATGCATGCATTATCATTTTATTTAATGGATAACAACTTATTGTTAATTTTTATTTTGATACTGATATTTTCTTAGAGTTGGCCAGTGAGAGAGAGTTCCTTCAAGCTGGCTTCTATGTCCTCTGGACATGTTCCTATTCTTCTTTAAGCACTTCCTTGCTATCTGGCACAATAAATGTTCCAGGCTCATCTTCTAATTTCCCTGCTCCACCTGCAGATTTAGCCATTTCTCCAAGGACCCTTGGTTCCTTTTAGTGGATAATGATATTTATAATTCAGCATGTGGATACTAGGTGCACTCATTACTATTGGGGTTTTATTGTGCCCAGATTCTCTCAGTGAATAGACATATACCATATATATCTATATATATCTATATATATAATATATAGATATATATACACACACACAAACACACACATATATACATATCTGTGTATATATGTGTGTGTTTATACATGTATATGTATGTGTATAGCCCACCCCAGGCTTTGCCCTCATGTTGGTGCCATACTTACTCCACTCAGATTCTGATAGCCCACATCAGGCTGCCCATTTACATGAACAGCCTCTTTGCAGCACTTGTGCTGGACGCCTCACCCATGCCAGGCCCACAACCTGTGACGATGCCTTCTCACTCTGCTCCAGCATGACTCTCAGTGCCAGATGCTCTTCCGCACTTTCAAATGTTAGTCTTCATTTTGGTTATATATTGCTCCTTCCTTCCTTTCCTTTTTCTTTTCAACCTCCTGTAGGATATTGTGTGATGAATTATTCATTGTTTATCTATATTTGTTTTCTTTCTTTACACTGGCTTCTGCTTTCTAACCTAAACTATCTGCCTGCACACTGCCTACTTTTCCTCATGCCACAACTTCATCATTTTCCTTCCTTTCACTTTTAGACATTTTAAGAAGTCTATGTTCTTTCTCTTCCCATTCTCAGCCAATCACTATCATCTTGCTTTGAGTCTCATTATTCTAGTAAAAATGATCTCTTTAATTGTAACAGTGACTTCACAAGTTAAAACAGCCTCCTGTTTCAGTTTTTAAGTTGCAATACTTAGTATTCTCACATTATTTTTGAACAATGTCTAAAATGCAAAAAGATTCACTGAAAGAATTACTACTGCTCCTAAAATTCTAAGAAATTCAGGCCTACTGATAGAACAACTCAACAAAATTAAAGAAAAAATATTCTTAATAGTATAACAAAATGAAAATATCAGAACTTTCAAATAAATTAATTTATCTCTGTGCTTAATAATATTTTTCAAAATTTAAATGACATTATAAATGGAATGAAATTAAAATTACCCTATATCATATATTGTATAATGTTAATAAGATCCCAGTAGTACTTATTTCCAAACTACCCAACATTTAAGATATTATGTTACAATAGATTTTTAACTTTAACTTGTACACACACACATATATGTAAATATATATGTATATATATGTGTATATGTATATGTGGGTGTGTGTGTGTCTGTCTATGTGTATGTGTGTGTGTGTGTGTGTGTGTGTGTATATATATATGTATGTATTTAGAGACAGAGCCTTGCTCTGTTGCCCAGGCTGGAGTGCATGCAGTAGTGCAAAGATGGCTCACTGCAACCTGACCTCCTGGGCTCAGGTGATCCTCCTGCCTCACCTTCTGAGTGGCAGGGACTGCAGGGGTGTGCAATCATGCCCAGCTAATTTTTAAAATTTTTTATAGAGATGGGATCTTGTTGTGTTGCCCAGGCTGGTCTTGAACTCCTAGTGTCAAATGATTCTCTTACCTTGGCCTCCTAAAGTGTTGGGATTACAGGTGTAAGCCATAGCACCAGGCTTTAAGTTTTGACAGCAATAAAATTCATTTTTATACTAAAATATAGATGAATAAATAGGTAACTTCTGTTTATAATAAGGTAAACCTCTTGTGTGCTTTGAAAAGCTTTGAGAAAAAAGTCAATCATGGAATGGTTCGAGAAAAATATTTAAAAAGATGCAATATATATTTAAACTTACATAAATTTGAGTACCAGAACAAATCATCTTACCTTTATAAATTGATGGAAATGACATTATTTGGATGGGCTTTAAAGCACTTGAATTTATAAATATTTGGTGAGAATGCCTAATCACATTTATGTTTCCCTTGTTTAAAAGAATGATCACATGCTGGCAAAGGCTAAATATGGTCTGGTTACCTGATTTAGCATACAAATATTTGCCTGGGAGCAAGCCGTGTAACCATGCTTCATTATAACTGGTAATTGGGTAGCTGGCAAAGGATAGATAACTCTGTGAGAAAAGGAAACACAAAAAGGAGTTCAGGCTGTTTATCCCAATCCCAAGATGCACATTCATAGGGAAATTGTGTACTTTATAACTACACTGGTAAGTTAAGGATTAATTTATTTGAACAAATATTTATTGAGCACCTACTATGTCACTGGGCTAGTTGCTAGAACAACAAAATTGAATACAAGGCACAGTTTCCCTAAAGAATTGATCTTATAGTTTAGTGACTTTAGTGTTGAAAACTGATACACAAGCAGCACATTTCATTATAAGATTTTAAGTGCTATGATAAAGATATGTTCAAGATGTTTTTCTGCTGATTAAGAAGTCCCTGAGACAATGCCAGTCCTGAGGCTAAGATACTTTAATACACAAATCACTTTGTGTGATGATGTTTTTCTTTTGTCATCAGAAACTCCTGTAGAATGATTTAAGCTCTATGCCTTGTATATAAAGCTGCTCCTACAACTTGCTTATAAACTTGATTCTGAAAGTACGTATATGTAGTATGCGTCAAATGTAAATACACAATAGGGATTTAGTTAGAGTTATTTGTTTTAAAATGTCTTTTCATCTTTTAAATGTTGCAGCAGATCAATTATGAAAGCACTGCTCAGTATTGATATGGCAGGTTACATGGCCTGTGTTTGTTTGACTGCTCCCAGTAAATCACATTCTTACTCAGTTGGCAGTCTGAGAAGGGGAAGCCCAAGGATATCTCTGGTATTTTGACAAGTAGACTTTGCAATACACAGGAGGAACTGCTATTCCTCTGCTGGTGAAGAGAGGACAGCCCAGCTCCTTCTTAAATATGTATTTGTCTGGAGTATGAAAACCAAAGTCTTTTTTCTCTTCCTTGACTAGCCATCTTTCCCTTTCCTAACAAGTTCTCTGGAGGATTGAGAGACAATCTTCTGCAAGCAATTTTTATTTGCATTTGTCGTAATTAATATAGTTAAAAGATATGCATTCTTTCAAATTCATATATTTATTGAATTGTGTGTCTTTTGCTCACTTTTATCTTTTGGAGCTTTAATATTTTTCTGTTTGTACAAAACGTAACACTTTTATAACTTGATTGGAGTAGATTTTACATGTCATATTATGTGAATACTCAATGATTTTTTAGTGAATTTACCAAGTTGTGCAAAATACTGGAAGTCAGTTTCAGAACATTTTCAGCACCCCATTAAGATCATTAATGTCCACTAACTGTTAATCTTCACCTTGCCATCTGTCCCCCATCTCGTCACCATAGAAAACCATTAATCTACTCTGTGTCTATAGATTTGCCTTTTCAGAATATTTTCTATAAATTAGAATCATGAAATATGTGGTGTTTTTTATCTGGCTTCTTGTACTTAGCATGTATCAGTAGTTCATTCTTTTTATCACTGAATAGTAATACATTATAATGGTATTCCATTGATATGTATATCAATTCACCAGTTGATGGGCATTTAAGTTGTTTTCAATTTTTGGTTTAAGAAAAATGCTGCTAAGAACATTCACATGCAAGTCTTTGTGTGGTTATGTAAGATTTAACATTTTTTGACATCATATTGTTGTCATCAGTTTAATATCATTTGAAATCAAAATCAAGTATGTTTTTTCTATTTATATGATTATTGTGAAGATAAAATGCAATATATGAAATTGAATTACTCTTTCTTTATCCACTTTTAAAGCTCTCCCTTGAGATTAATTATAAGTTAAAATGTAAAAACTTGTTTTTGATTGTTTATATTTTTCTTACTCATAATTTTCATTATTGTACTCTTACTCTGTCTTCTAGGAAATTTTCTATGTTGTCTTTTCTATAAATGTTTCTACTTTTTATACCAAAAATCTTGTCCCTTACTGTCTTAAATATCTCACTAATTTATTAACAAGTCAATTTTGTTTTCCTAATAATTTTGCTTTATTTTACATATTTTAATTTTATTTGATCCAGATCCTTTTAATAATTCTACTTTCAGTTCATCCTGCCCTCTCTTTATGGCTCTCAGTTTCTTTTATTTTCCATCTTATTCATCTTTGAAAGTAAATATTGTCTCAGGTTTTAATCTTTTTAAAATTATTTATGCTTTCTGATTTAACACCCTAGCCCATCACTTACTCAGCTACTCAATACCTAAGTTTTCTTGTACATAAAATTTAAAAAAAAGTACCAAATTGGTTCATAGTCAAGAATAATGACAAATCAGTTTCCTAGTAGATGGATAGATAAGTAGAATAAAACCTAGTACCCAAGAAATACACAAAGAAATATAATCTAACTAAATGTTGAGGGAGTCATCCTGAGCTTAAAATAACGAATAGTAAAAGAATGATTTAACATCACCCAGAATTTTAGATCTTACTAAAAAGGAAATTAATTATTTGAATACCTGAAGTATATCTGGGCTACATTAGGCTTCATAAATGTTTTAAGTTATTTAATCTGATTTAATAGTAACATGATTTACCTGAATGCAGTTCTTTCTCTCTTACCAACAGAAGTGAGGTTCAGGGCCAGGCGTGGTGGCTCACACCTGTAATCCCAGCACTTTGGGAGGCCGAGGTGGGCGGATCACGAGGTCAGGAGATTGAGACCATCCTGGCTAACACAGTGAAACCACATCTCTACTAAAAGTACAAAAAAATTAGCCGGGCTTGGTGGCAGGCTCCTGTAGTCCCAGCTACTCGGGAGGCTGAGGCAGGAGAATGGCATGAACCCGGGAGGCAGAGCTTGCAGTGAGCGGAGATCATGCCACTGGACTCCAGCCTGGGTGACAGAGTGAGACTCCGTCTCAAAAAAAAAAAAAAAAAAAAAAAAAAAAGTGAAGTTCAGAAAGATTAAGATTGTAAAGAATTCTGGTTTTTTTGGCTTTGCTTCTGTAACACTATGCACTTCTTTTGGCAGTTTTTATATCGGGCTGTGTAGTTCATTGTACAAGCCCTTAGACAGCATATATAAGTAAGAGCTGACTGTGGCCAATGGCTGGGTATATACTTGATCCTTGTTTACTAGCAGAAGCTCTCTGTTACCTCAGATAATGGGCTGATTCATGGAATGCACTGTGCTCTGGGCTCGCTGCTTAGTTGTGGTGTTGGAGGACAAGGGAGTCAGGAAGGGCAGGTCTGACCGAAGGTCCTCTGTGGCAGGCACAAACACCAGTGCCAAGGGAGAATCCAGTGGGTGGTCACCAAACACCTAGAGCTTCCTCGGTTCTAAATTATCTGCTTAGGGATGGAGGGGAGCCTAAGCTCCTAATCTAGGAGAGTGGGTGCTCCAGATGCCTCGAGATCTGCTGGGATGTGGAGCAGAGAGGGTTCCCTTGCTCAAAGATCTCCACACAGGACAGGTTGGGTGACTCAGGCTGTTGCACCAGGCAAGTAGGTGCTCCCAAAGCCTGGAGATTTGCCTGGACCTAGAGCAGAGAGAGTCCCACAATGACAGCAAAAAATTGACAAGCGGAGCAAAATTAAACAAGAGCTTCTGCATAGCAAAAAAAAAAAAAAAAAAAAAAAAAATCTATCAACATAGTAATAGACAACCTATGGAATAAGATAAAATATTAACAAGCTATGCATCTGACACAGGTCTAATATTCAGAATCTATAAGGAAATTAATCACACAAGCAAAAAACAAATAACCCCATTAAATATCCCCACAAATAACCCATTTAAAAAATGGGCAAGAGGCATGAACAGACACTTCTCAATAGAAGATATACAAGTGAGAAACAAACATGAGAAAATGCTCATCATCACTAACCATCAGACAAATACCAGTTAAAACCACAGTGAGATATTATCTCATACCAGTCCAAATGGCCATTATTAAAAAGTCATAAAACAACAGAAGCTGAAGCTGGAAAGGCTGCTGAGAAAATGGAATGCTTATATACTTTTGGGAATGTAAATTAATTCAGCTACTGTGGAAAGCAGTTTGGAGATTTATCAAAGAACTTAGAACTACCATTCGACCCAGAAATCCCATTACTGGGTATATATACAAAAGAAAACAAATTGTTCTATCAAAAAGACACATTTACTTGCATGTTCATCTTAGTGCTATTCACAATAGCAAAGACGTAAAATCAACCAAGATGCCCATCTATAGTAGAGTAAATAAAGAAAATGTGGTACATATACACAAAAGGATAGTGCACAGTCAACCAAAAGAATCAAATAATGTCCTTTGCAGCAACATAGACATAGCTGGAGGCCATTATCCTTAGTAGATTAATGGAGGAACAGAAAACCAAATACCACATGTTCTCACTTATAATTGGGAGCTAAACACTGGGTACTAATGGACATAAAGGTGGCAGCAATAGACACTAGGGACTACTAGAGGAGAGAGGTGGGAAGGGGGTAAAGGGGTGAAAAAACTCCTGAGCACTATGCTTAGTACTTGGGTGATGGGGTCATTTAGACCCAAAACCTCTGCATCAGGAAATATATACCTAGGTAACAATACAGGACATGTACTACCTGAATCTAAAATAAAAATTGAATAAAAAAGAAAGATTAAGAAATTTTCTGAAACTCACACGGCTATGAGAATTTATGTGTGGAACTGAATTATAACAAATTTGTTATAAATAAAAAGTATGTTCTTTTTACTATACTACATGCACAGTGATTATGATAAATGTTGTTAAAACTTTAATCAGCTCACATAATCTTGGGGTTTTAATTTACTATTTCTTAAATTGTCTCTGGGAGAAAATAGATATTGTGAGCTCCATTATGCCCTAAAAATGTGTAGAGCTATCTACATGTCCTTGCCATATGCTATTTCATGGATGCCATCCCAAAGCCTTTCTACTGCAAGCTCCACTGACTCATTCATTGCCTGAGAACTTTCTCTGTCTCAAAGGTTCTTACACAATTTAAAATTCCAAGGAATTAACTTCTTTGGGAGCATCCTTCAACTACTGAAGTTCTTGTGCTTCAGTGTGAAAACAGTGAAGGGTGCTCTTTAAAATCTCTCGAGATCCCTGGGTGCTTGAGCCCTAGATAAACACAGTAATAAATTATTCATAAACACTAATTAACATTCCATTTTATTGGCATTTTATCCTTCTTTGTTGCACTTTTCCTCTGCTCCATCGGTGCTTCCTGGGATCAGATCCTCTCCCAAAAAAACTATGTGTATTCACGTCCATGTCTCAACATCAGCTTCTGAGGGAATGCAACTTAAAACAAAGGGATCCATTGTGAAAATATAAATTGTTTCAAAATTTATACAATTTATATCAATTCCTGGATGATATATGAAGGATTATTAAGGTAATTTAATTATCTTTGATATTTAATATTTTATATTTGTATTGAATTAAGAATTGATTTGTGAGAAGAAAAATGACAATATTTCCTTGTTTTTGATTTCATTTTCTTTTAATTGGACCATATGCAGCCATATAAAACTAATTATTCTTTCAATTATTGAAGCATTTAATTTCTAGTAACCAAATATGTAAATAATTAGGTATAGTTTTCAGTATACTGAATATTTCACATTAATCTAAATATCTGTTATAATAAATACCTAGTCTATTAATACTCATTCCCTTTGATAAATATCATTAGAAAAAATTTGCTGTAGAACATTATATTTGAATATATTTAACAGTGATGTTAGCATTATTATTATAATTTTATTGCCAGTTATTAAAATATGTCCATGTGTTTAAACTAAGCATATGTTTTTCTATTATGAATATCTTTCCTTTTCTTATAGAAATGATAAAGAATCCCTTGGATATCAGATCTCATACATTTAAATATGTAAAGATTACAATTTGATTCCAGGAGTTGGAGTTAAACATTTGTCTAATTGTGTTTTTACATATTTTTGGAGAAAATCACTCTGATCATCCTGAGATTGTTAGAAATATAGAAATTATAAGTAGATACCAGACATAAAAACTGAATAAACTAGAACTGCATGCTTTACTGTTTGTTCTTAGAAGTGTTTCATTTCTGCTGCTGTGGTTATCTTTTTCAGAGGTTGCTCAAATTCCATGAGGACTTCTTTTGGATAGCTTACCACAAAGATTACATTCTCTTTGGAGTTCAGATACCATACATCAAAACACTGGAGCTTTTGCAAGTTTTCTCTCAACAGGGGAAATATATCCCCTGCAAACTAAAGGCAAAGTCAAAAGAGCAGTAAACAACTTTCTAACTTTCTTCTCTTGGCTTCCTTCATTAAAAAATATAACTACACTATGCTCTCCTTATAGTATGCTTCATTATTCACACTAAATCAATGACAAGAATGTTGTTAAGTATGTAATTACAATAGGCACATTCTTATATTTGCTTGCTTCTTCTTGGTTTATGGCTTGCTTAAATATAAGCAAGAAATAATCTTGTTTTTGAAACAAATATTTTCTAAGTTTAATTATTGCATGTTTCAAAGTAGACAAATATCAGCCTTTCTGGAATAATATAATGGAAGGATATAAACAAAAGCAAATCACATGTTTACTTTAGCTAATTGTGCTGTATCCTCTTATATTTTACCCTCTCTTGAAAATAGGGAACATTCAAGTTCTAGAATTGATTTATAACCATGAATGATTATAACAAGTGACTGTCCTCCCCTTGAGTTTTATTGCACATACCCAGTTTGAAAGACTTACAGTGATGTTTCCCAGTATAACTGTATTTTATCAAGTTCTTTGATTTCCAGTTATGATCTTGGTTTTTTATCTAATTTTTAATTTTATTATATAAATTTATAACTCATATTTCCATAATAAGCATGCCTGCTTATTTCCCAATGTCCTTTATCCTGTTAATTGCTTTTAATCTTAAATTCCACCTTGTCTTATATTAATACCACTATACTTGCTTGTCGTTTGTTTGCATACACCTGTTATCTCTTTGTTCATCTTTTAATTTTAACCTTTAATTCTTACCATGTTTAGGGTGTCTTTATTGTAAAGATCCTTTAGAATTTTTTTTAACCTTAAACTGATTTCTGTGTTTTAGTTGAAGAATTTAATCCACTAACATTATATGTAATTAATGATATACTAAATTTTTATTTTACTTCATATTTATTACTTATTTTATCGTTTTCTTTTTATCACTTCATTCATGTTTGCTTCTGTGTTCAAAGTCTTCTTCATTACTCTTTCTTTTCCTTGGTAGATGGAAATACTGTACATTTCCATTTATTAACACTTATACTCACTTTTCCTGATGTCATAATCAAGCACTATGCCCCAAATGTTTTCCCATGACAGATGCTCAAATTCCCCCAAATACAAATAAGATGGAGCTTTCCAGTATTCTAATTTCCAGTACTCTCATTCCCCATTCTCTTTCTTCATTTCGAAGATACCATAGTAATTTATTTCTTCCCTTCCTTTCTTCGCTTTCTCACTCTCATTGTTTTGCTTTTGTGAAGATAGTCTAGCACTAATTCCTCTTAACGATAGATCCCTTCTATTTTAAAAGTTCTTCTTTAGCTTTTCTACTTCTCATTTCTATGCATTTCTTTAGCTTTTCTACTTCTCATTTCTATGCAGTCTTTATTTGTCCATAAGCATATCTCACAAGGTTTATTGCTCACTTCTTTCCTCTAGTTATTTCCTCATCTTAAAATCCACATTATTTTTCATTTGATGTTTGCTTAGAATCTTTTTTCAGATGTTTGTTTCAAGTTTGGAGTATGATGACAATATATACTCTAGGAATTCTTTCCTGGCTTCAAATATTTTTCTTTTTCTCTGGCAGATAAATAACATATTTGGGTTGAAATCTTTCCCTGCCAGTAATATATCAATACTGTTCAACTGTTTTCTAGCTTCCAGTGCTGCAAAAGGAGATGCACTTTGCCAGTCTGAATATATATGTATGTATATATATATACATATATATATATTTCCTAGGTAAAAATTTTGTTTTCTCTCTAGAAGCTCATGATATTTCCTTTCAACCTAACACATGTTATTATGATTTTCATTATTGTGTATCTAGCCTAGAACTTAGGAAGATTTTTGATCTACAAACTGACGTATCTTTGATCAATTTTTATTTCTATTATTTGTTTAACTATTGCCTCACCATTTATTATTATTATTATTATTATTATTATACTTTAAGTTTTAGGGTACATGTGTACAATGTGCAGGTTTGTTACGTATGTATACATGTGCCATGTTGGTGTGCTGCACCCATTAACTCGTCATTTAGCATTAGGTATATCTCCTAATGCTATCCCTCCCGCCTCCCCCAACCCCACAACAGGCCCCACTGTGTGATGTTCCCCTTCCTGTGTCCATGTGTTCTCATTGTTCAATTCCCACCTATGAGTGAGAACATGTGGTGTTTGGTTTTTTGTCCTTGTGATAGTTTGCTGAGAATGATGGTTTCCAGCTTCATCCATGTCCCTACAAAGGACATGAACTCACCATTTTTTATGGCTGCATAGTATTCCATGGTGTATATGTGCCACATTTTCTTAATCCAGAAAATGTGGCACATATACGCCATTTTTACTAGCACATTTTTTTTTCATTTCTGCTACTTCTGAAACTTTTATAGTTCATGTTTTAGCGCTCCTGAATCTATACTCCAGTCCAGTCTCTTGATTTTTGTATTACGATTTCTGTATTTTTGCACTGTGTTTTTCTTTTCTTTTCTGCTTCAAAAAACTTTATTTCCACTTGTTCCGAGGATTGGGAGAATGCTCCAGGGTAGTTCAAAAAGCTGCCTAGTGGCTGCAGGGGGGCTTAGGCGGAAGCCCTGTTGCTCTACGAGGGGCCCTTCAGAAGTCGCTGGGGGCAGTAGGCTCCTAGTCGTGCTTGAGAGTGAGCCTTTTGAAGACATATTCACCCGGCCTAGCCTCTGGGCTAGCCAGCCTATGAAGATTGGTCAGGTGGTCACTCATCTTCTTGAGGAGTTTCTCTTCCTCATCTAGGAAGTGACTCTCCAGGGAGCAAGAGAGATGGGATTATGTGTGAGTAGAACTGAGGGTATGAAGATCCGAAAGGGCCTGATTTAGTTTTTTCTCCAGGCTATGGTGGCTTCCGTCGCGTCCAGGGTTTTATCCGTACTCATCTTGAGCCGGCATCTGGATGTCATGGAAGAGAGCGCAGCTGCCGTGTTGGCTTTGCATTTTCAGGAAACGCTCTGTGCCCTGGCGCTTCTCCTCAGCCAATTCGCCAAAGTGACCCATGCCTTCCAGAGACACATTATCACGGTGGGAATAGAAGCCCAGACAGAGGCAGATGTAGGAGGCCCGCAGGTGCAAATTGACCAGGCGGTTGATGGTAGCCTCACCCTCCGTGGAATAATTTTGATGAATCTGGGAGCTCATGGTTGGTTGGCAAGAAGGAGCTAACCACAAAAACGGTGTTGGCTGGTCCCAGAAGCAGAAGATGGCCAAGAAGATGGTCCCGGAGATTGCAAGTGGAGAGGAGATCCCAAGGTGGTCAGAGGCTGGAAGAAAGAGAGTCCCTGGATCAGTTCCGTCCAAACACTGTTGAAGCAAGACACAGATCTCTGGGCCCTCTGAATGGGCTGCCAATGTATTTCTTTCTTTTTTGAGACAGAGTCTCGCTCTGTCACCCAGGCTGGAGTGCAGTGACTTCCGCATCCCGGGTTCAAGCAATTCTTTCTCAGCCTCCCGAGTAGCTGGGATTACTGGTGCACGCCACCAGGCCCAGCTAATTTTGTATTTTTAATAGAGACGGGGTTTCACCATGTTTGCCAGGCTGGTCTCAAACTCCTGACCTCAGGTAATCCACCCGCCTCAGCCTCCCGAAGTGCTGGGATTACAAAGGCTTGAGTCACTGCGCCCGGTCGATATTTCTTACCCTGGATCTTCTGGGTCACTAGTCTGTTTCACCAGTGACTATCCTCTCCTTAAGTTTATCTCTTAAGACTTTATGTGAAAAAAAAAATCATAGGTTTCTCAATCACCAAATATCTCATATGTGGGTGTGTATGTGTGATGTACTTCAATATCTTTAAACTCTTCTGGTAGCCACATTCTTTAGCACTTCTGCTTCTCTGAATGTGTTTTATTATTGTCCTGCCAACTCTTTTTTGATTTGGCTGCTGAGTCCCTTTGAAGAGCTATTACTTTTGTTATTGTTTTCACTTGTTTGTCTGAAGTCTAGTTGTTAGAGGTTAAAACAAGCAAACAAAACAATCCCATAAATGGATTTATGTTGTATAATATAAATAGTTTGTCAGTCATATGATAAAGCACTTGGGGAAAACCTTCAAATTCTTCAACCTCCTGAACTTACCAAGCCTCCAGAGCAGGAAAGGTCTGGCCACTTATTCTGCTTCCTCTTGACATTTTGGGGGACAATGACAGCAAGCCCACTTATGAGGAAGCTGATATCACCCTTTTCTTGGTGAATCCCCTAATCTCTGCCAAGATTTTCCACAATTCCAATATGCCCTATCCCTTACTCCTTGGTATTGACACTGCTCTCTGTGTTCTCAATACTTGGCCAGTCTCTGGGGAAGAAAGTTCAGTGCCACTTCTCCCTTTCACTGTATGTTGAAACCCCAACAGAGTTCCTGGCCTCGTTTGAAAAATGTCTACCTAAAAGATCCAGAAGTTGGTCCCGTGTGTCTTCAAAACTAACAGTTTAAAGCTTTAGTATTTTTGCCTCGATGCACGTATAATCAGAATAATTTTTATTAACTGGATTCTACTGATAAAGTGATTTTCCACATGTGGTTTTAATGATCATATAGTTTCATATCCTTAGAAAAGAAATTTTAAAGCCACTAATAAAAGATGAATGGATATGGAAAAAAGGGTCTGTTAATGGGTGAATGGATAAAGAAAATATGGTATATATACACAATAGAATCTTGTTCAGCCTTTTAAAAAAGGGAAATCTTGGCCAGACACAGTGGCTCACACCTGAAATCTCACCACTTTGGGAGGCTGAGGCAGACAGATCTCTTGAGCCCATGACTTCAAGATCAACCTGGGTAAGGTGGTGAAACCCTGTCTCTACAAAACAGTACAAAAACTAGCCAGGCATGAAGGTATGGACCTGTAGTCCTAGCTACTGGGGATTGGGGGTTGGGGCTCAAGTGGAAGTTTGCTTAAGCACAGGAGGTTGAGGCTGCAGTGAGCTGAGATCATGTCATTGCACTCCAGACTGGGAAACAGAGAGACAGAAACCCTGTCAAAAAAAAAAAAAAAAAAAAAAAAAAAAGGGAAATCTTTCTGCCATTTGCAAGCAACAACGTTAATGAACCTGGAGAACATTATACAAAGTGAAATAAGACAGACACAGAATGACAAATGTTGCATTGAACTTCTTGTATGTAGAATCTAAAAATTCAAACTCATCAAAGCAGAGAGAATGGTGGGTCATGGTGGAATGGGGCAATATTGGTCAGAAGGTACAAGCTCTCAGTTATAAGATGAGTAAGTTCTACTGTATTGTTTAATTGTAATTTGATAATAGAGCATATTTTAAGAGTTCTCACTGGGTGGGCATGGTGGCTCACACCTGTAATCCCAGCACTTTGGGAGGCTGAGACAGGCAGATCACTTGAGGTCAGGAGTTCAAGACCAGCCTGGCCAACATGGTGAAACCCCATTTCTACTAAAAATACAAAAAATTAGCCAGGCCTGGTGATGCACACCTTTAGTCCCAGCTACTCAGGAGGCTGAGGCAGGAGAATCACTTGAACCTGGGAGGCAGAGTTTGCAGTGACCCAAGATGGCACCACTGAACTCCAGCCTGGGCAACAGAGTGAGATTCCGGTAAAAAAAAAAAAAAAAAAAAAAAAAAGAAAAAGAAAAAAAAATTCTCATCATAGGCATAAATACACAAAAAAATGTAACTATGGATATGTTCATTAATACAATGGTGGTAATCATTATGCAATGTAAACATATATCGTGTTGTAGACCTTGAATATATATAATCTTTGTCAGTCAATTTTTTAATTAATAATAAGAAAAAAAATAAGATGGGTGCAAAGTACCCATGGTCAGGGCTGTTACTGCAAGTTGCACTCTCCCTCATAACATGTTCTAATAAGTATTGTAATAAAAGGTTTCAGAAGAACTCCTTAGTAGTTGGTATAAAGTTAAATATATCTACCCAAAAGAAGACGATGTGGCAATGGTAAATAAGAGGTCTTATCAGCACATTATTTGAATTATGAGATAGATCTGATGTAAATAAAGAGTTACAAGTGCCCTCTTTTTTGTCTTACATAGATGAAAGCAACTTACATTACTTTAAATGCCAACCTGCTCCTGGAGACACATGCTTCCTGAAAACGAGATTACTTAATGAAGTACTTGGCTACTCCATTCATGACAAGTGCATTTGAAAATGTTGTAAAATAGCCGTAGATTACAGACCTCATCACACACATGACTATTAATGCAATGAGACATGACAGAGCATGAAATGTGCAATATTCATTCACATTGGGAGCTAAGTACTATCAGTGCATCCATGTGTGAATTAATACAGTATAACACACTCGTGGCCATGGAATGTCACACAGTGATGATGATTGGGCTTGTAAAATGCCTTAATCAAATATTATTTGAAAAGAACAAGTATATGCTGTCACATTGATGACAAGGTTTAAAAGCGTTGAGCTAAATACATTATGCTTCACTATAGTCAATAGTCCATTAATCCCATCAATTGTGTAATTATTTTGAATTGCTTTATTTGAACTATATTTCACTTCTGAAGTCTTATATGAATAATAGGACATTGGAAAAGTAAATTAAAGTCAGCAGCATATCTTTATAACTTCATATCCAGAAATGTAAGCACAGTAAAAATATGAATGTGATTATATTCACTTTTATGTATTTAGGGACACAGACATACTCTACTGGTAATTTTGCCTGTCTGTCCCTCTTATATTTGTCCCTTCTTTTTCTTTAATAGCTATGTCCCCCCAATCTGTGTGTAAGTGTTTCAGTCATTTCCATATGTAAAATTTACCTTCTTAGATCCTGCATGCCTCTCCTTCTGTTCACAGGAAATATTCTCACAGTTTCCATTAACTGTTACCACTTCTATATGTTTACTCCATTATCAACTGACAAAAATCAGCTGCTTTCCTACCAGCCCTATTCCCATCTCAAACCCCAATCTTAAGCTATAATTAGTCAATAATTCTCAATTAATTATTACAAAGACCATTTTCAATTCCATGAGTCTTGCTTGATCTTTCTTGTGTTTGACAATTTCTATCACTCCCTTCCTGATTTTCATTACATTACATTTAATAGGTTCCCTTCAATATCTTTGGTGATTTCCTCTCAGCATTCTTCTCTTCCTCTTCATATTCTGAAACTATTCTTATTTCCTAAGATTGTATTCTTGTCCTTTTTATTATTTTTAGATCTTACTCTGCACTCACCTGAGAAATTTTTTCACACTCTGAGTTTCCAGTGCTCATAATTCAAGTGTCACCACTAGCTTACACTTTTCTGAGCTGTAATCCCATATATATCTACTGCCTACAATATTCCTCCACTTATAGAATCCTCAAAGTCAACATGGCCCAAATAATCTTCCCATTTATCATCCTGCTTGTTTTCCAATAATCCCTATTTTGTGAATGGTTTCATCATTAGCTCATTTATCTAAACATCATATGTAAAAGTTATTCTGGCTTCCCATTTTCTCTACCTTCTGAATTATACATGTGTCTCTATTGATTACTTACTAAACAATGGGAATATTATTAGTGGATTTATGCTTGTACTCGTCAATACATGATTTTTTATTAGCTCAGGATGTCATAAATTGGTCCTTCATATTCTCAGAAGTATCTTTGCAGTAGTTTTTCTTTCAATATTTTAATGTATTTTTAAGATTTTGTGAGACTCAGTATATTAAATTAATGTATTGCTCTATTTAAGGACTTTCATATTGCTTTCTTCTATAGTATAGATATATGCTTTGTGTTTAAAACATAAACAGAGACAGAGGTGGAGCAAAATGGCAGAATATAAGGATTCACCAATTGTTCCCACAACAAAGGCACTAATTTAACAACTATCTATATAGGAAAAAAAAAAACACCTTTCTAAGAACTAAAATCAGATGAACACTCACTGATAGTACTTCGTTTTAACTACATATCACCAAAAGATGCACTGAAGAGGTAGAAAAGACAGTCTTGAATGGCGGGTGATCAAAAGAGTCTCAATACTGTAATCCAGATAATTATCCTGAGTCTTCCCCAAGACCTTTAAGGTGCTACCTACAAGTCTGCAAGGATCACAGCGTTACTGGGCTTGGTGTGCCCTATAAAGTAGATACAGTTTAGGTCACAACACCCAAGTCCTTTCAAATATCTGGAAAGCCTTCCTAAGAAGGAAGGCTACAAATAAGCCCAGACAGTGAAGGCTACAATAAGTAGATAACTCTTCAATGCCCAGAAACTGAAGAACATGTGTTACTATCAATGCTATACATGAAAACATGACCTCACCAAATGAGATAAATAAGGCTCCAGGGACCAATCCTGGAGAAATAGACATATATGACCATTCAGACAGAGAATTCAAAATAGCAGTCTTCAGGAAATTCAAAGAAATTCAAGATAACACAGAGGAATTCAGAATTCTCTCAGATAAATTTATCAAAGAGATAGAAATAATTAATAAGAATTAATAAATTCTGCAACTGAACAATGCAACTGGCATACTGAAGAATGTACCAGAGTCCTTTGATAGCAGAATTGATCAAGCAAAAATAAGAATTAGTAAGCTTGAAGACAGGCTATTTGAAAATACAGTCAGAGTAGACAAAATTTTTAAAAAATGACAAATAACGAAGCACACCTATGGGATCTAGAAGATTACCTCAAAAGGGCAAATCTAAGAGTTATTGGCCTTAAAGAAGATATAGATAAAGAGATAGGAGAAAAAAGTTTATTCAAAGGGATGTAACAGAGAACTTCCCAAACCTAGAAAAAGATATCAATAAAATAAGAAGACTATAGAACACCAAAAGGATTTAACTCTAAGAAGATTATCTCAAGGCCTTTAATAATCCAACTCCTAATGGTCAAAGATAAAGAAAAGATCCTAAAAGCAGCAAGAGGAAAGAAAGAAATAACATACAATGGAGCCTTAATATGCCTGACAGCTGACTTTTCAGTGGAAACCTTACAGGCCTGGAGAGAGTTGCATGACATATTTCAAGTGTTGAAAGAAAGAAAAAAAATAACCTAGAATAGTATATCCAGCAAAAATATCCTTCAAATGTGAAGAAGAAATAAAAACTTTCCCAGACAAACAAAAGCTGAGGGATTTCATCAACACCAGACTTGTCATACAAGAAATGCTGAAGTAAACACTTCAATCAGAAAGAAAAGGATATTGATGAGAGATAAGTAGTCACTTCAAAGTGCAAAACTCACTGGTAACAGTAAGTAGAGAAACACAGAATGTTCTAAAACTGTGACTGTGGTGTGTAAACTACTTTTATCCTAAGTAGAAAGACTAAGTGATTATTATTCAAAATAATAACTACAACAACTTTTCAAGACATAGAACAATAAGATAAGTACAATAAGATATAAATAAGTTAAAAAGAAGGGGTACAAAGTTAAGGCATATAATTTTATTAGTTTCTTTTTTTATTTTTTTATTGTTTACACAGTGTTAAGTTGCTATCAGGTTAAAATAATGGGTTGTAAGATAGTATTTGCAAACCTCATGATAAGTTCAAACCAAAAAACACACCACAGATACACAAAAAATTTGAAAAGCAGGAAACTAAATCATATTACCAGAGAAAATTACCTGAACTAAAAGAAGACGAACGAAAGAAAGAAAGAAAGAAAGAAAGAAAGAAAGAAAGAAAGAAAGAAAGAAAGAAAAAGAAAGAGAGAGAAAGAAAGAACCACAAAACTAGCAGAAAACAAATAACAAAATAGAAAGAGTACATCCTTACTCGTTAATAATAACACTGATTATCAATGGATGAAACTCTCCAATCAAAAGACAGAGTAGCTAAATGGATTAATTTAAAAAAGAGACCCATTGATATGCTGCCTATAAGAAAGACAACTCACCTACAAAGATACAAACATAGACTGAAAATAAAGAGATGGAAAGAGATATTCCATGCCAACAGAAACCAAAAAAATAGGCCTGTCTACACTTATATCAGACAAATAGATTACAAGAAAAAACTATAAGAAGAAAGCAAAAAGGTCACTATAGGTTTGGTTTTTTCCAAATATAAGATCATATCATCTGCAAACAAGGGAAATGTGACTTTTTAAATTCCAGTTTGGATGCCCTTTATTTATGTATCTTGTCTGATTACTCTAGCTAGGACTTCCAGTAATATGTTAAATAACAGTGGTACAAACGGGAATCCTTTTTGTGTTTCAGACCTCAGAAGAAAGGCTTTCAGTTTGTCCCCATTTAGTCTGATACTAGTTGAGTGTCTGCCATATATAGCTTTTATTATGTGAAGTATGTCCTTCTATCTATCCCAGTGAAAAAGGGGTTAATTCAACAACAAGATACAGCAATGCTGGAGCACCCAGACATATAAAGGAAATATTATTAGAGCTAAAGAGAGAGAGAGGCCCCAATACAATAATAGTTGGAGGCTGTTTCTTCCAGACAGAAAATCAACAAAGAAATGTTTGTCTTAATCTACACTATAGACCAAATGGATCTAGTAGATATTAATAGAACATGTCATCCAATGGCTGCAGAAATTCAAAGGATTATTAGTGGCTACTCTGAACAACTATATGCCAATAAATTGGAAAACCTAGAAGAAATGGGCAAGTTCCTAGACACATACAATCTACTAATATTAAAGCAGGAAGAAATCCAAAACCTGAACAGACCAATAACAAGTAATGAGATTGAAGCCATAATAAAATGTCTCACAGGAAAAAATATTTCTGGACCTGATGGCTTCACTGCTGAATTCTACCAAACATTTAAAAAAGAATAACAATTCTATTTAAACTATTCCAAAAAAAAAAAAAAGAGAGAGAGACGGAGAGAATACTTCCAAATTCCTTCTATGTAGCTAGTATTACCCTGAAACCAAAGCCAGAGAAAGACATCAGAAAAAGAAAACTACAGGCCAATATCTCTGATGACTACTGATGCAAAAATCCTCAACAAACTGAATTCAACAGTATGTTAAAAAGATCATTCGCCTGTAGTCCCAGCTACTCGGGAGGCTGAGGCAGGAGAATGGCGTGAACCCGGGAGGCGGAGCTTGCAGTGAGCCGAGATCGCGCCACTGCACTCCAGCCTGGGCGACAGAGCGAGACTCCGTCTCAAAAAAAAAAAAAAAAAAAAGATCATTCATCATGGCCAAATGGATTTATCCCTGTGATGCAAGGATGATTCACCAAATGCAAATCATTCAAAGTGATACATCATATCAATAGAATGAAGGATAAAAACCATATGATTATTTCAATTGATGCTGAACAAGCATTTGAGAAAATTCAACATCACTTTATGATAAAAATCATCAAAAAACTTGGGATAGAAGGACGTACTTCAACATAATAAAAGCTATATATGACAGACCCTCAGCTAGTATCAGACTGAATGGGGACAAACTGAAAACCTTCCCTCTGAGTTCTGAAACACAACAAGGATGCTCACTCGTACCACTGTTATTCATCATATTACTGGAAGTCCCAGCTAGAGTAATCAGACAAGATAAATAAATAAAGGACATCCAAATTGTAATGGAAGAAGTCAAATTTCCCTTGTTTGCAGATGATATGATCTTATATTTGGAAAAGCCTAAAGTCTTCACACCTCAAATTATGAAAACTATTACAAGAAATCATTGGGGAAAATCTCCAAGATATTGGTCTGGACAAAAATGTATTGAGTAATATCCCACAAGCACAGGCAACCAAGGCAAAAATGGACAAATAGGATCACATCAAATTAAAAGCTTCTATGCAGCAAAGGAAACAATTAACAAAGTGAAGAGACAACCAGCAGAATGGGAGAAAATATTTTCAGACTACCCATCTGACAAGGGCTTAATAACCAGAATATATAAGGAACTCTACTTGATAGGAAAAAATCTAATAATCCAATCCAAAAAATGGGCAAAAGATTTGAATAGACATTTCTATAAAGAAGACATACAAATGGCAAACAGGCATATGAAAATGTGCTCAATATCATTGATTATCAGAGAAGTACAAATCAAAAATTCAATGAGATATCATCTCATCCCATTTAAAATGGCTTTATCCAAAAGACAGGCAGTAACAAATGCTGACAAGGATATGCAGAAAAGGGAACTCTCACATGCTGTTGGTGGGAATGCAAATTAGTACAATCGCTATGAAGAACAGTTTGGAGGTTCCTCAAAAAACTAGAAATAGAGCTATCATATAATTCAGCAATCCTACTGCTGGGTATATACCCCCAAAAAAAGGAAATCAGAAAATTGAAGAGATTTCTGCACTCCCATGTTTGTTGCAGCACTATTCATATTAGTCAAGATTTGGAAGCAGCCTAAGTGTCTATCAACAGATGAACGGATAAACAAAATGTGGCATGGAGTACTATTCAACCTTATAAAAGAATGAGATCCAGTCATTTGCAATAACATGGATGGAACCAGAGGTCATTATGTTAAGTGAAATAAGTCAGGCACAGCAAGACAAACATCACATGTTCTCACTTATTTGTGAGATCTAAAAATCAAAACAATTGAAATCATGGACATAGAGTGTCAAAGGATGATTACAAGAGGCTGGGAATGATAGTGGGAGGCTGTGGGGGGAGGAGGGAATAGCTAATGGGTGCTAAAAATTAGAAAAAATGAATAATATCTAGTATTTGATTACATAACAGGGTGACTATAGTCAATAATAACAATTATACATTTTTAAATAACTAAAATAGCTTAATTGGATTATTTTGAACATAGAGGATAAATGCTTGAGGTGTTGAATACCCCATTCTCCATGATGTAATTATTTCACATTGCATGACTGTATCAAACATCTCATATACCCTACGCGCACACACACACACACACACATATACACATATATATATACCCATATATATATACACACACACACACACATATATATATACATACTATGTACCCATGAAAATTCTAAAAAATAAAATTCTCTGGTTAAATAAATAACATAAAACACAATCAGAAGGTTTGGGTTACGTCAGCTTTGCTGAGTTTATTGTCATTATGGCAAGTTGTATTGAGGAAGAAAATCACCAAAAATATAAAATGGAAAGAAATGTCAATTATAAAAGATTAATTTTCAAACTAAAAGTAATGCAATTATAAGATGGAACTATAATTTATAATTAGTGTTTCCAAAAATTAATGAATCTTCCCAAAAATTAGCATGAGTCAAATGTAAACACAAAGATAGGCTCTCATTTATTGTTTTTTCATAACAATAGAACTTAAAATAATACTATTTTTGTAATGTTATATAACAAATTACTAAAACTTAGCAGTTTAAAAGAATACCCAGTTATTATCACACTTTTTTGTTGGTCAGAAGTGCAAGTGGGCTTACCTGGGTTCTCTTTTCTATGTGCTATAAGACTGAAATCAAAGTGTCCACTAGGGTGGGCCGTTATCTGGAGGCCTGAGTTCGAAGCTTATATACTTCTAAGGTTATACGTGTCATTGGCAGAAGTCATTTTCTTGTGGTATAGAACTGAGGACTCATTCTGTGGTTAGCTGTCAGCCAGGCTACACCATACCTCTGAAAGGCACCTCCCTTTCATCTCACATGGCCTCTTCAATCTTCAAAGTAGCAGTGGCTCATTGAGTCCTTCTCATGCTTTGATTCTCTCTGACTTCTTCTTCTGGTACCAGATTGAGAAACTCTTCTATTAAGGGGATTCAAGTTTCACTTCCATTTAGTGCCACTAACTGTAAATTTTTATTAACAGGTGCCTCACATTGGCTGAGGCTATTAACAAATGTCTGCTTTTGATAGCGTGGGCCCCTGAGAACATCTCCTGGGCTGCAAAGAGCGACTCACTCTTCTGGACCTGTAAAGTTACATCTTAGCTTCTGGACATTTACATCCAATGTGAAAGGAAGGGTGGTCTTTATACCTCCTTGGGAATTTGCCAGGCTGTATGCCAGATGTAAATAGGCAGAGCATCAGAAAATTGTCTCATAGTTCTGGGACAGCTAAACAGGGCTGGATAAGAGGGAGAACTGTGAGAGGCAGCTATGTTGGCCCTCACCCTCACATGAGATCGTTCAGAGTGTGTGGGCAAAATGGGGAAGTCTACAGGGTAGTGAAGGCAGCTACTGAAAATGGAACAATTAGGGAGTAAAACTACTGAGCAAGGAAATGTTTTTTTTTTTTTTAATTTAAGAAGTGTAATATTATCTGTGTTTTCTGCAATGAGGGAAGAGTTTGAATCTCTGAACCAGTTTGTGGCACTCTTCTAATCAAAAAGTAAGCAGAGTAAGATCTTTGTTATTACCACTGTGGGAAGAAAAATAAGAGGCTCTGCATGAGGGACATAGACAATGAGTCTGTAGAATCAATCACATATGGAGAAAAGCCAAGTCTGGATAAAAAGAAATGGGCAGTACATGTTATAGTGGATATAGAGTGAGTGAGTATCTCTGAAAATGCAAGTAACAAACAGTCTGACTCTATTTTGAGCAAGCAGTTAAGTGGAACTAAGAATTTTCAGTTAAATATAGAAACCAGAATTACTGATATATTTCTTTCCACTTTCCTAGTATGGAATATTATTAAGCTGAAAAAAAGACAGTCAAAATATCTTGACAATATAAAATAAAAGATTAAGATTTAATAAATATATTCTTCAAGTTCATCTAGCTAGAAGTATTTAAAAATTATTAAGCTGAAAAAAGAGATCTAGAATATCTTAACAATATAAAATAAAAAATTAAGATTTAGTAGGTAGAGATATTCTTCAAGTTTATCTAGCTAAAATTTTTCAAAAATTCATAGGAGAAAGAAATTGAAGATAGAGCACAAGAATTTTGGTTTTAATCTGTAGTTTTTGTGAGATTTTTGTGTTTAATGAAGTTAACCATAAAATGACAATAGCATGAGTTGGTCATTCTCAGTTTCACTAAAGCACCCATGTATGTCCCAACATAAAACAAAGCTAATTGAGAAAGTCAAAGCCATCCTGGAATGACCCTTATGCATTTATGTCTGATCCATGATCTGGTGTTGAAGGAAGCACTTAAGATCGCTGCAACGTGTGTCCCCTCCTGGTCAGCTAATTTCAGGGGAGACTATTGGGGTA
This sequence comes from Homo sapiens, assembly GCF_000001405.40. Lineage (NCBI taxonomy): Eukaryota > Metazoa > Chordata > Mammalia > Primates > Hominidae > Homo > Homo sapiens. Next base: position 104,165,792 of record NC_000001.11, read on the forward strand.
AGTAATAATTTGCTTCATATTTTTGTTTATTTCATTCACCAACAAAGGATATAAACCTCCTATGTCCACACCAGGGTTCAGTAAGAAGAAAGAACCCATACCAGTTATTTGAACAATGAAATTTTAATATGAACAATTATTAACTAGGTACAAAATTCATAATGAGACAACTGAAATATAAGAAGAGAAAAGAAAAGTAGCTACCGTAGGAACAGTTATCAATCTTAGAGATGTGGGAACAAAGAGAAGGGATTCAAATTACTCTTGGTAATTTAAATCAATTTCCTCGTTAAAATGAGGCTGTTTGACTAAATTATGCCTAATATTCTATGGCTATTATTCTCTACAATCTGTGCTCTAAAATCCTGTGACTTCATAAATCAAGCTCAATTAACCCCTGTGTGATTTTAAAAAAAGGTGAGAGTAGTGTTTATATTTCACTTCTTCTGAAGGGCTGGCATATTAGTAGAATGTCACCTGAACCCCCAAATTATAATGACCCAACCAATATTTAAGGTCATTTTTTGCTCACTTAACAGCCATGAAAATATGTCCCTGGTCATTGAGGGATTCACCTCTACTTACTGACTGAGGGACACAAGTCTTCCCAGCAATGGCTCCCCTATTCCCCCAGTCATTATGCTCATCTGCACCAAGCTGAGAGGGGAAAGCACATGTAGAATGTATACACTGGAGGTTTTGATGGTTATATGCGAAAGAGGTATTTATAATTTCTACTCACATTCTACTGGATAAAACTCAATCACTGTCAAGCCTAACAGAAACAAAGGAAGAAAAATTTAGCAGAGCTATGCTCCCAATAGAAAAGAAACATGTTTGGTAATCAGTTAACCATCTCTGCTACTGCTAGTTTTATGTAAACATTTTAGAGTGTAAAATTTCTGAGATAAACAGCTTAATTAGCCCTATTGTGTGTGCATGTTTTTCCAAAAGCATATCCAAATTATGATCTTATTTATTGAATTGATTGTTATCCATTTTACTTTAACAATTTTATTTAGATGTCTATATTTTATTTTAAAAGTAGTACTATACATTAATTTTTGTTTTATTTGTGTTCCAAAGTAAAGTGATTTTTGTGCAAGTTACCACATTATATAGAAATACTCTACTTGTGCATTTATTTGTCTCTCCCACTGAAATTTAAGCCATCATGGGCAGGGACTGTATCTTTTTTATCTTTTGCTTCCATATCATCAAAAGCACCAATAAAACCACCTAACCTATTAAAAAATGACCATCTAGAATGAAGTAAATGTTTTAATTTTCTCAGTTCTACATTTTATTAAGCAGGTTCAAAATTGTTTACGATGTAAAGGTATATATATATTTTTAATGAACAGCACGATGTTAGGAAGTCTCAGAAACAGCCATGGAAGACAGAAAGAGGTGTGAGTGCACTTGTAAGCAATTTGTTCTTTTCCAGACAAAGTCACACCCAGGACCAGAATTAATATAATATTTCCTCTAGGTCTTATACACTACCCTTTATGTGAGGAAGCTTTGACCCTCAGGAGTCACAAATGGCTTCACTAAAACTTTTAAACTTCATCAACAAAGGTGAAGAATCAACATAGGCAGCATGTCTGTTCCGCCCCAAATCAAGAATAATCCAGCCCACAGTTTCTAAGATCTTGCCTTTTCCTGGATTAAGTTAGGGCCAAAAAGAGATCTGGAGTTCCACTCTCAGTGAAGGTGGATTTATCAGCTTCCAGAAATAAGCAGCCAGGAGGCTGTGACCTTTAAAGTGTTAAAAGGAGGTATACACTCTGGATCTCTCCTGACTGTAAAAGAGGGCACCAGGGGTGATATTTTGCATATCTTTTTCCAGCTTAGTATTGTTCTCTACTAGGGAAGTGAAATAAATCTATCTGTGCATTCCGGTTTTTATACTTAACAGAAATTCTTAGCTCCACTTGCTCACTGCAGTTATTACAGGTTGAGGTGGCAAGGGTAGAGTGAGTTTTGTCCAAGAGCTTGGCAACTTTGGGCAGGAAACTATTTTTGTCTCAATTTCTTCATTTGTAAGATGAGAGGTAAGGAAGAAATGATTTCTAAGTTACCTTTCAGTTCTAACTTCTAGTAATTTTATTAGGTTGGCTTTTGCTCTGGAGAGAGAAGACCTAGATTTGACTCTGCGTGATCATGGGTGAGTGATTTAATCTCTCCAAAGCTTAATGTACTCATTAACAAAATGCAGATAATAATACCATTCCTTACAGGTTAGCACACATCTTCACCTGCAAAAATAGCTGAATAAAATGTAGTTATCATTAAAATATCTGTTACTGGCTATCAATTTCTTAAACTTCCCACAGAGTAATACCTTTTGAAATACCTCATTTATTCAAATCTGAAAATCAATAGAATTGCTATGAGAGTTTATAAAGTATACGCATTGTTATTAATTGTATATTGTTAACCGTTTAAGAGGTCTGACTTAGGAATTATAAATTTAGTCTCATCAATTTCTACTCATCCTGTGTATATGTTACATATAATGGGGGGGGGGTTGCAATTATTCAATTTAATAGTTTTACTCAAAATAATTAAATAATTTTTTCTTCAATTAAACCAGAGAGAAGAAGTAATGGGAGGTAGAAATGAATTATAGTCATTCATTCACACAGATAAATGTGAAGGTAATAAAACATGTAGTCTTGGACATAGCAAGAGACACTGAAAATAGACGGAATATTCAAATGGGCCTTATAGAATAAGTAGCACTTCCATAGCTATAAATTTTGAAAATACTATAATGGGTTGGGTTGGAGGAAGGTAGGAATGGGAAGAGAATGCCATGACCACAAAAAAGAGTAGAATTAAAGTGCAGGACACACTGATGGAAACCTGAAAGTAATTTTGACTCTGGAAATGTAAGTGTTAAACTTAAGTGAAAGAAATGAAATAAACATTAAATGCAATAAATGCTAAATGAAATCAAGCATGCTCATAAAAAATAAGTGGAATTTTAGGGAAAGTTTTGTAGGGAAAGTAAAAATGAGATTGATAAACCAGTGCACATATGAATGGGCAGGAAAGAAAACATTTATATCAATATTATTTCTTACTTAAAATTAAATATATGTTTAGGAAAGCTTTATCCCCCCAAACACTAAACTCCTAACTTTTTGTTTTTCTATTGTTACATTGCAATAAATATTAAACAAACAGACAATTAAAAAGAAATATTCTGTGTGAATTGAGCTGTTTTTGATACCCAAATGTATCTGATTTCGTTGAAGTTACCAGGCACTCTGAAGTTAGATTTCACAGAAAGTTTAGATTCTCCTTTCTTTCTTGAACTCAGTGAAATTCTTCAGCAGTGTAAATCCCTTTGAAGTCAGGTTGATATGCCGATGTTGAATCAAATTTTGTGAACTTCAAAGCTTGCTCTCTTCTAGAGGATATCCTGGTGAGGCTAGATATTGCAAAAAGAAATAATACTACCTGAACATTTTAACTAACCTGGTTTGTAAAATAATATGTAAGCCTTCTTATTTCGTGACTGTTCATCTTTTTGATATATTTACAATATTTAGTGCTTTATTATTACTATAATATTTCAAAATTTTGGTTCATACATATTTTATGCAATAGAAGTCTGATGAACTTACCTTACATGGAAATTTTATTTTATTTTCTTATAAAAAGGAGTTTTGAAAAGAATATAGAATTGTGAACCGCAGAAGCTTCATGAAGGTGTCAGCTATGAGTCGTGGGGTAAATGTATTCCAAAAAGGAATTAACAAATGAACATCCCAAGTTTTTACAAGAAGGAAATAACATGATGTATGTCTAAGTGCTTAGTATTCATTTAGAGTTAATTTAAAGCATCTGATTGAATTTTCTTCCTTCTAATCTCCATGAAACACTGAAAATTATCAGAATGATGACTTTTTAAATTAAGATATTTTTATTAATTATTCCAGAGTAAGGAACATATGGGGAATAACATGTATAACTCCTCACTTCCTCTCATATCCCACATACAAACCACAAGGAAATTGTGGGTTGCATGGGAATTAGATGCCATTATATTAGAATGTTATTGTAGAGTCTTCTCCAAACAGTTCGAAAAGTATTACAAAAAATACATAAATTCTTACAATGCCATATATAGGCATGAATTTAATTAAATTACCACATCCATTCTTTATCAAATTGGTACTGAGAGTCAACTATGTACTAGGCACTATTTCCATCAAGAATAAATGAAACACTCCTGTGCTCATGAAGTTCATGTTCAGAGTTTAGAGAGAGGCAATTAAAAAAAAGAATGAATAAGTAAATTATATAATAGTGGGAAGTAATACAGAAAAAAAGAAAATGCAGAGCAGGGTTAGGTGAATCAGCAGTGGAAGGCATCCCTTGCATGTGGGTTTAATTTCAGATAAATTGTGAGGGAAGGCCTCGGTGAACGTGTAACACATGAACCAAGACTTGAAGGTGCGAGAGTGAGTGCTGTGCATGAGCAGGGAAAACGTTTGAAGCCAAGGCAGTGGCAGTGTGGAAGCCCGAGAACAGGAGTGTCCATCAAGCGGTTAAGGAGCACAGTTTCCTGCAAGCAAAGTAAGCAAGGAGAGAATGGAAGGACATGGGGGAAGGAGGGTGATTGTGGAAGGCAAATAAGCCTATTTTTTAAAACTTTTAATTACATTCTAAATGGATTAGCAAGAGCCATGGGTGGAATTTGTGAAGTAAACCAAATTGTTTTGGTTTGTATTTTAAAAGGAACACTCTGGCTACTGTGTTGAGAATAAACAAGACAAGGATGGAAGTGGGGAGAGGAGCGAGAAGGCTGTTGCAGTGATGAGAGGGAGAGAAGGCCGTGGCTCCCAAGAGAGTGCCAGCAGGTTGGGTGGTGGGCAAGGGGTCAGGCTCAGATTTCATTCTGAAAGTAGAACCAGTAAGATTTCCTTGTGGGTTTTATGTCTGTTATGAGAGAAAGTGAGGTGTCACAGATGACCCATGATTTTTTTTTTTCCTATGAGTGACAGAAAGAATGATCTGCTATAAACATGGGAAAAGCCATAGGAGGAACAGTTTCTTTCTTTCTTTGAAGAGAGTGGGTGGAATGAGAAACTCAGTTTTGATAAAACAATCTACCCAAGTCAAATACCCTTTTCCTTATTGAATAAAAGCATAACATAAAAGACAGATGTATTTGTACTAATTTAGGTAGGAAGTCACCACAGTTTTCATAATTCATTTTGGCCTATGTTGCAGCATTGCATTTCTGGTATCAACAGACTATTAATAAACCAACAATGAAAAGCTTAGGGAGACCAACATCTTTAGACATACTTAGAACAAAGTATAGATAGCTCATATTGAATGAAATTCTGCCACATGAATTTAAGAGAAAAGGATCATTTTTTCAATATTAATCTTGATATTTAGCTTTTCATTAAATGGATAGGTTTTAAGGGAGGCATTAAATGTATTGGAAAAGGTGAATTGCTTGCCACAAAAATAAAATTTTAAGGAGGTTATTTTAATATAATAAAAAGTGTGTTTTGGAAGGTATTGTATCAAATGAGTGAAACAGAATATCAAAAAATAATTAGTAACTTTTAAAGTCAATTAATACTTAAACCAGAGTCTTTCAGATTATCAAAGAAATTTTTGGCCATAGTGGGTAAAGTACTGGTTAAAAACTTTTATTTTTTTGGAGCTAGAAAGACTTTGGTTAAAATTCAAATATTTAATATACTTAGCTAATCTTAGTTTCTTTCTTCTCTTCTCAACGAATGGGATAATAATAATCACCTTATAGGATTTGGTATATGATGACTATGAAAATAATTTCAATAATATTGCTTATAATTATGTGTAAAATATACACATATATATTCATATATATACACACACACACATATATATTAAAAACTTACCACAGTACTTAAGATCCAGAATGTGAACACAGCCAACATTCAGTTTTCTTATGAAATTAAATCCAAATTTTCTTTTGGAGGATGAATCATTTTACTTCATACGATCTGTTGAGATTATAGTTGACTACAGTTAGGAATTATATCAGTTAAGACTGGCTAAAATGCTATAAAAAACATGAAAATATCATTAGCTCCCATTCAGTAAAAGTGCATCTATTAATTACATATAAATCAAGGGTAAACATTGCAAGATGGTGGGAATTTTGCCTCCATAGTGATTTGGAGATCCACACTTTTTTCTCATTTTCTGACTGTATCAACCTCTAGGGCTTGTTGAATATCTATATTTAGCAAACTGAAGGATTAATAGAACATGGAGGAATTATGTCTACTTCCAAACAGATGAGCTTTCTGAGTATAGTTCAATACTTGTCATATTGTCACACCTGACGGAGAGGTGACAACGTGCTAGCAGCTTTTGCTCGCTCTCAGCACCTCCGTGTCCACTCTGGCTGTGCTTGAGGAGCGCTTCAGCCCACCCCTGCATCGTGGGATCCCCTGTCTGGGCTGGCCGAGGCCGGAGCCGGCTCCCTCTGCTTGCAGGGAGGTGTGGAGGGAGAGACCAGGGCGGGAACCTGGGCTCCGCACGCGGAACTGGCCGGCCAGCGCACGTTCAGGGTGGGCACAGGCTTGGCAGGCCCTGCACTTGGAGCAGCCAGCCAGTGCCGCCAGCCCCAGGCAGTGAGTGGCTTAGCACCTGGGCCAGCAGCTGCGGAGGGGGCACCGGGTCCCCCAGCACTGCCGGCCCACCCATGCAGCACTCGAATTCTCGGCCGGGCCTCACCCACCTCCCCGTGGGGCAGGGCTCGGGACCTGCAGCCCGCCATGCCAGAGCCCTCCCACCCCGTGGTGGGCTCCCGCGCAGCCCGAGCCTCCTGGATGAGCAACACCCCCCCTGCTCTGTAGCACCAGGTCCCATCCACTGCCTGAGGAGTGCAGGTGTGTGTGGCGTGGGGACTGGCGGGCAGCTCTGCCCTGCCACCCTGGTGTGGGATCCACTAGGGGAAGCCAGCTGGGCTTCTGAGTTGGGTGGGGACTTGAAGAACTTTTATGTCTAGCTGGAGGATTGTATATGCACCAGTCAGCACTGTGTCTAGCTCAAGGATTGTATATGCACCAATCAGCACTCTGTATCTAGCTAATCTGGTGGGGACTTGGAGAACCTTTAGGTCTAGCTAGAGGATTGTAAATACACCAATCAGCACTCTGTCTAGCTCAGGGATTATAAACGCACCAATCGGCACCCTGTCAAAACAGACCAATCAGCTCTCTGTAAAATGGACCAATCAGCTCTCTGTAAAATGGACCAATCAGCTCTCTGTAAAATGAGCCAATCAGCAGAATGTGGGCAGGGTCAAATAAGGGAATAAAAGCAGGCTGCCTGAGCCAGCAGCGGCAACCTGCTCCCGTCCCCTTTCACACTGTGGAAAGTTTGTTCTTTCACTCTTCGTAATAAATCTTGTTGCTGCTCACTCTTTGGGTTTGCACTGCCTTTATGAGCTGTAACACTCACTGTGAAGGTTTGTAGCTTCACTCCTGAGGCCAGCGAGACCACAAACCAAACCCATCAGAAGGGTTGAACAACTCCAGATGTGCCGCCTTTGAGAACTGTAATACTCACTGTGAATGTCTGCAGCTTCACTCCTGAAGTGAGAGAGACCACGAACCCACCAGAAGGGAGAAATTCTGGACACATCTGAACATCTGAAGGAACAAACTCCAGACACATAGTCTTTAAGAACTGTAACAGTCACCATGAGGGTCTGTGGCTTCATTCTTGAAGTCAGTAAGACCAAGAACCCACCAATTCTGTACACGTGATACCAAAGAGAATCTGAAAAATAGACGTCTCAGCTAGTTTCTCACCTAAAGTTTTATGTACTATGGAAATGGAAGACAAATGTAATAATTAGTTATGCTAGCTAAAGACATTGAGCATCTACTGGGTCAGATATCAGCACTTGACCCAGTGTTGATGAAGTGGATACTAATTTATTTTTAATTTTATGTTTATTGGAGTTATTTTCTTAGTGGTTAATCTTGGGATTACAGCTTGCATCTCAAATTAGCCACATCTATCTCAGATTTCTACCAACTTAAATGTAGTGATACATATACAATTTGTTTCACTATACGGTCATTTTTATTCACTGTGTGTTATTCTGTATTCATGCTGCTGATAAAGACATACAAGACTGGGGAATTTACAAAAGAAAGGTTTAATGGCCTCACAGTTCCATGTGGCTGGGGAGGCCTCACGATCATGGCAGAAGGTGAAAGACATGTCTCACATGGTGGCAGACAAGAAAAGAGAGTGAGAGCCAAGAGAAAGGGGTTTCCTCTTATAAAACTATCAGATCTTGTGAGACATATGGACTACCATGAGAGCAGTATGGGAGAAAAGGCTCCCATTAATTCAATTATCTTCCACTGGGTTCCTCCCACAACATGAGGGAATTATGGGAAGTTACAATCCAAGATGAGATTTGGGTGGGGACACAGCCAAACTATATCACACTGTTTTACTTTTCATGGTTTCAATTAGCTGTGGTCAACCACAGACTGAAAGCATTAAATGAAAAATACCAGAAACAAAAAATTTATAAATTTTAAAATGTGTCATTCTGAGTAGTGCGATGAAACCTCATGCCATTCTACTGCATCCTGCCCAAGACATGAGTCATCTGTTGGTTCAGCATATCCATGCTGTATATGCTACCTGCCCTTTTGTCACTTAGTAGCCATCTCATTTATCAGATTGGCTTTCATGATATTACAGTGCTTGTGCAAAAGTAACCCTTATTTTACTTAATAATGGCCCCAAACACAATAGTATTGGTGATGACAATCTGAATATGCCAAAATGAAGCCATAAAATACTTTCTTTACATTAAAAGATAAAGGATCAAAACTTAATAAGAAAAGAAAAAAAATCATATACTTTGGCTGCTAAGATCTAGGGTAAGAGCAAAACTTTTATCCTTCAAATTGTGAAGAAGGAAAAGGAAATTTATACTAGTTTTGCTGTCATACCTCAAACTTTATTATTATGCATAGGAAAAACATTGTGTATATAGGTATCGTTACTATGTGCTGGTTTCAGGCATTCATTGGGGAATCTTGGAATATATCCCATGCAGAAAAGGGGGTACTATTTTAGTTTTCTTCACTACCCCTCTTTGTGCTATTATTGTCAAATGTATTATATCTGTATATCTTACAAACACCACAATGCAGTGTTATAATCATTGCTATATATAAAGTTAGGTCACTAAAGAAAGGACAAAAATACGTTTATAGTGTTTTTGATCAAACTTATCACTCTTGATAGTCTTCCGGTGGAGTAGAGTTAATAACTCAATGTCACTTTCTTACTCCACTGTAATCTTCTTTCCCTCACTACTTTGGGCTGTTTTTGTCAAATATGTTATATGTTTATATGCTATAGTACCAGTATTTCAATTTTATAGATATTATTTATAGTATTATTTTAAATCAATCAAGAAAAGAAAAGAAATATGTAAGTGTCTTTTATAATTACTAGGTTGTTATCTTTACTAGCACTTTTTTATGTCAATTAGAATTACTGTCTGATATTACTTTATTTTAGCATGGATAAATTTCTTTAGTATTTCTTATAAGGTACATCTGCCAGCAACAAATCCTTTCAGTCTTGGTTTTCAATGTTTTATTATGCCTTCATTTTAAATAGCTGTGCTGCATATAGGACTCTTGGTTGACAGCTCTTTTCTTTAAGCACCTTGAGTAAGTCACCTCACTGCTTTCTGGACTCTACTGTTTCTTAGGAGAAATCAGCTGTTTATCTTATTTGTGTTTGCTGGTATACGGTAAGTTATTTTTCTCTTGCCGCTTTAAAAATTTTTTCTTTGTCATTAGCTTTCAACATTTTGACTATATCTAGATATATATTTTAAAAGTTTACTAGGAATTTGTTGAGCTTCATGTACATGTAGATTAATGGTTTTCATTATATCTGGGAAGTTTTCAGGCATTATATCTTTGTGTATTGTATGCCCTTTTCTCTTTTTTCCTTTACATTCCACTGGGCATATGTTTGTGCACTTAATAGTATCCTACAGATCTCTGAGGCTTTGTTCATTTTCCTGAATTTTTTTTCCCTGTTCTTCAGATTCCATACTCTCTAATAATCTATCTTCAAGTTTGCTGATTCATTCTTCTGCCAGCTCAAAGCTACTGCTAAATCCCTTTAGGTATTTTTTATTTTTCATTATGGTACTTTTCCACTCCAAAATATGTATTTTTTTAAATATCTACCTCTTTATTTATAATCTATTTGATGTCATTCTCATCAATTTTCTTTAGTTTGTTGAACATATTTATAATAGTCCTGTTGAAGTCTTTGCTAATTCTAACATCTGGGTACCCTCAAAAACAGTTTATATTCCTTGCTTTTTAAAATCCTCTTTGAGTAAGGTACACATTACCTTATTTCTTTGACTTTCATAATTTTTTTGGTCAAAAATTGGACATTTTAGAGAGTATAAGTTAGCAACCATTCCACCACTACCCACCAGGGGTTGATGTTGGTGTTTAGTGTTATTTGCTTAATGACTTGGCTAAATTAATTAATGAAATCTATTTCCCTTGTAATGTGAAGTCTCAGATGACACATTTTCCCCCCCTCACTTTTAAATTTTAAGCTTGCTTGTCTAGCAGTCTCCTCTGGGTTAACATATTTTACTGTTCATCTAGTGGCTAGTCAAAAGTTATCCTTATGTGTTACTTCTTGTTACAGCTATATTCATGGAACTATTAGCCTTCTACTCTTAATTCTCTATTCTTCTATTATTAATTGCTCACTACTAGAACTATACTTTTTGAGAAAACCTTAAGGCATGTGATTTCCATCCTCTTTTCCAAATGAAGTCACCCCCTTCAACAGATTAACACACCTACCTGTCTTTGTTTTGCCTCTCACCTAGGCAGAACCTCTGTTGTATCCCACTGGAGGAAGGGGTGGCAGCCTGTTTCTCTGGAATTACATCTCTGTCCTATAACCAGAAGCTGAGGAGAAATGAGGAGGAAAAGCCCTGAATTTTCACCTCTCTCATCATAGAACAGTCAGAGGCATGTGAACCAGAACAACTCTATCTTGACTAGGAGCTGGGTAAAATGAGGTTGAAACCTACTGGGCTACATTCCCAGACAGGGCATTCTAAGTCACACAATGAGATAGGAGGTCAGCACAAAATACAGGTCATAAAAACCTTGCTGATAAAACTGGTTGCAGTGAAGGAGCCGGCCAAAACCCACCAAAACCAAAATGGCCACAAGAGTGACCTCTGGTTGTCCTCACTGCTACACTCCCACCAGCACCATGACAGTTTACAATTGCATAGCAACATCAGGAAGTTACCCTATATGGTCTAAAAAGAAGAGGCATAGATAGTCCACCCCTTGTTTAGCATATCATCAAGAAATAACCATAAAAGGACGGGCGCGGTGGCTCACGCCTGTAATCCCAGCACTTTGGGAGGCCGAGGCGGGCGGATCACGAGGTCAGGAGATCGAGACCATCCTGGCTAACACGGTGAAACCCCGTCTCTACTAAAAATACAAAAAATTAGCCGGGCGTGGTGGCGGGCGCCTGTAGTCCCAGCTACTCGGGAGGCTGAGGCAGGAGAATGGCGTGAACCCGGGAGGCGGAGCTTGCAGTGAGCCGAGATCGCGCCACTGCACTCCAGCCTGGGCGACAGAGCGAGACTCCGTCTCAAAAAAAAAAAAAGAAAGAAAGAAATAACCATAAAAATGGGCAACTAGCAGCCCCGAGGGAGTCTATGGAGTAGCCATTCTTTTATTTCTTTACTTTCTTAATAAACTTGCTTTCACTTTGCACTGCACACTAGCCCTGAATTCTTTCTTGTGCGAGATCCAAGAGCCCTCTCTTGGGGTCTGGATCAGGACCCCTTTCTTGTAACAGAACCACTGCCAGACAAGTAGGAGCTGGGGAGTATGGGCAATTGAGATCCCAGTGTTCTTGAGAACACCCTGCCTGGGTAAAGATTCTTCCCTGTGAATGGAAGCAAGGTGGGAGAAGAGAATTAGTTTCCTTAAACACACCAATCCAGAATAGAGCTTCCAGAACATGTAGCTAGGATGGGGGTAAAAATGGGAAAATGCAGCAGTGTGTCCCTCCTAGGCAGCATCATCACACAACTGTGAACTGAAAGGAAAGATAGCCTCCATCGTCTTGGATGCACACCTTTGGAGTAAAGTTTTTGAAACATGTAACTGGAGGGTGGTGGGTGGTAATATCAGATTCTTATTCAAATGCCTTAGACTCCCATTGTTCTTGTGAATATTCAGAATATATTCTTGAGTAAGTGGTTCTTAGTTTGCTTTGTGCACTTAGGTCAATTTCCAGAGAATTCAAATTGTTCTGTTTTACAAATTTCAATAGTTTCATGATTGTTTTCCTGAAGAGTGGATTTACCAAACTCTTCACACTGCCATTCCAGGCTGAATTTTTTCTTCATTAAATTTGAATATTGAACAGCAAGACAAGGACTCTATATTAACATTTGAAAAAACATTCTTCCTACTGGTGATGTCATGATCTGACTGTTCCATCTACCCAGCTTCCAAAGCCACTTCATTATGATCCCTTGCCAGGTATGATTCTCCAGCCATCAGTTAGATTTGTCCATTCATTTATTTGTTCAATAAATACTTATTGGGTTCCTATTATGCCTTAGACACAGTTGTGGAAACACAGGGTCAAGCACGAAGACATAAAAATCCTTGGCCAGGCGCGGTGGCTCATGCCTGTAATCCCAGCACTTTGGGAGCCTGAGGCAGGCGGATCACGAGGTCAGGAGTTCAAAACCATCCTGGCTAACATGGTGAAACCCCGTCTCTACTAAAAATACAAAAAAAAAAAAAAAAAAAGAAAAAAATTAGCCAAGCATGGTGTAGTGATGGATGCTTTATTAAATAAATCAAATTATGTGAATCTTAGTGTCCTTTACAAAGTTTTTTGTTTTGTTGCTGAAATTAGACTGAGTCAGTCTCTGTGACTGACTTTAACTATGCCTGATATAGTAGCCATTCATGAAATTATAGTTTTTATTATTGTTATTCTACCATTTTAAGAAAGGATTAAGAATAGAAGGAATACATTAAAATGAGAATCTGTATTTTGTATTTTTTTGATTCCGTTTAAACATGGAGATGTCTATATTCATTATTTTTGCCAGTTAATATTAATTGCAGATATATCAAAATCTTTTTAATGCCACAATTAAGTATCTCAGGAAATATAACAATTTAGTAATTTTTTTCAAATTTTTGTCTCAAATATTACCTTCTAAGTGATATTCTCCATTAAATCACTATTTAATCTTTACCTCTCCAACCACTAATCTGTGTTCATGTTTTGTTTTGCTTTGTTTTAGTGTTTCCAACCACTAATATGTGTTCATGTTTTGTTTTGCTTTGTTTTTAAACCTTTACATATTGTCCATTTTGTCACATTATCACCTTCTGACATACTAAATATTCCATTTATCAGTGTCACTGTATGTATGCCAGAGGCTGGGAGTGGAGTGGGGAGGGAGGGAATGAGAGGTTGTTGATCAAAGAGTACAGAATTTCTGATAGACAGGAGGCATAAGTGTTGAGATATGTTGCACAGCAGGGTGACTATAGTCAATAATAATGTATTGTACATTCCAAAATAACTAAGAGAGCATATTTGAAATGTCTCAACATAAAAATCATATGTAAGCAAAATGATGGCTATGTTAATCAGTTAGACTTAGTCCACATTTCATACATAGATCAAAATATTACCTTGTACCCCATAAATGTATACAATTTATGATTTGTCATAATAATACTAATAAAAAGAAATCATGACAGTAATAATAGTTCAATTTAACATATTTAATGAGAACGGAAGACATGCTTTTAATTTAATATTGCAATTAACTATAAAGAAGACTGAATTTCTAATTAGTCTACTAGACCTAATATATTTAAGAGTATTAAAATATTACTGTAGGAAAAAATATCTTAATTCTTCTTCATTTTATAATATAATTTTATGTAAAATCTAGGTATCATGCCATCACACATGAGGTAAGCAAAGTTAATAATAATGTATGACCCTCAGTTCCCATTGCTCTTCAGTCATCAGAAATGCTGTAATATGGTACAGTAGAAAACAATGAGGTATACCGGCTGGGCACAGTGGCTCACGCTTGTAATCCCAGCACTTTGGGAGGCCAAGGTGGGTGGATCACGAGGTCAGGTGTTTGAGATCAGCCAGACCAACACAGTGAAACCCTATCTCTACTAAAAATACAAAAATTAGCTGGGCGTTTTGGTGTGCACCCATAGTCCCAGCTACTCAGGAGACTGAGGCAGGAGAATCGCTTGAACCCAGGAGGCAGAGGTTGCAGTGAATCGAGATCTGGCCACTGCACTCCAGCCTGGGTGACAGAGCTAGTCTCCATCTCTACAACAACAACAAAAAAGAATGAGATATATCACAAGAAACAGTAGTGAAAGCTGTGAATATACTGCTTAAATAATTTTGAGAAATCAGAAACTTATAAAGCCCATCTTAAATTCAGTTCTTTAGGGGCTTGGCCGCAATTCTTCAAAATGTTGTAAAAATAAAATACTCTCATATATGCTGAAAGCTTTCTAAGCCATAAATATCTGCACAAATGTTTAACTTCATTAGAAATAATTAGAATACAATATATGTGTAATATAATTAGATAATAAATGTAATCTACACATATAATTACACAGAATAAAATTATATGTGTTATATAATTAGATAATAAATATAAATATATGTACAGTATTGCATAACATTATTTTATGTAAAATATGACTCATATTCAGCAAATTAAGATAGATATGAACTTATATAACCTTATGATTAAATACATTTACTCAGCAATGTTGATCAGAAAAATAATAATTTTTATTGCAAAGTCAAAATTTATCTGGGTTACTTGGAAGAGATAAATTTCTAAAGTCAGTGATTCAGAGATGTGTCTCCACAGGTCAAAAAGTCATTATGGAGCTGCAACCAACATACAAAGGGAAATACTGCAGAAATTTTCATTCTCATTGCCCCTAAGGAGGGTACTTAGAACAAGGGATGGAATGTAGCTGTATGAAGGGTAGAGCAAACTGTGTGTGCTATGGGAAATACATTTCTTCTTGAAGTTAATGATATTATCATGAGAAAACCACAGGGAAACAAAATAAAGTGGGGACCTCACTTGGGTTACTTTACCATATTCTATTTTCAAGGAAAATCTATAAAGACATATGGAAAGACAAAGAAGAGATTATTGAGATAAATAATAACGCCTGTGTCAGAGCTCTGAGTACCACAGATTTTTTTTTTCATTCTGCCACATAAGTGTAGAAAAATACATCCTACACCAGATTTGCCTATCTGATCCTGTTTCTGACCTCACTAACTGTTATGGAAACTAAGGAAACCAGAATAGGAAAGGTGGATGCTCACTTTCACTGTGCTTTGTAAATGCCTACAATCTCAGCAATAGTGACAACCTGCTGTTTGGACTCTTCTGCCCTCCACTGTTGTACCCTAAAAATTCCAGTTTCTCCAGCTGTAGTGTACAGTGGTAGACTACAGGAAATCTACATTTTAAATTTTGATCTCATTTTAAGCTTTGTGAAAGGAAAATAAATCTTGGGGCCCCAAAATCACTCAGCTAAAGGGAAAAGTCAAGCTGGGAACTGCTTGGGCAAACCTGCCTAATAATCTATTCAAAGTCATCCCTCTGCTTACTGAGATAAACACATATTTGATTGCCTCCTTTGGAAAGGCTAATCAGAAACTCAAAAGAATACAACCATTTGTCTCTTCTCTACCTATGACCTAGAAGTTCTCTCCCCATTTTGAATTTTCCTGCCTCTCTGGACCTAACCAATGTTCATCTTACATGTATAATTGATGTCTCATGTCTCCCTAAAATGTATAAAACCAAGATGTGCTCCGACTACCTTGGGCACATGTCATCAGGACCTCCTGAGGCTGTGTCACTCGCATGCAACCTTAATTTTGGCAAAATAAACATCCTAAATTGACTGAGATCTGTCTCAGATTTTTTGGTGGTCACAGTTTTTAGGGCCATGCAAAGGATAAAATAGATACCTTCATAACCATTTCCACTTCTCTGAGCACCAAAGGAATGTAAAATAAGGAGGTATCAGATACTGGGATATAGAATACTAAAATTAAAATGATCGAAATTTTTTGTAGGTAGAACAGATAAATTACTTGTTTTTATTCCACAGAGAAAAAAATAAAATAACTTAAGGAAAACATTAATGAATGTTTGAGGTGTCTAACTTTAAAGCCCTTATAAAGTATTTCCATTAATTTCACTTTACTATGTCTTGGCTTCTGTGCTTAACAATATTGCTCAGAATGACTGCAGCTTACAGCACTTACATTTAACAAATATAACTTTTTTTTTTTCAAACTTAGATGATGATATGGTTTGGCTGTTCCCCCACCCACATCTTATCTTGAATTGTCATTTCCATAATCCCCACATGTCCTGGGAGGGGCCCTGTGGGAGGTAATTGAATCATGGGGGTGGTTGCCCTCATTCTGTTTGCATGACAGTGAATGGGTTCTCATGAGATCTGATGGTTTTATAAGGGGCTTTCTCCCTGCTTCACTCAGCACTTCCCCTTCCTGCCACCACGTGAAGAAGGAAATGTTTGCTTTCTCTCCTGCCATGATTGTAAGTTTCCCGAGGCCTCTCCAGCCCTGTAGAACTTTGAGTCAATTAAACCTCGTTTTTTTATAAATTATCCAGTCTTGGGCAGTTCTTTATAGCAGTATGAGAAGGGACTAATAATTAATGTAAAACTACATTTGATTAATTACCACCAAATATCCCAAAATTTATATTTGGAGAAAAAGAAATGCAAAGCTAAAATAAAGTAGCAGTTGAGAACCATGTTGATCACTTATACATGATCAAGCAGTGTTTTATGTTTTTTTACTGATCTTTCTTTCCCCCTATAATAAAACGATTCTAGTTTCTTGACACTGGGAGAAAACCTCAAACAAGTAAAAAATTTTTACTTTTTAAAAAAATTGCTGAATGTTATCAAAATAGAAGAAGAATACAATAAAAGTGACTCTTTAACTGTGGTGTAAATTTCCTACATTAAAAAAAGTCTTTTTCTTTTTGACCTGATATAGCTATTTTCAACTCTTAAATTTGATGGACATGCCCCATGTTTCAAACAGAGTCAGGCATGCTGGGCATAGGAGAGTCTGGCAATTGAGATGTCTATGACATTTTTGACTTCTCTATTCATTGATATCTCATCTGTGGCTCTTTGTGGCAGCTATGAAGAGGACATTATTCTTTGAAAAGTCTTATTTTCTGATGTGAACATAGTCTCCAGAGCCACCTGTTCATATTACAATTTCAAGATATAATAAAAAAGTATGTTATCCAGATAAAAATATTTCCCTGAAGAATTCAAGAATTCCTTTGTCTAATGTCTGGTATTTTAAAATCTTTCTTTGTCAAAACATAAGTATTTCTTCTTTTTTCCTGTTGAAATGAAAATTCTAAATCAAATGTACCCTTGTATTCCACTAAAAGTTATTCATAATTTAAGGCAAACACAGGGTCTAAATTCTATTTCTCATGTTTTATGCTTGGTTTACTTGTTTTTGAGTTCAGTTTTATGAAATAATATTCATGCCTGTAATCCCAACACTTTGGGAGGCTGAGGCAGGCAGATCATGAGGTCAGGAGTTTGAGATCAGCCTGAGCAACATGGTGAAAAACCATCTCTATTGAAAATACAAAAATTAGCCAGGCATGGTGGCACGCACCTGTAATCCTAGCTACTCAGGAGGCTGAGGAAGGAGAATCGCTTGAACCTGGGAGGTGGTGGTGGCAGTGAACCGAGATGGCACCACTGCACTACAGTCTGGGCAACAGCGGGAGACTCCATCTCAGAAAAAAGAAAGAAAGAAAGAAAGAATGCTGAAAATTTTAATTTATTGGCACCAAAACAAAATCTCTACAAGAATTATTTTTTTCTACTAAATGAATCATGAATGAGACAACAAACAAAAGTTATATTTAACGCATTAGGATCATATTGTGAATTTCAATTATTAGTGTCTGGAATTGGGAGTCAGATGACTACATGTTCTGATTTTGATATATCACCAAATGGAGTAATCATCCATGTATTCCTTACATAATAAATATTTAATTAATAGCAAGATATCTAACATTATGCTAGATATCGGGTATCTGTAGTGAGGAAAAAACAAAGAAACCAAAAACAGCCCTGTTTTGTTGGGGGCCTATTTTGAAATGGAAAGTTTGGAAGAATGAAGCAGGAACATTCTGGTTGATTTTACTGAATGAAAAGTTAGATAAATTATAAAGAAGTGGGGGTATATTCCATATTGAGAAAACAGTATGTGAAAAGTTCCTATGGATTTTTCTGAGGAAAGTTTAAAACGAAGGTGAAAATGGAAAGCTCTTCTGCTTTAGGCAATAAAAGTCTGAGACTATCCATGTAAGTTTTACTTTCAGTCTTTGAAGACTTGATCTCAAGATTCTTTAGTATTTTAAGCAATTTCACCATCAACTGAATAACATGATTGTTATATTGTAATATAATAAGTCCATATTTTTTCTCTATCCCTGGTAAAATGCTTGTAATTTCTTGGTTATCATGGTGCTAGAGGCATCTTTTGTTCAAATATTTGGTCTTTGACTCCAGGTTCTGACACAGGCTGTAAATCTCTTGAAATTTCCTAGGTGATAGGCATGTCTTTTGTTCTAATGACTTTTGTTGGGTTTCAGGATGGGGCTGGTCACCAGAAAGACCAAGCCATAATTAGAGGCTTAGAACTTTCTTTCATCCTCACTCCTCAGCCTGTGGGAGGGGGAGTGGGGTTGGAGATTGAGTTAGTAATTAATCATGACTACATGATGAAGCCTCCATAAAAAGAAAATGCCTGAACTACAGGCTTCAGAGAGTTTCTTGGTTGCCAACCAGATGGAGGTGCTAGAAGAATGGCACACCTGAAGAGGTCATGGAAAATCCACACGTATTCCCGTTTATGTTAGCCTATGTATTTCTTCATGTGGATATTCATCTATATCCTTTGTCATGTCCTTTATTAATATAATAAACTAGTAAATCTAAGTATTTTCCTGAGATCTGTGAGTTGTGTAGCAGGTTCATCAAACCCGAGGAAAGGGTCGTAGCAATGCCGTTTTATAACTTGTTAGGTAGGTTTAGGAAGATGAACAACCTAGGGCTTGCAATTGACACCTGAATTTGGGGCTGGGTCTTATTGGATTAAGACCTTAACCTGTGGGATCTGATGCTATCTCCAGGTAGAGAGTGTCAGAATTGAGTTAAATTGTAAGACATTCAGTTTGTGTCCACTGAAGAATTGTTTTGTCTATGGGGAAAACCCTCTAAACTATCTGGTGTCAGAAGTGTTCTGTGTTGAGTGGTGTGAAAGAACCCAAACAGGTTGTTTTTTTCTTGTCTAATACAATGATCCTTGACTTACATATGTTCTTTCTTAATGAAGCCACCTTTCTATCCAGTGAAATGATAAATGATATAGTGCCATATCATACATCTTCAATGTAGATAACATCCCGTTGCACACTAATTAAATGTATAATCTTCCTGATATACTCTCGAGTTCTATTTATTTACTTAAAGTATTGGAATAAGTGAAAATGAAGGAAGGTGGGACATTTAATGTTCTTTTTTAGGACAACCACCTTACGGTATTCATACTTCTATCAGATATAGAGCCATTTTTAAGTTGAATTCTGTAGAAAAACATTCTATGTGACAAACAATTTTTTAAATAATTATTCTAACTATAGCATGCAAGTAACAACAGTTCTACAGAGACTGACTGCCACTATCAGAACACTCAGATTAAAATAATGAGGAAAAATGTTTTCTATAAAGGTCAGTCCAGGAAAGGAAAAATAAAGTATGCTGTCTTTAAAATACGGATTTTGGCACTTCCCCTGTAGAGAATTCTTTCCCTTGAATCTGGGTAGCTTGTGACTGTTTCGACCATAGAGTATGGTAGGAGTGATGCTATGTGACTTCCAAGGCAAGGTCACCAAATATCATACTGTCTTATTCAATAGCACGTTCACTCTTGGAGCCCTGAGTTACTTGTAAGAATTCCAGTTACCTCAAGTTTGCCATGCTGTGAAGATGCACAAGCCAAATGGAAACCAACAATCATATCTTTACCCTCTGTCTCACGTGTGTAAAGAAACCTTTAGATGATTCCACCATCTAGCTCTTTAAGTCACTCCGACATTCAAGTTTTTCAGATGTAGAATGGAAATAAATCATACCCACTGTACCTTCTTGGAGTCTGACTCACAGAATCCCAGATCATAATACAATGACTGTTGTTTCATGACAATGATTGTTGTTTCATGACACCAATGTGGGTTGTGGGTGGTTATTACACATTGATAGATAACTGGAACATTATTACAGTGATGTTTCAGTAAAGCCCAATACATATTGCTAATGAGTGCAGTGAATACAATTTGCCAAATTGAATTGTAGCCCCAGCTTACTATTTTTGGCTGTGCAAATTGTGCTAATATTACACCATATTTAATTTAGTTTCCTCACCTATGAAATGAAAACTGTGAACCAGATCACCTCTGGATTATTACCATAATGTACTCTTATTTTTACGTGTCTTAATGTATTTTTTCATATCAACTGTATACATTCAGGAATGTTTTATCTGTACCTTTCATGAGACCTTATAGTTTGCGCTTTTTTTTATACATTAATAGTCTTTTGTATGATTAGCTGACTCTACAACTTGATTATACTTCCTTAGAATTTATATGTTAATAAACTCAGAAGGCTTTGTGCATAAGAGGCAGTCAGAGATAATAAATTGACTACTCTATTAATGTATTAGGCACCAATAAAAAACACAAAGGAGGTATAAAATTTAAATCCTATTTTTCATCAACTTGTGCTCAAATTGAAAGGACCTGATTGTAAATGGAGAACAATTCAATATAAAATTAAATACTGCATGGTATAATAATAAATACTTTAGTAGAGAAATGCCAATATATTTTGATGATTTCAGTAAGTGTAGTGTATACTTACAGAAAACTGATTCTGTGTGTGTTTTGCTATTTTTCCAATTAGTTCTCACATTTTCATTCTTTACTAAGAAAATTCATGTATGATTTACTCTTCATTCATTAGCTAAATAGAATGGAAATAAGAAAGAAAAGTAATTCTTGAAGCTTCATCTTGGGAAATGTGTAAGTAGTTCTAGGATTTTGGAGTGGCTACCATATGTAAGCTAGAAGAGACAAGTTGCCATGAGGACATGAAATCAGAGAGCTGCTGGCAAAGACAAGCACTTCATGCTTTACTCTAAGTTCAGGTGCCTTCAGCAGTCTAAGTTAATGATTATTAACTGTTCTATTTTGCTTTCTGCTAAACTACTAGAATCTGCTCTCCGATTTTTTTTTAGTAAATGATACGTATGTGTTGTATGTTGTTATGAGCCACTATAATATAGCACAAATACAGAAAACAATATGCTGTACTAAAATAGCCAAATAAAGCAATAAAGTTTCTTAACATTTACCTGGGAAAATCCATTGAAAATCAACATTAATTTAGCCTTGACAGTTTATGGTATTGTTATTATTATTTCTGGGATTTATTTTTGCAAATAAAATGGATGTTGCTCTCTTTATATTTATGTATACACAAACATGTATAAACTTACTTATGAGTATTACTTGAGACCTCATAATGTAACTCAATTTGTTCTCTGTCTTTGGAAAAAAGAATTAATGTCATAATTTTTAAAAGTTGTTTTGTAATAATCTATAGGGAATTTTTCATAATACTATTGAGTATATGACAATTATTATTTGTTTTAAGATATACTTAACATTCACTTTTCTCATCATAGGTGAAACCTCAAGATACAAAACAGCATCTAGCAATACAATAAATACCTGCATTTTGATCTATTTTGAGATAAATAACTTTAGAGAATGTCAGCCTCCAGGGTTGTCGTCAATGGCAGAGAGTTAAAACAATAAAATATCAGAATTTCTATAGAATATTATAAATCAGGCATATTTTCTTCTTTTATGATCAATGTTCCTTAATAAAAAGAGAAAAAATTATAAGTGCTATAAATCAGTAAATATATGTTTAGGTTTTGGAAAACAAAAAATAGACTTGATTTATATTTTTAACATAAATATTAAAAACACAAAAATTGTTTGAACCAAAATGACTTATTTATCCGACATGTATTATTCTCTTTTAGGGAAGAATGATAATAGAAAAAAGCACAAATAGGGGAAATATAAGGATAATTAGAGAGAGAAAAGTGAAGAATATCATATTGAGTAATCAAAGGCATAAATACCTGAGAATCAATGAAAAGAAAAATGAAGCCAAAATTTTCTGCCATGAGGTCATTCCTCCCCATAGTCTACCTGAAAATGTTGATCATAATAGCAGTAAGTTGATTCATTCCCTCATATGTCTACTATTTTTGAATACTTATTAAGTGCCAGATATTCCTCTATAA
The DNA here is from genome assembly GCF_000001405.40 of Homo sapiens. Taxonomy (NCBI): domain Eukaryota; kingdom Metazoa; phylum Chordata; class Mammalia; order Primates; family Hominidae; genus Homo; species Homo sapiens. Next base: position 104,188,451 of record NC_000001.11, read on the forward strand.
ATGGGGAATATAATAGTGAATATTTTATCATTTTGAGAACTTGAAAAAATTAAATTAGTAAAAGAATATGAAGCATTATTTCATTCAGAGATTGGAAAACTTTTTCTGTAAACATTCAGTTAGTAAATATTTTAGGCTTTGAGATCCATATAGTCTGTATTGCAATGATTCAATTTTGCTAGTATATGAAGCAGCTGTAGATACAGTGAATGAACTGGTGTGTCTATTTTTTTATCAAACTTTTTAATTACAAAAACGGGCGATGGGTGAGATTTAGCTCATGCTGTACTTTGTTGCCCCAATTTAGTACCATTACTAAGCATGTTATGAACAATCAATTAAATTAGCTTAAGTCTCTGCTTTATAACTTGGATTCTAATGTCTTTCTTTCACTTACTACCTTTCCCCTAAGCCTCATAAGTCAAATCCTCAATTAGCAGATTTCAACCAAGTGAACAAGAACTTGAGTTTTTGTCTCATGATCCCTCTTTTCAACTTTGCCGTTATACAAAGGTCTGAAACCAAAAGTAAGACACTTATCTTGTATTTTTTTTCAATTTCCCAGCTGTTTAAAATATTATTCTCTTTGCTGTCTCCAATAGATATACGGTCTAGCTTGCTTTCTATGTTTTGCCTTAGATCAGTTATGTCTCTGGCCTACCAAATTTCCCATTTCTCCTAAAATATATCTCCTCATCTATTATCACTCAGAAAACAACTTCTTTCCCAAAACTGCTGATGAATTCTACCAGAAATCTGCTTAATGTCTGCTTATTCAGTGGGATTCTTTCTGTCTCTTTCCTAGATGCATAAACATATTAATTGCAACCTTAATTTCTCGAGAGGGACAAGGAGACAGGGCAGCCAACAATCAGATTTGATTTTGTAATCTGAGTAAGAGTTCACATGACTGGATGGAAGAAGCACAAAAGTGAGAGTGAGAGGAAATCAATTATAATCCTTACTGTGTCAAGTCATGTGACTCTGAACTGGTAACTTAGTACATGTGCAGCTCAGTTTCCTCATCATAAAATAAAGAGGTTGATATAAATGCTAATTAAGAACTCTTTCTGCTCCAAAATAAGTAAGTCATAATTTTAGGTTGGTTTGGGTTGTGCCATTTGTGGTCTTGCTTCCAATTAAAGGATTTTACCTGAGAAAATTATTGCAGTGTCCATATTTTAACTGGAATAAAAATTCTTTGCCTTTATTCATTTATTTATTTATTCAAAAATTACATACCAGAGGCATACTTTATATTAGACATTTCTGGATATTGCTCATTAAAAAGGGTAGTTTGTCAGTAATATAATAAAATAACCTAAATACATTTTAATATGCCTGTAATCTCTGGAGATATGCTGATAAAATGTGTATGAAAAGACAAAGGGAACAATTTTATAGAAACTGATGTTAGGATACATTGAATAACTTTAAAGGAGGACTGGGAAATAGTTATTGTAATAACTTTCTAAAGTGAGATTCAGTGTCATTTCAAAAGATAAATTAACATTTCAGTAAAAAGTACTAACTAATGGCCACTATAAAAGATAATATTGGGAGACCTGAATATTTGAGATGCAAATAAAATATTGTTCTCAAAATATCTAAATTCTACAAGACAGTTTGTCTTTTATACATGTATTCATTCATTTATCCATCCACCTAATAATTATTAAGTTTTGACAGAGATACTAAGAAGATAAAGCACTACCTCATTTAAAAATAAAAATAATTCTACAAGAACATAATATGTACCATACATTTTTGTTTTTGATGGCTTTACACCAAAAGTTGCAGCCTCAATGAACGAGCATTTTCTGTCACGAGTCTGAATTATTTTAAAACTTTGAAATCTAAGAATACTACTTTATTTGTTTACATTCACTTAATATTATTTGCAAAATACAATCTTATTTATTTATTTTAAAAAGTCTGAAAATATACCCAATGCAATAGCAAAGAAATTTAAATGATTAAAGCTACATCGACTATCTAGGTCACTAAAAAATTGTAACTAGTTGTTTTGCTTTTGCTGTTTTTAGCCACGGAAATCTCATTTCCTTTAAAAATAAAAAACATAATGTTGCACATATATTCCCCTACAGGCTTACCTTTTTATAAACAAGTTTTATTCAATAAAATACTTTGTAGTCCTAAAACTTTCTTTATTTTACTGGATTTTAAATCTGTAAAAGCAAATCTTTTCAATTCCATGAAATCTCATTTAATTGCCTGCTGTGATTCTGCCCTAGCAGCAAGCTGAACCACCACTGCTCTGAAAGTGTAATAGAGCCATTTGCTCTAGTTGTAAGTTATAACTCTATGTCAGATAAACCACAAGTGATTAATTCTTAAGTTATACAAGAGAGGTTTTATTTTTTTTTTGTGATTGAATTTCACAATGGGCTATTGAGAATATCATTATAAAATACTATTGATAACCTTTCTTAATATAATGTAGTGGTAAATTTATATTTCTCTCCTCAGGGACCTGAAATTTGAAATGTGTTGAGAAATCTTTGCAATTATCCCTTAACAAAGGGTGCATTATCTGAGAGGAAAAAAGCCAATGGTTTTCAGATTGCCATATGACTATGAAAACGTACTTTGGAAAAAGAATGAATGTATTTATTATGTAGAAAATGTCCACTTGCTTTTAAATCCACCAGAGTTTACCTCATATGTTAATCAAAGTAGTGTGCATACTTCAGCTGACTTAATCTTTTATGGAAATGGATAGCTATTGTCAGACATCTTCAGTGTTTAAGCCCCAAGTCCTCTTCCTTATCTGCAGACCTGTAACTCCTGAGGCATTGTGATCATAACACTTGCTTCTTTCTTTATAATTTCCCTATTCTTAAAATAAAATAATAATAAAATTCATTTGCAATATCATACCATATAAAATTTTCACCCAGGAGCTGGGCACGGTGGCTCATGCCTGTAATGCCAACACTTTGGGAGGCTGAGGCTGGCGGTTCACCTGAGGTCAGGAGTTTGAGACCAGCCTGGCTAACATGATGAAACCCTGTTTCTACTAAAAATACAAAAAATTAGCTGGGCATGGTGGCACACACCTATAATCCCAGCTACTCAGGTGGTTGAGGCAGAGGAATCGCTTGAACCTAGGAGGCAGAGGTTGCAGTTAGCCGAGATCCAGCTGTTGCACTACAGCTTGGGCAATAAGAGCAAAACTCCATCTTAAAAAAAAATTCACTCAGTAAAACTAAAGTTGATAAAACACATGGTGATGATGAAGTTTTGTGCTACTACAAATTAATAGACTATGGATATGGTTTGGCTGTGTCTCAACCCAAATCTCATTTTGAATAGTAGCTCCCATAATTCTCACATGTTGTGGGAGGGACCCAGTGGGAAATAATTGAATCATAGAGCCAGTTTCCCCTATACTGTTTTCATGGTAGTGAATAAGTCTCATGAGAACTGATGGTTCTATAAGGGGTTTCCCCTGTCACTGGCTTTCATTCTCTCTTGCCTGCCACCATGTAAGATGTGCCTTTCACCTTCTGCCATGATTATGAGGCCTCCCCGGCCACGTGGAACTATGAGTCCATTAAACCTCTTTGTGTTTATAAATTACCCAGTCTTTGATAAGTCTGTATTAGCAACATGAGAACAAACTAATACAGCTATGAAACTGAGGTTAGTCTCAGTCCTGATTTGTATTGTACAGATTTTTTAACTCATATGATTTCAAAAGTTTAAAGCCAATAAACTTGACCTTATCTTCAATGTCAAAAAGTATACAAGCATTGCATATTTATATTTACAGCTAGCAGTATAGAAGGTAGAATCACTACAACTAATTTCCATCTCTTGCTTAAAGAACATTCTATTATCCAATATAGATGATACATCCAATAAAAGTGAACATAAAGACAATCTCTCAGATTTGTGTGTGTGGGTGTTGGATAAGATAAGACATAGAGACAAAAACTAGTGCAATTAGTTCATAGAACACTGAAGACCTCTTGGACATATAAGAAGTCCTTTCCATTTCATTAAAGTTATTCACAATTGCACACTCACTATCCATTAGATATTGCAAAAGGCATGTGTTCATTCATCCAGACATTCTTTTATTTATTTTTAACTGATTAATTCAGACCAGACACTATTTGAAGTTCTCAAGGTACAGTCCTGAACAAAGTGGAAAAATCCCTGCCCTCAAATTTCTTACAAAAAAAAGATGAAGTAGAAGGTGATCTGAGTGATGAACAGGGGCCAGATTTAAAAAGACCTATCGTGCTTACTTAAAAAGATTAGTTTTTATGTAGCAGATGATGAATAATCATTGCAGGCTTTTTCACAAGAAGTAATATACATTTTCCTTTGAAAAATATATAATTTTATAACTAGCTGGAAGGTGATGAACAGTCATTTTAGTATTTTGAATAAAAGGTTAACATAATCACATATTTATTGCAAAATAATTTACTCCAATGTAGTTTAGAGATTAAATCAGGGGAAGGCAATAGTGGAAAATGTAAGGAGGAATTATATTTATGGCCTGTTAGAGAAATGGCAACAAACAAACCATAGTGGATTAGGGGGCTTGAGAGAAGTTAGTTGATTTGATTGATATGAAGGAAGTAGAAGCATGAGGGTTTAGTAATTGGTAGGATCTGTAAAGTGGTGAGGAAGTAGGCAAGGACAATATAACAGGGGGTGGAGCCAGTCTGTGATATGACAACATTGTTATATGGATGTTAATCTCTCTCACATTGCAAACAAACAACGTGTCCAGCAGTTCATCAACCAGATACCACTTTTTTCTTCCCCCCTTTTCATCAAAACTTCGGAAAAGAATGGTCTATGCTTTGTCTCCAATTTTCTTTTCTCCCATCAAACTATCATGATACAACTCCACTGAAACTACTCTCATCAATGTCACTAATAATTTCCATGTTACTACATTGAATTATCAAATTCCACTATTTATTTTACTTGGCCAATCAGCAGCATTTGACATAGTTGATTACTACCATTTCTTCATTTGGCTTCCAGAAATCCATTTTCTCTTGTTTTCTCTTATCACATTGATTATTCTTTCTCATTTATTTTATTATTTTCTTCCACCTTCTAATGTTGGTGTTGCTAAAGGCTCTGTTTTTGATCCTTTTCTCTTCTCAATTTATATTCACATTCCTAATTACTTCATCCAGGCTCATGGTTTTAAGTATAATTCACATGCTACTTACTTCTAATTAAAATTTCCAATCCAAACTTCTTTTCTGAATTTTAGACATATAGTCAACCGCTTCTTCCACATCTTCACGTGGATTTCTAATAACCATTGTGAATTCAATATATCCCAAATGTAACTTCTGATCTGTTCTCTCCCCTACCATCCACTACCACTGCAATCTACTTCAATTATAGGCCATCCCATTTCAGTTGAAATTAATTAAACTTTTCAGTTTTCCACACCAAAGGTATAAAGCCATTCTTGAATCCTTTTGGCTCTCACACCTCATATCCAAGTCATCAGATAATCCTTTCTACATTCAAGGTATTTCTAGAATTTTATTTTTTTCACTGCCTCTACTGCTGCATATTTGGTAGAAAGATCATCATTTTTCATCTGCATTGTTGTAATGACATCCCAACTGGAATTCCTGCTTTTACTTTGCTCCTATAAAATTTGTTCTTACACAAAAGCAAAAGTAAACCTTAACAACAAAATTCAGTCATAACTCCTCTGATCAAAACTCTTCAATATCTCCTTATTTCACTCAGAATAAAGTGAAAGACCTTACATAGCAAGTAAAGCTTTGCATATTTTGGTAACTCTAGCACCTTCCTGTCTTCATCAAAAATTCTTCCCTTCCCTAACTCAGCCCCAGTAATACTTGCATATTTTCTGTTCCTTGAAAATATGAACACAATCCCATCTTAGGGGCATTGCTGTGTTTAAATTACTTCCTCCTCCTAGAATTATCTTCCTGTCAGTCCTGCTTAGCTATCATTCTCACCTTGTTAATGGTTTTGCTCAATTTTTATCTTATCAATGAAGCCTATCTGGACAACCATACAAGCAACCCACCTGAGAAGAAGCAGTTAGAGGAAAAGGAAAAAAAAAATCTGAGTGTGAGACGCCAGAAAACCATATCATTAAAAAAAATTAGTAAGGGATAGATGTGAAGCAAACACCAGGAGATCATGCAAGATAAGGACAAAATCGATCAGTTTGATTTAGTGGTAAAGAGCTTGTTTGTGATCTTGGCAAGTATAGTTGATTAGGATTGATACGTAAAAATGGTAGAGTATGCAGAATATCTGTTGTTATGCAATGGGATATCAATATACGATTGATGTAAGACAATTTGAAAGACTGAGAAACTGAAGAACCATCTTGTTCCCACTCACTCTTATTCCCAGTTTTATTCTTTCTTTTTTTTTTTTTTTTTCAGGAAAGGACAGTGAAATACTCTTCATTCATAAAATGGGCATAAAGAATAAAGATACCTGGTTGGTAGTTGTAGGCTCTTGTCTGGAAATTTAATTTGAAGGCCACTGCTCTTCTACCAAACTATTGTGCTATTATTTATATTTTGCAGGAGAAAAGGTGAGACCCTGTGCCAAATAAAGGAATTAAAAATTAAAATGTGTCTGCTAACCTTTGGAAAACATTTACTTAAATCTATATTTCTTTGAAGTGATAATAAAATAATATATTTGAACAACAAAATTTTATAAACCTTCATTTAGATTACTTTATAGATTAATAAACCAGTGGAATGTTATTTTTTGTATTCAAAGGTGTTATTGTTTCTTTTTTTAAAATTTATTTTTGTTTAGAGACAGGGTCTTGCTCTGTCTCCCAGGCTGAAGTGCAGTGGCACAATTATGGCTCCCTGCAGCCTCAAACTCCTATTCTCAAGTGATTCTCCCACCTCAGCCTCCCAAGTAGCTGGGACTACAGGCATGTGCCACCAGATCTGGAAAAACAACAACAACAACAACAAAATGTCTGGCTTTTTCTTGTTATTTCTTTTTTCCATAAAGATGGAGTCTCACTATGTTGTCCTGGCTGATCTCAAACTCCTTGCCTTAAGTGATCCTCACACTCCAGCCTCCCAAAGTGCTGGAATTATAGGTGTGAGTCACCATGCCCTGCTAGGTTACATTGTTTGAGGCATTACTTCACATGTTTATGATGATCTCACCAATGTGTGAGTAATAGTTATTTCAAAGAGTCAGTGGCTGTAGCCAGCAGGGCTACCTTACCTCTTAGCCTTGTATTCAACCTGCTGTCTTCTTCAAAATGAGAGATCATATTCAATTGTAATATCTTTCTGCCCTGCTATTGTTTCTTTCTATTGATAATGTTACACTTGTTAAAATAGTGCTTGAGGGTGCTCTTGCAGTATTTCTTCCATGTGTCTTATTGAAAAGTAACCTTAGAGGGTTTATGTTGTAGCATTCATTCTTCCTATCATGGCAATCTCTCTTTTTATGTAATAACGATACAATTTTCATTTCCAAGTTTACCTGTCTATTTCAAATATTAAGTTTTCTTCTCTATTTTCTGGATCAGAGAATGTATCAAATATCTTGTAAAGATATTTGGTAATCAATATTTGCTCTTTATAAATTTGGTTTTGCAAGGTCAACCATAGAACTTAATGTTTGAAGGCTTGGACCAAATTCTTTGAATTACACCAGGGCATCAGAAATCCAATCATCTATCTTTTTATTTTTCATTAAAACTACTTTAATTAAATTAGTAGCATAAAGTATTTAACTGCCCACTAATCACTGAGTATAACAAAAAAGGGACAGACTATATAACACTTCTAAAGAAATATAACCACCTGAGTACAAGTTAACTACTTTCAAGTTAGGGGCCATCTGGCTGCAACATCTGTTGCCCATTAGTTGCCAGTATTCATTTGCATGGTCTGGATTACTAGATGGGGATAAAGAAGAATTTTCCTCAATAGAAGAGGATCATTCTTTGGACAGGAGTATACTATAACACTGTTTCTTTTTAATAGAAGCTCATAATTTATTGCTACATTTAATATTTTCTGTTTGGGGTAATGGTATGTCCTAATGCTCTTGTTCTATCATGAGATAAAAATCTGCTTAAGCCTGCCCACATTGAATTGATAGATGGTTACTGAATTTTGTATCAGTAAAGAACTCTTGAACACTGCCTCTACATCCAGTGCTGTGAAAGGGGATATGGGTATGCAGAAATGAAGATGACAGAGTTGCTGCCTTCCGTTAGGAATGTAATCAGTAGTATGTCAATAAAAGGCAAGTTGTAGAAGAAATAGGAAGCAGAAGTGAGCTAGGCCAGAACATTGTCATGATATGGAGGCTGGTTTTAGTTATAAACAATACAGTTTACTAAAGCCATTTTAATGTGAGATTGATAAGAACATGATGCAGATATAGAGTTTAAAATGTTAAAGTACAGTCAAAACAGAGTGAAAACTAAAAACTATTATAACCATAACAGAGAGATCAGTTCCTGTCATACTAAAAACTATTATAACCAAAACAGAGAGATCAGTTCTTGTCATACTAAAATCTGGATCTCAGGTTTTTAGTCTCTGTCTCTGTTCTTTCCAGCAGCTTCTCTGTTAAACAGTGACTTCTTCATCTCAACACATTTACCTAATTCTTAGTCAGTGTTGCACATTTTTCCACTTGACCCTGCTTCAGTACAAGAGAAACTCATCTTAGTAAGGCTTTTATTGTTTTATTGTCTTTGCCTTTTTAAAAAATATTGGTTATCAAAGTTCAGGTTTAATGCTATCACTCTTTCTTTCTCTCCCGTTATTCAAATTATCTTTGTTAGAACTAGTGGTGTTCTCTACCTGTATTCTCTATTGTAAAAAAATTCCCAGCACTAGACCGAGTTTCTGTGCTTGTTACTCCCCTCTGTCGCGGAAGACTTTATCTTTCTGTTGCAGCTAACTTGATTTTAAATCAAATTGTTGCCTAGAATATCTCACATCTCTTCTTGCTCATCAAATGTGTCAACCTAAATAACCAGAAAGAGTATCTCTAAAAGAAAATAATATTTATTTAGGAATAGGACATTGCAATGTGAATAAATGTTCCATAGAAAGCGATATTCATATTCAGGAGCATAAAAGAAGACAAAGGTTTTTAAAGAAAAAAATTAAGAAGATTACATAGTTGTTTGAGATTATTATCTTTGGCTACAAAGGTTAATAACAAAAGTAGTCAGTCTAAAGTTGCACAAGCAGTTGCTAGGCAGATGTCCTTACAGTAGTATTTTTGCATAAGGTTGAAATGACCTTTGTGCAAAGTAGTGTTTTTTGCAGTCTTTTATGGTGCTTTTTGTTGTCAGTTATTTATAAATGAGAACTTTTCTCTTTATGGACTTCCTCAGCTCTATTGAAGAGTTGTTTGTTTGTTTTTAACAAAAGTGACTCTGGTTTTGATCCTGACAACTTTCACAAATACATTCATGATTAAACTTTTCAGAATCATATCTGAAGTTGTTCACTGTAACTTGAAGCGTTCTGTCCCCCATATGTGCTGGTGAGCTGCCCCTGGCTTTACTGTATCCTAGAAAGTGTATTACTGCCCTGTTCTTACCTTGATGAAAATGCCTTATTTTTCATTCCATTAGAGTCATTTATATTATTAAGAAAACTTTAAATCATAACTTAGCCATTGCAGTGTTCTGCTTCCTCAATAATTAATTTTTCTAGTTTCTTCTTATCCCCAAGATTAGCTCTTGCATAGCTATTTCACAGAGCTCTGTTTAAGTGCCCAACATATTTAATTTAATGATTTTGCTGTTTCAAGGATAATAAACTCAAATGCCTTTAGGAAGTTTACCTACTTATGTGAAGCCCCAGTATGTAAGTTAATGAATGAAGAATGTATAGCTCTTCTGTATATTTAAATATAACAACAACATTACTTTCAGTAATGGTGCAATAACTTCTTTTTCTTTTTTCTTTTTTTTTTTTTTTTTTTGTTGAGACGGAGTATTGCTCTGTCACCCAGACTGGTGTGCAGTGGCACCATCTCGGCTCACTGCAACCTCCACTTCCTGGGTTCAAGCGATTCTCCTGCCTTAGCCTCCTGAATGGCTGGGATTACAGGCGCATGCTACTTCGCCCAGCTAATTTTTGTATTTTTAGTAGAGATGGGGTTTGACTATGTTGACCAGGCTGGTCTCGAACTCCTGACCTTGTGATCCACCTGCCTCGGTCTCCCAACATGCTAGGATTATAGGCGTGAGCCACCACACTTGGCCAATAATTTCTTTCAATGAAGTCTTCCACTGAGAACAAACAGGAAATCATAAAAAATATTTTTCAAAATTTGTATAAAACCACTGTAGGCCAGGCGCGGTGGCTCATGCCTGTAATCCCAGCACTTTGGGAGGCCGAGACGGGCAGATCACGAGGTCAGGAGATCGAGAACATCCTGGCTAACATGGTGAAACCCCATCTCTACTTATCTTTATTTGAACTGCATTCAGGGCTGAAAGCCTCTCCCTAGGGAGCATTTGTCACAAACTTTTAGAGGCAAATATTTTAATGCCACAGTTGCCTGAAGAAATGGATAACAATTAAAGCCAAAAAGAGACTAACCAAAAAGCTTAAAAAAAAAGCTGGGGAAAGAGATGTCCACGGGGACTTTGTAAAGCTCAGACATGCTCTCTGCAATATAGAAGGCATGCACATTTGTCAGTTGTGTGCATGCTCAAGAAATATCTGTGAAGGATCAAGCTCTCATCTTTGAACTGCAGACTCTGTGCAAACAGAAAGTAAGGGCTAAGAAAGAGTTAGAAACTACCCAGCTGAGTATTGAAAGCATGCTCCAACACAAACACACAGGGTCTCTTCAGCAAAAACTGACAGATTCATGCAAGAAAGTCTTTAAGAAATTCTCTGTCCAACCGGGCAACTAAGCTAATTGTATAGAGACTTCAGTGACCACAAATGATAATAATAATAATGATACATATTTAAAAACAGATTTAATGGAATTAGTTCAGAAAAGTTACTAAAAATATAATGACTGCAACAAGGAGCAACAACAACAAACCCTGCTTCAGTGGGAAGAGGAGGATTTGATTTTTTGAGCTGTTATATATTTTTAAATGTCTATATTTCAATAAAAATTAATTATGTGTGAAGAAACAAGGAAGTATGTCCCATACACTTTGGAAAAGAAGCAATGATGGAAAACGTCTTTGAGGAAGCCCAGACATTGGACTTACTAGACAAAGACTTTTTATCAGCTATTTTATTTTTTATTTTTATTTTTTGAGACAGTCTCGCTCTGTCACCCAGGCCAGAGTGCAGTGGCACCATTTCAGCTCACTGCAACCTCAGCCTCCCAGGTTCAAGGGATCTTCTTGCCTCAGCCTCCTGAATAAATGAGATTATAAGCATCCGCCACCACACCTGGCTAATTTTCGTATTTTTAGTAGAGATGCCCACCACCATGCTGGTCTAATCTTTTTATTTTTAGCAGAGAGGTCTTGAACTCCTGACCTCAAGTGATCTGTCCACCTCAGCCTCCCAAAGAGGTGGGATTACAGGCATGAGCCACTGCGGCTGGCCACAAGAAGATAATCTTGAATGGAACAAGAGAGAAGCAACTTAACGATAAAAATTATTCTTTGTTGTAATAACAGATCATTTCTTGTCAGAAACCATAGAATCTAGCAGGCAGAGGGATGACATAGAAGGTTAAAAGAAAAGAAAAAAACATATAAAATTATTGTATATTCAAGCAAAACTATTCTTCATAAATGAAAGAGAAATAAGTCATTCATTAACAGATAAACAAAAGCTAAGAGAATTTCTTGGTAGCAAATCAGCCATACCAATAACCCAAAAGACGTGCTTCAAGCTAAAATGAAAGTAATTCAAGTGAAGCAATAAAGAGCACCAACACAGGTAACTAAGTAGAAGAACAAGAAGTTTTTCTCCTAACTGCTTTAAAATACAACTACGTAAAGCAAAAATTATGTATCTATGCTGATGGAAACCCGATGAATAAAGTTAGAATTTGTGACTTTAATAGCATAGAGCAGATTGGAGAACAAAATTATGTAGAAACAAAGTAGTTTATATTATGGAAATTAAGTTAATATAAATTAGATTGTTGTAAATTAAGGTGTTAATGGTGATTCACAAGGCAACCATTATAAAGTAACTCAAAAATATATATTAAAATTATCAAAGGGGAATTAAAATGATACACCTGAAAATATCCATTTAACATAAAAGAATGGAATAATGGAGGAATTTGGGAAAAACAGACATTAAGAGATATAGAAAACCACAAAATGGCAGGTATAAATAAATTCTATTGTAGAGGATTGAATTTTATCTCCCTAAAGTATATGTCCATCTAGAAAATCAGAATGTAATTTTATTTGGAATGAAAGTTCCTGCAGATACAATTTCAGTAATGATCCCAAGATGAGATTATATTGGGTGACAGTGAGCCCTAAATCCAATAATGAGTGATGCCCTTATAAGAGACAGAAATGAAATGCACACAGAGACAAAGGAAAGAATATCTTGTGATGACCAAGGCAAAAACTGGAATTATGTTGCCTTAAGACAAGAAATACCAAGGATCGCTTGTAGCCACCAAAATATAGAAGAGAAGCATGAATAAGACAGCCCTCAGAGATTCTCCAAAAGGCACCCAGACTTCCAACACTTGGATTTTTGGTCTCTAACACTGTTTCTCTTGTTATAAGCCACCTAATTTGTTGCAATTTGTTATAACAGTTCTAGAATACTCATACACCTATCTTATTAATAATTCCATTAAATGTAAATGAATTAAATTCTCTAAATACAAGGCAAATATTAGATAAATTGATTAAAAATACATGATTCAACTATATGCTGTGTATAAAAATGTCATTTACATACAAATACATAAATAGATTAAAAAGGAAAAGATGGGAAAACCTATTCCATGCAAACGATAACCAAAAGAGAACTAGAGTGTTTATACCATTGTCAGGCAAAATAGACTTTAAAACAAAGTTGTTAATAGAGGCAAAGTTGGATATTTTATAATAATAAAAAGGGCAATTCATTAATAATATATAGCAATTATAGCTTGATGGGATTTACCAACAGATCCTCAAAGTATAGGATAAAAAAAAGCTGACAAAATACAATATGCAATAGGGAGAAACTGATAATCCAACAGTAATAGTTGAAAACTTCAATCTCCCACTCTCAATAATTGATGAAATAGCTAAGCAGAATTTCAACAAGAGGGTAGAAGACTTTAACACAACAAAACATAGCATATATCTATAGACCATTTCACCAACAATAGCACAATACACATTCTCATCAATAATAATAACAAAACATTTTTTGTGATTGGCCATATGTTAATTCATAAAACAAACCTCAAAAAGTTTACAAGGATTGAAGACCTACAAAGTATTTTCTCAGACAAGCATAAAAGAAACATAAATATAAATATTCGAAGCAAATTTTGGGTTTCACAAATACATTTAAATTTTAAAATGCACTCCTAAATAACCAATGAGTCAGAAAGAAAATCAAAATGGAAATAAAAAAGATTAACTTTCAGATACATGACAAGAAAAATATAAAATGCCAACACTACTAAAACTCAGTGAAAACATTGCTCAGAGAAAAATTTAGAGCTGTAATCACTTATATTATCAAAGAAGAAATATTTTAAATAAATAACATAATCTTTCGTTTTGAGAAACTATAAAAAGATGAGAAAACTAAACCCAAAATTAGCAGAAAGAAATAACAAAGTGAGGAGATGCATAAAATGGAGAATAGAAACAAATACAAATAATTACAAATAATTACAAAATCAAAAATTAATTTGTTGAAAATATTTTTAAAAATTCATAAATCTTTAGCTCCACTGATCTAGCAAGAAAGTAAGAAGATATGATTTGCTAAAACTCAGAATTAATGAAAGGACGTTACCAGCAAACTTACAGAAATATATATTTTTAAAGTAATGGAATACCGTGACGAACTCTGTGCCAACAAGTTAGATAGTGTAGATGCGATGGAAAAATTTCTAGAAAGACAGACTAAAACTAAATCAAGAAGAAATAGACAATCTAAATAAATCTATAACAAGTAAAACCTTTTTTAGTGATTAAAAACATTTCACACACAAACACATACAGAGAGAGAGAGAGAGAGACTGAGTTCAGGACCACATGGCTTTACTAGTAAACTCTGTGAAATATTTAAAGAAGAATTAACACAAATCATTCAAAAAATTTCTTATTAAGTAGAGGAAAAAATAATACTTCCTAATTTACTCTGTGAGTACTGATCCAATACCAAAATATCACAAGAAAAGAAAGCTACAAGCTGATATTCCTTATATTATAGATGCAAAAATCCTTAACCAAATACTAACAAACCAAAGGTATAATCATCCAATAGGTTATTGTTGCCCACTGTACAGATAGAACTTATTTACTGAGACAGCAATATTGCAATAGAGAAAGAGTTTAATAAGTATATGGCCAGCTAAGCAGAAGACTAGAGTTTATTACTCAAATTAGTCTCCCCCAGAATTTGGAGACTTTTTTTTAAGTTCAATTTGGTGGGCAGGAGTTTAGGGAATAGGTGCTGCTAATTGGTTGGGGATAAAAATAACAAAGGTGTGGAAAGCGGTCCTTGTGCACTGAGTGAGCTTCTGGGTGGGGCCACAGGACCAGTTGATTCAAGAATCACAGGTTCGGGTTAGAGTCAGTGAGTCCCCAGAAATGCAAAAGTCTGAAAAACACCTTAAAAGAGCAATTTTAGTTTCTACAATAATGATGTTATCTATAGTAATAATTACGGAACTTACACATCTTGTGACCTCCAGAATGATGGTAGTTATCATTAGCTACATCTTGGCAGAATTGAGGCCCCTCTCATAATCCTAACCTTGTAGTCTTTCATTAGTTTTACAAAGGTAGTTTTGGTCTCTGAAAGAAGTAGTTTTGGGAAAGGCTATTATCATCCTTACTTTAAGGTTCAGCTATAAACTAAATTTCTCTCAAAGTCAGCTTGGCCTATACTTAGAAATGAACAATGACAGCTTGGAGGTCAGCTAGAGGGTCAGCTAAAAGCAAGAGGGAGTCAAGTGTGTCAGATTTATCTTACTGTCATAATTTTCCAAAGGTTGCTTCAAAAAGATTATACAACATGACCAAGTGAAATTTATTCCGGGAAGACAAGCCTGGTTTAAAATGTAAAACTCAATCTATTTAATATAGCATATTAATAGAATAACAAGGCAAGAAACAACACAATTATCCCAATAGACACAGAAAATGCATTTGCATGGATATTTCTAATCTCGCCTTACAGTCAGATAACTGGTTCATCTTTTTCCCCCTTGCTTTTTTTTTCCAGGCTTGTATAAGAGACCAGTTTTTTTTTTTCCTTTAAGAATTGACAGACAATATAGTTGACAAAGATTTTATTACTGGAAATATGTCCTCATCCAGACCTCAAGATAGGGTTCTTGAAGCTCACACAAGAAATAATTCAGGGTGAGTCCCCAGTGCAAAGTAAAAGCAAGTTTATTAAGAAAATAGAGAAATAAAAGAATTGCTACTCCATAGACAGAGCAGCACCGAGGACTGCTAGTTGCTTATGTTTATGGTTATTTCTTGATTATATGCTAAACAAGGGGTAGAATTATTCATACCTCCCCTCACTAGACCACATAGAGTAACTTCCTGATGTTGCCATAGCATTCGTAAACTATCATGGTGCTGGTGGGAGGGTAGCAGTGAGGACAACCAGAGGTAACTCTCATGGCCATCTTGGTTTGGGTGGGTTTTAGCCAGCTTCTTTACTGCAACTTGTTTTATCAGCAAGGAGTTTATGACCTGTATCTTGTGCAGACCTCCTATCTCATCCTGAGACTTAGAATATCTTAACCATCTGGGAATGAAACCCAGCAATTCTCAGCCTCATTTTACCTAGCTCCTATTAAAGATGGAGTTGCTCTGGTTCACATGCCTCAGAGAGTATGAAAAGAGGAGTTTCAGTTAACCTAGAGGTTCCCATGGGAGAAACAAAATCAAATGGAGGAAGAAGACAGGACTAATCCTCATAATTTTTTTTTTTTCTGAAAATGGTCCAAGTCTATGAGACAGGTTTGGACACAGGGACTTTTATACTCAATTTGAAATTCCCACCACAGAAATATTCTTTATTATCTAAGGGATTGGTTGATTATTATGGTGGAAATGAAGCCCTTGAAGCTTTCCTCTGTTGCAGAAACAATCCAGGTCAAAGGGAGTGGGTTCATCAAAAGGCTGGTATAAAAGTGAATAATTTCTTTTCTAATAACCTGGAAGTTTAGAGTAAAGGCAGACATGTCAGTGCACAGGTTTCTTTAGTTTTGGACTCCTCAGTCTTAACTTAAAATCCATATAAGAAGGTCTTCTTGGTCTGTAGCTGTTCTAGCTTTAAACACTTGGAACTGTTCGCCTTCTGCGAGGAGTTTATCCACTGTTGTCACTGTAATTATAAGTTATTTTTGGTAAGGTTTACCCCTTTCTCTAGAAAAGGACAGGTTATGAGTTCATAGGTCTTACATGTGAAATTGGTTGTAGTTCCCCATGGAGCAGTTCTAGGCTCCTTGGATCCATATGAGCTCATGATTCCCTGTCTTTGTGAAACCTCACCTACCTAAGGCATTCTACTGGACCCAGTTCAATTTATGTCATGATTCTGAACCCATTCCAAATAGAAAATGCTCAAATAAAGTCAAAAAGTTCAAATACACCAGTTTGCAAAGTTTGAATGTGAGAAGAACTTACCCATGACCTCCAGTTGCTATGAGAGAGCAATGAGCATAATGGACCCAGCGGGTGCTTTTGCTTTGTTCACTCTGTGCTCCCAGGGATTGCTGGAGGTCTTCCTTAGATTTCTTTCATGATATTAAACTGGTAAAATATAACTTTAGACAAATTAAAATTAAAATAATTTATTTGGGCAAAGAAAAATTCATGAATTTGGGCGTCACTCAGAACCAGAAGATGTTCAGAAAGCTCTGACCAACAGTATGAGCACTGAATCTTTTATGGGTTGAGCACAGATGCAAGGTAGAAAAACGACCTAATTGGCTACTTCTAGGCATGTATCCTATTTGGGCATGGTGTGGTTAGTTGGCTGATTATATTTGGTCGAAGCCTGGCTTTTTATGATTACTGAAATCTGGTTACTTTTTTACTCTCTCTCTCTCTCTCTATATATATATGTGTGTGTGTGTATATATATATACACACTCATATATGTATATATTTAATATAAATAGAAATATATACTAATATATAAATATATGTAGTTTTATATATATTACTATATATACATATATATATGTATGTGTATATCCTCCTAGGTTACATTTCAGTCTGTTTATGTATTAAATTAGGTTGCAGGGTTTTTTAACATAGAAACTCAAGGTACGGAGACAGCCACAGGCTAAGGGCATCCTGCTTATTTAATTTAACAATGATAAGCAACCAAAGAATAAATAGATACATTAAAATTTATTAAAATTACAACCATTTTATTTGTTAAAGATGCTATTAAAAGTGTGAAAAGACAATCTCCACAGAATGGGAGAAATATTTGTAAATGTCATATCTGGGAAGAGTATAGTAACCATAATATATAAAGAACTCCTAAAACTCAAGAAAAAAAAGTAGGAAATGGGCCAAGTATTAAAACAAACATTTCTGCAAAACAGTTATACAGATATGCAATAAGCACATGAAAAGGTGTCAACATCATTTGTTGTTAGGAAATGCAAAGCAAAAGCACATTAAGATATCACTTTCTACCTGATAAAACAACTATAACTAAAAAACAAACATAGAAGTAGAAAAGAACAAGGGTTGGCAAAGATGTGGAGAAATTGGAAACCTCATACATTGCTGACAAGAATATTAATTTGTGCAGCTACTGTGAAAAATTTGCCTGTTCCACAAAAAGTTGAACAGCAGTTGCAACTCTGGGCATATCCTTAAGAGAATTGAAAACATATGCTTACACAAAAACTTGTATATGAATGCTGATATACAAGCAGTGTTATTCACAATAGCCAGAAAGTAAATACAATCCAAATGTTCTTTAGCTGATAAATGGCCAAACAGTATGTGATATATTGATACAATGAAATATTTTTCAGCTATATAAAGTTATTAAGTATTGTTACATGACACCATGTGGACAAACCTTGAAAACAGTATTCTACAGGAAAGAAATCAGACATAAGAAGTCACACACCTTATTCTTTTCATGTGAAATGTGGAGATAGTGTATGTATATAGAGACATAAAGCAGAATAATACAGATGCTCCTTGACTTACAGTGGGGTTATGTCATGATAAACGCACTGTAAGTTGAAAATATCTTATCAAAAATGCATTTAATATGTCTTATCTAATGAACACCATACCTTAGCCAAACCTACCTTAAACATGCTCAGAATCCTTACATTAGCCTACTAGTTGGGCAAAATCATATAACAACAAGACTATTTTCATAATAATGTGCTGAATATCTAATGTAATTTATTGAATACTGTACTGAAAGTGAAAAAGAAAATGGTTGTATGGGTACTTGAAGTGTTGTTTCCACTGAATGCATATTGCTTTCACCTTATTATAAAGTTAAAAAAATTGTACATGGAGCCATTGAAAGCCAAGGACCATCTATAGTTGCCAGGGGCTGGGAGAGAGATGGGGGAGTGGAGAGTGTCTGTTAATGACTCTGAGTTTCTTTTGTCTTTTGAGAATGATAACATATTCTTGAATTAGATAGTAATGACGGTTGTACAACTCTGTGAATATATTAAAACCCACTAAATTGTACATTTTAAAGTTGTGAATTTTACTGGGTATGAATTACGTCTCAATTAAAAATAGAGGAAGAAAGAGAGATAAGGCTGAAAAATGGGATTTTGTCAAATTAAAAAAAAATTTGGATAACATTAAGGAGTTGGAATTTATTTTTGATATTAGGTATTCATTAAAACATTTTAAGCAGGAAAGTACAAAGTTTTGTTTTTAGCCAGAGAGTAGTTCGTAGAAGATCTGAAACAAGAACTGTAGGTATTCAGGACAGAGAACAACCTAGAAAAGAACAAGGACAAATATAAAAAAACAGAGCTAGCTAGATTTGGAAATAGCAGGTTGACCTGATGAAAAAACACATCACTTTGGTCTATAAACCAAACATGTGAGTAGATGACTCTTAAGTCATTAATTTATAATAAAATATTATAAATAATTGAGTATTTTGAATTATGTGGAGTAATTAAGTCATATTGATAAAATTAGCACATGCCAAAATGTCTTACTTTTTAAAATGTTTTAACACAGAGCTCAAGAGAAATGCAATAAATAACCAACTCCTATGTATCATAAATAATTATTAAAATATATTTTCTTCAATGTTAGCAAATAACTAAGCATCACATTTTACAGATTTACAGAGGAATCACAGCTTCTTAAATTAATATTCATAAATATTTAAATGATATCTGACTTTGAATTCTGTGAGGGCAGAAACTGTAGCTCCAGTGTCCAATTATGTGCCTGCTTCATCAAAGATATTTTATTTAAGACATTGTTGAATACTAAAATATATAATAAATGTTATGCTTGAGTTAATAATTGTAATAACTAACATTTATCTAGCACCCCCTATGTCCTGGGTATTATGACAAGGACTTTGAAAGCATCATCACGTTTATTTCCTTCAACCATACCGTGAAGTTTTTTAAAAATACTATTATTAATCTTCATTTTACAGTGAGGCAACTGAAGCTTGAAGAAATTAAATGACTTGTTCAATGTCACATAGACAAGGACTCAGGGCCAGGCTGAGTTTAGGGTGAGGCTTGTGAGACAGGGCTGTACAACTACAGGGTAAGTTCCTGTCTTTATTTAAAAGTTTCATATTTTGTTCATTGTGGGGTGGTTTTAGGGCATCAACTTCAATTTTTAAAATATTACATGAAAATAATATTTATTTTGATTATTGAGTGTATTTGTTTGTTTTCAGGCTGCTAATAAAGACATACCCAAAACTGGTTAATATATAAACGAAAGAGGTTTAATCGGGTCATAGTTTTGCAGGGCTGGGGAGGCCTCAGGAAACTTACAATATGGAAGAACGGAAAGCAAACACGCCTTTCTTCACAGGGCAGCAGCAAGGAGAAGGGCATAGCGAAGCCAGGGAAAAACCCCCT
Source organism: Homo sapiens (assembly GCF_000001405.40). Lineage (NCBI taxonomy): Eukaryota > Metazoa > Chordata > Mammalia > Primates > Hominidae > Homo > Homo sapiens. The sequence continues at coordinate 104,208,734 of NC_000001.11, forward strand.
TATAAAAGCACCAGATTCAGAAATTCGAGAACAGCCTGACCAACATGGTGAAACCCGTCTCTGTTAAAAATACAAAAAAAAAAAAAATTAGCCTGGTGTGGTGGCAGCACCTGTAATCCCAGCTACTCAGCAGGCTGAGGCAGGAGAAACGCTTGAACCTGGGAGGTGGAGGTTGCAGTGAGACAAGATCGCGCCATTGCACTCCGTGGGGAAAACTCCCCCATGACTCAATTACCTCCCACTGGGTCCCTTGCACAACACGTAGGAATTATGGAAACTACAATTCAAGAAGAGATTTGGGTGGGGACACAACCAAACCATATCATTGTGCTTTTTGGTAGGGCCTTAAGTTCTGTTCCTGAGGTAAGTGCTTATGACGTCTCACCCTTGCCCCAGTCCTGCTCAGGTCTGGAATATCTAAGGGTTCTCGATGAGTAACCATGACAAAAATGAAGCATTAGTTAGTGCTGTTATGGTAGAGTTTTGCAAGAGTGATCCTGGAGATCATTTAGATGACCATGGTAGTTTTATGGATTAGTAAACTGAGGTTCCTAAGGGGGATTTGTGTTTGTGGAGAGTCAGGAGCAGAACATTTCAGATAAAGTACAATCACCATAGTCACATCCTCCCCAAACCTTGTATCCACTGGAAGTATACTTTAGTTTGAGGTATTTTCTCTTATATTGTGTGTTTGCTGGATTATGATCATTTTCTTTAAGATAAAACATTTATAAATGCATATCTGTATTGCCATTATACCTCAAAATTTGTTTTTTTATTTTGCTACTTTTAATGTAAAATTCAGTTTTCTTTTTCTTTTTCTTTTTAATTTTTTTTTTTTTTTTTTTTTTTGAGAGAGAGAGGGTTTTGCTCTGTCATCCAGGCTGGAGTGCAGTGGCATGATCTCAGCTCTCAGCTCTCAGCTCTCAAATCACTGCAAACTCCACCTCCTGGGCTCAAACAATCCTCCCACCTCAGCCTCCTGAGTAGCTGGGACCACAGGGGTTCACCACACCTGGCTATTTTTTTTTTTTTTTTTTTTTTTTTGAGAAGGAGTCTCGGTCTGTCACCAGGGTGGAGTGCAGTGGCATAATCTTGGCTCACCGCAGCCTCCGCCTCCTGGGTTCAAGCCATTCTCTTGCCTCAGCCTCCCAAGTAGCTGGGATTATAGGCACATGCCAACCCACCCAGCTAATTTTTGTATTTTTAGGAGAGACAGGTTTCACCATGTTGGCCAGGATGGTCTCGATCTCCTGACCTCGTGATCTGCCCTGCCCGCCTTGGCCTCCCAAAGTGCTAGGATTACAGGGGTGGGCCAATGCACCAGGCAGGCTTTTTTTTTTTTTAAAGGGGTTTCAAAATTCAGTTCTATGGCCCTTTATATTTATTTTGTTTATATTTAGGTTTATAAGAAATCTATTTCCACCAACAGACATCTTTCCAAATACCTTGAAAGTAAATTTGTCACAGTATCAATATATATTCTCTACTAATAACAGACTTCTAAGATGAACAGAATGTCATAGGCAGGCTTGATCTCCAGTTTCGCTGGCATGCATTTTTCCTTCTTAGACTGGGGAGAAGGTGACTAGCTGACACTTTGAACAAGAGGACTTCTTGTTAATAATAAAGATAAGAGTAGAAAATTGTGTGAATATAAGCAAATTGCATAAAAATGTGTTTGCAGTGACCTAATTACTACTTTGGATGATTATAGCAATTGATAAATTATTATGATCACAACTCTCATTTATCTTTAACAAAATGGTAATATCTCCAAGCTCAATTTTAGTTAGTATATTTAATCCATTATTTTGGCTTCCAGAAAATAAATCACTGAAGAATCAATGCTTAGTTCTGGTTCTATCTATCAGTCTGATAAAATAATTTGAAACTAAGGTTTAAGCTCAAGAGACCAAAATAAAAATGTGTGAGCGCACGAGTGTGTGTTTGTGCACGTATGCTTGTGCATGTGTGATAGAATGGAATGGTCTGATACCTTTATTCCTTTCATTCTGTCTCATCTTCACTGGTAAGGAGGAGGTTTTTCATAATAATGACTTACCATGTTATTCCATGGGGGGGTATATATCATAAATGCTGTGCTATAAGTATAAGAATCTACCACAGTCCTTCTATGAGGGAGCCAGAAACAGGTTTTACCGAACAAGAAAGTAAGGGGTAAATGGGTTCCTCTAAACTGAAAGGAGGTTGGATGCTCTGAGAGAAGCATATGGCTAGAAAAAGAGAGAGGGGGCCAGTCGTGGTCACCCAAGCCTATAATCCCAGCACTTTGGGAGGCCGAGGCGGGCAGATCACGAGGTGAAGAGATAGAAATCATCCTGGCCAACATGGTGAAACCCCGTCTCTAATAAAAATACAAAAATTAGCCGGGAATGGTGGCAGGCGCCTGTAGTCCCAGCTACTCGGGAGGCTGAGGCAGGAGAATTGCTTGAACCTGGGAGGCGCAGGTTGCAGTGAGCCGAGATCGTGCCACTGAACTCCAGCCTGGCGACAGAGCAAGACTCTGTCTCAAAAAAAAAGGAAAAAAAAAAAAAAAAGAGGGTGGGAAACAGATGATGCAATCACAGAACTCCATTCTCTCCATTCTCTTTGTCGCAGTCATTGTTTCCAGGATAGCACATTAGTCCCTTACCAGCTTCCGAAAAGGTTAATAAGAGGATGATGGGACAGAAAGAGTTTCTCTTCCTTTAGGATAGTGGGTTCTGTATAGGGTAAACATACACTGCAGATTTCATTGGAATGTTCTGGTTTTTACATCTTTTATTGGAATAGTTATTAATAGCACGCATTTTCACCTTCACAGATGTCTTTCTTTGGATATTAATAAATATAGTTATTTGCCTCACAAATCAGGTAAGCCTGAAGCTGCTAGTGTCCCTTTCTCTTGTTCAAATGAATTTAACTGTCTGCAGAATAAAAACAATCTCTGAAAAATTATAAGGCAAAGAAATGTAAAGATACAGAAACCTCACATCATCCATAGCCTCTGAATTGATGTATATTTCAGGCCATACTACCTCTGGCTTGAGGCAATTACTTGAGCCAATAATATCCTTTTTTTTTTTTTCTTAAACTTGCCATCCAGAACCCAAAAGACTTCTAATAACTTCTAATAACCGAAAAGACTTCTAACGTTATTAGAAGATCTCATGCTACTCATGAGCATCTTATTTTTTTATCTGAGTTGTTACCTTTATCTAATCTTCCATATTGTTTATATATTGTTGTATAAGTGGAGACCTTGTCATATTTCTTTTTATTTTTCACTAATAAATATTTACTATTGAGTAGGTGCTCAGTAAATATTATTGAATGAATATAAGAATTCATGAGTGAGTGAGTGAATGAATGAATAGTTGATATGCTCAATAAAGGATCAACAAAATATAGCTTTCCTGGTAGATTAGTGCAATGATGGGATATAAACATATGTAGAAGATCCTTATTTGTTCAAGTCCTAAAAGTTCTAGAACTAAATTTGCACATAATCTCTCTTCTCTCTCTCTCTCTTGACTAAACCCCCTAATGCAGCACCTGCATCTCCTGGGGAAGCAACTCTTTATGGGTCCCCTCTCTTTCTACAACTCTTGTGACCACTGACAACTTTTACTCTGGACTATGTTTGCAAGGGTGTCGCATAGTAAACATATGCATAGTATGCATATGCAACATATGCAAGGGTGTGGCATAGTAAACATAGAAAGTATGATGTATCTACCTCTAGAGCAGAGGGCAAGTTTGTTTATTGACTAGCATAAGGACAATTTCTCCTTATAGGACAACAGTGGGGCAGAATTGTTTGGAGCTCATTACTTTAATTGAATTAAAATTTAGTTATATTTTAAAGGCTGTGTTTATTAGTTGACTCAGGTTACCATAACAAAATAGCACAGGCTACGTGGTTTAAACAACAGACATTAATTTTTTTCACGGTTCGAAAGCTAGAAGTCTATGAGCAAGGTGCCAGCAAACTCAGCTTCTGGTAAGGAATCTCTTCCTAGTTTGTAGACAGCTACGCTCTTGTGTCCCAACATGGCATTTCCTCTGTGCTTGCACAGAGACTAAGATTTCTGATGTTTCTTTCTCTCCTCATAAGGACATTAACGCTGTCAGATTAGAGCCCCACACTTATGGCCTCATTTAATATTAATTAGCACCGCAAAGGCCTTATTTCCAAATACAGTCACATTCGGGGTTAGTGCTTCAGCATATAAACTTTGGAAGACACAATTCAGTTCATAATGCCAGGATTCCCTAAACTTAGGGTTCCTCAGCTAATGCAAACCTATTGCCTGCACAGCACCCACTTAGGCACACCCATATTGCTCCTGTAGGGCACAAGAAACAAGGAGAAACTGCATGTACATGATGATCATGCTGCTATCTGCTTGCTGTGCACTGAGTGAGTAATAATGTCCTTTACCCTTCTGATCAATGAGTGGTGTGTCTTCTGCTAGCATCCTTGAAACCGCAGCAGACTAGTTTGCTATCTTAGAAGGACAGCCAACCATTGGATAATACAGATGTTAGGGGCACAGTGAAAAATTGCATATAGCTTTTGGCTCCTCTAAAACTTAACTACTAATAGCCTACTGTTCACCGGAAGGAAGCCTTACTGATAACATAAACAGTCAACACGTATTTTGTATGTTATATATATTATATACTGTATTCTTAAAGTAACCTAAAAAATGTTATTAGGAAAATCATAAGTGGAAATGGATCATCATAAATATCATCATCCTCATTGTCTTTACATTGAACTTGCTGAGAAAGAATAAGAGGAGGGGTTGGTGGCACAGTTTTTGCTCCAGATAAAGTAATCGTGTTTCTGCTAAGTGTTAGCCATTACATTAAACACGTTTTGAGTTTCTTTTAACTCATTTTCATTACAAATTTAAATACTAATATGGTGAATGATACTTGAATTATTTACAATAAAGTTCAATAATTACTGGCGGCTCTCTATATGCAGAACTGACTACCATATGCCATACATTCATAAAATATTCAATTAAAATGTCAAGAATAGTGATGGCTATGACACTTTCTTTAAGAAAACAACACAGTTCTAATTCATACTATCTATAAGAGAAAAAATATCTGACATTAAATAGATTTTCTAAAATTTTCAGTCTAAATCTCCTTTGTTTTATTCTTGAGATTTTTTTTTTTTCTGAGGAAAATTTTAATGCAACAATTATCAAATTCAGTACAGGAAAAAATCATCTTTATAGTGGCTATATATTAAACTACTTGATACAAAATAGCCATATGATTGAAATGTGCAATTATTTTCTTTTTTTTAATGTTTATAGCAGCTTTATTCATTATAACCAAGAACAAATTATGATATATCCATACAATCTAATACTACTCAACAATAAAAAAAATTACTGGCGCCGGGCGCAGTGGCTCAAGCCTGTAATCCCAGCACTTTGGGAGGCCGAGGCGGACGGATCACGAGGTCAGGAGCTCACGACCATCCTGGCTAACATGGTGAAACCCCGTCTCTACTAAAAATACAAAAAAATTAGCTGGGCGTGATGGCGCATGCCTGTAGTACCGGCTACTTGGGAGGCTGAGGCAGGAGAATTGCCTGAACCTGGGAGGCGGAGCTTGCAGTGAACCGAGATTGCGCCACTGCACTCCAGCCTGGGCGACAGAGCAAGACTCCATTTCAAAAAAAAAAAAAAAAAAAAAAAAAATTACCGGATAAATGCAACAACACGGATGAGTCTCATAAACAGCAAACTTAGTGAAAGAAGCCAAACGCAAAAGAGTACATACTGTCTGATTCCATTTTTATGGAATGCTGGTAAAGACAAATCTAATCTATAGCAACAGAAGGCAGGTCTGTGGTGCCTGGGGCCAGGGGTGGTGAGTGGGAATGTTGACTGGGAAGGAGAGAGGGAAATTTTGGGGTGATGGAAATGTTTATATCTTGATTGTGATGGTGGTTGCATAGATGTATGCAAAAAAAAAGAAGAAAGAAAAGATTCAAGAAGGCAAGAAAGAAGCCAGTCACAGAAGACCACATCCTGTATTACACAGAACTCCATCTATATGAAATTTCCAGAAAAGGCAAAACTATAGAGACAGAGAATTGGTCAAGAGTTATCAATTGTATACTTAAATGGGTACATAAAAAAGCAGGTCAAAATGTTAAAGATGCAACAATTCAAGTTATCTACTGTGAAAATGCCATAAAGAATTAGTATCTCTAGAATCATTACAGCAGTCATCTTCTAGTGCAAGACCCAGTACCATTTTTAACAGCCTTATTGAGGAATAATTTGCATATCATAAAATTCTCCCCTTGTAAGTGCAATTATAGAACTTTTGGTGACTATATATGATTATGCAACCAGCACCACACTCCAGTTTAAAACATACCCATCACGCCAGAACGTTCCCTCACACCTGTGGCAGTCAATCCCCTCTCCCACCACAGCCAACCACCGAACCAATTCTCTGTCTCTATAGTTTTGCGTTTTCTAGAAATTTCATATAAATGGAATTTTATATAATACAAAATGTAGTCTTCTGTGACTGGCCTCCCTCCTAACCCCCCGAATCCTTTCTCTCCTCTTCTTCCCTTTTTTTTTCTTTTTTTTTTTTTATTATACTTTAAGTTTTAGGGTACATGTGCAAAACGTGCAGATTTATTACATATGTATACATGTGCCATGATGGTGTGCTGCACCCATTAACTCGTCATTTAACATTAGGTATATCGCCTAATGCTATCCCTCCCCCCTCCCCCCACCCCACAATAGGCCCAGGTGTGTGATGTTCCCCTTCCTGTGTCCATGTGTTCTCATTGTTCAATTCCCACCTATGAGTGAGAACATGCGGTGTTTGGTTTTTTGTCCTTGCGATAGTTTGCTGAGAATGATGGTTTCCAGCTTCATCCATGTCTCTACAAAGGACATGAACTCATCATTTTTTATGGCTGCATAGTATTCCATGGTGTATATGTGCCACGTTTTCTTAATCCAGTCTATCACTGATGGACATTTGGATTGGTTCCAAGTCTTTGCTATTGTGAATAGTGCCACAATAAACATACGTGTGCATGTGTCTCTATAGAAGCATGATTTATAATCCTTTGGGTATATACCCAGTAATGGGATGGCTGGGTCAAATGGTATTTCTAGTTCTAGATCCCTGAGGAATCACCACACTGAGTTCCACAATGGTTGAACTAGTTTACAGTCCCACCAGCAGTGTAAAAGTGTTCCTATTTCTCCACATCCTCTCCAGCACCTGTTGTTTCCTGACTTTTTAATGATTGCCATTCTAACTGGTGTGAGATGGTATCTCATCATGGTTTTGATTTGCATTTCTCTGATGGCCAGTGATGATGAGCATTTTTTCACGTGTCTTTTGGCTGCATGAATGTCTTCTTTTGAGAAGTATCTGTTCCTATCCTTCACCCACTTGTTGATGGGGTTGTTTGATTTTTTCTTGTAAATTTGTTGGAGTTCATTGTAGATTCTGGATATTAGCCCTTTGTCAGATGAGTAGATTGCAAAAATTTTCTCCCATTCTGTAGGTTCCCTTTTCACTCTGAGGGTAGTTTTGTGTCCGGAATTGGTGGGTTCTTGGTCTCACTGACTTCAAGAATGAAGCCACGTACCCTCGCAGTGAGTGTTACAGCTCTTAAGGTGGCGCGTCTGGAGTCTCTCCCTTCTGATGTTCAGATGTATCGGAGTTTCTTCCTTCTGGTGGGTTCGTGGTCTCGCTGGCTCAGGAGTGAAGCTGCAGACCTTCGCGGTGAGTGTTACAGCTCTTAAGGCAGTGCGTCTGGAGTTGTTCGTTCCTCCTGGTGGGCTCCTGGTCTCACTGGGCTCAGGAGTGAAGCTGCAGATCTTCGTGGTGAGTGTTACAGCTCATAAAAGCAGCGTGGACCCAAAGAGTGAGCAGTAGCAAGATTTATCGCAAAGAGCAAGAGAACAAATCTTCCACAGTGTGGAAGAGGACCCGAGTGGGTTGTCAATGCTGGCTCTGGCAGCCTGCTTTTATTCTCTTATCTGGATCCACCCACATCCTGCTGATTGGTAGAGCTGAGTGGCCTGTTTTGTCAGGGCGCTGATTGGTGCATTTACAATCCCTGAGCTAGATACAAAGGTTCTCCACATCCCCATCAGATTAGTTAGATACAGAGTTTCCACACACAGGTTCTCCAAGGCCCCACCATAGTAGCTAGATACAGAGTGTCGATTGGTGCATTCACAAACCTTGAGCTAAACACAGGGTGCTGATTGGTGTGTTTACAATCCTTGAGCTAGACATAAAGGTTCTCCACGTCCTCACCAGAGCAGCTAGATACAGAGTGTCGATTGGTGCACTCACAAACCTTGAGCTAAACACAGGGTGCTGATTGGTGTGTTTACAAATCTTGAGCTAGATACAGAGTGCCGATTGGTGTATTTACAATCCCTGAGCTAGACATAAAGGTTCTCCAAGGCCCCACCAGAGCAGCTAGATACAGAGTGTCGATTGGTGCACTCACAAACCTTGAGCTAAACACAGGGTGCTGATTGGTGTATTTACAATCCCTGAGCTAGATATAAAGACTCTCCACGTCCCCACCAGACTCAGGAGCCCAGCTGGCTTCACCTAGTGGATCCCGCACTGGGGCTGCAGGTGGAGCTGCCTGCCAGTGCTGCGCCGTGTGCTCGCATTCCTCAGCCCTTGGGTGGTCGATGGGACTGGGCGCCATGGAGTAGGGGGTGGTGCTCGTCCGGGAGGCTCGGGCCGCACAGGAGCCCATGGAGTGTGCGGGAGGCTCAGGCATGGCGGGCTGCAGGTCCCAAGCCTTGCCCCTCGGGAAGGCAGCTAAGGCCCGGTGAGAAATCGAGCGCAGCGCTGGTGGGCTGGCACTGCTGGGGGACTCAGTACACCCTCCGCAGCCACTGGCCCAGGTGCTAAGTCCCACATTGCCCGGGGCCAGCAGAGCTGGCTGGCTGCTCCGAGTGCGGGGCCCACCAAGCCCATGCCCACCCGGAACTCCAGCTGGCCTGCAAGCGCCGCCCACAGCCCCGGTTCCCGCTCGTGCCTCTCCCTCCACACCTCCCTGCAAGCTGAGGGAGTGGGCTCCAGCCTTGGCCAGCCCAGAAAGGGGCTCCCACAGTGCAGTGGGGGGGCTGAAGGGCTCCTCAAATGCCACTAAAGTGGGAGCCCAAGCAGGGGAGGTGCCGAGAGCAAGCGAGGGCTCTGAGGACTGCCAGCATGCTGTCACCTCTCAGTTTCTTTTACTGTGCAGAAGCTCTTTAGTTTAATTAGATCCCATTTGTCAATTTTGGCTTTTGTTGCCATTGCTTTTGATGTTTTAGACATGAAGTCCTTGCCCATGCCTATGTCCTGAATGGTATTGCCTAGGTTTTCTTCTAGGGTTTTTATGGTTTTAGGTCTAACATGTAAGTCTTTAATCTATCTTGAATTAATTTTTGTATAAGGTGTAAGGAAGGGATCCAGATTCAGCTTTCTACATATGGCTAGCCAGTTTTCCCAGCACCATTTATTAAATAGGGAATCTTTTCCCCATTTCTTGTTTTTGTCAGGTTTGTCAAAGATCAGATAGTTGTAGATGTGTGGTATTATTTCTGAGGCCTCTGTTCTGTCCCATTGGTCTATATCTCTGTTTTGGTACCAGTACCATGCTGTTTTGGTACCAGTACCATGCTGTTTTGGTTACTGTAGCCTTGTAGTATAGTTTGAAGTCAGGTAGTGTGATGCCTCCAGCTTTGTTCTTTTGGCTTAGGATTGACTTGGCGATGCGGGCTCTTTTTTGGTTCCATATGAACTTTAAAGTAGTTTTTTCCAATTCTGTGAAAAAAGTCATTGGTAGCTTGATGGGGATGGCATTGAATCTATAAATTACCTTGGGCAGTATGGCCATTTTCACGATATTGATTCTTCCTACCCATGAGCATGGAATGTTCTTCCATTTGTTTGTATCCTCTTTTATTTCCTTGAGCAGTGGTTTGTAGTTCTCCTTGAAGAGGTCCTTCACATCCCTTGTAAGTTGGATTCCTAGGTATTTTATTCTCTTAGAAGCAATTGTGAATGGGAGTTCACTCATGATTTTGCTCTATGTTTATCTGTGGTTGGTGTATAAGAATGCTTGTGATTTTTGCACATTGATTTTGTAACCCAAGACTTTGCTGAAGTTGCTTATCAGCTTAAGGAGATTTTGGGCTGAGACAATGGGGTTTTCTAAATATACAATCATGTCATCTGCAAACAGGGACAATTTGACTTCCTCATTTCCTAATTGAATACCTTTTATTTCCTTCTCCTGCCTAATTGCCCTGGTCAGAACTTCCAACACTATGTTGAATAGGAGTGGTGAGAGAGGGTATCCTTGTTTTGTGCCAGTTTTCAAAGGGAATGCTTCCAGTTTTTGCCCATTCAGTATGATATTGGCTGTGGGTTTGTCATAGATAGCTCTTATTATTTTGAGATACATCCCTTCAATACCTAATTTATTGAGAGTTTTTAGCACGAAGTGTTGTTCAACTTTGTCAAAGGCCTTTTCTGCATCTATTGAGATAATCATGTGGTTTTTGTCTTTGGTTCTGTTTATATGCTGGATTACATTTATTGATTTGTGTATGTTGAACCAGCCTTGCATTCCAGGGATGAAGCCCACTTGATCATGGTGGATAAGCTTTTTGATGTGCTGCTGGATTCAGTTTGCCAGTATTTTTCTGAGGATTTTTGCATTGATGTTCATCAGAGATATTGGTCTAAAATTCTCTTTTTTTGTTGTGTCTCTGCCTGGCTTTGGTATCAGGATGATGCTGGCCTCATAAAATGAGTTAGGGAGGATTCCCTCTTTTTCTATTGATTGGAGTAGTTTCAGAAGGAGTCGTACCAGCTCCTCCTTGTACCTCTGGTAGAATTCAGCTGTGAATCTGTCTGGTCCGGGACTTTTTTTGGTTGGTAAGCTATTAATTATTGCCTCAATTTCAGAGCCTGTTATTGGTCTATTCAGAGATTCAACTTCTTCCTTGTTTAGTCTTGGGAGGGTGTATGTGTTGAGGAATTTATCCATTTCTTCTAGATTTTCTAATTTATTTGCATAGAGGTGTTTGTAGTATCATCTGATGGTAGTTTGTATTTCTGTGGGATCAGTGGTGATATCCCCTTTATCATTTTTTATTACTTCTATTTGATTCTTCTCTCTTTTCTTCTTTATTAGTCTTGCTAATGGTCTATCAATTTTGTTGTTCTTTTCAAAATACCAGCTCCTGGGTTCATTGATTTTTTGAAGGTTTTTCTGTGTCTCTATTTCCTTCAGTTCTGCTCTGATCTTAGTTATTTCTTGCCTTCTGCTAGCTTTTGAATGTGTTTGCTCTTGCTTCTCTAGTTCTTTTAATTGTGATGTTAGGGTGTCAATTTTAGATCTTTCCTGCTTTCTCTTGTGGGCATTTAGTGCTATAAATTTCCGTCTACACTCTGCTTTGAATGTTTCCCAGAGATTCTGGTATGTTGTGTCTTTGTTCTCATTGGTTTCAAAGAACATCTTTATTTCTGCCTTCATTTTGTTGTGTACCCAGTAATTATTCAGGAGCAGGTTGTTCAGTTTCCATGTAGTTGAGCAGTTTTGAGTGAGTTTCTTAATCCTGAGTTCTAGTTTGATTGCACTGTGGTCTGAGAGACAGTTTGTTATAATTTCTGTTCTTTTCCATTTGCTGAGGAGTGCTTTACTTCCAACTATGTGGTCAATTTTGGAATAGGTGTGGTGTGGTGCTGAAAAGAATGTATATTCTGTTGATTTGGGGTGGAGAGTTCTGTAGATTTCTATTAGGTCCACTTGGTGCAGAGCTGAGTTCAATTCCTGGATATCCTTCTTACCTTTCTATGTTGTTGATCTGTCTATTGTTGACCATGAGGTGCTAAAGTCTCCCATTATTACTGTGTGGGAGTCTAAGTCTCTTTGTAGGTCTCTAAGGACTTGCTTTATGAATCTGGGTGCTCCTGTATTGGGTGCATATATATTTAGGATAGTTAGCTCTTCTTGTTGATAGTTAGCTCTCCTTTACCATTATGTAATGGCCTTCTTTGCCTCTTTTGATCTTTGTTGGTTTAAAGTCTGTTTTATCAGAGACTAGGATTGTAACCCCTGCCTTTTTTTGTTTTGCATTTGATTGGTAGATCTTCCTCCATCCCTTTATTTTGAGCCTATTTTTGTCTCTGCATGTGAGATGGGTTTCCTGAATATAGCACACTGATGGGTCTTGACTCTTTATCCAATTTGCCCGTCTATGTCTTTTAATTGGAGCATTTAGTCCATTTACATTTAAGGTTAATATTGTTATATATGAATTTGATCCTGTCATTATGATGTTAGCTTTTTGTTTTCCTCGTTAGTTGATGCAGTTTCTTCCTAGCATCAATGGTCTTTACAATTTGGCATGTTTTTGCAGTGGCTGGTACTGGTTGTTCCTTTCCATATTTAGTGCTTCCTTCAGGAGCTCTTTTAGGACTGGCCTGGTGGTGACAAAACCTCTCAGCATTTGCTTGTCTGTAAAGTATTTTATTTCTCCTTCACTTATGAAGCTTCGTTTGGCTGGATAAGAAATTCTGGGTTGAAAATTCTTTTCTTTAAGAATGTTGAATATTGGCCCCCATTCTCTTCTGGCTTGTAGAGTTTCTGCCGAGAGATCAGCTGTTAGTCTGATGGGCTTCCCTTTGTGGGTAACCCGACCTTTCTCTCTGGCTGCCCTTAACATTTTTTCCTTCATTTCAACTTTGGTGAATCTGACAATTATGTGTTTTTGAGTTGCTCTTCTCTAGGAGTATCTTTGTGGTGTTCTCTGTATTTCCTGAATTTGAATGTTGGCCTGCCTTGCTAGATTGGGGAAGTTCTCCTGGATAGTATCCTGCAGAGTGTTTTCCAATTTGGTTCCATTCTCCCTGTCACTTTCGGGTACATCAATCAGACATAGATTTGGTCTTTTCACATAGTCCCATATTTCTTGAAGGCTTTGTTCATTTCTTTTTATTCTTTTTTCTCTAAACTTCTCTTCTCACTTCATTTTATTCATTTGATCTTCCATCACTGATACCCTTTCTTCCAGTTGATCAAATCGGCTACTGAGGCTTGTGCATTCATCATGTAGTTCTCATGCCATGGTTTTCAGCTCCATTAGGTCCTTTAAGGACTTCTCTGCATTGGTTATTCTAGTCAGCTATTCATCTAATCTTTTTTCAAGGTTTTTAACTTATTTGCCATGGGTTTGAACTTCCTCCTTTAGCTCAGAGTAGTTTGATCGTCTGAAGCCTTCTCTCAACTCATCAAAGTCATTATCTGTCCAGCTTTTTTCTGTTGCTGGTGAGGAGCTGTGTTCCTTTGGAGGAGGAGAGGCGCTCTGATTTTTAGAGTTTCCAGTTTTTCTGCTCTGTTTTTTCCCCATCTTTGTGGTTTTATCTACCTTTGGTCTTTGATGATGGTGACGTACAGATTGGTTTTGGTGTGTATGACCTTTATGTTTGTTAGTTTTCCTACTAACAGTCAGGACCCTCAGCTACAGGTCTGTTGGAGTTTGCTGTAGGTACACTCCAGACCCTGTTTGCCTGGGTATCAGCAGTGGAGGCTGCAGAACAGCAGATATTGGTGAACAGCAAATGTTGCTGCCTGATCATTCCTCTGGAAATTTTGTCTCAGAGGAGTACCCGGCTATGTGAGGTGTCAGTCTGCCCCTACTGGGTGTTGCCTCCCAGTTAGGCTACTTGGGGGTCAGGGACCCACTTGAGGAGGCAGTCTGTCCATTCTCAGATCTCAAGCTGCATGCTGGGAGAACCAGTACTCTCTTCAAAGCTGTCAGACAGGGACATTTAAGTCTGCAGAGGTTTCTGCTGCCTTTTGTTTGGCTATGCCCTGCCCCCAGAGGTGGAGTCTATAGAAGCAGGCAGGCTTCCTTGAGCTGCAGTGGGGTCCACCCAGTTCGAATTTCCTGGCTGCTTTGTTTACCTACTCAAGCCTCGGCAATGGCAGGCGCCCCTCCCCCAGCCTCACTGCCGCCTTGCAGTTTGACCTCAGACTGCTGTGTTAGCAATGAGTGAGGTTCTGTGGGCATAGGACTCTCCGAGCTATGTGCAGGATATAATCTCCTGGTGTGCTGTTTGCTATGACCATTGGAAAAGCTCAGTATTAGGGTGGGAGTGACCTGATTTTCCAGGTGCCATCTGTCACCCCTTTCCTTGGCTAGGAAAGGGAATTCCCTGACCCCTTGCGCTTCCTGGGTGAGGTGATGCCTCACCCTGCTTCGGCTCATGCTTGGTGAGCTACATCCACTGTCCTGCACCGACTGTCTGACAATCCCCAGTGCAATGAACCCGGTACCTCAGCTGGAAATGCAGAAATCACCCGTCTTCTGTGTTGCTTACAGTGGGAGCTGTAGACAGGAGCTGTTCCTATTCAGTCGTCTTGGCTCCACCCTGAAATGTGCAATTATTTTCTTAAAGAATCTGGAAATAAAATGAATGCAAAAAATAATTTTTAAAATACTAAAACATTATATTATTTTGAAAAATTCTTTTAGTCTATCTTCTTGGTTCTCTTGACAAAGAACTTTAAACAATTGGCACTAAGACTAGCCTAGGTATTGGATGGATGGATAACAAAGAAAGAGATATATATGAAAATTACTTCCCTGGAGTTACTGTGGAAGGCTCTCCTGGACTTATTGTGGAAGGATCTTCCTCTTGAGATAGTCAGTGCAATGCTATTAGCTCTTTCTACACTCTGATTTAACTATATAGATTCCCTCTTTTTTAACCTACAAAAGCCAAACTAATTAAACTTTGGTTAGAATTGCATACATGTGACTGTAATATGTGCCCCAGTAGTCCAACATTGTGTGCTGAGCTAAAAAACACTACTGTACCACAGCTCCATATACACATTCCCACTGCTGTTCATCAAAACAGAAGGAACTTCTTACCAGTTCTTTTCCTAAAATCTATTTCATAAAAACTAGGCACTTAATATCTTTGTAGGCTATTTCCTTTAAAACAGGGGCAGAAAAGAGAGGACCTAAATACCATTAGCTTTACTTTTCTATCCTATTTATGGAGACAAATCCAACAAATCAATACTTTAATCAAGTCTGGACTTACAGACCAAAACAAAAGTGACTTTGGATTCATAAGGTTCATAAATCAGCATGGACTCTCTGGCCATTGACCAGTATGGATCTGGTTTCTTCTTCCTTCCTTCCTTCCTTCCTTTTTCCCCCTTTATTATGCTAGGAAAATATTTTTCTTTCAAATAGAGAAAATTTAATTTGCAAGATGAAATTTTGAAATTATAACTCTCAAGGTTACTTAATCATTAAATCATCAACGCAAATGTCTTGAGTGTTCTCAATAAAGTCTACACATTCTATTATTGTTTAGCCTATTTTTTTGAGTAGGATGTTCTCTAAAAACTCTGAGTATTTATTGTAGGTGTGAGTTCAAGATAATTTGAAGGATCAGAATCCCAAGAAATGAAAGAAAATTAGGTAATGATAATTAAACTATTTGATACCAATCATAACATATTTTTTCCCAGTATATCGTGTGCTTCTCACTTTTCTTCAATTGTGCACCTAATATATAGTATTTCTAAGGTATTTTTAGCTCACCCCATGTGCTTTTACTGTAGACATTAATTTCTCTGGCTCCTATGTTTCCGTCTAGGTATAAAATCCTGTGTCTCTATCACATATTTCACAGTTTTTTTTTCTGTACATTGTAATCTGCCTGCTTCTTCTACTCCTATAATTATCAGTCTGCTGGATTTACTTACTGAAATTTTATCTTTTCTTTTATTCTACTGATCATTATATTTCAACTTGCCTCATTTGCTTTTTATTTTCAATTCTTTTTGGTTTCCCACGTTTTTCATCCTCTCTTTTGGTTCTTTTTCTGTTGTCTGTCACTCATACTAGCGCCTACTTTGCTTTTAATTTCTTTATTGTATTAACCATGTGTATTAGTCAGCTGTTGCCAAAATAAGGGCTGTGTAACCAACCACCTCAAAACACAGTAGCTTACAACAATCAATATTTATTTTTCTCTCTAATGGTCTGCATGTTTGTTGGACTAGTTCAACTTCTGCTTTTGAGTTGATTTCAAATCAGTTCCAATTGTTTTTATATTGCTCATGGACAAGTAAGATATACAGAACATAACCTTCTCTTGATGATTCTAATGAACCAAAGAGAACAGGTCAAAATCTCTGATCACAACATAGCCATGAACATTGAGTTGGCCAAAGCAGTAGGGTAGGGATCTATATAGTTCATCCCCCAAAAGAGGTGGAGTATGACTAACAAATAATCCAACCCATCACACTCTCCTTTCTCTTTATTATTTTGATCATTACAGTTTATTAGGTTGATGCAAACATGATATTTAGTTAATTCTTAAGCATTGGTGCTCATATCAAGTGATATTGCTTCAGTTTTTAGTCCCATCCAGCTTCCTCCAGTCCCACTCAGTTACACCTTGTTCAAAAGTTCCTTATTCTGACTCATTGTCTCTAAATACTGTAAGTAGCTTGAGCAAAAGGAAAATTAATTGGCTCATATAATCCACAGAATAGTTTGCAATCAAACCATGTGAAGGAAAGAAGAATACAGCTGAATCTTAGGAAAAACGGGATTCAGCAACTCAGATGCTGCCAGCACTTTGTTTCTCATCTTTACTTCTTTTTGTGAGTTTTATTCTCTCTCACAGCTTACTTGCTTACTCAACCAGGCTGAACATCAGGGAACTATCAAATTTTCAACCCCAGAGAAGATCTGCATATATTTTTCTTCCTTCCAGTTTAAACAAATCAGGCAGGCCTGCTTGGGACTGGTGGCTACTGGAGCCTAGCAGGGCATAAGGAAGAGAAAATTTCAATGTGGATGAAGAAGGACTTTTGCAGGAGAAAAAAAAAAAAATGAGGGGTCTGTCAACATCTTTCACATCTCTTATAGTATTTTTTTCTCTGTTTTATCTCATCTGTAAGCATAACTCTAGCTCTGGTTCTATCACATCTGCTCTTGGCCTGGTAATGAATATTGCTCACCTATATTGGATGCTGCTGTAGATAACATAATTGGGTTAACAGGAATTCATCACTAGTATACAGTTTCTATATACAAATTAACATCTATATGACATAAAACCAACCATTATTTACTCACTTTCTTTTAAGGTAATACAATAAAATTACTATTCAATTTCTTAAGAGAATGTAAAATTTTATATGAATTCTGAGATGTCTAAATCTCCTTGACAGAAAAACCCCTCCATTCAATGAAAACTGAGTAGTGTTCCTTCTGTAAAGATAGGCATCACACTTCAGGGAGAAAAAAAAAAAAATCATACCATAAACTCGAGAACAGCATGACCCTCAAATTCTGAGTCTATCTTATTTGTTCTATTACACATGTGAGAATTATACATTAATCTGACTGCTATTACCAGTGATAATCTCAGTAATAGGTGCCTGAAAAGGGGGGAATGGCAAGTGCTTCGAATGAGCTGCAGAAAGCCTTTTAAGTGATAAAGTATGCTTAAAATACACCAAGGGAAAAATATAATCCTCAAAAAACAGAGGAGCTCCTTATAAGCAGTAAAATAAAATCCACTGTGGCCATTTTTGCTTTATGTGATAACCTGAATGTTATGAATAAATGTGATGTTGAGTTGAAATAATTTACCATCTGGTGGCTGACCGCACTGTCTTTTCCTTTTGTTGGCAGCACAGCCAATGACTATTTTGAAACCCAAATGAAGAATTTTTCAGATAGGCTGCAAATGAGAGTCCTACTTACCAAACCTGAGAGAACTATGCTAAATGTACCCTCAGTTCTACATCACTCCCTAACAAACTCAGAAATCTAAATAAAAATGAAAATCATACATCATTAGACCTCCATCTGTGTGTGTGTTTCTACTCAGAATTATATTTACTAGCTTGCATATTTGATTATATGGGGAAAATGTTAATGATCACCCTGTAACAATGCTTTAATGAATTCCCAAATCATAAAATAATAATTTCAAAAGCACAAACTAATTTCCAAGGTGAAATTTGTCATTAGTTGGTGCTCAGATGCTGTTATATAAATTATTTTGACAATTCAATTAAACACTTTTTTAGTAAGTGCCATTATTTACACAGTGCTACATGGAAGATGACTTAAAAGCAATTCCATCTAAACCCAGAAAAGTTTGTATTTTTCATCTGAAGATTAGATATGTAGCCAAGTATTTATATCAAAAGGCAGAGAATATGTTATTAAAATACAACTTTGTGCAAAGACCTTGAAGATTATGACAAAATTAGAATCAGAGCTAATTTTGAACGTCTGGGAAGGCTTCTTAAAGCAAGCTTTATTTAAAATGGAGATTAAAGAATTGCTAGTAGATTGATGAGTAGGTATGAGGACAAAATAATTACTATAGAAGAAATTTATCTCATATATTCTCTACTTAATCAGTGTTAGTTAATTCTAAATCCAGGTTCCCGGAAATGTAAGTGAAGAAATGGAGTTAGTAATAACCATGTTTATTGTTTGACAATAAATGATATTTGTACTATTGATTACTCCTCAAACAAAAATCATGTTGAGGACTAGTTAATAGTGCACATTTATTGAATTATAGGTTTCATGTAAGGTAAGTGCTAGATATTGAGTTGGTGTCATCTAAGAGGCAATGATGTGGAGGGCTTCAACTGTCATTCTAATAATTTTGTATCATATTAAATAGACAATGAGGTGCTTTGAAGTTTTCTGGGAAAGAACAAAGTAATCAGTGTTGCTTTAAGTGGATTCATGTGTCCATAGGTTACAGAATGGATTTTAAAGGAGAAACTTAGAGTCAGAAAGATCAATTAAGAGACTTTGCAATAATCTTTTTGACAGGTTATTCACAAATATGCTTCCTCTCTTTTTTCTGACAATATAGTAAAATTCCATATTTCTGCCCATTTGAAGCCAGGGTAGCATGTGACTTGTTTTAGGGGGAGGGGGGAAACATTTGGGCAGAATATTTAGAATCAGGCCACTGCCATTTCATGAAGTGGCTGCCCCATCAGCATCGATTCATCAGCACCCTCCTTTGATTTACACTTGATTTGTAGCATGAGTAAGGAATAAATCTTCTACGTAATTAAACCATTGAGACTTGGGTGTTTGATTTCATTGCTTTATAATCTGGCCTATACTGGCAGACCAAAAAAAAAAAAAAAAAGGTGATATGTTTTAGAACTATATTCCCACCAAGTCCCATATTGAAATGTAATCCCCAGAGTTCAAGTGGGGCCTGGTTCAAGGTCAGAACCAGGATCTGGATCAAGAAGGTATATCCCTTATGAATGGCTTAATGCCATCCCCTGGTGGTGAGTAACTTCACATTTGATCTTGTTTAAAAGTGTGTGGCACCTCCTCCCACTCTCTCGCACCTGCTTTCACCATGTGAGATGCCTGCTTCCCCTTCATCTTCCATCATGATTGGAAGCTTCCTGAGGCATCATGCTTTCTGTAAAGTGTGCAGAACTGTGAGCAAATTAAACCTCTTTTCTTTATAAATTTTGCAATCTCAGGTATTTCTTTATAGCAGTGTAAGCATGGCCTAATGCAAATGGTTAAGTAGGAGTTGGACTAGCATTGAGTTAGGCAAAAAGAAATGTAAAGATAGATAATGAGACTGTTATTATATGAATATGAAATTGCCTAGGTTGATATGATTCTATTCTTTGGGATTCTAGCTATCCTTTAATTTTGCAACACTTGGCTCTAAGGCCCTGCTAGGTTTCCATGAGATATCTAGTATCATTTTATTACTTTCTTTATGATAATACCATATCATACTTAGAAACATAAGTCATGCAACATTTAGAAAAGACAAAAGCAAATGGGACATTAAGGTCATCAAAGAACACTTTGAAAAAACTGAGAAGCATGATTTCTAATAATAATATTCTTCCTAAAATTTATCTGACTCCTTATTGTTTTTAATAGGTGGAGTTAAGGTACCAGCTTCATCAGAATCACCTGGAGTCTTAATACAGATATAAATTCCTGAGTCCCACCCAATACACATAAAAGTATTATGATCTCTGGTTGTAAATGGAGCCCAGAAATCTTCACTCTCCATGAAAATTTCAGAGAAATGCAATGCCAACTTAAATTTTAAGAACTACCACTCATGTTAACATACTCTCTTTTCTTTAATTCTTAAAGCATCATTTTTTACTTTCCTCATTTTTTACAACCCTTAACATGATATTCTTAATTTCCAGTAATTTATGTATTATATATTTTGGTAGAGTTTATGTGCCCAAGAATCATTAACTGTCTACATCTTTTATTCTTTACAATGTGAGGCATAGTTATCTAATAGTAAAAATTAAAAAAAAAGCAATGATTATATGGTTCATTGATCTTAGTCACAAAAAAAAAAGAAGCAGAGATTTGGTAAATGACATTGAATATTTTATGGAAACCTGATAGGGCCTTAGAGGCAGAAAACTAGCAACAATACCCAATCACAACTGAGAAGTTCTTCTAGGGAAATGTTACCATTCTTGTCACTGCAATAGCATTTGGCAATTTATAGCAGGGATTCTGGAACTTCCACACTTGCAAGATTGGTACCTTTAACAGAGTGCTTATCAGCTTTTGATTAGAATATTACTGCTAAACAATATCACTGAACTGAGATCTAGTTTATCAATGTCCTCTATTCAATACAAATCCTTTAAATTCTCTGGACTTTAATGTTTTTCTTTGTAAAATAAAGGTCTTAAGCCATAACATCTGTAAGATCTTTATTTTCTCCACAAATTCTTTAATTCCTGCCTTTCCAGTGGAAAAGTTTCAATGACAAAAAGATTCTTGTTTCCATATGCATTTGAAATCCCTAGGCATTAATTAATGTTCTCTCCACTTCAGCCTATGAATCATATTATTTTAAGTGTAGTACATGTGAATATACAGGACATAAAATAGGCGGTATTAAGGGGAGAAAAAAACAAGTCACTGAGGATTCTTTATTTAGAGACTGAATTTTTGTTATTTAAATTGATCCCAAACTCTCTGAAATATCACACGTCTGGAGTGTGAGTGATATTTTTAAAATAATATTGTCTTTCACCCTTTGTGATATTCCTTACGTTCAAATTTCTGTCTCTTCTTTTCTTGCCTTTCAGGACCAACTGAAAGCCTTTTTTCTAGGGCATAACACATCTATAAGCGTGTTATGTAGCACATGATTTGTAACCACAGTGCTCAAGAGCCTTTCCTGTTGCTTATTGGTTATAGGTTTACCTTTTGACCTTATGTAATCTTTCATGTAATGCCAAATCAGCCAAGGGGAGAAGGTTAGTGACCTCATCAACAATATAAAGTGGCCAAGCCAGTTCCCTGTAACCTCAAATTAGTAAGATAAAAAGGGGGCAAGTGCATAAAATGGCAGTATGAGTAACTATTTTTTTAAAAAATAAAAACCATGGGCATGAATAAAAATATTTTATAGCATTATGGTTTATGCATTATTGCAATATTTATTTTTGCTGTAGCATTATTTGCTAAAACAATTCTGAGCTTTATATTCATGAAAATGGGAGAAAGCACAAACTAGACAAACTTTTTTGTGATAAGATATATTAAATGGAAATCATTAAATAATTCATAATTTAATATTGGTGGAATAAAATATCAAAGAAGAAGATGACAGTTTTTAATGAAATAATGATACCTAATGAGATTTCTAGCTACTCATCACTTTCTAGAGAAAGTACATTTTTTGAGCTATTACTACCACAATTTTCTAGCAGCTGATTCTTCATTATTTATGGCTATTTTCTCCCAGCTAACCTGAATAAGTGACTATTCCTGCTCAGATCAGTATCAAGTGAACTTTCATCTGACATCTTGATGTCTGAAAAACCACTATCCTTCTCTATTTCATATAATACACCAACTTGCCTTTACATTGCATCCACCCATCTCCTATCATTTATCTCAATTTTTTTTCTGCTACCACAGGCATACCCTGGAGATGTTGTAGGTTCAGTACCAGAGTACCACATTAAAGCAAATATCACAATAAAACAAGTCACACATTTTTTTTTTGGTCTCCCAATACATATAAAACTTGTGTTTACACTATACTCTAGTCTATTTAATGTGAAATAACATTGTATCTAACAAAACAATGTACATTTGTTAATTAAAAAATAGTTTATTGCAAAAAATACAAATAATCATACAAGCTTCAGAGAGTCATAATCGTTTTGCTCGTAAAGGGTCTTGCCTTGATGATGTGGCTGCTGACTGATTAGAGTGGTGGTTACTGAAGGCTGAAGTGGCTGTGGAAATGTCTCAAAGTAAGACGACAATGAAATTTGCTTCATCAGTTTACTGTTTTTTTTCATGAAAGAGTTCTTCCAGCACAATGTTGTTTGATAGCATTTTACCCATAGTAGAAATTCTTTCAAAATTAGAGTCAATCCTTTCTAAATTTGCGTCTGCTTTATTAACTAACTTTATGGAATATTCAAAATCCTTTGTTGTCATTTCAAAAATGTTCATAGCACCTTTACCAGGGGTGAATTTTATCTCAAATAACTTTCTTTGCTCATGCGTAAGAAGCAACTCCTCATTCAAGTTTTATCATGAGATTGCGGCAGTTCAGCCACAGCTTCAGGCTTCACTTCTGATTCTGGCTTTCTTGCTATTTCTAACAAATCTCCATTTACTTTCTCCACTGAAATCTTGAATTCCTCAAAGTCATCTCTGAAAGTTGGAATCAGCCTCTTCCAAACCCTTGTTAATATTGATATTTCTACCTTCTCCAATGAAACACAAATGTTCTTAATGACATCTAACATGATAAATGCTTTCCAGAAGGTTTTCAATTTATTTTGCCCAGATCCATCAGAGGAATCACTATCCATTGAAGCCTTAGCCTTACAAAATGTATTTCTTGAATAATAAGACTTGAAAGTCAAAACGACTCCTTGATCAGTGAGCTTCAGAATGGATGTTGTGTTAGCAGGCATGAAAACAACATTAATCTCCCTGTACATCTCCATCAGGGTCCTTGGGGTGACTTAGATGCATTGCCAATGAGTAGTAACATATTGAAATAATTTTTTTCTGAGCAGTTGGTCTCAACTGTCGGCTTAAATTATTCTATAAGCCATGCTGTAAACAGATGTGCTGCCATCTAGACTTTTGTTTCGTTTATAGATCACAAACAGAGTAGATGTAGCATATTTTGTATGCGCCCTAGGATTTTCAGAATGGTAAGAACAATGGCTTCAACTGAAAGTCATCAGCTGCATTAGTCCCTAACAAAAGTCAGCTTGTCTTTTGATGCTTTGAAGCCAGTCATTGACTTTTCCTCTCTAGTTATGAAAATCCTAGATGGTATCTTCTTCCAGTGGAAAACTGTTTCATCTACATTGCAAATCTTTTTGTGTGTGTGTTTTGCCACCTTCCTCAATGATCTTAGCTGTATCTTCTAGATAACTTATGGCAGTTTCTAATCAATACTTCCTGCTTCACTTTATACTTTTATGTTTTGAAGATGGCTTTTTTTCATTAAATTTCATGAACCAACCTCTGCTAGCTTTCAACTTTTCTCTGCAGCTTCCTCACTTCTCTTCACCTTCTTAGAAAAGAAAAGATTTTGGATCTTGATCTGGATTATGCTTTGGTTTAAGGGCATGTTGTAGCTGGTTTCATTGTCTATCCAGACCACTAAAACTTTCTGCATACTAAAAATAGGGCTGTTTAGCTTTCTTATCACTCATGTGTTCACTGGAGTAGCATTTTTAATTCCCTTCAAGAAATTTTTCTTTACATCCACAACTCTGCTGTTTGGTACAAGGGGCCTAGCTTTTACTCTGTCTTGGTTTTTGACATGACTTCCTCACTAAGTTTAATCATTTTTTAGCTTTTGATTTAAAATGAGAGACATACTACTCTTCCTTTCACTTAAATACTTAGAGGCCATTGTGGGTCTAATTTCAATATTGTTGTGTCTCAGGGAATAGAGAGGCATGAGGAGAGAGACGGGGAAACAGTCAGTGGAGGAGTCAGAACACACATTATTGATTAAGTGCGTGGACTTATATGGGCATAGTTCATGGTACCCCTAACACAATTATAAATACTAACTTAAAGATCATTAGCTACAAGTCACTATAACAGATCTAATAAAGCTTGAAAAAACTCAGGAATTTATGAAAATTTGACACAGAGGCATGAAGTGTGCATATGCCATTGGAAAAAGCACGCCAACAGACTTGCTTGATGCAGCGTTGCCGCAAACCTGCAATTTGTAAAAAGCACAATATCTGGGAAGCACAATAAAATGAAGCACAATATAGCAAGATATGCTTGTATGTCATGTAAAGATGTTTCCGTTTATTTCATTTTCCTATTTCACTTCTTCCTCAAAATGTAAATTCTCGAGAAGTTTCAAGTATATTCTTTGTTATATTTTAACAATTTTTTTCCTTACACAAAGCATTATGCAATTGTGTGACTGAGTAGACACGTATCAAAATCCCCTTCCCTCAGTCTTTTATTGATATTTGAAATTTTACTTTCAGTAAACTTGTATTTATATTTTAAACATTGACTTCTCTGGCTAGCCCTCTGGTAAAATTGTTTCTTGTACTGGAAAGAATAATATATTAATTCACAAGTACCTTATTCTAAATAGGTTTCATCAGCTTCCTTATCATGGTTTAAAGGCCTGCATTCTAAAGTAGGATACTATAATATAAGGTGCATTAAAGCCCCCACAAAGTGACAGAGTGGCTGGTTAGGTCTTTCTGTATGAGAGGTGTTTAGGGAGTTGGTTGGAAGAAAACATGACAAGATTTATCTTGTAAATGCATTTATTTATTTATTTTTATTTCATTATTATTTTTTGAGACAGAGTCTCACTCTGTTGCCCAGGCTGGAGTGCAGTGGCAGCACCTCAGCTCACTGCATCCTCTGCCTTCTGGGTTCAAGTGATTCTCATGCCTCAGCCTCCCAAATGGCTGAGGCTACAGGTGCATGCCACCACACCTGGCTAATTTTGTATTTTCAGTAGAGACAGGTTTTTGCCATGTTGCCCAGGCTGGTCTTGAACTCCTGGCCTCATGTGACCCTCTTGCTTTGGCATCCCAAAGTGCTGGGATAACAGGCATGAGCCACTGTGCCTGACTGCATTTATTTTTAATAGGATTGTTTGTTTATATAGAGTGGTTTGAAAAGAGACTTAGTGGAGACTCGAAGGCACTACATTTTTGTCCAAACAATATCCTTGGTGTGGCTGCTATAAATGCGTGTGCTGAAGGGTTAGATATTTGTTCTGGTCCCTTCAGTTTACTCCTGTATCCAGTAAATATATATTCAGTGTCTCTTATCTGTCAAGCATTATTTTAGGTATTGATGATACAGAAAAAAAAATTACTTATTTTATGTAATCTATGGAAGCGAATTCCAGCTCTTGTGTCTTGGGTATCACATCCCCTTCAGAGCCATGTGGGGCTTTTCTTACAATATTTTTGAAAAATAAAGTTGGCATCTCAGTCTCCTTTTCCATGAGAAGTTTATTAGATAACAGGACAATATTGAAACAATATTTTTGCCTAGTAACAATCAAGCGCAGCAGCTACTTCATCACAATGAGCTGCTCTTCTCCTCGGAAGCTTTGCCCTTGGGACAGAGCAGGAAATAAGCCCATCTTTTCTGGGGCTTTGGATGTCTGCTTCTAGGGATGGGGCTCACAGGTAAATGGAGACGAGTGGGTCTAAAACACAAACAGGATCACTAAGAAAATGTTGCAAGCAAATACAGCTATCCAAAATATAAATATAAATATGGCTGTTTCGTGCATCATTTTTACTTAAGGAAGTTTCATGCAATCCTTTTAACACATCTCGATTTCATCTTTATACCATTGGCATTCCAGACTTCTCCACCTAAAGGTGTACAAAGAACGAATCACTGCTTTGGGGTAATTGGTCAGAGTTATGTAAGGTTTTCCTAAGAAGCACATGAATTTGTTTTGAAGACAGTACTGATTTAGAAAAAAAAACAAAAAAAATCAAACAAACAAAAATACCCCAAGCAAAACCACAAATTCTCCTAAAAGACAATTTGTATATTTTTTAGTTCAAATATTTAAGATATTTACCAAGATGCTAACCTCTTGGTAATGATCAATAGAGAAATCTCCTTTCACTTATCCTCTGATTTTACTTTAGACAAAATGTCTTGTATATTTTTAGAAAACCTTAAAAACTTAAAAATGTAGCATTCATGTTAAAGTTTTCTTTAATGTGTAGTATTTTAAGAGTAAATATTAGAAAAAAATATGAACACCTATTTCATTACTTTCCTATTACTGTGTACAATATTACCAACAACTTAGTGGTTTGGAAAATACATGTAATTTCATGGTTTCTGTGGGTCGGGGTGGGGGCATAGCTTAGCTGCGTCCTCTGCACCAGTCAGTACCTTATTTCAGGTCTCAAAAGGCTGCAAACAAGGTGTTAGCCTGGGCTGTTGTCTTATCTCAAATCTCAATTGAGCAAGGCTCCACTTCCAAGCACATGTGATAGTTGGTAAACTTCTTTCTTTGTTGTTTAAATTCCTGAGAATCTCTTTTTCTCGCTGGCTGTTGAAGGGAAGCCTCCTTCATTCTCTTCTCATGTTGGTGTCTCCCTAAGACAGGTCAAAACATAGTAGCTGCCTTCAACAAATCCTGCAAAAAAGAAAGAGGTTGCCTGCAAGACACTTTATAATCTTATGTATGTAATCACTGAAGTATTTATTATATTAGTTAGAAGCAAGGTAACCATTATGAGTTCTTTGCACACTCCAGTGGAGAGGATTACACAAGTTGTGACCATCAGATAAAAGTAAAATTTGGGTTCACGTTAGAGCCTTTCATGGTAGTCCACATTCTGACCTCTAGCTGTTCACATCCTTTCCATGCACAAAATACATCCACCTCCTCCCAACATCCTCAAAAGTCTTATCTCATCTGCTCACGGTCCAGAATCTCATTGTCTAAATCTCTTCCAAGTGTGGATGAGTCTCCTTGGGTAGTTTCTCTTGATATATAAATCTGTGAAGCTAAAGAGACAGGTTATTTTCTCTCTACTCCCCAGATACCATAGTAGAACAAGCATAGGAAGACAACCACAGCTATTCCTGTTCAGAAATGGGAAACATGAGAGCAATTCTGAAATACAGCTGGGCAAAAGCTGGATATTACTTAATTATGTTTCTGAACCGAACAAGAGATTATGATTTTGGGGCAGCAAACCACCTGGTATTCTGATTCCACATTCTTACCTTTTTCTGGCTCTAGATGTTCAGCAGCACATTTGTAAACTATACTCTCTGGCCCCGTGCTTTACTAACCATCTCTGCAATTTCTTACAGCTTAATACTGTTTGGCTGCCACTCCAACATTGCTTGTTAGAGTAATTGTGTTCTCTGACTTCCAGAAGTAATGTATCAAAGCTTGACCTCTATGATTTTAGGGCTCCATACCTCTTCTGTTATTAATATGACCAGATCTGTGGCCATGTCTACAACCATCAACCCCAGCCCGCTGAAGAGTGAGCGACTATTGGACTTATGATGCTGGTATGCCTCTCATAGCCAATTACTGATGGTATTGGTGGATGGTGTGTCCTCTGGGACCACCTTGGGAACATAATCATCGGTTAGATTTGCTTAACTTTCATAATATATCCATTGTAGATTTTACAATTTTAGGTGTTCTCCACCAGGGCACTCATGAGAGCATAAGAGACTCCCTAGGCTGAAGCCTGGAGATCTGCAACTATAACTGTCAGATATTGGATCTGGAGCTGAGCTGCAACAGCTCTCTTTCTGCAGGAGACAACTGCTGCCTTGTGAGCTGTCACCAAAAGGCCCTCTGTTTCTCACATTTCTCTGTTTTCACACTGTCCCTCACATCTTAGTTTCTTATTATTCCTCTATGGGCTATCAGTGGTACTTAACTAAACTAGGCAATTCCCTTGCCTTCGTAGGTATTGTTCCTATCCAAGTGTTTTGAATGCCTGAATCATAGCAAACTGCACAGGTGTTTATCTTCACTGAATGTCTTCAGAGGTCATCATTTTAGTGAAACATTTACAATTAAGACCCCATCTTATGTTAGCTGTTAGACCTCTGAGAATGGGCTCTTGTTCCTAGGACTACAGCAAGCTTCAAGATTTGCTTACCTCCTAGGAATCTAGCTTTCAAAAATGCTACGACATTTTATCTAGCTCAGTCATTCAAGATTTCTTTAATGGGTGGGTTTCTCTGATCCTCTTGTCTACCATATATTTGGGAACCAAGTCTCATGAGCACTGTATTGTTTATGAGAATATGAGAATTTATTTCCTCCTAAACCTCACTTTCTTTGTTTTTCTCAATCTTGGTATGTGAGAGAAAGACAAATTGGATGCCTTGTTAGGTTAATAATGCATTTATAGGCTGGGCACGGTGGCTCACACCTGTAATCCCAGCACTTTGGGAGGCCAAGGTGGGCAGATCACAAGGTCAGGAGATGGAGACCATCCTGGCTAACATGGTGAAACCCTGTCTCTATTAAAAATACAAAAAATTAGCTGGGCATGGTGGCGGGTGCCTGTAGTCCCAGCTACTCAGGAGGCTGAGGCAGAAGAATGGCGTGAACCCAGGAGGCAGAGCTTGCAGTGAACCGACATTGCACCACTGCACTCCAGCCTGGGCGACAGAGCGAGACTTGGTCTCAAAATAAATAAATAAATAAAAATTAAAAAATAATAATGCATTTATATTAGGCCAAGAAATTGAGTCCTTATTAGCAAGAAAAAATGTTAATGTTTTTTGAATTCTGAAAGACTTAAGCTTTCTTATATTTGCTTTACAAGATTGTGACTATTTTTAAGAAGATCCAAACACACACACACACACACACACACACACACATACATATACATAACTGGCAATATTTTGACTTACCTGTAAATATAATAACATTGTCTCCTTTTTGATAACCTTTAAAAATACACAAAGACATATTTTTCTGGTTACTAGTATAGCAATTCATATTTTATGGTATAAATACTTATGTATATAGTTTAAGGAGTTTATATAGAATGAAATTAATTTATTTTAGTTTTCTATTGTTGCATAACTAATTATTCCCAAACTTATTGGCATTATGGAACAAACATTATCTCACTGTTTCACTGGTTCAGCAATGTGGGTTCGCCTTAACAGAGTGCTTCTGTCTTAGGGTCTCTCATTAGGTTTAGTCAAGCTGTCAGTTGGTACCTTTTGCAGCTCAACTAAAGGAAGATCTGCTTCCAAGCTCACTCGTAGTTGTTGGAAGGTTCTAGTGTCTCACAGCCTGGAAAACTGAGAACCTCAGTTCCTCACTGACTTTGGCCAGAGCCTCCCTCAGCAGCTTGCCATGTTAGCATTTGCTCAGAGCAGCTCACAACATAGCAACTGGCTTTCCTAAGAGTGAACAAGCCAGAGAGGGATTTGGGAATGAGCACCCAAGATTGAAGCCACAGTCTGTTTATAACCTAATATCTGAAATGACATCTCATTACTTCTTCCACATTCTAGTCATTATAAGAGAAGCAATATGTCCACCTCACACTTAAGAGGAAGAGATAACACAAGATGTGAATACCAAGAGGCAAGGATTTTAGATGGCCATTTAGAGGCTGCCTATCACATTTATCTTCCTACAGTTTTTGTGGAATTTCTTATATTTTGATGATAACATACCACATAATACAATGCACATCATAATCACTTATGACATTCTGGGTTTTTCTGTTATTTATGCTACTTTCTAGCAGTGCAACCTTTGGCAGACCATTTCATTCTGAAGAGCCTCACTTCTTTTTGGAAAATTTGGATAATAATATAAATCCTGACTAATCAGAATGTTATAGTTTTATTTTGTCTCAGGGTGTGTGGTCCTTAGTATGAATTCACACCCATTTGTTAAAATCAAATACAAAATGGTTATTAGAAATTAATTACTAATTTCTGTATTATGTATTCAATAAAAATTATTTATTGAAAGAAATGAATAATACACTACACAATATAGAAGTTCTGTAAAGTTATAAATAATAAAGTTAACTTTTCTTCTCCTAATTTCTTAAGTGTAACTAAAACTTCATTAGTAAGTAAACACAAAGAAAGGTTTTTTTAAAAAAAAATTTGCCATTTTTATTATTTGCCATTTAAGTGGGAACAAACATCATACTTAGATAGTGAGAAATCAGTTCTGACTGGTTTCCAGGCTCTCTGCCCTAGTGAATTATAAAACCACAATTACAGTGGGTCAGGTCCTGCTGGTTCTCATTACTGCACTCCCACGCCCATCCATCCTGTCTGCAGCATTAGAGAACACTAACCAGAGATTTGTGTGCCCTCTTAACCTCTCAAGAGCTCCCTTTTCCATTTGTAACACAATGGGGGTGCATGAGCTGAGTGGAAAGATTCCTTTAAGGTCTTGTTTGTTTCCTAGAAAGCTATTATAAGCCGCATCTATTTTCACTAATAACATTTGCTTAAAGCCTATGTCTATAAAGAGAAAATTCTTACCAATTAATCATTATATACAGGTAAGGTTTTACTGTAATTTATGTCGAGTACTACTACATTGCATTGATATGTTATTAGATATTTCAGCAACAATAAAAAACAAATTTAGTTCGTTATTCTATGTATATCAATTATTTTAATGTTAAGACAATTTAAGCCATTTGAATAATCAGAAAAGTGCCAAGATTTAAGAATATTTTCATTAGATTTTTATATATTTTTCTGTGGTTTTATATTTTATTTATTATATTCCACAATAAATGTCACTGAAGATTACAGAATGGTACAAAGAAACTTCATATTATGTATTAGAGAATCAAAATATAAATTAGTTTTTTCCTGTACTTTTAAAATAAGGTGCTGCATTTTGTTTAAATAAAAATATATTTTTACTTAGAAGTCTAGTTTTTGATGCCATTTTGTTTTCTATTAGAAATGGTTTCATGTAGAAACAGTAGAAATGAGATACTTGCAATGTGCTTTCTCATAATTTCTCATAATTTTGTAAATGCTGCCACAATTCCTTTAGAAATGTGATCCTGAGGTACCTTTGGCAGTGTCCTGTGGGGCAAATATAGAGGATAATATAATCTGGCACTTAAATAACCATAAATGACTAAATAAATGTCCAAGTCACTAGGGGAAAGAGAAGGTCATAGACTGTATTTCAGCTGGCAGAGCAGGAATAAATTATGCCCTGGAGAATTTATCTGTGTTCAAGGAGGCAGAGCATTACCTGTGTTAACATATTGACAGAGGACAAAGAAAGGTTTAATTAACTCAGTAGTTAACCTTAAAAGTTTAAAAGAATCTGTAACTGGAGAAGTCATATCAAATTCATTATCTTTTTCCAATAAGGGCTATTTACTTGTGCAACAAATATGAAGCACCAACTACAGTGACATGCTTTCATGGAGTTTACAATCTAATTGGAGAAATTGAGATTAATTAAATTATTAAAGAAATAACAGTACAATTACAGACCCAACTATATGCTATATCCCTTTAGACTCTAGAGTACTTAAGAGAGGAACTTGAATCATCCTTTGGATGTCAAAAAGGCGTAACCTACAGAAGTGACTTCAGTTGACAATTTATGATTTGCGTCATTTACTAGCAAATAGGTATAACAGGTTGGGGGAGATAAAGGATTTGGACAGAGAGAATAGTAGGGGTGTATACCTTAAGGCAAATGTTGCATACATTGACTGTACAGTAGCGAAAGAAAACCAGTGTGGTTGGACAGGGGTTAAAAAAAAAACAAAAACAGAAATAGAGATGTAGATTTGCATTAAGAACTTTGGAGAGCCTAAGCTTTGGAAATATTATAATATCTGATCTTCTAAAATATAAATATAAAATATACCAATTCATAAATGAAATGATTAATACAGTTTTAATTATCATTGAAAGACTAGTTTTATATATGTATTTTTGGAAATATAGCTACTTAAACAGTGATTTTTGGTGCTGATGCTTTATAGTTTCTTGAGAACATGCTACCCAGTAGCAATGTCAACACTGGTGGGGGTCTGATCATGAGAATCATTGCAGGTCATTCTAAATATTTTGGTCTTTATTGTAAGAATAAAATAAGCATATATGGTTGCAGAGTTACAAACAAATTGGAGAGTGGCAGGGAGGCTATGGGAAGTCCATATTGGAGATTATGTACTAATACATTTAAAAGGTGTTATGTTGAAAAGAAAACTGTAGGAGAGAAGACAACAAAATTGATACATCTTTAGTTGGTAAAATTTAAATTGAAAGATTTATAGTTTCCACTCTCACTTAGATGAATTATATTTATTGAGATTTTGATCACTGGAGGAGAATTAGAGGGTTTGGGGGCCAAGGGCTGGCTGTGATTGTCATGTGTGTTTAATTTGAGGCAGCCTTCAGAAAGTCAAGTAGAAATATTTAATGGATAGATAGGTCTGGAGTCAGAAAAGAACTATGAGCTAGGAATATTGTTTTTAAAGTCACTGGCATATGGTAAGCAACTAAATAGAAGACAATGCCCAAAATAATTATGTTTTCTCTTTAAGTAGCTGAAGTCTGAAAAGGATATTAACCAGAAGGGTATGAGTAAATTCAGCAATGCAGGATGAAAAAGAAGCCTGAAATAAAAGAATATAAGGAGAATAAACCCATAGTAGAATTCAATCTTCCAAAACCCAGGAAGATAAACAAGGACACCACATAGATAAGGAGGGAGACAGCTAGAAAAACAAATAAAGTATTTATCTGTCTATGGGTTGTACATTTACATTCATCTGATTTGTTCAAAGAAATTTAGCAGAAATAATTATTCTATAGCCTTTTGTTTATCCAATAACTAATTACTGAATGTCCATTATGAAACTGGAGAGGAACTGGGAGGGCAGGGAGAGACTTTTTGTTTTTATGCAGTTTATAATCTATAATCTAGTATTCCATTAGGGGAATAAAGACAGCAAACAAATCAGTCAGTGATTATTTGAAGAAAAATTAAAGCAGAATGAAGAGAAATAAACAGATAGTGTGTGTGGGAGGAAGATGTTATATTATATCAAGTATTCAGAGAAAATCTTTTGATATAATCACATTTGAACAGAGCCTTGAATGAAGTGAAAGACGTACGAGTATTTACTTGGCAGAGGGAAAGGAAATAACATGTATCTTGAAGTGGGGAAAAAAACTTGTCTGAAAAATTGCTAATGAATCCAATGGGCCTAGAAAGGGGTAGCCATTTTTTACTATTGCCTGTGGGCTCTTGTGATCCCCCAGGATAAAAATCAAGAGAAATCACAACATGAACGAGTAAGAAGAAAGTATTTATTAAAGCTGTGCACACAAGGGAGCAAGCTCCAAAAAGGAAGTGGGCTGCTCTGGAAAGTTAGGGGGTGGGTTTCTTTTATGGGGCTCTAGAGTAAGGGAAAGTAAGGGGAACTACCGTCAGAGCATGTAGAGGGGTGTTTCTGGAGCATGTGCTGTGGTTTAACATGCTTTTTCATGCTAGCCATTATTATTAGCATCTTAAATATCTGCCCCTTAGCATGATCTTTAGCACTAAAATGTGGAAAGGTGACTTTAAAGGCAAGCCTTTGTAATTGCGTGGCTGCTTGAGGCTGGGGACTTTTCTGGCTAAGCAAAAGCTAAATTTTGCAGTTAGTTGTTTTCTGTTCTAAGCTGACTTTTTATTTCACTAGCCATCTATGCTTCTTGTGTTCTAAGCCTGTCAGCTTCTAAGCCCCCGTGGCTGCTTGCTTGTTTCAACCACGGTGATAAATGGGTGGCCAAAATATTTAAGCCACGAAGGAGAAGATAGTTTGATTTTATTTAGAATTAGATAAAAGAACGTTAGAAATTTGACTTCTGTTTCTAAGGGCACACCAGTGCTGCTTTGGCTGTTGTGAGAAGACCACAGCAAGGAAGCAGGGTTTGAAATAGTATAACATACAAGACCATTAAAGGAGTACAGGATATTAAAAATGGCTATTAAAATAGGCATGACAGTGAAGGTGGTAAAAGGACTTGTAGATAATAAATGTAGACAAATCTGTTAAATAATTTTATTGGATAAGAAGTGGAAAAACAAAGAAGTATTATAGCTATAGAAGGACGTAAGGTCAGAAGTGTGTGTGGTGTGTGTTACGTTGGAACATATTGAATTTAAATATAAGTGGCATATGTTGTATATGGATGGAAATAATATAGAAGGGATTTGAAAAATGTAAGAGAAAAAAAAATTGCTTGAGTGGCTGAGCATGGTGGCTCACTCCTGTAATCCTGGCACATTGGGAGGCTGAAGCAGGGGATTACTTGGGCTCAGGAGTTAAAGGCTGCAGTGGGTCCTGATCACACCCCTGCACTCCTGCCTGGGTGACAGAGGAAGACTCTGTCTCAAAAATAATAATAATAAAAAAATTACTGGAGCCATTTCCTTGAACCGTGAGCCTTTTAAAATAATGCAGTAATTGTGTGCCAGTTCTGGGAGATTCTAAAGTAAACAGATGATATATCTGCTCTTACAGAACCTAATTCTACTAGTTGGGGAGAGATAACAAATCTATTAAGTAAACATATTTCAGATGGTGAAAAGTTCTAAGGAGAAAGTTAAAGTTGGGAGGTGGGATGGAGGCAGCCAGGGAATGAGCTGTGAGGTTAAGTAGGGCACTCAGGGAAGGTGACCTGAGAAGGTGACTGTGAAGAAAGACATTAGGACAGAGGCAGGTTTGTCATGTTGTGACAAGCAAGCCCCAAACTTCATGACAGCAATTTCTGTCATTTCCCATTTTCAAAATCTTTGATAGGGTTAAATCTTGGCTGAGAATTTATTTTAACACTGAGTATATTCTTCCTAGATTACTGAAAGAAGGATTAACAATAGCAATTGCATCATCTACATTTTGCATAGGAAGGTGGGTTGGACAGATTAGAAATTTATCTTTCTACTTTCAAAAGATCTTGGACAATGGAAGTTTAATATTTTTATAAGCACATAAGAATGAGCATGAACAGCACAGCACAATTCACAATTGCAAAGATGTGGAACCACCTAAGTGCCCATCAAGTAATGAGTGGATAGAGAAAAAGTGGTATGTATACACCATGGAAAACTATTCAACCATTAAAAGGAACAAAGTATTGTCTTTTGCAGCAACTTGGATGGAGCTGGAGGCCATTATTGTAAGTGAAGTAACACAGGAGTGGAAAACCAAAAACCCATATGTTCTCACTTATAAGTGGGAGCTAAGCTATGAGTACGTAAAAGCATACAGAGTGATATAATGGACTTCAGAGACTAAGAAGGGGGAGGGTAGGGGGGAGCTAGGGATAAAAAACTACACATTAGGTACCGTGTTCACTGTTTGAGTGACAGATGTACTGAAATCTCAGAATTCAGTGCTATATAATTCATCCATGTAACAAAAACCACTTGTGTCCCAAAAGCTGTGGAAATAAAAATAAAAAATAAAGCTATAGTAATAAAAAAATCACATCTTACAAAACTTGACTGTGTAAAATACTGTTGCATATTTGTGTAACCATTAGAAAAAGGACAGAAAACATGGAAAACTTCAACCTCCATGCTGTTTTTGTTATAATGATAACAATGTCAAAATACTATTGGAAAGCAAAACAAAACAAAAGAAACAAAAAAAAAAAAACCAAAAAAAACCTCAGCTTTCTCTTTAGTGACTATAGACTTCCTCAGCTTTCTCTTTAGTGTCTATAGACTTAAACATATATTTTTTCTTCTGTTGTTGCTTCAAAGTAGTTTAAATTTGCATCTATCTTCATGTAGCATGTCTTAAATTACATTCTTCCTGTAGTTATATCATTGTTAATGAATTCTATGTGATTTACACACCTAATTATGAATAGGTGTATTGTTAATATCCATTCATGGCTTGGGTTAATAAGATGTTACAAATATGGAAAATAGTGTCATTATTCAGAATTCTTAGAGTGGTAGAATTCATAGTGTTTTTAAAATTCAAAATTTGTTCTTTTTCATTGTAATTTATCTATATTTTATATGGTTTCAGTACTTATATATACTTAAAGTGTGTGGTGTCTACATGATATGTAGTTGGTCTGTGCAAAGAGTTGCAACATCAGAGCTGTTTCTTTGAGACAGAGCATGGAGATGTAAGCCCTGGTGGAATGCTCCATACTTCTGTGGTACCTATTTTAATAAAGAGTGGAATGTTCTATCTCCAATCAACAAAATGTAACTTAGTTCTAAGTTACTTACTTAACTTTGATATTCTCTCTTTCATCTTGACTTTTAAAACTAAAGGGAGTTATAGCTAGTCTATTTAAATGAACAGCATGGATATGGGTGCAGTGAATTTAAATTTTACATACAAATACTATAAAAAATTCAAAATGAAACCTAAACCTTTTATGGCACATTATATTTCCCATTAACATCCATACTACTTTTTATCTTGTTCCACAATAAACTTTCATAAAAGACATATTTTCTTTTATTTCTGACTTTTTCCTGATTAATAATATCATTTAATACATATATCATATGTACATATGTACATATATATCATTTATATATATCATTTAAACTATCACTTAATAAATAAAAGCTTTGCTTTCTTTAGAAAAACAGATTATACGATTGTGCAATTTAAATAAAATACGTAGGTGGGTCAGGACACAGTGCATTGGTTGCTACAATGAGATCAGTCAGATGGCTTCAAATCATGAACAAGAAGGTGACAACAGCTGTCCTGTAAATTCAGAAATTATGATATCAATAAATATAAATAATTTAATTTGAGAATATTTAAGTACATCTGAATAAACTTCCAATGTAAAGATAAAGAATGGTACCTATAAGATCATAAGTATATTCATTGGGAGTGCAAAATAGGAGTGCACTGCTCTACTCAGGAATCCAAGCTTTGGTTAGAAAAATTGATTCAGATAAAAATATATGCGTAACAAAAATTAATTTCTATGCCGCTGCTAGATTTCCAATAGAAATTACTTCTTTTTTTATTTTTATTTTTTTGAGACAGAGTCTCGCTCTGTCACCCAGGCTGGAGTGCAGTGGCGAGATCTCGGCTCACTGCAAGCTCCGCCTCCCAGGTTCATGCCATTCTCCTGCCTCAGCCTTCTGAGTAGCTGGGACTACAGGTGCACACCACCACGCCCGGCTAATTTTTTGTATTTTTAGTACAGACGGGGTTTCACTGTGTTAGCCAGGATGTTCTCGATCTCCTGACCTTGTGATCCGCCCGCCTTGGCCTTCCAAAGTGCTGGGATTACAGGCGTGAGCCACCGTGCCCGGCCCTAGAAATTACTTTTTAGGGTTTATTGTATCCATTAATTTCTCTAAGTCTGTTATTAAATTTAGCATCATTACACTGCCAGCCTTCCTAGGGGACTATAGAAAAATATCCCCCATTCCAAGAATAAAGTAAATTCTATAAGCCCTGCTTAGCTTCCAGCTGTACGTATTCTACTTTCACACAGACTGCTACCTATAACTGCCACATGAATATACACAGGAAGAAAATATTTATACTGCATATAAATTTAGTTTATCGTGTTTCAAAGACTTACTTCATAATTACATTTTCCTTGATTTTATCATCTTAGAATTATTCTTAATTACTGTCTTTCTCTGACTTGATATTTAATCTGATAGGAAATTCTGTTGGTTTCACATTCAAAAAAATAACTCATCACTTTCCACAAGATCTGATGATTCCGCCCTGGTATAAACCACCATCATCTTTAACCTGGACAATTAAAATTGCCTCTTAAAAGTTTGTCTAGCTGATAATCTACTTTTAACAGAACTAACACAATGATGCTATTTAAACAGAAATCATATCATGTTGTCTTTCTGTTTAATACCCACCATTGGCTCTCTTTCTTACCTCAAATACAATCTGAAATCCTTTTAAGGCCCTTACACAACAAACCCCTTTGTCATCAATTGAATCTCTGACTTTATCACTTAGTCATTTTTTTATTATACTTTAAGTTCTAGGGTACATGTGCACAATGTGCAGGTTTGTTAACATATGTTTATTCTCTTCCAGCTACCTGGTCTCCTTTTTGTTCTGTGCATTGTAGGATGTTTAGTGGCATCTCTTGCCTCTGCCCCTACTGATAAAATGAAAAATGTCTATAGACATTGTCAAATGTCCTCTGGGGGGAGAAAATTACACCCTTCCCCTCACTGAGACCCAGTGATTTAGAGGAAGCTAGAAATCACTGTGGTCTCTATTCATCATATTCTTTAATTCATTTACATTTCTGGGTACTTCACATAACTTGTAGCTCACTGGCTGCTATTTTTCTCAAAAATGTCTTGAACATTTGGCAAACAATATACTTTCTTTTGGAGGGGAGGTCTAAACATAAGACTTAGTTGTTTACATATCATGCAATAGACAAATTGGTTTTAAAATACTGTAAAATCAAAAGTTATTGCTAAGCCTACTAGCACATGAAAACATTTTCTGAACATTGAAGTTTGCCTCTGAAGAGAAATCACAATTATAAAAAATAAAATTAAGAAAATGGACTCCATTTAAATTTTTTAAGATAAAGCATTTTATATGAAATACTTGTGTCAAGCATTGTGTAACAACCCATCCCAATAAAAAAATAAGCATTTATTTAAGTGCCTAAAGTAATAAACATCTACTTAGCTCACAAGTCTACTACTTGGCTGGGTGGTTCTGCTCACTGCAAGGAGATGAACTAGGCTAATATCAAGAGGCACACTTTATCTGTAGTCAGCTGCAAATCTGCTGGGCACTTCTGTTGATCTCGGCTAGACCATCTCACATGTCTGGGGACATGGCTGGCATAACCAGATCAACTGCTGCATGAAGTCTGATTCCAGTAGATTAGCCTCGATCTTTTTCTTATGCCAGATGTCAAGTTTCAAAAAAAAGTGAAATCTCATTAATCCTCTTGAGGTTCTCATTCTGAAATGTCACACTATGATGTCTACTCTTTTCTACTGGACAAAGTAAGTCACAAGGTCAGCTCAGACTCAGGGCTTGACAAAAAGGACTTCATACTGGTAGGAGGAGTTCAAGGTCATTTTGTAAAAGGATAGAAGGAGACCATTCATGATAAAGTTACCAGATACAACATGGACGCATATGTAGAAAATGTTTGGAAAATCCCCCTGCATTTTTCTTCCTCCAGTTCCTTAAAGCTCCAGATAACACACTTAAAAGCAATATGAATTCAGTATTGTTTGAATAGGTGGACGCTGGACACACTGTTTAATATGGTGTTTGGTGGCATACTGAGCATATAGCATAGCCCAGTTGTCAAAATGAATGTAAATAACTTCAATTTTGCCTTGAAATAATCAGGGATCTTGCTTGAAATTACTTATACTCCTATAAAAGGTATATTTTACAAAGCAAATTGGAGCATTAATGTCTACTTCCAATAAAAAATTCTAATTCAGAAACAATTATCAATGTAAAATAAGAAGAGAAAATCCAGATTCACTCCCAAGAAGATAACTTTAATGACTTTTCATAATTT
Organism: Homo sapiens; assembly: GCF_000001405.40. Classification (NCBI taxonomy): domain Eukaryota; kingdom Metazoa; phylum Chordata; class Mammalia; order Primates; family Hominidae; genus Homo; species Homo sapiens. Next base: position 104,248,441 of record NC_000001.11, read on the forward strand.
AATGTTTGCTTTTTGAGAGATTATTAGCCGCTTCAAACATCTGGCATTTTGCGTTTATGTAAAGAATTCTTATTTGGATATTATTTAATAAGAACCAAACAATTGTGGTGTCTTTCACTAGTACTTGGAAAATAACAATCCATGCCAATTGAGTACGTGCTCAAAACACTTCCAACATTGACTTGTAAATATTTGAAACAATAGTATTTTTTTCTTAAAGATACAAGGTTTTCAAAAAAGTTTTGTATTTTCACGATAGGCAATAATTTATTGTTTCCATTTAAATTTTATACAGAATTTTAAAGTTAAATGCCATGAATTAGATCTTGTCCTCAATTCATGTGTTCTATACAACACATAAAATAAGCGGCTCCGGTTTTTACCAGCAAAATATTCTAAACAGATGACTATATTTTTATTAAAATTGCATTTACCTATAAATATATAATGTATAACAGACACATGTAATATTCTTATAAGGGAGATCAGTACAAATGTTTTGGAATAATATATTTAAGACTAACACATTTGGATGAAAATATTAAAAAATTATCATACATTGGTATATAGTATTATTATTGAATATTTTAATGTTTTTCTACATATTTTTCTATGCATTTCATTTTTTCCCATAGTATCTTTGTATTTGTTTTACAATTAGAAAGAAACAACAAATCGATCATTTAGGAAATTAAACAAAATCAACACGTTTTCAATTGACATATGATTATTTTTGGCACATGAGATCTGTTTGAAAGATTTGATTTTTTCCACAATATATTTGCATTTATTTTATAATCAGAAATAAATAACAAATCAGTCATTTAGGAAACTGAAGAAACTCAGCATATGTTTTCAATTGACATATGATTTTTTACTTTTAGCAGGAGGCTTGTTTGAAAGATTTTATATTTATATTCATTAAAAAAAGTTTTCTGTTCCTTTCTTAATAATAACAGCAACTGTAGCAACTAATATGTACTGGCTTCATTATACATCCCAAGTACTATTCAAAACATTTTACAGGTATCTTTTCATTTAACTTTTGAAACAATGTAAGGTATAATTATTATCGCTGTTTTACGGATGAAAAAATGGATACACAGAGAGATAATTTAACTTATTTAAGGTCACAGCCAGTCATGGTGAAGAAAACAAAGCACTTTTGAAGAGTCAACATTTTTTTAATGCCTCGTCAATTGTTACGCACATGTTTTGGAAAACATCTCTAAAGACAGATTATTGCATATATGGAGTAAATATTTTTCTTGGACTTATTCGTAAAAGTTGACAAAAATGCTAACAAATTATTTTATTCTAATTCAGGGTGGTTGTAACATGGGTCTCAGAAAGACATTAGAAAGGATTTTAAGGTATATTAAATGTTTGTACCTAAATTATTAAAGTAGTAATATCATTATTTTGAGAATAAAGTAATTTTAATGGGATTTTGAGGATAACAAATTACTCAAAGATCTTTTCATGTCAAGGTTCATGCTTAGAATAAAAAAAAAACTGTTAAAACAATTAAAGTAATGAAATTATATTATGCTATACAAGATACCCATTTACTAATTTCAACAGTTTATTTAATATGTATAGTATTAGTTATCTAATGATGCTGTGTAACAAATTACCCCAAACATGGTAGCTTAAACAATTAACATTTATTATCTCACCGTTTCTATGGGCCTGGAAACTGGGCACAGCTTAGTTATATATCCTCTGAATATGGGTCTTTCAATGAGTTGCAGTAAAAGTGTCACTCAGAGCTGCATTCATCTCAAAGCTCAACTACAGAGAAGAACTAGCTTCCAAGATCACTTCTATGGTTATTGGTAGGTCTCAGGTCTTTGCTGGCTGTTGGACAGAGGCATCTACTTGCTGCATGGCCCTCTCTAAGGCAGTTCACATGGAGCATCTGGCTTCCCTCAGTGCTAGTGAGGAAGAGAGTTAGAGAGGACAAGCAAGATGGAAGTCATAGTCAGTTACAACTTATTATCAGAAGTGATATCCTGTTATTTTTCCATATTCTATTTCTTAGCAGCAAGTCACTAGATGCCACCAGGGGGTTACACTAGTGTGTACCAAGAGGCAGGATCATTATGAGCCATTTTAGAAGCTGCTTATTATAGGTCACTTTTTACAAATGAAAAAAGTGATTCAACTTTAATGCTGAGAAAGGAGCAGAGCTGGGATTTGTATACAAACCTTATTCTAACATCTATCACTGCATCACAGTTTCCAAAATTGTTTGAGATAATATTTAGAGAAGGTAAGATACATATAAAACTTACTATAATAAAAAATGGAATGCAATCAATACACTAATAATAATGTGATTAGAATGTTTTTAGCTTTCTATGAAAATAGCAACCTGAAGGGAAGAAAAAGCCCAAGATTATTTATGAATAGGTCAGTGTGGTATATAGCTAAAGCCAAAAGTGAAAAATGGATCATGGTTGAATATTACAGATACCCTCAGGGAAAGCCTTGAAAGGCACTGCAGAGAAATAAAAATCTCCCTAGGTGGAGCTGAAAGTAGTGCATATGGACATCTGCTTGGTTTAGAAGAGCATTGGCTCATTGTGGGTATATATACATTTTCTTGGGCAATGGGCAATGGCTTGGACGATGGGCCATGGGCCATGGGCCATGGCAGATAAGGGATCTGCAAATTGAAAGACTAGAGGATCAGAGATAAGAATATCTGGGTATTTATGTGTATGGACATACGAAAGAGGGCACAGATTTTTTTCCCTTTAAGGGCCAACAGAATATTCCCTATAGTGTACACTCCAGATCCTAACCTTGTCATCTTAAGGGCACAAATCTTATCAAAAGTGCCTACTTTAAATATTTTATCTATTGTATCCATGTTAGAAAGGTCTATTTAATATCCACATATTTAGCCTAGCCAAAATTTCAATTTTCTCTCTGTAATAAGTGTATTTTTCTAAGTAGGAGACACTGAGTGCAGAATAATGCCCTTAATAGGATTGCCCATGGCTGTTTGCAAAAGGTCCAGCTATACAGAGCAGTCTAGGAGCTCCAGGTCTTGCATCACATATCAAAACAGCTGTAGGTATCCTGAGTCCTTTGCCTTTCTACACTTCCTTTCTAGGTCAGTGGCAGTTTTGTTTTGTTATTTTTCTAGTTATCCATTATATTAAAAAGTTAAGAATATCTCACATCATATATTTCCCAAGGAGCAATATTAACTTCGAGACAGTCTTGCCTAAATCTCTACAGTTATAGGAAACACTTTTCCAATTTTTTGTAACCCCACCTTTTCACAATGAGAGAAATACTAAGCATATATTTGGTTTCGTTTAATTTTTTTTATTAATTAGGACTTTGTAAATGATAGCTAAATAAAGGATTGGTTTAAACTCTATTATCTATCTATGTATCTACTTATCTAATTCCATATATATGTACAAAATTGGGAAATCCAAATGACAGAGATGATAAAAAATGGCAAGATGTAGCTCTAAACAAATGTAATTAAGATTGTCTCTATTTATTTATTTTTGTTGGGGTGGGGAGTCCTGTTCACTTTAATTTTTAAACTCCTTACTTTATGATGGCTATGTGGTCACTGGAAATCTCAAATCTACATCATCTTTACAGGTCAGTGTATTAAACAAACCATAACAAAACAAGCAAAGAAAAATACCCAAGGAATAATGCGGCAGTGAGGAGTTAGTGGTTTGGTTTTTTACAGCCCAGAAAAAAATCTTAAGAACGCTCATTATTATTCCTACCTGGATTGCACAGCATTTCTGAACTAATCACTTTATCTGAGACCCTGACTTCTTAGACTACACAATGCTATTTTTTTTTTATGCCAAGTCTTGGAGCAGGATAAGTGGAGTCAGCTCCACTCAATGAATGGAATTGAGATGGCTAGGTCATGAGGTAGCTTTTTAATGGAGCTGCAGCTGGGATGACCAAAAGTCCTCATTTACTTAATTAATATTTTAAAGCCTCCAATTCTGCTTTCAGATTTTGCTCTTAAATGCATGCCAGAAAAAAGAAAATACACATCCATTGTTGAGTCAAGTTAATTTCTAATAACTGCTTTCTTAGTTACAAAGGTCTGAGAGTTTTTTTTGTGTGTGTATGTGACGGAGTCTCACTCTGTTTCCCAGGCTGGAGTGCAGTGGCGTGATCTTGGTGCAGTGCAACCTCTGCCTCCCAGGTTCAAGCGATTCTCCTACCACAGCCTCCCATGTAGCTGAGATTACAGGCCCCACCACCACGCCCAGCTAATTTTTGTAATTTTAGTAGAGACAGGGTTTCACCATTTTGGCCAAACTGGTCTTGAATTCTTGACCTCAAGTGATTCGCCTGCCTCAGCCTCCAAAAGTGCTGGGACCAGAGTTTTTAAATTACTACTTCTACAAAATGAGTAATACTAGTCAGAAGCCATCCTTGTCTGCAGTTTCTGATGAGAAAGTGAATGATGTTAGTTTTCCACTTGCAGGTACGTATGTATCCTTTTTTTCTTTGTGACACATACACATATATGTACAAATGTGCCTATAAACACACACATACACACAAGCATATCCACACATATAAATGAAATTTTTGCTTTTTATCAGTTGTAGTTATATACATACAAATTATAGAGAGCATATGTGAAACAATTCATAAAATATATACAGATTAATAAGATTTGGATTTAAATTATTAAGGTTCAACATATTGATTTTTAAAAACAAAACCAAATATTGATTTATATAATGATGCTGTATTTAAACTTGTATAAATTATACTATTAAAATAAAATTATTACTAACTTAATGCCTCCTAATACATGTTTTATGGGCTATTCTTGAAAAGTGGATCCAGATTATATTCTTTTTGTAAGTTTTCTTTTTCTGTCACTGAATAATAAGGCTTTTGATTAGCTTAAAATAATGTAGAAATATTTGCAACGCATCTGAATTCCCTAGGTTTATTCTTTTAGTCCAAAGAAAAGCGTGTTTTCAAATGTCTAATAAAGCTTTTTAAATGTGCAGTCACAAACGTTATTTCTGAATTTAATTTCTGCCTGATTGGAAAAATTGTGTTTTTTTTATGCAAAGGCACAGCAAGAGAACAAACTAGCAAATATAAGACAGAGATTACTGCAGATGCAAGTGATAGAAGAGAAAATGTGGTATTCAATAATTGAATAAGCAAAATGGCAAATGCTGAAAAAAGAAAGTATCACATAACAATTCATAACAGGTACAGATATAGTCACCTTGATATAATCTTCACATTGTAATGAGTTTTGGCTTCTGGTTTTCTTGCATTAAAGGATATACATAATTTGAATTATAATATGTACATACATAAATATACTTGGTGACAAAACCCAGTGTAACTGTAAAAATAAATTTAAATTATTTAGATGATGTTCCAAATGTGCCTAAATTGTATCTAAAAGCAAAATTTAAACACATCTGTGAAGAAATATGGAGAAAGTTGGAATTGTTTACCTGTATAAAAAAGTGACTTTAAAACATATGTAAATAAATTCCACATTGGTAAGACATATCCCAATACCCATTACCAAATATAAATTATTAGTAAAACATATCCCTATTGTGAGTAAAATGTTGTTTCAATTTACAAATTCAACAAAATGTTGTATTTAAAACATTAATGTGATTACACATTGCTAAGTAAATATTAACTTTATTTCCTTGTGGAAAAATATCTCCTGAAAATTATGTTGTTTTAAAGAATGTTCTTCACCTAAAAAACTGGAATTCACATTGTTGGCTACACCAAAGGCAAGGAATTAACATAATCAAATTAGAAAAAGGGTCTAGATTTGTTGGAATTTCTTACAACAATTTTTTTTTTTTTCTTTTTGACAGGATGATCACTATGATGATCCCCCAATTTAGTGATTCTTTGAAAACTTAAAATATAGGCTAGGCATTGATATATATTGTTAATTTTTTTGTTTGTTTGTTTTTGAGACAGAGTCTCGCTCTCCCAGGCTGAAGTGCAGTGGCACAATCTCAGCTCACTGCAAGCTCCGCCTCCCGGGTTCATGCCATTCTCCTGCCTCAGCTTCCTGAGTAGCTGGGACTAGAGGCGCACGCCGCCATGCCCAGCTAATTTTTTGTATTTTTAGTAGAGACAGGGTTTCACCGTGTCAGCCAGGATGGTCTCGATCTCCTGACCTCGTGATCTGCCCATCTCAGCCTCCCAAAGTGCTGGGATTACAGGTGTGAGCCATATCTGGAATTACAGGTGTGAGCCTTACCCTGCCATATCTTTTAATTTTTAAAATTTTGCTTTTGACAATATTTCAATTCCATTATTATTAATTCAAGAGTGCATTTAGCCTTTGATTATTTTTGAGAAATATATGAATTCTTTACATGAATGTTTGGCCTCATAAATTTTTCTAGAACTCTGTATTGCTGGATTTTTATTAAATTGTCTTTATTGATCATGGTGTAGAAATAAAGCATAGTGATTAAAAGCATGAAGATTGAAGTCAGGAAGCATAGTTTAAACCAGCTTTGTAAATGTGGGTGACTTTCATAATTTCTGATCAGGGTGTATTGGGGCAGATTCTTAATGTATTTCACATTCAGTTCTTCATCAGGAAATGAAAATAATAACAATACATACCATATAGGAATATTATGGGGATTAACTTAGATAATATATGCATAATTCTTAGCACAGCTTGTCACATAGTAAATGCCCCAACATTGTTATTATTAAACGAGCAAAAATAAATAGCAAGTAGTATATAAATCCTTAATTATTCAGAGTAGATAAAGTTTATAATTTCCAAATTTCTAACATCTTTCTGGGGACAGAGTGTCTTCATTTTATTTTCTTCTTCTTTTTTTTTTTTTTTTAATACAGGGTCTTGCTGTGTTGCCCAGGCTTGAGTGCAGCGGTGTGATAATGGCTCACTGCACTGCAGCCCCAATCTCCCAAGCTCAAGCAATCCTCCAACCTCAGCCTCCTGTGTAGCTGGGAATACAGGGAGCTGCTGCCACCTCCCCCAGATAAATTTTGTATTTTTTTTGTAGAGATGGGGTTTTGCCATGTTGCTTGAGCAATCTGTCCACCTTGGCCTCCCAAAATGCTAAGATTACAGGTGTGAGTCACCTCTCCTGGCCCTTCATTTTCATTTATTACAAAATGTGAGCATACTGTTAAATTTTGAACACATTTGCCTTAAATTCTGCCAAGAAAAATCAACTTTATTTGTGGTAGCATGTCATAATCACCTGTAGAGGCAAATGGACCCCTACCTGAGGTTTGGTTGAGACAATAACCCAATAGCCCACACACCCAGAGTGTATGAAAAAGTTTCTTATTTACATAATTGAGGTCTCTGAGAACAAGCAAGGTGGGTCTTTTAAGAAAGTTCAAAACGGTTTAAACAAGCATGGTTAGGAGACTGGTCTGGATTTTTATTTTGGTTTGAGGGTGGGAGCTTGTGCACAGGATACAATTTGCATAGTTTGATTATCTACTCACCACCAGTCCTAAAGACAGAGTGCCTGAGCTGTTTGAGTTTGTCCAGATACAGAACACAAGAGGGAAAGGGAGAGGTGGGGCTTAAAAGCTATCAGTAGTCATATATCCAAAAAATGGAGTCAGTCTCCTTATGACACAGCAAAGAAGAAACATGAATTTCTTTGGTACTTTCTCATATTCATTTTAGGAAATTACTCTGAAATAGTGCTTTAATTTTATCAAGTACATTGACCAAGTTAAATAATATTCCTGGCAGCCCCAGGAACATTTCAATACGGTTCAACTGTCTGCTAGGGACTTCCTTTTCTCCCCGCTTTCATTCCTTTCTTTCTTCCTTCCTTTTCCCTTTATGTTCTGCTTCTCTGTTTTCCCTTCATTACTCCCTTCCTCCCTTCATTCTTCCCTTTTCTCTCTTTCCTTATTTTGTCTTTCTCCCTTTTCTTCTTTTTTCTTTTACTTTTTTAAATAAGAAACTAAATTTTTTTCATAATGACATGGCAGAAGTGGTAAGAAAATAAATAATGTTTGTTTCATAATTTAGTGACTTCATATTAAACATGCGTGATGAATTGTGAAGTTAGCACTAAAGTAGTCTTTTTTATTGCTGTTGTTACTTTATGTCATTTCATTTTACACTACTCTGGTGGTTTATAGAACACAATTTATTGTTAACACACACTTGTACATTTTTTATTAAAGATAAAATTTAAAATGGCATATAGCATTCTAAGAAATTTTATCCAGTGTACAAAGTGGTATTCATCTTTAGTGATCATCATCTTGTTCTATGCATTCCAAATTTAAAGATAATGTTTTTATTGTTTTTACATTGACTTAGTTCTCATTTTTTAACTTTGTGACATAAAGGAATCTTCACACATATTCTTTATAGATTATGTTTAATTTTAATTTTTGAAAACATAAAAGGTTCTCGGGCTATTTTATGATATTATTTCACTCTTTTCTAATAAAGCGTACCTATATTATCCAAACTAATTTATATTCTGTCAGTTCAATTCAACAAGCAATTTTTGAATGCATATTTTTGTATCACTTTAATTTCATAAAGGTGAAGAGAATAAGAGAGAGAGAGGGGGACAGAGACAGAGACAGATATAAAAAAATCATATTCCTTACTGTGTTTAAGTGCTTATATTAATTATTAATATATTGGGAAATCTAAAGTTTACATAGATAAATATTAGGAAAGGGTGACACAATACAAACCATAAATTAATTAAAAATTTTAATAACAAAATTGTGCTATTTTTAAGTTTTTTTATTGCTTGATTGGGCTATTGTTATGTTTTATAAAAACAGTAGCTGCATTTAAGATGCTCAATCGTTTCTCACGGTGATTTTTTGAATAATAAAGATGATAATTATGAATAGTGAGTAGGATGAGGGTGACTATTAGCTAATACAAATCTAAGGGTTAATAAGAGAGTTGAGAAGGATTTTACAAGATAGATAGGGTCTGGAAAGGTATAGAGTAAGTTATTCCAAGTGATCATCATAAACAAAGTCATAGTGTATAGGAGGGATAGCTATGACATATAAGAATAGATGGTGAAAATTAAAGTAGAAAGTAGAAGTAGAAAGTTTTGTTGCAGAATAGTAGGTTTTGAAGCTGGCTTTGAAAATTAGCACCAGAATCTGAGGACTTCCTTTAGCTAAGGAATTTGAACACAGTGTTATAAACAATGGAGAATCAATCGAAATAATTAAAAAGGCAAAGCCACAATCCAATGGTATTCTGATGCATATTCTTTTATTTATTATGTGAGGTATATTGGAAGAAATGGACCTGTGAAAAAAACAATAAAAATCTAGCAATGTTGCTAGCTGAGATGCCTGGAATATAGACTCCAAAATGGGACTTTGAATGCAGAAAATGTATTGGACAGTATTTTCAGGATTGTCATTCATATGGAAAGGAGAGAAAGAGTGATAGAGCAATTGTCTGTAAGGAAATCACAAGATTTCATCCTTTCAGAATTGTACCAAGTTGATGTGAGAGGGTAGGGACTTAATTCTTCTATGTAGATTGGATATTGGACATATGTTAGCCATGTATATAGGGCATGAGTTTGTGCAAAGTGGACCTCTTAAGGTAAGGACAATTTACAAGATGAGCTGAGAGCTGAGGGCTGTCAATCAGCAGCACTTCCAGCAGTTTGTGGAATAAGTCCTTTGGCCCTGAAAAGGAGATGAGAGTGGCAGAGCATAGCATCCATTACTGTCCACTTCTGGAGCTGCACAGATCCATTCTTCATTAAACCTTTCAGGACAGATTCTCCAAAGTCCATGGTAGCCTCTCTTCCTGAAATTCTATTACATAAAGATTTGTAAGACAAACTCCAGTTCTTGTTCTACGTTTTTTCTTGACTGCAAAAAAAAAAATCTAATTAATTATTATCCTCTCTTATTCATGCTAGATTCCTCTCATGTTCTCATTTCTGCTGTTCTATAATAAATAATGTATATTGTGACATTACTCAGACCTCCACCTCTGAAAGATCTGAGATCTTTCAACTGTCCTTTCACTATCAAAATTGAGCCGGAGAATATCAAAATAAGCTCAATGGGTTGCCATAGTACAAAAATATTCCTCCCTGTGCTTATTACATAATAACAAATGACCAAGATGGCTTTAACATTCTTAGTCAATTCTTGCTGCTATAACAAAATGCCTTAGAATGGGTAATTTATAAACAACATAAATGTATTGCTCACAGTTCTGAAGGCTGTAAATTTCCAGATCAAGGGACTGGCAGATTTAGTTCTTAAGTAAGTTGTGGTAAGTTCTGAGGTAAGTTCTAACAAACTTTCTGCTTCATGGTTGGCACCTTGTTGCTGCTTCCTCACATGGTGGAAGAGAAAAGGAAATTCCCTTGTGCCTTTTCTTTTTCTTTTTCTTTTTTTGTTTTGAGGTAAGACTCTTGCTGTGTCGCCCAGCCTGGAGAGCAGTGGTGTGATCTCAGCCCACTGCAGCCTCCACCTCCTGGGTTCAAGTGATTCTCCTCAGGGCTTAGTCACTTCTCAAAGGCCTCACCTCTTAATACTATTAAATTAGGTGCTAGGTTTTTGATATTTGAATTTTGGAAGGCCTTAGGTTTTTGACATTTGAATTTTGGAGGGACACCAGTATTCAGATCTTATCACATATCCCTCAGGTTGATAAAACTTTACAGATTTATTTCTGACTATAACTCCCTAGTCTCTTTTTTTTTTCTTAGAACATTTACTTTAAAAAAAAGTTGCAATGATAAATTCTCTTTCTGCCCCCCTGTAAATATATTTCAGTGTTCTCCCAGATTGACAACCCAGGAAATACCTTTCTCAAAGACCTGGAAACCTTCTCTTTGAAACGTAAACATCTAAGGAGATAGCATCCTTATCTCCCAATCTCTGTGGTACAGTAGAAGCCTAATTTCAATGGAAGCCAGTTAACAGAGACAGAGGGCATAACTGCAGACAAAAAACATTCACAAACTCAGGAATAGCTCAATGAACTTGGCATGTCACATTGGTCCACCTCCCTCCTCCCTGCCTCAAGGTCTTTCTCTCACCCTAATGCTTAAAAACCTTCACACCTTTTGTTTCAGCAGAGTTGAATTAAGTTTCTCTCCCCTCTGCAGTTGTTTTGAATGAAGTCTTTCTTGCCTCTGTAATATAAGCATTGAATGCTGCTGGATTTAGTAGTGGCTGTAATTGTGAACTTGACAGATGCAATGTTGATGAAGGGAAAGGTAAAGGTCAGGCTGTTATGGTTCAAGAGAAAAGAGGGTAAAATTATTAATAATTGGAGGTACAGACAAGCAAACTCTCTCTCTCCCTCACCCCTCTCTCGTGTGTGTGTGTGTGTGTGTTTGTGTGTGTGTGTGTGTGTAAAGGAAAGTAAAACAATTGACTGGTAACTGAGGGGGAAGTGGGGCCAAGTTAGAATTTCGTAGAGATAAGATAGTAACAGCATGCTTGACTGCTGATGATAATAATCAGAAGAAAGAGATAAAAATAGATGATTCACTGAAGTGTGAGGAAAATTTTGAGAAAAAAATCTGTCATAAACATGATATAGCATGGATCTAGAACAAAGGTAGGGATATGGTCTTAGGTAAGATCAAGAAAAATTAACCAACATTAACAGGATGGGGGTGTTACATGCAGACACATAGGTAAGTGTGTTGGAATTAGATTGTACATGTTCTCTCTTAATTCTTCAGATTTCTTAGTAAACTAAGAAAAATGAGGTTGAGGGTGAGGCACAGGATATTTGAGGAGATAAGTCATTTGAAATCCTCTAGGAGAGAGTAGGAGTGTGAATAAAATGAGGAAACATTGAGCTGCCAGCCAATCTTGAAGAACAATTTGAGGTTAGATCTTCATGTATTTAAAGTAAGAGCAGTCAGCATGCTTGTATTTTGTTTTTCTCCCTAAGGCATGTTTAACTGCATAAGCATGAGTGCTAAGAAAAGTTACTTAATCAAGTTGGGTTTTTGTCAAGTGAACACTAAGAGGTGGAAAGGGCACAGGAGTTGAGGATAGATGCTTCAGTGTAAGAAACAAAGTGGGACGGGTGTAATGATGGAAACAGTAGACACTGGGGACCACTAGATGGAGGAGAGAAGGAAGGGGACAAGCGCTGAAAAATCTATTGTGTACTATGCTGACTACTTGGGTGATGGGATTATTTGTACCCCAAACCTCAGCGTTATGCAATATACCCATATAACAAACCTGCACATGTACCTCCTGAATGTAAAAGTTAAAATTATTTTTACAAAGAAACAAAGTAGGCAAAGAATATAAAAATAGAAAAAAAATAAATCAAATAAATAAATAAAATAAAAATTGGTAGATCCATGGAACATAGATCCTAGTAAGGTTGAAGGATTGTTGGAGCTAGAATGCTAATGATATAAGGGTTAAATAGAAATTAGGCAGTTAATGAGGGTAAGGAAGTCCTCGGTAAGGCTCCCTTTTAACAAAAAACAGCCCGAAATCATTTCTTTTCTAACAAAGAACAGCCTGTAAAATGGAGCTGCAGACATAAATAAGCAGCTGGAAGCTTGCACAGGTGAATGCCGGCAGCAGTGCCAATAGGAAAAGGCTACCTGGGGGCTAGGCATGTTCAACATGGTGGCTCCATCTTCCCTTTTCTTTGTCAACCATGTGTACAATAAGGAACAGACAATATGGTGCTGGCTGGGTAGAGAACCCATCTGCATAATAAAAGGTTAGGGTACATGGTCAGCTTCTTAGTGCACTATGCGAACGTCACACCTGGTCTGACCAATCTCTGGGGCCCTATGTAACTCAGACATCACCTCCTCAAGCTTTTCTATAAAGACCCGTGCATTTGACCACGAAACCGGAAGACCCACTCGTGTGCCTCTCTCTCTCTCTGCAGGAGAGAGAGCTATTTTCCTTTCTCTTTCTTTTACCTATTAAACCTCCACTCTTAAACTCACTTCTTGTGTGTCTGTGCCTTTGATTTCCCTGGCGGGAGATGACTGACCTTGGGTATTTACCCCAGACAATGATGCCACTTCACCAGAAGGTACAAGATAGAAAATTGCAGATGTACTCTTATTTTCAGACACTTAAAACTGATATGTTGAAGGAGTGGTATTAATAGTTACTGTTAAAAATCAGGTTTAGTGTATGACGATAGCAGGGAATAGGTAGGAGTGAGTAGGTAAGGAGGGGTGAGAAATGTTTACTGGAAGAATATAAATATTTGGCAGACCAGTGTTTTAAGAAGTTATTTATGCAGTTATTAAAATAACCAGTGAGACTGAGCACAGTAGCTCATGCCTGTAATCCCAGCATTTTGGGAAGCTGAGGCAGGTGGATCACTTGAGGTCAGGAGTTTGAGACCAGCCTGCTCAGCATGATGAAACCTCGTCTGTACTAAAAATACTAAAATTAGCTAGGCGTGGTGGTAGACACCTGTTATTCCAGCTACTCAGGAGACTGAGGCTCAAGAATCGCTTGGGCCAGGGAGGTGGAGGCAGTGGTGAGGCAAGATTGCAACAGTGCACTCCAGCCTGAGTGACAGAGCAAGACTCTGTCTCAATAAAATAAATAAATAAATAAAAACCAATGACATTGATGGAATAGTGCTGGAGAAATGTCAATGATAACTGCAAAAAGAGATAGTGGATGTTATTTCAGATGGCACGAGGAAGTGGTTTTGTTATGGGCTATATGTATTAACCTATTTGTAAATTCCTAACAAGTACTTGTCCGAAAATTTTTAGAGTCTTTAGAAAATTTATCATTAAACATACTGCCAGAATTTATGCTAAACTTTATAAATTGTTTCTCTCTAATCTGAGGATTTGGGGGTGATTTTTGTGTGTGTGCTTCTCTGCTTTCCATTGCTTTTTTTTTTTAACTTAGCATTATATTTATAATACAAACACTTGTGAAAGTTGTTGAACTTACAAAAGTATTTAAACTAAAAATAAAGCTCCTTTTGCTTTTTAACTATATTATTTAATAGTTTTGGAACTTTCAATTTTTAATACATCTGAAGAAAATAAATCTGTCCATGATATGGTTTATTTCTATTTTATAATTGTCCTTGCCATGAATTGCAAGAAAAAGGATACTCAACAGATTTACTTAAAGAAAATTAAATATCACCATCACATGTAAATTATCATTTTCCTATAACTGGTGTAGGGACCAGCCTCACAGGGTCGGTGGCTCTCTCCCTGTGTGAGGCGATGAGAGAGTGTAGAAATAAAGACACAAGACAAAGAGATAAGAGAAAAGGCAGCTGGGCCCGGGGGACGACTACCACCAATGCGCGGAGACTGGTAGTGGCCCCGAATGCCAGGCTGCGCTGTTATTTATTGGATACAAGGCAGAAGGGAAAGGGTAAAGAATGTGAGTCACCTCCAATGATAGGTAAGGTCATGTGGGTCACGTGTCCACTGGACAGGGGGCCCTTCCCTGCCTGGCGGACAAGGCAGAGAAGGAGAGGAGACAGAGAGAAAGACAGCTTATGCCATTATTTCTGCAGATCAGTGACTATTAGTATTTTCACTAATTTACTACTGCTATCTAGAAGGCAGAGCCAGGTGTACAGGATGGAACATGAAGGCGGACTAGGAGTGTGACCACTGAAGAACAGCATCACAGGGAGACGGTTAGGCCTCCGGAAAACTGCGGGCGAGCCTGACTGATGTCAGCCCCTCCACAAGAGGTGGAGGAGCAGAGTCTTCTCTAAACTCCCCGGGGGAAAGGGAGACCCCCTTTCCCGGTCTGCTAAGTAGCGGGTGTTGTTCCTTGACACCTTTTGCTACCGCTGGACCACGGTCCGCCTGGTAACGGGCGTCTTCCCAGACGCTGGTGTCACCGCTAGACCAAGGAGCCCTCTGGTGGCCCTGTCCAGGCATAACAGAAGGCTCACACTCTTGTCTTCTGGTCACACCTCACTATGTCCCCTCAGCTCCTATCTCTGTATGGCCTGGTTTTTCCTAGGCTATGATTATAGAGTGAGGATTATTATAATATTGGAATAAAA
Organism: Homo sapiens; assembly: GCF_000001405.40. Taxonomy (NCBI): domain Eukaryota; kingdom Metazoa; phylum Chordata; class Mammalia; order Primates; family Hominidae; genus Homo; species Homo sapiens. The sequence continues at coordinate 104,263,496 of NC_000001.11, forward strand.
AGTAATTGCTACAAACTAATGATTAATAATATTCATATATAATCATATCTAAGATCTATGTCTGGTATAACTATTCTTGTTTTATATTTTATTATACTGGAACAGCTCGTGTCCTCTGTCTCTTGCCTTGGTGCCTGGGTGGCTTGCCGCCCACAACTGGCATTATTTTCATTTATAGAAATGATATCAGAGTTTATGCAAGTGGAAAGTTCAGCTTGTAAAATTAAAGATTCAATGACCTATATGATACAATAAAGGATACAATTTAGAAACATTACGATTTAGGGCAACAATGTAACTTTATAGAAAATAAACACTCAATAATTTTGTGAATTGAGAAGGCTAAGTTAAGAACTGGAGAATTTGAAGGTCTTTAAGTAAATCAATAATTTTCAAACATTAAAATATCCAAGGTAGTTATTAAAATACTGATCCCTCGGTGGCTCACTCCTGTAATCTCAGCACTTTGGGAGGCCGAGGCGGGCCGATTACAAGGTCAGGAGATGGAGACCATCCTGGTTAACATGGTGAAACCCTGTCTGTGCTAAAAATACACGAAATTAGCCAGGAGTGGTGGCGGGTGCCTGTAGTCCCAGCTACTGGGGAGGCTGAGGCGGGAGAATGGTGTGAACCCGAGAGGCGGAGCTTGCAGTGAGCCAAGATCATGCCACTGCACTCCAGTCTGGGTGACAGAGGGAGACTCCATCTCAAAATAAACAAAAACAAACAAATAAACAAAACGGATCCCTTATTTTATTTCATTTAATCAGTTTTTGTTTGTTTATTTGTTTGTTCTACTCAGATTCTTCAAATGTACAGTCCTGGTTCAGTACCACTCATGTACAAATAATCAAAGTCCCAGGAGGAGAAATTTACATCCAAAGATCTCTTCAGTGACATACGTAGCTTTATGTCATTGTAGGAATATGAGAAATATCCTGAGTTAGTGGATAATATTGCCAAAAAATAGTAAATACACATAAAAGTGAATACTTCAGGGGAGGTAATACTAACTTATCATTTGAAAAAATACAGATTAAAGTATTTTTTTTCTAAAAACCCTTTCTGAAGAATCAAAAATGTTATGATCTAGAAATAAAATTATGAACCAAAGATAATAGCATGATGCTGCTATAAATAAATGTATAGATTGATATCTTAAGTGTTCTGGTGCTGAGTTACTCAGAGAGAAACAGATCTCTAAGTTTCTGGTGATGAGTCACTACGTGAGAGAAATTAAAAGGACCACTAAGCTTGTATGTAGCAAGAAGGGCATAAACTTGGATGATTTTCTACCCTATTAGTCATACTGCAATATAATTTAATATAGCCTGAACTAGGCAGAACTTCAGATTCACCTTGGGGTAGAGAAAATGCAATCACTTATTATGTTCTTGTTTAAAATTCCCCAGCCACCGCCAAATCTCCACCCCCCAATCTATCCTTCTTTTCTGGCTTGTTCTGTGCCTGGAAAAACTGGCTTCTGTGCACTATCTGACCTGGGCTTCTCTGCATGATGATTTTTGGGATTTTCAAAGAACAAGATAAGGATGTATGTGAGAAAGTAATATAGAAAGGCTTCTTGGAATAAAGTGAGAATATCTGGTCCAATGTGAGTGCGCACCACAGAGCATCTGATGCAAAGGGAGCTAACGCTGGTCGGCAGCTGTTTTGAAGCTTTCAACCAGCCTCTTTCTTTGATCAACAGAGTTTGATTAAAAGACTTATATACAGAATGGCCATGGCAGCAGAAATATATTCGCATTCCAAAGCCTCAACTTCATGGCCAATTTGGCTATTAAATCTGCTGAGTGCTCAAGCTACTATTAATAGTATTGCAAGCCAGTGATGTACATGATTCCTGGGGAGGACCAGCAATCTACTTGTCAGGATGATTACAATGTACGTTTTTCATCAAGAAGCTAGTAATTTATCTTTATCACAATAGACATGTATTTATAAAATTTATTTTCTTTCCCTGTCTACAGTGAGTTTCCCGGTACCACCATCGGTGGACTAACACAGTGCCTCATCACAGTCATGGTATTCTATTCAACATCATGTCAGACCAAGGGTCTCGATTTAAGTTACTCCAGAAAGAAGGCATCTTTGAGGAATTTGGGTTAAACTATATGGTAAAGAACACTAGCTAGTAAATTGCTATTTCAAGAGCTTAGCATGTGATGGAGGAAGGACATTATCATTGCCATCCCAGCCTCAAATAAACTGCAGAAGTCTGGGCTGTAACACGTATGCATATTTTATATTAAGCAATTATTTATTTCCTTCACTCCTTTTCTTTCTTACCTTGTAGAAAGCATGAGTAGTGGTTAAAGTTCCATGTGGGAGTAGGACTGGATTGGCATCATCTGGGATGACATAGTAGCTGAAAGGTCTTCTATCTTCTTTATGTTTAGGAAGATAATTAATTTAACTAAAAGCAAAGAAAAAGTGATACCAAGTAGCAAAAATGGTAAATTAGCCTGCATATTTTATATTTACTTCTATAATGTGTTATTCAACCTTCTCTACCCTACTCTGTGACCAGGGACTTTGCAACCTACAGACTCTACCACCCAGGCTTTCTAGCTTGCTGTTAAATTTTAAGACCTATTAATCCTGACACTTCACAATGCTTCCTATTTTCCAGACTTGAGTTCTCAACCAAACATATGTTAACTTCTTCAATAAAAAAATGGAAACTGAAGAGACTTCTCTGACAGTGTGTTAGGGCCCTGGCGTGAAACAATGCACCGTCTTTAGAATTATGTGGCAAATCCCTTAATATGTGATTTATTCCACTTAAATATGTTTTTAGAGTAGGACCATAAGAGAAAGTAAAAATAGAAGATTTAAGGCAAACTTATTAGGCTAGGACCAGAGGTATTGCATTTAAAATTTTTATTTAAAAAATTTATGGATTCATAATAGTTTTACATATTCGTGGATATTATATTTTATAGTTCAAACCAGGATGTATTCCAGATTACTGAACTAAAGAAGCATTGATAAAAAGAACTATTAAGAGGTGTTGATAGGGTTCAGTAAAATATGTCTTATAAGGTACAAATATTTTAGTATAATGATTTTTGAGGTCTTGAAGGTCACCAGAAAAAATAAAAATATAATGAAAACCTTAAATTTTGGCAAATTTAAACTTAATGCTCTAAATAATAAATATTTAAGTTGTTGAACAGGGGAGTGGAAGGATAGTCTGAAGAATATTCATTTGATACCATTTTGTGGGCAGAAAGAGTAGAAACTGAAACTAGGTAAATAAACTAGGAGGCTGCTAAGTTGGTAAGACACAGTGTAGTGAAGAGGACTCTGAACTAGAAGTTAGAAGGCTTTTACTTGTCTTCTCAGAGTTTCAGTTTCATCAACGTTTAAGTGAAGATAGGAAGGTCTATGTAGAATGATCCAAGGTGGTTGTAGCCATTAAATAGAATGCAGTGTGAAAATGTTTTGAACATTGTAAAACACTGCACAATATAAGTTACTATTCTCCATCTGTTTGGCTGACTTCTGGAAGTGCTGGACTAGCATGGTGCCAATAAAATTAGACAAGAGAGTATGCATTGAAATGTTTCAGTTTAGGAATAATTGATAGCCCACAGTGACACTGAATACGGAGATAAAAAAGAAGTAGTCAATGCTGATATAAAGTTTGGAACCTCATGCCTAGGTCACGGAGAAAGGAGGCAGAATTTGATGAAACTGTTCCTTTTAGTTTAGAAATACACCAGGCAGTTGGAGATGTAAAATTTTAGCTCAAAGAAGAAGTTTAGCATACAGATATATTTAATTTGAAGACATTCCAACTAACAGACAATGAGACTCTATGAGTTGCAATATACTATGGTATGTGAATTATCTTTTGCCACAATGATTCTACATAACAAATCACTCAAAATTCAGTGGCTTAAAACAATCATTAATTTAACGCATGAATCTGTGGTGAGTGGTTCTTTTAGTGTTGATGGGGGCTCATTCATGTCTCTGTAGTCACCTGCATATCATGTTCTGCTTTTTTTGGCTGAGATTTCTTACATGTCTGGTGATCAACTGGCTGTTGGTTGTTCTAAGATGGCCTCAGCTGCACGATTGTCAAGACACATCTCTGTTCCATGTAATTCATCCTTCAGCTGTCTATCCTGGGCATGTTCTTTTGGCAAAGCTATATTGTACAAGAGCAGTCAAATGAAAATTCAGAAGGCTTCCAGAGGCCAATAGTTAGAATTGACATAGTTATTTCTGCTATGTTTTATCTGACAAAGCAAGTTAAATGTCAGTCCAAAACCAAACAGAGGGAAATAAACCTTGTCTCACTATTGCGAAGAATTAAGAATTAACATTAAAGGATATAGATAGATGGAGGAAAGACAAAATGAGGCCATTAATTAAATCAACCTATCATGGTGATATCATAAGTAATTTATTAGCAAATATTCTTTGATGTCTGTTCCAGGCACAGAGATAAAGCAATAAAGAGAGGAAAAGTTTCTGCTTAATTGAGATTATGTGTTAGTGTTTGAGGTCAGTAAAAAAAAAAAAAAAAATAGCCAACAAAGTATCACTTAGTGATAAATGCTGTAGGAAATACAACAGTGATACAATTGAACATGTCCAGGAGAGTAGTATGCTAGATTGAGTGGTTTATCTGTGTAGTTGATACAGAGTGAAAAAGATATTGGTATATTTGATGATTGGAATGTAGGTAGTGTAAATGAAACCTAGACATCAAATGGTGAATAGTAAGAGTCTATGATAGAGGTAAGCAGAAAAAACAACATGTTAATCCATGACTATGATGACAATGGTCTCAGATTTTATTCAAGTGAGATGAGAAATCATGAAGAGTTTGAAGGAGAGGAGTGTCGTTACATAATTGTATATTGAAAATATTAATTTTGGATGTTGTGTGGATAAGAGTGGTAAGGTAGGCATATTTGATAAATCCTACTATCTTTTAATTTATAAATCAGAGATAGATAAAAGGATATTAATTAATTAGTTAAAAGTCAAATTAAAATAAATGCTAAACCATAGCACAAGTATTATGCTGAGTGAAGCCAAAGGAAAGAAAAATTCATTTTGACAGGAGGATCTCTGAGGACTTCATAAAAATGATGGCACTTGAACTAAACATTGAAGTATGAATAGAAATTTAGTATGATGAAAAGGACATGAAAGGCATTCAAGGTACAAGGAGACAGCAACAGCTAAGGGATTGAAGTTTTTAAAATGCATTTGTGTGCAGGTGTTATTTAGGCAAGCAATGATCAAATTTCAAATGCATATAAGCATGTCCCTGCTGCTTTATTTGTGTCAGAACAGCGGATTGTTAAGCACAATCTTAATGTTTTGTTCTTAGACTGCTTTGTTGACAAACCTTATGATTTATTTAAAATGTGCCACGATTTTTCCTTTCTAGCTGCAGTGTTACAGTTGTTCATCATAGGAATTTCAAGAAAATGTCCAGATAGCTGCAATTTCCAAACCACAGGTTACTAATATAACATCACAAATGCTAAAAATAAAAATATTAATATCTGTGTATAAAGATGATTAACAATAAAAGATCATATGTAAGACTTCCAAAGAAAGGAAAGTCGTGGTTTGAATTTTTGATGAGACTGGAAAATGAAGGTAGATATTCAAAATATAGAATTTGAAATCTGTATTTTATAATCAGAAGAATAAGCTATGAAGTCAGGTTTCTTTAAATAATTAAGTGTTTTGAGTTTTCCTTTTCTCTCTCTCATTTCTTTATCTACTTCTCTAATTCTCTCTTTCTCTTTCTTTCTCCTCTTTCTCATCTTTCTTTTTTCTCTTTCCTCCCCCTCACCTTTATTTCCCCTTTCCTTTCTCCTCTCCCTGCTCCTTTTTCTTCTGTTACCCAGAAATCTCCTACTTTGCAGTAGATTTCCCTATAGACCCAGGCATACTTATTCAACAGCATTCTATTTTCATTGCTAGTTAGTGATGATCAGAGGTTAATTTTTTTATGATTACTTTTATTTTCTTAATCACTACCTGCTCTAATAGAATAATTATTGTTAGTTTTTAAATAACTGTTGAGGCTTAACGTTGAAACAGCAAATTTAATCTTAAATTTAAAACAAAAAATATATCTCTTGAACTGCATGTGAATGGAATCTCAGAATACACTTTTGTTTATCTGTCAGAATATTACATGTTGCTGCATATAACTGCAGTTTGTTTTTTTTTTTTTTTTAACTTGAATATCACTCCACTGAATGAATATACTTTTGTTTTCAGTAGGTATTTTACTCTTGGTGGGTTTTGGATTGTTCCCAGTTTAGTACATTTAAAATTAAACCTGCTGTACACATTTGTAAATATGCCTTTTGGTGAATTTAAGTATTCAACTATGTTGGGAAAATACCTAGCAGCCAAATTGCTGAGTCATGTGATAAGTATGTGTGGACTTCAGTTGATACTGCCAACAGTTTTTTTTTTTTTTTTTTGACACGGAATCTCACTTTGTCGCCCAGCCTGGAGTGCAGTGGCGCGATCTCGGCTCACTGCAACCTCTGCCTCCCAGGTTCAGCGATTCTCCTGCCTCAGCCTCCTGAGTAGCTGGGATAGATTCTCCTGCCTCAGCCTCCTGAAGAGCTGAGATTACAGGTATGCACCACCACGTCTGGCTAATTTTTGTATTTTTAGTGGAGACAGGTTTACACCATGTTGGTCAGGCTGGTCTCGAACTCCTGGCCTCAGCTGACCCACCCGCCTTGGCCTCCCAAAGTGCTGGGATTACAGGTGTGAGCCACCATGCTGGGCCATACTGTAAGGCATTTTTTTTAAAGTCATTGTACCAACTTACCTTCCACATGGTAATATATACATTCTGCTATCTCCACCTTCTGTCCAACACTTGGTATTTTCAGTCATTCTGATATTAGATATTCCATTGGGTTTTTAGAGTTTCTTCATTGTAGTTCTAATTTGCATTTCTTACATGACAAATGCTTTTGAAAAATTTTCTATATGTATATTGGCCATTTGAGTATTTGTTTTTTGTAAAGTACCTGTTCTAATATTAAACTATTTTAAAATTGAATTGGCAGAGCTCTTTCTATTGATTTACAGCAATTTTTGTATATTCTGGATACAGTTCTTAATTGTATAAGCACTGCAAATACATTCTTCAAGCCTGTGGCTTGGTTTTAATAAAACCTAATATATCAAACTTTTGTTTTAAGAGTAGTGGTGAATGTTTTCCCCAGCCTAGGATGTTCTACATGTCTGAACTGATAAGCACTCTGCAAAATATTTGAGAAGAGCCCTTGGCATACCTTCAGAGTTCTCTTTCCATGTAGCTCTCTCCTCTTTGTTACTCCCTTCTACTAGATTTGGTCTATTCTGCCTACTGCCTGGGTACCCTCAGACACCTTGCTCCATATTCTTTATCCAAGGAGTTCATTGGGTTCTAACTGGGTTTCTTCTCCTTGTGGTATGGCCTGAATATTCTCTCAAGGCAGTGAGCTGGTACAATTGCAATTACAGGTTTCTCCAAGATTGCTTCTCTCAAGGAACCATTGTTTGTTGCATGACATTGAAAACAAGAACTAAAAGTAGATCTACCATTTGACCCAGCAATCTCATTACTGGGTACCTACCCAGAGGAAAAGAAGTCATTATATGAAAAAGACACTTGCACATGCATATGTTTAGCAGCATGATTTGCATTTGCAAAAACATGGAACCAGCCCAAATGCCTATTAACCAACAAGTGGATAAAGAAAATGTGATACACACACACACACACACACACACACACACACACACACCATGGAATACTACTCACTACTCAGCCATGAAAAGAACAGAATAATCTCATTTCCAGCAAGGGTGGAGTTGGAGACCGTTATTCTAACTGAAGTAAATCAGAAATGGAAAACCAAACATCATATGTTCTCACTTATAAGTGGGAGCTAAGCTATAAGAATGCAAAGGCATAAGAATGACACAGTGGAATTTGGAGACTTGGGGGCATGGGTGAGGGTAGGGTGGGGGATAGAAGACTATACATTGGGCACAGTGTACACTACTCAGATGATAGGTGCATCGAAATCTCAAATATCACCACTAAAGAACTTATCCATGTAACAAAACACCACCTGTTCCCCAAAAACCTATTGAAATACATTTTTTTAAAATAGTATTTTTTTAAGTTTTACTTTAAATTCTGGGATACAAAGGCAGAATGTGTAGGTTACACAGGTATTGTGTGCCATGGTGATTTGCTCCACCTATCAAGCCATCATCTAGGTTTTAAGCCCCACTTGCATTAGCTATTTGTCCTAATGCTCTCCCTCCCCTTATCCCCCACCCCCTGACTGGGCCTGGTGTGTGTTGTTCCCCTCCGTGTGTCCATGTGTTCTTACTGTACAACTTCCACTTATGAGTGGGAAAATGTGGTGTTTGGTTTTCTGTTTCTGTGTTAGTTTGCTGAGGATGATGGCTTCCAGCTTCATCCATTACCTGCAAAGGACATGATCTCATTCCTTTTATGGTTGCATAGTATTCCACAGTGTATATATACCAATTTTCTTTATCCAATCTATCTTTGATGGCCATTTGGGTTGGTTCCATATCTTTACTGTTGTAAATAGTGCTGCAATAAACATATGTGTGCATGTCTCTTTATAGCAGAATCATTTATATTATTTTGGGTATATACCCAGTAATGGAATTGCTGGGTCAAATGGTATTGCTGGTTCTAGATCCTTGAGGAATTGCCACACCGTCTTCCACAATGGTTTAACTAATTTACACTGCCTTCCCACCAACAGTGTAAAGCATTTCTATTTCTCCATAGCCTCACCAGCATCTATTGTTTTCTGACTTTTTAACAATCACTATTCTGACTGTTGTGAGATGGTATATCATTGTGGTTTTGATTTTCATTTCTCTAATGACCAATGATGTTGAGCTTTTTTTTATGTTTGTTGGCCACATAAATGTCTTCTTCTGAGAAATGTCTGTTCATATCCTTTGCTCATTTTTTGATGGGTTATTTGTTTTTTGTTTTTTTTTTCTTATAAATTTGTTTAAATTCCTTGGAGATTCTGGATATTAGACCATTGTTAGATGGGTAGATTGCAAAAATTTTCTCCCATTCTGTATGTTGCCTGTTCACTCTGATGAAGTTTCTTTTGCTGTGCAAAAGCTCTTTAGTTTAATTAGATCCCATTTGTCAGTTTTGGCTTTTGTTGCAATTGCTTTTGATGTTTTCATCATGAAGTCTTTGCCCATGCCTATGTCCTAAAAGGTATTACATAGGTTTTCTTCTAGAGTTTTTATGGTTTTGGGTTTTACACTTAAGTCTTTAATCCATCTTGAATTAATTTTTGTATAAGGTCTAAATTTTTAAAAGAAAATCACCTCAGTAATTAACAACTACTTTGGGACAGATACTTCAATGTTATATAAATACCCTGTTTCTTCAAGTTAAGTGTTTTCAAAGCCTTTTTTTTTCTGTTGGAATCTCGCTATGTCACCCAAGCTGGAGTGCAGTGGCGCCATCTAGGCTCACTGCAAGCTCCGCCTCCTGGGTTCACGCCATTCTCCTGCCTCTGCCTCCTGAGTAGCTGGGACTACAGGTGCCAGCCACCACGCCCAGCTAATTTTTTATATTTTTAGTAGAGACGGGGTTTCATTGTGTTAGCCAAGATGGTCTCGATCTCCTGACCTTGTGATCCACCTGCCTTGGCCTCCCAAAGTGCTGGGATTACAGGCGTGAGCCACCACACCCCGCCCTCAAAAGCCATTTTTATATTTACCATTACATGTGACATCACAAGAATCCTTTCCTCCATAAATAAACAGAACTTGAAAAAAAGAGGAAATCATTGTTTTGTATATTTTGCCCCTGTATTTGGTTAAGTGGGAGAATAAATCCAGTCTCTGTTTTTCCATCTTGGCCCAAAGCAGAAATCTTTCTCATTATTTGTGTTGTTTTATGATCACACACACACACACACACAAACACACACACACAATTATCCAAGGCTTTATATTTTATCTTCTTTCCTTTTCTCTTTCCATTCTATGCTATCTTTGTGATATCTCCTATGTTCTCTCAGTTTTAACTACTAACTCTCAACTTACATCATAGGAATTAGAGAATGGTTAAAAATAGTTTCAAATTGGAGTCCTTAGTATATCTGTGATTTTTACTATTTCCATAGAACTATTCAAACATTGGTGCTAAGAACACCCAAATGGAGCTCCTCAGGTGAGAAAGACAGGATCTCAGCCATTTCCATAGTCAAGAGTCCTCCACTTATCACAGACAGCCCTTCTTTTTGAAGCCCTAGTTTTTGAAAAAATACTGAAGTTTTAATCCCTAATCTAAGTGTGTCCTACTCTATGAAGACGACTGACATGATAAATTTCTATGTGATCCCAATAATAACATTGAAATACTTTTTTTATAAAGGAAAATTTACATATAAAATTAAATATTACTAAGGACAAAGTTAATAGTTATTTATTGTAAGACAGTTTAAGTGCTTCCTTACAGTAGGAAGAGATCTGTCTCTTTAAAAAAAAAAAAGTTGCTTTAACAAACTTATCCTTACCCAGGACTGAGCCTTGAAGATCGAGGGATGAATAAACCTATCTCTATACCTTGGTGAAGATACTTGAATCATGGTGGTTGTTAAGACAATTTTTGTTGAGTAAAAGAAAAATTCTGATTTTTGTTTGAGGAGACATGGATTTCAATCTTCATTCTGAGGAGAGGAGATATATCTCTACTGTGACATAAAATTATTGCTATGTCTGGTGACAAATATGAAAATATTAGTTATGTTTTTTGGTTATGTTTGCTAGTGAAGAAAATGCCAAAATTCAGGAAATACTACTGTTTAAGACCCAATCAATGCTGCAATTCCCTTAGATAACTGTTGGTTGGAAGGTCAAGCTAAACTAAGGGAAGGAGTTTAGGAAGTTGAACTACATTGATTTAGGGAAATGCTAGAGTTATTTTTTGTTTTTGTTTTGTGTTGTCTTTTCATGATGATGCTCACATTTTATTAGAAATGACCTTTCCCCTTTGAATTTAATGGGTAACTCTTGCTTCTGACTATTAGCATTAGGACTGGGGATAACAAAATTTTTAATTAATTGATTATAAAAATATTTGTATACACAACACATTGAGAAGGAAAATGAGTTAGTTACAAACTCCACCAAAGCGAATACTTTGGTGGAACCCTCCCAGACAAAATGCACAATAATCATGTTGCAAATTATAGCCCTTCGTTATCTGGTTACATACAATATAGGAATTGTAGGTAGTGATTCATTCTTTGAATCCCCTGTCTAAATGAGAAAATAAAATAGCTTCTCTTTTTCCATTTTTTATCTTGTCTAAAATTATGTGTTCACAGCTTCCACCATAAATGTAAACACTAGATATTGTCATGTTTGTTGGTTTAATGTTTTTATAATTTTAACTTTTTTTATTATTACTGTTTTTCAACTGTTTGAACATACCTTGGAGTAGTGATTTTTTTTTCTTTTTTCTAAAGCAGCATGTTCTTCTGTGATGCATTCAAGGTCACAGTCTCTCTACCCTTGCCTGCTGTACATAGACAGAGCAATAAAACAGGTAATACTCTTACTCAATTGAGGTGCAGATCTTATTTCTGCTGAACATCTGTGCAGACTGAATCTCCATATTATACCCTAAACACCAATTTTTTGGTAATATTATCAACTTCGCCTCTTTGCATTTTTATTTACATTGATATGACTCAATTGGGATATGCTGTTGTTGAGGCATGCATAATTTTTAATGACATAAAGTGTAGGAAAAACCATACCAATATTAGAAAAATGTCAGCTTGAAGCAATACAATTTCTAATAAAAAACAACTTAGAGAGGAAATAAATATTAGAAAATAAGCTGCTTCTCTATTTAAAGAGTCACACTTAGGGAAAAAAATGAATCATCATGTCATAATGAAAACAGATCATTTTCTGTGATATTAGAACCATGCCTCTTCTCAGCCTTTGCTCTTTTCTAAAGACTTCATTTCACTGCAATGTTGATTTCTAAAATAGACAAATTAGAATTATATAAACCAAAGGCAATAAGCATCAATAGGGAAAGAGGTAGCAAGGTTAGCAAAATACATATTATTATTTCCAGGCTGATAAATATTTAAATTTTTTTTGAATTAGAACTTATTTATTTTCAGGCTTAGAACATTGAGATAAACACAGCTTATGAGTGGAACACATCTCATTCATTTGTTTTTTTTTCTTGATGATGAGTATGAGTAAGTGTATTTGTAATGGATGCAAGGACACATAAATGAAGTAGTTGAGTAAAACTTTTAGAACATTTAGTGTATTATTAATTCCTGCTGCCCCTTTTACTGGATAGACAACTGATCCCTCAATTATTTTCTTTTCATAGATGCAAAAAGGTGTGACAAAGCTTCAGTCTACTGTTTTTCTCCTTATAATACTAACTATATAAACTGTCACTTATGGTCCAAAAAGAAAAACATAATTTATCTTGATTACTTGTTCAATAATATTATTTTCTGTTACATACAAACATGTACATGCACACAAAATCAGAAAAAATAGGAGCTTTGTTTTTTGAAAATGATACTCAAATAAAGATGAAATGCCTTTTAAAATTCACTGGTATTTTTTTCCTAAAGGAGAAGCTTTATGCTTAGTCAATACTTCTCACATAGTAGATACTAAATTAATACTCAGTATGAGAGGGGATAAATTAATATTTTCTCTGAAATCTTTTCAAACACCTTCAGGGAAATCCTCTGTGCTCTCATGATGCTTAATTCATAATGGTCATTTGACTGGATCAGTGCCATGTAATGGAGATATGGGAACTTCAGATTGGACCATAAGCTAATGGCATCAATATGCTGTTTTTAATTTAGATTTTGCAGCTTGACTGAGATGTGGAACACTTTGCCAGAGAAATGCACTGAAGAAAATTATAAAATTGAAAACAAAATTTCTATGAGAAAAACCTAATGTAATTAGTCAACTGTGTTTTAGTGGGTATAACTGCAAATGTGTATGAGTGCAAGGTATTTAATGACAATGAAATCTGTGATTGTGAAGTCAGCCCTAAAGAGACAGTGCCACATGCTTATATTGTATAATTTTGGGGGCCCTGGTGAAAAATAAATCAGTATTAAATAACAATTAAGCAGTAAAGTTATTTTTATTGATCAATTTAAGCAGTTGTTTGTTAGGTTTCAAATAAATATTTTGAGCTCTAAAGCTATTGATTGTCATACATTTTAAGTTACTAAACTTATGGTTAATTAACAAGGCAATATTTTACTTTTCTGCAGCAAAGCAACATAAGATGTAAAATGATTTATTTTTTTTCTGCCATAAAGGCTTCTGATTATCACTATTGCATGAACTGCATTTTACGGCTATGCCTTAAAAAGCTACTTAAAATTTATCCAGTTAAGAAAATAACACACTATAGTGTTTCTTTCAAAGGCACTGAATAAGTCAGTGAGACATGCTACTTATTCATCAGTTGAGATCCTTCTGGGAGAGTGGTGGCATAAAAATAAATAAATAAAACTTCACACTGATAACAAAGACAGTGACATAAACCAAACAGATCCCATGATTTACCAATATAGCATGTTAAAAATGAGAATTAAATAAATATTCCACATAGATTTTATTTCTGTCTCTACGAAAATAAACAGTCATACTTGACTGTGGTCACTGACATTTTTCAATGTTACAGGCCATTTTCCTATGCTAGAGAGAGGGTTGGGATTTTCTAAGTAGAGATGTTTGCAGATTTTACGGAGTAATAAAATATTCAATGAATAGATTATAAAGCACTTGATAAAATTTTAGAGGCATATAAATACTAAGACATGTAGTCCCTTGAGAAAAAGGACACACACACACACACACACACACACACACACGGACACACACACACACGCACACTCTAAACTTACAGCAGCTTTGTTGGTCTTTTTTTGATGGGGGAAGGAGTAAAAGGGGGCAGCGAGCAGGGAGAAAATACAAAATAGAAAAGGAAAATGCAGATGGGATGTTTTAAAGCAGTTTGCACACTTCCAGAAGTACAGAAATAATTATAGATCTTTTGGCAAATAACTGACTTTCTCTGAGATCTCCTGTATTATTATTATCAAATAATAATTGAAACTATTATTTAACATTTTTAAAAGAAAAGTACTATTTTAATGTTATAAGTAATTGGTAAAAATTCTCATTTCTTCTGTTGTTTTGATTTTTTCTACTGACAATTTTATCTTAGACTCATTGTCTGCCATCTCTCCTCATGGTTTTAATGTCATTTACCGAAAGGCCTAGTGCCAATTACATGCAAATCTATAGCTTGTTTTTGTGCTTATGTAAATTAATATTAAAACATAGAACTTGCTGAAGTTTGTATGTAATGCCGAAAATACATATTTAAGATGCAGAGAAAACCGCCCAGGGAGCAGGAGATCGGAAGGTTCTTTGCAGAGTGCACTGTCAGAAGGGTGGCAGACAGGTCCTTTGAAGCTAATATACTCAAATTTCCTGGAGCTGCTGCCGTCTTCCACAGGAGCAGCCTCTGAATAAGAAATATTTCCGTCTAATCCTGCTGAAGACAGATAAGTCTACCAATTGAAACTGTAAGTCCTGACAGCCAATGGCATTGGTTTTGTAATAGCAAAAGACTGATGCTGAAATATCAGAAATGGAACAGCATTCTCTGACAGCAAGAAACTAACATGTTTGACAAGAAATTGGGACCATGATCATTTCTAGTCAAACAAGGTGTCTGTTCATTCAAAGCATCAAATTTACCTTTATTTCCAAAGATAAAGATTCATTTCATTATTGACATGTTCTTTTTACACCTCATCAAGTTAAAAAACTTAGAGGCACATATGTTTGATACATTCTATCTGGGTAACAACTTCTGTTATTTTTCTTTTAATAAAGATGATAATAAAAATAATACAATCTTTCCCACATTGTGCTCAGTCACAATGCCACACCCATTTATTAAATATGCTCCATTTAACCAAGTGTCTTCATATTTCAGATTTTAAATAAGTTTTCATTCCAATAACCATCAAATTTGAGCTCCTTTTAGATCTTCCCCCTCCCTCATTTTATCTTATAACCCATCCAGTTGTAACCCATTAGTCTTAAATGCCTTTTTGATAGATTAGATTATGGATTGGCTTGATACAAGCCATAAAACAGAAACCGTTTTAAAATGTGGTATCGGAAAATTAGCTAAACTTTAGTGAATGAATAAAATGGAACTCATCTACTATTTGTCTATTATTAAATGTAGGTAGCACTGATTTTGTGTAATCCCCTTGGGCATTTTTCTCCAAGGTTTAGTAAATTGCAAATTAATTTATTGGAATCAAAGCAATGCTATTTGGAGCAGAATTTTGTTACATGGAAAAGGCTTAGAGATTCTTTCCAAGAGTTTTAAGAACATATGTTAAACAAATTCCAAATGGATAGTAAACTTTATTTTATATATTAGTGCATATTTATTAAATGTTATTACAATGAATGGCATTTACTTTTAATTTGTCAGCTATCTCTAAATTAAAAAACTACATAAATATTCTTCAGTTAACTCTGCTCTTAATAGTTTCTTAAAAATGAACTCTGATAAGTACTGTTTTTATCAATAGTTACAAAGGTATCCTCATATGCATATAGACAAACATACACACATACACTAATATGTTGGCAGGGTGCAAATTTAAGGTATAATGAAATAGAACTTTAACATAGTTTACATCTTATTTACAATTTTGGCAGTCATATAATATTTTATAAACAATGAGAAAACAAACCATTAACAAAAATTCTCTTTTCCTAATCATGAGTGTCAACTCAATTACATTATTTTATGAGCATAATTTGTACAACAAATCCAATTCCAGAAATGCAGCATTTCTAAAATAGGTATTGTGAAACATAGGTAATCTGCATTTGTTTACATTCTTTAATATTTAATTCTATTTTTGCCAACAGCATTGTTAGGTCTATGATTTGAGAAGAAATCAGTAAAATGTTAAGTTACTATAAATTAGTTATATTTTAAGAATGTTTTTTAGTTGTAAATGATATATATTCTACGGATAGGGCTTGGTCTTGGGAGTCAGTAAGTATAACTGAAAATCAAGATTCTACAATGCATTAGTTCCCTGTCTCCTTATAGTAATAATTCTAAATCTCATTTTTCCTATCTGCAAAATTGGTGTGTTAGTAGCTTTACTCTGAACCTAACCTGTATTCACTAGAGGAATTTAATATAAGTGTGAAGATGTGGCATGAGGGAAAAGAATGGAACAAATCCCAAGAAAAACTTTAGGTACATGTCTTGTTTAGTCAAAATGGTTACAACAAGAAAATGCAAATAGTTTCATTTTTATGCTAATTGTTTTCATACTAATCTTTTTGTCCAGTTACCCTGATGTGATGCTGAATGCCTAGTAGTTGGCTACAATAAAATAGGGAATATCTGACTTGCAGATAGATCTCTGAAATACTCTAAGCACAAAATGGCAAAATTTGGGGACCAAGGTTGGGGTAAAACATGGTTGAATTTCAACAAGCTATTTCAATAATGTACAGGTTTGATCAGACTGTTTTAGGGGAAATATTCAGTTTTTTTTTTCACCCAACACTTACACCTCATGCCTGTTTTAGGTCAGGAAATGTGCTTAAGATGAACACCATTGAATAAAATATAGTCTTTGCTTTTAATAACGTCACACTGTGGTTATGTTATATAACAATAAACATATAAATAGAGATAGTCACTCAACGATCTGTTTTCCCATAGTGCTAATTTGATAATTCAGAGATAGTTTGAAAATTTTGAAGAAGCTAGGGAAGCTTTCACAGAAGGAAAGGCCCATTATGTGTAGTAGGAGTCAGGAAAGAAGGAAAATGTTTTGTACAATAGGGTGCCTTTCTGCTTCTCCTGTAGACTATGAGGGAATTTTGAAAAGAAAGAAGTGAAAGAATAGAAAGGAAGTAGGACTCCCCTTGCTAGAACCTACAGTGAAGATATTATCTGGTTAATTGTCTCTACATTTCTAGTTACTTTGTAACTCTAACTCTGGATGACCTTGTTCAAGAGGTTTAATTCTTTTCCTCATTTTTCTGAAAGTGCATGGCCTTTAACAAACCTGTGGAAAAATAGACCTTGACTTGACTCTTCTTTGTAAGTAGTGTTTCATTTTTACTGCTACTCCTACCACCTCTAGCTACCATTAAATCAGCATCATCACTACTGCTGCTCATTTTAATATAAAGAATTAATTGGACAAACTATTTATTGGTACTTTTCCTGTACTACAGTCTCAAATACTATGCTTCACTTAGAATTTTTCATAAGTTTCTATGGTTTCAGTTATCACCAGTGACTTCCAATATTGTATCAGTTGGCTTGAGCTTTAGACACAGGCTTCAGGCTGTGCACCGGATGTCAGCCTGTGGATGTACTACGGGCATCTCAAACGTCACATCTTCCAGGCCAAACATAGTATTCATCACCCTCTATTCACTATATCCATTCTGCCACCTAATTCTGTCAAGTATATTTTTAAGTAAATATTATTATCTTTTTTTCTCTTGCTTTTATTTATGGAACTCCTGACCTTATTATTTTTGCCTCAGTGATTATACTAGTTTTTCCCATTTACTTTAATTATTACAAAATGCTTAGTTTCCTAATCCCCACAGGGCTCTCTAATTCTTTTGTCAACCCCATTTTTCATGATGGAAAAAGAAGTCACTTCAGTTTAAATCTCATCCCCAGACTACATCTCCCAGTTGCCCTTCTTTAGCATATTTTTCTACTGACTCCGAGCATACGTCTTCCCTTTCATTCCTTGAAGATTTTAGCAGCTGTCTCCATGTTGACCCTCAACATCCTCCCTGCCACATTACTTGATTTCAATATCCAGATACATTGTGTTTATTAGGGCTTCTTCTAACAGTTCTTTGACTTTCTTCCTGAATACCGATTAATCTACTTATATTGAATAGCTCAATCCTATCTATAATGAGGCCTGAGATTTGTCATTAACAATAATTTCAACTTCTCCATAATCTCAGTTTCTAGCACACAGATGTCCATCTACTATATTGCTAGGTGACTTCTTAACCTCTGATTTCACCAGTTGTTTGAACCTGCCAGGCATGTAATTTATCCTTTCATTATTCCTCATATCTTAAGACTTTTCTTGCCCTCCTTTGCCAGTTTAAATTACTATACTCTCAAAGCTATTACTATTCTCTCCATTACACTAACTTGCCTGGCAAAACCTCAATGCTAGCGAAAAAAAAATACAGTTTCTACCCACTGTTTGCCTGTACCATCACAGATGAATGTAGCTGGAGGCAAAAAAAAAAAAAAATCACACAACAATCTGATTATTGTTTCTTTATATTAAGATCACTAACTTCAAATGTGCTTTAATCCATTCACTCTCCTATTCTCCGCAATGATTCGGTCATAGTTTCACATTCCCACTCAATCCTCCAGTATCTCCTCTCCCATTACTTCCAGCTGATTACCTAGATCTTATTTCAGAGTTACAGTAGAAGCGATTTTAAAAAGGCCTTCACAAACATCCACTATTACATCTACTTACCTGTGACAACATCTATACACTCTCTGCCTTCCTGTTACTGACGCCAAACTGCTTGAGTAGCTACCTAAGGCCAACAGCTTCACTTGTGCACATCTCTTTTCTATTCAGGGACATCTCATCATCTACTCTAACTTCTACTTGCTATTTACATCAGCATTCAAGCACACTTAAATTTCTTGTAAGCTAAAGACAATCATCTCTTTATGACATATCTTCTACACCTCAATTATTTGACTTTCTTGACAATGACAACCCTCAGAATTGGTCAAGGTCTCCATTCTACCCCTCTCTCCTTCTTTCTTGAAACGACTTTAATCAGGTTCTTTACCCCTGTCCTTTCAGTGAAATGAGTCTTTTAAAACTCACCAATAATCTCCATGATATTCAATCTTATGGTCAATTTTAAGTCCTCATTCATTGGATCTCTTAGAAGCATTAATGAGCAGCATTAATCACCTCCTCCATTAAAGCAATCTCACCACTCTGCTTTCTGGAGCCCATATTCTCATTTATAGTTCTATTCTCATGTCTTTTTTTACATTTTTTTTCCTTTTTTTTTTTTCTTATTTCCTTGCTACAGCCATCAGACTCTTCTGTTTTTGTTTTATAACCTTTCCTGGCAATGTCATCTGGCTTCGTAGCTGTAAACACCATCAATATGCTGTGAACCTCCAAATTTTATCTTCAGCCTAGATTTCCCTCCTGCACTCCACACCTGTATGCTTTGCGGCCTATTTGACTTCTCTACTTGCATGTCCAATGGGCATCTCAAACATAGCACATCCCTTCTATGCACCCTCCTGGTACTGCCTGCTGCTCCTGCAATTGTTCTCAACTTGATTTGTAAACACATCCCACACCTTTTTCCCCCTATATTTCTCTTGTCCAGAATCCTAAAGTCATCAATTTTATCTCCTACTTACCAACACATCTGTTGGTATAGATCATCTGCAAATCTTGTCAGTTGGATCATTTTTCACCCTTCCGTTGATATCATCAGGTCCAAAGTACAATTGTTCCTCACGCTGATTATTGTGGTAATATTCTAGTTGTTCTTCTACTTTATGCCTTGTTTCCCAGTTCAGTCTGTTTTCAGCACAGCAACCCTATAATTTTGTTTTTGAAATACACATAAAACCATATTACTCCCTTGCTCAAAATTATCCATGGATATGGAATATCCACGGATATTGGAAAAATGATATATTTTCCATTTAGTACCAAAGTTCTTACACTGGTCTAGGTTATCTGGCTCCCACTCACCTCTTTGATCTTACCTCTCCCATTGCTATGCATTTGCTTACTCTATTCTTAGACCTTTGTCCTGCACTTGCTCTTTCAAATGTTTACTCAAATATTGCCTTCTCTATAAGGCCTTCCCGGATCAGAGTATTTCAAATTTCAGCACTCCACACTTATCTTCTGTGCTTTCTTTCTTTTTAGTAATATTATTTATTGCTATCTGATATACTGTACATTTCACTTATGGATTTGTGATTCATTTCACCTTC
Source organism: Homo sapiens (assembly GCF_000001405.40). Lineage (NCBI taxonomy): Eukaryota > Metazoa > Chordata > Mammalia > Primates > Hominidae > Homo > Homo sapiens. Next base: position 104,283,720 of record NC_000001.11, read on the forward strand.
ATCTCTGCTGACCACTACACATTTAGAATGGAAGCACCATGAGGGCAGGAGTTTTTATTTTGTGTACTTATATCTATACTCTTCCTGTAGATACTCATTTACTGTTTATTGAATACATAAATTAATAAAGAAATGATTAATAGATGATACTGGCTGAAGAAAATAATAGACAGTATCTTAATTTGTGAAATGGTCATGCTGGGATAGGAGTCAAGATGACAGAAGTAAGCAGGAGCTAGATGGTGTAGACTCTTTCAAGAAATTCAGACAGGAAGTCAACAGATTATTTGGAGCAAAGGAGTGGCTTGATTTTATGTATACATATTTCAAGCATTTAATTAAGATTACTTTATTTTCCATACTTCAGGAATAAAGTAGAGGGCCATGGCAATTCCTAAATTTGGGAGCTGGAAGTAAGCATGCAGCAGCATTGCTTAATTTGGTTGAAGCAACTAAGAAGACTGAAGACATCTTAGTTGCTTAACTTAACTTTAAAAAGCCAACAAAAGTTTATTCATCACCATCCTTTCCTCTAGTCATCTTAAATATCGATAATAGTACTGCATGGGGAATGATAAATTTAATTACTTTGTTTTGTGTATTAAAAAAAGTGTGACTGCCAAGAAAACAGACTTGAATATTAGGTTTTTTTTTTGGATACACTTTTGTCTGTGGTTCACAATGATCTTATATCACTTCTGTTAATTAATACAAAACTTAGAGTCAAATGAATGGCTCACCTTCTGCAAGTATATAGCACTTCATAATTTTGTAGATATGTAATTTACACAGGATTAATTTGATAATTAAATATCAAAGCACTAAAGATATTAACACTTTTAAAAATATGCATCAACTAATCTCAGAATAACACTACTTAATTGTTCAGCACAACTTTTGAAATCTCATGGTGCCAGCCCTGCTTAACAATGAAATCTAGTACTACATAATACAAAGAGATTGAACGGGCAACATTCATTTCCTACTCGTTACATTAATGCTTCTTGTGTTCGACACAATGAAGAAGAAAAGCAACAACACTGGCACCTGCAAAAGTTAAAGTGGGGCCAGATTAAACCATTGACAGCTTCTAAGAAAATGTCAGTGATTTCTGACTTTGGACATGAGGATAATCTTGTATTGGCTGCCGACTTTGTTTCTAAATTGTAAAACTTGAGATTCTCAGGGGAGCATCAGGAGTTTCACAGCACTAAGATTCTATGTCGAGCAATTAACACAAAAACTCTGAGAAATGTTTAGAGAATAAAAGATGGATCAACAAGTACAAAGTGTAATGGAGCCCTGGGGAATATGACTGCCTGGTACAGGAGAGCTCTGGGACCACAGATGGAGAAAGTGTAAGTGCATGAAATAAATAAGGGGCCACACAATTTATATTATGAGCAGGAGAACTTGGGTTCCTCATGTTTCTTAAGTCTGTGCCTATTAAATTCTTATTTTCCAGAAGTCAGTTTATGAAGACATGAATTTTAGGGAACATTGGCAGAATCCCAACACTTTGTTTCATCTTTATAGCTGTATCCAGCCTGTATTTACAGACATAACCTGAGCATTCTAATGAGGATAAATACCTTTCAAATAAATATTTTAAACCAAATGTTTATAACAAAATTATATCTCCATACACAATGACTGTGGAGTAGAATTTTAATCACCAACAAAAAGAATTCCAGCTCACTATAGTCCTAAATCTGCATTTCCTTCTCCAACAAACCTCTCCACATGATGAACTTTTCTATATATTTTAATTTGATGATAGACTAGTAGTATCTTATGAAATGATCACATGTGACATAATTCAAATCATTAGAATGACAAAATATATTGTTTTTAATTTAAAAAGCAGTAGATTTTCATCAGAAGCATGGCATAAATAGGAGGCATTTGTTATGTTCAATGTAGCTTCTATAGAAATTGTGATGCTTGAGCTTTTTGTGGCTGGCTAAGAAACACTCCACGATTCAGGCATTCACTTCACTGTCTGCCCATTTCTATTCCCATTGGTTTCCCAAAGTGTGAACAATATCTTCACAACTTGTGACCCTCCAATTACAGCCAGATTCCAGAACTGTGTTTGTAGGGCCCACAATACGAGTGCAAATATAGTTCCACATCCCATATTTCAAATGTTGAAAAGATCTAATCTTCTAAACTTGACAAATAGATTTTCATAACACCTAGAAAAAAAAGGCGAGGTTAAAATGTAGTATTTCAGACTGCTGCATGTTTTCTCACCAGAATGTGATAGCATAGTGGGAGTCAGTTCCCTGGCCCATACTCTACCCTTCTCCTCTAGCTCCTCACTTTATCTTGACCGCAATATACATATTCATTCTCATGTGTATGGGTATGGCTACCTTGTTTCTTCAGTCCAAGCTCTATCAATATTCATGCAAGAAGCTACTCCTTTTCAGGCCTCATGCATAGTGATTTGAACATTGGAAGCTTTAGGGTTGTTTGGGTGAAGAATTTTGGGTTCTTAATTTCCTAGGACACAGTCTAGAAAGGCATGGCAGGGGATCCAGGTTGACATGTCCTTTGGCCTTGTGACTTTTGCTCCAGGAGAAGTAGAAGTTCCAGAAGTGGACCAGAGCAGGTCCCTTAGACATTGCCAGGTTTAAGAATGATACAGTTTAGGCCTATAGTTTTAGAGGGTGTTTCTAAACAAGAAATATATGTCTTCGTCTTACTGGCAGTAGTAAAATAACAGAACTGAGGTTATACTAACTTAAAAATTATAAATTTGAAATTTCTGTTATAGTATTATACTACTCATTATCACTATTACTATTATTGCTACTATAATATTATTATGATTATTATGTTAATCAGTATAGTACTAATATGTATGTGCTGGCTTTTAAAATTAATACATACAATTTATACATATTTATGGGGTACATGTGATATTTCAATACATGCATACAAAGTATAATGATCAAATAAGAGTAACTGGTATAACTATCATCTCAAACAATTGATTTATTTGTATTGAGAACTTTTCAAATTTTCTAGCTATTTTGAATATACTGTACATTCTTGTTAACTGTAGTCACCCTACTGTGCTATTGAACACTAGAACTTATCCCTTCTAACTGTATTTTCATACTCATGAACCAACCTCGCTTCATACTTCCCCCCGCTTACGCTTCCCAGCCTCTGGTAACCACTATGCTACTCACTATCTCCATGAAATCCACTCTTTTAGCTCCCTCATTTGAGTGAGAACATGTGGTATTTGGTTTGCTGACTTATCATAATGTTCTCCTGTTCTATCCATGTTGCTGTAAATGACAAAATTTCATTCTTTTTTATGGCTAGATAATATTTCATTGTGTATATATACCATATTTTCCTTATACATTCATTTGTTGGTGGACACTTAAGTTGAGTTCATATCTTGGTTATTGTGAATGATGTTACAGTAAACATGGCAGTGCAGCTATCTCTTTGATATATTGATTTCTTTTCCGTACTGATATACTGATTTCATTAGCCAGATGTGGTGACAGGCACCTGTAATCCCATCTACTTGGGAGGATGAGGCATGAGAACCGCTTGATATGCATAGCAAAGGAAAATATCAACAAAGTGAAGAGACAACCTACAAAATGGGAGAAAATATTTGCAAGCTATCCATTAAGCAAGAGATTAATTACCAGTATGTATGAGAAACTCAAACAACTCAGTGGCAAAAACAAACAAACAAATAATTCTATTTAAAAATGGGCAAAAGATCAGAATAGAAATTTCTCAAAAGAAGACATACAATTGACTATCAGGTATATAAAAAATGTTCAACATCACTAATCACCTGGGAAAGGCAAATCAAAATCACAGTTAGATATTATTTCAGTCTCATTAAAAAAGCTATGATGAAAAAAAAACAGAATAACAGACTGGTGAGGATGTGGAGAAAGGAGACTGCTTGTACATTGGTGGTGGGAATAAAAGTTAATACAGAAACTTTGAAAAACAGTGTGGTTTTTCAAAAACTAAAAAATAGAACTACCATATAATACATAGTGGATTTAAAACAATCTATTAATCTTAATATGTGCAAAAGTCTTTAAGAAAACCCACATATCTGTCACATGGAACTGATACCACGCCAGAATCCCAGCACTTTGGGAGACTGAGGCGGGCGGATCACTTGACCTCAGGAGTTTGAGACCAGACTGGCCAACGTGGTGAAACCCCGTCTCTAATAAAAATACAAAAATTAGCCAGATGTGGTGACACGCACCTGTAATCCCATCTACTTGGGAGGATGAGGCATCAGAACCGCTTGAACCTGGGAGGCAGAGGTTGAAGTGAGCCAAGATCCTGCCCCTGCACTCCAGCCTGGGTGACAGAGGGAGACTCTGTCAAAAAAAAAAAAGGAAAAAAAAGAAAAATCCTGGAGGGATTCATATAAGTCTTTTTTGTATGTTAGGGCCAGATTTGGTTATTTCACATATGAAAATGAATAATGATATTATACAATCTAGATATAAAAAAATTCCTTTTGGTTTCATTGGTTGAATTATTTATTCAAAGTAACAGCTGTAAGAAAGGATGTTTTGATGATATCAAGAAATGTAAAGATCTCACTTAAACTATGGAATCCAAAGATTAGAACCACAGAATCTAAATTAAGCCTTCCTGTTAATGAGTTTCACTTATTAAATTTCTCATGACAGTAGAATATTGGTTTTTATTTAGCAAGATTACCTTAAATTATCAAAATTTTCTGAACAATTGACTTTGTTTTTTGGTTTTTTGATTTATTTATTTATTTATTTATTTATTTATTTATTTATTTATTTATTTTTGAGACAGAGTCTCACTGTGTTGCCCAGGCTGGAATGCAGTGGAGCAATCTCGGCTCACTACAACCTCCACCTCCCAGGTTCAAGTAATTCTCCTGCCTCAGCCTCCCGAGTAGCTGGAACTACAGGCACGCACCACCACGCTTGGCTAATTTTTTTGTATTTTTATTAGAGATGGGGTTTCACCATGTTGGCCAGGCTGGTTTTGAACTCCTGATCTCAAGTGATCTGCCTGCTTCAGCCTCCCAAAGTGCTAGGATTATAGGTGTGAGCCACCATGCCCAGTTGACTTTGTTGTTCTTTTTAAACTCAGAAGTGATTTATATCTTTTTTTGCAAACTTGCTTCAATGTGATTTTCCCAGCATACTTACATTATTATTAAATCTAGTATTCAGTCTGATAAATCTTCTAAATATACAGATAAAAAAATTGTAATAAAAAAGTAAGGTGTCCCATTGCATCAATATTACTCAGAAAAAACTGAGCAGAATTCAATTTGTGTATGTGTGTATGTGTGTCATATAACAGAGGTGAATTTGAATAAGGAAAACCAGGTGGTAAGATTACAGTCATTTTTTTTAACCTATGTAATTAATTTTTGCTTTTAGGACTATGAAGATAAAGTTTTGTCTCCTGTCATCATAGGAAATGTAAGTTTACAAAACCCTATCTGTTTAAGTGCACACATTGGATTCTGTCAAGAGAAAATATTGTATGTTAACTGCTGTATGTAAGTTAATTGACACTATCAATAAAGAAGTATCAGTAATGAAGAAATCCCAGTTACTAAATAGGACAAAGATGAAGACCAACTGTTTTAAGACAGAAGAAGACACATGTTACATTTGGTGGCTCTGTTTAGTAAAAGTGATCAAGTACCATATTAGAAACTTATAACTGCACAATATGGTATAAATAAAAGAGAGAAGTACACACTAAGGGGGGAAGGTTTGAATCCAGAATGCTCCTCTAATTGAGAATATCCCACTGAGATTCTCTGAGCAAGGTGTAACAGCAATAACAAATTACATCCTGGAAGGTTACAAAATTATTGTCAGGATTGTGGAGTTGACATATGAGGTATTGATGACCAAGTGTAGGTATGAGCAAGGCAAGGAGCTGAAGAACTGTAAGGCTATGTTAAATGTTAACATATGTTATGTTAAATGAGACATTTGCTAATTTTTCATAGTGATTCTCAATTCTGCCTGTATATTTGAAACACCTGGAGAAGTCTTAAAAATGCCAGTGCTTAAGTCCAATCCTGATCAATTTAATCACTTTTTGGTAGTGAGTTTTCTGTGGTTTTATTTATATTTCAAATCTCCCTGCAGCCAGTGTTGGGCAATATTGATTTAGAATTGCAATAGAACTGGGTAGCAGAGCTGACATTGAGAGAGGTGCCTAAATCTTCAAATAAACAAACACAAAGTGCAGATGTCACTATGACAGAATTAGTCCATGGATTCTTGTATACCCATTAATTGAAAAGAAAATGGGACAATACACGCCGTACACAAAATGTTTCATATACTATGACAACAACCATGTCACTATGAATACATACTAATTAAACAACAAATGCACATTATTTAAATTTTACCTGTAAAATTGTAAACATTTGTTTAAGTAAGATGGTAGGACTTTGCATAAAATATGTTATTTCTTTAATGTTACCACAATGTTGCTTTAATCAATATGTTTTTGAAAATAAAATGTAAGATATTACTTTAAAAAATAAAAATTGGTTTACCAGCATGAGACACCGGCATTTAACTTTTAATCAAGACTCTATAGTAGCCAAACTCATGGAAAGGAAGCAAAAGTCATAGCTATTTCTGTTGGGAATAGTCAGTTTTTCATGCAAGGCATGATTAGATTTCCTTAACGTATCTTTAAGAACTGCCAGTGCTAGCTTTATATCAGTTCATAAAGCAAAGTCAGCTCTCCAGTTCCTCTCTTCTTCCATCTCTAATCCTTTCAATGCTTATGTCAGAATGCAACTTTATTTAAGGAGTAAGTGCTTGACCAACCACCACCTTACTATGTTGTGGACATTTTTGAAGATGTCAAGGATGTCAAGACAAAGAGCAACATCAGAAGGTTAAAAACTACAGAATTTAGAGTTACCTGAGCCTGGATACAAATACTATCTCTATCTCAAACTGTAATCACCACAACAAACACCCCCCATACTGTTCAGCTCCCACTATCCTGCATTACTCACTTTATTTAATGTCTGTCTCCCGCATTGCTGTCCATGGGCTATTTCAGATTCTTGACTTTGCTGTATAAAACATTTTGAGTTAATCCAAAGTAAGAGTAGGCAAACAAGTTTATTACAAAGCAAAAGCACAATCTGAGAGGTGAACAACCTCCTCAAAGAGAGAGATAGCTCCTAGTGCCTTAAGGAGACTGTACATACATATTCATAAAATACTAGGGATGTCAGCTATACAAAGGTGAACCTGCTGTTGGTGCAGGCACTTAGCATCTACATGCTCTAATACGCATTGCATGTATTATTAACATATAAAATCTCCACTGAGGGGTGTGTTTTACTATTAAAATGAGAAAAAGTTACTGTAAGGTAAACTTTGAGTCTAGCTGTGCATTCAGAATCCTGAGAAGGCAGAAATTTGTAGCTCATAGTTTCTTTAGCTTTTGGTGCTGATTGGCTGGAGATTAGGGAAGCTACAACATGAATAAGGGGCTTTTGTTCTCTTTCTCAGGACTTAATGTAACCAAATAGCAATGGGCTGGTGTCCTGTAGGACCACTTATCTTGCAAAAGAGTTAGGTGCTGACTCACAAGGGTGCAAGGAATGCAAAAGGAACCCGCAATGCTTCACACAGGGAACAAGTCCTACCCTACTTATCCTGCCTCACTACCACAGGCATATGGGCTCAATGATGACAAAAACTTTATTTTTTTGTTAATTAAAATAGCTTCATAGAAGGTACTGAATATGATTTATTATTGAGGGAGCTCAGAAACAGCATCCCAGTGTCAGTTGACTCCCTGATCATTTGCCTTATCTATAGTTTTACTTAAAGTTAGACTCAGTAAGTTCCAGAAACAGAATTTGAATACTAGGCTTACATGAGTCCAAATTCCATGCTGGTGCTATGGATTTTTTTTTTTTTTTTTTTGAGATAGAGTCTCGCTCTGTTGCCCAGGCTGGAGTGCAGTGGCACGATCTCGGCTCACTGCAAGCTCCACCTCCCAGGTTCACGCCATTCTCCTGCCTCAGCCTCCCTCCTGAGTAGCTGGGACTACAGGTGCCCGCCACCATGCCTGGCTAATTTTTTTTGCATTTTTAGTGGAGACAGGGTTTCACTGTGTTAGCCAGGATGGTCTCGATCTCCTGACCTCATGATCCGCCCGCCTCGGCCTCCCAAAATGCTGGGATTACAGGCGTGAGCCACCATGCCCTATGGATTTTTAAAGCTGCAATGCATGCTTTCATCTCAAATAATTTGCACTTACCATTTCTTCAGCCTAAAATATTTCTCTGGAAGATAACAAGATGTCTTTTCTTTAGTTCTTTATTCAGATGCCAGGAAAATCAAGACCAACATGACTGAAGCAGCATGTAACTGAACAGGCTTTTTCTCTAAGTGAGGTGGAAGGTTGTTGGAGTCATTCAACAAAGAATGACAATACTTGCTTCATGTTTTAATATGGTCGCTGTGATTAAACTATTGGGACCAGTCCAAAAGTAGGAAATGGCTGAAGCCATGTTAGAAAATTACTGAATTAATTCAGAAGAGACATGACTATGACTTGGATGAGGGTCATAGCATAGATGTGAAGTGGTTTGGAGCCTGGTTATTCATTGGCTGTAGAGCCAATGGGTTGTAATGTAGGAATAGGTGTAGTATAAAGAGATGATTCAGTTGGTTCCTAGGCTTTTGGCTTGAGGAACTGGAAGTATAGATTTGCTATTTACTTTGTTCCAGAAAAGAAAAGAACCAAACTGGGGTGTAGAAGAGATTAGAAATTCAGTTCTGTTCATGTTAAACTTAAGATGTCTATTAAATATACAAGTGTTTATGGTGAGTAAGATACGTAAGTGTAGACTTCAGAGAATAGGTCTGGGTGGGATATTTAAGTTTGGAAGTCACCAGCATAGATAGCATATTTAAAGTGCCTAGATGAGATTGCCTGTGGAGTGAATATAGATGGAGAGAAAACTAAGTATTTAAAAGGAACCCTGCAGATCCATGTTTAGACATTACAGAGATGAGGAAGAACCAGCAGGCAGACTCAGAAATAAGCAAGTGGAAATAGGTGATGTCCTCATAGCCAAGTGTCAAGGAGAAGGGAGTGATGGACTGGATCATAACTGCTTATGAGAAAGAATAGAAATTAAGAACTATTAGACCATTCTTCTTTCTACATGTCAGATTAGTTTTCTCATACTGGCAACCTCCACGTTGCTGAAAGAACACCAACATGGTGATCTTGCCATGGCAACCCTCACACCTTAGTTATAACAGGAAAAGCAATATTTCTAAGATAAAATTACATGTTTCTGCAATAATAGTTTATTACTTAATAAGAGTGCACTAAATATGTCAACTTCTATTTATTTCTCATTCTTTCGGAAGAAATAAGAATTGATCTTTTTATGTTAGTGCTTCTGTTAGGCAGGTAAGGAACTGTAATCTCTCTTCAAACTAGATTTCTAGTATTTAAGTACATGGGCCTTTAGGTCTATACTTAACTTTAACTGTCTTAGTGTCTCTTCTCCAGATAAAAAAAGATTATAATGAACATACCTCCTAAGTTCTCTACCTGTTTAAACTTGCATTTTTAATTCATAAAAATTCTGAGGTAGGCAATATTATTATCATGAATTTACAAATAAAGAATACCAAACACACACACATACAACATTTTATGTGAAGCTAAGCAACTTAACCAAAGGCATAGAGGCAGTTTGCGTTAGAGTTTAAATGTAGATCTGTTTAATTACAAAATGTATGATTTTTTCAATCTTGACACATTCAAGTTGATTTTCTTTGACTCAAACTGTGGGCTAATTTATTGTTAATATCTGTGCTATCTCTCTTTAGTAAAACTTACTTCTTCAACTCATGTCTTTGGCTAATATGAGATTGAGATCTAATATCAGCTTTGAGCTACAAGAGTTATAGGAGGTTGCATGATTTAGAGCAAAAGCATGTTGTGGAATGAGATAGACTGGGTTCAAATCTGAACAACTATTTCATAACTGGTATAACTAGAAACAATATTGAATCTCTATACTCTCAGTGCTTTCATCTGTCAATTAAGAGTATTACTGTACCATCTTCATGAAATTGTTTGTGTGTTAAATGAGATGACAATGAAAATATCTAAAACAGTTTCTGGCCTAAGATATGTGCAGAACAGTAATAAACCCAGAAGGAAGGAGGGAGAGGCCAGTGCTACAGAGGGACTGGACAATAACTGGAACCACATGACTTATTATTGGAGAATAACCTTAGAAGATTGCAAATTTAGTTCTTAGAGAACTAGAAATATCATCCAGGTAGTCTAAGTAGACTCTGAGGGATGGAGATTGAAGGAAGGATGAGTTGTAAGTATCAAGATCTTTGATACATTATTGGTTATTGGTAAAATGCAGTCTATGTTGGCAGTAACACTGGAAATAGGTTTTAGCACCTTATGCATTGAACAGTACTAGAAACTACATATAGGAATTAAGCTATACGCAATCTCTCTGGTATACTCTGCAGGACTCCAATCCTAGTATGCAAATAGAGTGGGAATTAGTGCTTTATAGGCAATTATTCAGATTGGCCTTGCCCTTTCTCTGTGGGAGGTTTGGAAAATGAACTTATCTCTAGGCTCATGCAAAGTCGATAGGCATCTGTGTTTACACTTGGTCTCATGGCAGTAAATTATTTCTGGTTCCTACTAATCTGTACTCTACACTGGGCTGTTCTTGGCTGTCAGCCTGGGACCGGCTAAGCCTATAGTTACCACATTAATTTTCTTCATAATTGGGTAGGCTATAGGAAAATAGAAAAGAATTAATAGCCATTCATTTTGGATTCTGTCATTTATGTGCAGAGAAAGATTAGAGAATTTCTAGATGCATTATGGAGCACATCACACAGTATGATGAAAGTTAAATTTCTGGAAGAAGAAGTGAAATATATTGCTATAAACAAATTATTTGATATAGATGATTGACTACATTAAAGCTGAATAGCTTTTAGATTGTCTGAAAATTTAAAGTCTCTGAGGTTTATGAACTTTAACAGCAGAGAGTATGATCATCCTGACTTTCTGCTGAGCATGGAAGATTCAAAATAGTGAGTGGATGCAGCAGACATTTTCCTTATTTCATTTCTGCTGCCATGCATGAGAGTTAAACTCAGTGATTTTTTTTTTCAATGCATGATACATTTAACTGAAAAGAAAGTTAAATATCTCATATCATCAATTAAAAACTGTATGTTAAGCCAGGGACTATTAAGATTTCATTCTGTAAAGTATTCCACTGCTTGTGATTTTGAATATTTTGTTTCTAGAATGTACAAGGTGTCCAGTGCTCATATTCGTGAACATAAATTATATCAGGAGTTTCAATTACACACAGAAGAATGTGGGGCTGATATTCAAAATCAGATAAATAGTATTTTCATTTAATGTTATATTAATGATATATGGTTATTTTCATAGACATCCCTAATATGAAAATAGTGAACCTTTAAATTTATTAAAATGTATCGCCCATAGTAAAAGGCATCATCTGATATTTTAATTTCAAGCAGATTAATTACTAATGTATTTGGTTACTAGAAATAATTCTGATCAGTGAAAACTTACAAAATTGGGTTCACCAATTGAAATTAGTTCAGTATACTGTGCAATTAAAAAACAGTTCAACTGCATGAACGTTCAAATAATTTTTTAAATAAACACAAAAGCAAATTGAGAACTGGGATAAAATACAAGTTCAAGAGGTATTGTTACAGTAAGTAGCTAGTCAGGCATGAGTGGGGCAGAAGAGGGCTCACCACATCCACCAGGAATTCAGGCATCCATCAGATGATAGTCCAACAGTCGTCCTACTGTCTCTCTAAAATGATAATTGGTTGTAGCCGGCACCAGGGAGAGGCAGTTTCCTGATGGTCTGGCAGTTGTTACACTAAAATGATAATTGGCCACAGCTGGCACCAGGGAGAGGCAATTTCCCAACAGATAAAGACACTTGAAATTGGTGATTGACAACCTCCAATAAAAAGTCAGGAATTAGGCCAGTGGGCTGGTGCATGCTCATTAAGAGACAAAATGGCAGAATATGACCATCTGGGAGCATTCTACCGGAGAAGGGAAGAAAGTCTCAGGTGAGCTTACATATACAACTTCTTAAACACACTGCAGCCTCACCTCCCAAGCACAAGGAGGGCACTTCACATGCGGGCAGCTCACCCTAAGGGAAGAATGAAGGGAAAGGGGGCAAGATGCCGGAAGTGGACCAGTATATAAGGTCCTGGGTTCAAGATTAAATAGGGCATTTAATCTCGAGGGTACCCACTTGGGTCTCTTCCAAGCGTACCTTCCTTTCTTTCCTGCTGTGAAGCTTTTTGATAAACTTACACACCTGTTCTTAAACTTGCCTTAGTCTCTTTTTCTGCCTTATGCCCCTCATGCCAACTGTTTCTTGTAAGGAGGCAAGAATTGAGGTTGCTGGAGACCTGTACAGATTCGCCACTGGTGACTCAGATATTAGCTGCCCCTGACAGTATTGTTATTGAAATATACAATAAAAAGTATCTTATGGAAATGAAGAAATTGTTTTATAACACGAGTTTTTCCATGAATAAAACTTGTGAAATATGAGAAACATTTTGTTTGTAGGCAGTGGTGAGTGAACAAAAGCAGGTTGAAACCGAAGAGGATTCAACCTATTAAAAACAAACAAACAAACAAACAAAAACATACTGGGCGATATTACCCTTTATGTAGTTTTCTTCCTGAAGGCCCAGTTCAGTCTGCAAGCAATTGGGAGCTAGAACTCAAGTAAAGCACAATACTTTTGACCGAAATTGAAGATAAGCATTGGGGTTGTCTGGTGGGCTAGAAATTGAAGGATAAGGAATGATGCAAGGAGGAAACCAAAGAGATAGAAAGCACCAGCGTCTGCATGTAAATTCATCTTAAAAGCTTTGGTAACCCTGGGCTACACATGAATGCAGAAGACTCTGAGGAAACTGATGGAAAAAAATATTTGGAAAGCAGAAAACCCTTAGAAGAAATTTCGGTTCTCTCCATCAAAGGAGGCAGTCTGGAATTTGAGTTCTCTGATTAAAAGACCTTGGTTAAAATATTGGGCTTTCCCCAAACTGACACAATCAAAAGTTAAAAGTGATCATTCATTGGTATAATTGATTATAATATCTTCAGAAAGATATATTATAACCTAGAATTTTAAAGCATTTTATTCACAATATGTAATATGTAATAATTATTTAAAATAAAAGAAACTAAATTTTCATATGTAAAAGAAAAGCAATCAAAAGATACATAGCTATATCTGACTCAGATACTGAAATAGCAGATAAAGAACTTTAAGGTGGCTAAATTAGTTATGTTCAAGGCTTAAATTAAAAGATGGACATATTAAGGAAACCAATGGAGAATCTTGGAATAAAACTGGGATCTACTGAAACAAACAAACAAAAATAAACAAATAGAATTTCTACAATTTAAGAGTACACAGTCTGAAATGAAAAATGTACTTAGTGTGCTTTACAAGATACTAGAGATGACAGAATACAGGGACAGTGAACTTGAAGAGATCAAATAACTTCTGGGAAAATATCAAGTGGTCTAACATCTGTATAATTCCAGTCCCAGAAAGACAAAATAGAAAGAATAGGAAAAAAAATTATATATATATATATATATATATATATATATATATATATATACAGAAAAGGAAGGAAGACTAAAAATGTGCCCAATTCATCCTGGCCAACATGGCGAAATCCTGTCTCTCTTAAAAACACAAGAATTAGCCAGGCATGGTGGAGGGTGCCTGTAATCCCAGCTATTTAGGAGGCTGAGGCAGGAGAATCACTTGAACCTGGAAGGCGTAGGTTGCAGTGAGCTGAGATTGCACCACTGCACTCCAGCCTGGGCAACAGAGTGGGACTCCGTCTCAAAAAGAAAAAAATAAAAATAGAAATAAAAAAGAAACCCAATTTAGTGAAAAGCATGGCTTTATAAAGCCAAGAAGCTTGGCAAATCCTGAATAAATAGAAAGAAAACCACACATAGGCATATCATAGTCTAGATATTTAAAGATGAAGAGGAAAAACCTTGAAGATCAGGAAAACAGAATATATTTAAACTTGGGAATAATGACACAAATGACAGTGGATGATTTCAATGAAAGTCATAAGACAGTAAATCTTTAAAGTGTTGAAAAATAAACAAACAAACCAGTTTCAACCTAATTCCTAACATCCAGCAAAACCATCTTTCAAAAAATGAAGGTTGAATAGAGACATTTTCAGGTAAGTTATAGTTGAAAGAATTCAGGACCAGGAAATCTGTCCCTAAAGAAAGACAAAAATGGTTTTTTTTGTTTGTTTGTTTGTTTTTTTCTTTTTATTCGGAGACAGTCTCACTCTGCTGCCCAGGCTGCAGTGCAGTGGCATGATCTCAGCTCACTGCAACCTCTGCCTCCCGGTTTCAAGCAATTCTCATGCCTCAGCCTCCCAAGTAGCTGGGACTACAGGTGCCAGCCAGCACATCTGGCTAATTGTTTGTATTTTAGTAGAGATAAAGCTTCATTATGTTTCCCAGGATGGTCTCAAACTCCTTAGCCCAGGCAATCCACCCGCCTCGGCCTCTCAAAGTGCTGGGATTACAGGTGTGAGCCACAATGCCTGGCCTAAAAGTACGCTTTTTAAACAGAAAGGACATGGCCATGAAGGTAATTTTCAGCAACAAAGAAAGGAGTAAAAAGAACCAAAAAAGGAAAATGTGTTAGTAAATACTTTTACACGATTTTAAAACAAGAGAACTGACAATTTAAAACAAAAATTAGGGCTGGCTGCTGTGGCTCATGCCTGCAATCCCAGCACATTGGGAGGCCCAGGCAGGCCGATGGCTCGATCTGAAGAGTTTGGAACCAGCCTGGGCAACATGGTGAAACTATGTATTTTTCTACAGAAAAATACAAAAATTAGTTGAGTGCAGTGGTACGCTCCTGTAGTCCCAGCTACTTGAGAGGCAGAGGCAGGAGAATCACTTGACCCCGGGAGGAAGAGGTTGCAGTGAGCAGAGAACGTGAAATTGCACTCCAGCCTGAGCGACCAGAGTGAAGCATTGACATAAAAAAAAAAATTGTATTGTATTGTTGGTCTTTTATTATTTGCAAATATGAAATATGTCATAATAATAGCATAAAATGATGGGTTAATAGAAATATACTGCAATAAGTTTATTATATTTTAATTAAAAAGAGAAAATATTTATAAGAATACTATAAAAGATGAGTGGATATTTTAATCCTTAGAAGAACTATAAAAGATTATAAAAAGATTTACTGGAAAATTAGTAGAGCACTTACAATGAAATGATAAAAATATTTAATTCATTCATAATTCTGCTTATCAAAAGTCATTGTTATTAAAGCGAAAATGCAATTCAAAAGCTGAGAAAAATATTTATAATACATAATGACAATTTTTATTTTCATTTTTACCACTTGTATCTAAAATATATAAAGCGCTCAAACAAATAAATTATAAAGAGACTGACACTTTCTTAAAAATTCAGTCTATAATTACCTCATGAACTAGCAATTCCACTCCTAAGTACCTAGGCAAGAGAAATGAAAGCATATGGCTACAAAATGTCTGGCACAATAATGTTTATAATACCTTTATTCATAATAGTCAGACATTTAAAAATAACTCAAATTTCATCATAAGATAATTAATAAATGTGGCACATTCAGTCAATGGAGTATTATTCCAAAAAATAGTGCTAGTGCTACAACAATATGAATAAATTGAAAAGATATGATGAGCAAAAAAAGACAGTCACAGAAGAGTTTATACTATTTGACTCCATTTATTTGAAGTTCAAGAAAAGGCAAAAGAAATCTTAGTGATAGAATTTGAGAAGTGGTTGCCTACTGGGAATGTGGATTGACTGTAATGGGACTGATATAAGGTGATGTAAAAATTATCCCTTTTGATAATGATTTTGGCTACAAAGGGCTGTATATTTAGTTAGACTTATCAACTAATGAAAATCAAATTTATGATTTTACTATTTGCAAGTATTGCCTAGATCAAAAAATTAAATAAATTATGCAATTTTGTTTGACTCCTTGAGGTTCTATATAAAGCATTTTTTTCTTGCTAATATTCCTGTTGGGTCAAATAATTTTTAAAGTTACTTTTTATCAACCTAAAAGTAAATAGTCTCATAAATATTTATTTCATTATTATTGCTTTTATTATTTATAAAATGTCAATAATGAATGTGATAGTTTACAAATAAAGTTTACACATCTAAGACTTTACAATTCAAATATAAGAGATACTGACACTAAGAAATGCCATGTTGCTAATGTGAGCAAACATAAGATTAGTATACATCTGTTTTATTGCTTCTGTGTCTTTTGTATTTCTCCCTATATTTTTTTGTATTATATTTGGAAAAGACATTACAGGAACTCCTATTTAAAGAGCTTTATAAAAAAGTTCACAGATGACTTAAGATATCACATGCTCCTGAAACCTGGGGGCTTTCTTCGTGGGTAGCTATTCAAAGTCTATTTCAGTACATAAATGAAATATGGATTCAAGTTGAGGAAGTCTTTGTATTAAATACACTAAAAGATAGATAGGAAATGCATTGTAACATTTGGTCTTGTATTTCTTCAGAAAGTCTATGTGTGTTTATCTGTATATTTATCTACGTTTTAATGTATACATGTATATATATTTAGATATATGTGTGTCTCACACACATATACATATACTTATATACAGTCTAACACTGTATTCATGGGTTCCACATCTGTAGATTCAACCAACTTTGTATTGAAAATATTTGGAAAAAGGGCAGAGCAAGATGGTGGAATAGAAGCATACATTGTTTCTCTCCCCTACTGGAACACCAAATCTTAATTATCTGCACACAGAAAAGCACCATCACAAGAACCAAAAATCAGGTAAACAATCACAGTACCTATTTTTAACTGCATTTCTCTGAATGAGGAATTGAGGAGAGCAGGAGAGACAGTCTGGATGGTGATGCCACCCCTCCCCCATCCCCCCGCAGTGACACGGAGAGACAATCTGGGCATTTCGGGGAGGGAGGGTGCAGTGACTGAAGGACTTTATATTGAACTCAGTCCTGCCCTGTCACAGCTGAAAATAAAGCCATACTGATCTCGGCTGTCACTCGAGTATGGAGGGAGCATTTGTGTGTGCTCTAACTAGAGAGGACTTGCCCTTCCCAGTGGTCACCGTGGGTTGAAATGCAGTTTGGTCCTAGGTAAACATGAAAAACAGTCTAGAACACAAGGACTGCAATTCCTCGCCAACTCCTACTGCTAGGGTGGACCTAGAGCCAGTAGATTACAGTGGTACATGACTTAAGGAAATAGCAGCTGACCTGCTAAGGTAGTTTGTACCATCTCTCCCCCAACCCCAAGCAGTGCAGCTTGCAGAAACAAAAGTGACTCTTTCCTTCTGCTTCAGGAGAGAAGAGTGAAGATTAAAGATGACTTTGTCTTGCATCTTGGATACCAGCTCAGCTACAGCAGGATAGGGCAGCAGGCAGAGTCATGAGGCCTCCATTCCAGGCCCTAGCTTCTCAACAACATTTCTAGGCACACTCTGGGCCAAAAGGGAACCAGCTGCCTTGAAGGGAAGGAAACAGACCTGGCATAATTCATCACTTTCTGACTAAAGAGCCCTTGGGCCCTGAATAGCCAGCAGCAATAACTAAGTATTATGCCATGAGTCTAGGGTTCCGAGATGTGTGGCTTCAGGAGTGACCTAGCACATTTCCATCTGTGGTGGCAATGATGAAAGATTCCCTTGGTTTAAGGGAAAAGTAAAAGGGACTTTATCTTGCACCTTAGGTACCAGCTTGGCCACAATGAGGTATAGCAGCAAACAGGATCTTGGTGGTCCCTGAGTCCAGGCCTAGGCTCTTGGAGAGCACTTCTGGATCTGTCCTACACCCAAAGGGGAGCAGCCTCCCCTGAACTGAGTCCCAGCCCTGGCAGCGTTCACCACAAGCTGAAAAAAGAACCTTTGGGCTTTAAGTGAACATCAGTGGTGACCTGGCAGAACCCTCCAAGGACTGGTGGTGGTGGAGGCCACTGGAAGAGGATCCTCTGCTTGTGGAAAAGAGAGAAAAAAGCAGGAAAAATTTTGTATTGTCATTTGAGTGCCAGCTTAGCCGCAGTGGAACAGGACATCAGGTAAACTGCTAAGGTTTTTGACGCCAATCGCTGGATCCCAGAAAACATCTCTGGACATGCCTGGGGCCTGGGGAAACTCACCACCCTGGAGGGAAAGGTCTTGGGCAGGACCCATCACCATGCCAGCTTCCGTTCTGACCCAGTTGCAGTCCCAGTGGTGATGGCCACAGTGGTGCTTGCATCAACACACCCCCAGTTCCAGGTGGCTCAGTGCGCACGCGCACACACACACACACACACACACACACACACACACTTCATTTGTTTAGTAGAAAGTAATGGAAAAAACAAGAGCGCCTGCCTGGTAATCCAAAGAATTCTTCTGAACGTCATACAAAACCACCAAGTAATACCTCCAGAGCTTGCAAAAACCACAGTGTTATTGGACTTTAGGCCCAAGTCCCTTTGAATACCTGGAAAGTTATTCTAAGAAATACAGGCATAAACAAGCCAAGACTGTGAAGACTACAACAAACATCTAACTCTTCAATACCTAGACACAAACAAATATCTACAAGCATCAACACCATCCATGAAAACATGACCTTACCAAATGACCTAAATAAGGCACCTGCAACCAGTCCTGGAGAAACAGAGATAGGTGAACATTCAGACACAGAATTTTAAATAGCTGTTTTGAGGAAACTAAAAAAAAATTAAGATACACAGAAAAGGCATTAAGAATTCTGTCAGAAAAATTTATCAAAGAGATTAAAATAATGTTAAAAAAATCAAGCAGAAATCCTAGAGCTTAAAAATGCAATTGACATGCTGAAAAATGTATGAGAGTCTCTTAATAGCAGAATTGACCAAGCAGAAGAAAGAATTAGTGAGCTTGAAGACAGGCTATCTGAAAGTACAATTAGAAGAGACAAAAGCAAAATGAATTTTAAAAAAAGCATACCTACAGGATCTAGAAAATAGCCCTTTCAAAAGGGCAAATCTAAGAGTTGTTGACCTTAAAGAGAAGGTAGAGAAAGAGATGGGAGAAAAAGGCTTATTCAAAGGGATAATATCAGAGAACTCTCAAAGCCTAGAGGAAGATATCATCGTTGAAGTACAAGAAGTTTATAGAACACAAAGCAGATATAAACCAAATAAGACTATTTTAAGGCATTTAATAATCAAACTCTCAATGGTCAATGAAGAAATCCTAAGAGCAGCAAGAAGAAAGAAACAAACAGCATGCAATGGAGCTCCAATACATTTGGAAGCAGCCTTTTCAGTTAAAATCTAAAAGGCCAGAATATAGTGGCATGACATATTTAAAGAAATTAAGGGAAAAAACCTTTTACCCTAGAGTAGTAAATCACTTGAAAATATCATTTAAATGTGAAGGAGAAATAAAGACTTTACCAGACAAACAAAAGCTGAAGAATTTCATCAACCGAGACCTGTCCTATACAAAATGCTAAAGGGAGTTCTTTAATCTGAAAGAAAATAATGTTAATGTGCAAAAATAAATCATCTAAAAGTAAAAAGCTCACTGGTAATAGTCAGCACACAAAAAAACAGAATAGTATAACATTGTGATTATGGTTCATAAACTCCTCTTGTCTTAAGTAGAAAGACTAAATGATGAACCAATCAAAAATAATAACTATGAAAACTTTTCAAGATTTAGACTGTACAATAACACATAAAGAGAAGCAAAAAATTTATAAAGGTCGGGGGATGAAATTAAAGTGGAGTTTTATTAGTTTGCCTTTTGCATGTCTATTTCTGCAATCAGTGTTAAGTTATCCTCAGTGTGAAACAATGAGTTATATAACAGTATTTATAAACCTTATGGTAACCTCAAATTGGAAGAACATACAACTGACACAAAAAAGCATACAACTGATACAAATTAAAGCTTACCACCAGAGAAAAGCACCTTCTCTAAAAGGAAGACAAGAAGAAATAAAAGAAGGAAGAGGAGACTATAAAACAACCAGAAAACAAATAACAAAATGTCAGGAGTAAATCCCTACTTATCCAATTACGTTGGATTTAAATGGACTCAAGTATTCAGTCAAAAGACACACAGTGACTGAATGGATGAAAAGAAACAAGACCGAATAATCTGTTGCCTACAAGAAACATGCTTCACTTATGAAGATACTGTATTAGTCTGTTCTTGCATTGCTATGAAGAACTATCTGAGACTGAAAGAAAGGAAGTTTAACTTACTTACAGTTCTATTGGCTGTAAGGAAGGGCTGGGGAGGCTTTAGAAACTTACAATCATGACAGAAGGTGAAGGGGAAGCAGGCACAAATTATATGGCCAGAGAAGGAGGAGAAGAGGAAGGTGAAAGAGAAAGTGCAGTACACTTTTACACAACAAAATCTGGTAAGAACTCACTGTCATGAGAACAGCAAATGGAAAATCCTTCCCCATGATCCACCACTTCCCATTAGGCCCCTCCCCCAGCGTTGAGGAATACAATTCCACATGAGCTTTGGACAGGGGCACAAATCCAAACCATATCAGAGACATATAAACTGAAAATTAAAAGATACTCTATGCCAGTGAAAAGCAAAAAAGAGAAAAAGTTTAGCTATATTTAGATCAGATAAAATTAATTTTAAGACAAAAAGTGTAAGAAGAGACAAAGAAGCTTATTATATAATGAAAAGGGGGTCAATTCAGCAAGAGGATATATTGATTGTAAACGAATATGCACCCAACACTGGAGCACCCAGATATAGAAAGCAAATATTATCAGAGCTGTTAAAGAGAGAGATAGCCTTCAATACAATAATAGCTGGAAACTTCAACACCCCTCTTTCAGCCTTAGACAGATCTTCCAGACCGGAAAGAAAAAAAAAAAAAAAGAACAAGGAAGCATTAGACTTAATCTGTACTCTAGAACAAATGAACCTAATAGTTATTTACAGAACATTTCACCCAAAGGCTACAGAATACACATTATTTTCCTCAGTACACAGATCATTATTAAGGATAGACTGTATGTTAGGTCACAAAACAAATCTTATGAAATAATATCAATTGTCTTCTCTCACCATAATGGAATACAACTAAAAATTAATAAGAAGAGGCATTTTGGAAACTAAACAAATGTGTAGAACTTAAACAATATGCTCCTTGAATGACCAGTGTGTCAATAAAGAAATTAAGAAAACTGAAAAATTTTTTGAACAAATGATAATGGAAACATATCACATGAAAACCTATGGAACATAGTGAAAGCAGTATTAACAGGAAAATTTATAGATGTAAGTGCTTATATAAAAATTCACATAAGTAACCTAATGATGTATCTGAAACTACTAGAAAAGCAAAAGCAAACCCAACCCAAAATTATGATAAGAAAAGAAATAATACAGATTAGAGCAGAAATAAATGAAATTAAAAAGAAGAAAACAATAAAAACAATTAATATAACAAAAAAGTTGTTTTTTTTTTTGAAAAGAAAAACAAAAGTGATAAACCTTTTGCCAGACTAAGAAAAAAAGGGACCCAAATAAATAAAATCAGAAATGAAAAAGCAGACGTTTCAACTGGTAGGGTGAAAATTCAAAGGATATATGACTACTATGAAAAAGTATAAACCAATAAATTAGAAAATCTATGATAAATTTTTAGACACATAAAACCGACCAAGATTGAACCAGGAAAACTGAAAACCTAAACAGACCAATAACAACTAACAAGATCAAGGCCATAATAAAAACTCTCCCAGTAAAGGAAATTCCACAATCAGATGGCTTCACTGCTGAATTCTACCAAATATTTAAGAACTAATATCAATCATACTAAAGATGTACCAAAAAAAAAAATAGAGGAAGAGGGAATACTTCCAACTCATTTAACTTGGCCAATAGTACCCTGATATAAAAAAAAGGACAAAGACACATCAAAAAAAAAAAAAAAAAAAGGCCAATGTCACTAATAAATACTAGTGCAGAAATCCTCAATGAAATACTAACAAACCTTATTCAAGAATACCTTAAAAAAATTCATCATGATCAAGTGGGACTTGTCCCAGTGATGCAAGGATGGTTCAATATATGCAAATCAATGACATATTACTGGAAGTTCTAGCTAGAGTAATCAGACTAAATAAATAAACAAAAGGACATCCAAATTGGAAAGAAGAAGTCAAATTACCCTTGTTTACAGATGATATGATTGTATATTTGCAAAAACCTAAAGTTCTCCCCAAAAGCTGTTAAAACTGATAAAGAAATTCAGTAAATTTGTGGGATACAAAATAAACATGCAAAAATCAGTAGCATTTGTATATAATGACAGTGAACCATCTGAAAAAAAAAACAAAAAAAATCTCATTTAAAATAGCCACAAATAAAATTAAATACCTAGGAAATAACCAAAAAAGTGAAAGATTCCTACAATGAAATCTGTAAAATGCTGATGAAAAAAATTGAAGGACACACAAAAAATGAAAAGATATTCCACGTTCATGGTTTGGAACAATCAATATTATTA
The DNA here is from genome assembly GCF_000001405.40 of Homo sapiens. Classification (NCBI taxonomy): domain Eukaryota; kingdom Metazoa; phylum Chordata; class Mammalia; order Primates; family Hominidae; genus Homo; species Homo sapiens. Next base: position 104,306,490 of record NC_000001.11, read on the forward strand.
AAACATTCATAGTATCCAAAGCAATCTACAGATTTAATGCAATCCCTATCAAAATACCAGTGATAGTCTTAACAGAAATAGAAAAAAAATTCTAAAATTTATGTGAAATTACAACCACCCAGAATAGCCGAAGCTATTCTGAGCAAAATGTTGAAAACTAGAGGAATCTGTTACCTGATTTCAAATTATACTACAGAGCTATAATAACCAAAAGTGCACAAACAGAATTTAAACAGATGCCTAAACCAATGAAACAAAATTGAGAACTCAGAAACAAATCCATACATTCACAGTGAACTCATTAGCCACAAAGGTGACAAGAACATATACTGGGGAATCAACAGCCTCCTCAATAAATGTGCCGGGAAAACTAAATATAGATATGCAGAAGAATGAAACTAGATCCCTATCTCTTACCATATACAAAAATCAAATGAAAATAGATTGAAGACCTAAATCTTAAAGCTAAGACCTCAAACTATAAAACTACTGAAAGAAAACATTAGGAAACCTCTCCAGGACATTGTTCTGGGCAACGATTTCTTGAGTATTACCCTACGAGCCAGGTAACCAAAGAAAAAATAGACAAATGGGATCACATCAAGTTAAAAACTTTCCACACAACAAGGGAAACAATCAATATAGTGAAGAGCCAGCCCACAGAATGGGAGAAAATATTTGCAAACTCCACAGAATGGGAGAAAATATGAGGCATTAATAACCATAATATATAAGAAGCTCAAACAATTTTATAGGAAAAAAGTCTAATAATCTGGTTAAAAAGTGGGCAGAAGATTTGAATAGACATTTCTCAAAAGGATAAATACAAGTGATATACAGGCATATGAAAGCTCCTAACATCATTCATGGTCAGAGAAATGCAAATCAAAAGTACAATGACATGTCATCTTATCCCAGTTAAAATCACTTTTATTCAAATGTCAGGCAATAACAAATGTTGGGGAAGATGTGGAGAAAGGAGAACCCTTGTGCACTGTTGATGGGAATGTAAATTTATACAACCACAGTGGGGAAAAGTTTGGAGGTAAAAATAGAGCTACCATACTATCCAGAAATCCCACTGCTGGTTATCTACCCAATGAAAGGCAATCAATGTATCAAAGAGATATCTATACTTTCAAGTTTGTTGCAGCACTATTCACAATAGCTAATATTTGAAAGCAACCTAAGTGTCCATTCATAGGGGAATGAGTAAAGAAAATGTGGCACATTTACCCAATTTAGCCATAAAAAAGAATGGAATTCTGTCACTTGCAAATCATGGATGGAACTGGAGGTCATTAATTTAAGTAAAATAACCCAGGAACAGAAAGACAAACATTGTCTGTTCTCACTTATTTGTGGGATCTGAAAATAAAAACAATTGAAATCATGGAGATGGAGTGTAGTAGAATGATTACCAGAAGCTGGGAAGGGTAGTGGGAAAATAGGAGACAGATGGAGATGGTTAATGGGTACCAAAAATAGTTTGAAAGAATGAATTAGATAGCATAATAGGGGGACTACAGTCAATAATAATTTAATTGTACATTTAAAAATAACTTAAAAAATTGAATTATTCATAGCACAAAAGATAAATGCTCTAAGGGATGAATACCCAATTTTCAATGTCATGATTATTATGCATTATATGCATTCCTGTACCAAAATGTCTCATGCACCTCATAAAGTACCTATTATATACTAACAAAAATTAAAAATTAAAATTAAAAATTAAAAAGAAATTATTAAAAATGGATGGTTGTGTCTGTACTGAACATGTGCAAACTTTTTTTCTTGTCATTCCCTAAGCAATACAGCATAACAAGTATTTTCGTAACATTTACATTGCATTAGATATTATAAGTAATATAGAGATAATTCAAAGTATACAGGAGGATGTGCACATGTTATATGCAAATACTACACCATTTTCTATAACAGAGTTGAGCATTTGTGCATTTTGGTACCTGCGTAGGGTCCAGGAACCAATCCCCCATGGAGAAAGTGGGATAACTATATTCATAGGTTTAATTCAACACTGTCTTAATTAATATTTTATTAGGTATATTCCATCTCTACAGTTTTAACTTTGAGTGAATTTGAATTTGTAAATTTACTTAATATTTGCAAAGTAAAAATTATTTAAATCTTTTTTCTCAGTTTTTCTATTTATAAAATAGATATAGTAGTAGCAGATAATCATCTTATCATGATGGCATTTATAAATTGCTAGAAGAGGGTCTGACATATTACTCTATACAAACTTTATTTTCTTCAAATAATTAAATTTAGCTTTTTTCAAAAATACTTATTTTTTCAATTAATCTTGTGTGTGTGAACAATTTCTACGTTTTCTCACTGTTTGCTGTCTCAATTCTTAAAGTCTTTGTAAATCAAATTTATGTTCATAGCTACAGGAGTTATTCAATCCCTATCTAACTGTAAACTTAAAAATATGTAGTAGATCAAAAAAGATCTGCTTTATCTCGTAGTTTGCTCTTAATTCAAGAAGGAATGTTTTCTCTTTCTGTTATAACTTCAGGACAAGGAAGAATAGGATGAGAAATCATAACTGAAAGCTTCAATAATTTATCAGGTAAATTATTAAAAAACAAGTGTTTTAGTCAACATATATTTATAGAGGATTAAATCTAGGTTAGACACTGATGGAGGTGCATAAAGTAAGCACAAGAGCTTATTTTGTTTCCTTTTTGTTTATTTAATTATCTTGATCTCACTTATTTTTACAAAGAGATAAAGCAGCCTCTGGAAAATTTAGTCCAAAAGACATATTCTATAAATCATAAAGCCTCCTCTGCAGGATCAGGCTCTTTAATTACTTGAGTCTCTAAGCCAGTTCTGACATCAAAGCTGGTTTATATTATATTTGAACCCCTTGAGGCTGGATAATTCTCTTCATGATTTACATGATCGCAAGCATGGTCTCATGGTAATTATTCCTAATGAGGATAACTTTTTATTTTCCTTTTGTCTCTCTACTAATAATAGCATTTTGTGCAAGTTTTTACTTACTCTACCCACAAATACTTTTAAAGTACCCTCAGGAACTGATCTGGGCATTAGAGATACATGGATGAAAGACATGGTGTCTTCCTTTACAAACTTCACATTTCTGGGGAGTAGCAGATAGTGAGAGGCAAACAAATATAGTGTAATATGCACTAATATAAATGTATGCACCAAGTGCTATGGGTATACATAGCAAGTTCACATGAAACCGCCTGGGAGATTAAATAAGGTATAATTCAATAAATATTTATTGAGGTTTTTTTTTCCACACACAGGGTAAGTAAGTGAGTTGATTATTGGAAAACATATAACTTTGTCAGATGAAGAGGCACAATTGACATTGAATAGAAAAGAAACAGCATGTGCTGCAGTCAAGAGAATGTAATTTATGCTTTGCAAATTGTGTGCAAATCATTTAGTATGTCTAAAACAATATCAGCAGGTTAAAATAGAAAGCTAGAGACCATAAAGTAAAATGTCTTAAATGTCATTCTACAGAGTTTAGAAAGACAAATGGAGACTGATTTTAATCAAGGAGTGACAAGATCAGTAGAAAGTCTCCTCTGGAAAATAATTTGTGGTTATCTGAGGCATGTTACATTACAAGTGGAATGATCCCCAGTATTATAGATAGTAAATTTTTAGTTCTCAGGTTAAAAAAGAGAAAGTAGTGGGGAGATATGGGGAGAATTCAGAAGGTAAAATTGAAAAAGGTTTGTGATTAATTGAAAGTGTGAGATCGGGTAGAGGCAACAATTTTCTGACATAAGTGACTGCCACATAGAATCTCCATTTACCAATATAAGACACTAAGAAGGAGGAGCGGAAATGGAGATAACATGGTGATTTCGTTTAGTTTATTTATTTATCAGAAACGTATTGAGCCTTTACTATGACAGAAACCCTATCCTTTAAGAGGATACTTTCTAATGGGAGACAAAGGCAATGTAGAAATTGTGTGTGGGGCGGGCGGGGGGTGGTTAACAGTAATAAGTGCAATAGCTACAGTTAGGATTTTAGGGAGCAAAAGAATGTGAAATAGAATGTCATTTTATGTGATGCAGCCAGGAGACTTCATTAAAAAACACAATATTTGAGGAAAAACCCAAGGTAGCTAAAGGAATAAGTTTGAGGCTATTTGAGATGGAAGTGGGAGGCAAAACTGTAGGTTAAGGGAGCAGCCATTTAGAGGCCCTGCCGTGAGAACATGCCCAGCATGTTTGTGGATTATCAAGGAAGCTGCTATGACTGCAGCCAAGTGAGCAAGACATACAGTAGCAGCAAAAGAGAATGTTTGAGAGGGTGGAGTTAATGGATCACCTAGTATTTTGCGGGCCAACATAAGGATGTAGGCTTTTGAATGAGATGAGATGCCATCAGAATTTTGAATAGAAGAATGATATAATTTTTTAAAGAACATTGTTGGGAACCAAAAAGGCACATGGTAGAAGCAAAGAGATAAATTTTTAGACATTTACAATCATTTACGCAAGAGATTATTGTAGTTTGGATTATACTGATAGAAGTAAAGATAATAGGAAGTTGCTAGTTGCTGAAACTATTTCAAAACCACAGGCAAAATAATTTGAAATGTGAAGTAAAGAAAGAGATAACATAAGTGGGTAAAATTTTGCTTGAAGATTTAGAAAAATGGAATATGTATCAACTGAGTTGGTAAAACTGTAAAAGGAGTCTTCTGCATGAGAGTTCAGTTGTGAAGAGTCAGTTTTGAACAAGCTAATTTTTAGATACTCTCAAGACATCTAAGTGATGATGTAAAGGGGAGGCAACTAGATATGCCAGTTAAGAGTCCACTGAATGTACCTGACTTGAATAAATTGTGGAGACACCAATATACCAAACGTATTCAAATCCATGAGACTCAGTGAGTTCACTTAGAAGTAGGCACAAAGAGAAGAGGTTCAAGAACTAAGCTATATGTAACTATAATGTTGTTCAGTCTGGAAAATGAGGAAAAACAGGAAAGGATCTGAGGAGTAGTTATGTGGGTAGAAGACAGTAGTGTGTGATGTCCTGAAAATCAAGGGAAGAAAGTGATTTAGAGAGAAGGGAGTAAGTGAGTAAAATACTGACAGTAACTAATGTAAGATGAGACTGAACATTGACTAGTTTTAGTTATGTGGCATTTGATATGCCTTAAATTTTAGTGAACCATTAGTCTGTATTCCAGAAGAAAATTCTGTATGTATACCTATTTAGGAAGTATCAGCGGCATTTGAAGCCACTTGTTGATAAAATCTTCCAATTAAAAATAGCTAATCATGGCTGGGCGTGGTGGCTTACACCTGGAATCCCAGCACTTTGGGAGGCTGAGAGGGGTGGATCATTTGAGGTCAGGAGTTCGAGACCAGCCTGACCAACATGGTGAAACTTTGTCTCTACTAAAAATACAAAAGTATTAGCTGAGTGTGATGGCATATGCCTGTAATCCCAGCTATGTGGGAGACTGAGTCAGGAGAATTGCTTGAACCTGGGAGGCAGAGGTTGCTGTGAGCAGTGATCGTGCCACTGCACTCCAGCCTGGGCAGCAGAGTAAGACTCCATCTCAAACAAACAAACAAACAAACAAAAAAAGTAGCTAATCATGGTGTGAAACCAAGAAAATGAATAAATTGAGTTGATGCAGGAAGAAGGCCAGAGAGTCAAGTAGAAAATATAATGGAATTGTTCTTTTAAGATTTTCGTTTATTTGTTTTTCTTGAGTTTTTTTTTTCCCTCATTTTTCACAATTGGACTTACAATGTTCAGTACTTTTATTTTTATTTTCAATGACCTAACTTTGTATTTTATAATTCAAGGCTTTTTAAATTTTTTTCTATTCATTAACTTCTTTTTTTTATTCACTAATGAATTCCTTTATTAACTTTGGTCTTATACGTTGTCATATATGTAATTTATCCTTATTTTACTTTTTTTTTATTTGATGATTTCTGGTTACAGTGCATGGTTACCAGCTAGTATATCTAGAATCTAGGTCCTGAGTCTAAATTAAATGTGTACTCAAGAAGTAAAAGACACTTGAAACCCTAATTGTTGGCCAAAATATATTTATCTGCTTATATTCTATATATATAACAATTAGATATTTTTAACAATTTATTTATTAAATCATGTATTCAAACAATTTTGACTATCTGTCATAAATATGGCAAAAATACATTATCTTTTCCTTTGAAGATCATACTGTTTAGTGGAGAAGACTGATTTATAGCAAAGAAAACATGATGCATGGGTCCCTAGTAGGAATTTTGACAAGATGTTACAAAATGGTGAATTAATACTTTGCATAAAGAGTAGCATTTGTCCTTGAGAAAAGGGGTTGAGTATTTTGGCACAGGCATGGAGAATTTTGAGGTAAAACCAAATTCAGTGAGGCTGGTGTAAACGGTGAATGCGAGTAGGAAAGATGGGTGATGAAGCTATATCTTAGTGAAAAGTGATTCATTTGACAAATGTGGGTCTGGCAGGAAAAAGAAATGCAAGGGAGATGAAAGCACTTACAGAGAGCATGACTTTCTTAAAATAAGGGGAGCAGCACTGAATATATTGTATCTTTTTGACTGTCCTGAAGAACTTAGCACAATTACGTATTCAAGATTTAGTAGCTGCTACAGTTCTCACACCCTAGGAAATCACACTGATAATAAAACCATTATGATTAAGGAAGGCTTCTATACACTGGAAAAGTTAGTAATATGCAAAGCTAAAGTAGGGAAAATATATCAGGGTCTTGACAGACCAGGCTGCTTCTAAAGTCTAAACTTTTTCATAATTAACTGGGATTTTCTTCTTCCCTAAAACAAGTCTCAGTGTCTCAAAATCTCTCTCTCTCTCTCAAGCTCTCTCCATGGATTTCACTGACAAAGCCTCATATTTGTGGTCTGAGACCTCATTTTCAGTTCTTTCAACCTCATCATTGTCATGACATTCCTTTTGGTAATTAAACCATAGTCCCTTTTTCTAAAATTTAGAATTCTCTGCTCTGGAAAATTCGGACTACTTTTTTTTTCTTATAAGCAAAAGAAAAACAAAGATATTAATTAGTTTCCCAGATGATTGAAAATTAATTTATGACATATTAATAAATTCAGCAAGAGGATCTCAAATTATTTCCATTATTAAAATCAGCAACTTGCTATGGGCCTTTATTGATTTCACATAACACCAATCACTATATTTATCACTGAGTTAACATTCATTTATGTATGCTAGGGCGTCCATTGTAAATAGTCGTAAAATATGAAGAAACTTACATGAAATTGTGTATAAATATTGATAAATATTGCAAAAGAAATATGTATATTTTCATGAAAATCGCAAAAAAATTTACATAAAGGCACTTTTCTTGAATTTAAGGAGAGTCTTTTACCTATTAAAATTCAGACTCCCCTTATCATAGGTTTTTACTGTGAAGTGAAAAATATTTATTTAAATGCATATGTATTGAGTGTTTCCCCTACTATGTGCAAAATATTTGGCTGACCATGTTTGGAATTATTAATGGTACTATTCTTATTCTGAAGAAATGTGTTGCCTAGAGGAATAGTTAGATATTTTAAAACGTATATTGGAATACTCCTTAAATTCAAGGATTGGGTGAAGTTCATGAGTAGATATAACCATAAAATGGGACATAGGAAATGAATGAGGCCTCATTTTGTACTAGACACTGTGCTGGGCATTCCAGATTGAATGAGATGTATTTCCTGCAGAGTTGTGTGTACGTGAGAAGGGATTATAGAGAAATGTGTCAATAAATGTATGGTTGGAGACATCAGTAGAGATTTCAGAAAGGGTTTGCTATTTAACATTTTCTAAAAGATAAGTAAGGATTATATTTTCTATATAAATAATAGTACTTGTAATGAATAGTGGCATTGGTGTGACTTTGATTATTTAAAATAGTAAGTTTTACGATTTACTTTTTTGGATACTTCTGTTCCTTTATCCTGGATATACTTAAATGAGTCATTTGATCTTGAAGGGCTTTAAGTTTTCAATCTGTAAATTTGAGATCTAAACAAGGAAATCGCTAAATTCTTTTTCATCTTTACTGTTTGATTACATCCTTTGAATTTTTTCTATGTGCTACTTACTGCTGGGTGACCTTAATGCCCTATTTTAAGGATTGATTTCCATTGACAATATGATTATTCAGTTTGGCTCATAAATTAAAGATATCATAACCCTAAGCTCTTTTTATCTTTTTTTTTTTACCGTCAACCAAAATTTAATTCACTGTTATAGAAATAAATTTAGATAGTAACGAAACAAGTAATCTTCTGATAATCCCACACATTTTGTGTTAAATTTTTTCTGTGATCTCAATAGTATTAAGATTTCCTAAAGAAGGAAAAACAGTCAAGATTTTTTTCTGCCGCCAATCCACTCTGCAATGTTGCAGAATGCTTTCAGAATGTACGGTTTTATTTCATTCATCTCTCCAAGCTTACCAACCCTTTCACCAAACATCTGAGAGCTCCAACAATGGTTTATTTTTCCTCTGTACCATTGATCACTTATCCATTGGTATCTTATAAGCACTTGCTATCCAGTAGCTAGAATCTACTCTAACAGCAGAGCAGCAAAAGGCCCAAAATATAGCAAGAAGTAGTCTGAATGGTAATGCAATACATTTCCTGTTATAATCTAAGACAGGGTTTCTCAAACTGAGTATTGTTGATACTTAGACTGGATAATGGAGACTATTATCCATTAGTCTCTGTTGTAGAAGACTACGTTGTTCATTGTAGAATGTTTGAAAGTATCCCTGGCTTCTACCTACCAGGTGCCAGTAGCACCACCACCTTTTTTGGTCAAAATAAAAAATGTATCAAGGCATCGTGACATGTCCCCTGTGGTTCAAAGCATTGCCAGAAAAAATGCAGAATATCCCCTCAATTTGAATTTCAGAAAAGCAACACATATGAGTGTGTGTGTACATGTGTATAATCCCAAATATTGTATGGGTCAGTTATACTAAATAAGTTGTTTATTAGAAATTAAAATTTAGCAAGGTCTTCTCCATTTCTATGTTAAACCTGGCAATTCTACTTGAATTAGGGGCATGGAGCACAGTTGCTCTAAATTGAGAACTACTTATTTAGGATCATTTTAGAAGGTAAAATAAAGCGTTTTAGGTATAATTTTGACAGTCATGTGTTAAAGCATTTAGCTAAATGGATTATTGTTACCATCAATATAGTTATTTTGGTAAGTTCAAACATCTGTAATAGTGGAAAATAAAGCAAAATATACCAGTTAGTTCCATTATGTGGATTCAATTCCTGAGTAATTTAGTACTTTGATAGCTGGGAAGACAAGTGGCTCCACTGACTTCAGTTTTCTGCAGCACTCATTAGGCTAGAGGCAGGCTTTCTTCAGATATAAAAATGATGGATGAAATTCAGAACCTGATAGTTATTCTCATGATAGCACAGACATCATGAATATGTGTTTGCCCTCTGAATGAAGCCTACACACTCTGCCATGAGAACCCCCAAGTGCATAGACATTGAGCCATTTAATCTGCTCTGAGACTACGTCGCCTAATCCTGTAGTTGATATAATCATTTTCAGACACTCACAGGTCTCCAGACAACACAGCTAAGGAAGATAAAAAGACAAGGTGAACTTGTGTTTGCCCTCTCATTAAATTTTGCAAGCTGCTATGTTTAAGTTTCTATTTTATGGACCACTTAGGCAACTATTAACCTTTAAAAATACATTAGCATTTTTATTTCAGACTTTTCAGAAGACACAGACTGAAATAGAAATAAAGGATAATGGGAAGTTCTGACTTACAAATTGGTATTAAAAATGTTCAAAATATGTTTTCTTTCTAACGTATTAAAGGAATATCCCAAATAATTCATGTATTCCAGGTTTCTTTTAAAACTGCTTGTGTCTGTTGTTGATACAAATTATAGTATAATGGTAATAATCACAATGAAGTATCTTGAAAGACAATGTTATAGAAGAATTACTGATGATAATTACTTATAAATTGAAAGATTATGAAGACTTAAATGAGCAGAGAGAGACTTAAGAGCAGTAAAATTGGATCTACTTGCCTTATAAGTTCATAAATAAATATAATTTTATTAGAGCATTTAAAATTTTATTTTCAAGTTTGCATTGTCTAGAAATTATATTCTATATCATGGACACTTTTTGCATGTAATTATTGCAAAAATGTAAAATACTATGTATTTTTGTTTTAATATCATTTAACAAGTTATAAAAATGTTCTTGCTTTTGTGCTAACATGAGAAAATATATTTTTACTATTAAACTTAGAACATTTTACAAAATTTTTTGAAGATATGTGTTATTCTTTTTTGCATTTTAATATTTAATAAAACTAGATTAAATAATGATTTGTATTATAACAGTTATTCATGTATACATTGCCAAAGCAACCCTTTTTTGCCTATTAATGTCTGGCTAAACTGTTCTGATATTGTTTCTTAATTCATTAAACATGAAACTAGGTTTTAAAAGCTAAATTATATAAACTTAAGACAGAAGTCTAAAAATGGTGCAAGAAAATTCTTTTCTTGAAAAACAACAAATTAATATGATGTTATTCAAATATCTACCAATTAAAGAATCAGAAAAACAGAATACCATATTGGATGTAACAGTTTAAAATTGATTGCAAATAAATGTCAAACTTAACTTTTAAATAGAAAAAATTTATTATCGCCTCATTTCTACCAATAATTTCAAATGTTTAATGGGACTATTTCATTAGAATTTACTGTAAGCTCAGTTTTCCAACAAAAGCCTTTGTAAAGGTAAGAAAAAATAGAAATGAAAATTTCTCTCGCCATTAATACTGTGAATACTATTTGGAGGGTCCCCGATCAGACATTTCAATATCATACTTAAGAACCAATGTGGAGCCTTTGATTATATTTAGTTTATATACAGGATCTGAATATTCACACATGTAGCACACTATAGCAACCTCTTGTAAAAAATTGTGAAGAAAATGCAACAGTGTATATTCCATTAAAAAGTAAATTGGCTGGGTGTGGTGGCTTATGCGTGTAAGTTTGGGACCAGCCTAGGCGACAAATTGAGACCCCGTCTCTAGAAAAACATTAAAAAATCAGCCAGGTGTGGTGGCATGCACCTGTGGTCCTAGCTACACAGGAAGTTGAGGCAGGAGGATCGCTTGAGCCCAAGAGTTTGAGGCTGCAATTGAGCCAAGATTGCACCACTGCCCTCCAGCCTGGGTAACAGAGCGAGACTCTGTCTCAAAAAATAAAGGAAATTGACTTTGACTGTGAAAAACAGCCATTTTCAACCTTTTTATAAAATCTCTTAAGGGAATATTGGAATATTATTTTTGTCAGGCAAAAATAATCCAGAGCTTGAGCATTGCTGTAGAACATGTTATCTGTTCAACACTTAGCAGAGCACACATGCATTGTCATCAATATTTGAGAGCTGGACCAGTGTTTTTTGATGGATGCTGTAACAGAAGATCTATGAAGCAGATGGTGGTTTGCACCTGTTCCTGAAGCCAGAAACTGGAAAAAGTTGCAGGAATTTCAATTTTCCCAATCATTTTGCACAAATGCATTAATATTTTGAGTATTAATAGGTCTAAAGCTGTAGGAAGGCATCGTGGTATACTGTGATATGCAGAGAATACTGCTCTTACACTGCTCTTTATCTTAAAATGTTTTGGTATAATGTGAATATTTTCCTCCAAGCATTTTGTGTATTTTGACAGTTATTAAAGGAGAATATAAAATTTTAGATTTTTGTCTAAGCTAAGAACAGTGGAAAGTTGCTTTGTTTTACCTTAGAGGAGTTTTCAGTTTATCCTCTTCTTGAGAAACTATGTGTTGCTGTTACTAAATAAACATCTCAGTAAATGTTTTATTTCCTCAAATGATGTGTCTGGATTATTTTAGCAATCAAAAACAATTGTAGAATCTTTGGGATTGAGGTGTTTGAGAACCAGGATTCTGGGTGGAGGGCAGTTCCTGGATTGGCTAATTCAGCAGCTGAACAGTGTCATCAAAACCTGGGTGCCTTCTGCCTTTCATTACCATTCTGACCAAGTGAGTCTGATGTCTCCCCTTATGGCTCCAAAGTGACCACAAAGTTTCCAGGTGGTGGATGACAAGAGGCTGAAATATATCTTTTTTTTTTTTTTTTTTTAAAGAGGCAGTTTTCACTTGCCCCCATTCACTTGCCCTCATGACCATAGCAATGTGTGTTATCTGTAAAACAATTACTTTTCAAAGGGAATAAAGCTCCTACAATTGGCTCAGACCATGAAGATATTCTCTTGAAATACAAATGACCTCCCCTTGATGAATGGCTGCTCAGAAAAAGGGGAACAATTTCCAGGTTCTGGATGAAGTTGGTGGGGTAAGAGTGTGTAGGGAGTTTGGAAGATAGCTGTTCAGTGGGCAACAGACTGTCACATGTTGTCTTACAGACCCAAGTATTTCCTCTAATTTTCAGGCGGATCAAATTTCAGATCTAGAGAAGAGCATCCTTTTCTGTGGCAGGAACTAGTTTTGCTTTTAAAGTCTCTGCAAGGCCAGGCAAGGTGGTTCACACCTGTAATCCCAGGACTTTGAGAGATTTAAGATGGGAGGGTCGCTTGAGCCCTGGAGTTCAAGACCAGCCTGGGCATCATAGTGAGACCTCCCCTCGTACAAAAAATATAAAAATTAGCCCAGTGTGGTGGCACATGCCTGTAGTCCCAGCTACTTGGGAGGCTGAGGCAAGAGAATTGCTTGAACCCAGGAGGCACAGGTTGCAGTGAGCCGAGATCATGCCACTGCATTCCAACCTGGTCTACAGAGCCAGACCCTATATCAAAAAAAAAAAAAAAGTTAATTTAGATGAGAATCATGTGTGCTAAAGAAAATTTAAAAATAAAAACTAAGTCTCTTCACATGTGTGAAGTTATCTAATAGTTTTCAGCTTTGTATATTTTAATTTTTATACAATTTTTTTGTCCCAATCTATAAAGGGTTTTAAAAGATTGTGCAGGTGATGATGGCTTCTGAGGAGACTTTAAAAGTTCCTTTAAATTTGTGATAAAAATGTATTTATTGGCAATCTTTGTCATTGTCATGTTTTTAATTAAATTTTTTAATTAAAAAATGTCCTAATTGAAACAAAAATAAGGACGAGTTAAAGGTATGTGACGTGAATGTTATTCTTAAGGACACATTTTAGTTTGATGACCATTTACTTTATTTTTGGATATTAAGTGTCTGTCTATTAAACTTTGGACACTAAGATGGTAATTCATGGATTTCAAAAGTTTCATAGAGATTTTAAAATTCAGCATTAAGAATATAAACCAGGCTGAGTAGTATTCAATGGGACATATGTCTCCAAAGAGTAGACAAAGATAATGTTGTGTATATATGTTGTGGGCAGTTGGGCTGGTTCCACATTTTTGCAATTGCGAATTGTGCTGCTATAAACATTCATGTGTGATATATTTTTCGTTTAAGGACTTCTTTTTCCTCTGGGGAGATACTCAGTAGTGGGATTTCTGGATCAAATGGTAGATATACTTTTAGTTCTTCAAGGAACCTCCACACTGTTTTTCATAGTGGTTGTACTAGTTTACATTGCCTCCAGCAGGGTAAAAGTGTTCCCTTTTCACCACATCATGCCAACATCTATTATTTTCTGATTTCTTGGTTATGTCTATTCTTGCAGGAGTAAGGTGGTATCACACTGTGGTTTTGATTTGCATTTCCCTGATCATTAGAGATGTTGAGCATTTTTTTCCTATGTTTGTTGGTTGTTTGTATATCTTTTTTGAGAATTGTCTAGTCATGTCCTTAGCCCACTTTTTGATGAGATTTTTTTTTTCTTGATATGCTTGAGTTCCTTGCAGATTCTGGATATTAGCCATTTGTCAGGTGAAGATTTTCTCCACTTCTGTGGTTTGTTTGTTTACTCTGCTGATTGTATCTATCGCCATGCAGAAGCTTTTTAGCTTAATTAAGTCCCACTTATTTATCTTTGTTTTAGTTGCATTTGCTTTTGGGTTCTTGGTCACAAAATCTTTGTCTAATCCAATGTCTAAAGTTTTTATGGTTTCAGTTCTTAGATTTAAGACTTTGATACATCTTAAGTTGATTTTCATTTAAGGGGAAAGTTGAGGATTCAGTTTCATTTTTTTATATGTGGCTTGCCAGTTACCCTAGCACCATTTGTTGAATAGGGCTTTTTCCCCCCACTTTATGTTTTGGTTTGGTTTGTAAATGCTCAGTTCACTTTAAGCATTTGGATTTATTTCTGTTCTCTATTCTGTTCCATTGGTCTATGTACCTATTTTTATACCAGTACCACACTGTTTCAGTGACTATGGCCTTATAGTATAGTTTGAAGTTGGGTAATGTGATGCCTCCAGATTTGTTCCTTTTGCTTAGTCTTGCTTTGGCTGTGTGGGTTCCTTTTTGGTTTCATATGAGTTTTAGGGTTTTTTTTTTTTTTAGTTATGTGAAGAATGATGGTGGCATTTTGATGGGAATTGCATTGAATTTGTAGATTGCTTTTGGCAGTATGGTCATTTTCACAATATTGATTCTACCCATCCTTGAGTGTAAGATGTGTTTCCATTTGCTTGTATCATCTGTTTCTTTCAGTAGTGTTTTGTTGTTTTCCTGGTAGAGGCCTTTCACCTCCTTGGTTAGGCACTACCATAAAAAGGAATAAAATAATGGTGTTTATAGCATCCTGGATAGAATTGGAGACCATTTTTCTAAGTGAAGTAACTCCAGAATGGAAAACTAAACATAATATATTTTCACTCATAAGTAGGAGCTAAGCTATAAGGATGGAAAGGCATAAGAATGATACAATGGTTTTGAGGGACTTGAGGGAAAGCGTGGGATGGAGGTGAGGAATAAAAGACTATACACTGGGTACAGTATACACTGCTCAGGTGATGGGTGCACCAAAATCTCAGAAATCACCACTAAATAACTTATTCATGTAACCAAACACCACCTGTTTCTCAAAACCTATTGACATAAAAAAAAAATTCTACGAACACCATTTAGTTGCTGTCAACAAGAAATTCACTTGTTTTTAAAAAATCCAGGTACACGTGTGGTAGCTCCCACCTGTAATCCCAGCACTTTGGGCAGCTCATGAAGAGGATGGCTTGAGCCCAGGAGTTTGAGACTGCAGTGAGCCATTATATATATATATACACACACACATATATATATACACACATATATATACACACATACATATATACACATATATATATACACACACACATATATATATACACACACACACAGGCTAACTGCAATTGCAAATGTATACAGGCTAACTGCACATGTAGCTGGAATTAAATCTGTTGTATTGTGTGCCCTCCTTACCCAGCACTTTCATGCAGGTTATAACGAGCATCAAGCACAACTTCGAATTTATATATAAAATTTCTAAACATATCTGATTGCCTGCAATGAACATGATCTATTCTATGTGCTTAAGATACAAAGATGACTAAAACAGGATCCCTGCAGCCTGAAAGGTTCGTATGAGAGAGACAAAATTTGAAATCTTTCTTTTCTTTCTTTCTATGTGTTTGGAGCTGATAAGCAATGAATGAAAAAGGAGACAGAGAAAGGAAAAAAGGACTAACAAAGGGTAATTAATTGCATGCTTGTGGTTACATATTGTTTTCATAAGCAATAAATAAAAGACCCACAATCTTTTTCTCTTCAATCAATTTTGCCGTTAGGAAACTTGTTGGCAAAACTTGAGACATTGCCCAACCCATGGTTAAAGCAAGAGGAGATGAGTAAGGGATAACTTCCAAAACATGCATAGTTGATCCTTGAGCAACAAGGGTTTGAACTGTGCGGGCCCAGTTATTTGTGGAGTTTTTCAGCCAAATGCAGATCAAAAATACAGTATTTACAGGATTCAACATCCATATATTTGGAGGGCCAGCCTTTCATGACTGTGTATACCAAGGGACAAGTAGAGTTGTAACTCACCTTGACTATCTTTCTTTGCACACTACCCGAGCTAAATAGTTGCAAGAGACGAATTGACACATGGTTTAAACCACTCCAGACTTAAGTTTCAAATGACTACTGCGGTGCCTTGGGCAATAATTAATGAAGTTTGGAGATTTACAGAATAAATGGAAAAAAACCAGGTAGAAAAGTATGGTCATGATGTTTTGGATCAACATGTGAGACACTCTGTTTCTTAAACCGAAACCAGAAGAATGAATTAGTTAAATTATATAACTTAACTTAGGGGACTAATAACAAATTATAGCTGTGATATTATTATTTTATACTCTGTACCTATAGATTTTAACAATTTGTCTCATTATTTTACTTAGTTTAGATGAAATTTGGAAATCTGCTTTGCTGCAACTGAAGAATACAAAATTTAATTTATCAATTTTTTTCTAAAAAGTTCATACAATACCAACTTACTCAATGAGTCCAAAAGGCAGATAAAATAATAACTACCTGCCTGTTTATATTTAGCCAAAATTTAGCTCTTTTAAATTTAGAAAATCTTTCACAAAAATTGGAAAATTTATTTTTTAATATTTTAAATTTCTGATTTTATTTCCTCAGTGTTTTTCTTAGTGTGTTTATTGCTGCCACATTAGAAAGAAAGGCTAGAACAGGGTATTTTTTAATGAGATAAAACATTTTATCCATGGAGACTTAAACCTTGAACACATAAACACTGAAAATTCATCATTGTTTAGTTTTGGGACAAACCATTCAATATGGCTTTAATTAGCTTTCAAAGTTTCCGATACAAAATAGAGTGGTAGCAGAAAGAAATTGTTTAAAGGAAAAGTACAGACTGTGCTAAAATGCAAAGCCTAATCTTCAAAAAAATGCTATATTCTAAACACAACATAGTGTTGTCTTCATATGGCCTTTGTCTCATTTTGATTTAAAAATGTGTTTCTTTCATTTTCCATAGAATATAAACAGATTTAGAAATTTGGTTAACTTTGAAAGTTGTAGCCAACAATGCTTTTTCTGCAAGAGTTCAAATTTGTTATTTAAAGGAAAAGAGAGCTCATAAAAGTTTCTTTATCACTCATCAAAATCTTTGCTGTGGTGTTTACTCACAAGTTATTGTAAATAGGGTATAAGGATGTGAATCTCAAATGAAAAAACAGTGCTATCAAGAGGACTGTTGGTCATCTCCACATTGGATCTAAGGTGATGTCCATCTCTAAATATCTATGTTGAAAAGGGCAAATAACATTGGGAGCTTTGATTAAGAAAAAAAATGAAACAGGTGCTTGAAGAGTAATTGAAATATGCTTTAGAAAATCATAGGTTTTGGTTTGTAGATTTGTATGAGACTATCTATCTGATTCTCTTGCATTGTTCCTAAGTTTATGAAGAGACAAACATGCCAAAAAACCCAGTTGGACTGGAGAACTTTGTGGCCATAAGGATATTAGGTAGCCAGGTGAATGGGACAGGTTAATACAGGAACACCCTTCAACAAAGATCTGTAGTAATTGAAAACTCAATTATTTAATTCACTTCTGAGAAATGTTTTTTGTGACTATTATGACTTAAGCTTGTCCTCAAGCTATATAACTGTCCTCTGAGACACAGAAAAACTGTATTCCCCTTCTTCCCCTATTCCCTATTAGTTTAGTTATGTATCTCAGCAGTCATACTGTCGTATTATAAATTACACATTTTAATATTTCAGTAAAAATTTGACACGTTGCACAATTTGAAAGCCTCTGCACTAGCACTATTCAGTACTGATTTTTAAAAGTCTGATAAATGTTACTATATATTGGTGAAATTATACTGCAGAGGGCTTACTCCCTTTCATATCAAGTTGTCTATGATCATGACTAAGAAAATTATTGTGTGAATTTTCTATACTGTTATATCTACTTCAAATCTAGGATAAAATCTTACTATGTCATTGGAAGAATATTTCATCTCATTTAAAACACAAGGGACAAAAGATACTGTATTACAACTGGGAAGCAGAAAGTTAAAGCTCCTTCAGTATCATCTGAATTAAAACAGAAAGATAGCTTCAATAATTTAGCATTTTTCGCTACTTTTAAAGCAAAATAAGGTCGTGATGCTAGAAAATTATATTTGAAAATCTATTTACATAGCATATGCTAAGCATATATTTTGAGTTATATGAATTTACTTTATTTAGAATTCCTGTTGGGGAATTATTATTAGACTATCAGAGTGTTCAGTTACTTTTGCCCCCCTTGCTAATTAATGAGTCCCATAAATATTGAACCCCATGAATTGTACTGATTACAGACTCTGTGCTCAGAATTTGTACTCTTAATGAAGTGATGAGGATCATAAATTTTGGACCACAAATTGTCCAGGAAGACAAAGTTTAGAATATTTATCAACCAATCACATCTTTTAATTTATTTTCTTGTTTTATGAAATGAAATGTGGTTTCTATATGGCTTTAAATGTGATAAATACAGAATGTTTGTTAGTTTGGCCTTCTTTGTTTTTGTAAGCACTAATATTTTGAAAGATGAATAGTACTTGATGCTTCATTTACTTTGATTGTTTTTAATCTCAAGATACTTTGGAAAATTTATTATGCTATAAACCCTGAGTTAGCTACAGCTTTCCTATTCTGATCCAAATAAGCAACAATCATCAAAACTTCCATAATTCAGAAACACGGTGTCATGGTTATAACAACAAAACCATTTCTGATGAAACTAATTATTGATTATCCCTAGGGCTTCTGAGATCAACTATGCCTCAGTATAGCTAATTATGCCCTCAGCCCTGCAGTTTTTGCAATGGCAGGTTCAATTTACTTAGTAAAGTATTGCCTTGTAAGATTTGCACATGAGTCAATTAGACAGTCATTAATTAGGTGGCCATGGGAAATGTGGTGTTACCCAGTTGGGAAATGGTCTACTCCAATGACTAATGTATATTAATGCCAGCATTAATGACCTTTGAGTCCTTCCCCATGTATCTACGGGAAAACAAATTAAAGAACCATTCAAGGAAACATAGATTTTGCTGAACTGCTATGTTTTCCAGGAGAAAGATTAAAATTGTTCATTAAGTGTACTAAAACCACAAGTTTTCAGAGTAACATAAACAGATATCTTTAACTGAATAAAACTAAATGCTAGAAATGCCATAAGAAATTTTCATAGTGTTGTATTTTAAATATTTTTAGAGCAAGTTTTTTTTGCTAATAACCTTAAAATTATTAAAAACAGAATGATAGCATTTCCCAGTTTTAAACAAATTATATAAATAGTATTAAGGAGCTTACCGAAATAAAACATCTAATTTCTTATGGGTTAATTGGAAAATTAGAGAATGTTTACTTTTCTTCTTGGAGCAAATAATAATTAAACTAACAGAATTATGCCATGTCCTTATTTATGAAACTTATCCCAAATTGCTAATATACTTTGTTGAGTAAATTGTAATCTCTATATTACCACTACTAATTTAAATTAGCGTGGAAGTAGCATTACCTCACTTTCAAGAAAAATCTATGTATTTAGTAAGCTTTATACAAAGATTTTTTTCAAGAAAAACCTCTGTATTAGTAAATCTATGTATTTAGTTTTGATTATGTAGTTTGGTTAAAAGAATCATATAAAAAAAGAGTTAGAAGAAAACACATCTAGATAAAAATTTGGCAGCCCGAAATACAGTAAAAATTGACTTAAAAAAATCCACCCTGTGTGTCTCCCAATCTGTGTTAGTCCCTTCTTACATTGCTATAAAAAATACTGGAGACTGGGTAATTTATAAAGAAAAGACATTTAATTGGCTCACGGTTCTCCAGGCTGTACAGGAGGTGTAATGCTAGCATCTGTTTAACTTCTGGGGAGGCCTCAGGAAACTTACAATCATGGTGGAAGACAAAGCAGGAGCAGACACATCACATGGCCAGAATGGAAGCAAAAGAATGAAGTGGGGAGGTGCTACACACTTTTAAACTACCAGCTCTCACGAGAATTCACTCACTATTGCAAGAACAGTCCCAAGGGGATGGTGCTAAACAGTTCATGAGAAATAACCCGCATGATCCAATCAACTTCCAGCAGGCCCCACCTTCTTCAACATTGGGGATTACATTTCAATGTGAAATTTGGGCAGGGACACACATCAGGATCTTTATTCCTATTTCTTTGTGGGATGTAAAAGAAATAATTTTCATATATGTGATCCAGCAATCTTATATAAATCTAATATATGTTATACCCTCACATGGGTAAAAAAAAATTAGAAAATTTAGAGCACAATATATGATTGAGTCAGTATTAATGTCCCATGAAAATCATTTATGCTGAACGGACAGAGAATCGAGACACAATCTCCCTGCATAAAGCAAGGTCTACCTAATTGGTCTGAAAGATTGTTCCTAACATCATTCATAATTTCTTTAAGATTTTATTTTTTCCTCATAGATTCCAAATCTATTCAGATTTATAGCAACCCTGATAAATTTTGCATCAATGTTTCCTGAAGTATGCTCTGCTGAATGCTAGTTCCAAGAATAAGTGATGGAAGAAAATGATGTATTCAAATAAGTTTGAGAAACATTTACTGTAAAATAATCAAACAAATTTATGTACAGAAGGGCTTATTCAGGCCTATGCAGATGTGTATTGAGAATAATCAACAAGGACATATGTTGGATAGTCTGTCACAAAATGATTTGGTCTGTAACTTTTTGTATTTATCATGTACATTTCTTTATAAAAGTGTTCCAGGGAAGATATTTTGAAGACAAGATGAGGTTAATTTTGAAGGCCTATTTTAACTGAATGTATGGAACTCAGCTCATGACATTAACCCATGTCCCTAGAATCTCTAAAAGTTTAAATTGTGGGTAATTTATAGAATGTTTGTTACATAGTAAATATTAAAAACAAAGCATAATGTGAGTTTTGAAATGTAATAGTAAAATGAACTTTTGTGAATTCACCAGTCAGATTTAGAATGCAAATACTGCCAATATACTATATCTAACAGTATGCTCCATCCTTATCGCATTCCCTGCTTAATCCTGGAGATGAATCTCCTGACTCTAATGCCACTTTTTCCTTTTCAAATTATTTTTTACTATACATGCAAATAAATGATATATTATTTTCCTTTTTTTTTTTGCTTTACTAAAAATATATGTGGACATTTAAGACAAAATCCTTGATCATTATTTTTAAGACACATAAATGTTTCTGTTGTGTATCTATAATTTATTCCTTTTCCTTGTTATATAGATTCCATTGTGAGAATAATTATTCTTATTTATCAGTCTTCATATCTTCAAATCTTGAGCTATCCACATCTCTTTTAAGAATATTGAAGGCAGGATTTTGTTTAATTATATTTCCTACTGTTTATAAATGGCTTTATTGAGAGTATAATATCAGATGGAACAACAAATATATCCTTCCTGAAGGATCCTATAATTTTGTAGACAATAGTGTCATGCTGATAATTGGCATGATATAATGGAATTTCTCTCTTACCTGCAGTACCATGATGGAAGAGTGATTTATTCTAATTTAAGAAAAAATAAATAACAACATGGCAGGTGAGCTCAATCTTAAAGAGAAGTTGCATTATACCAGATGGAAAAGGATGAAGTAAAAAGACAATAGGAAGAAATGCGATTAGTTCTGTACAGCGGATAGCTAGACAAGTTGTGAAAGATAAATTGGAGTGGAGATAACTCAAAAAGGAAATTGTACTCATGAGAGAAAGCATATATAAAACAACATTGAAGCCTTTAAAGCACTATAGAAACTAATTTTTGTTGTGATTCTAATATAAAATAATTTTACTAATCTTTAAATTTAAATTTATCTTAGTCCAGTGTTTCAGCCTTGGCACTATCAACAATTTGGGTCTGACTTTTTTTTTTTTTGCCGGGGGGTGGCATACAAAAACCTATCTTGTTGATTATATTGTTTTACAGAATGCTTTGCCTCTATCCACTGTATACCAGGAACACCCTTTTTCCTCAGTTGTGACAAGTAAATGTATCCACATCTTGCTAAATATATACCATTCTTGGAAAGACATAATTGCCTCAGTTGATAACTGAGAAATATTTGAACATAGCCTTGAAGGAAGGATAGAACTGACCAATTCATATATGTAAATAGAGGGATATTTATATATCAACTTCCAGCAGGCCCCACCTTCTTCAACATTGGGGATTACATTTCAATGTGAGATTTGGGCAGGGACACACATCAGGATCTTTATTCCTATTTCTTTGTGGGATGTAAAAGAAATAATTTTCATATACGTGATCCAGCAATCTTATATAAATCTAATATAATACCCTCACATGGGTAAAAAAAATCAGAAAATTTAGAGCACAATATATGATTGAGTCAGTATTAATGTCCCATGAAAATCATTTATGCTGAACGGACAGAGAATCGAGACACAATCTCCCTGCATAAAGCAAGGTCTACCTAATTGGTCTGAAAGATTGTTCCTAACATCATTCATAATTTCTTTAAGATTTTATTTTTTCCTCATAGATTCCAAATCTATCAGATTTATAGCAACCCTGATAAATTTTGCATCAATGTTTCCTGAAGTATGCTCTACTGAATGCTAGTTCCAAGAATAAGTGTTGGAAGAAAATGATGTATTCAAATAAGTTTGAGAAACATTTACTGTAAAATAATCAAACAAATTTATGTACAGAAGGGCTTATTCAGGCCTATGCAGATGTGTATTGAGAATAATCAACAAGGAGATATGTTGGATAGTCTATCACAAAATGATTTGGCCCTGTAACTTTGGCAGAGCCAAAGCCAAAGCCAGCACAATCTACAGCTAAAATGTACCTGACATATACTTGAGTCATTCAGGCCTCTGAGACAGCAAGGGTGTGAAGAGGATAGTAGTCGAGACCACTGATGTCATGAGCGAAAACCACATAGGGCGTTCAGGTCATTGCAATGACTTTGGCTTTTACTCTGTAAGCAAGGAAATGCATTTGGAAGTTTTGAACAGAGCAATGTGATGAGCTGACATATTTTAGTAGAAATTTAGTGATTGCTGTATCGAGAATACTATGGGATAGAAAAGAGTAACAACATAGACATAAAAACGTGGTAGTCTAGGTGAGAGCTGTTCATGAATCAAGCCTAGGTAGTAGCAGGGGAATAAATAAGGGATAGTTAAATTCTGAATAGATTTTTATCATTCAGAAACTATCATTCCATTTTACACTTTAATTAGCTGACTGGTTATATGTTTTAAATTATTTTTATTAATTTCAGTGGAGATTACAATATACATCTTTAGTTTATTAAAGTCTACTATTAATTAGCAGTGTTGTTGCTTCTCAGACTTAGAACAAGGACTTAGAACTATTTAATTCCATATATTACCTCCTATTATTTGTCTAATGTATTTATGTATTTTATTTTACATATATTTTAAACTTTCAAAACATTATTATTGTTTTAATCAATGTTCTTTTTTTTTTTTTTTTGGACACAGTTTCACTCTGTCTCCCAGGCTGCAGTGCAGTGGCTTGATCTTGGTGCACTGCAACTTCCGCTTCTGGGGTTCAAGCCATTCTTTAGCCTCAGCCTCCTGAGTAGCTGGGATTACAGATGCCTGACACCACGCCCAGTGAATTTTTGTATTATCAGTAGAAACAGGGTTTTGCCATATCGGCCAAGCTGGTCTCGAACTCCTGACTTTAAGTGATCTGCCTGCCTCAGCCTCCCAAAGTGTTGGGATACAGGCGTGAGCCACCGTGCCCGGGCAATGTTACTTCTTATTTGTGTCTTCTTTCCAGTACTCTTCCTCCCTTCCTGCATTGCCATATTTTCACCTGGGATAATATTCCTTTTGTTTAAGAATTCCCTTAGATATTTCTATTAAGTCTGTTGTCAGAATACTCTTTTGGGTTTTTTAGATCTACAAATATCTTTACATAGTTATCATTTTTGAGGAATAATTTTAAAGAAACTTAGAAGCTAAGTTGTCAGGTATTTTCTTTCAGGACTCACTCTACTTTCTTTTGATTTCCATTGTTTCTATTAAACAACCTCTAGTTTTACTCTTCTTATTAAACAGTATTATTCCTTGATTTTTCTTTGGCTGCTTTTAATTTTTAACTTTGTCATTTTTAGCAGTTTTACTGATATATCCAGGAGTGGAAATCTCTTTATATCCATTTCTTGTTTTTATAGAGCTTTCTTAATTTGTAGTTTTATCTTTTTATGAAGTTTTGTCAATTGTGACAATTCCTAGTTTCTTTTCTAATATTGCTCCTGCCTTTCTCTTATCCCCTTCAAAGACTGAAATTACACATACATACGTTACAACATTTGCCCTTATCCCACATATTACTTGTTTCTCATACTTCTTTTTCTTACTGTGTTTCACATTACATATTTATACTGAACTAAAGACTAGTTTACAAATGCTAAATTTTACTGTGTCATATGTACGGATAAATCTATATTTTTTAGTTGTTTACTGCAATTATTGTATTTTTTGTTCCAGAATATTGCATTTTATTTTTCAGTACAGTTTTTATTCTCTGGCGAGTTTCTCTATCCTGTCATCTATTTTATTGAAGATAAAGTCACAATCATAATCATTTTAAAATCTAACTGTGATAATTCAAATACTCGAATCACTGGAAAACCTATTTGATTCATTTGGATTTTGTCATTTGTTTCTGTTTTTTGGTTGGTTCGTTGTCATTTTTCTTCTGTGTGTTTGTATGTGTATGTTTCATGCCTGGGAAGTTTTTACTACATGCTAGACATTGTGGTGGAAAAATTTAGATTTACCATAATGTTATCTTCCTCCAGAAATAACATAATTTCTGTTGGTTTGTTTGTTTCTGTTATGCAGTTAGAGAAAAGCAGATCATCTTCATCCAGTCAGGATTTAATATGACTGGAGACTGGATTTCAGACATCCTGGGATTTGTCTGTTTTCAATGTGACTTTCTTTTTAGAGGACTTTAGGATTCTCAAATAAAAATCAGTGGTGTTTCCAAATGTCTCTTATTGGTAGGCCTTAAACACATTTTTGCTTCCCTTCCTTAAACTGATGAAATTCCCCCAAATTCTGAGCTGCTGTTTTCTGTTTGTTTCTTCAGCCCCTTGAAAGAGATGTAGACCTGAGCCATCCATGTAGATGAAGGATTAATATTCCAGGTAAAGCCAAAGCCAGTGCCAAGACAGTAAAGCTTAAGTGTGCCTGGATTCTATCTAACTATATTTTGTACCCAATAAACTATTCCTCTTTATTACCTACTTTCCACTACACTTCCCAGCTTCTGGTAACCACCATTTTATTTACTACCTCCATGAGATCAAGTGTTTTAGCTCCCATATGTGAATGAATACTTGCAACATTTCTCTTTCTGTGACTTTTATTTATTTATTTATTTATTTATTTATTTATTTATTATTATACTTTAAGTTTTAGGGTACATGTGCACAACCTGCGGGTTTGTTACATATGTATACATGTGCCATGTTGGTGTGCTGAACCCATTAACTCATCATTTAACGTTAGGTATTTCTCCTACTGCTATCCCTCCCTCACTCCCCACGCCACGACAGACCCCAGTGTGTGATGTTCCACACCCTGTGTCCAAGTGTTTTCATTGTTCAATTCCCACCTATGAGTAAGAACATGCAGTGTTTGGTTTTCTGTCCTTATGAGAGTTTACTCAGAATGATGGTTTCCAGCTTCATCCATGTCCCTACAAAAGACATGAACTCATCCTTTTTTATGGCTGCATAGTATTCCATGGTGTATATGTGCCACATTTTCTTAATCCAGTCTATCACTGATGGATATTTGGGGTGGTTCCCAGTCTTTGCTATTGTGAATAGTGCCACAATAAACATACGTGTGCATGTGTCTTTTTAGTAGCATGATTTACAATCCTTCAGATATATAGCCAGTAATGGGATCGCTGGGTCAAATGGTATTTCCAGGTCTAGATCCTTGAGAAATCGCCACACTGTCTTCCACAATGGTTGAACTAGTTTACACCCCCACCAACAGTGTAAAAGTGTTCTTATTTCTCCACATCCTCTCCAGCATCTGCTGTTTCCTGACTTTTTAATGATCACCATTCTAACTGGTATGAGATGGTATCTCATTGTGGTTTTGATTTGCATTTCTCTGATGGCTAGTGATGATGAGCATTTTTTTCATGTGTCTGTTGACTGCATAAATGTCTTCTTTTGAGAAGTGTCGGTTCATATCCTTCGCCCACTTTTTTGATTTTTTTTTAAATTTTTTTCTAGTAAATTTGTTTAAGTTATTTGTAGATTCTGGATATTAGCCCTTTGTCAGATGGGTAGATTGCAAAAATTTTCTCCCATTCTGTAGGTTGCCTGTTCACTCTGTTGGTAGTTTCTTTTGCTGTGCAGAAGCTCTTTAGGTTAATTAGATCCCATTTGTCAATTTTGGCTTTTGTTGCCATTACTTTTGGTGTTTTAGTCATGAAGTCCTTGCCCATGCCTATGTCCTGAATGGTAATGCCTAGGTTTTCTTCCAGGGTTTTTTAGAGTTTTAGGTCAAACATTTAAGACTTTAATTCATCTTGAATTAATTTTTGTATTAGGTGTAAGGAAGGGATCCAGTTTCAGCTTTCTACATATAGCTAGCCAGTTTTCCCAGCACCATTTAGTAAATAGGGAATCTTTCCCCATTTCTTGTTTTTGTCACGTTTGCCAAAGATCAGATGGTTGTTGATGTGTGGTATTATTTCTGAGGGCTCTGTTCTGTTCCACTGGTCTGTATCTCTGTTTTGGTACCAGTACCATGATGTTTTGGTTACTTTAGCCTTGTAGTATAGTTTGAAGTAAGGTAGTGTGATGCCTCCAGCTTTGTTCTTTTTGCTTAGGATTGTCTCGGCAATGCAGGCTCTTTTTTGGTTCCATATGAACTTTAAAGTAGTTTTTTTCCAATTCTGTGAAGAAAGTCATCCGTAGCTTGAAGGGGATGGCACTGAATCTATAAATTACCTTGGGCAGTATGGCCATTTTCACAATATTAATTCTTCCTATCCATGAGCATAGAATGTTCTTCCATTTGTTTGTGTCCTGTTCTATTTTGTTGAGCAGTGGTTTGTAGTTCTCCTTGAAGAGGTCTTTCACATCCCTTTTAAGTTGGATTCCTAGGTATTTTATTCTCTTTGAAACAATTGTGAATGGGAGTTCACTCATGATTTGCTCTCTGTTTGTCTGTTATTGCTGCATAGGAATGCTTTTGATTTTTGCACATTGATTTTGTATCCTGAGAGTTTGCTGAATTTGCTTATCAGCTTAAGGAGACTTTGGGCTGAGAGGATGGGGTTTTCTAAATATACAATCATGTCATCTGCAAACAGGGACAATTTGACTTCATTTTTTCCTAATTGAATACCTTTTATTTCTTTCTCCTGCCTGACTGCCCCGGCCAGAACTTCCAACACTATGTTGAATAGGAGTGGTGAGAGAGGGCATCCCTGTCTTGTGGCAGTTTTCAAAGGGAATTCTTCCAGTTTTTCCCATTCAGTTTGATGTTGGCTGTGGGTTTTTCATAAATAGCTCTTATTATTTTGGGATACATTCCATCAATAGCTTGTTTATTGAGAGTTTTTAGCATGAAGGGCTGCTGAATTTTGTCAAAGGTCTTCTCTGTATCTATTGAGATAATCATATGGTTTTTGTCTTTGGTTCTGTTTATATGATGGATTACGTTTATTGATTTATGTATGTTGAACCAGCCTTGCATCCCAGGGATGAAGCCAACGTGATTGTGGTGGATAAGCTTTTTGATGTGCTGCTGGATTCAGTTTGCCAGTATTTTATTGAGGATTTTCACATTGATGTTCATCAGGGATATTGGTCTAAAATTCCTTTTTTTTTTTTGCTGTATCTCTGTCAGGGTTTGG
This sequence comes from Homo sapiens, assembly GCF_000001405.40. Classification (NCBI taxonomy): domain Eukaryota; kingdom Metazoa; phylum Chordata; class Mammalia; order Primates; family Hominidae; genus Homo; species Homo sapiens. The sequence continues at coordinate 104,334,501 of NC_000001.11, forward strand.
TATCAGAATGATGCTGTCCTCATAAAATGAGTTAGGGAGGATTCTCTCTTTTTCTATTGATTAGAATAGTTTCAGAAGGAATGGTACCAGCTGCTCTTTGTACCTCTAGTAGAATTTGTCTGTGAATCTATCTGGTCCTGGGCTTTTCTTGGTTGGTAGCCTATTAATTATTGCCTCAATTTCAGAGCCTGTTATTGGTCTATTCAGGGATTCAACTTCTTCCTGGTTTAGTCTTGGGAGGGTTATGTGTCCACGAATTCATCCGTTTCTTCTACATTTTCTAGTTTATTTGCATAGAGGTGTTTACATTATTCTCTGATGGTAGTTTGTATTCCTGTGGGATTGGTGGTGATATCCCCTTTATCATTTTTTATTGCATCTATTTGATTCTTCTCTCTTTTCTTCTTTATTAGTCTTGCTAGGGGTCTATCTATTTTGTTGATCTTTTCAAAAAACCGGCTCCTGGATTAATTGATTTTTTTAAAGTGTTTTTCGTGTCTCTGTCTCCTTCAGTTCTGCTCTGATCTTAGTTGTTTCTTGCTTTCTGCTAGCTTTTGAATGTGTTTGCTCTTGCTTCTCTAGTTCTTTTAATTATGAAGTTAGGTTGTTGATTTTAGATCTTTCCTGCTTTCTCTTGTGGGAATTTAGTGCTATAAATTTCCCTCTACACACTGCTTTAAATGTGTCTCAGAGATTCTGGTACTTTGTGTCTTTGTTCTCATTGGTTTCAAAGAACATCTTTATTTCTGCCTTCATTTTGTTATTTACCCAGTAGTCATTCAGGAGCAGGTTGTTCAGTTTCCATGTAGTTGTGTGGTTTTGAGTAAGTTTCTTAATCTTGAGTTCCAATTTGATTGCATTGTGGTCTGAGAGACACTTTGTTATAATTTCTGTCCTTTTCCATTTGCTGAGGAGTGCTTTACTTCCAACTATGTGGTCAATTTTGGAATAAGTGCAATGTGGTACTGAGAAGAATGTATGTTCTGTTGATTTGGGGTGGAGAGTTCTGTAGATGTCTATTAGGTCCGCTTGGTGCAGAGCTGACTTCAAGTCCTGGATATCCTTGTTAAGTTTCTATCTTGTTGATCTGTCTAATATTGACAGTGGGGTGTTAAAGTCTCCCATTATTATTGTGTGGGAGTCTAAGTCTCTTTGTAGGTCTCTGAGGACTTGCTTTATTAATTTGGGTGCTCCTGTATTGGGTGCATATATATTTAGCATAGTTAGCTCTTCTTGTTGAATTGATCCCTTTACCATTATGTAATGGCCTTCTTTGTCTCTTTTGATCTTTGTTGGTTTAAAGTCTGTTTTATCAGAGACTAGTATTGCCAGCCCTGCTTTTTTTTTGTTTTGTTTTCCATTTGGTTGGTAGATCTTCCTCCATCCCTTTATTTTGAGCCTATGTATGTCTCTGCATGTGAGATGCGTCTCCTGAATACAGCACACTGATGGGTCTTGACTCTTTATCAAATTTGCCTGTCTGTGTCTTTTAATGGGGGCATTTAGCCCATTTACATTTATGGTTAATATTGTTATGTGTGAATTTGATTCTGTTGTTATGATGTTAGCTGGTTATTTTGCTCATTAGTTGATGCAGTTTCTTCCTCGCATTGATGGTCTTTACAATTTGGCATATTTTTGCACTGGCTGGTACTGGTTGTTCCTTTCCATGTTCAGTGCTTCCTTCAGGAGCTCTTGTAAGGCAGGCCCGGTGGTGACAAAATGTCTCAGCATTTTTTTGTCTGTAAAGGATTTTATTTCTCCTTCACTTATGAAGCTTAGTTTGGCTGGATATGAAATTCTGGGTTGAAAATTCTTTTCTTTAAGAATGTTGAATATTGGCCCCCACTCTCTTCTGGCTTGTAGAGTTTCTGCCAAGAGATCAGCTGTTAGTCTGATGGGCTTTCCTTTGTGCATAATCTGCCCTTTCTCTCTGGCTGCCATTAACATTTTTTCCTTCATTTCAACCTTGATGAATCTGACAATTATGTGTCTTGGGGTTGCTCTTCCCAAGGAGTATCTTTGTGGTGTTCTCTGTATTTCCTGAATTTGAATGTTGGCCTCCCTTGCTAGGTTGGGGAAGTTCTCTTGAATAACATCCTGAAGAGTGTTTTCCAGCTTGGTGCCATTCTCCCCGTCACTTTCTTTCTTTTTTTTTTTTTGTTTTTTTGAGATGGAGTCTTGCTCTGTCGCCCAGAGACTGGAGTGCAGTGGCGCCATCTCGGCTTACTGCAAGCTCCGCCTCCCAGGTTCAGGCCATTCTCCTGCCTCAGCCTCCTGAGTAGCTGGGACTACAGGCGCCCGCCACCATGCCTGGCTATTTTTTTGTATTTTTAGTAGAGACGGGGTTATAACGCGTTATCCAGGATGGTCTCGATCTCCTGACCTCGTGATCTGCCCGCCTTGGCCTCCCAAAGTGCTGGGATTACAGGCCTGAGCCACTGCGCCCGGCCTCCCCATCACTTTCAAGTACACCAATCAAATGTAGATTTGGTCTTTTCACATTGTCCCATATTTCTTGGAGGCTTTGTTCATTTCTTTTTACTCTTTTTTCTCTAAACTTCTCTTCTCTCTTCATTTCATTCATTTGAATTTCAATCACTGATACCCTTTCTTCTACTTGTTTGAATTGGCTACTGAAGCTTGTGCCTGCATCAGATAGTTCTCATGCCATGGTTTTCTGCTCCATCAGGTCATTTAAGGTCTTCTCTACACTGTTTATTCTAGTTAGCCATTTGTCCAATCTTTTTTCAAGGTTCTTAGCTTCCTTGCAATGGGTTCAAACTTCCTCCTTTAGCTCGGAGAAGTTTGTTATTACCAATCTTCTGAAGCCTACTTCTGTCAACTCATCAAAGTCATTCTCTGTCCAGCTTTGTTCCATTGCCGGCAGGGAGCTGCAATCCTTTGGAGGAGAAGAGACGCTCAGGTTTTTAGAATGTTCAGCTTTTCTGCTCTGTTTTCTCCCCATCTTTGTGGTTTTACCTACCTTTGGTCTTTGATGATGGTGACCTACAGATGGGGTTTTGGTGTGGATGTCCTTTTTGTTGATGTTGATGCTATTTCTTTCTGTTTGTTAGTTTTCCTTCCAACAGTCAGGACCTTCAGCTGCAGGTCTGTTGGAGTTTGCTGGAGGTCCACTCCAGACCCTGTTTGACTGGGTATCACCAGCAGAGGCTACAGAACAGCAAATATTGCAGAACAGCAAATGTGGCTGCCTGATCCTTCCTCTGGAAGCTTCATCTCAGAGGGGCACCCAGCTGTGTGAGGTGTCAGTCGGCCCCTACAGGGAGGTGCCTCCCAGTTAGGTTACTCAGAGGTCAGGGACCCACTTGAGGAGGCAGTCTGTCCATTCTCAGATCTCAACCTCCATGCTGGGAGAACCACTGCTCTCTTCAAAGCTGGCAGACAGGGACGTTTATGTCTGCAGAAGTTTCTGCTGCCTTTTGTTCAGCCATGCCCTGCCCCCAGAGGTGGAGTCTACAGAGGCAGGCAGGCCTCGCTGAGCTGTGGTGGGCTCCACCCAGTTCGAGCTTCCTGGCCACTTTGTTTACCTAGTTAAGCCTCAGCAATGGTGGACAGCCCTCCCTCAGCCTCGTTGCCACCTTGCAGTTAGATCTTGGACTGCTGTGCTAGCAGTGAGCAAGGCTCCCTGGACGTGGGACCCGCTGAGCCAGACAGAAGATATAATCTCCTGGTATGCCATTTACTAAGACTGTTGGAAAAGTGCAGTATTAGGGTGGAAGTGTCCTGATTTTCCAGGTACCATCTGTCATGGCTTCCCTTGGCTAAGAAAGGGAATTCCCCAACCTCTTGTGCTTCCCAGGTTAGGCGATGCCCTGCTTCAGCTCACATTCTGTGGGCTACACCCACTGTCCAACCAATCTCAATGGGATGAACCTGGTACCTCAGTTGGAAATGCAGATCACATGTCTTCTGTGTGGCTCACCCTGGGAGCTGCAGACTGGAGCTGTTCCTATTCAGCCATCTTAAAACCACCCCAGCCTGTCTTATTTCATTTAACATAATGTCCTCCATTTCCATACTGCAAATGACAGGATTTTATTCTTTTTGATGGCTAGATAATATTTCTTTATATATATACCCATACCACATTTTCTTTATCCGTTAATTCATTGATGAACACTTAGGTTGATTTTATATCTTGGCTATTGTGAATAATGATGCAGTAAACATGAGAGTACAGATATCTCTCCAATATCCTAATTTTCTTTCTTTTAGATATATGACTAGTTGAATTGCCCTATCCTAAGGTAGTTCTATTCATAGTTTTTTGAGGGACATCAATACTGTTTTCCATGGTCGCTGTACAAATTAGCATTTCCAACAAAAATGTCTGAGTGTTCCTCTTTTTTTGCATTCTCACCATCATTTGTTAGTTTCTGTCCTTTTGATTGTAGCCATTTTAACTGGGGTGGAGTGATAATGTCAATATAGTTTTGAATTGTGTTTCCCAGATGATTAGTGATGGTAAGCATATTTTCATATGCCCATTGGCCATTTGTATGTCATCTTTTGAGAAATGTTTATTCAGATGTTTTGCTCATCAATATTTAATTAGAATTTAGATAGATAGGCAGATAGATGATAGATAGATACATTGCTGTTGAGTTGAGTTTCCTATTCTGTTATTCATCTCTTGTCAGTTGAATACTTTGCAAATATTATCTACTATTTTGGGTTTTGTAGATGTCCTCTTCTCCTGTTTGATTGTTTCCTTTGCTATGCAGAAGCTGTTTAGTGTGGTGTGATTCCATTTGTCCATTTTGATTTGTTTTCCCATGCTTTTGAGGTCTTACTCAAGAAATCTTTCTCAAACTAATGTCTTAAAACAATTCCTGAATGTTTATCTCTAGTATTTTTGAAGGTTATACATCTTAAATTTAAGACTTTAATCCACTTTGATTTGATTTTTGTATATGGTAAGAAATAGGAGTCTGGTGATCTAGAGTGGTAAAATAGGGCAATTGTGGTTATCAATAATTTATTATAAATTTCAAAATAAGTGGAAGAGTAGATATGGAATATTCCCAAGACAACAAAATAATCATTATTGTGAATAGCCCAAGTACCCAAATCTGATAATTACGTAGTGTATGCTTGTATGAAAATATCACATGTACCTAAAAGATATGTGCAATTATTATGTATCTATTAAATTAAAAACACAAAAGTAAAGTATGCATGACATGTACATGTGCCAGTCAGGACTATAAGGCAAGAAAATGTAAAAAAGAATAGTAGATGAGACCATTATGGCAATGAGTGAAGATCACATAGGAACTGCAAATTGGCTTTTTTATGTTTACAAACTTGCAGATTCCTCAAGATAAATAATGCAATATAACGTTTCCTTTTTTGGGGGAATCTTAGCTTCTCTCTCAGATTCCAGCTGACTTAGTTTGCTGTGAAGCCTACTTGTGTATGTTTGTTTGTGTGTGTGTACATTCTGTTTTTTATTATGTTTTTAGTTGTTATTATTGGAAGCCATCATCTATTAAGTTGTTATTATTGGAAAGGTTATTTTATGATATAAGCTACTTTTTCATAGCTGGGAGAAGCCAGTTTGGGGAATATTTATAATGTAAATCCAACAAGGCTTGATATTGGTTTGGAGATAGAGTGTCAGAAAGTAAAGGAATCAAAGATGATTTTAAGATTTTTGGCTTCAGCCACTTAAAGAATGGATTTACCATTAAGTGAGATGGGGGAAAACAGCAGATGCTGAAAGTTTTGAGAAGAGAATTTATTATATAAATTCCAAATCAATATTGGGAACTGGAAAACAGACATAAATAGAAGAGTCACTAACCTATACCAATATTTTAAAACATGTGGCTAGTCAAAGATCAGATGGGTATAGATGTGTGGCATTATTTCTGAGGTCTCAGTTCTGTTTCATTGTCCTATATGTCTATTTTGGTACCAGTACCATGATATTTTGGTTACTGTAGCCTTGTAGTATAGTTTGAAGTCAGGTAGCATGATGACTCCAGCTTTGTTCTTTTTGATAAGGATTGTCTTGGCTATGTGGGCTTTTTTTGGTTCCATATGAAATTTAAAGCAGTTTTTTTCTAATTCTGTGAAGAAAGTAAATGTTAGCTTGATGGGGATAGCATTTAATCTACAAATTACTTTGGGCAGTATGGCCATTTTTGTGATATTGATTCTTGCTATCCATGAGCATGGAATGTTTTTCCATTTCTTTTTGTCCTCTCTTATTTTCTTGCTCAGTGGTTTGTAGCTCTCCTTGAAGAGGTCCTTCACATCTCTTGTAAGTTGTATTCCTAGTTATTTTATTCTCTTTGTGCCAATTGTGAATGGGAGTTAACTCATGATAAATACAAGCAATGGGTAAAGGATTCCCTATTTAATAAATGGTGTTGGGAAAACTGGCTAGCCATATGTAGAAAACTGAAACTGGATGCCTTCCTTACACTTTATACAAAAATTAACTCAAGATCGGTTAAAGACTTAAACATAAGACCTAAAACCATAAAAACCCTAGAAGAAAACCTAGGCAATATCATTCAGGACATAGGCATGGGCAAAGACTTCACAACTAAAACACCCAAAGCAATGACAACAAAAGCCAAAATTGACAAATGGGATCTAATTAAACTAAAGAGCTTCTGCACAGCAAAAGTAACCATCATCAGAGTGAACAGGCAATGTACAGAATGGGAGAAATTTTTTTGCAATCTATCCATCTGACAAAGGGCTGATATCCAGAATCTATAAGGAACTTAAACAAATTTACAAGAAAAAAACAACCCATCGAAAAGTGGGTAGAGGGTATGAATAGATACTTCACAAAAGAAGACATTTATGCAGCCAAAAACCTTATGAAAAAAAGCTCATCATCACTGGTCATTACAGAAATACAAATCAAAACCACAATGAGATACCATCTCACACCAGTTAGAATGTTGATCATTAAAACGTCAGGAAACAACAGATGCTGAAGAGGATATGGAGAAATAGTAACGCTCTTACACTGTTGGTGGGAGTGTAAATTAGTTCAATCATTGTGGAAGACAGTGTGGCAATTCCTCAAGGATCTAGAATCAGAAATGCATTTGACCCAGCAATCCCATTCCTGGGTATATACCTACAGGATTATAAATCATTCTACTATAAAGACACATGCACACGTATGTTTGTTGCAGCACTATTCACAATAGCAAAAGCTTGGACTCAACCCAAATACTTATCAATGATAGACTGGATAAAGAAAATGTAGCTCATATACACCATGGAATACTATGCAGCCATTAAAAAGGATGAGTCCATGTGTTTTGCAGGGACATGGATGAAGCTGGAAACCACCATCCTCAGTAAACTAACACAGGAACAGAAACCCAAGTACCACATGTTCTCATTCATAAGTGGGAATTGAACAATGAGAACACATGGACATAGGGAGGGAACATCTCACACTGGGGCTTGTCATGGGGTGGGGGCTGAGGGAGGGATAGCATTAGGAGAAATACCTAATGTAGGTGACAGGTTGATGGGTGCAGCAAACCACCACGGAACGTATATATCTATGTAACAAACCTGTATGTTCTGCACATGTATCTCAGAACTTAAAGCATAATAAATAAATAAATAAATAAATAAATAAATAAATAAATAAATAAAACGTGGCTAGAACAGATCACAAATGATGTAAGGATAAATAGGGAAGGGAAGAGGAACACAGGCTGAATTCTGGGGCACCCCAATATTTATAGGTTAAGGAGTAAAGATCATGAGAATGAGCACCAAAATGAGGAGAAGATAAATAGAATGTGGTGTCTAAGACACCAAATGTGAAAATATTTCAAGAAGAGAATGAATAGGATTAAGGATTAATGAGCAGAATTAAGTGCTCTTTCTAGGTAACAATGATGAAAACTTTGTCATTGATTTAGAAACATAAAGAATATTGATGACCTTGACAAAAGCAGTTTCAAGGGGAAAAAACTTTATTTGAAGTGGGTTTTAAAAAGAAAAGACAAATTATTTGGAGACAATAAATATAGACGATCTGCTAGGAATTTTGCCTCAATAAGAAACGAAAGTAATCTAAGCTATGACAAACAAATACAGATGGACTAGAAATAAAAATAATGATAAAGTCGTATGTGGGCCAAAGGGGAACAGTTTGCTTTTTAAATAGGAGAAATAAAAACATGTATTGAAGCTAATAATAGTGTAGGAAAAAGATAATGTTAGACAAGAGAGAACTGCTAAAATAATTCCTTATGGAGCTTTTTACAGACATAATGTTTACTTATTTAATGCTCAAATGAGGTCTTAGTGTCATTATTATTTTCTAATTAATAATGATATTATTATTTATTATTACTATTACTTCAATTTTATATATGGGAAAAGAGAACTTTTAGTAATTTATTCAAATTCTACAGGTTCATTTGGAAACTACATTTGAGCTTTGAGAGCCCAGCCTGCCTCCGGAGTCCACCATTTTAAACACCAATTCCACATTGAGCTCACTTTCACTCTTGTTTTCATTTATTCCTGTCATAATTCCTGGAGGTTTTATGGCCACTTAATTAGTGCCTCCATGATCTTTTATTTTCTTGACCTCCTTTTCTGTAATGATCTTTTTCTTAACAACATTTTAGTGACTTACTCCAATGGTCATGATCTAGACATCAATATTCTCAATCACTCTCCAGTCCATAATCTTATATTCAAGCTTTCTAGCCTCTGGCAACCCCTCTTACCTCTCCAGCTCTCATTCTTAGAACTTTAACTCCCACAATTATCTGATATAAAAGCGACTTACTCTTATGTTCTTAACCAACCATTTTTTAAAACTTTCTGTCAATCTTCATGTTCTTCCTTCCCTCACTCCCCATCTTAGATTCAATAGTCCACTATTTCAATTATTCCCACACATGCAACCTCTATTTCCTTACATTTCTCAACTCAGTAAGAAAAATCTCATCCATGATTAAATCCAGCTTTACAACCTTTAATTTGCACCCTCATACCTATGTATGGCTATAGAAAAAATGCAACCATAAAGATTAACCACACTTTAAATTACTGAAACTTAAACTTAAGTGGAATCTCAAGTTAGTCCAGTAATACTGTTACAGTTTTCTATGACATTTTCTCCTTCATTCTCTGAGATAACCATTTCTTACTTTATCCCCTCAAATATTAAGCATGTCATTCTTTCTCATCGTTTTTAGTTAATGATCTAATTTCCTATTTCACTGGGAAAAGTAACAGAAATCAAATAAAAACTTCCACACTTTCCTACCAACAATTATTTCCTGTTTGTTTCTGTACTCATACAATCCACAATCCCTTATTTTCCAACTAATGGATTACACATGCCTTGAAATACAAAGGACTCTATTTGTGCACTGAATTCCAGCACTTCTAGTCTTTCCAAGAATATTCCTATAGAATTGTCACTGTAATATCTCTATATCATCAGGGTTATATTTTCTCTCTCTCGTGTCTCATTTATCCTCACCATTATTCAAGTAATATGATATTCCTTATCTTAAAAATTATCTCAACTCACACACTCCAGCAACTATCGTTCAATGTGTTATGTCCTTTCTTCTTTATAACAAAATACCTTGAAAGAGCCCTCTATATTCATTGTCTATATTTCTCCTCCTATTCTTTCCTAAATGCTTTCTATCCTTCAACATTTCATCAGAAGTTTTTTTGAGAAGATCAGCAATAACTTGGATATTGTGAAATTCAAAGATTAATTCTCAGTGTCTGTGTTATTTGGCCTATCTGGAAAGCAGGTCTCAACTTTTTGAAGTCCATTTTTTACCTGGCCTTTGGAATCTCATTCTCTCTTCATTATCCTCCAACTTCACTGATTAGTGTTAGTGCTTGCAGTTTCTTTTGCTGGCTCTTCATTTCTAATCAAATGATCTGGTCTTACTATTCATCCTTCTTCTCTTCTAGTCTCCCATTTAAATCACTGCATACATCTAGGTGTAGGGAGCAGAATATTTCATTTACACTCCTTCATGGAATGCCAATGACACTGTTGAACTTGCTACTCGTGATGGCTGACTCAGCGCAGTGCCACTATAATCTTGGTAGGCCTTTTGTCCACAGACTGACTGGTTGTGACGCTTTCTTCCTTTGGGTAGAAGTTGCATTTCCCGTGGTTCCCAACGGCTTCTTTGAAAAAGATTTTAATTGGCAACAAGGAACTTTTTTAAGAACGCAAAGAAGACAATAAGTTAATTTCCTCTCTGTCTATATTTTATTTTACTAAACTATGAAAATGGATATAGGAAAGAAATGTAAATTGGTAAGGTGAATTGAAAGCACTACTTAAATTTCTTAATTATGGAATTTTTCTTTGAAAGTGCAGAAGCATGAGCTTTAGGATTGCACTTTTTTGAAGGGAGGATGATGTGTGTATAGTCTATGAGGGACTGTGAAATAGCTTTGAGTAAATCTTCTAGGGGTGTTATAATTTTTATACCTCATTGCTCACAGTGGTTGGTGCAATAGTTTATTTTTTATGGCATTGCATTTATGGTGGCCCAGAATAAAATTTTCAAACTTATCTTTTCTCCTAGCGGATTTTTTCTTTATAGCTTAGATTCTTAAATACAATGCTCAACATTACAGTCATTTACCATGCTTTTTCTTCTGACATATGAAAAGTCTGGTATTGTAATCATATTTAACAGTTATAAGTTTTCAGTTATTAACACGCTCCTTATTTAACCATGTATAACGTAACAAATGGTTGGATGAAATTTGTGTGTTTTTAATATGTAGCTGTTTTCTTAACAATGTATTTACCTTTTTATTTTGACTAGGTCTTTACCTGGTTTTATAATAGGTACAGCTGAACAAGCATGCCCGAATGAACACACATACCAATTGATGAAAAAGCTTTTCACAGCACACATGCCCGAACTATGCTTGTTTCAGTTAGATAGATTTTGCTATTCATGCAACAGGTCACTATGCAATTTAGAAGCAATTAAAAGGTAATGAATGTGCTGAACTGAACACTCTGCCTAGAAGGTTTTTTCTGTGTATACTGAGAAAGTAGATTTGTGTGTCTCTGTTGTCCCCTGCAGTAATATTTTCAGCAAAATTTCAATGTCAAGAGTCTACAGACACCTTCCTAAAATAAGTCAAGGGCAATCTTGATTTTTTTCTGCAAAGATTATTACACAAAGAGTTGCAAATATTTCATTGGTGCAATAGCATGAATCATCCTACAAATAGTTATTGGGCGTAAGCTAATGTAAAAGTCAAATTTCCATTGTGCATATATATATATATTTTTGTTCTGAGAAATGTTAGGACATTTATTCATTTACTGAGAAAACTTATCAGCTTTGCCTCTTAGAAAGTGTATCTTTGGACATATTAATTTTCACACAGTGATGAATACAGAGTAATATTTTTTTCTTTTGATAAAATAAAAACAGTAAAATGCAATGCTTGAGAGCATTAACATTAATGATCTTGACAGAAATTAATTTATATACCAAGTGTTTTAACCTCCCCAAATTGAATTTCTTCATATGAAAGATAGAGACAATAATATTTATAACTCATAGGGGCATTAGAAGATTAAAGAAGTTAATAAGTTACATACCTTGTTCCTGATAACTTTTATTGTTCGTTTGGTGTTATTATTTTCATCTGGAAATAAGTAGCAGCTGGGCGTGTTGTTGTTGTTGTTGTTGATGGAGTCTTCCTCTGTGGCCAGGCTGGAGTGCGGTGGTGCGATCTCGGGTCACTGCAACCTCCGCCTCCCGGGTTCAAGCTATTCCCCTGCCTCAGCCTCCCGAGTAGCTGGGACTATAGGCGCGCGCCACCAGTTAGTAGAGGTGGGGTTTCACCATGTTGGCCAGGATGGTCTCAATCTCCTGACCTCGTGATCTGCCCGCCTCGGGCTGCCTTTCTCTTTTAATACTACATGCTGCATACCTCCTGCTGTGCATATTATTTCATCAGACAAGGTACTATCCAATTGTCATAGGTATAGTTTTGAATGCAATTGGTCAGTGAGTTAATTTCCCCATACCTCACCTGCTCATCTGTTTTGTAATGTACACATCTTCAAAATTGTTCTACGAATTCCTGTATAATATGGTTTGGGAAGAAGATATCTTCACCAGGGTGCTTAGTCCAAATAGAAATCCTTATCCAACTAAATCTGAAAAAATTCTGAAGTTTATTCCTGCTTTAGAATGACACAAAATGAAGTAGCATAAAAAATATTTGAAAAGTCCAGAAGAAAGCTTTTTTTACACTTTATTAAAGTTTTTGATAACTAGAAATGAGCTGGTTTGGGGATTATTGACCTAGATTGAATCATCGAAGTGTGCTTAACTTCTCTTGTCCTCAACATCAAATATTACTTAGCTGATGTCCTTTACTGAAATCCCCAGAATTATGTATCTCTAAATTAAGATATTATATTTCTAAAGAATATTAGTTAAAATGCAAATATTTACTTGAAATATTTCCTTTAGTAAGCATTTTTATTGTTATTATTTTTTAGAAAGCAGCAAAGCCATTAAATATTAACACATTTGGTTTCTCAAAATGGAAATCTGGGATTTATATACAATTTTTTTCTATCAACACTGTATTCCATCGACCTCCACATTTTATTGATTGCAACTCAGAAATGTCTAGTGGTGCTCTGGAGTTGGTTGGTATGAGCTCAGGAGAGCTGACTGTGCACATCTCTTCCCAATTTTGCATTCAGTGATAAAAACATTGGCAGTTTGAAATTGGCCATGGTAGGAGCATTCATATACCACAGATCTGGCAAATGGTACTCATCAGGTACTGTTTGTTTTGAACTAGTTGTGAAATATTTACCAGCATATCACTATAAATACCTTTGCATGTTGATCCCCCTTTATATTCTTCTAGCTCAGTGTTAGTTCTGGCCACCTGATTTCTTACCTGGAATATTGCAACTTGGACCTGATCACTTAAGTATATTCTCTACATAAGTGTCATATGTTGCTTCACAAGAATATAATAAATGAATAAATAAATACATAAATAAAACATGTCTTAATATTTTTATATTCTGTTTAAACTCCTCAATCTCCCTGTAGTCTGCAGATAGTATGTAACTTGCTTTATAGGTCTTTAGAAGGCCCTTTATATTCTGTTAATTCATTCATTTCCAGTTTTGTAATTTCCTTTATTGACTTTGAAATTCTCATCATTCCTGAAATGGCCCTGCTTGCTTTACATATTTCTCCAACAGCAGGATTTTTATCTTTCTAAAAGCTTGAAATATCACTTTTCTGTGAAATATTTTCTAAATAGCCTGATTGCCTTAGTTAAAATCGTCTTTCTGTCTCTACAAATTTATATATAATTTTAACTCTCATATAAAATTGATTACACTGAATCAGACTTACCTATTAATATAGTTGTCCTTTACACTAGTTTCTGGGTTTATTGACACCTTGATAGGTGTTTGCTTTTAAATTGATGATTTCAAAAACAAGCTGAGGGTAGTAAGCTGAAGACGCAGAGAGGAAGTGCAGAGGACAAACCTGAGGGAGCTCTCTACAGTTTCATCCAGTACTCTTTACACCACATGATGAAACACAGAAAATGTGGACCATCAAACATTCCTTCATAAAATAAGCAATCTCATTTAAAAGCATAGGCATTTAAACATAGTTTATGAGAGATTGTGAAGTGAGAGTTATTAATGCAGAACCAAATTACTTTAGAGCAGGCAAAACAGTGGATGCTTATAATGGATTCTTCCACTCATATGTCATTTGAAAAACTCATATTTTCAAGAAGAGAAGGGAAAGTGGGCTGGAGGGAAAATTAGGAATGGATTTCTCTTTTTAATCCAGAATTAATCCCATTGTATGGCTAGGATATATATTATAGCACATGGATATTGATTCATAACCCCATTTAATGTGATACGACACACATGTTTTTAAAAGCCATTTATTTTAGCTGCTTCCACAAGCTGCCTGAAATCCTATTAAGAAAGAGAGCTCTGAAGAAATATGTCTTACTTGTTGTTAAGGGCTTACAAATACAGATATCTCAGAGTAATCCTGCCTTTACAACAAATGTTATCTGTAATGCAGTGTTATGCTAAACAGTCATAATCTTTTTTACCTTCAATTCTACAGAAGATATATTAAAAGAAATGCAGTATACCTGTGTCTGTGATACCTTTGACTAAATACAAAGTTGTGTATGAAGAGAAGAAAGATCATTATCTACAGTTATGCTCCTTCATCCAGTAAATGTTTACTTGACACTCCTGTTAAGCCTGACAGTGTTTCAGGCCCTTAGGATAAAATGGTGACTATAAAGAGACAGAATTCTTACTCTCTCTGGGAGACAGATATTAAATAATAATGATAAAGATGCCCTAGGAGGAAAATAAGGATTCTTTGAAGGCAAAAATAGACCTAGGTGTCATAGGCCTGAAACTATTGTATTAATAATTTGACAGTTGTTTTAAGAAAAAAAATACAAAGTACAGGTACAAACAAAACCTAAGGTAAAGGAAATTAGAAGGCGTGCCAGGAAGTGAGGGATCTCAAATCTTACATTTCATCCACATCACTATCCACCACTGTTTGAGTGTTTCTTTGAGGCCCTCCATATCGGATTCAACCAACCAGATAGAAAATACAATTGGCCCTTGAAAAGCACAGGTTTGAACTGGACAGATTCACTTATACTTGGATTTTCTTCCACCTCTGCCACCCCGGAGACAGCAAGACAAACTCAACTTCTTCCTTCTCCTCCTTAGCCTACTCAACTTGAGACATGATGAGGATGAAGACCTTTATCCTCCTTAGCCTACTCAACCTGAGACATGATGAGGATGAAGACCTTTATCCTCCTTAGCCTACTCAACCTGAGACATGATGAGGATGAAGACCTTTATGATAAACCAATTCCACCTAATGAATAGTAAATGTATTTTCCCTTCCTCATGATTTTATTAATAACATTTGCCAGCTTTCTTTATTGTAAGAATATCATATTTAATACATATAACATACAAAATGTGTGTTAATTCACTGTTTATTTTATTAGTAAGCCTTTCAGACAACAATAAGATATTAGTAGTTGTGTTTTGGGGGAGATAAAAGTTGTATGCAATTTGTGACTGGGCCCCTAAGTCCTGCCTTGTTCAAGGGTCAATTGTCTTCCGAAAATAGAGTAATAATAATATTAATAATACAATACAAATTATACAAATTTTAAAATATAGGATAGCAACTATTTACATATTTACATTGCATTATGTATTATAAGCAATATAGAATTTATTTAAAGTATATGGGAGAATGTGTGTAGGTTATATGCAAATACTATGCGATTTTATATTAGGAATTTGAGTGTCCACATTTTGGGATCTGTAGGGGTTGGGGAAGAGATGTACAGGAAGCAAACCCATGTGGATACCAAGGGACAACTGTATGTAACAAAGCAACTCGAATTAGAGAGTATCACCATATGGTAACAGGGACAGTATCAGGAAAAGTATCCCTGAGAAGGTGACTTATGATCTGAAACAAAAGACATATATTATGTTTAGTAGTTAACTAGTTAGCCTGAAAGAGAGAGAAGGGTTGAACATTCCAGAACATGCAGCTCAGGCAAAGGCACTATGATATTTGAGATCATGGTATTTTCTGATAACTAATTATTGGACAATTTGACTAGGCCAGAGAGAGTAGAGGAATGGTACTGCCCAGGGAGCTGGAATACAGACAGTGGCTGAAACATGGCATCCTAAATTATAGCATCATTTCTAACTCTTCACCCTACTCTTAATAACGTTTGTTTAAAATATAACTGGTGTAGGCATAAGCAGGCAAGATGGTTCATGCTTGTAATTCCAGCACTTTGGGAGGCCAAGGCAAGAGGATTTGTTGAGCCCAGGAGTTTGAGACCAGCCTGGGCAACACAGGGAGACCCTGTCTCTACAAAAAAATTTAAAAATTAGCAGGTTGTGGTGGCACCCGCCTGTATTCCCAGCTATTCAGGGGGCTGAGGTGGGAGGATCACTTAAGCCTTAGAGGTCCAAGCTGTAGTGAGCCATGTTCCCGCCACTGCACTCCAACCTGGGCAAAAAAAGAAGAAAAAAAGCGGTTTAAGTCTCTACTTCTCTGTGTCCCTTTCTTTAATCCCCAGGTATGTAGACGTTTTGAATTGCATTTTTTCTTTTTATTGAGACTGAGTTTTTTGCTCTGTCGCCCAGGCTGGAGTGCAGTGGTGCTATCTCAGCTCACTGAAATCTCTGCCTCCTGGGTTCAAGTGTTTCCCCTGCCTTAGCTCCCCTGCCTTAGCTCCCCTGCTTCCCCCACCACCCTGGCCTTGAGTAACTGGGATTACAGGTGCCCGCCACCATGCCTGAATATTTAATTGCATTTTTCTTTTTTATTCTTTCATTACTATTTTCATTTAAGTGATTATGTGTGTGTGTGTATGTGTGTGTGTGCACCTTTTATACAAATTTGGCTTGTACTGTTTGAAGAATATTTTATCTTGATATCAGTGGTTTTGATGCTCATATTTTCTGATCATTTTGACTTAGTAAAGTGTCATTTATTTTCATTCTGTAAATTTCAGAAAAATGAACTTCACCTTCCTTGATAGAACAAAGCATTATGACTTATCCATTTAATTCCCTAACTACTACTGTTTGAAAAAATAGGCATAGATTTAGTCTCTCCCTATAGTAGTGAATTTAAAGTTAAATGATTTTATTTTCATATATCCAGGAAATATCCTTTAACTGTAATAGTTTTCAGGATTATTTAAACTGCACAGCTTTTTTTTTTTTAACTCAACTCTTAAATATGAGCTTTTCTTTTTTTTTTCTTTTTTTGCTTTATTATTATTATTTTTTCACTCCCAGGCTGGAGTGCAGTGGCACGATCTTGGCTCACTGCAACCTATGCCTCCCAGACTCAAGCCATCCTCCCACCTCAACCTCTCGAGTAGCTGGGATTACAGGTGTGTGCCACCATGCCTGGCTAATTTTTCTATTTATGGTAGAGACAGGGCTTTGACATGTTGCCCAGGTTTGTCTGGAACTGCTAGACTCAAGCAATACACCCGCCTTGGCCTCCCGAAGTGCTGGGATTACAGATGTGAGCCACCACACCCTGCCCAAATATGAGAATTCATAGCTTCCAAACACTAAAAGGGTTTTGATGAGGTTCAATGAAACTAAACCATTCATTCATTTAATGTTAGTGAAAAGTTATACATTTTCTTTTTACTATATTATATAGAATTGAATACATATACTCTAAAAATTATTGTGTTGTATGCCAGTATTTTTTTTAAATGCTTGTAATTATAATTTTAAGATTTCACTAAATGCAAAAGGCAACCATATTTTAGAGATGTTAAAATGTGAAAATAATATAGCATACAGTAGATGTAATAGTATACTATTGGTTTCTGGGATATAAAAAACAATGCCTTACATTTTTGATACATGCATAGCAACATCCTAGATTCAAATTGAGCCAGTAATTGTCCTCAAAGCCAGAGATTACAATGAAGAGATTTAAAATAAACCAAAAATGCAAATTTATTTAAAACACCTTTTTAAAAAAGCTAACAAATTTTTGTACTCTATATGTATATGACTAATAACTAAATACAGCAGAATCAACAGCAAAAACTGAAGAGGTAAAGGACGTTTGGTGGGAATGGTCAGGGAAAGTGTAAGACAGATCTTAGAAATTATATCAAATATGCACATCCAGAAGGAGATGGCCCAACACTGAATGAAAACTGATATGAAACAAACTGAGTACAGGTAGAGTAGTAGGCAAAATAAAGATAGGATTGGGCTAGAGATGGAGATGGGGAGCAGGTTCCTAGGGAGCATGGACATGGTAAATTTAAGAAACTACCACTTATTAAAGAGAAGTTCCATCCTTTGAAAGTGGGAATAGTATCCCTTACTGTCTCTTCAGTGGTCAATCATGAACAACTCAGACAATTTCCAACCCCTGAGTAGAAGCTATCATTAGTTGTATTCTGTCCTGAGAGAATCAGAGGTGGCTTGGCCACACAGAAGCACCGTTTGCAAAGAACCTGTTCCTTATTTTAGCTACACAAAGAGCCCATTTGATTGCCAAGAGATGGCACAAACTGCACTGTTCCTTTACTCACTTCTCAGGACTTGGCATTGCTTAATAGGAAGATCCATCTTCGATATAAGTGACAAAAAAGCCTAAGGAATGTTTCAATCAAATATACTATTAATACAAGTAATATCCAGAGGAAAAAGGGGGATAACTAAGTAAAGGCAGTAAAATATCTCTGACGATGACAAATTCACCTAAGAAAAAAGTGACACAGGAAATTCATGAGCCAAATATACACCACTTTTTATTATCTTAATATTTCAATAAAAAATAAAGAAAATCAGAAAACAGGAATAAATTCCACAAGCATACAGCAAAATATGGCCAGATAACATAAGACTGTGGCCAAATGTTGAACCTGGTAGAACTGGTTAAATTTTGAAAGAAGTAGAAGAAAATACAAAGTAATTGGAAAGTAAAGGCTAAGCTACAAAGAACAAAATGAAAAATAGATGCTAAAAATGTGCAAAAAAGAATGTAAACTTTATAATAAAAATTATGATCAGAATGAATCACAAAGAGATATAAACAAATTTTTAAAGCAATAGCTAGATAAGACCTCAGAGAAGCGGCAACATATTCGTATTAAAATCCCTGCAAAAGATAACCAAAACTAAATGTTCAAAAATAAAATTCAAAAAGCACTTTATAAAATAATAGAGAATATCAGTGTACATGCTTTAAAAATAAAATACTTTGCATTCCAGGAAAAATTAACCCAGAATGAAAATATTTTAGTAAACTGGTTGGATTATAAATAAAAAGAAAAAAAAATCCTTTGGTGGTCTAAGTAAAAGATCAATTTACTTTAAGGAGAATAACTCCACATTTTGGTTATCCTGGGCCTTTGCTGATTTATGTTTTGAGTGCCGTCCAAATTTTTTCTTATTTTTTTCTCTCAAAAGAGTTTCCCCTTGGAAATAAATTGTAAAATCACATTTCTCACAACTTCTAATGTCTGTAGAGAGTAGAAATCTAGTTCTAAGAAGTCTATTAAATGAGCGGGCCAAGTGTTTTATATTCAGTAAAGCTCTTCTAGTGTGAAGCTTACAAACACCTCATTCTGAAGTTCCAGGAAGTCAGAGAATATATTTATTATAATGACTTCCTGATTGGTTTCCAAGATTATGATCAGCAACATGTGGCCTGCAAGCTAATTCAGGTCTCTTGTCTATTTTTGTAAATAGTTTTATTGGAACATACATTTACATATTGTCTATGGTTTCCTTTGCAATACACCACCAGAGTTAAATACTTACATCAGACATTGTATAGTTGATAAAGCCTAAAAGATTTACTATCTAACCTTTACCAAAAAAAATTTTCCAGCTGCTACAGAATAGGACCACTATTCTACAGTATTCTATACTAATAGCTTCACACTAGCATTCGGGAATCCTTGAAGTGAGTTGAAAGTAATCTTTTAAAATATTATGTTAATCAAATAATTGTATTATTCATAATCTTGAATAATCAGAATGTTAACTACCAAGCAATACAAAAATTATACTTTATTAGCTTGTAAGGTTGTGCACAATATAGTAATATTTTCTCTTTCTAATTTGGTATAAAGTCATTTAGTTGTATTAAAACATTGAAATGCATATTTTACCGTAATCTGATACAATGGAAGTTTCCTTAAAGTTAAGCCTCTTTCCAAAGGTTATAAATTGGCTGAACAGCTGCTGCCAAATGATGAAAAGCAATTTTTGTTTGCACTCCCACCAATTGCGAGACCAAAAACAAAGCTTCAGAAATCAAAATCAAAATAAAGCAAAACAAAAATAAAGCTTCAGCAGCAGCAGCATTATCACCTGCTGGCTCAGGAGTAGAAAATAGGTTTTAGTAAATATCTCCCATCTAAGCTACTTTATGCTAGGACCAGCCTGCTGAATCAGCTTCAAGAATACATGTTTTATATAACCCTTAAGTTTTATGTTTCAGCAATAGTGTATGAATAGTAACTTAACTTTCCAAAATAAATATCTTGAGCATATCAAAGTGCTACATTTTATTATTATTTTTCTTTTTGTGTTTATGATATAACTACATAAAACCAAGGTAGCACCTCTGTATTAGTCTGTTCTCATACTGCTAATAAATGCATACCTGAGATTGGGTAATTTATAAAGTAAAGAGGTTTAATGGATTTACAGTTCCACATGGCTGGAGAAGCCTCACAATCATGGTGGAAGGTGAAGAAGAATCAAAGGAATGTCTTACATGGTGGCAGGCAAGAGAGCATGTGCAGGAATACTCTTCTTTATAAAACCATCAGAGCTCATGAAACTTATTCACTATCATGAGAACGGCATGGGAAAAAATCTGTCCTTATGATTCAATTACCTCACAACAGGTTCCTCCCACAACGTGGAGATTATGGAAGCTAAAATTCAAGATGAGATTTGGGTAGGAACACAGCCAAATCATATCAACCTCCTATTCAAAACTGAGTCACCATTTTAAAGTGGTCTTCTACATTTGATTGTAATACAAGGAACACAGAAAGTGTCAGTATCATGCCTTGGAATAACAAACTTTGAGCTATCAGATGAGAGGCAAAGAGAACCAAAGTTTTTAATTTAAAAGATAATTTTAAACTTCTTCAAAAAATTAGAATTTCTAGATAAAATCTAGAAAAATTCATTTTCCCTAATTCCCATCAATATGAGCTTCATTGTTTCTTTATGGTGGCCTTTGTTTTTAATAAACATATATGTGGCTACTTGTATCATGGAATTATTACTCAACTTGTAAGTGTTTTATATATAAAAAATTAAGAGTATATTTCTATTAGTTTTTGAGTTTATCTTACAAACAAATTATACTATTCTGTTCGGAAATGTAAACCTTAAATAATTATTTAAGCTAATTAAATTTTGTTATATATTAAACTACATTAAATAGTTAAGGACATATATTGTTTGTCTAAAAATTAAATTTTCCAAAATATGACTTCTCTAAATTGGATATATTAAATTATAAATATGAAAAATATTTTTCTTTAAATTTTCGATATTGTTTCATACATAAGTTAGAAATTAAAAAGGTAAATTAAAGTTAAGAAACTAATCAATTAGATATTCTAACATGCCAAATTATTTTTTTAAATCATCCTCAGTTAAAATAAATATGTAACATGAATGTCCTCCTTAGAATATTTCCATAGTTAACATCTCCTTGACAGCACAGTCCAACTCTTTTGAGTTCATGTGAAACACTTACCTAATATTTTGTGTGTAATAGCCACATTTCATAGAATGTAACTCTCTCAAGATAACATCTTAAGCCAGATCAGAAGAAATATATAATTCCATTCCCAAATCTCAATATGAGTTGCATAACAAAATAAATGTTACATACAAAATGTAACTTGTAGAAATTGGAATCATGTGCCCTGAGAAACATCTTTCAAGTATCAATAGATATCCCCTCAGCTGTCGAGCTGACAATATTAACTTACTACTAACCACAATATTAGCACTAATGACAATATTGCTAACTACAATATTAGCACTTTGATTATCAAAAAGCAATATTTTCGGTGATCAACAAAATTTTCCCCATTTTATCCTACTATGACAGTTTATTATTTATACCTAAGTATGTCCTGTGGTTTAATCAAGTTTTAAGAAATTTTCAGGCAGCATTGGGTTAATAGGCAATACACTACAATAGGGTCTTATTAGAAATAATGGGGCATACATTCTCAGTTATTCTTTTTATGTAGGACATGGGATTTCAGGAACAGATCATTTGAGTTTCAGTGAAAGAGCCTGTGTTCATTTCTTTCATCATTTATACCTAATTACAAGCATTCTCATGGTAAAGGCATTTTTTTCATAAGAATAACATTATACTTTCCAAGATAATTGGGTTTTCTATGCTAAGCAAATTTGAATTTATTTTCACAGTTGATTGAGGTTGCTTATTAAAAAAATTTGGTCAAGGAATGAATTCTAGAGACACAAGGGTAATTATCACATTCAGCCCCTTTAAAAGGCTGTAAATGAGGTTGGCAGCACAGTCCAAGTCTCTAGAGTTCAAGTGACGTCCTTACCTAATTCCTGGGTAACTTCCTTCAAATTCATGTTCTGTATTAACCTGAGAAAACTGTTATTGTCAATTAATAAGAAAGACATAGTACTGAAACAGTTTTATCAAATTATAGACAGATAGAAATTTGTTTAAAGTAAAATGAGTAAGAATGGAGTATCATACAGTTACATGGAGGATCTGAACCACTTTGACAGAGAAAAGCCCTCAATTTCTAGACCATGTTTAGAGCTTTAGAAAAGGAGTTTCTAAACCCAATACTCTATATCTAGCTTACTTTGTAATTTCTTAATGAGTATACTTCTCAGCCAAGGTCTGATGTGCTACGTTTTCACACAGCCCAGTCACGCATTGCACCTATCAAAATACTGCTTTGTTTAGATTTTACCTGAACTCCACTCTTCCCCTTAACACTATGAGGTGATATCTTTGTTTGTGAAGTAGAAGACATTCTAGATTAATGCCAAGGAGTTTTAGAAGATGAAATTCTGTGATATATTTACTGATTACTTCACCACTTGATTGAGCTCAACTATATTTAAATTTGATTATTTTCTGCATTTTTTACGTTTTTCTGAAAACACTACAGCATTTACCAATATTTAAATTACACTCAATTGAATTATTCATATTTGCTAAGTTATTTGGTTTTAGAATAAGATATATTTATGGTCATTTTAAGAGTTCTCTGTAATGAATTTAACAAGTTATTTTAGCAAACGTCATTTAACGTATATTGAACAAATGGAAGGCACAGCTTTATATATTTCACCTACATTTAAAAGAGTGATTATTTTCAACAAATAAATTTTAATTTGTGAATACAGATGCAATCTGATGAAAAATTAAGATGAAGTTCTTTGAATAATTTTAATGTTGTTCTTTGAAATAACAAAATAATAGTAAGTTTAAGAATTAAAGAAAAGAACAGATTTAAATACAAATTACTGTTAAATCATGGAACTTACCTATAGCAGAAAAACTGGCACACAGATATACAGCATTCTCATTAATTCATTTATTTACCGTCAGTAACTCACAGCTAAGTTTTAATTCTTAACATATATTCAGAAAAACTAGCCCTTTTTTGTCTTGCACGTTGAAAAGAACTAGTAAGATTATAGCAATAATAAATTATAATTTATGTTCAATTTTATTTACTGTAATCACCACTTATTTAGTTTTAAAGTGACTTTTTATTAAAAAATAATATTACCAACTCATAATGATTAGAAAATCATAAACAGAGTATGGCTTATATTGTTTTCAATAGAGAAATACTATTACTATGAAAATTACTAAAATATGAGATAAAATTGCCATTAATACCTATGTTACATAACACTGAGAGATACCTGAATGGCTGTGATTTTTATGCTGTTATGGGAATTGCAATGTCCCAAAGCCTTAATCTGTTATAGTCACAAGAGTTGACCTGGTACTGCTTCTGTCACAGGTTGACTCAAGTAGAAGTGTCTGGTCTGCCAGCTCCTTTGCTTGTTCAAATTGGAACATATCAGAGGATGAATGGTGAATTCTTCATCCATCAAATGTGTCTCCATCCCTGTATACGAAACTGTGAGTGTGCATTTTAATGTATTCTCTACAGTGTGCTGTAAACTGCAGACATATTTTATAGCATGCTAGGAGCCTAGAAGAGAATATAGTTGCTGAAGTGAGAATTTTTTGTGGAAAATTATGCTTAGTTCTCTGTATTACCATTTCCATCAACCTTAGGGAAAGAAGTAAATTGTATTTAAGCCTCTTGAGTCATTCAGTATTAATCTTACAAAAACATGATCCTCCTAAGAGAGAAAGGAACACACAGCTTATGAAACAAAAGGCTTTGTCTCTCTTTCTTTTAAATTTATGCTCAAAGCATTTGTATTAAAAGTAGAAAAACATTAATAGGCATCATTGTAAAAATATCATGTTATGCCAAATGCCTGAACTTTTATTCAGATTATTTTGTGGAACATGACTCATTTTTTTTCCTAAGATTTCAACTTGATTCTTCTTTCAAAATACGTCTGTACAAGACAAAGTTCTTATTCAAACACGTAGCTTTGTAAGGGTCATCATTTCCTTTTTCAGTTGAATCTCAACTATCATGCAGCTCTTCAGAGAGGGCTGTGTCTAGCACGTTACTTTCCTAGAACAAGACAACCTTATAATATCACCACTTAACCATCAGTTAGATCTGTAACAGAGTCTGATAGGGCATTAATGGCTTTAGACATTTTACTTAGATACTTTGTATGTACAAGAACTTTAAAAATTTTTCTAGTAGAAATTACATTAGAAAATTATAGAAGATTTTTATATCTAAACACATTTTAAAAAAATATTAAGACATGGTAAGAAAATGATATGATTGAAATTTCTATTCTTGGTTAATGTTTTGAATTGCACATGCCTAACCTGTTTCATTTAGAATTTCCATAAAAATTATATCCTCATGCAATGTGCTTAGAATAATGCATTTAGTGTAGTTAGTGGTAACTCTGAAAAAAATGAAGATGACTAAAATTTAAAAAGGAATAATGGAAGCTTCAAGGTGAATGAATGCATTTATGAGCTGGGAGGTTGTTATGACCCGACTCCATGGGAAAATAAGCTCCTGTGCTTGAGATTCTCCCAGATTTTATTCCACATAGCTCTCCATCTGGCTATGTGACGGATGTCCCTATGTGACACAGTAGTGGACCTGGAAAAGAAAATATATGATATTTTAAAAATTAAGTTAAAAAGAAAATATTAAAATGTCAGTGCTATTAAGAAAAGAAGGAGATTGGCATAAAGAATTATAAATTTGTGGATCCCTGCATATGCTTTCCTACATGTATATAAACAGTTACTAACTTCTTAGAACTGCCACTGAACAATGTTTGTTTGAAGTGACATCAGCAACATGGCACATGAGAAGTTGCAGCCGTCATCTCCTTGAAGAAACACTAATGAAACAATCTCAAAATACCTGTATGTGAACTCCAGAATCCATTGTAAAAGTTACAACACTTCAGGCAAGCACCAAACCAAGAAAAATGACTTTGAAAATGCATATAAAGAACAGTTTAATTTTATTTATGTTAGTGCCTCTTTTAAGCTGACATAGCTTAGCACCTACTGAGATCCAGGCTTCGGATTTCTCTCTTGGGAGAAAGAGTGAGGGCGCATGCCTCTTATATCCCCCAGCATTTCAGGGCATTATCCACCAGTTCTACTTTTGTCTCACCTCGCTCAGAACACTGAGGCCAGCAGCATATGAAAAACACCATGGGGCAGCTAAGAATGAAGGGAGGGGTCAGGGACCCTCAGCAGCCTGCACAGTGCTGCAGGATTGAGAGAAGGTGTACAACTCTGAGACTCCTACTTTAAGAAGAAGGGAGAAAACCGTAGCTTGGATTTAGCCTTTCAGCATTCTGGTACACTTTCCTAAGGAAAAGGGGAAGGGGGATGAATCTGCTTAATTGAAAGAAGGTACACAATCCTGAGAGTTCTCCTTCAGAAGGAAGAAATGTAAGTGAAGCTTGCACCTAATGTCCTGGCATTTCAGTCCCTGCCTGAAGGAAATGGGTGAGCAGCTCTCAGCAGCTGACAAAGCTCTGCAGGATGAGGGGAAGAAGACAGGCAACCCATAATCTTATCCTTCAGGAGGAAGAAAGAGAAGTAGAGCTTGTGCCCAGTGTCTCACAATTTTGGCACACTTTCACAAAGTAAATGGAGTTTTATGGTGGTTCACATAGCTGTGCAAGATTGGAAAAAAGGCACACAACCCAGACATTTTCCTCCAGCAGCAAGGCAAAGCAATGGAATGTATATGCAGTACTCAAGCCTATCAGTGCACTGCATTTGGGTAAAGATGAGGGCAGCATGGCTCTCTGATATTGGGAAAAGGCATATGACTATGAAACTTCTCTCCCATGAGGGAGAGAGAGAGAAGTGGAACAGAAAGCTTATCTAAAGAAATAACATTCAAAACATCATAAAAATGAGTACCAAGATTATTGAAGCTTTATTTTTTTTTGAAACAGGGTCTTGCTGTGTTGCCCAGGCTGGAGTACAGTCACACAGTCACAACTCATTGCAGTCTTCACCTACCAGGCTCAAGTGCTCCTCCCACCTTAGCCTTCTGAGTAGCTAGAGTCACAGGCACACACCCCAACACTTAGCTAATTTTTCTATTTTTTGTAGGATGGGATTTTACCATGTTGCCCAGGATGGCCTCAAACTCCTGGGCTCAAGTGATCTCCTGCCTCAGCCTCCCAAAGTGCTGAGATTACAGGTGTGAAGCACTGCACCTGGCCTTTTGAAGATTTAAAGACCCAGATAAGAACCTAATGAAATCCACATGGAGACATATTATATCAAATTGTCAAAAGTCAAAAATGAAAAAGATAATTTTGAAAACAGCAAGAAAAAAATGACTTATACTGTAGAAGAGAGCCTCTCTAAGGTAATCAGTGGATGTATCAGCAGAAACCTTGTAGACCAGAAGAGAGTTGAATGATGTAGTCGAAGCACTAAATGAAAACATCTGCCAACCAAGATATTATATTTGGCAAAATTGTCCCTCAAAAATGAAGGAGAGATAAAAACTTTCCAGGATAAACAACACCTAAAAGAGCTCATCACCACTAGACCTGCTTTACAAGAAATGCCGAAGTGAATTATTCAATTAAAAATGAAGGACTACTAACAGCAAGTCAAAACATTTCAAAGTATAAAACTCATTACTAAAGGTAAATTTATCAACAAATACAGAATAATGTAATACAGTAATGGTGGTATGTAAATCACTTAAAAATTTTTAGAATAAAAGTTCTAAAACAAAAAATTTGGGAATAACTATAAATACAAACATTTCCTAATGGATTCACTATATTAAATGATGCAAATTGTGACATCAATAACATGAAGCATGTGTTGGGGGAGACGTAATAGTGTAGAGTTTTCATATGCAATTAAAGTCGTCAGCTTAAAATAAACCAGCATAATTATATGATGTTTAATATATGTCTCTTGATAACCACAACAAAAAGAATACTAAATACAAATAAACAAACAAAAAGAGACAGAAATCAAAGAATACCATTACAAAAACAATCTAAGAAGCATAAAGAAAGACAGGAGAAGAGGGGGGAAAGAATTTCAAAAAAGACAAAAAAAATTAAAAATGGCAATGGTAAGTCATTTATACCAGACAAAACAGACTTTAAGCCAAACATAGCCACAAGGGACAAAGAAGGGCATTATATAATGATAAAAAGTTAATTCATTAGGAAGCTATAACAATTGTAAATACATATGTACCAAACATCAGACCATCTAAATAAATAAAGCAAATATTCACAGAATTAAAGAGAGAAATATACAACAATACAAAAATGGTAAGAGACATCAATAACCCACTTTCACAAATAGAATATCCAGACAGAAAATTAATAGGGAAACAATGAACAACCTAATAGACCAAATAGACCCAAAAGACATATAAAGAATATTTCACCCGAAGCAGAATATGCCTTCTTCTAAAGTGCATGGGAACATTCTTCAGTAGAGATCACATGATAAAACAAGTCATAAAAAATTTTAAGATTGAAATAATACCACATATTATTTCCAACCAAAAGTGTATGAACTTAGAAATCAATAATGAGAAGAAAATTGAAAATCTTATATATGGGGAAATTAAACAACACAACCCTAAACAATCAATTGATCAAAGAAGTGACAAAGAAAGTCAGAAAATGTTTTGAAACAAATGAAAGTACAACACATCAAAATATATGAGATACAACAAAAGCCTACTAAGAAGGATGTTTACAGCAATAACACAAACATTTTTAAAATGACTTCACATAAAGGCCGGGCGTGGTGGCTCATGCCTGTAATCTCAACACTTTTGGGGGCGAAGGTGGTTGAATCATCTGAGGTCAGGAGTTTGAGACCAGCCTGGCCAACATGGCGAAACCCTGTCTCTACTAAAAATACAAAAAATAGCTAGGCGTGGTGGCAGGCGCCTGTAATCCCCGCTACTCAGGAGGCTGAGGCACGAGAATCGCTTGAACCTGGGAGGAGGAGGTTGCAGTGAGCAAGATCGCGCCACTGCACTCCAGCTTGGGTGACAGGGGGAGACTGTCTTGAAAAAAAAAATGACTCCACATAAACAACCTAACTTTACACCTCAAGCCAAGAAAAGAAGAGAAACTAAACTCAAAGCAGAATAAAGAAGATAATAACAATCAGAACACAAACACATGAAATAGAGACTAGAAAAATAATAGGGGAAAAAAGAATGAAACCAAGAGTTTGTTTTTTTGGAAAGATATACAAAATGAACAAAACTTTAGCTGCACACACACACAAAAACGGGAAAACGCACATAAGTAAATAAGTTCAGAAATGGAAGAGTAGAAATTATAACTGATGCCACAGAAATGCAAAGGATCATAAGAGGCTACTCTGAACAATTTATACCAAGAAATTGAATAACCTAGAATAAATGGATACATTTATAGATACATACAACATATCAAGACTGATTCATGAAGAAGTAGATAAATTTGAAGGGATCAATAATGACTAATTGATTAAATCAGCTTTCAAAAACTTCTCAACAAACGAAAGCCCAAGACTAGACGACTTCACTAGTGAATTGTTTGAAGCATTTAAATAATTAACAACAATGCTTCTCAAATCCTTCCAAAAATTTAAGAGAATACCTTTAAATTCATTTTATGAGGCCAGCATTATTCTGATACTATAGCCAGAAAAAGACATTACAATAAAAATTATAGTCTAATATCCCTGATCAACACAGATGCAAAACATTCTCATCAAAATATTAGCAAACCAAATTCAACAGCACATTAAAAATATTATTCACCATGATGAGTAGCATTTATCCCTGGGATGCAAAGATGGCTCAACACATGCAAATCAATAAATGCAATACATCATATTAACAGAATTAACATTTATATAGCATGATCATCTGAGGAGCTGTGAAAAATGCACATGACAAAATCCAATATTAATTTATGATAAAATTTCTCAACAAATTAAGTATAGAAGGAATGCACCTCAAAATAGTAAAGGTAATATATGACAAACCTTCTGCCAATATCTTCTTCAATGGTGAAAATTTCAAAGCTTTTCCTCTTAGACCAGTGAAACTCTAGCCAGAGCAACTAGTCGAGAAAAATAAATAAAAGAATCCAAATCAGAAGGAAATAAATAAAATCATTTCTGTTTATAGATGACATATTCTATATGTAGAAAACTTTGAAGACACCATAAAACCTTGTTAGTAGTGAAAAAATTCAGTAAAGTTATACTATACAAAATCAAGATATAAAAATTAAGTGTTTTTATACACCAACAACAAATCATCCAAAAAGGCAATTAAAAAAAAACTCATTTAAAATATAAAAAAGGAATAAATTAAAACAAGGATGTGAAAGACTTATACACTGAAAACTACAAAGCCAAACCAAAGCATTGATCAAGTATGTATAAAAAGAAATAAAATAAAACAAAAATAAATGAAAAGACACAGTGTGTTCATGGATTAGAAGACAATATTGTTAAAATATTACCAAGTTGATCTACAGATTCAATGCTATCTCCATAAAATGCCATCTCCATAAAATGTCTATGAGATTTTTTAACAGAAACTAAAACAAAACTATTTTTAAATTTATGTGGAGCCACAAAGAAAGAAGAACAAAGCAGAAGGCATCACACTTTCTGATTTCAAAATATATTACCAAGTTACAGAAAATACTCAGTATGGTACCAGCTCAAAGAAGATGGGTACACCAATGCAACATAATAAAAGCCCCGGAAATAAAACCATGTATATAAAGTCACCCAATTTCCAACAAAGCTGACAAGAATACAGAATATAAAATGGATATGGTCTTCAACAAATAGTTTTTGGAAAACTCTATATCAGCATGCAAAAACATAAAACTGTACCTCCATATTAAACCATACACAATATTAACTAAAAATAGATTAAAGACTTAAATGTAAGAACTTAAACGGTAAAATTCCTAGCAGAAGGATAAAAACCCCTTGTTGAAAACAAGGAAACAACCTATTGACATTAGTTGAAGCAATGAATTTTGGATATGACCTCAGAAGCAGTTAACAGAAGCAAAAATGTACAAGTGTAACTACGTCAAACTACAAAGCTTCTCAGCAGCAAAATAAACAATAAACAGAATGAAAAGGAAACCTTTGGAATGGGAGAAAATATTCGCAAACCATATATCTCATAAGCAGTTAATTTCCAAAACATAAAAGAAACTCTTACAACTCAACAACACGACACCCCCCCACAAAAAAAAATTGGCAAAAGACTTGAACAGCTATATCAAAGAAGACATACAAATAGCTACCAGATATATGAAGTGATACTCAATATCATTAATTATCAAAGAAAGACAAATCAAAACTACAATGAGATACCTCCTCACACCTGTTGACAATGGTTATTATCAAAAATAAAACAAAATGAAATCAAGTGTTGTCAAGGATGTGGAGGAATTGAAACTCTTGTACACTGTTGGTGGGAATGTAAAATGGCACAACGGATATGTAGAACAGTACTGAGGTTCTTCGAAAAATTGAAAATAGAGGCCAGGCACGGAGGCTCATGCCTGTAATACCAGCACTTTGAGAGGCTGAGGCACGTGGATCGTGAGGTCAGGAGATCGAAGCCGTCCTGGCTAACACGGTGAAACCCTGTCTCTACTAAAAATATAAAAATTAGCCATGCGTGGTGGCACGTGCCTGTAGTCCCAGCTACTCGGGAGGCTGAGGTAGGAGAATTGCTTGAACCTGGGAGGCAGAGTTTGCAGTGAGCCGAGATTGTGCCATTGCACTCCAGCATGGGCGACAGAGTGAGACTCCATTTAAAAAAATATATACATATATATAGAAATATCATATAATCCAGTGATTTCACATATGGATATATATCCAAAATAATTGAAATTAAGATCTCAAAGATATATCTGTATTTCCTCGTTTATTGCAACGTTATTCACAATATCAAAGAAATGGAAGTAACCCAAATTTCCTTTAACAGATGAACAGATAAGAAAATGTGGTATAGAGAGACAAGAAAATATTGCTCAATCTCAAAAAGGGAAGCAATCCTGTCATATGCACAAAATGGATGAACATAGAGGACATTTTGTAACACAAAATAAGCCAATCACAGAAGAACAAATAGTGCATGAGTCCAGTTATCTGAGGTATATAAAATAGCTAAACTCTTAGAAGTATAACATATAACGGTGGTTGTCGGGGGCTGACAGTAGGGGAAATGGGGAGTTATTCAATGGATTTGAAGTTTTAGTTATGAAAGATAAGTTCTAGAGGTCTGCTTTACAACATAGTGTCTAAAGTTATATTATATATTGTGCACTTCAAAATTTAAGAAGGTAGATCTCAAGTTAAGTGTTCTCACCACAGAAGATAAAACAAACAAACAAACAAAAAGGCACAAGGAAGTTTGGGAGGTGTTGGATATATCTTTTACCTCAATTGTAATGACAGTGCCATTGATATTTATATATGTCCAAATTTAGCAAATTTCATATATTAAATGCACGCAGTTCTTTGTAAGTCAATCATACCTCAATTCAGTGGCTACAAATAAATAATAGATAAAAAAGAAAGTGGAGCATGGTTTCAATCAAAATATTAATACTGACAGTTTCCCAAAGCAACAACTGTATTACACATCTTACTGTTTCTCTTCCTTTATCATCATCTAGAAATTATTTCATATCCCAAAGCTGATTTTTGATTCAGCTCACAAATCATTTCCTAGAAGACCCTGACCATACTATACGCATATTACAGGAAAAAAAATTAATATATACTGGTGCCTTCTGCCGGCATTTACTATGCTAGGTATTTTATATACATTTTCCTGTAGAAACTTTACAACCTTCTAGCCATCCTATGAAGTTGTTTGTATCTATTATTTGTTTACAATGAGTCAATAGAGTCACTGGTGGTTTAAGTGACTAGTCCATGATTTTTAGTAACTGATCTAAATCATAACAATGTGTCTGTTTAATTTCAGAGGTATGCTCTTTATACTGTTCTCAGTGCTGAGCACATACTAAGATGATGGAGACACTGTACACGTATGTCCAAAACAAGCCTTTTCTTTTTCAGTTAAACTGTGCATTATGTAGAGTAAATGAGTGAATAAATTAATGGCAATTCTATACATAATGAGAATATTTTTTTCTTTTTCAATTGATCTTTATGGGTATCTATTTTTGTTAATCCCCAGTGTCTTTCTAACTCTGGGATGTTACCTGGCCCTTTACAGGCACTTTTCTTGAAGATGAAATCTTGCTAGGCAACTGTGTTTCCCATAGTTTTGGATTGTTAAATGCCTGAGTTCGTAAAGTTCACTTAAATCTCCCATTTCTACATTGCCCCATTGGTTGAGTTATTCTATTACTTATTGTATTTAGACTGGCCTTTGCTTGGGTAATTTCTGAAACAGATCATTT
The DNA here is from genome assembly GCF_000001405.40 of Homo sapiens. NCBI lineage: Eukaryota > Metazoa > Chordata > Mammalia > Primates > Hominidae > Homo > Homo sapiens. The sequence goes on from NC_000001.11 coordinate 104,367,286, forward strand.
ATCTTTAACCCCAAGAACTTCAGAAAAATTCTCCTTTTTATTTATATAAACACATCTGTGAAGACTACAGATTTCTCTGAGTTGTCAGCTCCTAATTATCATTGCATTTCCATGTTACTAACTACCAAGCTTTGGTTGTAAATGGTTCATGCTATCACTATTACTTGTTTATTCTGCATAGTCTTTTTTGCATTTGAACAATTGAAAACCCTTTAATTTGGGGATAGTTTGACATCATTGTTTGAAATCCTGCTGTATCATTTAACTTGTTAAAACAGTGAAAGTATCTTGACATTTTTTGCTTTAATTGAATGGTTCAAAATATCATGGTACAGTAAGTTTTACTATTTTACTGACCATTGTCTGAATATCTAACTTACATGTTATGCGTTATCTTAACTTTGATCAAAATAAATTAATAGGTACTGAAAGCTAACAAAATTGGATGCAAACAAAGACCATTTTTAAAGCTAAACATTCCTGCCGGAGAATGGAAAAACAAAGGGACTCTCATAAAAGATAGGTGCATCATTTCTTGAACATGCATCACAATCCTCACTGTATACTTGGGTGCCTTTACTATGGTGGCATATTTCATTCAATGAAAAAGAATTAAGGCCCATGGGCTTTGAGCTCACTGAGCTTATATTCAAGACAGAGAGATACACAGAAGACAGAGAAATTACATATTCATGTGTGTATACATGTGTATGTGTTCAGTTATATTTGTGATGATTATTGTGAAGTTAAATAAAAATAAGCTAGAGAGTCTCTGATAGTTAATGATAATTCCTAATAGTCTTGCTACTGTTTAGATAGATGATCTAACTAATCTGTCATATCACAAATTGTTATAATTACTTTTCATAGAAGCTTGAGGAAAGTTTGTTAGAAATGGCATTGTTACTAAAAGGCTATTGGTAAAAACATAAACATAAATTTCAACAACAGCAAAAACAAAGTCACTAATATTTTTTTCAATAATTTTCTCTAGTTCTATAACTGCCTACAAACATAATAAAAGACATCTTAGCAATACAAATGGGTGTTTCAACTTGCTAAACTAGCATATGAATTCCAGCTCTGCAGCTGAAAGATGGAAGAATAATCTGTTACGAAAGCTAAAATTCATTCATTAACTTTTCAGATTTATGCCTAGATAATTGGGGAAAATAATTTTAATAACACAAAATTAGAGGTTCATTTTGTGAATTTATTTAAGGACTGAATATATCAAAAAATAATCGCCATTTATTTTCCTTTCCAAGAAATTGAACACTCTAAAAGTCATATCTATTATTATCATCATTTTGAGGGCTATCACTGATTGGATCTAAATCAACACTTTTTGTTTGTTTGTTTGTTTGCTATGGTGTCAGGCACTGTGCTCATTTGTAGCAACACATGACTCCTGTCCTTTTTGAGTTCAGTGGAAGACAATATGTAAACTAATAATTATAACACGATGTGAAAAAACAATAATAGAAATGCCTGTAACCTGATGCTTCCCTTCTCACCTGCCTCCAAAATCATATAAAATTTATTACAGAAGCAGAACTTTCTGATGATTACTTTTAATGGAAAATTCATTACAAATGGAATCTACATCCTAGAAAAATTCTAGTCTTCTCAATTCTGTTAATCAATAACAGAAAATCTCCAAATCAATCATAACCAAGTCACACTCTTTCTATCCCTTATGAGCCTTTCAGTTCCCATGCTTATGAGGCAACAGTGGCACAATTTCAATCCCCCACTGTGTTCCAGAATGTAACAAATACATAGAAAAGAGGAACAGTGTGTTAGTAGTTTTAAGCGTTAACAGTAGATCTGGGGAAAACTGGTACGTCCACTTGTATAAAATCTGAAATGCATTATATTGTATAAACACGTTGATATGAATGTGTATTATATTGGGCATGATGAAATCACCCAAAGGCGTTTATACTCTCATAACAATGCCAGGGACATAGTAGATGCTAATTACATTCTCCTGGAAGTAAATGTCATTTCTTTCTGCATTGATTTAACTGGATCTTGTCCTGATACCATGCCTTCTAAAATGGTTGTATACATACACACACACACACACACACACACAACATATACAAAGAGAGAGAGAGGGAAAAATTGATTCATACAGAATCTTTGAACAGAATAAAATTATATGATTGGAGAAAATAAACTCCTACCTTATAATTTGTTTTTTATTGTTTAATAGGTCATGCTATTTTCTCCTATGGCAAAAATAAAATCTTCAGAGGAAATTTATATATAATAAAGGAATGTATATGCCTTATTCAAGAAGTCATAAAAACCTTTTACTAACATATCTAATTTTTTGTTCTGTGTCCTGAGTTTAAATACATTTTTTAACTCAAATAATGTTTGTTTAACAACTCTTTCTTTGATTCTTTCATGAAAATAAGATGTTTACTTATGGGACCGTACAGTGAGCAGATAACCAAAACCACAAAACAAAACTGAATAATAAATTGGCCTATGGAACTGAATAAAGCACTAGTTATTCTGCTGTGGATATAACTGCATAATAAAAGTAAAATGCCAGGGAGGCTTTGGAGAACAACTTCGTTATTGAACATAGGAGAGAAAATTCAAGCTTAGTAGTTAAGAATTATTTTCAGAGCTGCAGGTAGCCACCATGCAGCAATGTCAGTCATTTTTATTATGTTTACACATTCCTTTAAAGATTTCCCTGAAACCCCATTAATGATTTCTATGACCAATATTTAATTCGTTTTTATACTTAATAATATTTTGTATTTATTGATTTGATTTTGCCTTAAAAATTGTGTGTGTATATATATATATATATATACATATAAACACAAGATAATATAAATATGCATCTACACATATATGTCAGATTTCTGACTTCTATTTTATTGGTTTTATTTTCCTTCTTGGAGAAAAGAAACTTAATCAGGGTTAGCAGACATTTGGTGTTTCATCAAAGGATGTTTATGTGCATTTTCTCATTTGACAGAGATGAACTCTTATCTTCTTCATCCAGAGTTCTGTGTACTCTGCACAAAGCAGTGAGAGGCTGAATGCTGTCATTGCTGTGTATCTCTGCCTTTGTATTTTGTCACTTTTACAATTATGTTATCAAATCAATACAATCTTATCAAAATGTATTGCTAGTATGATCATAGCTATAGATAAATAGGCACCGTGTACCACCAGATAGCAAGTGTTATTTATTCTTGAATAATGAAGATTATAGTATGTGTCTGTCTAATGTTCTTTATAAGTCTGTAGATTTGATGTGTTTATATAAAGGAATTAGTCAAGAAGACTATGTTCTCCAAAGTTAAAAATATTTTATGCCCTGAGTATATGAAGGCTGTTTCTTGGCTTCCCATAATTCATAATAAAAGCTTGTTATACTTACTACTATAAATAAAAAGTAATTCATTTCCTTAAAGTCACTAATTATGTTAACACTAAGTATAGCCTAAAATACATGGTTCACTATTATATGGTTGTTTTCTAAGCCAAATCAATATTTTGTTGAAATATTTATTTTATAATAAGATTGTATACTGTTTGATTTTAGGTAAGAGGTTAAAAAAACACAGTCACAAGAAAAAAATCATATCTGTCCCTATAATTTTTTTAATTTTGAGATTTTTTCATTCTATATGTTATTGATATCTATAATGTACACATACAAAATTTTTCTCCCTTAAAAGCATCAAACTATACAAATGTTCTAAAAATTGCTTGTGTGGTTAATAATATATACACTTTTATGTCAATAAATATTCTTTTACGTTATTTTAAAAGCAAAAAAACATTCTCCAAAGACATGGGCTATATTAGTTTCTTCCCTCTGTGGTGTTTCTCTTTGCCTTTATTCCTTCCTTCCTTCCTACTTCTTTTCTTCCTTCTGTTCACCTTCTTCCCTTCCTTTCTTTCTTTTTTTCTACTTTATTTATTTATGAAAACGTGAACATAATATAAAAATCAAAAGAAAAAAGAGGAAAACTTAAAAAGCTCTGTTTCACATCCTTTTTCCTTAGCCTTACCTGTGGTAACCACTCTTCCAACTTACTGCAAATCCTTTTAGAGATATTATTAGCATTTACATATATTTATGTATATTAAAGACAATTGCACTTATTTGGGTAGAATAGTATATGAATTAACAGCATGGACTCTAGAACAAGACTGACATCAATATCCCATTTTCAACAATGGACAGATCATCTAGGCATAAAATATATGAGGAAATAATGGAATCAAATAGTACTTTAGACAAAATAGACCAAAAGTACAACTTTCCATCCAACAGCAGCAGAATACACATTCTTTTCTTGTGCACAGAGAACATTCTCCAGGATCGACCATCTAGTATAGTAGAAAACTAGTCTTAACAAATTAAAAAAAAAAAACAACTCTGAAGTTACATCAACTGTTGTTTTCAAACACAATGGCATGAAACTGGAAATCAATAACAAGAGGATCTCTAGAAACTGTACAAATATATGGAAAGTAAATCCTTGAAAAACCAATGGGTCAATTTAGAAATTAAAATTCCTTTTTAAATAATCTCCTAAGGACAAATGTAAATCACAACACAACATACAAACGCCCACAGGATACAGTCAAAGCAGTAGTCAGAAGGAAATAAACACCTATATCAAAAAAGAAGAAAGATCTCAAACAACCTAATGTCGCACCTCAATAAATTAAAAGTACAGGAACAAGATAAACAAAAAATAATATAAGGAAACAAACAATGAAGACCAAAGCAGAAATAAATCAAATGAAGCCCCTCTCCAAAAATAATAAGACAATAGCACTAGAATAAGACAAAAATGCCCACTTTCACCACTTCTATTCAACATAGTACTGGAAGTTCTAGCCAGAGCAATCAGAAAAAAGAAAGAAAGAAATAACATCCACATTGGAAAAGAGGAAGCCAAACTGTTGCTGTTCATTGATGATATGATTGCCTACCTAGAAAACCCTAAACTGATCCAAAAAGCTCCTAGACCTGAAAAAATGAATTCAGTAAACTCTCAGGATACAAATCAATGTACACAAATAAATCAGTAGCACTACTATACCCCGAAAATGACTAAGCCGAGAATCAAATCAAGAACTCAATGATATTTACAACAGCTGCAGAATATAAATAAGTAAATAATTTACAGGCAAGCAAAGGTTGAGAGATTTTGCCACCACCAGGCCTGCCCTAAAAGAGCTCCTGAGGGAAGCACTAAACATGGAAAGGAACAACCGGTACCAGCCACTGCAAAAACATGTCAAATTGTAAAGACCATCGAGGCTAGGAAGAAACTGCATCAACTAATGAGCAAAATAACCAGCTAACATCATAATGACAGGAACAAATTCACACATAACAATATTAACCTTAAATATAAATGGGCTAAATGCTCCAATTAAAAAGACACAGACTGGCAAATTGGATAAAGAGTCAAGACCCATTAGAGTGCTGTATTCAGGAAACCCATCTCGTGCAGAGACACACATAGGCTCAAAATAAAGGGATGGAGGAAGATCTACCAACCAAATGGAAAACAAAAAAAGGCAGGAGTTGCAATCCTAGTCTCTGATAAAACAGACTTTAAACTAACAAAGATCAAAGAGACAAAGAAGGCCATTACATAATGATAAAGGGATCAATTCAACAAGAGGAGCTAACTATCCTAAATATATATGTACCCAATACAGGAGCACACAGATTCATAAAGCAAGTCCTTAGAGACCTACAAAGAGACTTAGACTCCCACACAATAATAATGGGAGACTTTAACACCCCACTGTCCACATTAGACAGATCAACGAGACAGAAAGTTAACAAGATATCCAGCAACTGAACTCAGCTCTGCACCAAGCGGACCTAACAGACATCTACAGAACTCTCCACCCCAAGTCAACAGAATATACATTCTTTTCAGCACCACATTGCACTTATTCCAAAATTGACCACATAGTTGGAAGTAAAGCACTCCTCAGCAAATGGAAAAGGACAGAAATTATAACAAACTCTCTCTCAGACCACAGTGCAATCAAACTAGAACTCAGGATTAAGAAACCCACTCAAAACCACTCAACTACATGGAATCTAAACAACCTGCTCCTGAATGACTACTGGGTATATAACGAAATGAAGGCAGAAAAAAAGATGTCCTTTGAAACCAATGAGAACAAAGACACAACATACCAGAATTTCTGGGATACATTCAAAGCAGTGTGTAGAGGGAAATTTATAACACTAAATGCCCACAAGAGAAAGCAGGAAAGATCTAAAATTGACACCCTAACATCACTATTAAAAGAACTAGGGAAGCAAGAGCAAACACATTCAAAAGCTAGCAGAAGGCAAGAAATAACTAAGATCAGAGCAGAACTGAAGGAAATAGAGACACAAAAAAACCTTCAAAAATCAATGAATACAGGAGCTGGTTTTTTGAAAAGATCAACAAAATTTATAGACCACTAGCAAGACTAATAAAGAAGAAAAGAGAGAAGAATCAAATAGACACAATAAAAAATGATAAAGGGGATATCACCACTGATCCCACAGAAATACAAACTACCAACAGAGAATACTATGAACATCTCTATGCAAATAAACTAGAAAATCTAGAAGAAATGGATAAATTCCTAGACACATACACCCTCCTGAGACTAAACCAGGAAGAAGTTGAATCTCTGAATAGACCAATAACAGGCTCTGAAATTGAGGCAATAATTAATAGCTTACCAACCAAAAAAAGTCCAAGACCAGATGGATTCACAGCCGAATTCTACCAGAGGTACAAGGAGGAGTTGGTACCATTCCTTCTGAAACTATTCCAATCAATAGAAAAAGAGGGAAAGCTCCCTAACTCATTTTATGAGGCCAGCATCATCCTGATACCAAAGCCTGGCAGAGACACAACAAAAAAAGAGAATTTTAGACCAATATCCCTGATGAACATCGATTCAAAAATCCTCAATAAAATACTGGCAAACAGAATCCAGCAACACATCAAAAAGCTTATCCACCATGATCAAGGGGTCTTCATCTCTGGGATACAAGGTTGGTTCAACATACACAAATCAAAAAATGTAATCCAGCATATAAACAGAACCAATGACAAAAACCACATGATTATCTCAATAGATGCAGAAAAGGCCTTTGACAAAATTTAACAACTCTTCATGCTAAAAACTCTCAATAAATTAGGCATTGATGAGACATACCTCAAAATAATAAGAGCTATCTCTGACAAACCTACAGCCAATATCATACTGAATGGGCAAAAACTGGAAGCATTCCCTTTGAAAACTGGCACAAGACAGGGATGCCCTCTCTCACCACTCCTATTCAACATAGTGTTGGAAGCTCTGGCCAGGGCAATCAGGCAGGAGAAGGAAATAAAGGGCATTCAGTTAGGAAAAGAGGAAGTCAAATTGTCCCTGTTTGCAGATGACATGATTGTATATCTAGAAAACCCCATCGTCTCAGCTCAAAATTTCCTTAAGCTGATAAGCAACTTCAGCAAAGTCCCAGGATACAAAATCAATGTGCAAAAATCACAGGCATTCTTATACAACAATAACAGACAAACAGAGAGCCAAATCATGAATGAACTCCCATTCAAAATTGCTTCAAGGAGAATAAAATACCTAGGAACCCAATTACAACGGACATGAAAGACCTCTTCATGGAGTACTACAAGCACTGCTCAATGAAATAAAAGAGGATACAAACAAATGGAAGAACATTCCATGCTCATAGGTAGGAAGAATCAATATTGTGAAAATGGCCATACTCCCCAAGGTAATTTATAGATTCAATGCCATCCCCATCAAGCTAGCAATGATTTTCTTCACAGAATTGGAAAAAGCTATTTTAAAGTTCATGTTCAACCAAAAAAGAGCCCACTTTGCCAAGTCAATACTAAGCCAAAAGAACAAAGCTGGAGGCATCAGGCTACCTGACTTCAAACTATACTACAAGGCTACAGTAACCAAAACAGCATGGTACTGGTACCAAAACAGAGATATAGACCAATGGAACAGAACAGAGTCCTCAGAAATAATGCCACATATCTACAACTATCTGGTCTTTGACAAACCTGACAAAAACAAGAAATGGGGAAAGGATTCCCTATTTAATAAATGGGGCTGGCAAAACTGGCTAGCCATATGTAGAAAGCTGAAACTGGATCCCTTCCTTACATCTTATACAAAAATTAATTCAAGATGGATTAAAGACTTAAATATTAGACCTAAAACCATAAAAACCCTAGAAGAAAACCTAGGCAATACCATTCAGGACATAGGCATGGGCAAGGACTTCATGTCTAAAACACCAAAAGCAATGGCAACAAAAGCCAAAATTGATGAATGGGATCTAATTAAACTAAAGAGCTTCTGCACAGCAAAAGAAACTACCATCACAGTGAAAAGGCAACCTACAGAATGGGAGAAAATGTTTGCAATCTACCCATCTAACAAAGGGCTAATATCCAGAATCTACAATGAACTTCCACAAATTTACAAGAAAAAAACAAGCAACCCCATCAAAAAGTGGGCAAAGGATATGAGCAGACACTTCTCAAAAGAAGACATTTATGTAGCCAAAAAACACATGAAAAAATGCTCATCATCACTGGCCATCAGAGAAATGCAAATCAAAACCACAATGAGATACCATCCCACACCAGTTAGAATGGCGATCATTAAAAAGTCAGGAAACAACAGATGCTGGAGAGGATGTGGAGAATAGGAACACTTTTACACTGTTGGTGGGACTGTAAACTAGTTCAACCATTGTGGAAGTCAGTGTGGCAATTACTCAGGGATCTAGAACTAGAAATACCATTTGACCCAGCCATCCCATTACTAGGTATATACCCAAAGGATTATAAAACTTGCTGCTCTAAAGACACATGCACATGTATGTTTATTGCGGCACTATTCACAATAGCAAAGACTTGGAACCAACCCAAATATCCATCAGTGATAGACTGGATTAAGAAAATGTGGCACCTATACACCATGGAATACTATGCAGCCACAAAAAATGATGAGTTCATGTCCTTTGTAGGGGCATGGATGAAGCTGGAAATCATCATTCTCAGCAAACTATCGCAAGGACAAAAACACTGCATGTTCTCACTCATAGGTGGGAATTCAACAATGAGAACACATGGACACAGGAAGGGGAACATCACACACCAGGGCCTGTTATGGGGTGGGGGGAGGGTGGAGGGATAGCATCAGGAGATATACCTAATGTTAAATGACGAGTTAATGGGTGCAGCACACCAACATGGCACATGTATACATATGTAACAAACCTGCACATTGTGCACATGTACCCTAAAACTTAAATTATAATAAAAAAATAAACAAATGAATAAATAAAAATACTTACGAATATACTTGCCCAAGGAGGTGAAATATCTCTACATGAAAAACTACAAAACACTGTTGAAGGAAATCATAGACGATACAAACAAATGGAAACACATCCCATGCTCATGGATATGTAGAATCAGTATTGTGAAAATGACCATACAGCCTAAAGCAATCTACAGATTCAATGTAATTCCCATGAAAATGTCATCATCATTCTTGAGAGAACTAGAAAAATAAATTTCAATTTTATATGGAACCAAAAAAGAGCCCACATGGACAAAGCAAGACTAAGCAATATGAACAAATCTGGAGGCATCGCATTACCTGACTTCATTACTATGAGGTAATAGTTACCAAAAAAACATGATACTAGTATAAAAATAGGCATGTAGATCAATGGAACAGATTAGATAACCCAGATATAAAGCCAAATACATACAGCAAACTGATCTTCTACAAAACATACAAAAACATAAAGTGGTGAAAGTACACTTTATTCAATAAATCATGCTGAGAAAACTGGCAAGCCACATGTAGAATTAAACCTAATCCTCATCTCTCACCTTATGCAAAAATGAACTCAAGGTGGATCAAAGACTTGAATCTAAGATTGAAACCACAAAATTTCTAGAAGATAACATTAAAAAAACTTTTCTAGACATTGGCCGAGGCAAAAAAAAAAAAAAAAGAACTATGACTAAGAACAAAGAAACAAATGGAATAAACACAAAAATAAATGGGACTTAATGAAACTAATAAGCTTCTACACAGCAAAAGAAATAATTAGCAGAGTAAACAGACAATGCACAGAGTGGGAGAAAATGTTTGCAAACCATGCATCTGACAAAGGACCAATATCCAGAATCTACAAAGAATTCAGATAAATCAGAAAAAGCAAAGAAACAAACAATCTCATCAAAAAGTGGGCAAAATACGTGAATAGACAATTCTCAAAGGAAATATACAAATGGTCAACAAACATGAAAAAAATGCTCAACATAACTAATTGTTAGGGAAATGCAAATTAAAACCATAATAAAATACCACCTTACTCTGGCAAAATTGTCCATAATTAAAAGGTCAAAATATAATAGATGTTGGTGTGGATGTAGTGAAAAGGGAACACCTTTACAATTCTGATGGGAATGTAAACTAGTACTACCATTATGGAAAACAGTATTGAGATTCCTTATAGAACTAAAAGTAGAATTACCTTTCAATCTAGCAATCCCACTACTGGTACTGGATATCTTTCCAGATGAAAAGAAGTTATCATATGAAAAAGAAGCCTGCACATACATCTTTATAGCAGCACAATTCAAAATTGTAAAACTATGAAACCAACCTAAATGCCCATCAACCAATGAGTGGTTTTAAAAAAATGTGGTATATATACACATCACAATCTATTCAGCCATAAAATGAAACAAAACAATGGCCTTTGCAGCAACTTGGATAGAGCTGGATGCCATTATTCTAAGTGAAGTAACTCAGGAATGAAAAACCAAATATTGTATGTTTTCACTTATAAGTAGCAGCTAAGGTAAGAGGATGCAAAGGCATAAGAATAATATAATGAACTTTGTGGACTTGGGGGGAAGGATCAGAGGGGGGTGAGAAATAAAAGACTACATATTGGGTAGAATGTACACTGCTCAGAAAATGGGTGTACCAAAATCTCAGAAATCACTGCTAAATAACCTAACCATGTAACAAAAAACTACCTAAAAACGATTGAAATTTAAAAAAATTAATAAATGTTGAGGTGGCACATATGCTAATTACCTTGTGTGAAAAGAAAATAAATTTGGGGGCACCCAAATCACTAAGCTAAAGGAAAATGTCAAGCTGGGAACTGCTTACAGCAAACCTGCATTCCATTCTATTCAAAGTCACCTCTCTTTTCACTCAGATAAATGCAGATCTGAATGCCTCCTTTGGACAGGCTAAGCAGAAACTCAAAATAATGCAACCACTTCTCTCACCTATCTGTGACCTGGAAGCCCCCTACCTGCTTTGAATTGTCCCACCTTTCTGGATGGAACCAATAACATCTCACATGTATTGATTGATGTCTCAAGTCCCCCTAAAATGTATAAAACCAATCTTGTTCCTGACCATCATATGCCTATGTCATCAGGCTCTCTGAGGCTGTGTCAAGAATGCACTTTCTCCACCTTGGCAACATAAACTTTCTAAAGTAACTGAGTCTGTCTCAGATATTCAGGTTTCACACTTGATTTGATCATTATATATTGTATACAGGCATTGAAATGTCACTCTCTATCCCATAAATATGTACAATTATTATGTGTCAATTAATTATATAGGTAAAAAAATTCTATGAAATGAATAGCTGGATTTTTGAGAAGATAAACAAAAATGACAAGCTTTAGGTCAGACTTACAAAGGAAAAGCAGGAGAAAATTCAAATAAAATCAGAGATGAAATAGGAGACAGTACTGATTCAGAAAAACAAAGGATTATAAGAGATTATTGTGAATGACTATATGCCAACACATTGGAAAACCTATAAGAAAAACAAATTCCTGGACACGTACTGCCTACAAATTCTGAATCAAAAAAGGAAATATAAACAGAATAATAATAAGTAATAAGATTGAATCTGTAATAAAATATCTCCCATCAAAGAAAAGCCGAACACCTAAAATATTAATTGTAGAATTCTACCAAATATTTAAAGAAGAACTAACATATTTTTTCTCAAATATTCCAGAAAATTAAAAGGAAGAAAACCTTTCAAACTTATTCTATGAGGCCAACATTATTCCAATACCAAAACCAGACAAGAAAAAAAGAAATTTATAGGCCAAAATATCTGATAAACATTGATGCAAACATCAACAAAATATTAGCAAACTAAATTTATTTAGCAAAATGTTAAAAATAGCATTTACCATGATCAAGTGAGATTTATCTCAGCAATGCAAAGATGGATCAACCTATGCAAATCAGTAAGTGCAAGTCATTACTTTAATAGAATGAAGGGCAAAAACTGTATTATTTCAATAAATACAGAAAAAGTATTTGATATTATTCAACATCCTTCATAATAAAAACTCTTAACAAGTTAGGCATAGAAGGTACATACCTCAACACAATTAAAGCCATATGTGCCAACCTCACAGTTTGGGGAAAAGTTGAATGCTTTTCCTCTAAGATCTGGAACGAGACAAAGATTCCATTTGCATAACTTTTATTCCATAATACTGGAATTCCTAACAAGATCAATTAGGCAAGAAAGAAAAATAAAAGTCATCTGAATTGAAAAAGAGGAAATCAAATTATTCATATGTGCAGATTACATAATTTTATATATAGAAAACCTTAAAGACTCCATCATAAACAGTTAGAACCAATAAACTTGGTTTATTTACAGTATATGAAGTAACATGCCAAAATCAGTAGTGTCAGGCCTCTGAGCCCAAGCCTGCAAGTATACTTCCAGATGGCCTGAGGCAACCAAAAACTACAAAGGAAGTGAAACAGTCAGCTCCTGTCTTAACTGATTGACCACCCTTAGGACATTCCATTATGATTTGTTCCTGCCCTGCCCCAACTGATCGATCCACCTCGTGACATTCTTCTTCTGAACAATGAGACTTATGATCTCCCCACCATGCACCTTGTGACCCCCCTCCTCTGCTGACAATAGATAACCACCTTTAACTGTAACTTTCTACTGTCCCAGTCTTATAAAGCTACCCCACCCCTACCTCCCTTGGCTGACTCTCTTTTCGGACTCAGCCCACTTGCCCCCAAGTGAAATAAACAGCCTTGTTGCTCACACAAAGCCTGTTGGTGGTCTCTTTACACGGATGTGCTTGACATTTGGTGTCATGACTTGGATCAGGAGGCCTCCCTTGGGAGATCAATCCCCTGTCCTCCTGTACTTTGCTCCATGACAAAATCCACCTATGACCTAGGGTCCTCAGATCGGCCCAAAAAACACCTCATCAATTTTAAATTGGGTAAGTGGTCTATTTTTACTTTCTTCTCCAACCTCTCTCACTATCCCTCAACCTCTTTCTCCTTTCAATTTCAGTGCCACCCTTCAATCTCTCCCTTCCCTTAATTTCAGTTCCTTTCCTTTTCTGGTAGAGACACGTTTTATCCATGGGCCCAAAACCCCGGTGCTTGTCATGGACTCAGGAAGACAGTCTTCTCTTGGTATTTAAGCACTGCAGGGACACCTGCCTGATTACTCACACACATTTCAGATGTGTTCGATCACCGTGGGGACACCTGCCTTGATCCTTCACCTTGGTGGCAAGTACCACCTCCTCTGGGTGGCAAATACCACCCCCCTCTCTCCGTGTCTCTACCCCTCTTTTCTCTAAACTTACATTTTTACTATGGGCAAACTTCCGCCCTCCATTGCTCTTTCTTCTCCCTTAGCTTGTGTTCTAAAAAATGTAAAGCCTCTTCAACTCTTGCCTGACCTAAAACCTAAGCATCTTATTTTCTTCTGCAACACTGCTTGGCCCCAATACAAACTTTATAATGGCTCCAAATAGCCAGAAAACAGCACTTATGATTTCTCCATCCTAGAAGATCTAGATAATTTTTGTCAAAAAAATGAGCAAATGGTCTGAGGTGCCTGACATCCAGACATTCTTTTACACATTGGTTCCTCCCTAGCCTCTGCTCCAATGCAACTAGTCCCAAATCTTCCTTCTTTTCCTCCTGCCTGTCCCTTCAGTCCCAACCCCACGTGCTGCTGAGTCTTCTGAATCCTCCTTTTCTGAAGACCCCTCTGACATCTCTCCACCCCCCCCAGGTCAATCCTTGGCAGGCTGAATCAAGTCCCAATTCTTCCTCAGCCTCTGCTCCCCTACCCTATAACCCTTCTGTCACCTCCCCTCCCCACACTTGGTCCGGCTTACAATTTTGTTCTGCAGCAAATATTCCCCCACCTGCCCAACAATTTCCTCTTTGAGAGGTGGCTGGATCTGATGGTATTGTCAGAGTGCGTGCATGTACCATTTTCTCTATCAGACCTTTCCCAAATTAATCAATGCTTAGGCTCCTTCTCATCAGACCCCACTAAATATATGCAGGAATTCCAGTATTTAACCCAGTCCTACAATTTAACTTGGAGTGACTTAATGTCATTCTAACTTCTAAGCTTTCCCCAGATGAGTGGGATAGAGTTTATACCCTGGCCCAATCTCATGCTGACACCCACCGGTGTCATAAGCCAGACCTTCAAGAAGACATGAGGGCAGTTCCCCACAAACATCCCCAAGAGGAATACCAGACAGGCTCCCCAGGTATAGCTAGGCAAGATTATATAATTTCCTGCCTAGTTGAAGGGCTTAAAAAGGCAGCTTACAAAGCTGTTCATTATAACAAACTTAAAGAAACTACCCAAGATAAAGACAAAAACCCAGGCCAGTTCATGGCTCATTTGGCAGCAACCCTGAGATGCTTTACTGCCCTAGACCCAGAAGGCTGTCTTATTCTCAATATGCATTTTATTACCCAATCTTCTCCCAACATTACAAAAAGCTCCAAAAATTAGATTCCTCCCCTCAAACCCCACAACAGGACTTAATTTACCTCGCCTTCAAGGTGTACAATAATAGAGAAATGACAGCCAAGTGCAACATATTTCTGAGCTGCAATTACTTGCCTCCCCTGTGAAAGAAATCCCAGCCGCACCTCCAGCACACAAGAACTTCAAAACGCCTAAACTACAGTGGCCAGGCATTCCTCCAGGACCTCCTCCCCCAGGATCTTGCTTCAAGTGCTGGAAATCTGGCAACTGGAGCAAGGAGTGCCCACAGCCCAGGATTCCTCCTAAGCCATGTCTCATCTGTGCAGGACCCCACTGGAAATCAGACTGTCCAACTCACCCGACAGTCACTCCCAGAGCCCCTGGAACTCTGGCCCAAGGCTCTCTGACTGACCCCTTCCCAGATTTTCTCAGCTTAGCAGCAGAAGACTGACACTACCCAATCACCTTGGAAGCCTCCTGAACCATCACAGATGCTTTGGGTAAGTCTTACAGTGGAGGGTATGCCTATCCCCTTCTTAATCAATACAGAGGCTACCCACTCAACATTATCTTCTTTTCAAGGGCCTGTTTCCCTTACCTCCATAACTATTAGTGGGTATTGACGGCCAGGCTTCTAAACCGATTAAAACTCCTCCACTTTGGTGCCAACTTGGACAACATTCCTTTATGCACTCCTTTTTAGTTATCCCCTCCTGCGCAGTTTCCTTATTAGGCTGAGACATTTTAACCAGATTATCTGCTTCCCTGACCATTCCTGGACTACAGCCACATCTCATTGCCACCCTTATTCCCAACCCAAAGCCTCCTTCACGTCTTCCTCTTGTATACCCCCACCTTAATCCACAAGTATAGGACACATTTACATCCTCCCTGGCAACCAGTCACAAGCCCATTTCTATACCATTAAAACCTAATCACCCTTACACCACTCAAAGCCAGTATCCTATCCCACAACAGGCTCTAAATGGACTAAAGCCTGTTATCACTTGCCTACTAGAGCATGGGCTTCTAAAGCCTATAAACTCTCCTTACAATTCCCCCATTTTACCTGTCCTAAAACTGGACAAGTCCTACAGGTTGGTTCAGGATCTGTGCCTTATCAACCAAATTGTTTTGCCAATCCACCCTGTGGTGCCCAACCCATACACTCTCTTGTCCTCAATACCTCCCTCTACAACTCACTATTCCATTCTTGATCTTAAAGATGCTTTTTTCACTATTCCCCTGCACCCCTCATCCAAGCCTCTCTTTGCTTTTACCTGGACTGACCCTGACACCCATCAGTCCCAGCAACTTTCCTGGGCTGTACTGCCACATGGCTTGCAGGACAGCCCTCATTACTTCAGCCAAACTCTTTCTCATGATTTACTTTCTTTCCTCCCCTCTGCTTCTCACCTTATTCAATTCAAAATTGATGACCTTCTACTCTGTAGTCCCTCCTTTGAGTCTTCTCAAGCAGATACCCTCCTGCTCCTTCAACATTTATTCTCCAGAGGATATTGGGTATCCCCCTCTAAAGCTCAAATTTCTTCCCCATCCATTACCTACATTGGCATAATTCTTCATAAAAACACACATGCTCTCCCTGCCGATTGTGTTTGGCTAATTTCCCAAACCCCATCCTCTTCTACAAAGCAACAACTCCTTTCCTTCCTAGGCATAGTTAGGTACTTTCACCTCTGGATACCTGGTTTTGCCATCCTGACTAAACCATTACATAAACTCACAAAAGGAAACCTAGCTGACCCCATAGATCCTAAATACTTTCCCCACTCCTCTTTCCATTCTTTAAAAACAGCCCTAGAAGCTGCTCCCCCACTAGCTCTCCCAACTCATCCCAAACTTTTTCCATTACACTTAGCTGAAGTGCAGGGCTATGGGGTCAGAATTCTTACACAAGAGCTGGGACCACACCCTGTAGCCTTTCTGCCCAAACAACTTGACCTTACTGTTTTAGGCGGGCCCCCACATTATTCCTGATACCACATCTGACCCCCATGACTGTATCTCTCTGATCCACTTGGCATTCACTCCATTTCCCCATATTTCCCTCTTTCCTGTTCCCTATCCAGACCACACTTAGTTTATTGACGGCAGTTCCACCAGGCCTAATCACCACTCACCAGCAAAGGCAGGTTATGCTATAGTATCTTCCACATCTATCGTTGAGGCTACTGCTCTGCTCCATTCCACTACCTCTCAGCAAGCTGAACCCATTGCCTTAACTCAGGTCTTCAGTCTTGCAAAGGGACAATGTGTCAGTATTTATACTGACTCTAAATATATCTTCCATATACTGTACCACCATGATGTTATGTGGGCTGAAAGAGGTTTCCTCACTATGCATGGGTCCTCCATCATTAATGCTTCTTTAATAAAAACTCTTCTCAAGGCCACTTTACTTCCAAAGGAAGCTGGAGTCATTCACTGCAAAGGCCACCAAAAGGCATTAGATCCCATTGCTCAGGGCAACCCTTATGCTGATAGGGTAGCTGAAGAAGCAGCTAGTGTTCCAACTTCTGTCCCTCATGGCCAGTTTTTCTCCTTCTCATTGGTCACTCCTACCTACTCTCCCACTGAAACTTCCACCTATCAATCTCTTCCCAGACGAGGCAAATGGTTCTTGGACCAAGGAAAATATCTTCTTCCAGCCTCACAGGCCCATTCTATTCTGTCATCATTGCATGACCTCTTCCATGTAGGTTACAAGCTGCTAGCCCTCCTCTTAGAACCTCTCATTTCCTTTCCATTGTGGAAATCTATACTCAAGGAAATAATTTTTCGGTGTTCCATCTGCTATTCTACTACTCCTCAGGGATTGTTCAGGCCCCCTCCCCCCTTCCCTACACATCAGAATTTGCTCCTGCCCAGGACTGGCAAATTGAATCTATCCACATGCCCCGAGACAAAAAACTAAAATGCCTCTTGGTCTGGGTAGACAATTTCACTGGGTAGGTAGAGGTCTTTCCCTCAGAGTCTGAGAAGGCCACTGTGATCATCTCCTTGATATATGACATAATTCCTCGATTTGGCCTTCCTAGCTCTATACAGTCCAACAATGGGTCAGCCTTCATTAGTCAAGTCACTCAGGCAGTCTCCCAGGACCTGGGCATTCAATGGAAATGTCATGCTCCTTATCGCCCTTAATCCCCAGGAAACGTAGAAAGAATTAATGGTCTTTTAAAGACACACCTCAGCAAACTCAGCTTCCAATTTAAAAACGACTGAACAGTACTTTTACCACTTGCCCTTCTCAGAATTCAGGCCTGTCCTCAGGATGCTACAGGGTACAGCCCATTTGAGCTCCTGTATGGACGCTCCTTTTTATTAGGCCCCAGTCTCATTCCAGACACCTGCTCTCTAGGTGATTATCTTCCAGTCCTCCATCAAGCTAGACAGGAAATTTTCCGAGCTGCTAATCTTCTTTTGCCTACCCCAGATTTCCAGCCATATGAAGACACTCTAGTTTGACAGTCAGTTCTTGCTAAGAATCTGACCCCTCAGACTCTACAACCTCAGTGGACCGGATCCCACTTAGTCATCTATAGTACCCCAATGGCTGTTCATCTGCAGGAACCCACCCCCACACCGCACCCACACTGGGTTCATCATTCCAGAGTAAAGCTGTGCCCATCAGACAGCTAGCCCAATTTCTTTTCTTCCTCCTGGAAGTCGCAAGTACTCTCTCCTTCTTCCCTTAAATTCACTCACATTTCTAAAGAACATTAATAAACCTTATGAGCCTAATACATCCCTTCATTCTATTAGATCTATTCATCCTTTACCCCACTTTTTGCAACAGGACTTTATGCAGTCAGCCCCACTAATTAGACTGTGCCCTGAAAACTTGTCATCCATACTATCTTCTGTCTAGTCATACTCCTATTCACCATTCTCAACTACTCATAAATGCCCTGCTCTTATTTACACTGCCAGTTTCCAATGTTTCTCCAAACCATCACAACTGATATCTTCTTGTGCTATCCTCAATCTGCCACTCTTGACTCCCTCTTGGAGTGGATAGAGGATCTTTGCTGGCAGGGGACCCTCCAATACTTTCACCCTGGTGAAGTCCTATTCTTTAGTTTTATACTCACTCTTATTCTTATTCTCATTCCCATTACATGCCACCCTCTACCTCTCCCCAGCTATCTCCACCACACTATCAATCTCACTCACTCTCTCCTAGCCATTTCTAATCCCTCCTTAGTGGACAATTGCTGGCTTTGCATTTGCATTTCTTCCTATGCTTACACAGCTGTCCCTGCCTTACATACAGACTGGGCAACAACTCCTGTCTCCCTACACCTCTGAACTTCCTTTAACAGCCCTCACCTTTACCCTCCTGAAGAACTTCTTTACTTTCTAGACAGGTCCAGCAAAACCTCCCCAGACATTTCACATCAGCAAGCTGCTGCCCTTCTCTGCACTTACTGAAAAAGACTTTCTCCTTATATCAACTCTACTTCCCCCATATTTGGACCCCTCACAACACAAACTACTATTCCTGTGGCTGCTCCTTTATGCATCTCTCGGCAAAGACCCACTGGAATTCCACTGGGTAACCTTTCCCTTCTCAATCCTCCTTCACTCTTCCTCTCCAAAGTTCAACTACACACATCACTGAAACAATTGGGGCTTTCCAGCTCCATATTACAGATAAGCTCTCTATCAATACTTACAAACTTAAAAACATTAGCAGTAATTATTGCTTAGGAAAACATTTACCCTGCATTTCACTCCATCCTCGGCTACCTTCCCCTTGCTCTCCAGATTCTCCTCCCATGCCCTCTTCTTGTTTACTTATACCCAGCCCTTTAAATAACAGTGAAAGATTGCTCATAGATACTCAATGTTTTCTCATACACCATGAAAACTGAACCTCCCCCTCTATGCAGTTACCCCATCAGTCCCCATTACAACCTCTGATGGCTGCCGCCCTAGCTGGATCCTTAGGAGACTGGGTACAAGACACCTCTTTTACTACTCCTTCTCATCTTTTCACTTTGCATTTCCAATTTTGCCTTGCACAAGGCCTCTTCTGCCTCTGTGGCTCCTCCGCCTACATGTGTCTACCTGCTAATAGGACAGGTACATGTTCACTAGTTTTTCTGATTCCCAAAATTTAATTTGTAAATGGGACTGAACAACTTCTTGTCCCTCTAATGACACCAACCAGACAAAAAAGAGTTATTCCTTGAATCCCTCTATTTGTAGGGTTAGGACTTTCTGCTTCCACTATCGCCCTTGGAGCTGGAATAGCAGGCGTTTCAACTTCTGTCACAACCTTCCACAGCCTTTCTAGTGACTTTTCTATTAGCATTACAGATATATCACAAACTTTATCAGTCCGTCAGGCCCAGGTTGACTCCTCAGCCACAGTTGTCCTCCAAAATTGCTGAGGACTTGACCTACTCACTGCTAAAAAAGGAGGACTTTGTATATTTTTAAATGAAGAGTGTTGTTTTTACCTAAATCAATCTTGCCTGTTATATGACAACATAAAAAAAACTCAAGGATAGAGCCCCAAAACTCGCCAACCAGGCAAATAATTACACTGGACCCACCTGGACACTCTCTAACTGGGTCTCTTGTCTCCTCCCTATTCTTAGTTCCCTGGTCCCTGTGCTTCTCTTTCTCTTATTTAGGTCTTGTGTCTTTTGTTTGGTTTCTCGATTCATACAAAACCACATTCAGACCATCACCAGTCATTCTATATGACAAATGCTACTTTTAACAACCCGACGATACCATCCTCTGCCTCAAGATCTCCCCACAGCCTAAGTTCCTCTTCCTTGTAACTCATTATAAAATTTTCTTTAAGGTGTCCACACAGACCCTAATCCTTCTTGAAGCAGCCCTGAGAAACATTACCCATTATCTCTCCATACCACCCCCAAAAATTTTTGCTGCCCTAACACTTCACCACTATTTTGCTTTATTTTTCTTATTAATATAAGAAGACAGGAATGTAAAGCCTCTGGGACCAAGTTTGCATGTATACATCCAGATGGCCTGAGGCAACCAAAAACTAGAAAGGAAGTGAAACAGCCAGCTCCTGTCTTAACTGATTGGTCAGCCTTACAACATTCCATTATGACTTGTTCCTGCCCTGCAGCAACTGATGGATCAGTCGACCTTGTGACATTCTTCTTCTGGACAATGAGCCTTATGATCTCCCCACCATGCACCTTGTGACCCCCCTCCTCTGCTGACAATAGATAACCATCTTTAACTGTAACTTTCTACTGCTTGCCCCCATACTATAAAACTGCCCCACGCCTACCTCCCTTGGCTGACTCTCTTTTCGGACTCAGCCCACTTGCACCCAAGTGAAATAAACAACCTTGTTGCTCACACAAAGACACAACTTGGTGGCTCTCTTCACATGGATGTGCTTGACAAGTAGCACTTCTACATGCTAATAGTAAACTATCTGAATAAGAAATAAAGAAAATAATCCCATTTACAATAGCTATAAAAAATAAAATTTCTAGAAATGTATTTGCCCAGGGAAGTGAAACAGCACTACATGAAAATTATAAATCATAAATGAAAGAAATTAAAGAGGATATAAATATATTCCAAGTTGATGAATTGGAAGAATTAATATTTTTAAAAAGTTTATACTGCCAAAGCAGTCTGCAGATTCAACGCAATCACTATAAAAATACCAATGGCTCTCTTCACAGAAACAGAAAAAAAACTATCCTAAAATCCCATGAAAGCACAAATGACTATGAATTATGAAAGTAATTATGGAAGCAAAAAAAATGAAGCTAAATGCATCACACTACCTAAGATTTGGTGTTAGTCACAGACTAAGACAAAGATTTGTATGACAGGCAAAGCTATAGTCATGCCAACAGCATAGTATTGTTATAAAAAGAGACACACAGACCAATGTAATAGAATAAATGCTTCAAAAAAATGCATCTACAGCCAACTAAGTTTTTCCAAAGTTGTCAAAAACTCACATTGGAGAACGAATAGTCTCTTCAATAAATAGTATGATGGAAATTTGATATCAACATGCAAGAATAATGAAACTAGACACCTATTGACTCAAATTAAAAACTAAAATGTGAGAATGAAAAGTATGAAACTACTAGAAGACAACGTAGGGAACACACTTCGTGACATTGCTCGGCATAAAGACTTTTTAGATAAAAATCTCAAACATAAAAGCAGCAAAAGCAAAAATAGACAAAGGATTTCATCAAATTAAAAAGCTTCTGCACAAAAAAAGAAAACAATCAACAGGGTGAAGTAAAGCCTACATAATGAAACAAAATATTAACAAACTATACATCTGATTATCTGATAGGAGTTTAATATCCAAAATATGTATGAAACTCAAATAATTCAGCAGTTATTATACTTCAATAAAAAGTAGGCAAAAAACCTGTATAGACATTTCTTAAAAGAAGATATACAAATAGATTGTGCTGGCAGAACAAGATGGTGGAATAGAAAGCTCAACTGATCATCTTCCCTGTGAGGACACCAAGTTAACAACTATGTACACAGAAAACACACCTTTAAAAGCACTAGAAATCAGGTGTGCACTCATACTACCTCATTTTAACTTTACATCACTGAAAGAAGCACTGAAGAGATAGAAAACACAGTCCTGAATGGCTGACATTAACCCTCAGCAGAGGCAAGGTGCAAACAGTATCTCTGGGTGCTGGGGGATGGAGAACACAGCAAATGTGAGACATTGAACTCAGTGTTGTCCTGTTACAGCAGAAAGAAAAACCAGACCAAACTCAGCTGACTCCCAGAGGGGAGCCCACTGCCCTAAAGTGTGATCTCAGGCCAGAGAGCATTCACCACAAGCTGACGTAAGAAACCTTAGGCCTTAACGGAACATCAGCAGTAGTCTGGCTGTACTCCTCCTGGCCTGGGTGGTGGTAGCTATGAGTTGAGGCTTCTCTGCCTTTGGAAAGGAGAGGGCAGAGTGGGAAAGACTGTGTCTTGTGGTTTGAGTGCCAGTTCAGCCACAATACAAGAGAACTCCAGATAGATTCCAGGTAGATTTTTGATTCTGGCCCCTGACTTCCTGCTGGCACTTGAGGACCCACCCAGGGCCTAGGGTACCTCACAGCCCTAAAAGGAAAGACACAGACCTGGCTGGTTTTGCCATTTGCTGATTGGAGAGCCTCAGGCCATTGAGTGAGCATAGGCAGTCATCAGGAACTGGTTACAACAGGCCTTGGGAGAGACCCAGCACTGTGCTGGCTTCATGTCTGATCAAGTATAACCATAGTGGTGGTGGCCACAGCGGTGCTTGTGTTACTCTATTTCCAGCTTTAGGTGGCTTAGAACAGAGAGGCAGACTCTGTATGTTTGGGACAATGTAAGAGAAGAGAAAAAGGATCTATGTGGTAATACAGAAAGTTTTCCCAGATCTTGTCCAAGACCATCAAGGCAGTACCTCTATGAGTCTGCAAGAACAGCATTACTGGGCCTGTGGTGCCCCTAAAATAGACACGGCTTAGAGGAAAACACCCAAGTCCTTTCAAATACGTGAAAAGCCTTCCAAGAAGGACAGCTGCAAATAAGTTGTGACAATAAAGACTACAATATATACATAAGTCTTCAATGCCAAGACACTGAAGAATATCTACTAGCATCAACAGCATCCAGGACAACATGATTTCACCGAAGGAAATGAATAAGGAACCAAGGACCATTCCTGGAGAAACAAAGATATGTGATCTTTCAGACAGAATTCAAAATAGATGTGTTGAAGAAATGCAAAGAAATTCAAGATAATACGGAGAAGAAATTCAGAAATCTATCAAATAAATTTAACAGAGAGATCAAAATAATTTTAAAAAATCAAACAGGAATTCCAGAGCTGAAAAATGCAATTGGCATACTGAAGAATGCATCAGCATCCTTCAATGGCAGAATGGATTAAGCAGAAGAAAGATTAGTGAGCTTGAAGACAATCTATTTAAAAATACACAGTCAGAGGAGACAAAAACAAAACAAAACAATGAAGCATGCCTACAGGATCTAGAAAATAGCCTTAAAAGGACAAATTTAAGAGTTACTGGCCTTTAAGGGAAGGCAGAGAAAGAGATAAGGATAGACATTTAGTTAAAAGGGATAATACCAGAAAACTTCCCAAACCTGGGGAAAGATATCAATATTCAAATACAAGAAGGTTATAGAACACGAAGTAGATTTAACTCAAAGAAGACTCCTCAAGACATTTAACTATCAAGCTCCCAAAGGTCAAGGATAAAGAAATAATTCTAGAAGCAACAAGAGAAAAGAAACAAATAACATACAACTGAGCTCAAATATGTCTGTCAACAGACTTTGTGTAGAAATTTTATAGCTGAGAGAGGCATAACATAAAGTGCTGAAGAAAAAAAAAATTCACACTACAATAGTATATGTGGTGAAAATATTCTTTAACCATAAAGGAGAAATTGACTTCCCCAGACAAACAAAAGCTGAGGAATTTCATCAATACCAGACCTGTCCTACATTAAATGCTAAAGGGAGTACTTCAGTTAGAAAGAAACGCACATTAATGAGCAGTAAATAATCACCTGAAGGTATAAAACTCACTGGTAATAGTCAGTACACAGCAAAACACAGAATATTATAACACCATAACTGTGGTGTGTAAACTACTCTTATCCTCAGTAGAAAGACTAAATGATGAACCAATCAGAAATAATTATTACCACAATTTTTCAAGACTTAGTACAATAATACATGAATAAAAACAACAAAAAGATTAAAAGTGGAGAAATGAGGTTAAAAAAGTTTTTATTAGTTTTTTTTGCTTGTTGGATTATGCAAATGCTGTTAGTTGTTATCAGGTTAAAATAATAGGTTATAAGATAGTATATGGAGGTCTCATGGAAACTTCAAACCAAAATAATAATAATAATAATAATACAATGGATACACAAAAAAATACAAAGTGAGAAACCAAATCATATCACCAGAGAAAATTACTTTCACTAAAAGGAAAACAGGAAGAACAGAAAGAAGGAAGACAAGACCATAAAACGACAACTAAACAAATAACAAAATGGCAGGAGCAAGTCCTTACTTATCAATAATAACAGTGAATGTAAATGGACTAAACTCTCCAATCAAAAGTTATAGACTGGCTGAATGAATGAAATAACAAGACCGATTAACCTCTTGCCTACAAGAAACCCACTTCACCTATGAAGACACACATAGATTGAATATGAAGTTATGGAAAAAGGTATTTCATGCCAATGGAAACCAAAAGAGAGCAAGAGTTACTATACTTATATCAGACAAAATATATTTTAAGACATAAACTATAAGAAGAGACAAAGTCACTATATAATGATAAAAGGGCTAATTTAGCAAGAGGATATAACAATTTTAGATATATCTGCACCCAACAGTGGAGCACAGAGAGGTATAAAGCAAATATTATTAGAGCTAAAGAGAGAGATAGGCTCCAATAAAATAACAGCTGGAAATTTCAACACTGCACTTTCAGCACTGGACAGATCTTTCAGACAAAAATCAGCAAAGAAACATCAGCCTTAATCGTAACTACAGAGCAAATAAACCTAGTAGATATTTACAGAGCATTTCATCCAACAGCTGCAGAATACACATTATTATCCTCAGCACATGGATTATTCTCAAGGATAAACCATATGTTAGATCACATCAGGTTTTTTTTTTGAAGTGCATACATCATTTGAAGTGCCTACATCAAAAAATAAGAAAAACTTCAAATAAACAACCTAAGAATGCATATTAAGTAACTATAAAAGCAAGAGCAAACCAACCCCAAAATTAATAGAAAAAAAATAGCTCAGAGGAGAGACAAATGACATTGAAACGAAAAAAGCAATACAAAAGATCAATGAAACAAAAAGTTTTTTTAAGTCAACAGAAGTGACAAACCTTTAGTCAGACTAATTAATAAAAAAAAATTAAGAAAGAGAAAAAGAGGGAAGACTCAAATAAATAAAATCAGAGACAAAAAAGAGACATTACAATTCATACTGCAGAAATCCAAAGGATCATTAGTTGCAACTATGAGCAACTGTCTGCAAATAAATTAGGAAATATATAAAAAATGAATAAATCTCTAGACCTATAAAACTAACCAAGAGTGTACCATAAATAAATCCAAAAACTGAACAGACTAATAACAAATAATGAGATTAAAGCCATAATAAAATGTCTCCCAGCAAAAAGAAGCCCACGACCCAATGGCTTTATTGCTGAATTCTATCAAATGGTTAAAAAAGAACGGCATGATACTGGCATAAAAACAAACACATAGATCAGAGGAACAGAATAAGAACCCAGAAATAAATCCATATACTTACAGTGAACTCATTTTGGACAAAATTGCCAAGAATGTACACTGGGAAAAGGCCAGTCTCTTCAATAAATAATTCTAGGAAAACTTCATATTCATAGGCAAGAGATGAATGGATAAAGAAAAGGTGGTACATATACATAACGGATAACTATTTGGTCATAAAAAAGAATGAGATCCTGTCATTTGCAACTACATGGATAGAACTGGAGGTAATCACGTAAAGTTAAATAAGATAGGCACAGAAAGACAAACTTTGCATGTTCTCACTTATTTGTCGGAGCCAAAGGTTAAAACATTTGAAGTTGTGTAGATGGAGAGTAGAAGGATGGTTACCAGGAGTTGGGAAGGGTATTTGGGGGATAGGCAGGATGTGGGGATGGTTATTGAGTATAAGAAATAATTAGATAGAATGTATAAGACCTAGTATTTGCTAGTACAACAGGGGGATTACAGTAAAAAATAATTTAAATCTACATTTTCAAATTACTGAAAGTATATAATCGGAGTGTTTGAAAACAAAGAATAAATGCTTGATGTGATGGGTACCTCTTTTGCCCTGATTTAATTATTATGCATGGCATACCTATATCAAAATATTTCATGTAATTCATAAATATATGCATCTACTATGAGCCCACAAAAATTAAAAATAAATAATTAATTAAAAATAAAAATAGGATCACCATATGATCCACCAATCTCATTGCTGGATATACATTCGAAGGAAATTAAATCAGTATGTCAAGGATATCTGTACTCCCATATTTATTGCGACACTAATCACAATAGCCAAAATATGGTACCAACCAAATTGCCCATTAATGCATAAATGGATAAACAAAAGGTTTTATAAATTGTGACACTATTCAGCCATTGAAAATAATTAGATAATGTCATTTGTGACAACATGGATGAACCTGGAGTACATTATATAAGTATGATATGTCAAACACAGAAGGACAAATGCCACATAATCTCACCCAAATGTAAAATCTAAAAAAGTTAATCTCATAGAAATTGAGAGTAGAATGGTGATTTTTTTTAAATTTTATTATTATTATACTTTAAGCTTTAGGGTACATGTGCACAATGTGCAGGTTTGTTACATATGTATACATGTGCCATGTTGGTGTGCTGCACCCATTAACTCGTCATTTAGCATTAGGTATATCTCCTAATGCTATCCCTCCCCCCTCCCCCCACCCCACAACAGTCCCCGGGGTGTGATGTTCCCCTTCCTGTGTCCATGTGTTCTCAATGTTCAATTCCCACCTATGAGTGAGAACATGCAGTGTTTGGTTTTTTGTCCTTGCGATAGTTTGCGGAGAATGATGGTTTCCAGTTTCATCCATGTCCCTACAAAGGACATGAACTCATCATTTTTTATGGCTGCATAGTATTCCATGGTGTATATGTGCCAAATTTTCTTAATCCAGTCTATCGTTGTTGGACATTTGGGTTGGTTCCAAGTCTTTGCTATTGTGAATAGTGCCGCAATAAACATACGTGTGCATGTGTCTTTATAGCAGCATGATTTATAATCCTTTGGTTATATACCCAGTAATGGGATGGCTGGGTCAAATGGTATTTCTAGTTCTAGATCCCTGAGGAATCGCCACACTGACTTCCACAATGGTTGAACTAGTTTACAGTTCCACCAACGAATATGGGACTACGTGAAAAGACCAAATCTATGTCTGATTGGTGTACCTGAAAGTGACGAGGAAAACACTCTGCAGGATATTATCCAGGAAAACTTCCCCAATCTAGCAAGGCAGGCCAACATTCAGATTCAGGAAATATAGAATGGTGATTACCAGAGGCTGGGGAGCGTAGAAGAGAGGGGAGAAGGCGAGAGGCTGTTTAACAGGTACAAAGTTAGTTAGGATATATTAATTCAATTGTACAGCAGAGTGAGCATAGTTAACGATAATGTATTTCACATTTCAAAATAGCTAGAAGCAAGGATTTTGAATGTTCTCACCACAAAGATATAAATGTTTGAGATGATGAATTTGTTAATTACCCTGATTTGATCATTACACAATGTATACATGTGTCAAAACATCACATTATACCCCATAAATTTGTGCAATTATTATGTGTCAATTAAAAACAAAATGAAACTTTTAAAAACACAGATATATAGGAGAAATATAGAATTTTCTCTGACAATGTATAAATATATTTTTTATTTTCTAAACTTTGTGACCTTTTGTATTTATCAGCATTGTAATTTGTAAATTTTTATCTCATTCTAATAGAGTACTCACTGTTTAATCTGATTATGTACTTATAATTTTATATTATTGCTCTTCAAGAGAGCACCTTAAAGTACATAAATTTTTTGATTTATAATTATTGACCTATACCTGTCTATAGGGAGGGTTCAACCTCTTAACTCTACCCATTAACCCCCAGCACATAAATCCACATTTTTAACTTCTTCAGATAATTCACATTGACTTATATGTAGCAGAATTTCAGTCATTCAGAGGAACAGAGCGGAAAAAGAATCTGGAAATCTGAATGCCTTTCAAAGCTATTTTCTCATATTCTTTTTTTTTCTTTCTAAGAAGCCTGATTATCATGGTCACTACTTCTTTCTGACTGTAGTAACAAACTTAATTTTCTTCCTTGTTTTAGCTTCATACCATGTACTTTATAGAAGGAAGGTATGGAATCTAAGTAGCTAAATAACAGACAAATCTTGACATGTAAACTAGGAACAGCTCCAGAGGAAAATTTACTTTCTAAAAGTAAATATTTACGTTAAGATTGAAAACAGTCTAAAATTTGTAGGATTCACTGAAATATGTCTGTTTTTTGAGCAAGAGCTTGGTATCAGAAACAATGAAACTTTATGAAAATACTAACTCTCTAGCACATCCTGGCTTCCTTAATCTATTGAACCAGAATGGTTAGGGGTCCCCTCACTGTATTTAAAGTTCTCAAAATGAGACAGGTACAACCTCTTCCAATGTGTATTCTGTAAAATCTAACCTAGTAGTCCCCTGTCTATACAATGTGTTACTGAATCTCTGAATTAACCCCCTAGTTGGTGAGGTATGTCCTATTATCTTTATTAGTCATTATTGTAAGTATAAGCCTCTTGATTGACCCAAAGACTATTTGTTTTAAACTTTCTCTTCTCAATTATTTTTTAATATTTATTAAGAAACTGTTGCTAAATACTGTGCAAGAAAATTTAATCATATTTTTCTTGAGCCCTTATTCCAATTCTGTTGTGGATTGAATTGTCTCCCCAAAAAGAATATGTTGAATTTCTAACCCACAGTATCTCAGAATGTGTTCCTATTTGAAAATACAGTCATTGCAGATGTAATTACAAGTCTGACTCAGACCACCATGATAAAGCAAATAACACAATAAAGCAAGCAACACCAATTTCTAGGTTTCCCAGTGCATATAAAAGTTGCTTTTATACTATGTCTTCATCTTTTAATTGTGCAGTAACATTATGTCTAAAAATGTACATATATTAATGAAAAATTACATTATTGCTATAATGCTAGCTGTCATCAGGGCCCTCGGTGAGTTGTAATCTTTATTGCTGGTGGAGGTCTTGGCTCAAATGTACATAGCTGCTGACTGATCCGTATGGTGGTAGCTATAGGCTGGTGTAGTTGTGGCAATTTCTTAAAATAAGATAACAATAAACTTTGTCACATTGATTGACATCAATCCTTTCCAATTCTGACACGGCTTTATCAACTAAGTTCATGGGATGTTCCAAATCATTTGTTATTTTAACGGTATTTACAACATCTTCACCGTAGTAGTTTTCATCTCAAGAAACCAGTTTATTTGTTCATCCATAAGAAGCAAGTCCTCATTAATTCAAGATTTACCATGAGATTATAGCAATTCGGTTATATCTTTAGGTTCCAATTCTAGTTTTCTTACTATTTCCGCCATATTTGCAGTGACTTTCTTCACTGAAATTTTGCACCTTACAAAATCATCTATGACGGTTGAAATGAACATGTTCTAAACTCCTATTAATTTTGATATTTTGACATCCTCTCGTGAATCATGAATGTTTTAATGGAATCTAGAATGGTGAATGCTTTCTAAAGAGTTTTAAATTTACCTTACCCAGATCCACCAGAGGAATCACTATCTATGGCATTACAACTTTACAAAATGTATTTCTTAAGTAAGATTTGAAAGTTAAAATTACTTTTCATCCATGATCTACAAAATAAATATTGTGTTAGCAAGAACAAAACATTCATCTTCATGTACATCTCCATCAGAGCTCTTGGGTGATCAGGTGTATTGTTAATGAACAGTAATATTTTGGAGGGAGATTTTTTTTTTCTTAGGAGTAAATCTCAACAATGGGCATTGATAAGGCTTGGCTCTGTGTCCCCATCCAAATCTCACCTTCAATTGTAATAATCTTCATGTGTCAAGAGGGGAACCTCGTGGGAGGTGATTAGATCATGGGGGTGGTCCCCCATGCTTTTATCATGTTAGTGAGGGAGTTTTCAGGAGTCTGATGGTTTTATAAGGGGCTTCCCTCACTCTTCGCTCAGCAATCATTTTCTCACAGAGAACCCCCCTGCTTCTCTGTGAAGAAGTGCCTTCCACTCTAATTGTAAGTTTCCTGAGGCCTCCCCAGCCAGGCAAAACTGTGAGTAAATTAAACCTCTTTTCTTTACAAATTAGCCAGTCTCAGGTATTTCTTCATAGCAGTGTGAGAACAGACTGATACAGGTTTAAAACTCATTGAACATTGCTCTAAATAGATGCACTACCATCCAGGCTGTGCTTAATTTACAGAGCACAAGCAGAGTAAATTTAGTATAATTACTAAGGGCCTTAGGATTTTTGGAATGTTGAATGAGCATTGGCTTCAACTTAAAGTCATCAGCTTCACTAGCTCCTAAAAAGGTAGTCAGCATGTCTTCGAAAGCCAAACATTGACTTTTCCTCCTTAGCTATGAAAGTTCTAGATGACATCTACCAGTAACAGAACGTTTTGTCTACAAAAAAATCTCGTTTAGTGTAGCCACTCTTATCAATGATCTTAGGTACATCTTCTGGATAACGTGCTAAAGTGACTACTTCACGACTTGCTGCTTCATCTTGCAATTTTATGTTACGGAGACAGCTTCCTTCCTTAAACATCATGAACCAACCTTTGCTTGCTTGAAACTTTTCTTCTGCAGCTTCCTTACCCCTCTCAGCTTTCAAAAAATTGAAGAGATTTAGGGATTTGCTCTGGATTATGCTTTGACTTAAAGAAATATTGCATCTGGCTTCTTGTTCTACCCAGACCAAACTTTCTCTATATTAGTAACAAGGCTTTTTGCTTTTTTTTTTTTTTTTTTCTCATTTGTGTGTTCTGGAGTAGTACCTTATATTCCCTTCAAAAACTTTCTCTTTTCATTTACAACTTATCCAACTGGTGCAAAAGGTCCAGCTTTTAACCTAAGCTTTTGATTTGACTTCTTCAATAAACTTAATCATTTCTAGCTTATGATTTAAAGTGAGTTCCTGGGATTCATCCTTCCACTTGAATACTTACAGGCCAATATGGGGTTATTAATTGGCTTAATTTTATTATCATGTGTCTCAGGGAATAGGGAGGCCTGAGGATAGGGAGAGAAGCAGGGGAATGGTTGGTTAGTGGATCAGTTAGAACACACATTTATCAATTAAGTTTCCTGTGTTACATGGGCATACTTTGTGGTGCCCCAAAACAGTTATAACAGTACCATAAAAGGTCATTGATTATATATTACCATAACAGGTTTAATAATAAAAATATTTGAAATATTGTGAGAATTATGAAAATGTATCACAGAGACATGAAGTGAGTACATGCTGTTAAAAAAAGTCACTGATAGATTGGCTGGATATAGGATTGCACAAACTGTTAATTTTTAAAAAGTACAGTATCTGGGCCGGGAGCTGTGGCTCACCCCTGTAATCCCAGCACTTTGGGAGGCCGAGGCGGGCGGATCACAAGGTCAGGAGATCGAGACCATCCTGGCTAATGTGGTGAAACCCCGTCTCTACTAAAAATACAAAAAAGTAGCCAGGCATGGTGGCATGAGCCTGTAGTCCCAGCTACTCAGGAGGCTGAGGCAGGAAAATAGCTTGAACCCGGGAGACAGAGGTTGCAGTGAGCCGAGATCGCGCCACTGCACTCCAGCCTGGTGACAGAGCAAGACTCCATCTCAAAAAAAGAGTGCAGTATCTATGAATCAAAACAAAGTAAAGCAAACTAAAAGAAAGGTATGCCTGTAGTTAAAATGAGGTAATTCTTGGTTAGAGTGGGCTCATATTGCAGCGTGACTGGTGTGCTTATCAAAAGAGAAGAGACACAGAGACAGAGACACAGGGAGAATGACATCTGCAACAGAGGTAGACAGTCCAAATTAAAGAAGCATTGCTGGCAAGCTTATAAAAGCTAGGAGAGAGGCAAGAAATGATTCTTTCATACAGGTTTCGGAAATAGTATGGCACTGCTAACACCTTGTTCTTGAATTTCTGGCCTCAACTGCTGTGAGATGATAAATGTTTGTTGTTTTAAGCCACGCTGTTTTTGTTACTTTGTTGCAGCACACCTAGAAAACTAATATAAATTTTGTGAGAAAGACTGTCATTTCTATCAGGGGCTCAGAAAGGTTAAATAAATTATCCAAGTTTACCATATTGATGGTAAGTAATATTGTCTGTGTCAAACCCAGTGTTTTTTCACTGTATTTCTTGTTGTTTTAAAAATCACATAAAACTTCTGTATAACTCATGAAATCTACTATGATAAAATATGATAAAAACAAATATTTCATAACGTCTTTGAGTGGAATCTAGTGTGTATTCTTCTCTCAAGAATAAATAGCAGTAGAGTGTTTCCTTTTTTATGAGTAAAAGAGAAAGTACTGATATTCTCTTGTGTCTCTAATTGGATGCCATATGTTGAACTCTGTCAACCCTTTTCATCCTTCTGCCCTCTGTGACACCCCTTGAAATCAATAAGAATGTTAAAATTAAATCAGACTATATGTGTTGAGAGAATCATAAAATCTGTATAATCCAGATACTCTGGTTAATGACTGAACACATGAAAAGAACAGTAGAACTCTATTTATATAAAACCAACATTTGTCCTCATTTGTAGTAGCAACCTTTAATGTCTTTTCTGTTAACATCAGTTTTGAGGAAATGTTTTATATCCATCATTTTTAGAAACATTTCTCAGTTGCAGTTTGGAATAGAAATGAAAGCACTCATAGAATTGTTTTGCTGTGTATGAATGCAGATACAAAGTGATATTTAGGGAGAAAAAATGGAAGTATATAGTTTAGCAAAATAAGCTTTTGAGAACATTTTATTTCAGTTGGTTTATGCAATGAAATACATTTATACAAAAGAGACCCTTAAAATGAGACTACTTTGGAGTTTTAATTACTATAAGCTAATGTCAAAAATGTTATAATAAAATTCTCACCTATAAAAGGTGTGAGATACAATTATCAGTGACAATGTGAGATTTTATTTTAATTAATTTAATCTGTATTTGATGGAGTAAATTGAACACACAATTTAGCAGTATTGGCAATCTACATATTCTGGACCTTCCCATGGATTATTGAGTTTCCTAAAATAACCTAAATATATTTAAGTTCTGGATCACATATCATCTCCTGAAAGAAAATGAAATCCCATGGCTAATATAATCATCAAAAGAAAATTTGTGCTACAATTGCATCATTTTAATTTCATTTCCTGCTATGTCTCTAAGACTTTTTGGTAAAAGTTTTGCATCTTTTAAAATGAATCTATTCAATTTTCAATATATTCTAAAATGAAAAATGCCAGGCGATTAGACAAAACACAAACTAAGTCTGCAAGTTCATGTGGAAAGGTCAGCTGAACTGAGTGAGATTTTTAGAGGTCGACTGGCTAGTGGTCGATATGCAAGTGTGAACATTTCTGAAGTTAAATTTTCAGCCTTAGCTTCATGTCCTATTACTGGCTAGGAGAATGATAACACATTAAAACTAGTCCAGTTAATGTTAAAGTTAGAGAACAAATTTAATGAATATGCCCCCTTTTTGCAGAAAGGAAAAAAATGTAGCAATCAAAAGTTATAATCTCATGGAATATGTAGATCTGCTTCATAGTATATTGCCTAATGAAACAAAGATATAATTTTCCCTTGTGGTTTTTGAATACATACATACTTGCATATATTCTTGTCAGTTATTTCTCTTTTACATCACTTGTTTTCTGCTTGGCTCTTAAACAAAATTCCAAACAACCCTGAATTGTGTCTGAGTGTTTATTTTAAAACTCCTTGAATGTAGACAAGTCCTTTGAATTCTAACCTAACTCATGTTGTAACATCTTCTTAATTCAACATTTGTTAGGTGGCTTCAGGCCAGGTTGAGAGTAATTTTGGTACCAGGTATGTAGGCAAACATCTTAGCCTCTCTGATTGAGGTTGATTCTAAATGTGAAGAGTGTCTTTGCACTCATAAATCAGCTGAAATCTCTTTATGTAGAACTATAATATGTTAAATATGTATTTCTAAATTTTCATATTTTAGTATCTTCTTGGATGTTAGGAAATTATGTCAAATGTCTGAAGTTCATAACTTGAGCTGCAGGATTGCTAAAGAGAAAATATCTTGTCAGTACATTCTTTTAAAAAGATCCATATGTTTGGGACATTTACATATAAATGGTTTGGAATAAGCTCCAGTTATTGTTTGATACTGGGTTTAACTAAACTGGGCACAATGCCAAATTTGCCATGGCTGGAATCCTTTATTATCACATTCAATGGTGATTATGCTTGAAGGAGAGAATGAGAAGACGTCTGCATCAGAAGTCTGCCCAGGGGCACCCTTATAGAGTAGGTTGAACGTCTACAAAAAATAAATTTGCACTAACTTCTGTGTCATTTGATTCATTACCTAACAACAAACCAGGATAGGAAGGTGATGTCTTAGGAATGCTTCAGAAACAAATTTTTAATTATTTATTCTATTTTTAAATTTAAGAGTGTTTTTCTGATATTTTATTTTTTCTTTTTTTTTGTGAATTATCATTTTTGTTTTGTTTAAATTTACTTAGCTTCCCCTGTAAATCAACGTAAGTAGCCTAGTGCAGTTTTGTCACAATATTGGCAATGAACTCGTGTGTTTCTGAGACTCAGGTTTTGTCTATGTCAAGCTTCCTCAATAAAGTAACTATTGACTCACAAAAATTGGTCAATAAATTTCACCTCTCAAGAGACTCTGAATTTTAGTGGTAATAATGTTTACACACAATATATTCATAAGCTTTTCTCGTGCCCCAATATTTAAATTCACACAAACATTCAAATTAAACATGACTTACACATTGAATTATCTTTGACATGGGAATAATGTCGACATAAAATATTTTTAAATGTTTCAGAACACATTAAGTTTTTCAAACTTACGTCTTATTTTTAACATTGATTAACTTATAGTTTATCCAGTCAAAGCATTCTAGGGACTATAACTACTGTTGTTAAGGACGTAGACATTAAAAGCAAACTGCGTGGCTTGATACTGAAATTCTACTACTAGTTTGGTGACCTAGGAAATCACTTAACATACTTGTATTTCAATTTTCTTGTGTATGAAATGAAGTTACTAGTATTTATTCGTTTTCTTATTTTTTTCTTTCTTGTTTTTCTTAGAGATCAGGGTCTGTTTCTGTCATCCAAGCTGGAGTACAACGATGCCATCATAGCATATTGCAGCTTTAAACTCCTGGGCTCAGATGCACCTCCCATTTCAGCATCCTGAATAGCTGGGATTTAACAGGTGTGTGAGACCATGCCCAGCTAATTTGTTTATTTATCATTATTATTGTTTTTTGTATTGATGTGATCTTGCTGTGTTGCCCAGGCATGTCTCTAACTGATGACCTCAAGCGATCTTCTTGCCTTGGGCAACTATTTGTAAATAATGAGTAAACACTCGATGGGGAGAATGAAAAAAAAAAAAAAACTAGTCTCTTTTTTTCTACTTTTGTCAATTCCTGCTTCTTAAAAGCGGGTATTTTTCATGCTTTTAGCTGTTTCCTTTGTTTCTTAATATTATAAAATTACATGTTAAATATGCTAAATATTATAAAATAATATGCTAAATATTATATGCCAAATATAATTATATGCTAAATATATTAATTTAAATATCATTAGCATATTAAATTAAATATGATTAGCATATAAATATTATATGCTAAATGTTATAAAACATGCTAAATATTATAAAATTACATGTTAAATATGCTAATATTACTAATTTTAGACTGACTTCCTATCGGGAAAAAGGAAGACCTATTTATGCCCCTCATATTATCTCTCTACCACAAACACACAGACACATACAGTTCTTCTACCACATGCAAAACAACTTTATAATAGTTTTGTCTAGATCAACATTAATGTAATTATACAAGTATTCAAAGCTGAGTCAGCAAATAAAATAAAATTACATTTTCTTCTCAACACAATTTGCTTATTTTTCCTGAAGGAAATGACTATTTTTCTTTTGTTTTCTTTTCCATTTGCTTAGTTTCTTCTAAGTACTTATGATTAATTCATGCCAAAATTCTGCCAGAAAATTACATTCAATATGTTAACAAATATTCAAATTACTAACCAATTATAAATAGTGGTTCTCAGTAGATCTGATGTAGAAGTGATTCTCTTCTTACTATCAAATCAGGGTTTCTTTTTTTTCTCTTTCTTTTTTCCTTTTTTTCCCCCTTTGTCTCTTTCCTGCACTGATTTCCCTATTTTCTGGATGCTGTTTTTGTTTAAACTCTTTTTCATGAAATTTCCAGTAGTTTCTGAGAAACTGTGAGCAAGAAGTTGAGTATTTGGAGACCACACATGTCTGAAAATATTTTTACTTCAATATTACATTGATAAAGTGGATAGATATAGAATTCAATGTAAAAAAAGAGAAGACTTAAAAACTAAAAAATGCTTTCTAGCTTCCAGTTTAGCTTTTCAGATTAAAAATTACTTACATTTTTAAAATATTTTAAGAATGTCGTAATTTGTATATGTTTGAAAACAAAATATCAAATTCACATTTTTATTTCATCCAATATTCTAAACACTATGGTTAACAAAGTTTTGAGAAATTTTCTGTGTTATATTTTGTTGATTTTTTTCCCCATCCATATTATTCTTCCAACCTTTCTGGAATTTCTAGTTTGGATATTAACCTCCCTGAACTATATCTCAAATTTTAGAAATTTATCTCTGATAATTTTTGTAATTAATTTTTTTCATGCTCGGCTTACTGTGAGAATATTCTCAAATTTATATTCTAACTTTATGATTGGATTACTTCATACGCAAAGGCAGATACACCCAGACACAACAATTTTTGTTCTCTTCATGTGACTTTTGTATTGTATTGTTATTTCATGGATATAATATCTTTTCTTATTACATATATACTCTTTCATTATGTGTTTAAGGCTTTACTATGCTCTTTTTTCTCTGATTTTCTGATTTATAACTGCTTTTGTTTAAAATTTTGATTTATAACTCTACTTCTGTTTTATCAGAGGTTTCATAAAAATTCCATCTGTAGACATTTAAAGCAATAAAACCTGTCCAAAATATCAATATAAGCATGCTCAAACTTTCAGTGTTAAATTTTATAGTAAGAAGAGCCCATTTGTTTGATTAGTAGAGCTGCAAATTTCAGTGTCTGCTGATTTATGTTTTGTATTTGCCGTTATACCCACAGAGATATTTTAGCATTTTTCAATAGAGAAGTTTCAAGTATTTTTACAGTATTAAAGACAGATAAAGAGCAAAATGGGGGTTTAAATTTTATTTTAATTCAAAATTTACTTTAATTATTTTTAGTGTGTTATTGTGGCTCCCTGTAGAAGTGTAGAGTCATTTTAGTTCAAATACTTTAATGATCATCTGCAAGGGTACTCTTTAAGTACTTACTGAACGTATTGTGGTACACATCCTTACTTTCTGACACTGAAAGATGGCCCAAACTTATCTTGTATACTTCTTGAACCCATCCGAGAATTGTATTTAGTGAACTCTGGTTCTTTTAATTGGAGAATGGAAACTAAGATCCAGATCCTTGTTGGGTTACCACGGTGTCATTATTTCTAGACCCTCTCAAAAGGTCCTCTAGGCCCAGACAAAACAAGGCATAGATACATACACAAATACAGGTGTGTATACTAGTATGTGTACATACGCATTTCTGTAAATATTTTCTTTTGTTACCAATTTTTCTATATCAGAGTAAGCACAAATTCATACTAGTGTCTCTGACTCTAATCCACTATTATGTGAATTGTTCTGCCCATCTTCTCTTGCTTACCTGTAACTTCCAACTCACACAGTGAGAAATCTGACTTCTATCATTTGCCATCCATTTGCCTAATTGTTCAATTCCAGTATACATATAAGAGTATTCAAACTTTTTATCCAACCCCTGTGGTAAACTATTTTATCAACCAGAATATAATAGCTATGTACAGTTCTTTGCCTTTAGTATCACAAACTCTATTGGAGTTACTATTCCCTCAACCTTCTTTAGTAAGGTTGTTTCATACTTTTTTTTTTTTTCCTTTGAGATGAAGTCTCACTGTTGCGCAGGCTGGAGTGCAATGGTGTGATCTCGGCTCACTGCAACCTCCGCCTCCCGGGTTCAAGGAATTCTGCTGCCTCAGCCTCCCAAGTTGCTGAGATTATAGTCGCCTGCCACCATGCCCACCTAATGTTTGTATTTTTAGTAGAGATGGGGTTTAGCCATGTTGGCTAGGCTGGTCTCAAACTCCAGACTTCAGGTGATCTGCTCACCTCGGCCTTCCAAACTGCTGGGATTACAGACTTGAGCCACGGCGCCCAGCCAGTTTCATACATTTTGAACACAGTCACATTGTTTTGTCACATTCCTCATTCCACAATTGAATCATTACACCTCCTACATGATATTTTAAAAATTTGCATTCATTAAGGTTCATATTTTTGTGCCATATAATTCAATGGATTTTGACAAATGCAATGTCATGCATCCTGCTATAGTATAGATGTTTGCTTCCCTGAACCTCATGTTGAAATTTGATCTATGGTGTTGAAGGTGAGGCCTAATGGAAGGTGTCTGGGTCATTGGGGCAGAGTCTTTATGAATAAATTAATCCCCTCCCTGTGGTGATGGGGGGGCCTGAGTGAGTGCTTGG
This sequence comes from Homo sapiens, assembly GCF_000001405.40. Classification (NCBI taxonomy): domain Eukaryota; kingdom Metazoa; phylum Chordata; class Mammalia; order Primates; family Hominidae; genus Homo; species Homo sapiens. The sequence goes on from NC_000001.11 coordinate 104,406,846, forward strand.
ACTGTTAGTTTCTATGAGAGCCGATGGTTAAAAATAGTCTGCCCCTACTCCCCCTTACATGCTTCCTCTGTCACCGTGTACTCTGCACATACAGGCTCCCCTTTGTTTTCTGCCATGAATGAAAGCAGCCTGAGGCTTTTACCAGAGGCCCAGTGTTCAAACCAGCAGCACAGTGAGCCAAATAAATCTTTTTTTCTTTATAAATTAAGTCTAAGGTTAACCTTTAAATAGGAAAAAAAAAATTCCTTGTGCTTCACCTATCCCACACTGTCTGCCCAACCCAAACCCCTGGCAACCGCTGATCATTTTATACTCACTACTGTGTTTTTCCAGAATTTTGTATTACTGGTATAATACAGTATGTAATCTTTCAGACTGCTTCCTTGTACTCAGCAATATGCGTTCAACAACATTCATGTTGTTTCCTTGTTTGGTAACTCAACCTTTTTAATGTATAATAACATTTAAGTGTATGGTTGTACTGTATTTATTAATTTGTTTATAGGAGGATATCTTGGTTGACTCCAGCTTTCAGTAACATGAGTAAAATTTCTATAAACATTTGAATTTTTGTGCTGACCTTGTGTCCGGAATTGGTGGGTTCTTGGTCTTGCTCACTTCAAGAATGAAGCCACGGACCCTTGCGGTGAGTGTTACGGTTCTTAAAGATGGTGTGTCTGGAGTTTCTCGCTTCTGGTGGGTTCGTGGTCTCGCTGACTTCGCGAGCGAAGCTGCAGACCTTCGCAGTGAGTGTTACAGCTCTTAAAGATGGCGTTCATTCTTTCCGGTGAGTTCATGTTCTCTCTGGCCTCAGGAATAAAGCTGCAGACCTTCCCAGTGAATGTTACAGCTCATAAAAGTTGTGCGTCCGGAATTGTTCCTTCCTCCTATCCAGAGTTGTTCGTCTTTCACGGAGGGTTCATGGTCTTGCTGGCCCGAGTAGCTGTCCTTTGCAGAGAGTTCGTGATTTTGCTGGCTTCAGGAGTGAAGCTACAGACCTTTGCCCTGAGTGTTACAGCTCACAAAAGAAACACACACCCAGAGTGAAGAGCAGCAAGATTTACTGCAAAGTGCAAATGAACAATGCTTCCACAACACAGAAGGGGACCCCAGCAGGTTATCGCTGTCGGCTTGGGCACCCTGCTTTTATCCCTTTATCTGACCACCCCCCCCACTCACATCCTGCTGATTGGTCCATTTTCCACAGAGCTGATTGGTCCATTTTACAGAGAGCTGATTGGCCCGTTTTTTACAGAGAGCTGATTGGTCCATTTTGACAGGGTGCTGATTGGTGCATTTACAAACCTTTAGCTAGACACAGAGTGCTGATTGGTGCGTTTGCAATCCTTTAGCTAGACACAAAAGTTCTCCAAGTCCCCACTAGATTAGCTAGACACAGAGTGCTGATTGGTGTGTTTACAATCCTTTAGCTAGACACAAAAGTTCTCCAAGTCCCCACCCATCCCAGAAGCCCAGCCGGCTTCACCTCTCACTGACACTCCCTGCCCGACTTTGGGGCACCTAGCCCAGGCACTCTGGCAGCTCAGAGGGAGCTCATCCCCCCATCAAGCCCAGGCAGGCGACAGCTGGCACTGCTGAGTGTGGGACTGGTGGAGCCCGCACCCATCCAGAACCCCCACTCCCACCCGTGCCTCTCCCTCCATACCACCCCTCGAGCAGAGGGAGCCGACTCCAGCCTTGGCCAACCCCAGAGAGGGGCCCCCACAGTGCAGCCCACACAGAGGCAGAGGAGGAACCAAGAGCGAGCAAGGGCTGCTAGCATGTTGTCATCTCTCAACATCAGCTTTCAAAATTGTTAAGTCAATACGCCAGGAGCATGATTGCTGGATAATATGGTAGATAACGTTTAGCTTTTCAGGAAACTGTAAAGCTGTTTCCAAAGTGGCTGTACAATTTTGCAACCCACCAGCAATGAATAAGTGTTGCTATAGCTCCACATTCTCAGTAATATTTAGTATTGACAGTTTTTTTTCATGTTTACTATTCTAACAGGTGTGTAGGGTTTCACCTTGTTATTTTGATTTTCAATGCTCTAATTACAAGCAAACTAAAGCATCTTTTCTTATGCCTATTTTCCATCTTTATATTTTTTAGTAAAAGGTCAATTCGTGTATTTGTGAATTTAAAAAATTTATTGTTTTTCTTTTTATTGTTGAATTTTAAGTTATTTTTATATGTTGAATCCACATTTTTCATCAGATATGTGTTTTGCAAATATATTCTCCCAATCTGTGGTATATCTATTTATTCTCTTAACAGTATTTCATGGAGAAGTTTTCAATCTTAATAAAGTACAACTTATCAATTTTTTATGTCATGCTTTGAATGTAATCTTAAGATCCATTGCCAAACTCAAGATCTCATAGCTTTTCTCCTATCTTTTCTTCTATAATTTTTTTTTATTATTATTATACTTTAAGTTTTAGGGTACATGTGCACATTGTGCAGGTTAGTTACATACGTATACATGTGCCATGCAGGTGTGCTGCACCCACTAACTCGTCATCTAGCATTAGGTATATCTCCCAATGCTATCCCTCCCCCACTACCCCCACCCCACAACAGTCCCCATAGTGTGATGTTCCCCTTCCTGTGTCCATGTGATCTCATTGTTCAATTCCCACCTATGAGTGAGAATATGCGGTGTTTGGTTTTTTGTTCTTGCGATAGTTTACTGAGAATGATGATCCTTCCAATATTTAAAACGTCATTCCACTACGTTTTTGCTTGTATGGTTTATCATGAGAAGTGTGCTGTAATTCTTATATAGCTAAGGTGTTTCCTACTCAACTCCTTCCACAGTCTCTTTCGGGATATTTTCTTTGTGTTAGTTTGTCTGCAGTTTGAATATAATATGCCCAGGTGTTTTGGTCTTGTCTTATTTTGTTTTCATATTTGTTTCCTTATTTTTTATATCTGTTATGTGTTTTTAATTGGGAAAAATTCACAGCTATTATTAACTGAATAGTTCTGCAGCTCTGTTCTGTCTTCTATTTTTTTTAGATATCACTAATATTAATGTGTGATACCTTTGGAAATTGTCCCAAAGTTTGTGCATATTTTATTTAAAGATGTTTCCTCCACATTTCAGTTTTGGAATATTCTATTGATCTATCTTTAAACTCAATGTTGCTTTTTCTTCTGCTGTGTCCAGTCTTCTGATGACACTGTCAATGCTAGGCTTCATATATGTTATAGTATTTTTGAGATATTCTTTAGTTCTGTTACAATTGTTTTATTTCTAGCTTTTCCTTTAGAATCTTCCTTTGAGTTTCTATTACTCTGCTAATGTAATCTATTTTCCTTACATGTTATCTATTTTTTCATTAGAGCCATGAAAATATTAATAATAATTATTTTAAATTCTCTGTCTAATAATTTCAATATCTGTGTCATATCTGAGTCTGGTATTGATTGCTTAGTTACTTCAGATTGTATTTTTCTTGGCTTTTAGCATTGCTTATGATTTTTGTTGAAAATCAGAAATATTGTATTGAGTAATAACATCTGTGGTAAGTACACCTTTAGTGTGAGGGTTTATGTAAATCTGAATAGGAGTTGTGCTGTGTTTAATATTTTCTATAACTGTAGTTACCAGAGGTTTAACTTTTTTCTAATGTCCTTGTTTTTGTCTTCACTTTTGACTTTCTACTTCCCTATGTACTCTCCTCAGAAAAAATTTGCCTCTTTTCCCGCTTTCAGATGCAATCTACTGTAATTACACTAAAGTACCTGTTGGTTTGATGTTAATATGTGAAGATGAGGAAGCAGTCTAAATCTTATGATTAAATCTCAGTCTTTTAGTAATCCTATGTCTCTGAACTGTGACATTCACAACTGTCTCCCCAGTGCTGTAAATTTTTTTCCCTCCTATGTAAGAAAGAAATGTTAAGAGGTGCTAGAGTGTGAAGAAATGTCTTCCTGCAACTAAAGACATATTCTGATAAAGTATTTCCCTCTGGAGAGTAGGTCATTTTAATAGATAATGTTCTGAACATATTTCACAATGCTTAATTTCCAGTCTCCCTGACAGTCTGTCAGTGGATATTTCTTAGCTTTACAATATGAGAACTGGTGGGATTCCAAGAGGTAACCACAAAAACATGTGTTAGCACCCATATACTAGAGCCCTTGGAGTTTCTTACTCTTTTTCCAGTCTACATTTAAGCTCTAGCAATTTATTATAATGAACATTTTAGTATTCCTACCAATCTGTGGCTCCAGTAACTTCTGCTCCAGGGTATCAAATCATGGCTGAGACCCTCTGGACTTCTTATCTCCATATTTTCAGGGTGGTGGTTTGCACTGCAAATTCAGTTTACTGATAGTCCCAAAAAAATCACTGATGTTTAGTTTACTCATTGGTTTATTTTTTCTAAGAACAGGAGAGATTTTCAAGGTTTCATATGTCACATTTGAAAAAGGTGGGTTTTTTGATATATTATTTTATTTTTTATGTGTTTTATTCTGGAATTCTACATGTATTTCAGTCTCTGGTCTATAATTCTCTACTCTGATTTGTCTAATTTGCCATTAAAGTATACCTTTTATCTTAATTTTATCTTTTGTTTCCCAGTTGTAATATTTCTATTTGATTCCTTGTTATGTTTTTATTTTTTTGCTAAAATATTTCATCTTGTCACTTAAAATTTTTTAACATAACACATTTATTAAAATAATATATATACATATTAGCCCTAACATCTGAATAAAGTTTGCTGCCATTACTATTGCTATTTTATTTGTTTCTTGTAAATTCTTGTCATTTTTACATAATTTAATTGAATGCTAAAAATTGAATTAAAAAAATTAGCAAGATTTGAAATTCTTAATCCTGTTACCTTTCTTCAGAAATAATATATTCTTGCTTTCCAGGAGTTGATTAATTAGGCACAGATAACCTTTAATCAAATGACTGGAAGATATACTTCAGTCTTGGTGATCTCTAGATTTTGACAATTTCTTTTATCACTAAGGCCTATTCCTTTCTGTTCCCTAACAGTCATGCTTGACTTCTTTGTCGGACATTAAACTTCAATGCTTCGGCCACTGTTTATGTGACTGTAAAAAGCTCTGCCAAATGTTTTGCTTCTCAGCACCTATTTTAAAATTGAAAAATGCTTCAAAAGGCAAAACTTATCCAGGCTTCTACTTTTTGCGTGATCTTTTTCCCTCACATCCTTTTTTTTGCCTTCCAAATATAGGTTTTTTTACTTGTCTTCACTGAGACAGTTGTTTTCAGTTAAGCCGTTCTTCTATTGCTGGGAGCAGAAATCCTGTAGTAATTATTTATACAAACTGCATGTTAATTGCTTTACTCATTAAAAATATACACAAAATAATATTAAAAATTAATGAGTGAAAATTTGTAAAAATGTACTCAAATAATGAATATTAAAGAGGGAATTTTTAAAGCATAAATATCAATAAAGAATAAACTTTGTTTAAAATATGTATTAAAATGTTTGAAAACTTTGTTAACAAGACCTGTCTTATTGATGTGAATCTATATAAAAACTAGAATACCATTATGTTTAGAGCAGCACAAAGTGTTTCCTGAAGGCTTTGGATACGGCTTTTGAAAGTGCCTCACTTTTTTTTTTTTCTTGTATGCTCTTATTTCTCTAGGACATTATCATTTGTTTCAGAGGTACTATATTCCTTCTTATGAATTTCTCCTGAAAGTAATAATTCCAAGAAATATTGGGAATATCTGTCTAAAGTGTTCAACAATGAGGGAAATTAGATCTTAATGTAAATGTTTGCATGGTATGTTTTTTATATTCAATGAAAATAATATAATTTAAGCCACTAAGCCTGCAGCAATATATCCTGAAGGATATAATCTAATCTCTAATTTTCAATCAATGTAAATGATGATAATTATAATGTGAATGATACAACGAACACTCATAAAAATGAGAATGGTCTCAATAACATTTAAATGCTTTTTTTCTCCCCACTATCTAATGATGATGTGCATTTGTTTTTTGACAGCCTGGTAGATGCTTTCTTGGATAATGTTTATATATTAAGCTGTAAAATAAGTGTATATGCCTTGTTAGAACTGTCCTGTAGTATTATGTGAATAGTTTTGTTATGTATAGAAAATGTTGGCCATAGCATTTATTTCTGTCATTTCCTCTATTTATTTATTTTTTTTGTTAAACCTACCCCTGCTCCAACAGCTCTTTGCCCACCATTTTCCATGAGAGTAATTTGTATTTTGTTTTTTAGCATAGCATAAATTAGAATTATTCTTGTCTCTTCTCTTTGGACCATCCAACTGACAAAAGTCTTTATTTTTAAAGAACTGATATCAAAATAACACCTCAGAAGAATTTTCATGATGTCATATGTACCTTTCTTCAAATCTTTAGTAATTTCTACTTGTTATAAAAATTAACAATTTTTTATTCATATCTATGTACATAACTTTTATCATCTTGTACCCATGTAACACATTAAACCAAAAATATACCTTGTTTTTTCTGCCCCTTTTATTGTCAGTTTTGCTCCTATCTTAACTACAGTTCACTGTGAAAATAGAAATATGAATCATCAGAATACTTTAAAATATGTAGCCAATATAATTCTAAAGTATATTTTACCTAATTTATAACAAAATCACGGATATAATAAATCAAAAAAGCACTATATAAAATAAAATCCTTGAGCTAAATAAATTGAAAAGGGAGGTGAATAAAAATGTAAATTTTTTTGAACATCTATGATGATAAAGAAAGTCTGAGAACTTAACACTGAGTTTCTTTGAAAAGAAGAAGAAAATAAAAATGCCATGAAGTTTTTATTATCTAATAAACAAAGCATACTTTTTTTTAAACCATGGGCTTGTTTTACTTATAGCTCTAAATTCTGAAAAGAATATGATGAGCTGCTTTTCGTATTCGAGACTTTAAAGCATATATAAAAATGATTTATTTCCATTGTCTTGAAGTTTTATGTACACTGATTGCAATTCTTAAGAAAATCTTCAATAAAACTTAAGTACAAAATTTTATCGTAATCCTTTATGGGTAATAATGGGAATTAGAAGCTGATATATACTATCTAGGAGTGTAGCTTTACAGTATTAATAATGAGAGATGATAGTCAACTCATGTGAAAGTACTGATTTATAACTATTTCTGTTAGTTTGATAGTGAAATTCATGTTGGATAATTCAAAACAGAAATACCAAAAGAGTCTTGATGGACAGATATTGTTTCTTTACATGAAAGAAGATACATGGTAAATATATGGGAAGATACCATTTTATAAATGTGCAACTTATGAATATTGCATCAGCTGTCATTTTATTAATAAAAAGTAGAACCCTTACACAAAAGGTGAATTGCAGGAATACATGCAGACAAAAACAACTTTTTTTTCTTAAAAAGGTACTCTGGGGTTATAATATGCTTTACTATAGCCAAAATGTTCCAAATCTTTCATTAAATTTTGTACATTATATCATGGGTTCTTTCAGGCATTTGGTATATCAGGCAGTCCTACCTTTCATGAATTTCCCCCCTGAAGTACAACTGGCAGAAAACCAAACTTAATTTAAAAAAAAGGGAACTTCTATATTTCTGTGAATAATAATTCTGTAAATTCTTAATGAGGGACTGTAGTGCTCTAATTTTTCAGCAATTTCTGTTCTGCTTCGTTCAATAGAAGGCTTTTGGATTTGAGTTTAGAGCTCAGGAGAAATTCCCCAAGTAGCCACAGAGTAAGAAACAGGAACAGTTTCAGCAGCCAGAGGAGAAATGCCTGAGTGTAGAAATCTGATAAATGCTGATAAGAAGTTTCACTCAATTTACCCTTAGAGGCTCTGGCTACAATTTTGAAGACTGAGATCTATCTAAGAGTAGAATTCAGGGGCTGTTCTAAGTTGATTAACAGTGCTGGAGATAGTAAAATTTAGTTACATGAGAGGAGCTGAGGTTAATTTGAAGTAGGAGAGAAACCTGAACGTGCTAATCAAAGGAGGGTTAAAATTTACAGTTAGGCATTGGCAGAGGCTTCTCATTAAAACAAATAAACAAAAAGGGCAAGGTGAAGTCATGAGCAGAAAATTAAACTGGACAGATTATAGAAGCCCTTTTCAAGCTGAGGTCAGAAACTTGAGATTGGGAGACAAAGTTGAGGAAATAGCATTACATTTGAGTCCACTCTTCAAATTACTGCAACCATTTATCTTGCACCAGCGAGAGGTTCCCCAAACATCTCTAACTTCAATGTTGGACTACCAAGGTTCTGGGTTTCCTTTGCTGTTTCTCAGTCTTTTTGTTTTGTTGTTTTTCTCTGGCAATACTGTTTTCTGGGCTGAGAAGTAATACTTATCTAGGTTTGGTTAGAAAGTATTAGTTTTTCAAAGCTTTAACTTTAGATTCTTGCTTAACCGTCTATAATTGGGGCAAATGATGGTGGGTGGATTTTTCTGGCATTTGTTGTCAGTTCCAAGCCAAACCCACTTGATCTCTGATACATTTGATCTGTTTTCCTCATTTATCAATAACAATCAAATCTGTTTTCTATTTGAGGTTGATTTTAACCAGATTATTAAATTAATAAAGATAATCACTGTTATGATGTTTATGTCAACACAGCAGCATCCAGGTGATCCACAGGGGAAGCATCTTTAGGAGAATGTTATCTTAGTTTCTGCCCTCCTCCGTTAACCATTTTTACTATTAAGTAGTGAAAGAAACCTGTACTAAGCCTTTTCTCTTTTCTCTATATTCTGTCCATAGAACTTAGTAAAATTATGAAAATTTTTGCCTAGGAATTCAAAGTAAGATGACTCTATTAATCTGTTCTCACAATGCTAATAAAGACAAGTGCAAGACTGGGTAATTTATAAAGATAAGGGGTTTAATGGACTCAAGTTCCACATGGCTAGGAGGCATCACAATCATGGTGGAAGGCCAAGGAGGAGTAAAGGCAAGTCTTACATGGCAACAGGCAAGAAAGCATGTGCAGGGGAACTGCCCTTTATAAAACCATCAGATCTCATGAGATTTATTCACTCTTATGAAAATAACATGGGATAAAACCACCCCTGTGATTCAATTACCTCCCACTGGATCCCTCCCATGACATGTGAGGATTATGAGAACAACAATTCAAGATAAGATGTGGGTGGGGACACAGCCAAACCATATCATTCTGCCCCTGGTCCGTCCCAAATCTCATGTCCTCACATTTCAAAACCAATCATGCCTTCCCAACAGCCCTCCAACGTCTTAACTCATTTCATCATTAACTCAAAAGTCCAAGTCCAATGTCTCATCTGAGACAAGGCAAGTCCCTTCCACCTACGAGACTATAAAGTCAATAGCAAGTTGGTTACTTCCTAGATACGATGGGGGTACAGGTATTGGGTAAATACACCCATTCCAAATGGGAGAAATTGGCCAAAATAAAGGGGCTACAGGCCCCATGCAAGTCCAAAATCCAGCAGGGCAGTCATTAAACCTTAAAGTTCCAAAATAATCTCCTTTGATTAAAATTAAGAACTTCAAAAACTAAATAAATTAAACAAAATAAAATATTATAGACAATTACCATTTTACAGAATACAGATTTTAATATTCTTTGTCATTTACATCAATGGTTATGCTTATTCTTGTTCATCAGTACAGAAAGATATGTTCACAATAGGGGCAAAATTATCATAATGCTAATGTTTCTGCATTTATAAATATATCAACAATATCTTCCAACCCTCATTTGTTGTATTGTGTTGATAATTATAAAGATATTGGTACTATTCTAGCATACTGTCAGTAGAATAGAGGCCTAGTGCAATTTTCTCATAGATATTTATAGAAACATTACATGTTCTGTTTTACCAGCCATAACTGTATAATTGATAAATTCCTGCATTTTTAAGTTATTGGAATATTTTTAATGTGAAGTGACCTTTGGCATTAATTTCCAATTGCTCTGGAGCTTGCTATGAAAATCACTAAAAGAATTAATGACTTCTCATAACTTTTACCAAACAGGGTGTTGCTGGCTGTTTAGATCTTTTCAAGATGATTAAAACAAATTATGGTCCGACAGAAAGATAATGAAGAAAACGCAAATGAAATAATAGATGGCTTTAAAAAGTCAACAGTTTCCTATTTGGTGAGTATATTAGATCACAGGGAACAAGCATCTGCTCTAATATTCTAGATATTTATTTAAATTTCATCAATTTACTTGGAATATTTTACATGATAAATTTTGAGTAATGATGAATATAGCCTGTAACCATACATTACTATTTTATTTAGAAACTTTAATATATTTCTTCACATTGCATCTTCTATTTCAGACATCATTAACATCCCAACATAAGAAATGAGGCTATGGCACCTGAGTCACTTATTTATTTGAGCAACAAAAACATATATTTTAAAAAGCACATTTTAAAACTCTTCAGATTTGCAGTGCCATGTGAAACTAAAAGTATAGCTATAGCATTCTGAGGTTTTTGAGATTAATCTTGTAATTATTTACTGTTTTACAGTAGCATATCCAACAGTTCTGTAATTCCTTATTCTAATAATCTTTTGTTACTCTTTTAAAAAATAACCCACAAAATTTTACATTACTTTTTCAATTTATGCTGACTTTATTTCCTGAAACTTTCTATTGTATTTTGCTGTAACTAAAAGGCTTGCTTTCTTTTGTTTGTTTCCTATGGATATCTTCTTCTATTTTCTCTCTTTCTTTTTCTTTCTTTTCTCTGTCTCTCTCTCTCCCCCAGCTAATTTTTGTATTTGTTTTGTTTTGTTTTGTTTAGTAGAGATGGGGCTTCACCATGTTGGCCAGGCTGGTCTTGAACTGCTGCCCTCAGGTGATCCACCTGCCTCAGCCTCCCAAAGTGCTTGGATTACAGGCGTGAGCCACAGTGCCTAGCCTAAATTTGGCTTTCTTTAAAAACGTCTCAAGGATCTAATCATGAAATATCTTTAAAATACTTGTTTCCTGTTTATAAATGTTCATATTAAACTGTAAAAAATCAATGTATATGATAGTAGTTTTTTTTTGTTTTTTGTTTTTTGCAAATGTAGTATGTAATAAATCTTGCCATTTCCATATATGCTATTTTAGGCAAAAACCTTGAAACATACTAATATCTAACTTTAAAATGTGGTGTTCTAATTTATTATAGCCTTCCAAAATTTTTTGAGAATAGTACTTATGATTTCATCTGGTGACTGTCCTCACTGAGCAACATAAAAGAACATGATATCAGAAATTGTCAGTATTTTTACTTAGTTCAGTACAATTATGCTAAACTAATTATGATATAAAAATAGCTTTTGAGTTAATTACTGCTTATTTCAAAGGAATATTAATCAACACAAGGTAACTGACACTAAATTTGTTCAAGATTTATGTACTGTGTTATAAAGTAAAAATGTATATTTAATATTTATAAATATATTAAGGTGCCTTAAATGACTTGAAGAATCAATAAGTATTGTAAACTTAAACTGCCACTTTATTATAATTTCCATTTGGTCACTTCTCAAGTATTTTTTTTTTAATTCTAAATTTTGAAGTATTTATGAGCACAATTAAGGGGGAAAAAAGATATGTTGATATTCGGGCTTTGTTATTTCATTTATAAAGCACAGGCAGAGTAAATTTAGTGTAATTATTTAGGGTCCCAATATTTTCAGAAAGGAAAGTGAGTATTGGCTTCAACTTAAAGTCAGCAGCTGCTTTATCCCAGAACAAGAGCGTGAGTGAGCCTGTTCTTTGACTGTTTGAAGCCAGGCACTAACTTCTCATCTCTAGCTATGAAAATCCTAGATGGCATCTTCATCCAATAGAAGGCTGTTTATTCTACACCCAAAGTCTGTTGCTTAATGTAACTATCTTTACCAGTTTCCTAGCTACAGCCTCCAGATAACTTGCTAGAGTTTCTCTATCAACACCTGGTGCTTTACTTTGCAATTGTATGTTATGGAGGTGGCTTCTTTCCTTAAACCTTATGAACTAACCTCTGCTTGCCTAAAACTTTCTTCTCCAGCTTCCTCACCTCTTTCAGCCTCCATAGAACTAAGGAGACTTAAGGCCTTGTTCTGGATTAGGCTTTAGCTTAAGAAAATGTAGCTGGTTTGATATTCTATTCAGATCACTCAGACTTTCTTCATATCAGCAATAAAGCTGTTTTGCTTTTTTATCATTTGTATGTTCATTAGAGTAGCATTTTTAATTTCCTTCAATAACTTTTCCTTTCCATTCAAAACCTGGCTAAGGGACCTAGCTTTCAGTCTATTTTAGCTTTTTATGTGCCTTTTTCACTAAGCTTAATCATTTCTAGCTTTTGATTTAAAGAAAGAGATGTATAATTTGTTTCTTTCATCTGAACACTTAGAGGCCATTGTAGGATAAATAATTGACCTAATTTTAATATTGTTGTGTTTCAGGGAATAAGGAGGCCTAAGGAGAGGGAGAGAGACAAGGGAACGGCTGGTTGAGGAAGCAGTCAGAGCACACTCATTTATGATTAAGTTGGCTGCCTCATATGGATGTGCTTTGTGGTGTCCCATAACAATTACAATGTAACATCAAAGATCACGTATCGCAAATTAACATAACAGGTATAATAATAAAAATAAAAACTATAAATGTTAGAAATATTGTGAGAATTATCAAAATGCGATATGATACAGAGAAACCAAGTAGGATATGCTGTTGGAAAAATGGTGCCAACTGGCTTGCTGGATCAGGCTTGCCACAAATCTTCAATTTGTTAAAAGAACACAGTATCTGTAAAGTGCCATAAAACAATGTGTGCCTTTAGCCATTTTAAGTTTACCATTTTTCAATTGACAGTTGATGATGATTTGATTGTACAGAATGTATCAAAGAGTTCATAATTTGTTGATCTAACAATATAGAGATACAAGAATAATTGACTGTGTTTAAACAAGGCCTTTCTGTTTATTAGTGTATTGATATTGTACAAGTCTACTTAAATAATATCTAAAACTGACTTTCCTGATTAATCAACACCACATTTGCTTCATAAGGCACACTACAAAACACAACATTCTTTGAAAGATAAATGCTTGTGAATATTTGACCAATCTCTTTTCTACCAAATGCATGTATATTTGATTCAACATTTCAGTTTTATGCTTAACTAGTTGTGTTTGTTTTTAAGCTATTTATGTCAGTTATTCTGTTTATGTAATTACATGAGGTATGTTATGCGTATCATATATAATTATATTTATATATTTACATATTATTTATTAATACACATGATACTATTATATAACATATAATAGTATGTTATATATGTCTCCACATATATAACATTATGTCTCCACATAACAATGATACAATAACATTCTGTCTCTACATAATACAAAATGAATATATTATTATATATACATTTTAAAAACAAAGCATGTAGGTGGAGAAATAAATATGAATATCATGTTAATGAAAGTAGGTTGTCATATTTCTGAAAATGTGAACTAAGACAAGGTTACACTTTTCTGAAGCAAGCTGAGAATATATTCTCAATCTTTTTATTTCTAGTCCAAACTTTGTCCCACCCAATTACTCTACTACTCACTTATTGTAATGAGGGTGGAGCTGGCTGATCTACTTGTTTTTCATGCATTGCATATGGGAATAAGTTTCCAAACTCTTAATGTTTTGGTTATTCTCAAAGCTTTTCTCATCGTAGTTCTGTCATTATTTTGCTAAAAGACATCTTGTATACTCAATCTGTATATTTTATGGTATTTGTCTAGTAGGAGGTGAATCAGTCTGTTTTATATAAAACACAGATCTATATATTTGTATATATGTGTAGATGTGTGTGTATATATATATCTTAATTCATTTTATATTGCTAAAACAAAATATATCAGGCTGGTAATTTATAATGAAGTTTATTGGCTTACTGTTCTGAAAGCTGGGAAATTCCAAGATTAAGGCACTGAGATCTGGAGAGGGCCTTTCTGCTGCATTACCCCATGACATAAGAGCCAAGAGAGAATAAGAGAAAGCAAGAGATCCAATTGCAAGCTCTTTAGGAACTGACTTTAATCCATTCATGAAAGCAGAACCCTCATGATCTAATCATCTCTTTTTAGGCTTCAGGTCCCAACACTGCTGCATTTGGAATTAAGTTTCCAAAGCACGTTTTTCGGAGGACACAGTTAAACAAAACAATATGTGTGTAGATATAATCCATCTATGTATTAATACTGTTTTATATCAAAAGTTTGTCAATTGTTGATATAGGCAGTAATAGATGCAATCAATATTGAAAAGGAAAATAGGTGTGATTTGCTAAAATTTAAAAAAATATTGCCTCATTTCAAGGTGAAGATGTACTTTACCTTTGGTCAAGTCTAGAGTTTAAATCTCACATATTATTGTAAATCAATGTGGTGATTTAGTTGAACATTTTAAATGTAATTTTATATACATTTTATGTACTTTCTATAAAACAGATTTTTGCTGGATGTTTGGGTTACAGGTAAATCGTACATGGCTTAAGATGCTTTAAGATTTAAGATTTAATTTTAATTTAATACTTTAAGATTTAAAAAGATAAATGGTCTATACAGTTGTTAAGTTTATAATCAGCAAGTTAAGTTTACTGCATTTTCTGTTAAAAAAAACAAACACTCAGCACTTTGGGAGGCCGAGGCGGGTGGATCACAAGGTCAGGAAATCGAGACCATCCTGGCTAACACGGTGAAACCCCGTCTCTACTAAAAATACAAAAATTAGCCGGGCATGGTGGCGTGCGCCTGTAGTCCCAGCTGCTGGGGAGGCTGAGGCAGAAGAATGGCGTGAACCCGGGAGGCGGAGCTTGCAGTGAGCCAAAATCGCGCCACTGCACTCCAGCCTGGGCGACAGAGCGAGACTCCGTCTCAAAAAAAAAAAGAAACAACAACAAAAAACAAAAACAAACAAACATATAAAAAACTTTGTTCACCTGTATCTTTTTGGTTAGTTTTATTACAGAAGTGATAATACTTAAGAGTTTTTAAAATTTTAACAGCTCAGAAAAAAGCTAAGGTGGATTTCATATAACAAGTTATATCGCCTAACTTTTATATTTATAGCAGCACATGTATGATCATGAACCTTAAGTAAATAATCATACAATACCAACATTGTCACTTGGTTAACATATGCAATTTAATATTTTATTTTGTAACAGTAAACAATGTAGAGGTTAAATAAATTTGACTAGGTGTTCAGTGATGTGTTTAATAAACCAAAAAAGCTAATACCAGATCAAATAGTCCAATGTGTTATTATTTTGTTGTAATTGTTAAAATGCATACTTCTGGCCAAACTGGTTAACACTGAGCTAACAATACATCGCAGCAAATTTTGAATTAATAAGATAGTGTATTTCTTTGTATAACCTTTTAAGCCTATTTGGCTATTCATCTCTTTACAATTCTTTGTATTGTGACATCTTCATTGATGATATTATATTATAGTGCTTGATTTATTATTAGCTTCAGCTTTTCAAAAAAAGGAGACCCTGTTGAAAGATGATGCATTGTGTTAAACTAAATAAAGCTTTTACTGAAAAAGCATTAGAAATTTATAGAGCATTCAAACTAAATTATTTTGAGGATAGTCTTGCTTTTGCATTAAAGTCTTTAAAACAAAAACGCTTTCTTTTTTTTCTTATAAAGATATGTTTCAACTATGTCAGTTAAATAATTTTCCATTACACTATTTTATAATACACGTTTTAATTTTGTGTAACTAAACCACTATTTCAAAGAAAGCTTCCATAGTCCATGCTCATACCTGAAATCAGAACTGACCTAGAAAGCTTTGCAATAAATGATCCATTGTTAATTCATTTTGCTGTCTTCTCAGAAGAGATTTTAAGAAGGCCAGTTTGTCTAGAAATAGACCAGCTCATAAGGTGTCTGAAATAGCAATGAAATGAGCTTAAAAACTAGATGATGCTCCATTTTATTTATATTTTCTTAATTATAATGATAATCATGTTACATATGCATTTGAAATTAAATAAAATAATAAAATGTAGCAATATTATTTTTCATGTAAGTTAATAACTGTAGATTTAATTACAAACAAATCGATATATCATTATTCATTATACTTTTCTTTAATAATGTACTGCATGTTCTCTGTCCTTGGAAGTCTGCATGCATTTTCTCTATTGTTACCTTAATCTTATATTAATTTTTCCTTCTTTTTCTGTTGATATGCAACACACTTTCAATATTCACCGTAGATATCAGCCCATTCTGAAGTTTCCATTTACCTCCAATAGATTTTAATTTTTCCATTTGATTCAATTCCTCCTGAGATTTTTTAAAATATATCTGTCACAGAATTTATTTTTATCTTGATTCTGTAGCCTGTTCTTACCATATTTAATTTTGAAGTCAGAATACTGCTACAGTGTACAACAGACACTGAAGAAATATTTGATATTATTAAATAAAAAAACCATTTGATTTTAAAGAAAAATGCTAAATTCCAAAGGCATGCTAAGGATTTGTGACTTAACTAGGAAAAGTAACAGAATTTATGGGTATTAGCCTAGTATTCATCTTTTTCTTCTATACTGGGGAAGAAAAATGTGTTTGCTTTGCTCTTCATTCATCTTGGGTTTGAAAATTTAATATAAAAATTCTTCATTTTAAAAACTATTTAAAATTAAGATTCCATATCCAGAGACAATATTGTATCAGACCCATAGGAATAAAGTAGGTTAGCAATACAATTAATAATTGATCAATAAAGAGAAAGCATGACTTATGCTCAAATCAGAGTATCTTATCTCCTTAATGGACAAAACATAATATAATTTGATCTGAATTTTTTCAAAATATACCTTGAAATATTTTTTCAAAATGTCCTTTATTCCTTTCAAACCTGCTTTATTGCACTACCACTTAACATTTCCGGTCATAGCTGTTTGGACAAACCAAGATGATTTATCAAATTCAGTTAAGTCAGCTTCTCTCTCATAGTGAAAGAGAGATAGGTTAATTATTTTAGGTCAGGTTCTACAGCAGCGAGGGCTGAGACAGAAATTCAGGTGTGCATAATTTGTAGAGAATAATCCAAGGAATAAAAGAGTAAGGGAAGTAGAATAAAAACTAAACAAAATTATTATTTCAGTGGGAGTGCGTTCAGCTCCATTAAAATTTCATGGCAAACTCTGGGGGAAAAAATACCCCTTTGGACAAGAGGGCTGTTCTGTTTATACCTCCATCAGTCAGTCATTGGTTGTAGGTTTCCCCTGAATGGTGAATTTCACCTCCTGGGTGAGGAACCTACCATACAGTCAAGGAAAATTCTTCAGAAGAGAGAGCAGCTGTGAGCTGTTAGAGACTAACCCAAAGAAGTTAGACATGAGGGCAATGGGTGGCTAAAGGGGATCTAGACAAAATGTTGTCAGCATTCACTCTTTTGTCTGCCTTTTGAGTTCCAAAAAAAAAAAAAAATGCATCCTTGGTAACATATCATTGTATACAGGAGAAAAATTCTCATAAATAATGTTATTTCAGCTCTATATTTATATTTTTTAAACTGTGCTTTTTAGTTCTGAGAAAAAAATATTTGTCGTTGTTTGCCAATTTGTAAAAAGGTATCACAATAGCTTAAGCCTAAAGAAATGTTGAATTGCAAATCTTTTGGTGATGTTTTCACTTTTTAAAAGATGCTGCCTTTATATAGTTAGCTAGCTAGCTATTCTATTATATTTTGTATTTAATTTACTTATTATTTTATTCCTTTATAAAAATTATTTCTACATTTTGTATATCTCTCAGTGGAAATAATTTGGTCCTCAGTCGTTACTGGTGAGTTCTGAAAGGATAGAAATTATTTTTTATAGTTTAGATATATAAAGGAAAATATACATTTTCCAGCCAAATACTTGATGTCATCTACATCCTAACATGAATATCATTTTACAAGTTTTAGGTTTCTAATAGATTTACAATTAAACTTCATTTAATAAATAGATTCAGCTAGCTTAATTTGTTGAGGTGGTTATCCTAGTATCAGGATGTCTGATTTTGATCCTGATGGTTTAGATTATTTGGATCAATAGTTTTGCTTAAAGCAAATGAAAATTTAGAATGAAACTTAAGTCATAAGTGCATTGAGGAACTTATAAAGTTAATAGAGTAAGAAGTAACTAGATAAAAACTGAATAAAAAGTGGAAGTCAGAAAGATGGAGAGTAGTGGAAATATTTGAATTGGAGAACTTTTTTAGTATTGCCTCAGATCTCCAAAGGAATAAAAATAACTTATAAGTTCACATCTTTTTAAAAAATAAGAATTGAACCCTATTTTCTTGCTCTCTATAACCTTTTTACTGCTGCTTATAATGCAAGAGCAAGATTTATAATTTATCAAAACAAGTGAACTAAAAACTATAGAACATAAATGAAAAAAATTAAAGAATACTTAAGAAAACGGAAAGACATTTTGTCTACATGAGTTGGAAGACTTAATAATGTCCATAAGGCAATAATTCCAAAATTTATCTATAGATTCAACACAACCCCTATGATAAATCCCAGTTGATATTTTCTGAAATTTGCAATATGAACCTAAAATTTATAAACATATTCAAGGAACTCACAATAACCAAAACATCTTGAAAAAAATATATCATAGTTTGAGGATTCACACTCCCAATTTCAAAATTTACTATAAACCTACACTAACGAAACAGTATGGCACTGGTATAAGTACTGACAGGTAGAGAAGATTAAAAAATAAGACTCAATTATATGTTGCTTCCAAGAAATTGACTTTAAATATAAAGACACATGTAAATTAAATGTATATGGGTGAGTAAGATATACCATACTAACACATCAAAAAAAGTAAGTGTGATGGTTAATATTAAGTGTCAACTTGATTGGATTGAAGGATGCGAAGTATTGACCCTCGGTGTGTCTGTGAGGGTGTTGCCCAAGGAGATTAACATTTGGATCAGTGCACTGGGAGAGGCAGATCCACCCTCAATCTGGGTGAACACCACCTAATCAGCTGCCAGTGTGGCTAGAATAAAACAGGCAGAAGAAAGTGGAATGAGATTTGACTTGCCAGTCATCATCTTTCTCCCGTGCTAGATGCTTCCTGCCCTCGAACATTAGACTCCAAGTTGTTCAGCTTTTGGACTCTTGGACTTACACCAGTGATTTTCCAGGGGCTCTCAGGCTGATTGCCTTCCCTACTTTTGAGGTTTTGGGACTCAGACTGGCTTCCTTGCTCCTCAGCTTGCAGTCAGCCTATTGTGGGACTTCACTTTGTGATCATGTGAGTCAATTCTTCTTAAAAAACTCCCCTTCATATATACATTTATCCTATTAGTTACATCCCTCTAGAGAACCCTGACTACTACAGTAAGAATTGCTATTTATTTCAGACAGAGAAGACTTTGGGTCAAGAAAGTTATCAAGGATAAACAGGAGGCATTACATAATAAGAAAGGGGTAAAATTGTTTAGGAACACATAATATTTCTTAGTGTGTATGTACCTCACAACAAAATGTCAAAATACATTAAGCAAAAGAACTGACAGACTTACAAGGAGAAATAGAGGAATCCACTGTTATAATTGAAGATTTCAGCACTTCTTTTTAGAAATATATAGATACAGCAGGTAGAAAATCAGTTAGGAAATATTTATACATAAAAAATTCATCAATCAGCTCTGAAGATAATGAACATCCATAAACAATTTATACCCAACAACAGTAGAATACACATTTTTTTTCAAACTTAAATGGGAAATTTGATAAGATAGATCACTATCTGGGCCATAAAACACATCTTAACAAATTTAAAAGAATAGAAATTACATAATGTCTGCTCTCCGAAGACAACAGAATTAAACTAGAAATAAATAATAGAAAGAGAGCCAAAAATGTTCAAAATATATGGAGAGTACCCACCATCTTTTTAAATAATACATGGGTCAAATAGGAAATATCAAGATAAATTAAAAGATATTTAACTATATAAAAATAAAATACAACTTATCACATTTTGTGGGGATGTAGTGAAGTGCTTAGAAGAAAATTTATAGCATTGAATACATACGTCAACAAAGTAAAAAAGAGGAATAAATTAAATCGAAAGTGATAAAACAAAAATAAATAATAAAAGAGCTGAAATCAATAAAATTGGAAACAGCAAATCAATATAAAAAATAAACAAAACTAAAAGATTGTTCTTTGAAGAAATCAATACATTTGATAAAACTCTAGTCAGGTTAAAACAAAAAGAGATAGGACACAAATTACTAATATGTATGTATTCTGTATATGTCTCTTCTGGTCAATGCTTTTCAACATCAGCATAATGTCAGAAGACAAGGAAAGGTAATAAAATGTTTACAGATTAGGAAGGAAGAAAAAAAAAAGAGTTGTGTCTGTTTGCAGATGACATGGTTGCCTATGTAGAAATTCTAATGAAATCAACAAGAAAAACCCCTCCTGGAACTAATAAGTGATTATAGTGATTGCAAAATACAAAGGTAATATAAAAAGTCTAATGTTTTTCTATATATCAGCAATGAACTAGTGAAATTTTGAATTAAAAACACAATACTATTTACATTAACATACAATAAATGAAACACTTAGCTACATATAATTTCTAAAAAATATGTACAACAGCAATATGAGAAAAACTATAAAATTCTGATGAAAGAAATCAAATAAGAACTAAATAATAAATCAATAACTAGTTTACGTTTATGGCTAGGAAAACTAAATATTATCAAGATGTCAGTTCTTTTCAACTTGATCTGTATATTCAATGCAATCTCAATAAAAATCCAAGAACATTTCCTGTGAATATCAAAAAACTGATTCTAAAGTTTATGTAGAAAACCCAGACACCCAGAATAACTGACAAGATATTAAATGAGAAGAACCAAGTTTTAGGACTGACACAATATTATTTCAAGACTTACTGTGAAACTATACTAATGGTATTGGCAAAGAATGGGCAAATCAATCAATGGAACAGAACCAAGAGCCCAAAATAGAGCAACATAAATATAGTTAACTTATCTTTGACAAAGGAGTAAAGGAAATACAATGGAGCAACCGTAACATTTTTGACAAATGGTGTTATAACAAATAGATATCCACATGAGAAAAAGGAAATAAATGAGTAAAAAGAAATATAGGCTTAGGCCTTGTAAGCTTTACAAACTATTAAGTTTGGATATTTGTAGTGCTTTTTTTTTTTTTTTGACACGGAGTGCAGTAGCGCAATCTTGGCTCACTGCAACCTCCGCCTCCCAGGTTAAAGTGATTCTCCTGCCTCAGCCTCCTGAGTAGCTGGGATTACAAGCATGCATCACCAGGCCCAGCTACTTTTTGTTATTTTTAGTAGAGACAGGGTTTCTCCATGTTGGTAAGGCTGGTCTCGAACTCCTGACCTCATGATCCACCCGCCTCGGCCTCCCAAAGTGCTGGGATTACAGGCGTGAGCACCGCGCCCAGCCAGCAGCTTTATTCTTAATTGCCACAACTTGAAAGCAACCAAGATACCCCTCAGTAGATGAATGAAAAAATAAATTGTGGTACATTCAGCAAATAGAATATTACTTAGTACTAAAAGGCACTGCACTATCATGTCATAAAAACACAAAGAGTTTAAGGGTATATTTAGTGAAAGAAGTCAATCTTTTGAGAAGTGTCTGTTCATATCCTTTGCCCACTTTTTGATAGGTTGTTTGTTCTTTTCTTGTAAATATGTTTAATTTCCTTGTAAATTCTAGATGTTAGACCTTTGTCAGATGTGTAGATTGCAAAAAACTTTCTCCCATACTGTAGGTTGTCTGTTCACTCTGATGGTAGTCTCTTTTGCTGTGCAGAAGCTCTTTAGTTTAATTAGATCCCATTTGTCAATTTTGACTTTTGTTGCAATTACTTTTGGTGTTTTTGTCATGAAGTCTTTGCCCGTGCATATGTCCTGAATGGTATTTCCTAGGTTTTCTTCTAGGGTTTTTATGGTTTTGGATTTTACATTTAAGTCTTTAATCCATCTTGAGTTAATTTTTATATAAGGTGTAAGGAAGGGGTCTAGTTTCACTTTTCTGCATATGGCTAGCCAGTTTTCCCAGCACCATTTACTGAATAGGAAATCCTTTCCCCATTGCTTATTTTTAATCAGGTTTGTTGAAGATTAGATGGTTGTAGATGTGTGGTGTTATTTCTGAGGTCGCTGTTCTGCTCCATTGGTCTATATCTCTGTTTTGGTACCAGTACCACAGTGTTTTGGTTACTGTAGTCTTGTAGTATAGTTTCAAGTCAGGTAGCATGATGCCTACAGCTTTGCACAGCCAACAAACATGAAAAAAAGTTCAACATCACTGATCATCAGAGAAATGTATATCAAAATCACAATGAGATACCATCTCATGCCAGTCAGAATGGAGATTATTAAAAAGTCAGGAAACGATATATGCTGGTGAGGCTGTGGAGAAATAGGAACACTTTTACACTGTTGGTGAGAATATAAATTAGTTCAACCATTGTGGAAGACAGTATGGTGATTTTTCAAGGATCTAGAACCAGAAATACCAGCAATCCCATTACTGGGCATATACCCAAAGGAATATAAATTATTCTACTATAAAGACACATGCACACCTATATTTATTGCAGCGCTATCTACAATAGCAAAGACATGGAGCCAACCCAAATATCCATCAGTGATAGACTGGATAAAGAAAATGTGGCACATATACACCACGCAATACTATGCAACCATAAAAAAGAATGAGATCATGTCCTTTGCAGGGACATGGATGAAGCTGGAAACAATCATCCTCAACAAACTGACACGGGAACAGAAAACAAACACTGCATGTTCTCACTCATAAGTGGAAGTTGAACATTGAGAACACATGGACATAGGGAGGGGAACAACACACACGACGGCCTGTGAAGGTTGGGGAAGAGGGGAGGAAACCTAGAGGATGGGTCAATAGGTGCAGCAAACCACCATGACACACATATACCTATGTAACAAACCTGCACATTCTGCACATGTCACGTTTTATTTTTAAAAAAGAATAAAGGAAAAAAAGAAATAGAAAAAAGTCATTCTGAAAAGGATACATATGGTATCACTTCAACTATTCTGTAAAATGAAAAAGAGTAAAAATATCCATGGTTTTCAGGAGCTAGAGAGAAGAGAGAGATGAATAGGCAGAGCACAGATAATTTTTAGGTCAGTGAAATTACTTTGTATGACAATATAATGGTGGATGACATAAATTTGTCCAAACTCATAGAATGTACAACATCAAAAGTGAACCCTAATGTAATGTTGTGTCAGTGTAGATCCATAAATTGTAACAAATGTATTACTCTGATGAGGAATGCTGATAAGAAGGATGCTTTAAACATGTAGGGGAAACAGGTATGTTAGAAATCTCTGTACCTTCCACTTGGAGTTGCTTTTTTTTAGAATCTAAAATTGTTCTTAAAAAGGCCGGGCGCGGTGGCTCACGCCTGTAATCCCAGCACTTTGGGAGGCCGAGGCGGGCGGATCACGAGATCAGGAGATCGAGACCATCCCGGCTAAAACGGTGAAACCCCGTCTCTACTAAAAATACAAAAAATTAGCCGGGCGTAGTGGCGGGCGCCTGTAGTCCCAGCTACTTGGGAGGCTGAGGCAGGAGAATGGCGTGAACCCGGGAGGCGGAGCTTGCAGTGAGCCGAGATCCCGCCACTGCACTCCAGCCTGGGCGACAGAGAGAGACTCCGTCTCAAAAAAAAAAAAAAAAAAATACAGTTTATTTAAAAAGTAAAGTACTTTCACATGCTATAACATGTGTGAACCTTAAAAACATTATGCTAAGTAAAAGAAGCCAGACACAAAGCACCATATATTGTACAGTGATATTCACATTAACTCAAGATAGATTAAAGATTTACTATGTAAGAATTGAAACTATAAAAATACTAGAAGAAAAGCTAGGAAAAAGTCTCATGGATATTGATCTAGGCAAAATATTTGTGACAGATTTCAAAAGCACAGGCAACAAAAACAAAAATAGAAAACTTCTACTTAAACTAAAAAGCTTCTTCATAGTGAAAGCAATAATCAGTAGAGTGAATAAGCAACCTGCAGAATAGGAGAAAATATTTGCAAGCTATTCATCCAACAGGGGACTAATATTCAGAGTATACAACAAACTCAACAGGAAAAAAATCCCATTAAAAAATAGCCAAAAGACGTGAATACACATTCTCCAAAAGAAGACATACAATTGGTTAACAGGTATGTAAAAAATGCTCAACATCACTAATCATCACAGAAATAAAAATTAAAACCATAATGAAATATCGTCTTATCCCAGTGAGAAGAGCTATTATTAAAAAGACAAAAAAAAATGTTGGCAGGGATGCAGAGAAATGAGAACACTTACATACCATTGGTGGAAGTGTAAACTAACAAAGCCACTATGCAAAACAATATGGCGATTTCTCAAAAAGTCAAAAATAGGATTACCATTCAATCTACCAATTTTGCTGCTGTGTATTTATTTATCTAAAGGAAAATAAATCAGTATATCAGAGGGATACCTGTACTCACATGCTTATTGCTGCACTATTGACAATAGCAAAAATATAAAACAACCTAAGTATCCATCAATAGATGAGTGAATAAAGAAAATGTGGTATATATAAACAACGGAATACTATTTAGTCATAAAAAGATTAAACCATGCCATTTGCAACAAGTTGGATAGAACTGGAAGTCATTATCTTAAATGAAACAAGTCAATAACAAAAAGATAAATATCAAATGTTTACACTTACATGTAGGAGCTAGAAAAATTGAACACATAAAGGTAGAGAGTGGAAAAAATAGATTACAGAGACAGGAAAGGATGAGTCACGGGTAAAGGGGAGGATAAAGAGAAGTAGGTTGAAAGGTACAAATAAACTATAAGATTAAAGTAATAAATTTAATGCTTAACAGCAGAATATGGTGACCATACTTGAAAAAAAAGGTTTGTACTCAAGTGATGGGCACTGTAAATGCTCTGATTGGGTCACTATGCATAATACACACATGAGAAAATTTCTTATGTACCCTATAAATTTGTCCAAACAGAAATTTAGAAAATTGTAAAGTTTAAAAAGAATATGGCACATACACAAAAAAGCCATTTTATACTTAAGAAAATTATAAGATAGATGACAGTTTCTACCACTTTTTATAACTTTAGTATACTCAACGAACATTTTTTCTTGAATTTTTGTATTATTAACTTTATTCTAGGTAAATGTATATAAAATAACAATACTATGTAAATATTTATAAATGTGGAAGTAAACATCTCCACTTAACTAAGGCACTTGACTTTCTATTATTTCTGCCACTTGTTCACAGATAATTAAATTTGCTACTACAGTAACTGCACAAAGCTTCAAAGCTTTAGATTTTTCTCCCTTGCATTTTTCTATATAGTGATAATAATATTTAAAAAGTTGCGATCATATTGTAAAATATTGCATAATATAATATTAAAATATTGGAAAGTTCCAAAACTGAATTCTAGATTATCATTTTGATTTTATTTAAATATATACAGTAAAAATAAGTAAAAAAAAAGTAGATAAAAATTATTATCGCTTAAAATAATCATTACATGGAACTTTTTTTGAATAACATTTTTCTTCTGTGGACTGCCATATATGAAATAAAAGCTGATTCTTACATAAATTGAGTGGAAGCCTTAAAGGAGAAAACTGTTGCTAAATTAAAATAGCCCATAATTTGTATGTTTCTTTAAAATTCCATTTCGTGTAGCTTTTTTTTTCTTTGATGAAAATAGTATCACACCAGGCTATGGCATTTCAAGCTATATATTGATAATTTTCACAATAAACTCTTTAATATAAATTACTTTTGGAGTTTAACAAATTGATATGTTTAAGAAAGAAATTTATTTTTTTATTTTTATATTCTTTATTCAACAAAGATGCATGTGAATATTGCAGATATGAAGTCTGAGTATTATTTTAAATAGGAATTTTATATGCCATAATTTTGAAACCTACATTTATTTAAACATAAATGTACTCATGCGTATGTGCTAGAAAACCTCACAACTATACGAAGCTATAATAATGAAAAAGACTCAGGAGCTCGTTAGTCATCGAGGATTCAATAAACATAGTTGGTACCATCAAGCGCTATATCTAAGCCAATGCAACCAGGGTATGTCTGTGATTAGGTATATTTATCTCTCACTTGAGAGTTCAATTTAAAGACAAGGGTATTTTTTTTAAGTTTGCATCAAAACATATCACTATTTTGGCCATACAGATATATACCTTCTATTGGCAATTTAAATGTTTAAAGATTTGTAGGCTTAGGTTAACGTTTTTAGTAACCAAAAGACATTTAGGTTACAATTAACTAATTATTGTTCTATATAACAGTAAAACTATATCTCACTAGAAGTACAGCACAGAATACATAGTTTTATTTCTAAGTAATGTGATTCTTCTTTATAATAACATGTTTATAATTTTAATTTTAACTTTGTACTTAATATAAAACAGTATTGAATAGTACCAAGAGAGTTTGCAGGAATATGGTTTACTCTCATTATCAAAATTATTTAGAAATGATATGTATAAAATAGGCCAGTTATGAGAAAAAATATTAAGATCTCAGGAAACAATATTAATTCGCTATTTGTTTTACAGATATTTGGGTTTAGGTTCAATGAGTGATTTTGTAAGAGTAGAAGTTAACAACAATCTTCCTGAAAGTGATTTATTCTTGCTTTATTTTATGAACTTTTTTATTTCTAGAGCCTGGTATGTGGGTAAAATACATAATAATTTGAGGAACTAGTATTATGATAACTTTCTAATTGTTAAAATGTAAAAGAAAGATTATTGGTCTCCTTTTTTGCTATGAAATGTTACAGGCATATCATTTAAACTCATTTTAAGCAATATAATGAATCATCATAAACCCACAAAACAGCTTAAGCAAAAAGCACTTTCAATACTGTTGAAGTCTCTGTATACATTCTCAATTTTTCTTCTTTCTCATTTTCAGAATGAAACAGAATCCTAAATTCCTAGTTTATAATCTTTATTCATTTATCAATTTTTATTTATATATATTACCACCTTAACTTATTTCTATAACACTGAATTAAATTTTGATTGACAGTAATAAAGAGATAAACAGAGTTTAGGGTAATAGAATTCTTATTTTACGGCCAAAACTAAATAAGTAGAATGTCAATGAAAATATATACTTCAAATAGAGAATTAGGGTCACATGGCAGTAGGTAACACCTAGAAGAAATTCAAAGGATTTAATCTAACTGTAAAGACGAAAAAGAATTTAGCTATTCCCCTTGTTTAGGCCTCTAATTTCCAGGCTGAAAACTTAAATCCCTTCAAGATCACATGACTCATTTAAGTGTACCAGGTTAAGCACCCAGATGTATCTCGAAAACCAAATCTTAAAACTTACTATTTTAAATAAGCCAACACCAATAGGACTATACAGTATCAGAAAAATTATTTACACATACAATTTTTACTTATCTTTTATAAAATTATGAGAGTTGATTTTGTGCCTTAATAGTTTATGAGCCACAACTAATTGTATTATAAAAAGATCAGCATGAAATCTGTGCTTGATTCCTACTTAGCTTTGCTTTGTATTCATTCGTTTCATAAGCACTTATTGATGTTTACCATGGGCCAGGTACTGTTTACTGCAAGGCATTTAATGATGAATGAAACTCAGTTCTAAAACAACTTATAGTCCAGAATTCAAATAAGAATTTGAATAAATATCATTTTAAAATATATAAAAATCTTTATTTGAAGATTTTAAAAACTGTATATGGAAGAAAAAGATTTTGTTTTGTTTTGTTTTGTTTTGTGTGTGTGTGTGTTTGTGTGTGTGTGTAATGAAAGTCTATAAAACTTTGGGCCTAAAGCTTCTCACACAGGTTAACTCACAGAGTCTGTCCTTCATAAGAATCCTAAAATGAAGCATGATATATTTATTTGGTGATGTCATAGAGGCTAGGCCACTTCATTAAACAGTGTTTATAAAGTAGGAACCTGGTACTTGTTTTTATGCTAGCAATAATATAATGATGCAGATGAAATTATAAATAAGTAAAAATTTTAGCTAGCCTTCCCTGGGACAGTTTGATTGTCTTTTTCAGAAATGATTATGGCATCACAGTGGCTGAAACTTTAAGCATTGGTTTGCAAGTGTCCCTCTGAAAAGAAATGAATTCTTCCTGCCATGAAGGGTTTTATGGTCTCTTTCCTCTCAGTGCTTTAGTTCATGAATTTGAAGCTCACTTTCCAGAGACAATGCAACCTATGTGGTAAGTTTAGAGAGAAAGAGAGCTTCAATATCTCAAAGTCATAGCTATGATCCTGCAGGGAATATTGGAGAAAGAAAAGCTTCTCATATAAATTAATTTATAGCCTTGATGCGCACACATTAAACTTTGAGCATGTGAATGTAGAAAGACTAAGATCCATTATCGATGTCCCTTAGGTAGGCAGCGGGTACCACGGCCTAGAGCAGAACTAGTAAAAATAAGTGGAAAAAAGGAAGAGACACAAGAGGGTGTGTGTGTCAGTTTGCCTAGAGCTACATTTTAATCTTTACTATGAAGATTGTCACATTATATCTCAGTGGGGAAACCAGAGTATTCTATTAGAGAAGAAGTCACATACTCTAAAATGTATAAATGTAGATTGAGTGCCTAATATAGATTTTATTTTAGAGTATAAGTTTAATTATGGGCAACATACTCTTTTATTTCTTTAGTAAGTCTCAAGTTTAAAAACCTCACTCTAAACATGGCCAGCAGATCCAGATTATTAAATTGATAGTGCTTTGAATAAACAAAATCAGGCAAATAATTTTTATTTTAGCAGAAATATTTGTAAGTATAGAAACTGGTGCTCTAAAAACACAAAGAAATAAAATACTTTGGAAGGTGTTCCAGAGAAGGGGACTCTAAATTGTTCTTACATCCGTTTTATCACGAGGTATGTATGTATTAGCATGATAAAAGTATTGTACGTTAAATGTTGATGCATTTCAAAGCATTTGTCAAAAATAAAAATAAAAGGCAGAGCTAAGTTGATGGCATATTCTGGCTAATTTTCAAGACAAAGGCAATAAACAAGATATGTGAGCAATAATATCACCATCACTTTTTGTGTGGCAATGCTGGAGATGTTTTAAGCGGGTCTTGACTTTTGAACAATTTTAATAGGCTCCCTCAGAGCTTCAATTAGCTAGAGACCCAAATAGTAGCTGACAGCTAGCAGAATCTCTTGTCTTGAGTTAAAGTCAAATTAATTAAACTCGAAAAGGCAATCATTTTCTTCCTAGCATCCTTAATCACTCATCCTTTCTTAGTTTAAAAAAAATAATAAAAAAGCAAACAATATGAAGTATTATGGCCTGACAAAAATATAAACAGGCAAGTTTGTAGCCATGAAACTATGATGAACCAATTTTTTCACATGTGAATTTGGAATTTTTTAAGCCAATCTTCATTAGGCATATACAGTTTTCCGTAAAAAATAATCCATTTTGCCAGGTGCGGTGGCTCACGCCTGTAATCCCAGCACTTTGGGAGGCCGAGGCGGGTGGATCACGAGGTCAGGAGATCGAGACCATCCTGGCTAACACGGTGAAACCCCGTCTCTACCAAAAATACAAAAAATTAGCCGAGCATGGTGGTGGGTGCCTGTAGTCCCAGCTACTCGGGAGGCTGAGTCAGGAGAATGGCGTGAACCCAGGAGGCGGAGCTTGCAGTGAGCTGAGATCGCGCCACCGCACTCCAGCCTGGGCGACAAAGTGAGACTCCATCTCACAAAAAAAAAACACAAAAAAATCCCTTTTACAACAGGTATAGCTCAAGGAATTCAGCAGTGATTTTGTTAAAATTCTAGCATAAGGTTGATGTTTTGTTAGCTATGTGAGGCCTATCTTTCTCTCTCACTCACTCTCTCTATATATATTACATATATATTCATATATATTATAAATGTATTATATAATTACTGATATGTAATTGAGCATTAGGCTTACATGAACATGTGCACAAATAGCAAATTTTCTAGATTTCTTTTAAAACACCAGTATCAAAGATGATAACTCACATTCATATTAGTTATAATATTCACAAAATATACAAAGATTTTTAGAAAAATAGGTAGCTATCCCATAAGAACACAGAGTAAATCTTAAAGAGTAAAATTTAGGTTTTTTCAAATAACTGCTTTATAGAATCACTTGTTTATGAAAAGAAAATTATATATCGTTTATTTAATGTTTGTAGTTACACAAAAAAAGATTCACTATTAAAATTACTCAACCGTATTTTGCTGTGGGATATCTTTGGCAATCAATCTGGGATTCTGTTCTTCTGAGCCCTGTTGAGCAGGCAACAGTATACTGGGATACAGTGCTATAGCCACAGTTGGGCTGAGAAGATTTGCAGTCTGCCAATTAGGGTGCCTAGCTCAGACACTCTAGTTGTCAGCTTGAACTAGAAATTGATATAAGATTTAAGCTATGAAAGTCGCATTGCGGTCTTGGAAAGAAAATCAAAAACAACAACAGCAGCAAAGTGATCTGCAGAGGAATAAAAGAATCTTAAAGGTATATGAATCAAACCACTAGCCACATGTGGCTACTGAGTAACTGCAGTGGGTTAAATCCAAATTCAGGTGTTCTGTAAGTGAAAAATGCATACCTAATTTTGATGACTTGGTAGCAAAAAAATGAAAAAAATTCTAATAATTTCTACATTGACTACATGTTAAAATAATAAACATTTTGGATATGTTGGGTTAAAATACATCAATTTCAAAAAAATTTTGGAGTGGTGATGAGGAGAGAGATAAAGAGAAAATGAAAGTAGCGTTTTAATAATTCTTTTTTGCCATTCTTCAGAACTTTTACTGCCTTCCTTATTTCTTCTTCTGGCTTTTGTTCAGTACCTCTATCTAATCTACGTGTCTATGTATCTATGTATCTGTCTATGTATCTATCTATGTATCTATGTATGTATGTATGTATGTATGTATGTATGTATGTATCTATCTATCTATCTATCTATCTATCTATCTATCTATCTATCTCCTTTCTATCTAATTAGCTATCTGCTTGGTTTTTACTTTCTTCTAATGTTTGCACTATTCCAAAAAAAAATAATGACACATAGACTATATTTTTGTTGTTGTTTCTACTCTTCTCAGTTAAATGTTTTCTTAAATATTATTTCCCTTTGTGGTCAATGACCTTCACTATTTGGAAATAAACAACCACTTAGTACTACAATATACCAAGAATTGTTATGAAAACTAGAAATACAATGGCAAAATAAGACATTCTCTGCCTTTCTCAGTTTGAATTTTCCCCATAGTAGAGCCTAAGAGAAAGGACGGAGTGTGGGCAGTTTAGTTGCAAGATGAATCTAGAGGTAGATTAGGAAGTGAGGAGAGTCAGAAATATAATGAAGAAAAGAAAAAATGAAGGCATTCTAATAACAGGTTTGTTCCGAATAGTCAGAACTAAAGTATTCTGGAATCTTAGAGAAAGATATAGAATATTTTCCAATATTGTCTTTCCAAAAACAACCCTCAATTGCCCATCAATTGAGAGTTTATCCCAGGGGTTGTATCTTCCCCCATCAATTATGGGTTTCTCTTGGTGATAAAATGAATGGTATTCTATGGTTATGGAGAAGGCTCTGAAGAAATAACTGGAAAAAATGCACAGTGATAACTTTAGTTTCTAGGAACCTGAGTTTATAGAATCAGCTGTAACTGCAGCTAAAATCATGGTGAGCTGAAAGGATGTGCGAGGGGGTAGGAAAAATGTCTGCCACAATCCCCGTCAATAAACCTTCTCTCTCATAGACCCTTCAAGATGCAGGAATCTATGAAAAGCAACCTTTAGTAGTATGGTAATGGAACAAACTAGTCCTTTTTATTTGTTTCAAAGAAATAAATATTATTTGTAATCTCTTTTATATATTTAGTTTTTTAATTTATCATGACAGAACCTCACTCTGTTGCCCAGACTGGAGTACAGTGGCATGATCACGGAACACTGAAGTCTTGAACTCCTGGGTTCAAGCGATCCTCCCACCTCAGCCTCTAGAGTAGCTGGGACTACAGATGAATGCCAACATACCCAGCTAATCTTTTGTATTTTTTAGTAGGAATGGGGTTTTGCCATTTTGCCCAGGCCTGTCTTGAACTCCTGACCTCAAATGATCCGCCCTCCTTGGCCTCCCAAAGTGCTAGGTTTACAAGCATGAGCCACCATGCCTTGCCATTCATAATCTTTATTTTGAATTTTGTTTAGTTTTTTAGTACTTCTGCCAGCCTAAGCTGTAGATTCTAAGTCCTCAGCTTCTTGTTCATACCAGATCATTATTATCACCAGGCAGAGAAACACAAAGACAGCTCTACAAATTCAGTGAGTTCCAGACTACTCATCCCACTCCTCATTGTGTAGCAGCAGCCTTAGCTCCACATATTCAATTAACCCTTTCAATACAGTAATTTCATTCTTGGTCTCCTGGTCCATCAATGCCCGTTCACTGGAGCTCACATAGTGTCTTGAAGAATGCAGTCTCCCTCAGGATCTTTAATACGGTAAGATTTATAGTTTGGGAGACTAAATCACAAATTAATAAGTAGAAGTAATGTTAAGAGGGGTCACTGGGAGTAATGGTAAGAGGGGACAATCCGAATCTGGCCCATTTTTCCCAAGATTTGTGCATTCTAGATATTAGGAACTCAACATCATATATTTGTTGTATGTCCTATGCATCAACTCCATTAGGAAAGCACCCTAATCTCTCAGGGTATTATATCTAAGTTGGGGTTTTATCTGAACCTTTAATAGACTATTTCAATTTTCTATTAGAATGACTGCTTCTGAATGAGGATGTACAGAGTCATAGATCTTGTGGTCATGCACAGTTTTGCACTTCCAATTATCAGAAAATATATCTCTTGGTTGATGGTGAAAATCTCATTAATGTAAATTCCACCTGAGATCCTATGAGGAACCTATGAATGAAAGTCAGACATTCTGTAAGCCTTAAGCGGGAATTTTGGCAGAGAATGGGTGGTCAGACACCCATATCCAGAACAGTGTAAATTCCAATAAAGATGAATCACTGAGTCTTCTAGAGTTGAACAGTACAGATGTAATTAACTTTCTAATAAATCACAATCTGTTTTTATCACAAGATGGCATCATATGAGGTAACTGGAATCCTTCATTGCTACTGACAGGATGGGCATTCAGCAATAGCAGTAGTTAAATCAATCTCCATGTCAGAGGAGCCACTCAGCTGAATGCTTTCATAGCCTCTACCCTCACTACCATGCTACCCCACTTGTGGCCTCTTGCAAAAGCATTGTCATACCCAAGAACAGAAGTCAACCAAGGACTTCTAATTCCACCTAGTTGTTGAGTAATTCCCCTGCCGTGGATGCTCTCTGGAGAGCTTTGATGGTGAGATGAAAAAACCCACAGGCTTTTTTACTCGCTTCCATAGGTCCATCCACTTGCTTTTTACCCAGCACTGTTTGTGATCTTCTAATCGTGTACCTTCTAGGTGCCTGATCAACCAGCCAAGCCATTTACTGTCATCCTTGTTGTATATATTTCCTTTATTCAGGCTAGTTCTTCTCCATACAAAATAGAAGTACCACGTGTACTGCTTACATCCCTGTTTGCTTGAATGGTTTCTATTCATGACTGTTCTTTATAGACATCAAAGAGTAGGACTCTAGTGTAGCTACATTTCATTTTTATCCCACATCTAAATTCCAAGTAAACACATCTCTAAACCATGCCGGTATTTTTCCTGTCTTACAACCTGGTCATATGAAACCTTCTGCCAAGCAAAAGGTATTGAGGCCAGTTAGAGGCATTAGTACAACAGGGGTAAGTGAAATTGGTATCTGTGTCCACCTCTTTGTGTAATTTATTTGTGCTATCTGGAACTGGTTGGGACCAATACCAAATGTATTATTACCATTGTAGAGTGTTTTGGAATTTATTAAACTTTGTGACTCATTGGTTCTGATAATATGTAATTAAGAAGGACACACAATTTCATCGTCAGATGACGTCCAACAGCCAGGTACACAGTTTCTAAAGCATCCCATAGGTCTCCAAGAACTGCTCTTTAAATAGTTAGCAGTTTTGTGGGGCAGAACATGTGTTGTATTTTCAAAACCCTGGGAGTCCGATTTGTAACTTTTCCATAAGTATTTGCCTGGGATTTCACAAGATATTTGCAATGAAGATCAATAAACTACGACTTTAAATAACGTGGATGGATCTCACAGACAACATAATGGGTAAAAGAAGCCAGTCCTAAAAGAGGATATTTTACATGCGTGTATTTATATAAATCAAACACAGGCAACACTAACGTACGGTGTTAGACAAGGCAATGACTACCCTGAGGTTGGAAAGAGATAGTAATCATAAAGAGGCATTAGGAAACTTCTGGGGTTCTGGGAATGTTCTGTTTCTTTTTTTCTTTTCTTTTTTGTTTTGAGACTGAATTTAGCTCTTACTGCCCAGGCTGGAGTGCAATGGCTCAATCTCGGCTCACCGCAACCTCCGCCTCCAGGGTTCAAGTGATTCTCCTGCCTCAGCCTCCCAAGTAGTTGGGATTACAGGCATGCGCCACCACGCCCAGCTAATTTTTGTATTTTTAGTAGAGGCGGGGTTTCTCCATGTTGGTCAGGCTTGTGTCAAACTCCCGACCTCAGGTGATCCGCTCGCCTTGGCCTCCCGAAGTGCTGGGATTATAGGCGTGAGCCACTGCGTCTGGCGTTCTGTTTCCTGAGCTGGGTACTGTTTACATAGATGTGTTCACTTTGTGAAAATATGTTGAGCTATACATTTATGATTTGTTCACTTTTGTGTGAATATGTTAAACTTCAATAAAATTTATGGTTAAATAAATACTTATTGGGGGCAGAATGTGTGTTCTGTTTTCAGAGCTCTGGGAATCAGATTTGTAACTTTTCCATAAGAGTTTGCCTGGTATTTCACACACACACACACACACACACACACACACACAAAATCTTCAGCAATTATTAATTTCTCTAGCAATATTGGATCTTCTAGATCATATAGCCTGATAAGAAACAGCCATGAAACTTATATTGTGATCAAAGCATCTGTAAAGCTCTAATTTTATTCTGGGATTCTGTCAATCTTGCAGTCTTCCACATCACAGAAAGAAGTTGGAAGGTATTGTGAGTGTTTTTTGTACTGTTTCCGAAATTCAAAGTGGCCAACCAAGGTTTGTGCTCTGTTGTTTTACTGGTTATTTGAAAAGACATTACACTTCCTCAGGCATAGTATATGTTTCTTATACCATACAATAGCTTCCATTTCTCCTCCTAACATTTACACTATTACAGTCACATATTTTACTCATACATATATTGCAAAGTCTAATACATCGTTATTATTTTTGGTTAAGACAGTTACCTTTAAAGGCATTAAAATATTAAGGGAAATCCCAGCACTTTGGGAGGCCAAGGCGGGCGGATCACCAGGTCAGGAGATTGAGACCATCCTGGCTAATACGGTGAAACCCCATCTCGACTAAAAAAAAAAAAAAAAAAAAAAAAAAAGTACAAAAAATTAGCCTGGCATGGTGGCGGGCGCCTGTGGTCCCAGCTACTCGGGAGGCTGAGGCAGGAGAATGGTGTGAACCCAGGAGGCAGAGCTTGCAGTGAGCCGAGATTGCACCACTGCACTCCATCCAGCCTGGGCGACAGAGTGAGACTAGGTCTCAAAAAAAAAAAAAAAAAAAGAAAAGAAATAAATAAACAAGGAAAATGTCATATATTTGCTAATATATTTATTACTTGTTTTTCATTTTTTTGTGTGGATCCATATGTCTATCCAGTCACATATTCTTGCTGCCTGAACAAACTTCAAATTTTATTGCATTGTGAGTTTTCTAATGATACATTTTAAGGTGTTTTTTTAATGTCTGAAAGTGTCATTATTTTATCTTTTAATTTGAAAGGTATTTTTCCTCAATGTAGAGTTCTATTTGAATTTTTTTTTTCTTTCTGTACTTTAAAGACATTCTTCAACTATCTTCCAGATTGCTTTGTTTCTATAGAATATTCCCACTTTTAGTTTTCTTCCTCTAGGCCTATAATTTTCCATTCTTCTGACTACAGTAAATATGTTTTTCTTTATCACTGGTTTTGAGACTTTTAGTCATGATGTGTCTTTGTGTGGTTTTCTTCATGTTTCTTATATTTGAGGTTGATAGTTTTCTTGAATCTTTGAATTATTAATTTTCATCAAATTTGCAAAGTAATCAGTTATTATTAATATAAATATTTGTTTTCTGTTTCCCCCCCTCCCACCTTTCACACAGATGCTGTTATATGTGTATTGGGTCTCTTGAAATGTCCTACAACTCATTGGTGAGCTGTCCTTTTGTTATTGTTCTTTTTTCCTCTCTCTATTTTATGTTGGATAGTTTTTATTGCTACACTTTTTAGGTCCCTCGTCTTCTCTTCTGTATTGTGTAATCTGGCGTTAATCCCATCCAGTGTAATTTTTATTTCATGCATTGTATTTTTATCTCTACAAGCTTAATTTGTTTTTTTTCAATATGTTACAAGTTTCAATATGTCACAAGACGCATATGGCATAGAATTATAATAACCATTGTAATGTTTTTCTCTGTTAATTGTAACATCTGTGTCAGTTTTGAGTGGATTTTGATTGATTGATTCTTCTCCTCATATAGGATTTTTTGTTCTTCCTCTTTTTACACCTGGTAATATTTGATTGGAAGATAGACAGTGGGTCTTTAGCTTGTTGATTTCTAGATATTTTTTATTCTGTATGTCTTCATGAGTTTTGTCCGATGATGCAGTTAAACTTCTTGGAAATGTTTTTATACTTTTAATACATATGGCTTAACTTTGTTTAGTTGGGATCATAGCAGGGCTTATCTAGGGATACTTATTTGCCACTATTAATAAAAGACTGCCTTGAATTCTTTATAAAATTATGTGAATTATAATATTTTCTAGGCTGGCTTATGGGAACAGGCATTTTTCTGGTTCTGTGTGTTAGGCACTGTACCTTCTAATAATTTTTAGTGACACTTCTTCTGGCCTGATGTAGTTTCCTCATATGCATGAGTTGATTAATTCTCTACCAAACTCTCAAAGCGTATGGATGGATGACCCTCCATCTCCTAAATCAGAAAGTCAGCTGGGCTTTACTTCATTTCTCCTCCGCTATGACATGGTCTGCAGTAAATTTGGCAAAATCTGGGGCTCACCTCATTTATTTTCCATCTCTCAATGATTTCAGTTCTTTATTGCTTGATGTCTAAATGTCTAACATCTCCCAAAGCATTGTTTTTGTAACATGTCTGGATTTTGCTGTAGTTATTGTTTCAGACTGATTTAGCAACTATTAAGCCTAACTTTAAATTCATAATTTTATTTAATTATTTCTAACTATGTCTGGTGACCCTAATTATCAAAGGAATTCCAAGTTTCTGCTGGTGAGAAAGAAGAAAGCATCTACTTTTTTATTTCATCCTAAATTCAATTTATGTTGGCAGCCCCAATAGAATCTTTATTTCTAACAAATTATTTGTGTACTATATTCAGCTGACTCTGTTTCATAATCAGATTTACAGTCCTGTGCTATAATTTCTGCCCATACTCTCTGTTAACTCTATCCTATAATTCTGTCAATCTCAGTTAAAGAATTTTCTTTTCCTAAGTAATGCCCCAAAGAGATACTTTCAGTACTCACTACTACTATGAAGTACCTGTTTTGCCTTCTAATTATGCATGTGATGCTTTATACATACATTTATTTTTTTATTATCTGGAATAAAAAATGATGAAAGCCAAAATAACATGTCCAACTCCTTTTATTTCTACACAATATTAAATATAGTTCTCTGCTCAAATTAATATGTGGTGGGTCAATCAAATATCAGATCATCACAACTAGACATTACAAATCACTGCTTCAATGCCTTGTAAAAAGAGCCGTTATTTAACATTTATGACAAACTTTACTTATATAAATTATCATTTATATTTGATGTATCTTTTATTATATTTTGGGGGGTGCTTTGTTTCTTAATTTAGCATACCTGTTATTCACTTCCCCCACTGCCTCTAATTTAATTTTCTCTTTTGTGTTCAATGACATCTTAATTAACGAGCTCTACTTGTTTGAAGGAATTCACCCAAACATGAATGATGAGATTCATTTAAGGTACCTAGCATTTCTAGTACCAGTTATATCAAGTAATTATAGTCCTTCCACCATTTTCTTTAGATTACATTATTGCCCAAACTTTCAAATTTAGACTAAAAAAACTACATATTTTTTCTTCTGTTAAATGTTCTTTGCATATTCTCTAATGTAATGATTAATTTTTGATATAAATTAAAACACACCATTATTTCTTTTCTCATGCAGTGAGGGGACTTAAACATTTGTTCTAGTGTGTGCTTCTCAAAGCTGATTGCCAATTTTTACTAATTTCCAATTATTATTCTTCTCAGTTGCTCTATCTCCCACTTCATCAATAACTTTGTTTTGTTCTTCAATTTGACTATTTTTGAACAGCAGTCTAATTTAGTGTAGTGGTTTTTAGAGTGAGGTGAAAACAAGATGTTTTATTAGAGCATAAGAAGAAAGCATTATGGTATCTTATAATTATTTTTATCTGAAACTAAATAGATGAATATGTACTATTTGTGATAGTTTAATTGTATGTGTTAACTTGACTTGGCCA
Source organism: Homo sapiens (assembly GCF_000001405.40). Classification (NCBI taxonomy): domain Eukaryota; kingdom Metazoa; phylum Chordata; class Mammalia; order Primates; family Hominidae; genus Homo; species Homo sapiens. The sequence goes on from NC_000001.11 coordinate 104,445,794, forward strand.
CAGGGTGCCCAGACATATGGCCAAACATTCTGTGGTCGTTAAGGTGTTTTGGATAAGCTTGCTGTTTGAATAGGTAGGCTGAGTAAAGGATTGCTCTCCCTAATGCTGGTGGGCTTCGTCCAATCAATTAAAGACCTGAATATAACAAAAAGGCTGAGCAAAAGGGAATTCCTCCTCTCTGACTGCCTGAGGTGGAACTTTGGTCTTTATAGCCTTCAGGTTCAGACTAAAACATTGGGTTTTTGAAAGTCCCAAGCTTGCTATTTTTTGTTTTTGTTTTGGCTCTACTCATTCTCAGGACTTGGAATTATAATGAAAATACCTATCAGTTCTCCTGGGTCTCCAGCTTTCTAATTCACCCTGCAAATCTTGGATATTGTCAGCTTCTAAAACATGAGCCAATTCCTTATAATAAGTCTCTCTCTCTTTCTCTCTCTCTCTCTCTCTCTCTCAAGCCAATTCCTTATAATCAGTCCCTCCCTCTCTCTTTCTCTGTATGTGCTTGTTATTATTAATACATACATACACACACATGCACACACACACACACACACACACATATATTATAGAGATAGATATATCTCCTATTGGTTCTTTTACTCTGGTAAAACCTAATACAGTATTATTTAAATATAGATTTATATAATGCGTATAATGTATTGAAGGGATATTGAACTATGCCCCCTACCTTTACAGTCTTTCCTCATTCACATCTATAGCATCTTTCTCTTATATCTTTTTTTCTTTTTTTTATTATTATACTTTAAGTTTTAGGGTACATGTGCACAATGTGCAGGTTAGTTACATATGTACACATGTGACATGCTGGTGCGCTGCACCCACCAACTCGTCATCTAGCATTAGGCATATCTCCCAATGCTATCCCTCCCTGATCCTCCCACCCCACAACAGTCCCCAGAGTGTGATGTTCCCCTTCCTGTGTCCATGTGTTCTCATTGTTCAATTCCCACCTATGAGTGAGAATATGCGGTGTTTGGTTTTTTGTTCTTGCAATAGTTTACTGAGAATGATGATTTCCAATTTCATCCATGTCCCTACAAAGGACATGAACTCATCATTTTTTATGGCTGCATAGTATTCCATGTTGTATATGTGCCACATTTTCTTAATCCAGTCTATCATTGTTGGACATTTGGGTTGGTTCCAAGTCTTTGCTATTGTGAATAGTGCCGCAATAAACATATGTGTGCATGTGTCTTTATGGCAGCATGATTTATAGTCCTTTGGGTATATTATTAGTCATTCTACAGCTGTTTGCTATAGAATTATTTGCTATAATTATAGAATTTGCTATAATTATTCTGGAACTGCACTCTGCTTGTGCATTAAAAGATATGTTTTCTGGGTATCTACTTTTGGCTGATTGTTCTCTATTCTTTCAATTATCATTTTAGTAACTAACTTCTCTTCCTTCATGCTCCCATAGAAATCTGAGCCTATATATTCTTTGCACTAATATTGAACTTAATTAATTTGTCGCATGCCTGCCTTTCTTACATAAAGACAAATTTGCTTAGGAATGGAGACTATTTTTAATTCATTGTTCTATCCTAATTGCTTAGTATATTGTTAGGTATGTAAAAAGGGACAACACACTTCTTTTGATGAAGTAACTTGAACTGAAATTTTAGTAGGGATAATCTGCAGGGAAAAAGTCAAGATTTAAAAACTATCTATAGAAAAATGATATAATTATTACCATAGCAAATTGTAACCCCCAAAAATATTTTGGGAGATAAAAGAGTAACAGAATTTGAATAACCTAGTTCTGTGCAAACATGGAATAGTAATAAACCAACCTAAACTGGTAGAATTAGTTTGATTCTAGATAATGAAATTCACTAAAATGCGTTTCACCTTGGTCACATTTGTTCTCTTTAACTTTCAATTTCTCTCTTTCAGTCACGCTAGTGAATTAAGTATGTTAAAAAAAAGGTTGGGCAAAGATATGATTTTGAGTGTATAGAAGTTTAACATGTCACAATTGTAGAGATTTTTATGTTTGCATTTCAGAGGAAACAAAATATTGGCTAGTAGCAAGAGCATAAAAGACAAAGTTGGCAGCAGAAAACTATTTAGTAAATTTGCACAAGTGAACATACTGAAGTGAGAAGTTTTAGGATGAAAATATAGGGGAAATTCAACTAAATTATCCTAGTATCAAGGTATGTAATATTAATTGTATTTTCAATAAATAAGAATGTTGAGATTATTCCTTTAGGCTAAGTTTAAAAATCTATGAATAAGCAAGTTTTCCCTAAGTTTAAAGTGCCTTTCCAAAAATATAGGATTTGTAGATAGAAATAAATTTAAAAGACAGGGCCTCCTGGCCTAGAACTGAGTAAATTAACTGGGAACACAGCAGGGTTTTATTATTGAGGAAGAAATTAGCTCACTGCCTTTTTAAACACAATTTGGGAAACTGTGAGTTCACTAGAAGGCAAAGTAAGAAATATATTTGACCGTAATGAGATGCATTAATTAACTCCTGTCAAGCTCTCTAATATGTTCTTTAATTTTCTTCCACTCCTCCCCTTTTCTTCCTTTTCTCCTCCCTCCTCTCCTTTCCTCTCTTGTCCCCTCGTCTCCGCTCTCTTTCTCCTTAATGTTCCTGATTCCTCATATTTTACATTTAGTGCAAAGGACTAGGACCATAGTAGCCATTCAAAATGATATAGGAATTATATTTCACTATCTTGTATTCAAGGAATAAATAATTAGTTTGTGAACTAGTTAATTAATGATCCTTCATCTTTCATTCACAAACCGTTTTCTTTTTTCTTTGTCAGTTCTACCAAAACTACTCGCTCTACAAAGATGAATAAAGCAAGATATCTTTTTGTCAAGGTGCTCAGGATAACTAGTATAGTAGCATCGAAGCATATGAAAGAGTATAAAAATCACTTGTGACGTTTTAAAATACAAGTAGTCAAGCCCACCAAGACATACTGAGTCAAAGCCTCTGGGGGTAGAGTCCAATGTTCATATTTTCTGAAAAGGCTCACAGTTAACTCTAATATTTACCAAGGGATGATGACAGCTGGCAATTGGAGCACAAAAATACATAATGGAGTACAAATGGTATAACAGTATTATGAAAAAGGTGGTTCTGATTGAAAATTTTGGTTGAAAATATCTGAATACTTGTTTAAGTGCTTGATTCAGCTATGACAATACTGGTATTTTCTGCCAATACATTTGCAGCTTCTTTCTATTACAGATGATATGAATGTCCTCTCACTAACACCACGTTGCCAAATGTGTTTGTGTTTTTGGGGGCGGAGGGTGCCATTTCATCACTTAAAAAGAAACTTACAGTACAGAATACATGGAATTCTAGCAAATTTCAGGAGTTAACACACTTCTCTTTCTTCTTTCTTCCTTCCTTTTCTCTTTCTTTTGTTACTGTATGACAAATACTGTTTTAAGTATTGATGAATTAGCTGTGAACAAAATACAAAATAGGCAAACTTCACTTTCAGGAGGTAACATTTCAGTCTGAGGAGAAAAAAAATAATCATATTAACTACTAAATGAATTAATTTCAGATTCAATAAACAATAACATGAAGATAAAATATGTAATCATAGAAAATGACTGAGGGGAAGGCGACACTCTAGCCAAAATAGAAATTATATTTAAATTGTTCCAGAAAAATTCAAAGTAGGGACCATATGAAGATAGGTGGAAGAATATTTCTCACAGAAGAAAAGCACATATAAAGGTCTAAATATGAAGCACACCCTAATGTATTCATGTAGCTAAAGATGAAAGGCAAGAGATCTCAATATCAAATAGCTGTAATCTAACTCATTTCAGGTCATGATGAAGATACATTCAGTCTACTTTAGCATGTAATGGTAACTAACCAAATTTGTATTTCGATTGGTGGTTAACTTTTAAAACAAAAATTGCACACTTTTCTCACCTTTATAATATTTTTTAACTTTTAATTAAGGTTCAGGGGTACATGTGAAGGTTTGTTACATGAGTGAACTTCTGTCATAGGGGTTTGTTGCACAATATTTCACCAGACAGGTATTAAGCCCAGTATCCAATAGTTATCTATTCTGCTCTTTTCTCTCAATTAGACCCTAGTGTTTGTTATTCCTTCTTTGTTTTCATAAGTTCTCATCATTTAGCTCCCACTTATAATTGAGAATATTCAGTATTTGATTTTCTGTTCCTGCATAGTTAGCTAAAGATAATAGCCTCCAGCTCCATCCCTGTTCCCACAAAAGACATAATCTTGGATTTTTATTGTTGTATAATATTCCATGTTATAAATGTACCACATTTTCTTTATCTAATATGTCATCGAGGGGCATTTAGGTTGATTCCATGTCTTTGCTATTGTAAACAGTGCTGCAATGAAGATTTGCATGCATGAGTCTTTATAGTAGAATGGTTTATATTCCTTTGGGTATATACTCAGTAATGGGATTTCTGGGTTGAATGACAGTTCTGCTTATAGCTCTTTCAGGAATTGCAATACTGTTCTCCACAATGGTTGAACTAATTTTGAACTAATTTTACACTCCCACCAACTGTGTATAAGTGTTCTGTTTTCTCTGTAACCTCACGAGCATCTGTGATTTTTGATTTTTTAAATAATAGTCATTCTGACTGATGTGAGATGGTATCTCATTGTGGTTTTGATTTGCATTTCTCTAATGATCAGTGATTTCAGCTTTTTCTCATATGCTTGTTGGCGTGTATTTGTTTTTCTTTTAAAAAGTGTCTACTCATTTACTTTGCCCGCTTTTTAATGAGGTTGTTCATTTATTTCTAGTAAATTTCTTAACTTCTTTATAGATTCTGGATATTAGACCTTTGTCAAATGCATAGTTTGCAAAAAAATTTTTCCATTATGTAGGTTGTCTGTTTACTCCATTGATAGTTTCTTTTGCTGTGCAGAATCTGTTAGGTTTAATCAGTTCTCACTTGTCAATTTTTGCTTTTGTTGTGATTGCTTTTGGTCTTTTTGTAGTGAAATCTTTGTCCTGAAATTTTTGCCTGGTTCTATGTCCTGTAGTATTACCTAGGTTGTCTTCCAGGGTTTTTATTCTTTGGGGTTCTATATTTAACTCTTTAGTCCATCTTGACTTGATTTTTGTATATGGTGTAAGGAAGGTATCTGGCTTCTATCTTCTGCATATGGCAACTGGTTTTTCCAGAAGTATTTATTGAATAGGGAGTCTTTTCCCCACTGCTTGTTTTTGCAAGCTTTGTCAAAAATCAGTAGGTGTGTGGCCTTATTTCTGGGCTCTCTATTCTGTTCCACTGAACTATGTGCTTGTTTTTGTACCAGTACCATACTGTGTGGGGTACTGTAGCCCTATAGTATAGTTTGAATTAAGATAATGTGATGCCTCTAGCTTTGTTCTTTTGCTTAGGATTACCTTGGCTATTCAGGCTATGATATGGTTAGGCTTTGTGTCCCCACACAAATCTAATCTTGAATTGTAATCCTCAGGTATTGAAGGAGTGACCCGGTGGGAGGTGATTGAATCAGGGGGTCAGTTTCCATGCTGGTTTCATGATAATGAGTGAGTTCTCATGAGATCTGATGGTTTTATAAGGGGCTATCCCCAGTTTGGTCTGTCTCTCTCCTGCTGCCATGTAAGATGTGCCTACTTCCCCTTCTGCCATAATTGTAAGTTTCCTGAGGCCTCCCCAGCCATGCACAACTGTGTCAATTAAACCTCTTTCCTTTATAAATTACCCAGAAATACTTGGGTATTTCTTTATAGCAGTATGAGAACAGATTAATACAATAAATTGGTACCAGGAGTTTGGGGTACTGCTATAAAAATACCTCAAAATGTGAAAGTGACTTTAGAACTAGGTAATGAGCAGAAGTTGGAACAGTCCAACTTCTGGAGGCCTCAAAGGAAGACAGGAAGATGTGGGAAAGTTTGGAACTTCCTAGAGACTTGTTGAATGGCCTTGACCAAAATGCTAATGGTAATATGAACAGTGAAGTCCAGGCTGAAGTGGTCTCAGGTGGAGATGGGAACTTATTGGGAACTGGAGCCAAGGTCACTCTTGCTATGTTTAGCAAAGAGACTGGTGTCATTTTGCCTCTGCCCTAGAGATCTGTGGAACTTTGAACTTGAGAGAGATGACTTGAAATTTGAACTTATGTTTAAAGGAGAAGCAGGGCATAACAGTTTGGAAATTTTGCAGCCTGATCACATGGTAGAAAAGAAAAACCCATTTTCTGGGAAGGAATTAAAGCCAGCTGCTAAAATTTGAGTAAGTAATGAAGAAGCTCATATTATTTGCCAAGACAATAGGGAAAATGTCTCCAGAGCATGTCACAGGTCTTCATGGCAGCACCTCACATCACAGGCTCAGAAGCCCAGGAGGAAAAAAAAATGGTTTCATGGGCTGGACCCAAGTCTCCCCTTCTGTGTGCAACCTCAGGACTTGGTGCCCTGAGTACCAGATGCTCCAGCTCCAGCCATGGCTGAAAGGTTCCAAAGTACAGCTCAGGCCATTGTTTCAGAGAGTGCAAGTCCCAAGCTTTGGCAGCTTCCATGTATTGTTGGGCCTGTGGGTACACAGAATTTAAGAATTGAGGTTTGGAAATTTCTGCCTAGATTTCAGAGGATGTATGAAAACTCCTGGATATCCAGGCAGAAATCTGCTGCTGAAGCAGAGCTCTCAAGGAGAACCTCTGCTAGGGCAATGTGGAAGGCAAATGTGGGGTTGGAGCCCCCATACAGAGTCCCCACTGAGGCACTGCCTAGTGGAGCTGTGAGTAGAGGGCCACCATCCTCCAGACCCCAGAATCGTAGATCCACTGACAGCTTACACTGCACATCTGGATAAACCACAGGCACTCAATGCCAGCCTGTGAAGGAGCTGCCCAAGGTCATGGGAGCCCACCCCTTGCATCATTGTGCCCCAGATGTGAGACATGGAATGAAAGGAGATTTTTGGGGAGCTTTAAGATTTAATGACTGCTCTGCTGGGTTTTAGATGTGCATGGGGCCTTTAGCCCTTTTGTTTTGGCCAAGTACTCCCATTTTGAATGGAAACATTTACCCGATGCTTGTACCCCCATTGTATCTTGAAAGTAACTAACTTGCTTTTGACTTTACAGTCTTGTAGGTAGAAGGGACTTGCCTTGTCTCACATGAGAATTTGTACCTGGATTTTTGGGTTAATGCTGAAATGAATTAAGATTTGGTGAGACTGTTGGGAAGGCATGATTGGTTTTGAAATATGAAACGGACATGAGATTTCAGAGGGGCTGTGGCAGAACGGTATGATTAGGCTTTGTGTTCCCACCCAAATCTCATCTTAAATTGTAATCCCCAGGTGTTTAGAGAGAGACCTGACAGGAGGTGATTGGGTCATGGGGTCAGTTTCCCCCATGCTGTTCTCATGATAGTGAATGAGTTATTATGAGATCTGATGGCTTTATAAGGGGCTCTTCCCTTTTTGGTCTTTCTCTCACCTGCCACCATGTAAGATGTGCCTGCTTCTCCTTCCTCCATGACTACATTTCCTGAGACCTCCAAGCCATGTGGAACTGTGAGTCAATTAAACCTTTTTCCTTTACAGATTACTATTCTTGGGTATTTCTTTATGGCAGTGTGAGAAAATACTAACACAGGCTATTTTTTCGTTTCATATAAATTTTAAGTTAGATTTTCTAGTTCTGTAAAAAATATCATTGGTAGTTTGATAGATATAGTATTCAATCTGTAATTGCTTTTGGCTGTATGGCTATTTTAAAATATTGAATCTTTCTTTCCATGAGCATGGGATGTTTTCCCATTTGATTGTGTCTTCTTAGATTTCTTTGAGCAGTGTTCTGTAATTCTCATTGTAGAGATCTTTCACTTCCCTATATTCCTAGGTATTTTACTCTTTATATGCCAATTGTGAATGGGATTGCCTTTCTGATTTGGCTCTTGGCTTGGCTGTTGTGGGTGTACAGGAATGCTAGCTGGAGATGATGGAATGACCAGCTGCAGAGAGAAGTACCTTCTCTTCTGAGAGCTGCAGAGATGACCTGCTGGCAGAGAGGAGCTACCCTATCTGCTAAGAGCTTCAGAGACCTGCAGAGACATCAGAATGACTTGCCTGAGGAGAGCAGCCACCTCCTCCAGGACCTCCTGTCTGCTAAGAGCTAACACTTGACAACCTGCCTACAGAGAGGAGCTACCCACTCTTCTGAGCTGTTCTAACACTAAATAAAACTCTTTTTCTTCACCATTCACTTGTCTGTGTAACTCATTCTTCCTAGACACAGGACAAGAACCTGGGCAAATGCACTGAGGCCACAGTGGCTTCTGACTAGAAAAATCAACACCCCAGACATCTCGTAACACTAAGGGTAGCATGGGCATTTCTACTGCAGAGGCAGTAGAGAGAGGCTTTCAGTTTCCCCATGGGCCAGAGCTGCTACTTGCTTGATATCTCTGGTGGTGTGTGGCTGGAGGACCAGGTATGGAGAACCCTACCAGCAAAGAGATGTAGGAATGGGCACTGATATAGCAGTTTGGCCGTTTTCTGTAGGGCTGCTGTGGTATGCTGGGGGCCTGCTCTACTCCCTAGTCATCTCAGATTTTCCAGTACCTGGAGGTAACAACAATGAAGGCTGTATAACAGCAAAGATAACTGCCTGCCCCTCTCTGGGAGCTCTGTCCCAGGGATTTACCAAACTGCTGCCAGCCCAAATGCACCTGTAGAAGGTGGCTGAAGACTTCGGTTGGGAGGTCACCTCCAGTAAGGAGAAATGGGACCAGAGACTCACTTAAAAAAGAAGTTTGGCCATGTTTTCATAAAGCAGCTGTGCTGTGCTGAAGAACCACTTCTGCCACTGGTTGGCTTGGACTCTACAAAGCCCAATAGCTGGAATAGCTAAGTTGCCCAAACAGCAAAGATGGTGGCCCACCCCTCCCTCTGGGAGCTCCATCCCAGGGAAGTTTTAAATCTCTGTCAGCTACAGAACACTGATGGGGTGGCTGGCAGCAACCTTGGTTAAGAGGCCCTGCCCAGTGAGCAAGAATAGGATCGGGGACTGGCTTAAAAAAAACAGTATGGCCATGTTTTCATAGAGCAACTGTGCTGTGCCTGAGGATTGCTTCTGTCCCTGGTAGACTTGGACTATCCAAAGCCCAAAAGCTGGAACAAGTAAGTCCACTAAACAGCAAAGATGGTAGCTTCTCTCCCTGAGAACTTCATCTCAGACAGGTGCAATGGTGCTAGTGGTGGCTGACTGGAGTCTTAAACCATGGTGTCTTACCTGTGAGGCACCATAGAAGTGGGGCCTTCAGACTGTTACTACTCAGCCTCTTGGATTCAGCCTTTCCTAGGGGTATATACAGGGTTTAACATTCCTCTTTGGTGGAGTTGCAGCTACTTTTGCTGGAAAGCCCAGAAAGCCTTGGTATCTCGGTTTCCTGTATCTCTGTGTATGCCTGAGTGACTGCTCTGTCAAGACTCCATGTAGCTCTGTTAGACTGAAGGCCCTGGTGGAGTGGGTTCACGAAGAGATCTGACCTGAGGGTTGCAAAGATCTGTGGGCGAAGTGTGGTTTCCCGGGGTCACACATTCACTGACTGCTCCCCTGGACAGGGGAGGTTCCCCTGGCTCTATATTGCTCCCAGACGGGCCACCATCCTACCTTGCTTTTTTCCATTCTCTGTGGGTCACATTGTTTCCTTGATTAGTCTCAATGCTTGTACCTGGATGTTCCAATTGAAGGTGTGGTATTTACTTGCCCCTTTTATTCTTCTCCATGAGAACCGTGCACACTAGCTGCTTCTAGTCAGCCATTGTGGCCACACCTCTGATCTTTTATAATTTTGAATGTAAGAGATGATTTGGGTTTTTTCCATTTCTTTAACCAAAGAAGACTAATTGATAAGGTACATGTTTATTACAGCCTCTATCCCTGCTGTAAGATTTCTGATACAAATATCTCACTGAATTTATCTTTTCGGTTTAATTTACAGTATATGATTGACTATACATGTAACTATTTTTAATAATATAATCCATATCTATATTTTTATTAATAGGTGTACCAGAAACAATACAACTTGACTAACTTTTTCTGTTTCACATAGTTATAAGCCAATATAATTAGCTACTTTGCTATAGGCCTCTTTAAACTTATTGTTGATCACTCAGGTGTGTGTTGCAGTGATAGCTCATCATACTCTACGAAAACAACTCAAAGTGCATGTAACCCTAATGAAAAAAGTGACGGACTCTGTAATTAGAGAGCATAAAAAATATGTTTGAACATAAGTTTGAAACAGCATAATCTAGCGGTAATATAACAGCCAGTACCAGAAGACGTGACTTTGAAAAAAAGTATGTGACTTTTAAAATACACACTATGAAATTGGTTGAATTAAGACATATTTTAAGCTATTTTTTGTGTAGAGGTAAAAATAGAAATTTAAAATATGGAAATTAAAAAGTCTGATTTTCCTCCTAGGTATATTATTTCTCTAGCTAACATTATATTTCATGGATTTTTTTCTCTGTCATGTTGGCATAGATTCATATTCCTGTTAACTGTATAAATTATAATGTAATGTTCTTTTTTAAAAAAAATTGTGTCAGGGTGGTTGCTTTTGTGCCCAGAGCAATATGACAAGTGTATGGCCAAATAAGCTAAACAAACAAGAAATTAAAAACATGAATCTGATCAAGAACAATTTTAGAAGAGATTTTAATACATTTTACTGAGTTATACATGATTCCAAATATAATAGGATTATAACACATAAAGTAAGGCTCTAAAAAGTTAAAATTAAACCATTGCTATGCATAGTATATTGTGCATGCCATTATAATGGAAAAAAAGCAAACAACTCCTCAAGGTCACAATTACTCTGTAATAAACAATTGTTAACAAGTTTGTTAAAGTGTTTACCATTGTTCTGATTTCCAAGCAAGCAGAAACTTTATTATACTAAAGGCAATTAATTTTAAAATGCTTCAAATTGCACCTAATGAGCCTACAGGATTCATTACCAGTGAAGGTCACAGAACCAACTAGATCCCTGAATTTATCTTTATCTCTGGTTGTATGAATGACTAAGCTGAGTATTGGGAGGTCTATCACAGAGCAATCAATCAGACTGCCACCCAGCAATAGGTCTACAGTAAGGCACTCTGTAAGAAGAATGTCAGAGGGAATCATATGGACTATGTGCACTACTGTAAGCCCCAATTTTTTTAACGATTTAACTCTAATTTTGTAAAAAAGCTTACTTGAAGTGTCTTATGCTTCTTAACATAAGAAAATAATTAAACATCTTATATTATAGCTAACACATTTATATGGTCTTAAAAATCTACTTGGAATAAAATATTTTATTTTCATAGGTCAATAAAGTTTCATTGCTAAAGGAGATTATAGCAATGAATAGTAGACAGAATATGACATATCAAAGTCAGTAAATAAGCACCACATAAACCACCTTTTGGCCACACTGGCTGAGATTGCATTGAAAAGTATTTTTAATTATATTTTGGCATTTATTTGCTTATTCCATCATTAATTTTTATATTTATTTATTTGTCTCATTATTATTATTTATTTGTTTCATTTTTCATTTTTGAATGATTATTTGTCAAACAACTACTGAACAATAAGTATTAAATAGGGCTGTAGGAATAAGAAACTAAAAACAAAATGGATTATTCTGTAAAGAAATTTGGACCCTACTGAATAGTGTAAAGTATCCTTTCTAAATTGATATGGTTTGGCTGTGTCCCCTCCCAAATCTCACCTTAAATCGTAACTCTCACAATTCCCACGTGTTGTGGGAAGAGCCCAGTGGGAGGTGATTGAATTATGAAGGCAAGAATTTCCTATGCTGTTCTCATGATTGTGAGTAAGTCTCATGGCATCTGATGGTTTTAAAAGTGGGAGTTTTCTTGCACAAGCTGTCTCTCTCTTCGCCTGCTGACATTCTTGTAAGATGTGACTTGCTCCTCCTTGTCTTCCTCCATGATTGTGAAGCCTCCTCAGCCATGTGGAACTGTAAGTCCATTAAACCTCTTTTTCTTCCCAGTCTCAGGTATGTCTTTATCAGCAGCATGAAAATGGACTAATACACAAATATAATAATGTATCATTATAGCTGCTACCATAGAAACCCTCTAGCATACATTGGAACAACTAATATTTGGTCAATGTAACTAATCCTTAGAAAAATTTTATTTTAGCCAGGTGCAGTGGCTCATGCCTGTAATCCCAGCACTTTGGGAGGCCAAGGCGGGTGGATAACCTGAGGTCAGGAGTTTGAGACCAGCCTGGCCAACATGGCGAAACCCTGTCTCTATTAAAAATATAAAAACTAGCCAGGCTTGGTGGTTGGCACCTGTAATCCCAGCTACTCAGGAAGCTGAGGCAGGACAATTGCTCGAACCCAGGAGACAGGGGTAGCAGTGAGCCAACATGGTGCCACTGAACTCCAGCCTCAGTGACAGAGTGAGACTCTGTTTAAAAAAAAGAAAAATGTTATTTTAAAAATCTGGCTGGGTGCAGTGGCTCACGCCTATAATCCCAGCACTTTGGGAGGCCGAAGGGGACAGATCTCTTGAGGCCAGGAATTCAAGACCAGCCTGACCAACATGGTGAAACCCCATCTCTACTAAAAATATAAAAATTAGCCAGTTGTGATGGTGCACACCTGTAATCTTAGCAACTCAGTAGGCTGAGGCAGGTGAATCTCTTGAACCCAGGAGGTGGAGGTTGCAGTGAGCTGAGATAACACCACTGTACTCCAGCCTAGGTGACAGAGTGAGATCCTGTCTCAAGACAGAATAAAAATAAAAAAATCTATCCTCATCCAGTAGTATTTTTAAGGAAACATTGGTCTGCCTTGATGATGCCAGAAGATTGATTGCAAGTAGTAAAAGAATATGTGAGAATGGAGTTCATGGTAAAGATATTTGGTCAGCATTTTCCATCTTTAATTAGAGACAATGAAACAATTTTGTAAATTACAAATCATAAATTAGTATTTTTTTGTTTCAGTGACTATCTTCATTCAGTGTAACTTAAAAAAATTAAAATTTTCTTGTTTAAAATTTACAAAACTAGGTGGAAAAATATAAATAATTCAGCTTTCAAATATATATATTTTTCAGTTTATAGCATGTATTTATACTTCTGAAGTTATGAAAGCTTAAAATTAGGCTAAAATTTATAGGCACCCTCTGCTCAAATGTGGCCTGAAAAAGAATCATTTAATGCACAATGATTAGGTACAGGAGAAAAAATAAAGGAAGAAGATTATTTGTAGAGAGGACAAAAGAAAAAGTATTTAAATGAATAAATAAATGGTTCAAATGATTTATTTTGGTAAAATTAGAATGGGACTGAACAATTCAATGTACATTTTACATCAAGGAGGAGATCATTATTTTATTTGAATGTTGCAAGTAGAAGTAAGTTTCCCAAATGGTATATAGGACATGAAAAAATAAAGACAGAGATGGTAATTCACACCATAAAGATGAGAAAGGACAGAAATTGGGGAGTAGCTAGGAGAGTTCAAAGTTAAGTAATGAATTTTACTTTTGGTGTTTGTGTATAGTTTTTAGTATATTTCAAATATGAACAGACTTTTCAGCTGATAATGAAGGATCCAATGAAATGGAAGTGAAAGATTACAAACATAGAAGATAAATAATTGAGCAAAATTCTGAAGTAAATGAAAGTGACCAAATCAGGATCTGAAGTAAAGGACAAAGCCTTAAAAGTAGATTAGAGGACAAAAAGATAGATTTGTAGGTTTATAGGCATAACTCTTTTATATTGTTTGCTAAGCAAATTATATTTTTAAGCCATTCTTGTATTTTCTATTTATATCAGACATGGCATGAAATTCAGAATTATTCAAGTTCAAATTCTAGCGACTACCTATTAGCTGAGGGATGGTAGAGCAAATAACATTCATGAAAAATTGGTTCTCTTGTAGCAGGACCAGTCTCAGACAAAACCTTTCAGACACCAGTTTTAGGAAGGAAGAGGCTTTAATCAGCTGGGAGCATTGGTAGACTCGCATCTCAAGATCCGAGCTCCTTGATGTAAAGATTCCTCTCCCTTTAGGGCTTACAACTCTAAGGGGTCCAAATGAAAGGGTCGTGATACATTGTGCAAGCAGAGGCTACATGACTGAGGGCTACATGTCTCAGTGATGGGGGCTAGCAGAATAGAACAGAAAGTTTCACAATGCTGCCTCATACAATGTCTAAAATCTATAGATAACACAAGCGGTTAGGTCAGGAGCTGATCTTTAACTACCAGGCCTGGTTCTTGGCACCAAGCCATCTGGCTGTTGATCTCACTTCTGCTTCTTTTTAACTTTTTGCTTCCTTTTTGAAACAGGAGACAATGGGAGAGGTGGTCTCCTTCCTTATTCCCCCATTTGAGAATCTCACTTATTAGTGGGAATTCTCACTTTCATCCTCACTATCTACATCTTTCTGCGAGACAGACCAATAGTGATTCATGTAATACACTTGTGCTGAACTATTTTGGTGAACCAAGGTAGTGACAAAGCTTTTCATTATTTGAAGGAGAAAGGGCAGCAAGCAGGAGAGCAATAAACAGGTTCCTATCACTATTATTACCCCTATTATAAGAGTTTTAAATCCTCCTAATGCTGGGAACCATTTTCCAAATACAGACCTAGGATCAAATCTATGCCAAACCTGCACAGGCACATGTGCTAGCTTTGTCATATCTCTGACTATGTTTTTGACTACTTGCCCTTGGTCATCTATATGCAGACAGTAATTGGTCAGGTTGAATTTTCCACAGACCCCTCCTTCAGCTGCTAGCAAGTAGCCTAGGGCCAATCTATTTTGATAAATAGCATTTCTCATCTGGGCTTCTTGCCGGTCTAGAATAGTCAAAGCTCTGCCAGTTTCATTAGTGATTATTTCTAACACAGCTTGTAACCATATAATCCAGTTGAGCATGTAAATGGGGGTTCGGTATCCCCACGAAAAGTTTTGTGCCCATGTGGCAGGCCCATAGTACTGTATCATTCTTTCAAGGGACCACTAGTCAACTTTCCAATTGCCTATGGCTATGCCCCTCTTTTCTTAGGAAGCATAGACAGGGAAGCCTAGGAGCTCACCTGTTTTTACCGGCAGCAGGAAAAAAGGATGTTTTAATGGTGCCAATGACAAAAACTGCCTGCCCATTGGTCAGGTAGCTTGGCATGGGCTCTGTGTCCACATATCCAGTATAGCCCAGCTGGAGCTGTCCAGTCCTGATGAAACTCTGGATGGGCCCAAACAGTTTGCAACTTACTAAACTTACTAAATGGGTTTTTCTCAGTATGGTTTAGACCTCACCAGGTGACTGTTCTTGTGCTGTTATACAGCTTTTGCCCTAGGCAATTGAGTCTTCCTATGGGGATGGTGAAGTCTTTTCTTCTCTAGCTATGCAGTATTGTCCAATAATTGAGGTTTCGAAGACCCAAAAGTTACCAGTGTGGGCCTTCTGGACTGGAATTATATCAGGAACTGGATCCATGGGCACTAATTCTCGGGCCTCCCAAGGCCATTGGTCTCCCACAGTGGTTCCCCTGTATACATAATAGGAAGTAACATTGAGGAAATGGGCTACATTTTCTGCTAACTGCAGGAACAAATTTTTTGTCTTCCTTCAGAGTTCTGGTACTGGCACATTCAGTTCATCATAAAAGGTGTGGAACACTGGTTTGGGACTGCACTTGTGGATCTCCCCTTGGACTAAAAAGTTGACTTAGGGGTCAAGCACAGTTCCATCAATTCCTAGGTTTACATTTTCCCCTGTCTTCCATTGGGGGTCCAGGAAGTTAGCAATTATTAATTCTAATGGGTTACAGTTACTGGAGGTGCAAGACGAATTACTTTTTCTTTTTGTAGGTGAGCAGCATCTTTTTTGTCCTTTTTCAGGTAGCCCAAATGACACAGGACCAATAACTACATTCAATACCACATAGTCCTAATTCATGACAAATGTACTTATTTTCTGCCTTATAGCTTTTTTCCCAACTGAGAGAACCACATCCCATCCCTAGCTTGTTACTATTAATGACTGCACAGGCATCAGATCTTAAGGTGACTTGTTTGGGAACCCCTTTTTCTTCTGTTCTGGTTAATACTTTACTTGTAACTTTCACGGGTCCCCACCAGTCCTCAGTTCTTAATCTTATTTCAAAAAACTGTGGTCATAGGAGGCTCAGACGGGTTGTAACACACATCAGGTTGGTCATTCCCTGTGCCACATACTTTATACTTCAGTGGCATTATATAAGCAAGTCCCTTTCAAAGTTCCTAGACATTCTTAATATCTATAAAACAGAAAGATTGTTTTAATTTGTTCCCTTACCTCAGTAACTTGATGAATACACTGGGTACAGTCCTCCCTGTGGGGAAAATCAGCTGAAGTTTTTATTGTACAAGTCCAAATTCTAAAGAGAATGAGTCCCACAATGAGTTTCCTCGTGTTTTGGCGGTGGGTAGACAAGTGAGCTTCCGGGTGTGACTGGAGCAGGTCTTGTCGTCTTCTTCAGGATCACTTTGCAGGGATTTTCCGGGCTTGGTTTTACCTCCCAGGCTTCAGGTGCTGCAGGTTTCAGGCGGCTGTGGTGGATCCAGGCCGGAATTCCTTCTACCTTCATGGCGGTGGGTGTGGTCAGGATGACACTCTGGGGTCCTTTCCACCGCGGCTGCAAAGGGGCTACATTCCAGTCTTTGATCCACACTCGATCACCTGGGGAGAAAGGGTGAACTGGGGAGAATAAGCTAACGGGGCATTTTTCATTTACCCAGGCCAAAATTGTTCATGTAACTTTTCCTAAAACCTGCAGCTGTCGCTGTAACTCAATTTCTCCTAGCTCTCAAGGAGTGCCTGGAAGCCCCCATAATATGGGAGGGGGTCTATGATACAATATCTCACAAGGAGAATATCCTGTTCTTTTAGAAGGGGTGCACCTGATCTTAAACAGTACTATGGGGAGAGCCTGTGCCCACTTTAAACATGTTTGTTGACACACTTTCCTTAAACTACTTTTGATAGTCCATTTGCTCCACCTTTCTGGAACTCTGAGGTCAGTAGGTGGCATGCAGTTTCCATGTGATCCCCAATACCTTCTGTGTCTTCTGTACCGAGTCAGCCACAAACACCAGCCTGTTGTGTGAGCCGATCTGTAAGGGCAGTCCAAATCTAGGGATGAAATCTTGGAGAAGCACACGGGTTACTTCACGAGCTTTTTCAGTTCGTGTTGGATAGGCCTCTACCCATCCAGAGTAGGTACACACTAGACCTAGCAGATACTTGTTACCTCCACACTTAGGCATCTCAGTGAAATCCACTTGGAGATCTTCAAAGAGGGCTGATCCATAAGCTTGTATGCCAGGCGGGACAGTTGGACCCTGCCTAACATTGTGCTGCCGGCAGGTGACACCTTGCTCTGTTACCGTTTTGGCAAGGGCCGACAGACGTGAAATGTAGAAGTACCAGCCTAACAACTTTTCAAGTGACTCTTGGCCTAGATAGGTGGTCTCATGCACAGCCAGCACAGCTGCAGCTCCCAGTAGCTGTGGCACGGCTACTCTTCCGTCTGGTAACTGGATCCTTCCTTCCTTTATCGCTTGCTCCCCCTCTGCCTGGAAAAAGTCTCTTTCCTCTTTAGAATAAGCAGGCACTAGATCAGGTGCCTGAGGGAGCAAGGCGGCTGTGACTGATGCTCGGTATTGGGTGGATGCTGCTTTGTAAGCTTCTGAGTCTGCTTGAGAATTTCCTAAGGCAACAGAAGTGGTGGCTTGCTGATGTCCTTTACAATGCATGACGGCCACCCTCCGAGGCTTTCATACTGCTTTTAATAACTGTAAAATTTCTTGCTGGTATTTAATGTCCTTTCCCCCTGAGTTCAACAGGCCTTTTTCTTTGTATAATGCCCCATGCACTTGGAGGGTTAAAAAGGCATACCGAGAGTCCATACAAATGTTTACAGTCTTACCTTCACTTAGCTCTAAGGCCCAAGTTAAAACAGTGAGTTTGGCGTTTTAGGCTGAAGTTCTGTGAGGCAGCGGTTTGGCTTCAATAACAGTGTCCAAGGTTACCATTGCCTATCCAGCGCACCTCTCTCCTTGTGGGTTAATGAAGCTGCTTCCGTCCACATATAGCTCCCAGTCTACAAATGTCCAAGGTTGGTCCCGGAGGTTGGGTCTGCTAGAATAAACTGAGTCCAACACCTCTATACAGTTATGCTCAACTGGACTCTCTGATACCGGGAGCAAGGTGGTGGGGTTCAAAGTGTTGCAAACTTCAATGGTTATGCGGGGATTTTCACAGAGCAAGCTTTGGTATTTAACCTGGCATTTGTTAGCCAATGATATCCTTTGGTATTCATTAAAGTTACCACAGCATGGGGGGCCTTTATGTTCAAGTTTTGCCCAAGGGTTAGTTTATCTGCTTCTTGCGCTACCAGGGCAGTTGCTGCCAAGGCTCTCAAACGCGGGGGCCACCCTTTAGAAACCCCATCTAGCTGTTTGGAGAGATATGCCACTGGTCTTGGCCAGGGCCCTACAGTCTGGGTTAAAACTCCAGCTGCCATCTTTTCTCTCTCTGACACATACAGTGTAAAAAGCTTTGTCAGATCCAGTAGTCCAAGGGCTGGGGCTGACATAAGCTTTTTCCTTTAACTTATGAAAAGCTCACTGTTGTTCGGATCCCCAATTAAAAGGTTCCGTGTTGCCCCCCTTTGTAACTTGGTACAGAGATTTGGCCAGTACTTCAAAGCTTGGGATCCATAACCTGCAGAACCCCACATCTCCTAAGAATTCTGTTACCTGCCTCCTGGTCTTAGGTTCTGGTAGACTGGAAATGACCTGCTTTCGTTCTGATCCTAGGCTGCACTCCCCGTGTTGGATAGTGAATCCCAGGTAGCGTACCTGCTGTCTGCAGATCTGAGCTTTCTTCTTGGACACGTTATATCCACAGTCCTCTAGGTGCCGAAGCAGGGTGTCCATTCCTTTAGCGCATCCAACTGCCGTGGGGTGTCCCAGCAGAAGGTCATAAATGTTCTGGAGCAAGATGCAGCCTAGGTCTCTAGTGGGGAACTTTTGGAGGCCTGGAGGTCTCAAGCCAGTGCCTCCCCAAAGATGGTGGGGGAGTTCTTGAACCCTTGGGGAAGCCGGGTCCAAGTATACTGAGTGGTGACACCTGACCCCAATCCTCCCACTGAAAGGCAAACAGTTTCTAGCTCTCTGAAGCTAATCTGATGCTAAAGAAGGCATCCTTCGGGTCTAGGCAGGTGAACCAGCTGTCCTCAGCTGGCAGTAACCCCAACAATGTGTACGGGTTAGGTACTGTTGGATGTAAAGTCACTGTGGCTTGATTGACCAAGTGCAAGTCCTGCACTGGTCTGTAGTCCTTGGTCCCTGGCTTGGGAACAGGCAGGAGGGGAGTGTTCCATGGAGACTGACAAGGCACTATAATTCCAAAAGTCCTCAGGCACTTAAGATGAACCTGGATACCTTCCAGGGCTTCTCTGGGGATTGGATACTGTTTTTTCCTGACTGACTGGTTCACTGGCTTAACTTCTATGAGTATGGGAGCTTGATTGACTGCCAATCTGGGGGGGATTGTCTTCTGCCCAGATTTTTGGCCACCACTGGGCCAGAGCTGGCCCTATCTCTTTGCCTGGTTCAGTTAGGAAGAGTCGCCACTCTTCCTCTCAGGGAACCATCAGGACCATGATAACTCCTGTTCCAGGCAACTTCAGTTGTAAAGAGCCTTGGTTTGTAAAGGAGATAGTAGCTCTCAGCTTGCTAAGCAGGTCCCTTCCTAACAAAGGCAAGGGGCAGTCAGGCATGTACAGGAACTGGTGAATCACTTCATGTCCCCGCACTCAGCAGGTCCGGGGCAAACAGAAAGCCTGCTTTGTTGAAACTCCTGTTGCTCTGATTATATCAATAGACTTTTTAGATAAGGGGGTGACTGGGGTGGTCACTACTGAATGTTCAGCACCAGTATCAACCAGAAAGTTAATGTCCTTGCTCCCAGCTGTCATTCTGACCATAGGCTCCTTGGGGGCACTTGAGCCGGGTCCCCTTCAGTCCAGCAACCACTCGGCCAGATTGAACAAGCTTCCTTCGTCCTTGTCTGGGGACTTTTGCTCCAAGCCACGTTGCTTTTCTTTTAGCTGAGGGCACTTATCTTTCCAATGTCCTATTTCTTTACAATAGGCACACTGGTTACATTGCAAGCATGGACAGTCAGACTGGGTATTCTTCCCGGAGCCCCCCTTCCCTTGTCCTTTTGGGGAGACCCCTCTAATAGCTGCAGCTAGTAGGTCAGCATTTTGTCGGGCTTGGCGTTCACCTTCTTTGCGGCTCTTTCTGCGGCTCGCTGCATCTCTGTTTACAAACACTTGGCTAGCTATTTCCAGTAATTGCGACACATTCATACCCACAAACCCAGCCTGTTTCTGCAGCTTTCTCCTAATATCCTATGCACTTTGGCTAACTAAGGCCATGTTAATCATGAGCTGACTCTCATGGCTGTCAAAGGGAGTGTACATGCAGTAGGCCTCACACAGTCACTCACAAAATTGCGTTGGACTTTCTTCCTTTCCTTGGATAACCTCAGAGACCTTGTTTAAGTTTGCGTCCTTTTGGGCTCCTCTCCCCAACCCTTCTAAGAGTGCTTCCCTATACCGATTTAGCCTTTGCATGCCCTCTGTCTTGTTTGGATCCCACTGAGGGTCAGTTCCTGGTAGCTGGATTCTCACATACTCTTGGGAGTTGTGATAATCAGCTGGAACATGCTCTTCCAGCCACTTAGTTGCTGCCTGGACCACTCTCCTTCTCTCATCCGTGTTAAAGAGGTACATGAGCAACTTGTGGCAATCAGCCCAAGTGGGGTTATGAGTTTGGATAACAGTTTGCAGCAAGTCATTAAGAGCTTGTGGCTTTTCGGTACAGGATGGGGTGTTATTTTTCCAATTGAAGAGATTGGCAGAAGTAAAAGGTTGATACACAAAGACACACCTTTCTACCATATGTCCCTCCTCGTTTACCCCAGTATACCATTGTTCTCTTAAGGGCATTTGTATCCCAGTTTTAGGTTGCAAGCGAGCTGCCAAGGGAGGGGTTTCTCCCGAGATTTCACATCTTCTTCTGTCTATTCTAGGCGGTCTTGGGGTGTGCGTACCTTGTAGAGGCTCAGGTGCTGCGGGCTACGTGACTGAGGGGTACATGCATCAGTGATGAGGACTAGCAGAACAGACAGAAGGTTTCACAATGCTTCCTCATACAATGTGGGGAACCTCTCTTCTTGGTAAGGGCAGGGCACCACTGGTGCCATTTCCTGCCATGCATCCTCTGATGTGGAGTCAGACAGAACCGTAGGAGCTGACTTCCCTTGGCGGGCAGAGTAAGATTTTTCCTTGGCTGTCTGTCCCTTTGCTACTAGCACTGCTGCTGCCTGTACTCTTAGCCACTGTGGGGGTTCTAAAACCAGCTGCAACCAAGTATCTATGTATAGAAACTGATCTGAGTGTCCTGATTTACCCGTTACTTTGTGCCATACCTTTGAAACTAGGGACCTGTCTAGGCTTCCTTCTGATGGCCATCCCACTTCTAATGCTGGCCAATTTATCTCACACAAAGCCTTAAGCTTTCCAGGTGTCATAGCAGTTCCATAGTCTCCATTGAATCCTTTCTTGAAACTCTTTAACGTAGTTCCTAATGGGGTAGGCTTACTCTGTGTTTTACCCATTTTCCTCTCTCAGGGGACAAAACAACACTCTTACCACAAAGAGGGAAGGGAAAAGGGGTAAAAAGTCACTCACTCACCAAGCAATTCACACCAGATCAAAATTAAAACTAAAACCAAACGACGGATAAGGAGTTACTCATTCATCAAGCAATTTGAGCCAAATCAGAACCGAAATCAAAACCAAAACAATTCAAATCCAAAAGTCAGAACTGAAATCAAAACCAAAACAGTGCAAATCCAGTCAAAATCAAAACCAAAACCAAAGTGCCGGTAAAGGCATGCTGTGGGTGATCAGGCCACACTTCCACTAAGATGGAGTGGGCAAATTCCAAGACCAGCCTTACCGTGTTCCAGATGTCCAGACTCTAAGCACCAATTCTTCCCAGTGTTCAGCTGCTGTGTTAATCCTCTGCGGGGGTCTGCCGCACACTCCTCTGGCAAGGCATTCCAGGGAGGCAATTGCCTATGCTGGAGCACTCTCAGGAACCATGTCGCTTAAGCTGGCCGGAGTCCCCTCCAGAGATGCTCCACAGGGCAGGCTTAAGCTGCCTAAGGGGCTGCCTCCACTCTCCATTAATCACCTTGCTTCCCGGCCAGGGAGCCAAGAAATGTAGCAGGACCAGTGGCAGACAAAACCTCTCAGACACTGGTTTTAGGAAGGAAGAGGCTTTAATCAGCTGGGAGCATTGGTAGACTCACATCTCAAGATCCAGGCTCCCCAAAGTAAAGATTCCTGTCCTTTTTAAGGGCTTACAACACTGAGGGGTCCACAAGAAAGGGTCATGATACATTGTGCAAGCGGGGGCTACGTGACTGAGGGGTACATGCATCAGTGATGAGGACTAGCAGAACAGACAGAAGGTTTCACAATGCTTCCTCATACAATGTCTGGAATCTATAGATAACACAAGCGGTTAGGTCAGGAGTTGATCTTTAACTACGAGGCCTGGTTCTGGGCACCAAGCTGTCTGGCTATTGATCTCACTTCTGCTTCTTTTGAACTTTTTTGCTTCCTTTTTGAAACAGAAGACAATGGGAGAGGTGGTCTCCTTCCTTACTCTCATTTTAAAATGTAGACAATAATTTCTATCTTAAAGTGTTCCTGTAATAAATAAATGAGACAAGGTTTTCAAAAATATGTAGTAGAGTATCTGGCAAAATGGAAGATGCTGAGCTAATGTGTTTCCTAGTTGACACACAAGCGAACAAAGTTCTTGCTTTATTATTTTCAATGAATTGATCTTATTGCTAATGAACATACTTTCTGAGACTTTGGTTATAAAACAGTCTTTTACTCATATTAAACTGCATTTAAATGAAAAACAAAACCCTTTCGTTTCAGCAACTCTCCAGGATAATGGAACAATAATTTACACAAAATAATAAATGTGTTTTTAATTACTTATTTTTCAATATTCTATCCATGGTTATGATGGATAGTGCAACACAAGAATGCTTTCTAAATTATACCTAAAACAATATTAACGGAAATTTTGCTGCATCAATCTTTTTCAAAAAAAGCTGGTTGGAATTATACAGTCTCTTCATTTCCTATATTCCTGTATTTTAATTCTATTTAAAGGGAAACTGATAAAAACAAAACAAAAAGAACATTAGTTGTGCATTCCTGGCAAGATTTTTCAAATGATGGCAACAAGGAATAAAAGTTGAATTTTTGGAATATTGTTTAAACTGCATAGATTTTTGGTGGCCTTGTGAGTTTCAGATATACTGTATTTTTATGCTGGTTCTCCCTCAACGTTTTAGGAAATAAATTCTACATGAAACATGAACTCTTTTGTCCTCCCCTGTGTCTAAAACTATAAAAACAAAGACAGAAAAAAAAATTAGGAAAAAGATTACTTCAAAGTAATGAAATTGATAGAAAGCTAAACATCCTATCAAATCACCATACTTTTTGCACATTAGTTTATCTTAATGAAATTCATTTAACTTTATCTCTGTCTCCAAAGTTATCATCTATACCTCCCCATTATTCTACTCTTGCCTCCAAAATAACAAAAATAACCAAGGAAATAGTTCAAAACACCATATTTTATTTTAATCCATATTTTGGTCAAAACAGCTCTATTTAGCTAATCACCTACATCTTGGATTTATTCTGAAATATTTCCTGTTCTTACTCCCGTATGTCAATATCCATGTCCTCTAAATAAGACATTAAGTCCTACTAATTTTCTAAATACTTAGCATATTTTTTTCTATTTTTTTGCCCAATAACAAATTACTGAAATACCCTTGAGTATTTCTCACCTGGACTACTACACCATGTCTCTAACTGGACTCAACTGCAATCTTGTCTCTGACCAAATCATTATTTACACTATCTGTAATATCAGCTTCCTAAAATCCTCCAATATCTTCTCATGGACTATTAAATACAATATATATCTCTTAGCATTTTATATCTGGACTTTCTTGACTGATTTACTCTAACCATTCAGTTCTTGCCATTTCTCACCTATATACACTTTACTGCAGCAGTGAAGAACAATTTGCTATTCTCCAAATTTGTTTTGCAGTCTCTATGTGTTCCCTTGACATCAAGTTCATTGTTATTTGAATGTTCTCCACTGTATAACTGCTTGGTTTCCTAACTAACAAAGCAAATTAACAGTTTCTTGAAGACAATGATTTTTCTCATTTTTTTATTTCTCCGTGTACCCTTGTTTGACACATTTTTAGTACTTAAAAATATTGAGTTTTTGCTAATTGAATGAAATAATAAACATATGGATAAGTATGTTTATGAATTAATAACAGTAACCAATATCCAAGGTTATAATGAAGTTATGCTACTATGTCATACTAGGTCATATATTTTCTATCCTATTTTTGCTTAACTAAAATTTATTTTTAGCAGTTGTCACCATTAACTTCTCTAAACAAAAACTTCTATGAAATCATAACTCATTTATGAAATGTTTTGAATTTCAAGTAGAAAAATACATCTGTTTCTCTCTAACACAAACATTTTCTGTAGTTCCATGGCTGGGATGGTTAATTTTATGTACCATTTTAATTTGACCCAGATACCTGGTTAAACATTATATCTGTGTCTGTGATGTTGTTTTTGGAAGAGATTAGCTTTTGAATTGGTGGGTGAGTAAAGGAGTTTGCCCTCCCCCATATGCGTAGTTGTTATCCAACCTTATGAGGCTCAAGTAGAACAAAAGGCAGAGGAAGGTTCAATTATCTCTTTGCTTAAAGCATGCAAGGCCATGATTCTCACCACATCACAATTCAACTTTTAGTGATTCCAATTGCAGCTGCTGTACCAGACAGAGCTTTATAACTTGAGCAAATTAATACATCTACTTGTGTCTGATAGACAGCTATTGATTTAATAAATATTTTTTTCTTTGTTGCTTGGTTTTTGTTTGTTTTTCCCCATCAATAACTGTTAGTAAAGACTACCAGAAGTAGTTTACTTTCTTATGGCAAAGCCACCTTTACTATGCTGCCTCTGGGGTATATCAGCTCTCCATTCCTATGCCACAATTTAGTTTGTAGGTACCTTGAATAGCTTTCTCTTCCACAAGATATCACACTAATCCATTATATTAATGACACTTTGCTGATTGGACCTAGTGAGTTAGAAGTAGCAACTACTCTTGATTTATTGGTAGGACATTTGCTTGTCAGGGGGTAAAAAGTAAAGCTGACTAATATTCAAGGTCTTTCTATTTCAGTAAAATTTCTAGGGGTCCCTTGGTGTGGGACCCATCAAGATATCCCTTCTAAGGTGAAGGATAAGTTATTATATCTGGCTTCTCCTATAACCAAAAAAGAGGCACAATGCCTAGTGGACCTCTTTGGATTTTGGAGGCAACATATTCCTTGTTTTCTATGTTACTCCTGTGCATTTAGTGACTTACACTAAAAGGTGCTAAATTTGAATGGGGCTGAAAACAAGAGAAGACTCTCCAATAGGTAAATCTGCTATGAAAGCTGCTCTGCTACTTGGACCACACAATCACACAGATCTAGTGGTTCTTAAAGTCTTAGTGGCAGACAGGGATAAAATTAGAAACTTTTGTCTGGTCAGTATATGTAAATCACAGCACAGGACCTTACACTTTTGGAGTAAAGGCCTGACATCCTCCAGATATAACTATTCTCCTTTTGAGAAACAGCATTAGGCCTGCTCTTGAGCTTTGATTCAGACTGAATGCATAGGCCACCAAGCTACCATGCAACCTGAGCTGCCCTTCATAAACTGGCTGTTATCTGACCTGCCAAATCATAAAGTTGGGAATGCAGAGCAGCACTCCATCATCAAATGGAAGTGATATATATATGACTGGGCCCAAACAGTCCCTGAAGGCATGAGTAAGTTAAATGAAAAAGTTGTCCAAATGCCTATTGTCCCCACTCCTGTTATGATATCTTGTCTCTCTCAGGCTACATATATAGTTTTATGTGAAGATTTTTATAATCATTAGACAGAGGAAGAGAAGACCCAGAACTGGCTTAAAAGCAGTTCTGAAAAATATGCCTGCCCCACACAAAAGTAGAAAATTGCAGCATTGTACCCCTTTTTCAGGACATCCCTGAAGGACAGTGGTGAAGCCAAATCCTCCTCCTAGTGAGAAGGACTTCAGGAATTGTGCCTGTTTTTGCACTTTGCTTAGAAGAAACAGCTAGTCATATGATTGTACACCAATTCACAGGCTGTGGGCCATGGTTTAGTTACATGGTCAGAGACTTGGAAGAAAGATGATTGGAAAATTGGTGACAAGGAAACTTGGAAAAGAAATCTGCTTCTCTCAATAGGCAAAATATGTGAAGATATCTGTATTACTTATAAATGCTCACCAAAATGTGACCTCCATGGAAGAGGATTTTAATAAGCAGTGGATAGGATAACACATGCTGTGGATATCAGTAAGCCTCTTTCCCCAGCCTCTCGCGTCATTGTCCAGTGGACTCATGAATAAAGTGCCATGGTGGCAGGGATGCAGGTTATTCATGCGCTTAGCAACATAAATGTCCACTTACCAAAGCTGACCTGAATATGGCCACTGCTGATTACATAATCCAGCTGCAGTAGAGACCAAAAAATATTGCCTTCCTGTTATAGCACCATACCAGGGTGTGAGCAGCCAGCTATCTGGTGGCTGGTAGATTATATTGGACCATGTTCATAATGAGAAGAGCAGCACATTGTCCTTACTAGCATAGACACTTTGGCTATGGATTTGCCTTTCCTGAGTGCAACACTTCTGCCAAAACTATCATCTGTGGAATTACAGAATGCCTTACCTATTGTCGTGGTATTCCACACAGCATGACTTCTGATGGAGGAACTCACTTTATAGCACATGAATTGCAGCAATGGGCCCATGCTCAAGAAATTCACTGGTCTTACCATGTTCTTCAACGTCCTGAAGCAGTTGACTTGATAAAATGGTAGAATAGCCTTTTGAATACTCAGTTACAGTACTAGCTAGATAGCAAAAATCTGTAGGGCTGGAGTGAGGTTCTTCAAAAAGCTGTATGTGCTCTGAACCAGAATCCAAAATGTTTCTTCCATAGCTGATTCAAGGGCCCAGAAATCGAGTGGTCAAAGAAGGAGTGATAACGCTCGCTATTACCTCTGGTAACTCATTAACAACATGTTTTCTTTCTGATTCCATGATTTAATGGTCTGCTGGTCTAGAGGTTTTAGTTCTGGAGAGAGGAATATTTTCACCAGCAGGAACAGTAACAGTTCGATTGAACTGGAAGTTAAGACCGCCACATGACTTTGGGCTCCTCATGTCTCTGAATCAACAGGAAAGGCATTACTGTGCTGGCTGGGGTGATTGGTCCTGACTACCAAGGGGAAATTAGACTACTGTTTCACAATGGAGGTAAGAAACAGTATATCTTAAATATTAGGGTGTTTTCTACTATTACCATGCCCTGTGATTAAGGCCAATGAAAAACGGCTACAATACAATTTAAACAGGACTACTAATGGCTCAGATCCTTCAGGAATAAAGTTTTCAATCACCCTACCAGGTACAGAATTACAACTTGCTAAGGTGCTTGCTGAAGGCAAGGGGAATACAGAATGGTTAGAAGAAGTCATAAATATCACCTATGACCATGCATATGTATATGTTTGTGTGTCACTGTGTGTAAACTATCTTCATTCTTTTCTCTCCTATTTTATTATCATGCAATGTAAGATGTATTGACTTTATGTCATAATACTTAAGCATTGTTAATTTTATATCATAGAATTTAAGTTATGGGATATGGCTATGGCCTAAATGTTTGTCTCTTCAGAATTTAAAGGTTGAAAGCTAATCTGCACCTTTATCATACCAAGAGGTGAGGCCTTTGAGATGTGACTAGGTCATAAGGACAGATCCCTCATGAATGGAATTAATGCCCATATAAAAGGGGCTTGGGAGAGCTTGTTTGACCCTTTTATCATGTGAAGACTGAGCAAGAAGTCACTGTCAGTGAAGAAAGGGTACTCACCAGACATTGAATACTTAGCTTATTAACTACCCAGTTTATGGTATTTTTGTTATATCACCTAAACAGACTAAAACAGATATCAAGGAGAAAAGTAAACATCACTGAAAAACTTTACCTTCTCTTCTGAGGAAGGGATTTGTGTGTATTTGTTTGTATACAGCATAGTTATATTAGTAATAATTTTGTCTTGTTATTATATTTATTTGGAGATTAAGTATGGTTTGTAGAGATGTGTATGGATTCCAAGTTGATAAGGGGTAGACTTGTGAGGGTTAATTTTTTGTGTTAACTTGATTGGGCCACAGGATGCCCAGATATATACCTAGTTATTTCTGGGTGTGTCCATGATGTTGTTATCAGAATAAATTAACACTTGATAAACTGAGTAAAGTACATTGCCTTCTCCAGTGTGGGTAGACATCATCTAACTTGTTGAGGGATAGAATAGAAAAAAAACACAGAAGAAAACTTAATTATCCCCTTCTTCTTGACTGTGCTGAATCATCAGCCTTCTCTTGC
Source organism: Homo sapiens (assembly GCF_000001405.40). Taxonomy (NCBI): domain Eukaryota; kingdom Metazoa; phylum Chordata; class Mammalia; order Primates; family Hominidae; genus Homo; species Homo sapiens. The sequence goes on from NC_000001.11 coordinate 104,474,604, forward strand.
CTTTGAACTGGGACTTACATTAAGAATCCTGATAATAAGGCTGTTGAACTTAGACTAGAATTTTTACCACTGAATTACCTGGGTCTCTAGCTTACAGGCAGCAGAGTGTAGGCCTTCTTAGCCTCCATAATTGCGTGAGCTGATTCCTTAGAATTACTCATATATAGGATATATTTATTTTGTTTTTCTTGAGGACTCTCTTTGTTGGTTTATCTAATTCTGTAAAGAAAATAGGAAACTTTAGTTTGCCTGTCTCCTGAAGTATAATCTGCTCTCAAATTCCAAACATTTGTTTTATATTTCTTTACCTTGGACTATGCTGCATTATAATGATTTCTTCCCCTGCTCTTTTCCATTTCTTCCATTCCTTCTCTGTATACAACCAATGACTACACCAAAATTAATTAGTATCTGAATTTTGAGGGGATGTGGTGCAAGTGGGGAGGCTGGCAAGAAAAATATGCTTTAGTTTAATCTTTTTATACCCTCTTAAATGTGTATGAAATACAACAAAACAATTTGGAACCACCATTGAATCAAATAACTATTTTATATTACAGAAAAAATAAGCAACATTTAACTATTACTTTATTACTCTAAAAGTATAAAATATAAAGTTTTGTTTACACTGTTTTAGTGTTTTACAATTTGTCTCACATGGCGTTAAAAATATACTTTGGAAAATGATCTATTTCAGAAAAATGTAAGTCTAGATGCAAATTTGTAGCAGATGAGATCACTGTGATAAGAACTACATGGCTTATCAATGTCCTTTCATTCAAAAGTTATTTGCATTTCATTACTTTGTAACTCATTAGCATCTCCAAATCATATAATAATTCCAGAAGATATAAACTAGAAGTTGACTTGTGATTAATTTTTGAAACATAGAATATTCATGAGTTATTTTGTTACTATTCTTATGTATTTAAAACTGTCTTAATAACTGCTTTGGGAAAAATAATTGATTCAGTCATTCAATCTGAACATGCATTTGATGGTTATTAAACTCAGACACATGTCTACAGAATTCAAATAAACAATCTCCATTAAAATTAAAATATGACATCAACCTCTTATTCATAACATAATTGTACTATGTTTTGACAAGTGTATCATCATAATTTGAGCATCCAGTTTGAATGTGCAACTGTTTTTTTCAATAGCTAGGAACATGTTTGTCCCTTTATCAGATAATGTGCTTATTACAAATTTTCTATGTGCTTACAATGCTCTCATAAATTCAAAAAAATTCCAAACAACTTGAAAATGTGGTTCCAGTACTGAATATACAATTTTTTTTAATGATTGGGGTACTCCTCATGGGTGAGGCTATTGCTAATATATTGATTACTGGCAGATAAAGTGATATGGGGCCTAGTAATGGGGCTGATAGATTGGGAAGAGAATGTTGGAAAGGAGGTTCTCACCTTGCAAGACACCATCCTGCTGTTATGAGGGAAATGTGGGGATGAGACGTGACTACAAGAATGTCCTTTTGGCTCATTAATTATAAAACTCCAATTTTCATTTGAAGAATTAACTTACAACGAGCTAGTTCACTCACTCATTTATTCATTTATTCAACACATATTTTGGAGTACAAATAATGAATAAACACAGTGCTAGATAATGTAAATGCCATAGCGAAAAATGGATGAGCTAAAAATGATTCATGCCTCATGGGCTTCATTCCAAAAAGAGAGACACAGGGAACACTTATACAACTAATTACATGATGATAAGAAAAATGAAAAAGTACAGAAAGCTGTGACAGCATTAGAAAAGAGCCCTGATGTGGTCTGTGAAAGAAAGGGAGGTTTCTTTGTGGTAGTATTATTCAATCTGACATTTAAACAATGAATAAGGGTGAGTTATGTGAGAAATGGAAGAAAAGTAGAGAGAGATACAGGTTGAGGAACATTTCCTACAAGGACCCCAAAACTAGATGAGATATCTGAAAAACTGAAAGGATAGTCTTTGTGGCTGGATTACTGAAAATTGAGGAAAGAATAGTTGAAGATTATGCTTTAAGAAACGGAGAAGCCAGATAGCACAGGTCCTTCTAGGCCACATTAAGCATTTTGGATTTTATCCTAAGAAAAATTAAAATGTTTTAATGAAGCCTAGCTGTATCATACTTATGAAATACATATGACCCATTAATTGTCTTTATTTCTTTCATTGTTAGCAATTGAGTTTTTGTCCAGAGCAGTGTTGATGGATGGCCAGAGCAGGGTGTATGACACTCACCAATTTAAGAATGGAAATTCTGCAGGTTTATGGAAGGCAGTAAAATCCAGAACAATGGTCAACATTATGCAAATATGCTTCTGCTCTCTACATAATGGAAGGATTCTGATAAAATCCTCTTCCACCATGTAGATGACTGGTCTTCAGGATTATAGTACTGGAGAATGAGCACTGGTAGTAACATGGCAAGTCAGTGAGAGGAGGGCCTGGTGGTTGAGTCTCTGTACAATCTGCACCCCTGGAACTAGTATTTCTTTCTTTTATACTTACCTGAAGAAAAATGCTGATCTATTTTACAAAATAATCTTTTCATATTTTCTTATTACAAGCTTTCTCTGACTTAACACTTAGTTAAGTTAACCTAAGACTGTATACATGAGACACAAATATCCTTTTTTAATGTTTATTATACTTTAAGTTCTGGGATACATGTGCAGAACGTGCAGGTTTGCTACATAGGTGTACATGTGCCATGGTGGTTTGCTGCACCCATCAACCTGTCATCTACATTAGGTATTTCTCCTAATGTCATCCCTCCCCTAGCTCCCCACCCCCCAACAGGCCCCAGTGTGTGATGTTCCCCTCCCCGTGTCTATGTATTCTCATTGTTCAACTCCCACCTATGAGTGAGAACATGCAGTGTTTGGTTTTCTGTTCTTGTTCTAGTTTGCTGAGAATGATGATTTCCAGCTTCATCCATGTCCTTTCAAAGGACATGAACACATCCCTTTTTATGGCTGCATAGTATTCTATGGTGTATATGTGCCACATTTTCTTTACCCAGTCTATCATTGATGGGCATTTGGGTTAGTTCCAAGACTTTGCTATTGTGAGACACAAATATTCTTATCTGGTCACAAATTAGGAGGTCCATTAACATATGTCTTCTTCAACTTCTTATTAACGCTTCTATTTTTTTTTCAATGCCTGATTATCCTTTCAAAGCATTATTCATAGATATCTCACCCCAGGTGCTCTCTCCTTTGAGATAATGCTAAAAATTTAATTGTACCAGTTGGTGTTCTAACTCCTAATATTAGTTGTACTTTCTTCACTTTCATTTAGGATTATGCAAAAGTGGGATTTCAATACTGTTGTACACTTCTGGTCAGTGCAAAGATATTGTAGAGTGTTATCTGTAAATCAGGCTTGGATATTTTTCTCATCAGAACACTGATCACAGAGCTTATTAATGGTGCCATATATGAGTTTTGAGGTAAGACATAGTGGGGCAGTTGAAAACAAGCTGTGTTAATCAATTTCTCATGCAACTTGCTTGTGCTGGTTGGGACCTGCTTGAAACAATCTCACATATACTACCTTTCTTCATCATAAAGTACTGCTGGGAATGTCTAAATTTATTGCTAAAGAGAATGTAATAAAACCTAAGACACTGTGTGTAACTCAGGTTGGACAAACTTCTCATACCCAATGGTTAAGCATTTTAGTTTGCATCATCATCCAGAAATAGGAAAAAAAAATTTCTTGAAAAGGAATATAGTTAATTATTAAGAGAACACAGCCTTTCTTCCATTTCTTTGGGGGGTACCTCCGTGCCTCTTGCGTTGGGCCTTGTTATGCAGTTAAACCAAATATGTCTCTACTGTAAATACTTATGTAACACTAGACTTGTGGGTTTATGAGATAGTAAATCTGTATACACTGTAGAAACCAATAAGCTTTCTGGGCTACTTCAAAGTTATCCTTCCATAACTCAAAATGGGTTAAGAGGAGTGCCACATAGAAATGTTGCTTCCAAATTTGTGTCAAACCTAGGAAGCAATGACTGCTTGTTTTATTGTTCTGAAAAGTAACGTGGCCAGGTGGAGTGACTCACCCCTGTAGTAATCCCAGCATTTTGGGAGGCTGATGTGGGAGAATCGCTTGAGCCCAGGAGTTTCAGACCAGCCTAGGCAGCATGGCAGGACCCTGTCTCCACCAAAAATAAAATAAACAAAATTAGCTGGGCTTAACGGTGCATGCCTGTGGTCCCACCTCCTTGGGAGGTTGAGGCAGGCGGATCACTTGAGTCCAGAAAGTCGAGGCTGCAGCGAGCCATGTTAGCACGACTTTACTTCATTCTGGGAGAAAGAGTGAGATCTTGTCTCAAAAATAAGTAAGTAAATACAATTTAAATTAAAAACATGCAGAACCCTGCTATTTACTGTGGAGCTGATGTCTCAAACTTTCTAAGATGACTAGATTCCTAGTTATTTCATTGGCTTGGCAAATACCAGTTTTCACGAGAATGATCTCCTGTCCTCTGAAATGTAAATGAATTACCACAGCATCTAAGACACCTGCTATCCTCTCCTTTTCAGGTGCCATTGTGATAAGAATATTTGTGTAACTTGGGGATGACCTTTGAAAGAGTGAGATTGTCAAGGTCTTTCCTTGACTATAAGATGGTCAAGTTCCTTAAAAACTTAATGTTTGTTCAGAACCTAAAATTTAATGCTAAAGTAACATGTTGTAGGTAGAGCACTGCTGATTTTGCCAGATAAAACAGAACTGTTTCCAATTTTAATGACTTCTGGAAAATAATTTTGTTTATTATGAAATCAGAAACTGCACCAAGGGTTTTGCTTCATTATTCATCTTAAGATAATTGCCACAAAACTTTTACATCTTTATTAATTTTTAAGAGAATATATATAAAATAGCAGTGACAAAGTCAATTAAAGCAGTGATTTTGAAAAGTGATAATCAACTCATTTTTATCACCCATTTGTTTTGTCCCCCGGGAATAACTGATAACTAAAAGAGGATATGAGTATTCAATCAAACACCATTTTACAAAACTACTTAGGTCAGCTCCTTTTGTTTCCTACCTCTTGTATAATATCACCATCATATAGCCCCAGTAATGAAGGGTCGAGAAGGGCATATCACCTCTGTAGTAGTCTTCCCTAAAATGAATAAGGTGAATATAATAATGAGAAAGCGTCAAGCATGAATTGTGGGACATTCTACAAAGTTATTGATCAATGCCCTTCAGAAAACGTCAAAGTCATGAAAAACAAGGAAAGACTGAAGAACTGCCGCAGATTGGCTGAATCTAAGGAGAAATAATTGAATGTGGAATCTGAATTGTATCCTAGAACAACAACAAAAAACGGACATTGATAGAAAAAATGGTAAAATTTAAATAACATCTATAGAGAGTATTGTATCTATATTAGCTTTAATTGTACTATGCTTACATAAGATGTTAATATTAGGGGAAGCTGGATGAAGGATACAAAGGACCTCTTTTTACTACCCTTAATTGAAAATTTTATTGAAATAATTGTAGATTCACATGTGTTTGTAAAAAATAATATAGATGCTACTTTTACATTTTTTTCCAGTTTCCTCCAATAGTAACGTTTTTGAAAGTTGGGTATAATATCCCAACCAAAATTTGTACTGATACAATCTGCTTACCTTCTTTATTTTACTTTCACCCATTTGTGTGTTTGTGAATTCCGACTTCTAATTCTTCGGGTATTGTTCTAATTGTAAAAAATATTTATTCCTTAACTAGAAATCTAGAAAATTGTGTAAGAATAGTAGATTAATTTTAGGATAAATCTAGGCTTACATTGAGGAAAACTTCATGCAGTCCTCATTTATCACTTAGTGCTTAAGCTACTACCGTGACTAAGGAAAGGAAAGCATGTTGTAGTTTTCAGATTAATGAAACTTAGGACCTCTGTCAACATATACTCAAAAGATCTAAGTGTTTCATTCTCCAAATTGCATAGTTATTTCTCTCTTTGGAGAAGGCAAGAAAGAAGATTCTGAGAATGTATTTATCTTGTTGTAGGTCTTTCTGAGCCTGTAAAATAAAGAGTTTAGAATTAATTTGACAGTAATAATTCTATTACTTCAAATCAAACCCCCGCTTCTGCAGCCTAATTATATTTTATTTTAAAAATATCTAATAAGTGGATTCTTAGCCGGTTGCCAATCATGTGGTCTAGCTGCTATTGAAGACTCCTGAATATGAGAGATTTCTGATTACCACATTGGCCCTGCTGTTTATTGTACTCATTTGCCCTGGTCATTGAGTGCCACTACCTGCCCTGAGAACCTCACAGAATTCTGCAATGCCCATTAAAGTAAATGAGCCATTTTCAACTGAAGTGTATTTCAAGAGCATCAATATATTAAATAATTTATGGCATATATATTTATTATTGGCCACTATTGAGATTGGTTCCCAATGTACCAAGCAAACAATTAATAGTTTATTCTGATGATTGACTAGGAACCAAAAGAAGGAAAAAATATGCAAGTATAGATAACAAAGAAACGGAGAAGTTGGAGTGGATTTATAATTTGTAAATCGCCCATTTTGCATCTATAACACCTTTTAAGACCCCGAAGACATGTACTTCACAAACACATTGAAAAATGCATTGGTAAATAATGTGTTGGCATATTTGAAAATAATTTTAATAGCTTTGGAAAGGACTTATTTTATGTGGGTGAGAAGGGCAGTGTAGTGTAGTGATTAAAGGAGTAACTCTAAGCCCTAATGACCTATTTCATACTCACCACCTACTAGCTTTGCAAATGCATAAACACTCAATACTTCTACCCTTTCGCTTGAAAAATGAGTATGAGACTGATAAGTATTTAACAGGGTTGCTATTAATGTCACAATTGCACCTTCTGCGATCTGAAACCCTTACTTGGCTTCTTAAAGCCTGGAATCAATGAGTGCCACTCTCACTGCTTAATGATATACAGTGCTTGACATTAATATTCCTACTTTTGAGATTTTATCATTAATACTAGATTTAAAATTTCTGAGTTTGTTTATTTGTATCTAATTAGTCATTCCTTGTCCCCATGTTCCTGTTCTAAAAGCCAGAGTAGCCTATTAAGTAAATTTCCCGTCTTTTCAGTTTCTGTAATGAGTTCTGCTTCCTATCAAGTTTTAAGTTACACATTTTAAATAAAGTTTAGATGATTGTAAGACAAGAAAATGGAACATCTCTCCTTTAAAAATGCAACCAACTGTACTAGCAGAGTAAATTTCTGATTATATTTTCTCTCCTTTGGTTCATCATTGTATAAAAAATAATTTGTTAGTCAACTTAAAATAAGTATTCCAACCCACATGGCAATTAAAAAACATTGTGAAATAGGCTAATGTGACTCCACCTCAAACTGAAAAAATTCTGAGTTATGGAGAAATGTCAAAGTAAATGTCCTTATAATGAAATGACTTTCAATTTCTTTCTTTGGTATATTTCTCAACTCAACAGTCACTATCTACTATAGAAACCTGTAGCTATCTATAATTGTTTGTAGGCAAAACAGAGACAAGCCAAATGCAGAACTGTGTGTGCCAAGTAAGAACATAATAAATTCATATTAATAAAAGTGTTGCAAATTATTTATATTGAACTTACCTTATGAACTGTAAGATTTTGTTATTTTCTAGTTTCAGAATGATTAAAGTTTAATAGTACAGATTTTTTAAGTCAAACTTAAAAATTTAAATTAACTGTCCAGATGTATTTTCAGATGTGCATTCTTGTGCAGCAGATGTGTTCTTTGTTTTATATTCAAATTTGAAGTTATATAATCACAATGTAGATGGTCTGTAGAGAATTGTATATTTTAATTAAAAATAGTTTCATACAGAAAATAACTATTTCATAATTAAGTTGATTGGTAAATTGTAATTTCTGAAAAAGAGCCTCACCTGTTCTTTCTTTGATATTTCATCTCATATCACCATACAACAATTGCAAAATCACCTGTGATACAAATATAAATCCCCTACATGGAATAGAGAACTGTTACCTAACTGATATCCCTATTTCCATTCTTGACTCAATACAATCCATCCTCCATACAGAACCAAATTAAGCTTTCAAAATATAAATCAGATCACATTTGTTTCTATTCGATTGTTTTTCCATTGAAATTAGAATCAAATTCCAGTGTCTTGCTCTGATTCACAAGACCCTCACAGACTTCCCCCTTGCTAGTTTCTCAAGTCTAACTGGTGTAACTCTTACCATTATTTAATACACTCCTTTCAAATTATTCTCTTTTCAGTTTTTACATTCATTAAATGTTATTAATACACTGTCTTTGCACATATCATTCCCTTTACCTAGAAAAAAAACAACGTAACAATTATTTTGTATACCTAGCTCCTTTTCAAACCTCAAGTAGATATAAATATTGCCACTTCTTCCGTCACTCTATTTTTAAGTTATTGATACCAGTTTCTTTAAATTAATAACACTAAATTAATTTTCTTTAAGTGTTCATTTTCCTAAGATCGCTCTCTAGATTTGAAGTTTCATGTGATCAGGTACTATTCTCACCATGCTCACAAGTTTATAAGAAGTACCAAGTCAAATATCTGGTACATAACAGATATTATATCAATATTTGTTGAATTATTGGGATAAATACATTAATGAATAATGCTCCATGATTGAATCCTCTAATTTCTATAAATTTAGATAACATGTATGTATTAATATTAGTCTTACTTTAGTCATTTCAGTCTCCATAAGTACATCTAATGACTTCACAAACATGTTTTAAATAACAGACTAAATCAGTATTTTCAGTGGTTTCACAAATCTCCAAGAGAGGGAATTGTGTTCCTGGGAAATCAGGTTGTTCCTTTTTATCAATAGCAGCACATATATATTTAAAATTTGTATTAGTATTTATGTATAGGCATATATAATGATACATATGAAGACAGTGAGACATGAAAGGAGAGAGAAAAATGTATTCAAACTTGGTTTACATATGAGTGGATATTGCGTTTACATTTGCAGATAGTGCTTGAAGTTATAACCTAAAGTGCAATTTTATTAGATGTATAGCATAAATTTACCAATGAAAAATTTTTAATTAAAACTTATATGGTAAAATGACATGGGTGTAGAGTTACATATATATGTATACACACACACACAGACATATACGTGTGTGTGTATATATATATATATATATATATATACACACACATTCCATTTGGAAACACTTCTTTCTTTTGCTCTGTGCTGTGTGAGGAAAACACAAATAAAAAGGCATTTATATTCTAATATTATAAATACTAAATTATAGTGATGTAGAAAGAATAAAAAAGAAGAGAGTATCAAAAAAGACTTGTTTAACCAAATAGTAGGTTCACCTTGAAAAAGACATAGGAATTATTCTGTAAAAGGGAACAAAGGCAAGGTAAGTCACATATGTTTGGAGGACACAAAATTGTTTGACAGGGTCCTAGTTGTATGTAACAGTTTGTGATTAACAGAATGAACACAAATAAACATACTTTTGGGTTACATTTTAAAAATACTTCATTTTAAATTAAACTACTTGTATCATTATTAATTATTATAGTAACTTTTAAAAATAGTAAAATATTCCCCTATTCTATCACATTTTATGTGTCTAACCACATTAAAAGCTAAATGGTACAGATTATTACTCCTACTTTACATATAAGGAAGAAAAATGTAAATAGAAAATTTACTATAAGTCTCTGACAATTTGACAGCTCAGATATTATTCTTCATTAATATTTGCTAAAAGCTATTCAATACCAAAACACATTTTCCTAAAACTCAGTAAAATGTTAATTTAAAATAATTTTACATTTAAAAAAGGACAAAAGAATAAGCAGTCTGCTTCACTAAAGTTTCAATACAAAAACCTGCAACATATGAAGAAACATAATTTACCTTGACACAACATCATTATTTGTTAAGATAAATTAATAAACAGCACGTTTGGCTGCAACCAGTCTATTCAATTGTTGTCATAGTTGATTAGAATATCTGTCTAGACTGTAATAAACTGTGAATGTGTTAATATATGATAGTGCCTTTTGTTTATTTAATGTGAAACAATTACCACTTATTCATTCCACCAATCACGATTTTCCATGAGTGATTCTACCTCTTGCTTACAGTGTTCAAATGAACAAGACCATTAGTCACATTTTATTGTTGCCCAAAGCTATTATTTATTCTGAGTTAGAGATACTGAGGTGATTTAAATAGGTAATGTGCAATCTCACTAATCAGGTTTTTTCTAGAGATGTATGTTTAATAATTTCAGAAAGCAAAAGTATCACAAAGGAAGATAGCATACATGGAATCTTAGTGTATTATATTGCCTAACTGCAACAATATTCAATTCAAATTTTCCATGAATATTATTTCTAATAATATTATTCTGTACCTTATTTTAATTATTTGTTATTATAGGAACTTCTCTTTCACAAGTCAGTTGTGGTCAAGCTAATTGAATGTAAATTGTATGAATAAGATTATCACATTAATTATAAAATCCATTCTTACTCTGTATTAATTTATCACTCTTTAGAATTCATTTTCTCTCATTACTTGTTTGGTTATTTGTTTTTATTTTCTGAAGGCTAGGTATTTTCACTTTTTATTAAATAATTATATCTACTATGACTAAATTAATTTTCTTATATCTATTTTTATGGATAGTTTTGAATTACACAATTGTTTGTTACTTTTCAGATTTTGAATTTACATATTATGTTTTCTTCATAAACTCTATGCTATAGGAATGTATTTCTTTCATTCCATAATTATAAAGGATTTCAAATATTTTGGTAATAGATGTGGAACAGTTACTAACATAGAAGGAAACATGCTGCAGAGGAGGTAAACATCTTGCTTTCTTCAGGTAATTGTCATAGTTTTCCAGTTGTAGCTCCTCCAATACATTCAGAAATAAGGCTGCTCATTAAAGTGCTTTTAATCTTTTTGAGCAAAAAGGTAAAGTCAAACTAAGATATTTTGGAAACATTGATATGTAGAATATTATCTTTTTAGGTATGAGGCTACAAATGATATACCATGGCAATAGGTCCTTTAAGAAATAGACTGAATTGTGTAGAAATGTTTTCATCAAAAGTATTTGCCTTTTTGCCTAGTATTATTAAAATCAAATGTAAGTACAAAGGCTCTGTTACTGAAACAAGTCTACAGTTATCTACAGAATACAAACTAGTAGTGAATATGAGGAGATATTCATTGACACCACATATTTTGCATATTTTTTCTCTGTAAATTAACATGTCCCAAAACTTGTGATTTTAACATGCTGTTGATACGAACAAAACGCAGTAATACTTTTTTATTCCTATCAAGATTCCTATTATATGTTATTATTACTTATTCACAGAGCAAATTCAGTGTTTTCAAAGAAAAAAATCTGTTTTAAAGAGGGCTTTAAACATATATGTCTATTGTGAAAACATACAGGAACAAAGAATACCACAATGAATTTTAACAAGAGTGCTTTTTGAAACTAGATTTGTTAGAGCATATTTTTAATAAAATTTTTATTGTGTGAAATAAATATGTGATGTTAGTGACTTTTATTGTTTAAATCTGATGGCTTTTAAGAATTGAGATAGTGTAATGCTTTAGTATTTTTAATTATTATTATTATTAATAATAGATTTTCACTCGTCTTTACTCACACACACACCTAACCCCTTATCATTTTCAAATGCAGTATTTCACATTTGTGATATAACTTTCTTAGTTGGGTTATGCCATCTTGCAATAATTTACAAATGTTTTAAAGAATAAACAGATCAATCAATGGTATGTCACTAGTTCATACACATTGGATTTAAACCCTAACATGAACCTAATATATTAAATTAGACATATTCCTAATATCATTGATAGCATTCTTGATTTCTATATACCACACTCAGTTTGTTTTGCTTTGAGCTGCATTATCATTTCTCTGAGCTTCATGTCTTATGTTTTTGCTTCTTAAATTAGTAAATACATTGAAACAATTGTTCCTACAACAAGCATACTGAGTAGATTTGCACTTGCTTTTAAAAATAATCTAGACATGAGTTATCCTACAAATAGAAGGGTGACCATTCCAGGTCTAGAGTTAATCGGAAAGTCCAATATATATACAATTCATTTTTTCTAGAATTTTAATTAATTAAATGCTTCCTAAGAACATAATAAGAGTAATATGTTTCAAAAAATATTGAAATAGAAATGTACTTTGATGTCTTATTTAAAATATCAAAGAAAGTAAAGAAGAAAAAAGAAACACATGGTATCAGACAATGTTTACATGAAACTACAATGTGAGAGTACATTGCCAATTAACTATTCATCCGATTCTCAAGAAAAATAATAATGGAGTGTCCTACAGAAGGCTCATGTCTACAATATCTTGACTATGCCATATTCTGCTCTTCAGGCACTCACTTTCCTGATATTTAGCATACTGACACTTTAAATTGTATATTCTTCGGGGCTTTACTAAGAATATCATGTAAAGTGTTGAGAAAAATTTATGAAAAATATTGATATTCTAATAGCCTCATCCAACCTGGGAATTTCAGACCCGTCTTTTTGTAAGAAAGCAAGGCTACCATGTTGGTGTGCTGGACCCATTAACTCGTCACTTACATTAGGTATATCTCCTAATGCTTTCTCTCCGCCCACCCCAGCCCACCCCAGGACAGGCCCTGGTGTGTGATGTTCCCCTTCCTGTGTCCAAGTGTTCTCATTGTTCAATTCCTACCTATGACTGAGAACATGCAGTGTTTGATTTTTTGTTCTTGCAATAGTTTGCTGAGAATGATGGTTTCCAGCTTCATCCATGTCCCTACAAAGGACATGAACTCATCCTTTTTTATGGCTGCATAGTATTCCATCGTGTATATGTGCCACATTTTCCTAATCCAGTCTATCGCATGTATACATATGTAACAAGCCTGCATGTTGTGCACATGTACCCCAGAACTTAAAGTATAATAATTAAAAAAAAAGAAATTAAAAGGAATAAGAAAAAGAAAAAGGAAATAAAATAAAATCATTGGCTTCAACAAAAAAAAAAAAAAAGAAAGCAAGGCTACCACCAAGTAGTTCATAAAAGAATATGCAGAGAGACTCAGAGAGCCCTGGTTCAGTCACCGTTACATTTGCTTCTACACCACCATCAGTGTTGATAATATGACTTGTCTACCAAGGCCCTATATGGTCCTATGTCACTGTCACTGCTGTAATTGAAAATCAGTGCCATGATTTCTACGTTTCAAAAATCTTTCTCCTTTCCCTTACAACTCTGCAGAAAACTCAGAACCTTGCCAGACAGTGATCATTAAAGATAATTCCAACATGTTTGAATTTCTGTTTAATTTTAAAGGAAATACATGCCTTAAAACTTGATAGAAAGCTGAACTCATTATAGAAACTGAAAACACTGGAAATTTCCTTAATAGGCTACTATGGCTTTTAGAACAGTGTACATGGAAGGAGTATTTAGGCCAGTCCTAGCCTGAGGCAAATCACCAATCCCAGTGGTAGGAGCCTGAGTTCTGGCAAGCACTGCCATGTGCTAAAGTACTCTGCGGTACCAAATAAAGTTGAAAGGCAGTCTAGGTCAAAAGGACTGAAATTCTTAGGGAAGTCTAAGTGCCATGCCCAAGAGCCAGTGGACAGTGTGTATGCAATCTACAGAGATACCAGCTTGAGCAGCCAAGAGAGACTTGCATCACCCTTCCCTCAACCAGAGGCAGCACAAGTTGTAGCTCCAGGAGAGAATCCTTCTTCTCAACTGAGGAAAGGAGAGAGGAGTATAAAGACGACCTTGTGTTGAAACTTGGATGCCAGCTAAGCCACAATAGAATAGGCCACCAGGCAGAGTCCTGAGGCCTGCTATTCCAAGCCTTAGCATTTAGAAGGCATTTCTTAACACACCTTGTGAAATGCCTAACCTTGTTTTCACTCTAACTCGTTACTTTGAATTTTATCCTGCTTGTCTCTTTAATCACCTATCCTTGCTTCTCATGTAAATAAGACTCTCTCTAGCTGGGAAAGCCAGACAAACTCCAATTGACCCCTTAATTTACAAGACACTAAGGGCTCCTTACCCAACCTCCTTCTGTAAGGAGTTGACCTGTGTAAACAGAACCTCAGCATTTCAAAGGAGCCCAATTAACTGATAAGGTACTAGCACCAACAAGGTATGAAGTTCCCAGGATTTTTCTCAAGGAGGTAACAACATAGAGGTTTGAGTTCCTGCCCGGCATAGTCCCTATATCTAATTATAATGAAAGATTTAGATCCCTGCACGTGGTACCCTTGCTCTTTTTGTAACCATTTGTCTTTTAAATTGTTTATCTCTCTGTAACCATTTTGCTTCTTTTGATTCTTGCATGTTTTTACTTCTGTAGAATTATTGCATTTGAGTTCCCCTCCCCTTCCTAAACCTAGGTATAAAAGTTAATCAAGCCTCTTCCTCGGGGCCGAGAGAATTTTGAGCGTTAGCAGTCTCTTTGGCCTCCGGCTTAATAAAGGACTCTTAATTCGTCTCAAAGTGTGGTGTTTTCTCTAACTCCTGTGGTTACAACACTTGGGCCAAAAGGATACCCATTGCCTTAAAAAGAAAGACCTAGCCCTGGTAGAATTCATCACCTGCTGACTAAAGACTCCTTGGCCCCTGATCAGCAGTGGTAGCCAGGCAGTACTCACCATGGGCCTTGGGTGAGACTCAGAGTCATGCTGGCTTTAGGTGTGACACAGTGCTTTCCCAACTGTAGGGGTTATTGGGAGAGACCCCTTCTGCTTGAGAAAAGGAGAAGGAAGAATAAAAGCAACATCATCTTGCAGCTTGGGTACCAGCTTGGCCAAAATGGGTTAGAACACCAAACAGAATCCTGAGTTTCCTGATTCTAGGCCTTGATTCCTGGATGGCACTTCTAAACCCAGCCTAGGCCATAGGGGAGCCCAGTTTCTGAAAGGAGAAACTCAGAACTGTCAGCATTCACCACAAGCTGAAGGAAGAGCTCTTGGATTGGAGTGAATATCAGTGGCAGCAAGGCAGTACTTGCCATAGACCAGGGGTGATGACCACAAGGCGATACTCCTCTGCTTGAGACAGGGGAAAGAAGAGTAGGAGAGGCTTTTGTCTTGCAGCTTTGGTAACAGCTTAGCTTCAGCAGAATAGAACACCAAGTAGATTACAAGGGTTCCTGACTCCAGGCCTGTCTCTTGAACAGCATCTCTGGACCCACCTGGTGACAAGGGAAATTCACCACCCTAAAGGGAAGAACACAAGCCTGGCTGGATTGACCACTTACTGATTGTAGACCCCTTGGTTTTTGAGTGAACATAGGTGGTAGCTGGGTACTGGTCATTGTGGGCATTGGATGAGACTCAGTACTGTGCTGGCTTAAGGTCTGACCCAACAAAGTTACAGTGGTGGTGGCCCCTGTGAGTATCATTCCTGCCCCAACTCCTGGAAGCTCAGACAGAGAAAGAGACTCTTTTTTGGGGAGTGTGGAAGGGGAGAAGGAAGGAAAGAGAATAATATCTGCCTGATCATGTAAGGAATTAGCTGGGATCCTACCCAAGACCACCAAGAGTACATCTACGACTCTGCAAGAGCCACAGTGTTACTAGACTTGAGGTGCCCCTTAAAGCAGATATAGCTTCAGTGACCAAAGACTTGCATTACAACACTCAAGCCCATTCAAACACCTGGAAAGCCTTCTCGAAAAGAATAAGCACAAATAAGCACAGACTAAGAAGACCACAATAAACACCTAACTCTTCAATGCCAGCACACTGACATCCACAAGCATCAAGACCATCCGGGAAAAAATGACCTTACTAAGAAAACTGAATAAAACCAATGACTAATTAGGGAGAGACAGAGTATTCAAAATAGCTGTCTTGAGGAAGCTTTATTCAAGATAACACAGAAAAGAAATTCAGAACCTATGAGAAATTGAACAAAGAGATCAAAATAATTAAAAAGAAACAAGAAGAAATTCTGGAGTGAAAAAACGTAATTGACATTCTAAAGAATGCATCAGAGTCTCTTAACAGCAGAATTGATCAAACAGAAAAAATAATTAGTGAACTTGAAGACAGACTATTTGAAAATATACAGTAAGAGGAGACAAAAGGAAAAAAAGAAAAAAATAACGAATGAAGTATGCCTGAAAGATTTAGAAAATAGCCTCAAGAGCACAAATCTAAGAGTTATTGGCCTTAAAGAGGAAGAAGAGGGAGAGAGATTAGGGTAGAATGTTTATTCAAAGGGACAATAATGAATAACTTATCAAATCTACAGAAAGTTATCAATATTCAAGCACAAGAAGGTTATAGAACATGCATCAGTTTAGCCCAAAGAAGAATACCTCAAGGCATTTAATAATAAAACTCTCAAAGTTCAAAGATAAATAAAGGGTCCTAAAAGCAGCAAGAGAAAATAAACAACATACAAAAGAGCTCCAATATGTCTGCCAGCAGACTTTCAGTGGAAATCTTATAGGCCAGAAGAGAGTCGCATGAAATATTTAAAGTGATGAAAGAAAAAACGTTTATTGCAGAATAGTGTACCTGCTGAAAATATCCTTCAAACACAAAGAAATAAATACTTTTCCAGACAAACAAAAGCTGAGAAATTTCATCAATGCCGGCCTGTCTATGAGAAATGATAAAGGAAGTTCTTCAATCTGAAATAAAAATTATGTTAACAAGTAAAAAAATCATCTGAAGGTACAGAACTCAGTTAACAGCAAGTACACAAAAACAGTAAGTATACAGAATATTATAACACTGTGATTGTGATGTGTAAAATACTTGTATATTCAGTAGAAAGGCTAAAAGATGAATATATCAAAAACAATTACAACTTTCAAAACTTAAGAAAATAAGTTATAAACAAAAACAACAAAAAGTTAAAAAGTGAGAAGATGAAGTTAAAGTGTAGAGTTTGTATTGATTTTGTTTTTGTTTCAGATACACGAAATATAAAAAGTATGAAATTGAAACATACCACCTGAGAAAATCATCTTCACTAAAAGGAAGACAAGAAGGAAGGAAAGAAGGAAGATATCACAAAACAACCAGAAAACAAATAAAATAACATGAGCAAGTCCTTACTTATCTGAAACATTCAATCCAAATGAACTCAGCTGTCCAATCCAAAGACATAGAGTAGCTGAATGGATAAATAACATAAGACCCAGTAATCAGTTGCCTACAAGAAATACACTTCACCTATAAAGACACACATAGACTGTAAATAAAGGGATAAAAATAGATACTCTCTGCAAATGAAAACTAAAAAAAGCAGGAGTAGCAATACTTAGACAAAATTGATTGCAAGACAAAAATTATGAATAGACAGTCATTGAATAATTATAAACTGGTCAATTCAGCAATTAGATAAAACAATTGTAAATATATATGCACCCAACAATGGAGTACCCAGATAAATAAAGCCAGTGTTAATAGAGCTAGAGAGATAGACCCCAATACAAATATAGCTGGAGACTTAAACACCCCACTTTCAGAACTGGAGATGTTATCCAGACGAAAAAAAAAAAATCACCAAAGAAACATCAGAGTTAATCTGCAGCACAGACCAAATGGACCTTATACATACTTACACAACATTTTATACAATAGTTACAGAACAGAATACACAATCTTCTCCTCAACACATGGATCATTCTAAAAAGTAGACCATATGTCTATTTTGTTTTGGGCCTAAACAAGCCTTAATTTTTTTGGAAATTATATTAAGTATCTTTGACTACAATGTAATATAATTAGACATCAATAACAAGAACTTTGGAAACTAAATAAACACATAGGAATTAAACAATATGCTCCTTAATAACCAGTGGGTAAATGAATAAATTAAGGAAATTAAACAGTTCTTTGAAACAAATGATAATGGTAACACAACATAGCAAAACTTACGGGATAGAGTGAAAACAGTACCAAGAGGGAAGTTTATAGCTATAAGCACCTACATCAACAATAGTAGAAAAACTTCGAATAATCAACCTAATGATGAATCTTAAATAACTAGAAAAGCAAAAGCAGGCCCAGCATAGTGGCTCATGCCTGTACTCTGAGCATGTTGGGAAGCCAAGGTAGGCAGATCACTTGAGCCAGGAGTTCAGGACTAGCCTGGGCACCATGGTGAAACACCATCTCTACAAAAAAAAAAAAAAAAAAAAATGAAAAACTAGCCAGCATGGTTGTTCATGCCTGTAGCCCCAGTTACTCAGGAGACTGAGGTGGGATGATCCACTAAGCCCAGGAGTTCAAGGCTGCAGTGAGTCATGATTGCACCACTGCTTTCCAGCCTGGGTGACAGAGAGAGACCCTGTCTCAGAAAGAAAATTAAGAGCGACCAAACCCAAATTAGTAGAGGAAAATAAATAATAAAAATTGAAACAGAAATAAGTAAAATTAAAATGAGGAAAAAATATAAAAGTTCAATGAAATGATTTTTTTTTGAAAAAATGATAATATTGTAAAATTTTAACTGGACTAATTAAGAAAAAAAAAGAAAGGACCCAAATAAAATCAGAGATTAAATGAAGTAATTACAACTACTACTGTAGACATTCAAACATCATTTGAGGTTACCATGAGCAATTACATGCCAATAAATTGGACAACCTGGAAGAAATTTATAAATTTCCAGATACATACAACCTACCAAGATGAAACCCTGAAGAAGCTGAAAACCTGAACAGACTAATAAGTTATGAGATCAAAGCTTTTTTTTTTCTTTTTGAGATGAAGTCTTGCTCTTGTCACCCAGGCTGGAGTACAATGGCATGATCTTGGCTCACTGCAACCTCTGGCTCCCAGGTTCAAGCAATTCTCCTGCCTCAGCCTCCCAAGTAGCTGGGATTACAGGTGCTTGCCATCAGGCCCGGCAAATTTTTGTATTTTTAGTAGAGATAAATTTTCACCATGTTGGCCAGGCTGGTCTCGAACTCCTGACCTCAGGAGATCTGCCTGCCTTGGCCTCCCAAAGTGCTGGAATTACAGGCATGAGCCACCGCTCCCAGTGAGATCAAAGCTTTAATAGTAAGTTGCCCAGCAAAGAAAACCTTGAGACCTGATGGCTTCACTTCTGAATTCTACCAAACATACAGGGAAGACGTAACACAAATTTTATTTAAACTATTCCAAAAAATAGAAGAGGACACATACTTTCAAACTAATTTTATGAGGCCAGTACTGCCCTGATGCCAAAAGCAAAGACATATTCCCAAATAAAAACTACAGGCCAATATTCCCAATGAGTATTAATACAGAAAAAAATCCTCAACAAAATATTAGTAAACCAAATTCAATAACACATTAAAAAGAATAGTCATCATGAGCAAGTGGGATTTATCTCAGGGATGCAAGGATGGTTTAACATAATGCAAATCAATCAACATGATACATCATATCAACGGAATAAAGAAAAAAAAATATGATCATTTCAATTAATGCTGAAAAAGCACTTGATAATATTTGACATCCCTTCTTGATAAAAACCCTCACCAAATTAGGTGTAGAAGTAACATACCTTAGCACAGAAAAGCCATATACAACAGATCCTGAACTGGTATCATATTGAGTGGTGAAAAACTGAAAGCCTTTCCTTTAAGATCTTGAATGAGACAAGGATGCTGACTTTCACCACTGTTATTCATCATAGAACTGTAACTCCTAGCTAGAGCAATCAGACAAGAGAAATAAATAAATGTCATCCAAACTGCAAAGGAGTAATTCAAGTTATTCTTGTTTGAAGGTGATGCAATCTCACATTTGGAAAAACCTAAAGACTCCACCAAAACTGTTAGAACTCATAAGCAAATTCAATAAAGTTGCAGGATACAAAGTTAACATACAAAAATCAGTAGAATTTTTTATGCCAACAAATGAAACACTAAAAACTAAAACCAAAAAGTAATCCCATTTACAATAGCTACAAACAAAATAAATTACCTAAAAAGTAACCAAAAAAGTGAAAGTCCTCCACAATGATAGCTAGAAAATTGATGCAAGAAATTCAAGAGGACATCAAAAAATCAAAATATATTCCATGTGCATGGATTAAAAGAATCAATATTGTTAAAACGTCCATAGAACCCAAAGCAATCTACAGATACAATATAATCCCTATCAAAATACCAATGGCATTCTTTAGAGAAAGAAAAAAAGTCTGAAAAGTTACATAGAACCACAAATGGGCCAGAATAGCCAAAGCTATCCTGAACAAAAGGAAAAAACTGGAGGAATCACAGTGTCTTACTTCAAATTAAACTATAGAGCTATAATAACCAAAAGGGCACAGTACCAGCGCACAGACCAATGGAATAGAATAGATATCCCAGAAATAAACTCAGAAATCTACAGTGAACTTGTTTCTGACAAAGGTGCAAAGAATATACTTTGGGGAAAGGACAGTCTTTTCCATAAATGATGCTGGGAAAACTAGGTATTCACATGCAGAAGAATAAAACTAAACTTCTATCCCTCTCCAAGTAAAAATCAGATCATAATGAATTAAAGACTTAAATATAAGACCTTAAACTATGAAACTACTAAAAGACAATATTGAGAAACTCTCCAGGACATTGAACTGGGCAAAGAGTTCTTGACTAATACCCCAAAAGCATAGGCAACCAAAGCAAAAATGGATAAATGGGATTGCATCAAGTTAAAAAGCTTCTGCACAGCAAAGGATATGATCAACGAAATTAAGAGACAACATGCAGAATGGGAGAGAATGTTGGAAAACTTATCTATTTAACAAGATTAATAACCAGAATATATAAGAAGCTCAAATAATTCTATTGGAAAAAATCTTATAATCCAATTAAAAATGAGCAAAAAATCTGAATAGACATTCTTCAAAAGAAAACATACAAGTGATAAGTAGGTATATGAAAGGTGCTCATCATTGATTATCAGAGAATTGCTAGTCAGAACTACAGTGAGATATCTTCTCATCTCACCCCAGTAATAGTAGCTTTTTTTCAAAAGTCAAGCAATAACAAATGCTGCTGAGTACAGGAGAAAAGGGAACTCCCATACATTGTTGGTGGGAATGTAAATTATTACAACCACTAGGAAGAACAGTTTGAAGGTTCCTCAAAAAGCCAAAAATAGAACTACTATATGATCTGGCAATCTTACTGCTAGATACATACCCAAAAGAAAGGAAATTGGTATATCAGCTAGCTATCTGTACTTGCATTTTATTGCAGCACTGTTTACAATAGCCAAGACTTGGAAGCAACTTAAGCATCCTTCAACAGATAAATAGATAAAGAAAAGGTCTTACATATATAAAGTGGAGTACTCTTCATTCATAAGAAATAAGATCTTGTCATTTGCAACAACACGGATGGAACTGGAGGAGGACATTACGTTAGTTGAAATAAGCCAGGCCTAGAAAGAAAATCTTTCCATGTTCTCACTTATTTGGGGGAGCTAAAAAACCCAAAACAAGGCTGGGAAGGGTAGTTTTGTGTGGGAAGTAGGGATGTTTGGGTACAAAAATGTAATTAGATAGAGAGAATAAGTTCTAATATTTAACAGCACAGAAGGTGACTAGAGTCAGCAAAAATTTATCGTACATTAAAAAATAACTGAAAGAATATAATTGGATTGTTTGTAACACAATGAAAGGATAAATGCTTGAGGTGATGAATACTCCATTTACCCTGATGTGATTATAATGTTTTGTATGCTTGTATCAAAATATCTCATGTAGCACATAAATATAGACACCTACTAGGAACGCACAGAAATTAAAAATAAAAATAAATAAATATTAATGGTACCCATTGGCCATTTTTACATGCTTTATTCTTTTGTCCTGTACATAGCAGAGACTGGAGATGGTGCCATTATTTTTACTTGAACTGCAGAGTACTATTCTCTATTTTTCTCCTAGGTTTTATTATCTTCTTTATTTACATGCATCTCCTTAGTAATTTCATCCGATAAAATGGTTTTAAATATCAAAGCTGAAGACTTTTTTTTTAACCTTCAGCCACAGTGTCCTTTTGACCTCCAACCTTGTATATTTAACTCCTCAATAATTCTCTTCACGTGAAATGTAATTTATTTTTCTAAGACAAAAATAATAATTTCTCTGCTTTCCAAATTATTTCTCCACCAGTACTGATCATTTAATTTTATCCTACATTTCTACTTGGTATGAATAATTCTCAATACTTCCCTTTCTGTCATACTCCATATCCAGTCCATCAGCAATTTTCATTGGTACAACGATTTAAATATATACATTATCATTCATTTGATGTGGAATCAATAAAAATCATGGATCTGCTCCTTACAGTGTCACAACTTGAAAAAAAACAATCTATAATGCATCAGTTTTGTAATTGAGATTCTCTGGCATACATAGCCTATGGTAAGAATTCAGTAATTTTATATGGAGTATAGTTAATTGCACAAAATACACTGAATTTAAAGTAGCAATAAATTAAAGTAGCAGTAAATTAAAGATAGACCCACATGTAGAAATAATAGGTTACTTTTAAGACCTAGATTAAGAATTCTATAATTTTACAAATTAATACTTTTAGACACATTAAATAATTTTTAGTGGTATTAAACTAAATTAGTTTATTAAAGATAGAATTCAATTTGCATAGACAACCTGATAATGAGAACATTTATTTCAATTCCCAGATCATCATTTAATAAAATGTATATTAATAGAAATTCTCCTTTTCTTCCTCTCTCAAATATTTCTCAGATGAGACATTTTGGTTATTTAGAGTAGGAGACATTTTAGCGTCATTTAGCCACTCCAGCCCTAAAGGAACTACCTTTAGTATTTTCTGCCCATTTTGACACCCAAAAAACACTTAAAGATTTCCAGAAGACACAAAAGAAAGGTAGTACTGTCTGACTCACCCATCAACTAAACAAAGTTTCTACATATCAATATAATGGTGACTAGCATCTACCAAAGCATTACACTATGTAAAACATATTAAAGAAGCTAATGGATACAAAGGCAATGGGTTCATTATTAACTGTCATGAATATAATAAGTAGAGTAAGAATGAGGACTAGAAAGACCTAGATGATCCTTTGTCCATGGAGACATGAATTTAAAAACAAACACAAAATATCTCCATGAGAAATCCAGAAACCAATGAAATGTTTTCTCTACCCCAAGTAAGCGTGAAGCCAACCATGTGGAAACCCAGTAGAAAATCACTGACACTCTCCACTCTATCTTGTCAGAACCGCTCTCCCCGCCACCAGCAGAATGGGGCAGTTTGGGAGGAAGCCATCCACTCCCATTATCTTCCTGGGAAAGGAAATGAATAGAAAGTACATCCAACTGACTTTTAGGGAACCTGCCTGAGGAAATGTCTGTCTTGCCTGTATCCAAGTACTAGCAGAAATGGAGTGCCAAATTAGGGGTCTCTGAAAACAAAGATGTCAACCTTGTACCAAAGTCTACAGTACCAAAGACAGGTACTAGGTAGAGATCTACCATCACGTTTAAATAAAGCAACAGAGAATATTCATTACTGGAGACAGACACCAGAGGAAAAATGTAAATAGAAGCCTGTAAACCTCCTCTAAAAGATTACACATATAAGCCCATAAGGATGTACACCCAAAAAAGTCTTGAGAGGTCTCCAGAATCTCTACCCAGGTTGTGTAGGGAAACTCCTCCTTGTCTGAAACCAGACTGCAAAGTCTGGGAGAGATGGCTGATTCTTCAGTTGCTGAAATTCCATAACAACACAAAGGAAACAAGCAGTCTTGTCACATTTAAAGGCACCAATTAAATCCCTAAAAACTAAGGCCAAATGAGTGGAGATATCCCAATTTGCCAAAGAAATAAAAATTACTGTCATGAAAATGCTCAGTGAACTAAAAAAAAAAAATACAGACAACTAAATGAAATCAGGAAAACACAAAAAGAAATGAGAATATAAACAAAGAGATAGAAACCATAAAAAAATTATCCAACCAAAAAATATAATAATTAAATTGAAAAATTCACTGAAGGAACTAAAATTTAGCATTCACTAGACAGAAGAAAAGATCAATGAACTGGACAACAACACTTTGAAATTACTGAGGCAGAGAAACAAAAATTGTCAAGTAAAGTGAGGAGAGCCTGAGAGACTTATGGCATATCATTAAGCTGAACAACACACACATTATAGGACATGCAGAGGTGAGGAAAGAGAGAAAAGGCAGAAAACATAACTGAATTAATAATGGGTGAAAATTTTCCCAAATCTAAAGACAGAAATGAACTTATAAATTCAAGAAGCTCAAAAAACTCTTCAATTAGTACAAATTGAAAGAGAGCCACATAAAGATGCATCCTAAACGGATGGTGAAAAGTCATAGATAAAAGAGAAAATCTTGAAAGAAGCAAGAGAACAATGACTTGTTAAATAAAAGGCAGCTCTACCAACCTGTAGTCTAAGAGAAAATGGAATGTTGTATTCAAAGTACTGAAAGGAAACAGCAACTATCAAGCAAAAATACTACATTTAGAAGTCTCTCCTTTAAAAATAAAAGATAAATTAAAAGCAAAGGGAATTAATAACTACTAGACTTATCTCATAAGAAATGCTGAAAGGAGTCCTACAAGCTGATGTAAAATGACAAAAAACAAAAATATAAAAACCACATGGAAATAAATCTCTGGTAAAATTAAGTATAGAGACAAATGTAGAATGCTTAAGTGTTATAATATGTGAGTAAATCAATTATAAATCTGGTGTATGTGTGTGTGTGTGAATCAATTATATAATGTGAATAAAAATATGTGAGTAAATCCAGCATATTATATACATATGTGTGTATGTGTGTATATATAAAGTATAAAAGGTATAAGCCTGCATTAATAGATACTTAGTATAAAAAGGTACAATTTCTTTCATCACTAATATAAACTGGAAGGGAGTCAGAATGTAGAAGTAGAGTTTTTGTATGTGATTGCAGTGATGTTGTTATCAGTTTAAAATAAATTATTAGGCTGGGTGCAGTGGCTGACACCTGTAATACCAGCACTTTGAGAAGCCAAGGTGGGTGGATCACAAGGTCAGGAGTTCGAGACCAGTCTGGCCAACATGGTGAAACCCTGTGTCTACTAAAAATACAAAAATTAGCTGGGCATGGTGTTGGATGCCTGTAGTCCGAGCTACTCAGGAGATTGAGATAGGAGAATTGCTTGAACCTGGGAGGCAGAGGTTGCAGTGAACCAAGATCGCGCCACTGCACTCCAGCCTAGGAGACAGAGTGAGACTCCTTCTTTAAATAAATAAATAAATAAATTGTTACAATGTTTAAATATTTTATGTAATGGCAATGATTATTACAAGAAAATATACAAGACAAATCAGAAGAGAATCAAAATGTCCCTACAAAAATATCAATAAAACACAAAGGAAGTTAGTCAAGATAGCTACAAAAAGACACAAAAGATAGCTATAAGACAGACAGAAAACAACAAAATGTTAATATTAAGTCTTTTCCTATCAGAAGTTAATTGAAATGTAAACATAAATTAACATTAAATTTAATTAATAAACATTAATTAAATTTAAACATGACAATTAAAGGATGTTGACTCAATGAATTACAAAAACAAAATCCAACTGTATGCTTCATATGAAACATACTTTAGATTAAGGACACTCAGAAGGCTAAAATTGAGAGTGGAAAAAGATGTTTTATGCAAAATGGAATGTAAATAGATAAGAGTGGCAATACTTAGACAAAACAGACTTTGAGAAAAAAACTGTCACAAGAAACAACGAATGACATTACAGAATGACAAAAAGGTCAATTCACCAGAAGATACAGCAATTACAAATACATATTCACCCAACATTAGCACACTCGAATATATAAAATGAACATTGATAGAATTTAAGAAAAAAATAGCAACCTCAAAATTGTTGGAGACTTCAATTATGGATATCCCACTTTTAGTTATGGATAGAAAAATCAGACAGAAGATGAAAAATAATAGAGATATTTCACAACACTACAGATCAATTGGAATTAACAAATATATACAGAATGTTTGATTTAACAGTAGTGGAAAATATATTTTTTAAGCACACATGGAATATTTTTCAAAATAGGCAATAGAAATGCAAACAAATTTAGGATTGAAATTACACAAAGTATCTTCTTTCTCAGCAGAAGAGGATAAATAATAAATGTTATAGCAGAGGTAAGTGAAGTAGAGAATAGAAAAGCAATATGAAAAATCAACAAAACAGTTTTTTTTTAATTTAACTAAATTGACAAACCCTTAGCTAGACTAAAAAGAAGGTAAAAGGCTCAAATAAATAAATTCAGAAATGAAAGAGTAAACATTAAAACTAATGTCACAGAAATAAAAATAATTATGCCACTATTATGAATGTGAATAAGTTGGACAACCTAGAAGAAATAAATTATTAGAAATACATGGTATATGAAGACTGAATTATGAAGAAAAAAGAGAGCAAATCGATAATTAGTAAAGAGATTAAATCTGTAGTTAAAAATCTCCTATCAGAAAAAGCTCAGGATTACCTTGTTACCAAAAATCAGACAAAGGCATAAGACAAGAAAATGATGGAACAATATTACTGTTGAGTATTGACTAAAAAATCCTCAATAAAAACTAACAAACTAAATTCAACAGCACACCATCTCAATTGATGCTCAAAAAGCATTTGACATAATACAATATCCTTTCATGACAAACACTCTCAATAAATTAGGAATAGAAGGAAACTATCTCAACATAATAAAAGCCATATATGGACATAGTACTAGAAGTTTTAGCCAGAATAATCAGACAAGATAAGGAAATAAAAGCCATGAAAATTAGACATAAAGAATCAAAATTATCTGTTATCAGATGACATAATCATACGTTTAGAAAACTCTAAAGACTCTACAAAAAATGATTATAACAAATTTAAAAATTTAGAAAAGTTGCAGGATTCATAATAACACTTAGAAATCAGTTCCATTTCGAAAGACTAAAAA
This sequence comes from Homo sapiens, assembly GCF_000001405.40. Taxonomy (NCBI): domain Eukaryota; kingdom Metazoa; phylum Chordata; class Mammalia; order Primates; family Hominidae; genus Homo; species Homo sapiens. The sequence goes on from NC_000001.11 coordinate 104,501,738, forward strand.
TGGCCAACCTGAAAAAGAAATGAAAATATCTTCATTTACTGTAGCCTCCAATAGAACAAAATACTTGAGAACAAGCTTAAACAAAGAAGTGAAAGACTTGTTCACCAAAAAGTACAAAACTAAAAGAAATCAAAGACACAAATCTTCTTTGCTAAATCAAAGAACAGACAAATAAATGGAAAGATACTCTGTACTGTGGACTGCTGCACTTAATATTGTCAAAATTTTCATACTACCGAAAGCAATCTACAGGTTCAAAGCCATTCTTATAAAAAATACAAGGACATTTTCTTAATTTTGCAGAAATAGAAAAATGTATTCTAAACTCCATATTAAAGTGGCATCATTGGCAGAGGTAATACCCAAGGTTCATTGTTCCACAGCCATGGAAAACTGGAACGCGAACCCACCAGAGTGGGGTTAAGAGTGGAAGTTCAACAGGCGAAAGAAAGAGAATATCTCTCTCTACTGCAGAGAGAGGGGTCCCAGAAAAAATGGGTAGCCAGTTCCATGGTGAAATGCGTGAGGTTTATAAACTAGCTTGAGGAGGCAGTGTCTGATTTACATAGGGCATGAAATATTGGTCAGATTAGGTGTGCCATTTGCATAGTGCACAAAGAAGCTGGCTGCCCCACCCTAGTCCTTTATTATGCAGATGGGTTCTTTACCTGGCTGGCACCATGTTTCCTGCTTTTCTACTGTACACGTGGTAACAAAGAAAAGGGAAGATGGAGACTCCATATTGAACATATCTGGCTTTCAGGTAGCTCTTTTCTATTGGCACAGCTGCCTGCATTCCCCTATGCAAGTTTCTAACTTGCTTATCTATGTTTGCAGCGTGACTTCACAGGCTGCTCTGTTTTAGAAAAGAAATGATTTTGGGACTTGTAAGAGTTAAAGAAAGAGGAAAGAAACATACAAAGTGGCTCAGCACTCAGAAACAGGTTTTTTTGGAGAATAAATCTGAGAGGGGCTTCTGGTCAATTTCAGTCAGGAGCACTCTCTCTTACAGACTGAGTATTTAAGAGTTTAGGGTGAGAGAGCTTATCACAGGCTTGGAATATTTCTGTGTGGAGGAGAAGTTTATTGCAGAGTTGGCATGTCTCTGGTCAGAGGGGAGTTTATCTTGGGGCTGACATCTCTTCAGATGGAGGGGAGGTTATCTCGTGGCTGGCATGTCTCTGGTTGGGGAGGGGTTTATTTTAGGGTTAGAATATTTATGATTGCAGATGTCATTTGTGGTCTATGGTCATGCTGACATTAGCCATCAGGTCGATGCCCTTTGGGTTGGACCCAGGCAGTTTTTGATCAATAGGAACTTTAAAATGGCAGTGCTTGTCCAAGATGGCGAGGCTCCTGCTCTATCAGGGCTGCTTTTTGTTAAAAGGGAAACCTTGCCAAGGATTCCCTCACTTACTGCCAAAATAATTTGTTTTTATCTCTTGTATTAATATGGAATCTCAAAGGACCCCAAAGAGCCAAAACAATGTTGAGAAAGAAAAATAACATTATAGGCGTCAGACTCCCTGATTTCAAAATATATTACAAAGCAGGAATAATTTAGGCATGTGTTACTGGTTTAGAAATATTGACCAATGGAATGGAATAGAGAGCTCTGAAATAAACCCACATATAAATGGCCAAATGCTGTTTGACAAGAGCGCCAAGACTGAACAATGGGGAAAGGATAGTATCTTCAAAAAATGGTGTCAGAAAAAATGGATATTCATTGACAAAAGAATTAATTTGGACCTTTACCTCATACCAAGTACAAAAATTACCTCAAAAGTGATTGAAAACTTAAATTCAAGATCTGAAATTATTAAACTCCTAGAAGAAAACATAGGAGAAAGATTGAAGTCACTGTATTTGACAATAATTTATTGGATATGACACCAAATGTACATACAATAAATTCAAATATAGATAAATGGGACTACAACAATCTATGGAATGGGAGAAAATAACTGCAAATTATATATCTGATAATGAGTTAATATCTAGTATATATAAGAAATTTCTATAACAACAAAAATGAATAACTTGATTAAAAATTGGGCACAGAAATTAAACTGTTTTCCAAGAAGAGATACAAATGTCCAATAAGTGCATGGAAAGATAATCAACATCAGAAATCATTAAGGAGATGCAAATTAAAATTACAGTGAGATATCACTTTATGTCCGTCAGGATGGCCACTAACAAAAGAAAAGAAGTGTTGGCAAGGATGAACACTTGGCGAGTGTTGACAAGTTGCATTTTTTTGCACTGTTGGTGGGAATGTAAAATAGTGTAGCTACTATGGAAAGCAGTATGGAAAGTCCTAAAAAAATTGTAAATAATAATAACCATATGATCCAGCAATCCCACTTCTGGTATAGAATCAAAAAGAATTCAAAGCAGAATGTCACAGATATTTGTAAAGCCATGTTTTTCATAGCATCATTCAGTATAGCTAAGATGTGAAGAAATTCTCATGTGTAATGACAGATAGATAAATAAAATGTATATAACTACAGTGGAATATTATGAAACCTTTAAACTAAGAAAATCCTGTCATATGATTCAACATGAGTGAACCTTGAAAACATTATGCTGAACAAAATAAGTCTGTCACAAAAGGATAAGTATTGTATCATTGCATTAATCTGAAGTATCTAATGTAGTCCAAATTATAGAAACAAAAAATAGAATGGAGGTTATCAAGGGCCTCTAGGGAATGGGGTTAGTGTCTAGAAGATAGGGAGTTTGGTGTTGGAAGTTGAAAAAGTGTTAGACATCTGTTGCACAAAAATGTGAATATATTTAAAACTGAACTGTACACTTAAAAATGGTTAAGTAAATTTAAGTAACTGAATACATTTTATCATGACAAAATAATTATAAAATAAAAATATATACATAATGCATTACTCTTCATTATGAATACCTAATACTCCAATTATTTTTGTCTTGTTGGCTTGCTATTACTCTTTCCATCTATTAAGAACATCCCAAGACTTTTCTGAGTCTGCTAGAATCTGAAAGATTACTGTCTTAATTGGCTGGCTAATTTGACAATCACAGACAGTATTCCTGCATTTCAAGTTAGTGAGAAGTAAGATAAGAAAAATCAAGAATTATTTATATTTTATTTAAAAGGTAAACATTGCCTATCTATGTCGTTCTTATTTGTGCTGAGTTCTATGGATAAATTTCATCCTACGAGAGGCCTATTTTTCTCACTGAGATTTCAGTATAAAGAGGAATAAAAACAATTACATTTCCAATTACAATATAGTATTTGAAAGTATTATGATATGGAAAAGGTGTAGGTATATATACATTCAGCACTCCTTAGAATGTTTACTGATACCCGAATAACATAGGGAAGTTCACAACATGAAAGGATGGGTAATAGAGAAAATGTTTCCATAGAAAGAGAATATGCAATGCTCCAGAAGTTAGAAAGTACTTCCAGTTTAGCAAATAGTAATAATCAAATGCTTGGTTGTGTAATTAAAAATATATGTATTAATGAATTAAAAAATGAATCCTTCATGATGAGATATTTTTAAATACAATAGTTTTAAACCTGACAGCATAAACTTGAATTTGGATAAGTATTAAAATAAATTTACTAAAGATATTAAAATAAATTCTGTTAATGACAACTTTTTTTACAGTAATATAAACTATGAATATCTTTCCACATTGCCTTAGCAAAGCAAAAAAGTAACTAGTGTTCTAAATCTATTAAAGTAATGATGATTTAGATAATTTTACCAGTACCTAAAGTGTTCTTTAATATCCTAATATGAATTTAAGTGTTGTAATATCTACTGTATTTTTATTTAATTACGTGGTGTTACGAACTTAACTGGGGCTTCCTCCACCCCAAATTTCTATGTTGAAGCCCGAACTCTCAATATGACTGTATTTGGAGACAGGGACTACAAGGAGAAAATAATAGTTAAATGAAATTATAAGGGTGAGGCTTTAGTTCGATAGGGTGGTCTCCTGATAAGAAGAGAAGACAAGAAAGACACAAGAGAACTCTGTCCCTCCACACAGATGCAAAGAAGAGCCTTTGGGAAAATACAGCTGGAAGGCAGACATTTGCAGGCCAGGAAGAGAGTTTTTTTTTGCCAGAAACCAAATCTGATGGCTCTTTGATGTAGAACTTGTAGACTGAAGAACTGTGTGAAAACCAATTTGTATTGTTTAAGCCACCCAGTCTGTGGTATCGTGTTATGGCAGGCCAAGTAGATTAATACAGATGAAATCATCAAATATTTTCTCTATGATACCAATTCTTTAAAATTGTTTAATTCTTTGAAATTATTTTAATTATTTTGAATTGTTAAGAATTGTGGATTACTAAGCAGACACTTCTTGCATGGGTTTAATTTGTATTTTAAATGTTAATACAAATGGTCTCTGATTTATGATGGTTTGACTTAAAATATTTGTAATGTTTGATGGTGCAAGGTAGTATGTGTTCAGTAGAAACCATACCTTGAATTTTAAATTTTTATCTTTTCGCAGGCTAGCCATGAAACAGTATAATACTCTTTTATGCCATGCAGTCATGAGGGTACTCTGTTGCCAGTGTTTTGTGGATATTCAGTTTTGTGTTTTTTGCATCCAGTCATGTCTAGAAAATGCCCATCTGTGTTTCTTGCTTCTGGTAAAGAAGAAAAGAGGAAGGCAATTACTTTTGAGATAAAGTTTCAAATAATTGCCCAGAATGAAGGAAGTAATCCAGTAATAGCCATTGCACACGAGTAGGGACTTGTGCAATCTACACACTCAACCATCTTAAAAAATGAAGAGTGAATCGGTGATGCAGTGAAATCATCAGTATCAGTTAAATCAATTGTCATCAAGGTGAGTTAGGCCAGTTGATGATACAGACAAATTACTTGCCTCGTGAATAGAAGACGAGACATAGAAGTGTATACTGCTTATCCTACTGACTATCCAGGCTAAGGCAAAAAGTCTTTTTGATATGCTAAAAGAGTGTGCTAATGATCCTGTATATAGGTAAATGTGTATTGCAATTTATGAGTAGCTCTAACACATCAAAAGACATAATTTTCATAATGTAAATGTCAGTAGTGAGGCAGCAAGTGCTAATACTGAAGGAAGTGAAGCACTTTTAAGGTAGCCTAGGCTGAACTATGATATTTGATAGGTCCCGTGTATTAAATGCATTTTTGAGATGATATTTTAAATTGATGATGGATTTATCAGGACATAACCCAATTGTAAACTGAGGAGCAATTGCATACATTACTACTAACTCTTGGGTAGTTGTTAATCTTTCTTTGATATTTTTCATCCTTTCATCTTTCTGTAATGCATTCTAGATGGTCTTTGAAATACAAACTCTAGTTCACTTGTTCTCTTTATCCCGTTCTAATAAACTTTCCATTTACTTAATAAGTTCTTTTATCATATTTTTTCTAGTTTATTCTATTTAAAATCCTACCTCTGACAATGTCAGGAAAATAGAATCCAATTTACCTGACCATTTTAAACAAGTGGAAAAGAGAACAGATATATATAAAACTATATATATAGTTTATAGTTATTGGGCATTGAATGAGTGATCTGTGAATGGCAGAAAACACATTGGAGAGTTTCCAGGCCGCTGCACAGAATGGTGCAAACATAGCTCAGCCTTGCAGGCTTATAGGTTTTTCTTTTTTATTATTTTATTTTATTTTTCTTTTGAGATGGAGTCTCTCTCTGTAGCCAGGCTGGAGTGCAGTGGAACGATCTTGGCTCACCGCAACCCCCGCCTCCCGGGTTCAAGCGATTCTCCTGCCTCAGCCTCCCTGAGTAGCTGGGACTACAGGCACATGCCACCACACACAGCTAATTTTTGTATTTTTAGTAGAGACGGGGTTTCACCATGTTGGCCAGGAAGGTCTCAATCTTGTGACCTCATGATCCGCCCGCCTTGGCCTCTGAAAGTGCTGGGATTACTGGCGTGAGCCACCACACCCGGCAAGATTTGTTCTTTTCAGGAGACAGAGCCTAGACTTTTGGTAACACTGAGCTGTTAGAATCTGTGAAGCAGGAAAAAAAAATAGGAGGGAATTACATAGAGTGAGAGAGAGAAGAGAGAGAGAGAGAGAGAGAGATCTAAAAATGTTGATAATGGTCTCAGAATATTTTAGTATTTTTTAAAATATTTGCATGTAAGAAAACTATTGCAGCTCAGGGTCAGAGGGTAGGAAGAACACACACATACACACAGAGAGAGAGAGAGAGAGAGAGAGAGAGAGAGAGAGAGAGAGAGAGAGAGAGAGAGAGAGAGAGAGAGAGAGAGATAGTCCAGACACAGTGGCTCAAGTTTGTAATCCCAGCACTTTGGGAGGCCAAGGCAGGTGGATCACATGAGGTCAGGAGTTCGAGACCAGCCTGGTCAACATGGTGAAACCCTGTCTCTACTAAAAATACAAAAATTAGCTGGGCATGGCAGCATGAGCCTCTAGTCCCAGCGACTCAGGAGGCTGAGGCAGGAGAATTGCTTGACCCCGGGAGGCAGAGGTTGCAGTGAGCCGAGATCACGCCACTGCACTCCAGCCTGGCGACAGAGCAAGGCTCCATCTCAAAATAAATAAATAAAAAATAAATAAATAAAACAATCTCTGAAGCCCGCACAGGATTAGAATTTTTTTGTGTTTCTACCAATCAGAGTAAGACAAAACAACAAAACAAAACAAACTCTTAGCAAGACATGAAATAGAGTCATCTGGATATTATTTTGTGTGGGGTTACATTGGGTTTACATTGAAAGCTGCTCTCACCCTGCCTTCCTACCCCACAAAAAGAATTACTAGGCATGCTAAATATATGTCACCTACATCCTGGAGAAAAATTAATCAATAGAAGCATACTCAGATAACAGATGAAAAATTGAGCTGAGCAAGACATTAAATAAAACAAACATAGGAAAACAACAATATATGTTACCAATACACCCCATATATACAGAAATGTAAAGGAAAGAATGAGCATGTCAGAAAAAAATGTGAAGAATTAAAATATTTTCATACAACTTATAAAGATAAAAATACAACATCTAAACAGAAAAAATACACAGTATGCAATTAATAGCATAGTAGAAACTGCAGAAATGAAACTAGTGAGCATGAGTGAAGCAATAGAAACTATCCAAAATGAACCAAAGATAGAAACAAATATCACACCATTATTAAATTTAAAAATCTTTTTAAGAAACCAAAATTCTTGAAAACCTTGAAAGTATCTAGGGCAAAAAATGCATATCATACACAGAACAAAGATGAAATTTACAGACATTTTGAATGAAACAATACAAGCTACAAGATACTGGAAAATCTCAGAAATTGCTAGAAGAAAAAAGAAAGTCAAGCTAGGATTCTATATCCAATAAAAATACTTTCAAAAACAAAAGCGAAAATACCTTTTTAGACATACAAAAGCTGAGAAAATGTATTGCTAGCAAAACAGCGTTACAAAAAATAACACAAAGGTAGTTTTTCAGGCAGAAGGAAAATAATACTAGATGAGATTTGGGTCTAGAATAAAGAAATGATAAATATATTGATAATTATAAAAGATAAATGGATAATTGACAGTGTGTTATGAGGTTGCAACATATACAAGTATACTACAAAATGTATATTAATGTAAAGATTTATACTTGTCCATGGGGTTATTTGAAGGTAGATCATTTAAATACATACTCTGTAAAGCACTAAAAAAAACAGAAGACATATGTACAGCTAATAAACTAATAAATAATATAAAATGGAAACAAAAATAATAAATATAAAAGAACGCAAGAAATAAAAGGAGACAATTAATAGGACAATTAGAAAACAAATCGTGGCCGGGCGCGGTGGCTCACGCCTGTAGTCCCAGCACTTTGGGAGGCCGAGGCGGGCGGATCACGAGGTCAGGAGATCGAGACCATCCCAGCTAAAACGGTGAAACCCCGTCTCTACTAAAAATACAAAAAAAATTAGCCGGGCGTAGTGGCGGGCGCCTGTAGTCCCAGCTACTTGGGAGGCTGAGGCAGGAGAATGGCGTGAACCCGGGAGGCGGAGCTTGCAGTGAGCCGAGATCCCGCCACTGCACTCCAGCCTGGGCGACAGAGCGAGACTCCGTCTCAAAAAAAAAAAAAAAAAAAAAAAAAAAAAAAAGAAAACAAATCGTTACGCCGGCCATGGTGGCTCACGCTTGTAACCCTAGCATTTAGGGAGGCCGAGGCGGCCAGATCACTTGAGGCCAGGAGTTCCAGACTACCCTGGCAAGCACGGCAAAACCCCGTCTTTACTAAAAATACGAAAAGCTAAACAGGCATGATGGTGTGCATGTGCACCTGTAGTCCCATATACTAAGGAGGCCTGAGGTAGGAGAATCGCTTGAACTGGGGAGTTGGAGGCTGCAGTGAGTCGAAATTGTGCCACTACACTCCAGTCTGGGTAACAGAGGGAGAATGTATCTCAAATAAACAATGAGATCAAATAGCTAAACGGCAGACTCAAAGTCAAATATCTTGAAAATTATATTAAATTCAAAGTAATATATTTTAGAAATCTTGTCAAATTGGATAAAAAGGTAAGAATTAACATATGTTGTTTACAAAAAACAACTTTTAATATAAGGATAGAAATATATTGTGCCAACAAAAATGAATAGAGTGCTGAAATGGCTATATTAATATTAAATGAAGTAGATTCCAAGGCATGAAAAAGTACATGGAATAAATAAGGCATTTCATAAAGATAAATAGATTGTTTTATCAATATAACTGAATTATTCTAAACATTTGTGCATCAAATTGATACCGCTTCAAAATACATGACATAAATATGATAGAATGACAAGGAAAAATAAAATCAAAATTATAGTTCATTTTATCAATTGATTAAAGAATTAAATCAGTAAGTTTATAGAAACTGTGAATGTCATATCGACCTGCTTGACTTAGCAAACCTATGTAGACCAGTTAATAGAATAACATAATATATAAGGTTTTAAAATAAACACAGGAGTTTTAACAAAATTAACCATATCTTGGGTCATAAGGCATATGTGAATAAGTTTTAAAAGAATTACATAGTAAAAAGTATCCTATCTGATAAAAGTGGAAGAAAAAAGTATCCAGAATATACCTAAATATTTTGAAATTAAACAAAACATTCTTTATTAACCTATAGATTCAAGAAAGAAATTGGAAAATAAATATAAAGAGTTAATGAAAATTAAAACAAAATATGTCAAAATAAATGTGTGATACAACTTTAGAGTTCTTAGTGTGAAATTCATATAATTAAATGTTTATATTAGTAAAGAATAAATGATAAATGACCAATGATTCCACCTTATAAAATTTAAAAAAATAGAACAAATGCAGTCCGAAGCAAAAAGAAAGTAATTCAGAACAGAAATTAATAAAATTGAAAACAGCAAAACAATATGGAAAAATTAAAAAAATGCTCACTTTTGGTATGATAAATAAAACTGACAAACCTGTATCAGGTACAAGAAAAAAAAAAAGGAATGTAAACACACATTTCCAATATCAGAATGAGAAAAGAGAAATTACTACAGATATTACAGATGTTAAGTGGATAATGAGAAATATTATGGACAATTCTTTGCCAAAATTATTCAACTTACATATAATTTAAAAATTCTACACAAATTACCAAATTCATTTTTTAGTGATAATAATAGCCCTATTTTCAACTGTGTCACCTTCAGAAATGTATCCAAACTCGCCATGATTCACTTACTATGATACAGGAATATTAATAGTTCATACACTAGAAGATTGTATGAAGGTTAAAGGAATTAACACATGGAAAGTCCTTGAAATAGTATCTATCACATAATATGAGTCATGTATGTGTGTCACCATTATTAATTTCCTTGATTTTAACTTTTTTTTTTGTTTGTTTTTGGCTTTTAGGGTTTTTTCTTTCAGCTAAGCTGTCCTTTTTAAAATGTGTGAAGTGTTTAATTCAACAATTTCATTATTTCAATAAATTGTAGTTTAATTATTTGATATAATTTTCCAAAACATTGAAGTCATATATATGAATTAAGACAATCCACCAGAGCATATTATTGACTTTTAATAAACTGTGGTTGAATAACTGCTAAATTTTTGTATTTTAAGGAAGTCTTCTTTAATATTAAAATTATCTACCAAACCTCACCTGATGGATGGAACTAGAGGTTATTATGTTAGGTGAAATAAGCCTGGCATGGAAAGGCACATAGGGAATGTTCTCACACATGTGAGAGCTTAAAAAAAATGATTTCATGGAATTAGTGAATAGAATTGGGTTACCAGAGGCTGGGAAGCGTAATAAGTTTGGGGGAAAGAGAAGTAGGTTATTAGGTACAAAAATAGAGGAATAAGTTCTAGTGTTGGCTAGTACAATAGGGTGACTATAATTAACAATAATGTATTATATATTTTAAAGTCACCAGAAGAGAAGATTTGGGTTTTTCCCAACACAAAGAAATGATATAAACGTTTTAGGTGATAAATTTTCCGATTACCCAGATTCGATCATTACACACTGTATGCTTGCATCAAAATATCACATGTACCCCACAAATATGTGCAACTACTACATATCCATAACATTAACAATAAATAAAGAAAACCAAACTTTATGATATTTGTACTTTTCATATCAATTATTTGGGAAAATGCAGTGTTCTACTCTAAATTTAGTAGCTTTAAAGACAAATTTTGTTTTATCATAATACAGTTTCGGCACATTTGAAAAATAGCAGTGAATATGCATGCTATTGCGTGTTTCTGTCTAAGATGTAATGTGCACTCATGTTACTGAAATGCATCTTTTTGCACAGGCTTTGGTAAATGTCAACACCTTCAGCATTTTGTATAATACATACACTGAATATTTTAAAAGTCCTAATTTATTATTAAAAGCCTACAAACAGGCCAGGCACAATGACTCAAGCCTCTCACCCCAACATTTTGAGAGAGCAAGGTGGGAGGATTATTTGAGCCCAGGAGTTTGAGACCAGCCTGGGAAACATAGTAAGACTCCGTCTCTACAAAAAATTAAAAAAAAAATTATCCAGGCTTGGTGGTGCACACCTATTGTCCCAGCGTCCCAGCTTCCCAGGTGGCTGAGGTGGGAAGATTGCTTGAGCCCAGGAAGTAAGGCCGCAGTGGGCTGTGATCACACCACTACATTCAGCCTGGGCAACAGAGTGAGACCCTGTCTCATTAAAAAAAAGAAAAAAAAAACTACAAACATCTTATTTCTTAGAAGTAAAAATGAGGATGAATTATTTGGGAGATATTAAAAAACATAGAATAAATATAATATATACTATGTATCCTGTCTAATAAATGTATTCAGAATAACCTCATTTTACAAAATGTAAGGTAAAGACAAAAGTAAGTTTATTGAAGATTGCCTTAATTATTAGTTACAGTGAATTAAATAATGTTTAAAATCAATGTGTTATTTTCCATTAAGTCTTTGGTAATCATTTAGCATATTGAGATGTAATTTGTCAAATGATCCTTAAACAGTATATTTATAGCATGTAGGTCAATATGTGATTGATGTTAAAGTGTCATTAGCTATGGATCATAACAGGATCAAATTCATCAGTTTCTTTTTTAAAAAGTGTTTTATATAATTCCCAGGATTTTTTTCTCCTTGTTGTTGTAATTCATATTTTTTTTAAGAATCTCCTTTTTAATCATTAGGTAGAATAAAATTATTGTGACTTCTTTACCTTCTATTTTAATCTATCAAGTTATTGCATTAACCTGTCTAAGAATGTTCTTTCTCTCTACTAAACACAAAATTTATTTAACCTTATATTCAGAGAAGATAAAATGCTTTTATAATCCAGTCAAAAATAGTCAATTTATTGGTTCAGTGTACATGTGTTAAATCCACAGTGTGTTCATTATATGTAGATTTATATCTTCAATTGTAAATTGCTCCTATGAAGTACCTATGTTTAACGATGTGTAAAATGTTCACAGTATACTGTTTTCGTGGATCTATATTTTAAGTGGCTAGGGTTTTTTTCTGTTGAAGAATAAATCTTTATCCAACAAAACAGAAATATAGCTAGAAGATCTTATAAAATCAGTGTTTCCTTTAGAGGAGACATTGTGAGATTTATCTGAATAAGCATTTTATTGTTAGTACCAGTGATAAAGAGTAACTTATCAGGAACAGGTGCATTTGATTATATGCCAATAGAGTAGAGTTTAAAAAAAATTTATAGACTTTTTTGTTCTTAACATTTAATGCTAGCTGTAATCCTAGATATATAGCTTTAAAGAAAACACTGAACACTTTTGAAATGTTTATTGAATGGACTGCATTTTATATTCTTGAGTGACAGACACTATCAATATTTTAGTGTGTTTGGTTATTGACAATATTATCATTTAAATGTGCAAATATGAAAATAAAACTACTATATCCATTTCTTCTTTTCCTCTTGCTCGAAATGAATGAGAGTTAATCACAGTAGCATTTTTCAATCTAGAAACCACACTATATATGTTGAGGATGAATAGATTACATATTTAGAGTTAATAATTCAAATCATATATGCCTTCATATTCACTGCACCCATTTAAACAAAGATGTATAATCACATATGGGTAACATCTTAACGTTACTAATTCAAATATCACATCTTCCCAAACCATCATAATATCGAATCAGAGAACAGTATTAAAAGAAGTAAGATAATAAATCCAATATTCTAATTCTGAAAAAAAAAATTTTTTATATTATTTAATTTGTTATCTCATATGTTACCCAATGGAAAGTAGATGCCACCAATTGAATTTATTACACTATTACATGTCTATATTACCACTATAGACATGGTCAAACCTGAAATACATATCGTTTGAAAAAGATACTAATTTGGAGTTTATATACTGTATGAGTCCAATTATATGACTTTCTGGAAAAGCAAAACTATAGATGTGGTACAAATATTGGTAGTATCAAATGATTGAGGGGAGGAAAAGTAGATTTTAATAGGGAAACACAGGGAATGTTTTAGGGTCATCAACTTTTAACCAGTTGAACAGTGAGATTATCAATATATGACAATATGCATTTTCCAAAATACATAGAACTGTAGAGAATAAAAGGTTAATGTCAATGCGTGCAAATAATGACAACAACAGCAACAACAAACTAAGGACTTACAAGGTCAGAGAAATTTCAGACAAAATGAAGAATGAGACAGAGCAATCTAATCATATTGCAAATATATGAAGCAACATCACAAAAAGAGAGGCAGGAAGAAGGTGTTAATTTAAGTAACTCTGGAAATTAGTCAAGTTTATAAAATTAAAGGTAAAATAAACTGTGCACAAGTCCTGTATTCTGTTTAATAAGGTAATATACCACTGAAATATGGGATTAACAATTTTGATACTGTTATACAAGCACATTAGAATTGAAAAATTATGTAAATCGGTAGTTAGAAAATTTTCTAGCTTTTGGGGAGTGGGAGTTTATAGGTAAGCAGAAAAGAAGGTTGGAATGAACCATATTATAATAGATTAAATTTGGACACATCAATATGAACTTATGTTATCTTAATATACATACAGATGATTAAACATAGACATATTTATGTGTCTATCTTTATACACAAGTTAATATACACTCAGCATTTTATTTGTTCTGTCAGCTGAGTTTGCCTAGAAGTAATTTCATTCCAGTAGCAGTGGATACACCTAACATCCATATATTGGATTCCAATATTCTTATCCATTAAAAGGAATCAGGGCTTTTTGACTGGATTCTAGGAATCAGGGAGTATGTAGAATGAACGATGCAGGATGATTCTGCAGCATCTTTTAGTGCCAGAATATAAGAAAGTGATCAGCCGGGCACGGTGGCCCACGCCTGTAATCCCAGCACTTTGGGAGGCCAAGACGGGCAGATCACGAGGTCAGGAGATCGAGACCATCCTGGCTAACACAGTGAAACCCTGTCTCTACTAAAAATACAAAAGACAATTAGCCGGGAATGGTTGCGGGCGCCTGTAGTCCCAGCTACTCGGGAGGCTGAGGCAGGAGAATGGTGTGAACCCAGGAGGCAGAGCTTGCAGTGAGCCAAGATCGAGCCACTGCACTCCAGCCTGGGTGACAGAGCGAGACTCTGTCTCAAAAAAAAAAAAAAAAAAAGAAAGAAAGAAAGAAAGAAAGTGATCAAAAAAGGAAAAATGCCTAGACCAGTTTAGTTTTGGAGACCCTAGCCCAGCGCCGGTAGAGAAATTAAAGACACACACACAAAATATAGAGCGCGGAGTGGGAATCGGGGGCTGACAGCTTTCAGAACTGAGAGCCACTAACAGAGATTTGCCCACATATTTATTGACGGCAAGCCAGTGATAAGTATTGTTTCTATAGATTATAGATTAACTAACAGCATTCTTTATAGGAAACAAAGCGATGGGCGGAAACAAAGGGATGCACTCTGGCTAGTTATCTGCAGCAGGAACATGTTCTTAAGGCACAGATCGCTCATGCAATTGTTTGTGGCTTAGGAATGCCTTAAGCGGTTTTCCACCCTGGGTGGGCCAGGTGTTCCTTGTTCTCATTCCAGTAAACCCACAGCCTTCAGCATGGGCGTCATGGCCATCACGAACACGTCACAGTGCAGCAGAGATTTTGTTTATGGCCAGTTTTGGGGCCAGTTTATGGCCAGATTTGGGGGCCTGTTCCCAAAAGAAAAACAACACTACAATAATATAATAATGGAATATGTCAAAGGGACATAGGATTCAACTGAAAGAGCTCTCAATGACTAAAGCTGGAATAAGTTGAGCAAAAAATAAAATAATGTTATTAAAACCCAAATATAAAGTAGATATTCATGAGTTCATATGTATACACATAAACTGTTTAATTTTAAAAAAACAGGGGAAAAGAGATACATTTTCTATACAGAAGATTTTGATATATTTTATGAAGAAATGCCACTGAAGTTGGTGGAGCATAACTCCCTAGTTTGTAAGTGTAGATTGTTCATAGTGACTCCCTTCAAAAGAGTACAACATGGAAAGGAAAGAAAAAGAGCAATGTTACAGTGGAGGAATGTGACAGACTCTACCTCATCCAGATAATAAAAGTATACATCAAAACTTATAAGGGAATGTGACAGCATCAAAATGGCAGACTAGAAGCAAGCTGATTTCTCTACCATCACCCTACAGAAAAGTAGAGGTCAAAATCTCTGATGAACATTCATGTAAAAATCCTCAATAAAATACTAGCAAATCAAATTTAATAAGACATTAAAAAGATTATTTGCCATAATCAAATGATATTCATTTCAGGGAGGCAAAGATGGTTCAACATATGCAAATTAACAAATGCAATACATCACATTAACAGAACCAAGAGCAAAAACCATATGATAATTTCAATAGATGCCGAAAAGCATTGATAAAATTTAACATTCCTTTATAATAAACTTGTTCAATAAACTAAATATACAAGGAACATACCTCAAGACCATAAACGCCAGATATGACAAACCCACAGCTAACATTATACAAAAGAGAGAAAAACTGAAAACACTTTCTCTAGGATTTGTGACAACACAAGAATGATCACTTTCACCACTTTTATTCAACATAATACTGTAAGTCTTTGAGCATTCAAGGGAAGAGAAAGAAACAAAAGACATCTATGTTGGAAAAGAGGAAGTCAAATTTTCCTTGTTCACAGATGACATCATCTTATATTTTTAAAATGTATACTTGTTCATCTGTGAACAAGTGGTGCCCATATGTGGGGCTCGAACCCAGCTCAACAAAAAATTTGTTAGAACTGATAAATGAATTCAGTAAACTTGTAGGATAACAAATTATCATTAAAAATATGTGTGTGTGTGTGTGTGTGTGTGTGTGTGTGTGTGTGTGTGTGTGTTTATCCATGGGGACAATCTGTAAAAGAAATTAAGAAAACACCATTTACAACAGTTACAAAACTATAAAGAAACTAGGAATAAATTCAATGTAAGAAGAAAAAATATCTAAAAGAAATCTACAAAACTCTCACGAAAGAAAGAGGACACAAATAAATAGAAAGCTATTCCATGCACATGGAGTGAAAGAGTCAATATTATTAAAATATCAATACTGCCCAAAGCAATCTATAGATTCAATGCAATCCCTATCAAATACCAATGCCTTTATTCACAGAAATGGAACAAAAACTATCCTAAAATATATATGGAACTACAAAAGACCCTAAAAAGCAGAAGTAACCCGAAGAAAAATAAATCTGACAGCGTTACACTATGTGATTTCAAAATATACTTCAAAGCTTTAATAACCAAAACAGCATAACAATGGCCTTAAAATAGACACATAGCCCAATAGAACAGAATAGAGAGCCCAGAAAGGAATCCGCATATCTACAATCAACTCATTTCCACAAAGGTCCCAAGAACATGTACTGAGGACGGTTTTTTAAATAAATGGTGTGGGAAAACATGAATCCCATATGCAGACAATTAAAACTAGGCTCCTATCTCTCATCATCTACCAAAATGAAATCAGAATGGATAAAAGAGTTTTGCATCTAAGAACTGAAAGTCTGAAACTACTATAAGAAAACATAACAAAAAATTTCAGGACATTTGTCTTAGCAAAGATTTATTGATTACAACCTCAAAGCAGAGGCAACAAAAGCAATAATAGACAAATGGGATTACATAAAGCTAAAAGGTTTCTGCATAGCGAAGGAAAAAATCAACAAAGTGAAAAGACAACTCGCAGAATGGGAAATAATATTTGCCAACTATCCATCCAAGAAGGGATTAGTAGCCAGAATATATAACAAATTCAACTCAATAGCAAAAACAAAAAAAAAAGTCTGATTAAAAACTGGGCAAAATACTTAAATAGACATTCTCAAAAGAAGACATAAAAAGAGCTAACAGATATGTGCAAAAAATGCTCAACACCACTAATCATCAGGGAAATGGAAATTAAAATCACAATAAGATCTCATTCTGGTAAAATGACTTTTATCAAAATTACAGGGAATAATGGGTGCTGGCGAAGATGTGGAGAACGAGGATCCCTGGTATACTGTTGGTGAAAATTTAAATTAGTACGATCACTAAGGGAAGATTGTTCTTCCCTTTTTTGTGGAGATTCCGCAAAAAAACTAAAAATTCAACTGCCATATGATCCAGCAATACCGCTACTGGGTATATATCAAAAAATACAAGGAAATCAATACGTCGAAGAGATATCTGCGCTCTCAAGTTTATTGTATATACTCCCATGTTTATTGCAGTACTATTTAAAATAGTCAAAATTTAGAATCAACCTAAATGCTCATCAATGGATGAATGCATAAAGAAAATGTGATATATAGACACAATAGAATATTATTCAGCCATAAAATCTACAATATTGTCATTTGCAGCCACATGGGTATGAAATAAGCCAAGCACAGAAAGACAAATATCATATGTTCTCACTCACACGTGGGAACAAAAAAGAATAAAGAAAAGATAAACGTTTAAGGTGATGGATAGCTGAATTACCCAGATTTGATTATTAAAATGTTTAATTATTGAAATGTCACATATACCCCTTAAAATATGTACATCTATTATGTTTAAAAATAAGAACGGAAAAATAAGTTAAATAGAATGAAGAAAATTTTTAAAAGATTAAAAAATTAAAAGATCTTAAATTACCTTATAGTGTCAAAAAAGGGTGACAGGCCTTGCTGATAGTTTGTATCCTTGATCTGATGTAACAAAAATATCACATTATTACCTCTGTGGCTTTTCTCACCAAAACACATAGCCAGGCCAATCATGAGAGACACATGAGACAAATCACAATAGAGAACATAAAAATAGAGAAACATCAAAATAGGGAACATGAAAGCACAAAAATTTCTAAGAAATTCCTAAGCAGTACTCTTTAAAACTGTCTTTGTTATAGAAAATTTTAGAAAATGTCACAACTAAAAAGAGCCTAAGAACATGATAATTATAAATAGAATACATTATCTTAGACAGGATCCTAAAGCATAAAAAAGATTTTAGGCAATAAGTAAGGAAACCTGAAAAATGAATAGATTTTAATTAATAATACTATATCACTATTGGTTCATTTATTATAACAAATATACTAATGTGTGATATTAATAATAGAAGAAACAGGGTATAGGATATATGTGAATTCTGTATAATACTTAAAATTTTTCTAGAAATATAAAAACTCCACTGAAAGGTAAAATTGGTCTTCATGTCATACTGATTCTGTCGTACTATGCGCTCTTGGCAAAATGGGAGAAAAGCTACTTTCATTGCCATAGATTTTGGACGTTTCCAAGAAAACATCTTAGTTTTAGTCTTTCATTAATTTCTCACTAATTGTATTATTTTTAGTAATAAAAACTCAGTAATGGTACTTTTTCTCAGACTTTTATTCGCTTTAGCTGTCAATTGACAAAGTGCTGTAACAAATTGTTACATGTGACTAGAAGTAAAAGTTAACACCTTGAGCCATCTATGTCCTATCGTTAAGACAGGTTGACTGATCACATACTTGGATGTCATGGAAATGTTAAATACCTATAAAAATTTTTAAATCTTATTCTTACATAATCTGTTACAGCAATTTGCTGTCTGGATTCGGTCCCTGGATCACACTTAGAGTAAGTAGTGCTGTTCTAGAGAGAAGAAGATGTAACACAGGTTCTAAATGTGTGTAACTTCTTTTCACAGAATAGATTTTCACTGCCTTATTGGGCACCAACGGTATTTCAGTTATGTAATAAATCAAACATTGGCAGTGTTCCTGCTCAATAGTTCTATAACAAAACAGAAAAAAAGGCAAGCAGAAGAAACAGTATAATTCTGTATGTTAACTGGTAAGACAAAAGAGAGGAGGTTTCCAAGTACAGAGATGTCCTGCATTATTCATTTTTATACGTGTTATGTTAAAGTATTTCAGCTAAAACCTATTTACAAGTAAAATACAAACAAATGAACTATGCAACATTTTACATGGCAGTAATACATGAGAGTAAACTGAGCATATGTTTCTGAGTAGTTTTCTGTTATTTCTAATATGAGCAAACCTATCTTGTGCCTCCAAAGGGATTTGCAGGCACGTGAATATTTTATAGCTCTATGGTTTTTTTCTTATTGAAACCCATATTATCAATACAATAAATAAATAAGTAGAAAGTACTTTGACAATTAACATCATACCATTGTGATAGTTACTTCACTAATTTAATCACACAAATGATAATTAAGATAAATTCTTTTATTTTTGTGGGCCTATCATTTTGGTAGTGTAATTTGTAAAATTTAATTGGATTAAAATATTTTAAATACTATCATATCTATTTTTCTAGTGAAAATATGTTTATTGAATTTAAGTATTTCAAATTCTATTCTCTAATGTTAAACTTATAATCTTTAAAATAATGTTAATAATATACTACGAGAAAACTTTCCACCGTCTTCAATTTTTTGCTTGTTTTAGTGATATGTCATTTTCATTCATTAACACATTTTCTCCTATAGGTAAACTGTGTAGTTTCATAATTTGTTGTTGCATTTTGTTAAATGCAATACAAAAATTACTTTGATGTTTATTTATTATTAGTGCTGATTACATTTATAATGTTAGCCATTTCCCTTACTTGGTCACATTATGGTAGCATATTTCTATAAAAAAATATGTGCAATTGATGAGGTCAGGTGCCATATACTCAGAAATTAGTACAACATCAAAAATTTAGCATTTACTGAAATAATAGTTTTGAACACTTAATTCAACATTAATGAACTGACTTCAACATCATTGACTAAGGATAGCAGTTTCTGTCTTAACAGAATGCTTTGAAGAGATCTCGTACATGTAAGCCAGTCTATCTTTTCCCTTGAATCTTCTTTCTGACAATTGTTCCTCTGAGTTACATGTTCCTGCTTATGATCTCTGTTGTGTCTTTGATCACAATTTTATCTGTTATATGCCACTGTCTACATACACGGACTGCAGATACTTAGATTAATAATGCTATCTGCAAGTCTCTTCACAAAGAATTCTCTTTGTGTTTGGTATTTAGTTAATTCTAGGCAAGCTCCTTTCTTTTTAGGATCTTATTTTATATATATAAAATAATCAGGCCGGGGGTGGTGGCTCACGCCTGTAATCCCAGCACTTTGGGAGGCCAAGGCGGGCGGATCACGAGGTCAGGATATCGAGACCATCCTGGCTAACACGGTGAAATCCTGTCTCTACTAAAAACACAAAAAAATTAGCCAGGCATGGTGGCGGGTGCCTGTAGTCCCAGCCACTCAGGAGGCTGAGGCAGGAGAATGGCGTGAACCCCGGAGGCTGAGCTTGCAGTGAGTCGAGATCGTGTCACTGCACTCCAGCCTGGGCGATAGAGAGAGACTCCGTCTCAAAACAAAACAAAACAAAACAAAATCAGATATTGTTAATTGAGGAAAGATACAGTTTTTAAGACAAATAAGGGATAAAATTAAATTGGACCCTAATTATTAATTTTGCTGTAGTTAAAAGCTCCCATGTAGTTATACCCCAATTGGCACTTCTTAGTCCCAATGAGTCAAGAAAGACTCCAAAGATTTTGCTCTGAGCAATAGAGAGAATTAAATTGCTATACATATTGAGATTTTGAAGACTATAAGATTAGTAGGTTTGGAAGATAAAGACAAGTTTGATTATAGATGTGTTCATTTTGAAACACTCTGGATTTTCAAATTGAGATATCAAATAGGCAACTGTATCTATTATTTATGTTTAGATAATGCTATGCTGGAAACATAACTTCTGGAAACATCAGGTTGTACATACTTAAACTTATAGTACTAGATGATCTTAGAGGAGTTATTTGTAAAAATAAGGAAAGGATTGTTAAGGAGGAAAGAATAAACTTCTGGGAAAGTCAAGGAAGGGTCAAAAGAAATGTCATCGAAGATAACATGAAGAAAGATATTTTTTTCCCAGAGGAAGTGATATTCTATGAGCAATGTTGTTGATAGGTGCAGATAAGTACTGGAAACTCATGATTGGATTTATTAATCTGAATGTTATTGATGACCTTAGCAGGTGTACTTTTGATGGAGTGATGGAGGTGATTAGAAGGAGCCTAAGAAAAATGAAAGAAAATGAAGATGCTGAAATCAGAGTATTGCCAGCTCTTTGAAGTATTTTGTTAGATAGAAGAACAGAGAACTAGGATAGAAACTGGAAGAAAATAATGGGATCACTTTACAAGAAATGTGGCATATTTCTAAGCTGATGGTTAAGACCCAATTGTGATGGAAATGATGCTAATGCAGAAGATACACCAGACAACTGCAGAATGCCATTTTGATAATATTTTATTATTATAAATCATTTTAAAATCCTGCTTAAAATTATCAATAATTAAATGCAAAACCAAACACTGAAGTCTCTCTTTATCTTCCTGTTTTGAATTTAAGTAAAGCAGAATGAATGGAGCAAGGAAATGCCTGAAGAAAAATGTGTATATGTATAAAACATATACACATTGCCGTGGCTAAAGATAAATATTCTCTGTTACTAGATAAAGGACACAAATGTTAACATAAAACTGATATATTATTTTAATT
Organism: Homo sapiens; assembly: GCF_000001405.40. Taxonomy (NCBI): domain Eukaryota; kingdom Metazoa; phylum Chordata; class Mammalia; order Primates; family Hominidae; genus Homo; species Homo sapiens. Next base: position 104,523,427 of record NC_000001.11, read on the forward strand.
GTTTATTTCTAAACATTTATATTATAACATGTCACAAGATTATCTCTGCAGTATCAATTTCAAAGTATTAAAAAATAAGGATCGTTTAAATGTACAACATACTGGAACTTTTGAAGATATATACCCAATATGTGAAGCAAACAGTAAAGATTGATGTTATTCAGTGGCATAACATGAGTGAAGTTGACGTTTTGGTTAATTAAAGATTTTATAACAGCTCAGTCATCAGTGCTTAATGAACTTTTTGTCCAAGACACTCATAAAATTCACATCTACTAGAAGTGTCTGTTAGAGGAGTAAAGATGGTATTAGGTCCATCACAATTCAGATTGCACGTTTTCTTTTGGTTTCACTAATTTTATCTTTATGATCATTAACCAACATTTAATGAGCTCTCACTATATGCCCAGGTTCTATGCTAAAGGCTTTTATGTATCCCCTAGTTTAAGATGAGGGGGCTGGGGAAGGTTAGTGTTTAAGGAAATGTCCTAAGTCTAAGGTTATATTTGTAGTTTCTAACAGATTTGAAATTTAAACCCAAGAACCTATCTAAAATCCGAATGCTCAATCTGTTTCTCATGAAGTAAACTAGGAATGAGAAGAACTAAGGAAATTATTTAACTATGCTTAAGAGAGGGAACTAATTTTTTTCCTTTCAAGTTAATTTTAATTATGTACTAAAACAAATACACTGATAAATTCAGAATCATTTGAGTATCCTAGATGTCATTTTATGGCTCAGAGTAGAAGCTGTTCCTTGCATGAGAAGGAATGGGAAGGTACAACATTAGATGAATGAGAGGAAACGACTTTGGGGTAACCACAGGGATGAACTCACTCTGTGAACCTAGTTGGAGGCTGCACTCACTGCAAGATTTGCACAGACTCTATCTGCCCATGTTCCTAGTAACTACCTCACTTTAGATTTTTCCCCTCTCAGGCATCTCTCCTCTATCTAGTGTCATAGCTCCAAATGCATTATTTTAATAAATGTTGATGTAGAACCTCTTATATTCCAGACATTCTACTAGACACTGGGCATACAAATTGAGTATGGCACAGTCCTTGCCTTCAAAAATACATATATTGTACTGCAGAAAATACACTGGCAACAATAGAAAAAACAATGTCACCAAATGTATAGAGATTCAAGTAAAATAATACAGTCACTAATATTATTAATGTTTGACTTCATTTAGATGCTTGCAAATGGAATGTATTTCAGCATAAGAAAAGTCTTCATAAACAAAGTGAGAACCACATAAAGACTGAAACAAAAAAAAAAGTTGATAATATCAAAATTAAATATATCTGTTTCAGTGAAGAATGCCTTGGACAAAGGCAAAACATAGAGTAGAATATAATGAGAGCACAGAAACTAGCAACCACCCCCACAAACAAAACAACAAAATGAATAGTATTCAAAGAGGTACTAGACATCAAAAAAATGTATAAGGTGACCTCTAATCTCATTTGTAATAAGGAAAATTCAAAATGAAATACCAAATGTATTTAAGGTAATCAGAAAGGCAAAATTAGTAAGCTGCATAAGGCAAATATTGATCTGGAATATAGGGATAGTGGAATCCTCACACACCACTCATGTGAGTGTGGAAGGTGCACCCATTCTAGATGGCAAATTGTCACTGTGTATAATTAGTCAAATTAGGCGTAAAACAATGGTATGATCCAACAATTCCACTTCTGGGTACTTACTACGAAGAATCCCACACATGAGTGAACATGGGGGAAGATGCTTATTTCAGTATTATTTCTGGAAACAGAAATTTGTAGGGAAGTTTGGTGTTTATTGCTTAAAGTGGAAATGCCTAATATATATTAGATAGAAACCACAGAGTACTATGAACAGTTAGAAGTAACATAGCAAATATACACACAAAAAAGCAGATACAACCCAAAAACCTATTATTGTTTGAAAACAGAACAGAATGTCATATAACCGAAAAACATTTATATAAATTAAAAGTAACCTTAAAGGAATTATAATAATTGCCTGTGATGAAAGAGAATAGAAGTAAGAAATTGGGACATAGGGTAATAAATAAATGAGTAAATCAGAATGTTGTTTATGTTCCTTGACCTGGAGCTACAGTTACTACAACCCACTGCTTCTGAGGGCCTAACAAAGGAAGGGAAACAAATTAAATGGACTGTGTTATATGATTTATAGTTTTTATTTTTTTAGTAGCAGGTATAGCTTGGGCTTTTTAAAAGGGTGTATTGCATAAAATTACATAATGTATTTAATGCCTCATTAAAAAAAACCTAAGTATTAAGCAATCAACAAAGAGAAAGAACATCTAATTAGCTGTACAATCATCTGTAATAACAATGAAATTGGATTACCTTCAGGAGGTAAGCATTCTTAGACCCTGATACACTGTACAATTAGTCTGCCACAGTGATCTCAAAATCCCACAGTTACATATGTTGTATAGTGATCTGTTATCTTCAGTCTTATATTCCTGGATTTTGCATTATATAGATAATGGGGACAGGGACATATTCTTTTTGAATACATGTCAATATTTGAGATAATAAAATACTGTACCAAAATTTGAGATAGAGCCAATACATGGGAGTAGAAATACATTAAACATTTCTGCTTCACAGAGGACAGCCCATTGAATTGTAATATATTGATTATTTCAGGAAAATTTCTTTTAAATATTAAAAATTGTTAAGTTCCATCATGAATGAAAGCCCATTGTGGCAGAATTGTAAGGTCATGGGTGACTCTGACCTGAGATTTCCAAGCAGACAAAGTGCACATGAATTCAATGTTTTCTAATACTATAGTTATAGCAGAAATGAAAGCACGTAGCTAGAATATTCCCAAGACTTATATATTATGCAAGCAGCATAGAACAATGATTATAAATCTCCTTCTAGACATAGCAAAACCTGACCCTACAAATCTGCCTTTACTATGGGTAGCAGAGGGGTTAGGGATATAATAAGACATTTTCCTAAATTACTTCCCAATGTCTTGATAAATGATGTCATTCATCACCACAAATGTGGATTAACTGAATGGAATTAATTATTTTGCAATCATGATTTGGTTTAAGGATCAAGGTCATGTTATTGCATCAGCAGAACACTGACCACTTATGAATTATTCCTGATGAGACATCCAATTCTTAAATCTTGAGCTAGAAGTCACTGGTGGCCTATTAACAAATATAGATTATAAGGCATTTCATATATCACAGTTACAGGTCTTACTTAATGCCTCTGTGAACTATAATAATAAATATGGCTTAGGAAATTAATCTCTAAGGAATATTAAGCAACTGCACGGCAGAGTAAAAGAATTTTTTATGTGATTATATACACTTGAGTATTTAACATTTACAATCTCTGTAATGATAATTCTTCATATCTTGAGATCACAGTTTGTCTATACCTATTGCTTTGTTTTACAAGTGCAAATGAGCTTAACTGGATATAAAAATTAGACAAAAGTAAATTATTTTATTATCAATTTCCAATTTTGCATGTAAAGTAACCTGGCATGGTCATTTTTTATTTTATAATTGTAAGTTATGACATTATGAGAATCTTAGTATTTAGAAAAATGTAAAAAATCAGAAAAGTAGTCTCCAAGGTGAATAAGATTTCACCAACTCAATTAATTATAAGATGAAAATTCTAAAGGTTTATATGTTCTAAATCCAAAAAGATAAACCTAAAACAATAAGTATCCAATTATATGAATGAATTAGTAAAAGATAGCTATTACAAATTGAGTTTCTAGGCTTTATATTTTTTAAAGACAAGTTGTATGTATCTGTTCTTAGACAAAGACTACTAGCACTCTAATACTGTTTATTGTACAATACTTCTTCAGTAATTTCTTAGCAAATAGATGATTAAACATGGATATCTACTTTTCTGGATCTCTTGTATTTTATACTGAGTAGGAGACTTTCCCTGGTTTTTTAAGAGCAAAATTATTTTTATTTATTATTTCAAAAATATTACACCATAAAACTCAGGACTCTGATTGAAGAAATGATTAGAAAATCCTTTTGAACAGAACTACCATTTACACAATTTGCAAACCATAAATTTTACATTTGTGTTATATTAAATAAATGTTAACACATATATTATGTAAACCGCATTTTTCCCTGAATGGATTATAATGTGTGTTTATAAGAATTTATGGCTATACTGCAAAACGTATTTTAACAGTGTACTTTAAGGGTCGGTGTAAAAATGGGAAACATCAAAAAAGTATAAGTATGGATGCGAAAACGTGTATTAGAAAGAGAGCAGAAGTAATTTAACAATGCATGCCTTGATGAGAGTTAAATTATTAAAAATCACACTACTACTATAAACAAATAAAAACATAAATGTAAAATATTATTTAAAAGCCTAAAATGCATGAAAAAGCTGAAAATATGGTGATGAATTAATAGGGTAAAGTACAAGATAAAACAATATCAAAAACATGACATTCTAGGAAAATATGTCATTTGGTTTTGAGGGACTGAGAAGAAAATGAACACAATATAAAGTCCAGGCTCTACCTAACTAAATTTCTTATGAGATCAAGGTGATCTCGTCATACTCTATTGCCAGATAGGAAATTAAATTATTTTTGGAGGCTGTATTGATCTAGCATGCAATAAAATTATATGCCAAGAAACAAGACCAAAAAACAAAAGACATTGCAGAAAATAGAAACAGAGCCATATGTAGATATAGTCACACAAATTATAACTAATAGACCTTCCCCAAAGAAAACAAGATGGAATATTTTACATGGAAAACTATCAATAAAAATTCTAAAATTAAAACATGAAATAACAAGTCAATACATGTGTGTAACAGTAGCTTAAACACAGCAGTGAAGAGGACTGTTGTAATAAATGATAGGTTAATAGAAAGTATACAAATTGAAGCTTGGAAAAGACAAAGGACCAAAAAAAGTTTAAAAGGCATGTACAGCATGAATCTAAGATCTAAGTTAGGTGTCATTGTACTCCCACTAGAGGAAAAAAAGTGTGAATCAGATGTGGTAACTGAAAACAAACACTGGCTGAAAAGTTTTTCAAAACTGATGTAAAACATCAACATTGAGCCACAGATTTGAGAACTCTATGATTTTCAAGTAGTGTAAATACAAATAAACCACCAATGGACAAATAATAAAACGTACTTACAAACTCAAAACAAAGCAAACATTTAATTCAGGTGACTTAAAAAAAGTTCAGCTATGCGATCTTCTATACGTGAGGGCTTTGTGCACGCATCGTATAATTTCTCTTCTATATTTACTATGATGCTTGTAAGAAAAAGAGTCATAGATGACGGTTATCCCTAAATTAGAATTAACCCAGTGTCCACTGATAGTAACATTGGAGTATAAAATTATGAGAATTATTGATAAATTATGAAATTATACTAGATTGGAATGTAATACACAGTTGAAATGCAAAACCTAAAATCATATGCCATATGGGTCATTTGCAAAACACTAACATAAAAGGTATCTTAGGTGGATTCTATTTACATAAAATATAAAAGCAGATCATTTTTTAGTTTAATAGGTTTTTGGGAAACAGGTGGTGTTTGATTAAATTCTTTAGTGGTGATTTATTATTTCTTTAGTGGTGATTTCTGAGACTTTGGTGCACCTGTCACCCCAGCAGTGTACACTGTACCAAATAAAAGGCTAGAAATGATTATCACATTTTATGGGAAACAAGGAGGAAGATGTGATTAAAGAGGTACAAGAGATGAGTTTTTGGAAATATTAGCAACGTTATCTTTCTTGATCTGAGTACTGGTAACACTCTCTTGACAATTAATTGTTAAATTGTGTAATATATGTTTTAAACAGTATGTATGTATATGTATGCATGTGTGGAAGTTCAAAGTGAAAATTATATTTTAAAATCTATAAACTGGTATTCATTTTATATTCCTACCACAACAAATTACCACAAATGCTCTTTCTCACATGTGGGAGCTAAATATATATGTATGTCATGAAAATAGGGAATAGAATAATCATTATCAGAGCCAGAAAAGATAGTGGGGGAGAGGTAATACAGAGGTAATATGTATAAAAATACAGTTAGAATAAATAAGATCTAGTGTTTGGTGGCACAATAGGGTGACTATAATCAACAGTAATTTATTGTATATTACAAAATAACTTGAGGAGTGGATTTGGAATGTTCCCAGACAAGGAAATAAATGTTTGAGGTGATGGATATCCCAATCCCTGATGTGATCATTACACATTGTTTGGTTGTATCAAAATATAATATGTTCCCTATAAAAGGTACTACTATGTATCCATAAAAATTAAGAATTAAAGAGTATTATATTGTTGTTCTATGTGTTAAAAGTTTGATGTGGGTATTATTGGGCTAATGGTTCAGGTGTGAGCAAGACTGTATTTCTTCTTGAAGGGTCTCACCCTCCACCAAAAAAAAATATTTTCTTGTCTTTTCTTGCTTCTAGAGTCCACCCACAGTCCTTGGGACATGACCTTTTTTCGTCTTCAAAGCCAGCAATGTTACACCTCTTTGACCATTATTCCATATTCACATCTCCCTCTAACTGTCCTCATTGGCCGTCCTCTTGCACTCTTAAGGTTACTTGTGACTACATTGGTCTCACCTGGATAATCCAGGGAAGTTTCCTTATATTGAGGTCAGTTTACTAGTAAACTTGATTCCATCTTCAACCTTAATTCCCCCTTGCCATATAACCTAACATAATCACAGTGTCTGCAATTTAGAATGTGGACATTTTTGAGAGGCATTATTGTGTCTACAACTCTAAATGCTTTTCCACAGTAGATAAGCAGTTAATGTTGTCCCTAGCATATGACGATGATGCCAAAGCCCACAGTCAACAAGCAAAAGTTCTGAATCTTTTTTCAGGTCTGACAAAATATGTTGCTTATGAAATGATCTGATATATGGTACAATGAGGTCAGTTAACTTTCTAAACTTTCCTTATGATGCTTTTTAATTCTTTGTAAAAACTAACAGAAGTTTTACCAGAGTTTTTTTTGAAAAATAAATGTAAAACTATTATTTTTTGCAAAATAATAATATTTGCTTCTCGTATCTTCAAAACTCTTTCCAGGATATGGTATTTTCTTCATAAATTTCATTTGTTTTCTGCATATAAGATTACAAAGTTTCCTATATTTTTATAAATAAATGCTTTTAAAATATATATTACCCTTCCTTTGTAGATGAATAAATTAAAATATCCAGTAAATTGATTTTATAACCTTTAAGTCTCTAGAGATTATTTTTGTATTTATTTGAAAAAACGGTACTATTAAAAGTTTTTGTTTAATTTTTAATTTATTTCTTAATAAAACTTTTTGTTTTTTTATTTTTATTTAGAAAATTTCGTTATAAATTGTTCATATTAAAATAATATTTCTAAATGAAAGCGACTATCAGAATATTTTTAAAGCAGTTTTTTAGATTCTATCTGAATAATCAATTTGCCTGTTATTTCACCTATTTAAAATTTATAAAACATTTACAAATTATTCTATAATTCATCATCTTCAGTAACTTATGAAGAATCACTCAAGTTAAGTTAAATGATGCATTGTGTTTTATTTTCCTGATCCAGACATATCTACCTTTCAAAATATATTTCTTTATAATCATTCCTTTTTTGTCTTTTAATGTTTATGTCTACCTGCCATCCTATGTCCCACAATTCTTCCATCTTTAAAATTATCTTTTGCACATGTAGTTTTCTGTTTTTCTCAGCTTTTTATTCTTTTGCTAAAACTGATACAATACTCTAGCTCATTGTCAGAGCCCCTTGATGCTCATCACAGTAAAATTGTGCAAATGACCTCAAAAAACTTACTTCAGATAAGCATCTCAAATTTCTGATGTTTATGCAAATTTTATCCTAATTATCCAAAAGTTTTTAGAGTGGTGACCCCAGGAGTATGACCCTTGTCCATAAACATCTTCCAGTACTAATAGTCTCTAGAAGCCCTCTTTCTTCTTTCCTCCTATGTAAATGGGAAAATACTGAACTTATGTGCACTTTAATGTTATTAAAAACCAGAACCAGTGGGGAGTCTTTGCAGAGGCTGATGAAATATTTCCAAACTATTGAATAAGAAGAATATCTAGGACATCACCACCTCCATGTTACATTTAATACTAAATTTTCTAAAGAGGAGAAATAACCCTACTCTTACTTTAAGAGGTAGTATGTGTCCTTTTTTTTGACTCTGAAGACATTCACAGGATAAATATCAGCTTTTGCCATCATTTCTGAGGAGTTAGTTATCTGGAATTTGCTTTTGTATTTCTAGAAAGTAATTATTTTAAAATATTTTAGAATACAATATGAATATAATTAGAATGTACCTATACTTCAAAAATAAAATTTTATTTGACAGGCTTTATGCCTTTTTTTTAAACAAATAAGTTACAATTATATTTCACTGCATTAATGAATATTTCACAATTTTTTATGCAAATAGTATCCATTTGATGTACATACTTCCATATGAAATTGAAGATTTAACAAAATCACTAAAAAGTTACAAGTGAAAATAAGACTGTATTTCCCAAAAATGATTTTATATTTTAATATTAAATTAGTACTGTGAATATTTTATCATGTTGTAAACAAGATTTTATATATTTATTATTATTTAATCTCAGTACTAGGAAAATTCAACTGGAAATACAGACAGGAGCTTTAATGTTTACTCAGCATTTTATTAAAGAAAATGCAAAGGCCAAAATTGTTCACTATAATGAATATGCTTTGCTGGCTAGAAAACAAAACCAAAATTCATGTTGGACTCTGAATATCGATTATCAAAACTAGCCAAGTTTATCAAACTTTTTAGTTGGATGACACACAGCGGTAACATACAGTTAAATGATTACCAAAACCAATTATCTCATTCACTGAATTTGAAAAGCACATATATCAGATAAATGTGGAAAAGGGTCATTTTCATTGTCATTGAAATTATTATTTTCTAAGTCAAAATATACCACCAATCATTTTATTTCATCTTTACGATTCTAAGCTTTATAAATTAGAATAAAACTTTGCCGGTCCCATAAAGTTGTTTCTCTAACAGTAGATATTTAAAAACCCTCTATGGAAGTATAAGTTGGAAATTGCCTGTTCAAAGAAATTTATGATTTTATTGCAGCTGCATATTGACTATTCCTCTAGTAACCTGCAGGCAGAAAGTTACAGTTTATTTATTTAAACTGCAAATGAAATTGGGCAAAAAGTAATTAGCAAGCAACAAATAAAACCGTAATGAAAAAGCACCATAAAAACAGTTCAGAATTTATTGGGTTGTCAGACTGTTAGAAAATAACACTTTAATCTTAAAAAGTAGGAAATGCGTGTGTGTGTTTGTGTGTGTATTTACACCAGCTGTTTAAACACAGGCATAGATTTTGCAAAAGCAATAATTGGAAATATCAGCATTGTTCTTAAATTTTCAAATAATTTTAAATTCTTCTCATACATAATCTTAAGTATCTTATGTATAAGATAAATTTTATACTGAACAAAGTACTTTTAATTAAAGAGACAGAACTTGTTTGATTATTCTAGTTTTTTGAAATGTTGGTGATAGATTTTATACACTCTAAAGATTGTAACATTGCATAACCCACCAAGCTAATGCATATATTTAGGAAAACCAAACCAAACAAAACAAAACAAAACAAATCAATGAAGGTATCTTTATTAGCCCCAGTTAAAAAATAATAATGGCACTGTTGTCTGGGTTGTAGCATTTTGTGACATGAAGAAAATTTTTGAATCTTCCTGGAAAAGAAAAGTCATATGTTATTGAACAATTTGTTTAAAGTAATACATATATTAGTCATGGAATTATCAACACAAATACACGATGAAAAGAACAGAAATAGTCTGAGTAAAGCTTAATAATTAGTCCATTATCTACTGATAAAGTAACATCTTAAACAAAGAAAATTTAAAGATTCTGTGACCTCAGGTTACAGGCAAAACCAATTTAGAGCACAACTAGATCAGTTTACTTAAAGCTATTTTAGGTTTAGCATGATGGCTCCCTGCAATCCCAGCACTTTGGGAGGCTGAGGCAGGAGGATCACTTAAGGCCAGGAGTTAGAGGTTGCAGTAAATCCTGATGTGGCCACCTCACTCCTGTTTGGACATCACAAAAAAAAAAAAAAAAAAAAAAGACGATGACTTAGAAAACAAACAAACAAGCAAAAGGTAGTTTATTCAATTCATCCTGTTTTCCTCAGCATCTTAATGACAACAGAAATTCCTAAAAGAGTTTTTGGGAAATGTCAAAACTTCTTGGCCTGGTAATTGGGTAATTTGAAAATTTCCCAGCTGTACTTTTTTTTCCCCCAAAACATATTATATTAATCTCTATTGGAAAATCAAACTTTGTTTAGTTATCTGTGTGAATAATCTTTAAGATTGACCCTATACTGCAGCATTCCCCAACCTTTTTGGCACCAGAGACCAGTTTCCTGGAAGACAGTTTTTCCACATACGGGGCTTGTGTGGGGAGTGGTTTTGGGATAAAACTGTTCCACCTCAGATCATCAGGCATTAGATTCTAACAAGAAGTGCACAACCTGGATTCCTCACATTCGCAGTTCACAATAAGATTCCTACTCCTATGAGAATTGAATGCCGCTCCTGTTCTGACAGGAGGCAGAGCTCAGGAAGCAATACTCCCTGGCCCGCCATTTACTTTGCTGTGAGGCCGGGTTCTTAACAGGCCATGGGCGTGTACTGGTTTGTGGCCCTGGGGTTGAGGACCCCTGCTATACAGTACCTCACACATTTGCATTTTTGCTTTTGGTATTTTTTTTCCTGGAAGATTCTCTATCTTTTCATCTTCTATGTGAACATAATATGAGAATGAGCCTCGATTCCTGTGATGTTTAATATTGATTGTCAATTTGATTGGATTGAAGGATGCAAAGTAGTGTTCCTGGGTATGTCTGTGAGGGTGTTGCCAAATGAGATTAACTTTGAGTCAGTGGACTGGAAGAGGCAGACCCACCCTCAATCTGGGTGGGTATCATCTAATCAGCTGCCAGTGTGGCTAGGATAAAAGAGGAAAAGGAAAATGGAAGGCCTAGACTGGCAGCTAAGTCTTCTGTCTTCCATCTTCCTTCCATGCCAGATGCTTCCTGCCCTCGAACATCGGACTGCAAGTTCTTCAACTTTTGGACTCTAGGACCTACACCAGTGGTTTGCCAGGGGCCCCCTGGCCTTTGGCCACAGACTGAGGGCTACACTGTTAGCTTCCATATTTTTGAGGTTTTGGGACTCAGACTGGCTTCCTTGCTCCTCAGCTTGCAGACGGCCTATTGTGGGACATCACCTTGTGATCATGTGAGTCAATACTCCTTAGTAAGTTCCCTTTTATATATACGTCTATCCTATTAGTACTGTCCCTCTAGAGAACCCTGACTAATGCAATTCCATATCTGTGAAATCTTTTGTCTACTAAAAGACCTAAAATATCTTCTTCATTAAATCGATAAGCATATCATTTATACATATTGTTTTGCATCAGTGAAATAAACAAAATGAGCACAACTCAGAAGCTGGTAAGAGGAGGGAGTCCGGCAAGTTAAACATAATTAAGATGTACTAATACAGGTGATGTAACAGAAGCAGGAGCCCAATACTTTAGGATCATTTGAGAGAGAATGTGGGACTTGACTTCTAAGAGAAGACATATGAAAGTGGTTCAAATCCTTATTCATTTATCAGAAACCCCCAAATTATCTGCTGATCAACAGACTTTCCTTTTGCAGCGGAAATCATTCTTCTGTGCAATACTCTGTGCATTCATAGTGCTTAAAGCATATTTGTTGGATAAATCACAACTCATAATAGTATATTGATTTTAACAGAATATCCATACTTGTCTCACCAGCAATTCGACTGTCCAGACGTCTCTACATTTCTGAGCTTTTCTGCTGTTTGCCTTCGTCTCATGTACTTAGAAATTTGAAGACATTTTAAAGGTATGCTCAGCAGAATGTGAGACACTAAGTTCATCGTTTCTTTCCACTGCAATTCCGGCTTACCAAGTATCTTGCATGGATGTTCAATTTCTTGCAATGGGTAAAGAGTCTGAAAATGCCCTGAAGGAAAAAGGAACAGCTGGTTGACTTCCTGAGTGTTGTCCTGCTTCTCCAAGATTTTGTCCCCTCAAGACCTGTCTTTTCATTAATTCTTCAGTGCCCCTTAGGTTGCTCCTCTTCCTCCTTGCTTTGTTTCCTGTTTTTTAATTTTTATTTTAAAATTTAATTTTTTTTTTTTCTATTTCCCCAAGAACTAGGGGTGCATGGGTCTGATTTTAAGTGCTCCATCAAAGATGGAAGAGGAAGTCCAAAAGTACTTGACTTTGAATTCATGCAGAAACAAATTAACATTCCATTATAGGGTTTACTGTGAAAGTAACTTACTCTTTTTTTAACAGTGCAAAATCCTTTACTTATAATTTACAAATTGTAATTGAAGGTATATTATTTTAGTCACATATGTGAAAAATGCTTAGCACGTGACTCAATAAATTTAAAAAAACTAAATAAATACCCTTTTTTGAATGAAATATTTAATAAAATGCATAAGTTACTGAAAAACATGTAATTACAGTTCAAAATGTATTTTAAAGCAAATACATTTTTAGGTAAGAAAACTGGATAAAACAATTTATTCAACACACAACTTACAGAAATGAAGGATGAGAATCTTCTTTAAAAAAACCTTTATACAACAAGCAGCTGCAAGTATGTATTTGAACTAAAGTTGATGATGTGATTTCTTTTGTAATACCATACTGTTATTTTCTAAATGGTAGATAAAAAAAAATTCTGTAAAAAGGGATAAATTAAGTATACCAGTTCAATTTTATTACTTTTCAACTTATCTGGAAATGATCTGTAGTTTCCTCAGTATAGCATCCTATTGATACAGCATTCATTCTTTACTGAAACTATAATAACCATGTTTGGCTTTTGTATTATGCTGGGAGAAGTGAATACTAACTATATTATGCTATCATACTGTGAAAAATCCCTTAACACATATGCGTGCATGAATTTGCTTTCTACTGTAGCAAAATTAGTTTGACAAAAGCATCTTTGAAGAAGGCAGCTTGTGATTTATTTCTGCTTTTATGGTAATGTTGCCCCTCACCTGATGTATACAAACAATTATATATCAATATACCTGACAAAAGACAAATATGACTTTGTAAAAAATTCTGGAAGGAGAAGTAACATAGTCAAAATCATTTCTATTTTCAATGAACATTATGAAATCAGGAATTCTTTCATAGTGCTGACAAAGGAGAAAACTGTAAGACAATTTGAGAAAACAATTTATTGGGAATGTAATGATTTCATTGAATACCTGTGGTATTAAAAGTTTAATATTTACAATTTTTTAACATTGAAACATGAGATTTATAATTTAAATACATTAGAATTTAGTTAATGTGACTGGTATGTAATTACCATTTAAAAAATCTAGATGGCACATCTATGCACCACTAAATTCAGCATTTAAATGCCAAAAGTTTCTGACTTAGGATGTTCTGACATGGTTTTTCTATTTTATGATGGGTTTATCAGGATATAACCCCATCATAAATCAAGGAGCTCCTAAGGACTTCCCATGGAGCTATGGTTTTTACTAAATATGTATGGCTTTCACACCATTGTAAAGTTAAAAAATCATTTAAATAGCTGTATTGCCAGCACTAATGCATTTTTGACTTAATGATACTTTTGACTTATGGGTTTATAAGGCATAACCCCATTTTAAGTTAAAGAGCATCTCATATTTTAAACTTCATTTTTTAACTTGGTAGCCTTCATAGGGTTCATAAATTTATATATAAGTGTAACAAGAAAAAAATCATTCAAAATACAGGCCATTCTACACCATTAAGTTTTCTCTGTTCTCAGATTTGAATCATTTCCATTTAGATCTGTGCTTTTGCCACAGACATCTTCATTGTTGAGCTAATGAAGTTAACTTTCTTGCCCTCACACTCAGTGACATTTCCCTTTTACACTTTGTTGTCATTTTGTTTTGAAGAGGTATAACAATTACTTGAGGAGAGAGACATAGATATAGAATTTTTTACAGTAAAAGTCATATGAATACAGTTGTGAGAACAACTTGCAGACCACTGAAAAATCTCAAAACTACCTTCTCATTACTGATCACATAAGCTTTACAGATTCTCATGTTGTTTATTCTTATTTTCTTTCCTGTTATGTAAAGGTAACAAAGGAATTTTCTTTCTCATGATATAATTTACAATACAATGTTCCCTGTTAATGAGATCAGTTTGTTGTCCTTTGTCATCTGTTTCATTATTGAGGAAAAACTAAAGAAATGACTATAACATAATCCTCTCTGAATTTTCCTCTTTTAAATTTTTGGCATGATACATCAACTTCTAATTATCTTCTATATGCCAGGCCAATCTACAGCTTAGGCTTACCCAAGCATTTTTCCTCAGACTTGAGAGAGTTATTTTAATGCCATATACTTTTAATATCTTTCAGAAACGTCTCTAGAATCTACATTTTAATTTTAATTGAAAATTTAATCAATAGTGGTTCTACAGTTCTAGCTGTTCATGATCGCTTATGTAACAAACATACCCTGGGCCGGGCGCAGTGGCTCACGCCTGTAATCTCAGCACTTTGTGAGGCCAAGGCAGGTGGATCATGAGGTCAGGGGTTCGAGACCAGCCTGGCCAACATTGTGAAACCCCGTCTCTACTAAAAAAATACAAAAAATTAGCAGAGCGTGGTGTGGCAGGCACCTGTAATCCCAGCTACTCAGGAGGCTGAGGCAGGAGAATCACTTGAAACCGGAAGGTGGAGGTTACAATGAGCCGAGATCGTGCCATTGCACTCCAGCCTGGCAAGAAGAGTGAAACTCCATCTCAAAATAAATAAATAAATAAATAAATAAATAAATAAATAAATAAATAAATGAAAAGAATACGTAAGCATGCCCTGGTGGAGTAATTCTTCCTGCAGAAGATTCTTGTCAATATATTTAATAGTATTTTCATCCTTCCATCATTTTGGTAGGAGTTCATAAGCTTTCTTGAATTTTGATGGGTAGATTAAAAACTGTCAGGGTGTTTAGTACCCAAGAAGTTCTTTCTGCTGCTACTTCTATTTCCTTACCTGCACTAAGTATTGATGCTTTCCTGTTTAAATAAACTTGTATGTGTTAACGTAATTTCTGCAGGAACGCTGAATATCTATGATTCACAATGCTACATCTTCAGGACCTAAGTAGGGAATATTAAGTTTTACAGTAGAAACTTAACCAGTAGTTGCTAGATAAATCAATTTTTAAAGAATAATTGTATCACTTATAAATTGAAAATGAATTACTCATGACAAAGCTTCCAGTGATATATTTAACGAAGAGATTTTGTCTAATTCTGCAAATTACATACAAAGCTGCTAATTTGTCTTCACTGGTGAAATATCATGTAAAGAAAGAGGAATTACAATTGTCACCAGAATCTGCTTCAACACATACAATGTCTGGTGGGCATTTATTTAGTTTTACAAAACCAGCGGGACACACTTGAGAATTTCGGTTACCAAATTATCTTCACTGTGATCATTGTAAAAGGCCATTTGGTTTAGTTCATTACACACACAAAAAACTGAGCCTGTGGAGTTTTTCAATTATCTCAAGATTCCATCTGCAACATATTGGTCTGAAAATATATTGAGCAATATCTGTTGGAAAGTTTTCTCCAAATCATTTTAGACTTTTTAGAATGTCAAGGTCACTGTTTTAAACAGTACAAAGGTAGTAAGTACGAAAACACAAAGAAAGGCAATTTCAGTGTTTCTTTAGATTTTTGTGGTTTTGAGGGGAAAAAAGGAGGGGGAGTGGGTCAAAGGAAAAAATGTCATTTTGAGGTGACTCTGGGTTTTAACATGACAGAAAATGAGCCATCCCCCAAATGACATGGTCTCTTTACACTAAAATAAAATATAAGCAGGTGAGGTCAGAGTAGAGTTTAAAATGGCAAGAGACATAAGATTCTTCTTGTTTTGCAAGTACTACTAGATTAAGTGAGGTCATAGCAGCTGAGTTTTCATTAGCAATTTAAACTATGATTTAAAAAAGTTAGTGAGCATGTGAGTATGTTTAATATTTCTTGCATAACATTCCAGTCTATGCGATGCTACAGAAGAATTTTCTTGTTTGTAAGAGAGTTAACCCTATTATTCATACTGATAAATTTTGTAAACTACATAAAGCAACCTTTGTTCTTTTTAGCAGAAAAAAATGTCCAGTTAACCAAATCTGTCACTTTACTTTCACAGTAACAGACTTCCTTGTTTTCATTTATATTATCTAATGTATATTAGAGTTTTTTTCACTCCTCTTCTCTTAGATTTTATAAATATTTAATTGCTAATTATGCCTTCACTGCATTATTTTCTTTTTTCCTGTGATTTTTTCATTTCCCCTTTTAAACTTTTCCAATTATTTTCCAGGTTTTATCATATTCATGTTTAAAAACATTTCTGTGGCATTATCTTTGTCTTTCATCCTGTAAGATTCTTAGAGGTATCGTTAAATAGAAACAGAAATATGTTTTGCATTATTTAAAAAAGAAACAAACTGTGGCAGAAAGGAGTGGTTGAATTCAGCAGTGAACCCGTGAGGGATGCAAAATTATATGTAGCTGTGATGTCTAATCCAAGCATCACTTAAGTAAGCTAAAGGATCCTAGATAGACGGTAAAATATTATTTCTGGTGTCTGTCTATGAGGGAATTTCTGGAAGACATTAGCATTTGCATCAGTAAACTTAGTAAAAGAAATCTACACTCACCAAATGAGGGCAGACATCATCAAGTTGTTGAAGGCCTGAACAGAACAAAAAGATTTTAAAAAGAGAACATTTTTTCTCCCTTTTTGAGTTAGGACATCAATATTCTCCTACTCTTAGACAGCTGAGATCCTGGATCTTGAGATTTCAGACTCAAATCAAATGATACCACCAGCTTTCCTGGTCCTCTAGCAGATGATAGATCTTAGCAATTCTCAGTCTCCATAATTGGGTAAGCCAATCCTCACAATAAATATTATCTATCTATCTATCTATCTATCTATCTATCATCTATCATCTATCTCATCTATCTGTCTATCATCTGTCTAATCTACCTATCATCTATCTATCTATTTTCTATTTATCTATCATTCTGGTTCTGATTCCCTGGAGAACACTGACTAATTTAGTAATCAGACAATGCATCTTCTCCTCTTTCCAAGCATCCTTGCTTCCCTGTCTTTCAAGCCCAGAGTGATCTTGTAACCTTTTAGCTTGCCACATGCTACTTGGGAATTGGTTACCACTTTCAGACTTTAGAGAGATAGATGGATAGATAGATAGATAGATAGATAGATAGATAGATAGATACATAGATAGATAGATAATGTGTGTGTGTGTGTTTATTTCTTCCTATAAATACATAAAGCTTCATTATTAAAGGGGTATTTATTGCTTTTGTTTTTGTAAGGACAAGTTATGTAGTTCAAATCACCAAAACAGGACTTCAGCTAGATGGTCACTGTGTTATTAGATACATTTTTTTTCTTAGAATATGGATTCACTTACTCAAATTCTTTTTGCAAAATAGCTCATTGACATCAAGAAAACTGCTTATTCTTTGACCTCCACCCTTCTTCATGACCCCTCACTTTCATCATGCATCACTTAAAATTATTTCTTTGCAAATGCTCTTTAATGGTCTTTACTTTTTTCTTTCTGCTTTATATTCAACTAAGAAAGAAACAACAATGGTTAAACTTAACTACCCACTTACTCTACATAACCTACATGCACAGGGCTGAATCTATTTGGACAAAGCTTATAGTTTTGCTGATAGATTCAATGTTATGAACACAACTTCTTTATTTTATTTTATTTTATTTTATTTTATTTTATTTTATTATTATTATACTTTAAGTTTTAGGGTACATGTGCACAATGTGCAGGTTAGTTACATATGTATACATGTGCCATGCTGGTGTGTTGCACCCATTAACTCGTCATTTAGCATTAGGTATATCTCCTAAAGCTATCCCTCCCCCATCCCCCCACTCCACAACAGTCTCCAGAGTGTGATGTTCCCCTTCCTGTGAACACAACTTCTAAAGTAAACATAAAAGGACTTGAAATACTGTTACAAATTCTAAGTTTGTCACTCACCAGGATTTTTTTTAACTATGTCTTCTCTTCTCAAACATCCAGTAACTCTCTACTTTCCTCTACTCCTTAGCAAAAATGTCACCCCTATTGAGAGCCCTTCTTTATCCACCAATTAAAGCCATTTCCCACCACCACTTGCTGCCCAGTTATATTCAATTAATTTATATTTTAGAGCCAGAAATGGATAAGCTGAAATTATCTCATTTGTAGGAGACAGGATTTAAACCCAGCACTGGGCTTATTATATTTTAGTATGCTGCATTAATTCTTCCCTCACAACACAACTAATGAAGTTCAGTTTCCTAAACTTTCTACATCTACTAATAATAAAATATACAAACTATTACATGATTTTATTATCAACTGAAACTATTAAAAGACAGTTGTTTTATTGCAGAGACTTGATTTCTATCTAAATTATAAAACATATGCTAACTACAAAATTCCCTTAAAAAGCTCTGACATTCCTACACGTCTGATTTAAAATATAACAGGTCCTTTGAAAAAAAATTGAAAAAACTTTTGGGAAATAAAAGTTATTCACCCTTTTTTTATAAACACAAATAAAGCAGCTTGATCCAGACCATTGGTGAGAAATTGAATATAACTGAGGAACACAATTTTCTCATTTTTAATAGAACGTCTGTAGACTTAATTGTTAGAACACCTTAATGGCATAAATGTAATAATTTAGCAGTAAAAATTTCACTTTAAATTCAAAATGACATTTTTAGAAAAGATGATTTATCATTAGATTTCTGCTTGAGCTTCCAAAAAAAGAAGAAATGCATGAGATAGTCAATCTATTACCATCCCAGTGCATTGGGAGTCTGAGATTGGAGGACTGCTTGAGGTCAGGAGTTCAAGATCAGCCCGGACAACATAGCTTGACCCCATCTCTACATTTCTTTTTTATTAGCTAGGCATGGTCCCCTGCACCTGTAGTAACTCCTCTGGAGGCTTGGGAGGGAGGATCACTTGAGCCCAGAAGGTTAAGGCTGCTGTGAGCTATGATTGGATCACTGCACTCCAGCCTGGGTGACAGTGTGACTCTGTCTCTAAAAAATAAATAAATAAATAAATGTAAAATAAAGCTATTATCAAATGCCACCCACAAGCCAAAGAAACAACTAAAAAGTTGGCATAGACAATGAGTAGGACAATATGTTCTCTTTGTAGCTTCATTTTCAGTTTTTTAAAAAATGATTTGTTATATAATATTTTCAATCCCCAAAAGCTTGTATTTTAGCGGATATTTGGATACCATAGTTAAAACTTTTGTTGTATTACCAGAATATGACAAATGCAGGATGAAGTTTGAATTTCAGATCTGTCATTTATTCTCTTTGACAAGTAATTAATCTTATGCTTAAGAGGGCTAGTGAGAGAACAAATTAGATAAATTATGTAGTATAAATAGTCTGGTATAACAACTTGTTGATAAATCAAGACAATAATTTACCTCCCAATTTGACTGTATTCTCTGTGGAACCCATGAGAATTTTAAATCCTTCCTTTTTTTTCTTCCATGATACTTCATCACGATGTTTTTTTCTCCTATCTTTCTGCCTTCTCCTTTTTAATTTCCTATTGCAGTTACTCCTCTTTCTCTTGTTTTCTAAATGTTCAAGCTATTCAAAGCTGAAGAGGACTCCCATTCTTTTTAGTTTGTTCTCTCTCCTTATGTATTTTCATATAACTTTCTTGGATTTTATTCCATCTTTATCATGTTTTACAAATCTAGATGTCTAGCCCATAACTCTTTTGCGTTTTACCAGTAGATTTCAATGCTTATATAACAAATTTACTGAGATGTTTCAGAGGTACTTTAAACTTTATTTATTTTATTTTATTTTTTTTAATTTTATTATTATTATACTTTAAGTTTTAGGGTACATGTGCACAATGTGCAGGTTAGTTACATATGTATACATGTGCCATGCTGGTGTGCTGCACCCATTAACTCGTCATTTAGCATTATGTATATCTTCTAATGCTATCCCTCCCCCTCCCCCCACCCCACAACAGTACCCAGAGTGTGATGTTCCCCTTCCTATGTCCATGTGTTCTCATTATACAATTCCAACCTATGAGTGAGAACATGCCGTGTTTGGTTTTTTGCCCTTGCCATAGTTTACTGAGAATGATGATTTCCAATTTCATCCATGTTCCTACAAAGGACATGAACTCATCATTCTTTATGGCTGCATAGTATTCCATGGTGTATATGTGCCACATTTTCTTAATCCAGTCTACTGGACATTTGCATTGGTTCCAAGTCTTTGCTATTATGAATAGTGCTGCAATAAACATATGTGTGCATGTGTCTTTATAGCAGCATGATTTATAGTCCTTTGGGTATATACCCAGTAATGAGATGGCTGGGTCAAATGGTATTTCTAGTTCTAGATCCCTGAGGAATCGCCACACTGACTTCCACAATGGTTGAACTAGTTTACAGTCCCACCAACAGTGTAAAAATGTTGCTATTTCTCCACATCCTCTCCAGCACCTGTTGTTTCCTGACTTTTTAATGATTGCCATTCTAACTGGTGTGAGATGGTATCTCATTGTGGTTTTGATTTGCATTTCTCTGATGGCCAGTGATGATGAGCATTTTTTCATGTGTCTTTTGGCTGCATAAATGTCTTCTTTTGAGAAGTGTCTGTTCATATCCCTCGCCTACTTTTTGATGGGGTTGTTTGTTTTTTTCTTGTAAATTTGTTTGAGTTCATTGTAGATTCTGGATATTAGCACTTTGTCAGATGAGTAGGTTGCAAAAATTTTCTCCCATTTTGTAGGTTACCTGTTCACTCTGATGGTAGTTTCTTTTGCTGTGCAGAAGCTCTTTAGTTTAATTAGATCCCATTTGTCAATTTTGTCTTTTGTTGCCATTGCTTTTGGTGTTTTAGACATGAAGTCCTTGCCCATGCCTATGTCCTGAATGGTAATGCCTAGGTTTTCTTCTAGGGTTTTTATGGTTTTAGGTCTAACGTTTAAGTCTTTAATCCATCTTGAATTAATTTTTGTATAAGGTGTAAGGAAGGGATCCAATTTCAGCTTTCTACCTATGGCTAGCCAGTTTTTCCAGCACCATTTATTAAATAAGGAATCCTTTCCTCATTGCTTGTTTTTCCTCAGGTTTGTCGAAGATCAGATAGTTGTAGATATGCGGCGTTATTTCTGAGGGCTCTGTTCTGTTCCATTGATCTATATCTCTGTTTTGGTACCGGTACCATGCTGTTTTGGTTACTGTAGCCTTGTAGTATAGTTTGAAGTAAGGTAGTGTGATGCCTCCCGCTTTGTTCTTTTGGCTTAGGATTGACTTTAAACTTTATATTTGTGGAACAAGGTCTTATTTTTTTCTCCAAACAGTTTTGCTACCAGTGTTTCTAGGATTGGCAAAAGGCACATCCATGCTCCCTACAGATCATGCTAGAGACCTGGGTGTCACCTTTGCCATATCCATCTTTCTCACTCCCCATATTCAATATGTCCAAATTGGTTTTGCTCCTGCTTAACTCTTTCCTTACCTTGACTACTTGTGTATCTCCCTAACTGGATTCTCAGATTCCTCTCTTAGCACTTTAATATGTGATTTCCCCATTCTGGAAAAATTGTGTTTAAAACATGAATTAGAGTATGTACCTTTACTGTGTACATCCTGTATATACTCCCCATTAAGTATAGGACAAAATGTATAATCTTCACTAAAACCTGGGGGACTCTGTACCAACCGGCTCTTGCCTATCTTTTCAGCCTCAAATTATGCTTCTTCATCCCGCTCACTTTGTCTTTTTTTCTCAAATGTTTTGAGATTTACAAGTTTTTGAAACTCTTTTTTTTCCAGGTCTTATCCTTGAAGGAATTTTTCCTGGCCTTAAATTCAATTAGAATTTTGTATATTTCTATGGATTACTTGTGATTTGTGCATCTGTCTTTACAAAACTATAAGCTTCATGAAAACAGAAATTTTACATCTATATTTTTAACTACTATCATATAGCTTAGAATATATTAGGTGCTCGTAAATATTAAATTGACAGTATGGACTGAATTGTTTTCCCCACAATCCATATGTTGAATCCCTAACCCCCAATGTGACTGTATTAAAGATGAGTTATTTAAGGAAATAATTCAAGTTAAATGGGGTCATAAAAGTGAGACACTGATTCCATAGGACAGGTGTGCTCATAAGAAGAGGACACACTAGAATTTACTCTCTCTTTTCTAAAGCACACAGGAAAGGAAATAATGATGGATATGTATTGGATTTGTGTCCTTGCCCAAATTGTATGTCATATTGTGATCCCTAATGTTGGAGGAGAGGTCTGGTGGGAGGCGATTGGACTATGGGGGCAGATTTTCCCCTTGTTCTCATGACAGTGAATTCTCATGAGATCCAGTTGTTTAGAAGTGTGTATCACCTCAGCCCGCTCCCTCTTTCTTCAGCTCCAGGCATGTAGGACACAGCTGCTTCCACTTTGCCTTCTGCCATGATTGTAAGTCTCCCTCAGTAAATTATTTTAGTAAATTCACCATGATTCTGAAATGCACTGTGTAATATGTGATATCAAAATATACAGAGTTGAATGAAGTGTTTCAGTGGTATTCAAGAATTGTTAAAAATCCATATAACAAAAGCCTTTTATTCTAATACATTAAAATAGAAAAAAAATTCTTTATTCATGTAGGTTAATGTCCTGCTAGCAAATTTATGACCACTTAATCCAGTAATTCAGTAATTTCTACACCCAAAAAACAGTGATATTAAGGTTATTTTTGAGGAAAACAATGTTTTTACATGTATAGCTCTCAATCTTAATAATTTATCATAAACCTAATAGCTGTAGGTTCATTTAAGTTTATTTAGAATCATAATATATAAAACATTTCATTTATATTCAAAGAATAAGATTTTGAATCTAAATACTTTCACTAAATGTGTAAAATGTAGCCAAGTTATACAATCCCTTTAAGCTTCAGTTTCCTCATTGGTAAAGTTAATAATATCTACTTTACAGAATTGAGATAATTAAATGAGATAGCACTTGTGAGACTGTTTAGCATAGAATTGGACTTTCATAAGAAGACCAGTTTTCAGCCTAAACATTTCTGTAATTATTTTCATAAGTTTTATACATTGTTGACATCCATTAACATTTTGGAGACAGTTTGCTTTACATTTGTGAATAGTTCTTGAGAAAGCATAAAACATTTCTAAACATTTTATAGAATTTTCAGAGTCTATTCTGTTACTAATTATTTTAATGAAACTTCGTACCTCATTAACAAATGCTGCAATGTCTGACTTCTATTCAGGATTAAATCTTCTAGCTAGAAAAACTGAAAACAGCAAGTAAGTTCAATATTGAGGGGAGAAAAATCAAGACCATGGGTAGGGTGTTGTGCACATACTAAATTTAAAGTCTGCAGGACTGCTGAATTTAATTAAAGTTAAAAGCCCCACTTTGATCTAAAGTGCCTCATACAGGCTGAGCAGGCTGATTGGATCAATCATGGCTTTTACTTTTGATTAAAATTAACTTCTCCTACATAGATGCAATTGAAAACAATCAATGAAAGTAAGTTAGGCAACAATTAACACATAGATGACCAAAGTCTCTCATATGTGTGTGTGTGTGTGTGTGTGTTTGTGTGTGTGTGTGTGTGTATTTCACCTTGACAATAAATTTAAGTCTATAACTTGAATTTTGTATTGCATATTTTGTATAGCAATGAAAGGGACATTCACGGCAGAAAGAAGTTTTAGTAGAAGCAATTCTTAGAAACAAGCTTGAAGTCTCAAATTTCACTATAATAGACATAAATATAAATAACTGTCCAACACCCATTTTTAAGGCATTCCTCTCTTTCATATATATAATTACTATGGGATCCTCTGTGTTAGTACGACTTGATCTGGCATCCTCTGCCAGCAGGTGGGAAATGAGAGGAGCATTTTCTCACTCAAGCTAATCCACTCCGTGTACCTTTCCCTGAACTTTCAAATAAAAAGAAAAGTTTTTGACATTTTTCTCCATATTGACTGAGAATAAATGTTCATGTATTAGGTTAGGCTACATTATACTGGGTAGCAAACAGATCTCAATTTCTTATTTAACAAAATAGAGACATATTTTTCACTTATGCCAAAGTCATTGCTTGTTAGGTTGTGGTGGCCCAGACAGCATGCAGCTTTCATGCTGCCACATGTAGCAGACAGAATCTTTCATATGTATTGTTAAGGCTGCCTTGGTGGCATCTAGCTGACAGCTGGTTATAAAATGAGAAAGACATTAAAAGAGCTTTCCTTCTTTATTTTTCAGGTAGGCTGAGAAATATGTAACATTGATGCAGTGAGGAAAGCGAAATTGTTGAATACCTTACCCATTTATACCACAGAATATAAAATTTGAATTATCCTGGTGGCTGTTTCTTACCAAGTTAAAAAAAAATTCGACATATTTCAAAGTTCAAGAACAGTCCAAAGACTACTCCTACTTCTGACACCAATTGCAAGTTTGGTCATACCCCAGACAAACCTTAGGTTTAATAATTCTCCAGAAAATCTTGCAGAACACACTGAAAACTGCTATACTCATGGTTAAGGTTTATTACAGCTAAAACTTCAAATTTAAAGTCAATCAAAGAAAGAGGCTTATAGTGAAGGGTCTGAGAAAGTTCCAAATGTGGATCTTTTAGTTGTTTTATCTCTGTGAGTAATGGATAGTGTTATATTCCTGGCATTGATGAGTGATAATATGCAATTTCATGAAGTGTCATCAACCCATGTAGCTTATCTGATTCTTGGCGTTTGGAGACTTTATTGGGGTTTCATCACATATACATGATAGATTCTCAAGATGACCTCAGCCTTCAGTTCCTCTGGAGGTCAAGCGGATAACCTAACAGGCCCACCTTAAATCATATTGTTAGATTATCTGGTGTAGCCAACCCCACTCAAAATCACATTGTTAGACTATCCAAACAATACAGGCTCTTAGGCAAGCAAACACACCCCAACTAGCATGATTCTTCAAAAGCTAAGAGATTACCTCCTAGAACCCAAGGGTAAAAGCCTGAACACTTTTTGTACAAGGTTAAATTTTTTTCTACACACATATAGACAGAGCTGTGATTTTAGAAAGAAAGGAATTCTCTACAGCACTTCAGCTCTATTTCGAAATATTTCTGAAATACAAATATGTTTTTATAGTTTATTTCAAGCTTTCCTTTAAATAGACAATGTCATAAATTCATGTACTCAGTCCTATTTGTACACTTCAATCTAGATATTACATGTGTTTTACCTAAGCATTGTACTCATCAATAGATTTTACATTAATTATAGTGAAAAAAGTGGTTTATTTAACATCAACTCTGACCATTCAAAGATATGATATACCCCTCAAAATAATAGCAAGGGAAAAGACCAGGAAAGAGTGTAAATGGCTGACTAGACATGGCCAGGAATTTCTAGCCAGGGCAATCAGGTGAGAGAAAGAAATAAAGTGTATTCAAATAGGAAGACATGAAGTCAAATTGTCTCTGTTTTCAGATGACATTATTGTACTTAAAAAAAAAATAATCTCAGCCCCAAAAGTCCTTAACCTGATAAGCAACTCCAGCAAAGTCTTAGTATACAAAATCATTGTGCAAAAACCACAAGCATTCCTTTACACCAACAAGAGACAGAGACCAAATCATGAATAAACTTCTATTCACAATTGCTATGAAAAGAATAAAATACCTAGAAATACAGATAAAAAAGGATGTGAAGGACCTCTTCAAGGAGAACTACAAACCACTGTTCAAAGAAATAAAAGAAGACCCAAACAAATGGAAAAACATTCTATCCTCATGGATAGGAAGAATCAAACCATGAAAATGGCCATACTACCCAAAGTAATTTATAGATTTAATTCCATTCCTATCAAATTACCATTGACATTCTTCACAGAATTAGAAAAAACTACTTTAAATTTCATATCAAATCAAAGAAGACCCACTATAGCCAAGACAATTTTCAGCAAAAAGAACAAAGCTGGAGTTATCACACTACCCTATACTACAAGGCTACAGTAACCAAAACAGATATATATATATATATATATATATATATAGATAGATAAAACAGAAGAGAGACCTCACAAATAACACCATACATCTACAACCATCTGATCTTCGACAAATCTGACAAGAACAAGCAATGGGGAAAGAATCTCCTATTAAATAAATGATGCTAGGAAAACTGGCTAGTCATATGAAGAAACTGGACCACTTCCTTACACCTTATAAAGAAATTAACTCAAGATTGATTAAAGACTTAAATGTAAAGCTCTAAACCATAAAAGCTGTAGAATAAAACCTAGGCAATATACCATTCAGGACATAGGCATAGGCAAAGACTTCATGACAAAAACACCAAAAGCAATTACAACAAAAAATAAATTGACAAATGGGATCTAATTAAACTAAAGAGCTTCTGCACAGCAAAAGAAACTATCAGCAAAGCGAACAGGCAACCTACAGAATGGGAGAAAATTTTCTCAGTCTACCCATCTGACAAAGGTCTAATATTCAGAATTTACAAGAAACTTAAACCTACAAGAATAAAAAAACAAACAACCACATCAAAAAGTGGGCAAAGGATATGAACAGACACTTCTCAATAGAAGACATTTACATGGCCAACAAACATATGAAAAAAAAGCTCAAGATCACTGATTATTAATGAAATGCAAATCAAAACTACAATGAAATACCATCTCACACCAGTCAGAATGGCAATTACTAAAAAGTCAAGAAATAATAGATGCTGGAGAGGTTGTGGAGAAATGGGAATGCTTTTACTCTGTTGTTTGGAACATAAATTAGTTCAACCATTGTAGAAGACAGTATGATGATTCCTCAAGGATCTAGAACCAGAAATACCATTTGACCCAGAAATCCTATCACTGGGTATATACCCAAAGAAATATAAATCATTCTACTATAAAGACACATGCACATGTATGTTTATTGCAGTACTATTTACAATAGCAAAGACATAGAACCAACCCAAATGCCCATCAATGATAGACTGGCTAAAGAAAATGTGGTACATATACACCATGGAATACTATGCAGCCATACAAAGGAATGAGATTATGTTCTTTGCAGGGACAGAGATGAAGCTAGAAGCCATCATCCTCAGCAACCTAACACAGGAATAGAAAACCAAGCACAGCATGTTCTCACTTATAGGTGGGAATTGAACAATGTGAACAATGAGAACACATGGACACATGGAGAAAAATAACACCCACCAGGTTCTCCTGAGGGTTGGGGAGGTGAGGGGAGGGAACTTAGAGGATGGGTCAATAGGGGCAGCAAACCACCATGGCGCATGTATACTTATGTAACAAACCTGCATTTTCTGCACACCTATTCTGGAACTTAAAATGAAATAAAAAATAAAGATCATTGAGATGCAGGAGTACTTTGAAATCCAATCCAAGGAAAGTAAGAATTACAATAAAATGAGACAGGAGCTGACAGGCAAAATAGCCAGTATACAAAATAATGTAGCTGACCTGATAGAACTGAAAACACATTATGAGAATTTCATAATGCAATCACAAGTATTAATAGCAGAGTAGACCAAGCAGAGGATACAATCTCAGCTTAAAGACTGGCTTTCTGAAATAAAACAGGAAGAAAAGAATAGAGAAAGAAGAATTAAAAAAAAAAAAAAAGAAAAAACCTCCAAGTAATGTGGGATTATGTAAGGAGACCAAACCCATGACTCATTGGTTTCCCTGAAAGACATGGGGAGAGTTTAAGCAAATCGGAAAACATATTTCAGGATATAATCCTTGAGAACATCCCCAACCTAGCTACAGAGGCCAACATTCAAATTCAGGAAATTCGGAGAACCCCAGTAAGATACTTCACGGGGTCATCCCCAAGACATATAATCGTCAGATTCTCCAAGGTCAAAATGATAGAAAAGAAAAAAAATGTTAAAGCCAGCTACAGAGAAAGGTCAAGTTGCCTACAAAGGGAAGGCCATCAGACTAACAAACAGTGGAACTCTCAGTATAACCCTATAAGCTAGAAGAGATTACAGGCCAATATTTGACATTCTTATAGAAAATAAATTCCATTCCAGAATTTCCTTTCTGGCCAAATTAAGCTTCAAAAGCAGAAAAAGAAAAAGAAAAAAATCATTTTCAGACCAGCACATGCTGAGAGAATTAATTACTACCATGCCTGCCTTACAAGAGCTCCTAAAGTAAGCACTAAATATCGAAAGGAAAGACCATTACTAGCCACTACAAAAACACACTAAAGTACACAGACCGGAGATGCTATAAAGTGACCAAACAAACAAGTCTGCAGAATAACCGCCTAACATGATGGTGACAGGATCAAGTCCACACATATCAATACTAAACTTGAATATAAATGGGCTGAATGCCCCACTTAAGAGGTTCAGAATGGCAAGTGGGGTAAAGAACCAAGACCTAGGTCAGGTGCTGCATCTTACACCTGAAATCCCATAACTTTGGGAGGCTG
This sequence comes from Homo sapiens, assembly GCF_000001405.40. Taxonomy (NCBI): domain Eukaryota; kingdom Metazoa; phylum Chordata; class Mammalia; order Primates; family Hominidae; genus Homo; species Homo sapiens. The sequence goes on from NC_000001.11 coordinate 104,552,308, forward strand.
AAATGGGCAGATTGCTTGAGTCTAGGAGTTTAAACCCAGCCTGGGCATCATTGTGAAACCCTGTCTCAACAAAAAATACAAAAATTTGCTGGGCACGTTGGTTCAGACTTATGGTCCCAGCTACTCCATAGGCTGAGGAGGGAAGATCACTATAGCCCAGGAGGTGGAGGTTGCAGTGATCCGAGATTGTGGCACTACGCACTGGCCTGGGTGACAGAGCAAGACTCTATCTCAAAAAATAAAATAAAATGTATAAAAATAATTTTAAAAAATGAAGATCTATTGGTATGCTATCTTCAAAAGACCCATCTCACATGCAATGACACCCATAGGGTCAAAATAAATGGATAAGAAAAATCTACTGAGCAAATAAAAAGTAGAAAAAGCAGGTTTTCAAATCCTAATTTCAGACAAAACAAACTTTAAAGAAACCAAAATTTTAAAAAAGAGAAAGAAAAACATTGCATAAGGGTCAATTAAACAAGAAGACCTAACTATTCTAAATATATATGCACCCAACACAAGAGCACCCAGATTCATAAAACAAGTTCTTAGAGACCTTCAAAGAGAATTAGGCTACCACACAATAATAGTGGGAGACTTCAACACCCCAATGACAGTATTAGACAAATCATCAAAGCAGAAAATTAACAAAGATATTCAGGACCTGAACTCAGCACTGGATCAAATGGACCTGCTAGATATCTACAGAACTCTCCACCCCCCAAACCACAGAATATACATTCTTCTCATTACCACGATACATACTCTAAAATCAACCACATGATCAGCACTAAACACTTGCCAACAAATGCAAAAGAACAGAAATTAAAACAACCACTCTCTTGGATCACAGGGCAATAAAATTAGAGGAAAAGACTAAGAAAACTGCTCAGAATTGTATACAGTTACATAAAAATTGAATAACATGCTACCAAATCACTTCTGAGTAAATAATAAAACTAAAGCATAAATCAAGAAATTCTTTGGAACTAATGAGAACAATGATATAATGTACCAGAATCTCTGGGACACAGCTAGGGCAGTTTTAAGAGGGACATTTATAGCACTAAATGGTCACATTTAAAAAGTTGGAAAGATCTCAATTGGCAAGCTAACATTACAACTATTAGAGCTAAAGAACCAAGAGAAAACCACCCCCAAAGCTAGCAGGAGACAAGAAATAACTAAAGTCTGAGCTGAACTGAAGGAGATTGAGACACAAAATATCATTCAAAAGATCGATGAATCCAGGAAGGTTTTTTTTTTTATTTGAAAAAAGTTAATAAAATAGAATACTAGCTAGAATAAAAAAGAGAGAAGATCCAAATGAACACAATTAAAAATAACAAAAGAGATATTATCACAGACCCCACCAAAACACAAATAACCATCAAAGAATATTCTTAATACCTCTATACACATAAACTACAAAATCTAGAAGAACTGGTTACATTTCAGACACATACATCCTTCCAAGACTGAGCCAGGAAATAACTGAATAGCTCAACAGACCAATAATGAACTC